>NC_000005.10:12516849-13770274 GCF_000001405.40 Homo sapiens | reverse complement strand
TTCACTGCCTAAGGAGTATCCCTGCTTCCCTGAAGTTTCTTCCAAATGTCACTGCTCTGCCCTATGCTTTTCTGATCAGATCATCTTCCTGAGCGTGGCTAGAATCAGCCAGAGTAAGGAATCCCTGGGTGGGCAGTTACACGAAATGACTCGGAGGGTTCCCATCTCTATGGTCACGTTATTTCAGGTTCAGGCAGGCAGCTAGTTCCTTCCTACAGCTGTTCTGATGGCTTTAAATTGGTTTCTTAAGCCCACATCATTCTTCTTTTGACTTCATATGTCTCTTTTGAAAAACAGGCATTATTTTCCTTCCTGCATGACTGAGCTTTAAGCATTTGAAGTCTATTGTCATTTAGCCTAATGTCATTAAGTATGTTTCCTTCGTGATACAGATTCTAGCCTTACTGTCGTTCCTAATTTCATGTCGTGTGTTCTAGCAGGTTCGCTGTTCTTGCACGTGGTCTGTAAAGAACATACATGTTATCAGTCTAGAGTCAAGACTGGATCTGTATCCTTTTTGCTAAGCCCTCTTGGGTTTGCTACTTGCATACATGCAATCTTCAGATATAACCATTACCACTCATTATTGGACCAGTACTTGAGAATTGCATCCAAGTCCTACACATTTTAACATTGCTTGCTTGGATTTTCAATCCCAGAATGAATACTGGATTGGAAAAGCTCAAAGAAGCTTCAGAGTCTGTTGCAGCCTTGAGTAAAGAACTGGAAGCGAAAGAAAAGGAGCTACAAGTGGCCAACGATAAAGCCGACATGGTGGGTGGGCATTTACACATGTGCCACATTCCTTTTGAATTCTCAGTTCACAAGTGTTAATGATCTATGCATATTCACTGGCTATAACTAGTGAAGTATACATTAACTTCCATTGGAATAAAATACTCTTAATTTTATGTATAAAAAACTGGGTAAGTGCAGGAGGCGGAGCTTGCAGTGAGCCAAGATCGCGCTACTGCACTCCAGCCTGGGCGACAGAGCGAGACTCCATCTCAAAAAAAAAAAAAAAAAACAACAAAACTGGGTAAGTGAACAAAATCAACAAATCAAGGCAAAAATGTGCATTTTCAGCTGGATGTTTAATACTGTTTGGTGAAGTATTGCTTGCTTTATATTGAATTAGGTCTTAAAAGAAGTGACAATGAAAGCACAGGCTGCTGAAAAGGTCAAGGCTGAGGTACAGAAGGTGAAGGACAGGGCCCAGGCCATTGTGGACAGCATCTCTAAAGACAAAGCCATTGCTGAAGAAAAACTGGAAGCAGCAAAACCAGCTTTAGAAGAGGCAGAAGCTGCATTGCAGGTGCATCTATGTGATATAACAGATGTCAGCTTTAGGGCTTAAGAGGCAGACTAATGCTAAAAAGATGAATAACAGCAAGGAAATGCTCTACTGGTTCAGATGAAAGCTCTATCCACTTGAGTGATTTCAAGTAATATTTTCTGCTTGAGACTTTATTAGCTCTTTATAGGTTTTGCCTGTTCTGCTTAACATCTCACACTCTTCACTCATCAATGTTGGGCAATGCCATATACTGGTGGCCAAGAGTCCTGGGTCCTCATTTCAACTCTGTCATCAATAAGCTATGTAATGTTGGAAAAGTTACATCAACTTTCTAAGGCAACATTCTCTCATTCATTCATTGAGGCCAATGGAGTAGGTGATCTGTAAGATACGACGTTTTCTGTCTATGAATTACCCAAATAGAGAGCTGCTGGTCTGATGTAGCACATTAATGAGAGAGTTTGAGCAGGCTTCCAACGCAATTAAACAGTACAATTGTGTATTAGTCTGTGTTCACACTGTATAAAGATGTTACCTGAGACGGGGTAATTTATAAACAAAAGACGTTTAATTGACTCAGAGTTCCGCATGGCTGGGGAGGCCTCAGGAAACTTACGATCATGGCAGAAGGTGAACGGAAGCAGACACTTTCTTCACAAGATGGCGGGAGAGAGATCAGGGGAAACTGCCACTTTGAAACCATCAGATCTCCTGAGAACTCACTCACCATCATGAGAACAGCATGGGGGAAACTGTCCCCATGATCCAATCACCTCCCACCAGGTCCCTCCCTTGACATGTGGAGATTACAGTTTGCGATGAGATTTGGGTGGGGACATAGAGCTAAACCATATCAAACTATGTGGCAATACACCAATGGCAAAATTACAAAAGAGGTTGGATTTTGAGAAAATGAAATGAGTTTAGTGAACTAGGCCACACCTTAAAGGCTGGTCCAGTTTTGAAGACTCACTTTTACTAAGAAAGTTCCAGGTATGTACAAACTCTTAACATTTTGACATCAGGTTACATAAATCCATACAACAAATAAGACAACAAATCTTGTGCAAAGAATGTGTCTCTTCCTATCTTGATATTAATGTGACTTTAACCAGCTCAGAGCAAAAATAAAAAATACCTCCAGATGTTAGATAACTGTTCTATTGCCACAGCATATAGGAGATTATATAACAGTCATATTTCTTGGCCTGCAGAAAAGAGAGGACTTTAATGCTTAGGTGAAACAGGTTGAGTTTTTGTTCCCCTCTCCAACCTCTTTTACCTGGGCATCTAACACAGCTGAGCACCATGCTGTTTGAAAATTATTTTTAAAGCTAAAGTAAAGTAAGCATGCCTAGCCCTTACATTTTATATAACTTTAATTTGACCCTACCCTACTTTCCTCACTGGCTGCTGTTCTATTTTTCTCTTTTCTTTTATAACTGTGCACCTCAAATAAAGGTCTGTTTGCCATTTTCAGTTCTCTACTACACATTCACCCTAACTTCCAGCTGTCTGGCTTTCATAACTGCTAGTATTAATATATTAAAACAGGCTGGGCATGCTGGCTCACGCCTGTAATTCCAGTACTTTGGGAGGCCGAGGTGGGCAGATCACCTGATGTCAGGAGTTTGAGACCAGCCTGGCCAACATGGTGAAACTCTGTCTCTACTAAAAATACAAAAATTAGCCCGGCATGGTGGTGTGTGCCTGTAGTCCCAGCTATTCAGGAGGCTGAGGCACGAGAATCACTTGAACCTGGGAGGGGGAGGTTGCAGTGAGCTGAGATTACGCCAGTGCACTCCAGCCTGGGTGACAGAGTGAGACTCAGGTCTCAAAATAAAAAACAAAAGCAAAACTATATATATATACAAACCTTTTCAAGGTATGTAATTACATTCCTAATTTACCAAGTTTAGTGTTTTTTCTTTGTCCTCAGTCCTTGGAGAAAAAAATCATTCACTTTTATGTGAAGGTCATTGGTTACTGTCTTTTGATAGAAAGGATGCAAATACAAACCAGATGGATGTTTTGAAGATCTGGAAGGAAGGAATATATACTATTTGTCTTAGAGATAGGATTGTTTCCAATTCTTACATTTAACACTTTTTCAATACTTATTCCATAGTGAGTTTTAGGTGATTGAGCAGTTATTATCAACCAAAACAGGTGTATGTGACTATTAAATCATTTACTCTATAAGTGTATACATACTAGAAATGGAATGGAACTTTTCTAAGAGAGAGCTTAGTAAAATTCTTATTGCTCAAGTCCCGTCATTTAAAGGTCAGTTCCTAGCTAAGAAACCTCTAATTATTCAATCTGTCAGCCCTGTGGCTACCCTCTGGTGTCAGTCCACAGTGACGAGCCTGAATTGTTTAAGAGAGAGAGGCAGATTCTTGACCTACATAGCTAATAAGTAAAAAAGCACCACAAATACTGTAATTTTCCTGGTTTTGAACCTCGAAATCTACTTATGTGCTGACTATTCTTTTTCTTTCAGATTATGCCTTTCTTTTTTCTGGCACAAAGCCATCTGTGCACTTTTAGAGAAGTCACAGCTCCTTATCTGCTCGCCAACATTTCTTTCCTGTCACTGCTAGTTTGAATAGTAGAAATGTGAACTTGTTGGGACATGGTGTTTCTTTGGGATTAAATATGCATCTAGACCCTGTGGCCTGCATCTAACTTAAAACAGTTTTCTGTCCTCTGTTGAAATAGCAGCATTTGGACATGCAAGGTTTGCTTGTCTGTGCTTTCCTATCTGTGGTTGGGTGATCGTTCCTTTCATCCCCCAGACCATCAGGCCTTCGGACATCGCCACTGTTCGCACGTTGGGCCGCCCCCCTCACCTCATCATGCGGATCATGGATTGCGTACTGCTGCTGTTTCAAAGGAAAGTCAGTGCTGTGAAAATTGACCTGGAAAAAAGCTGTACCATGCCCTCCTGGCAGGAATCCTTAAAATTGATGACTGCAGGGAACTTTTTACAGAACTTACAGGTTGGTAGTTCAGTGGTGATGGGCTAAGAGGGAACTCATTCTTCACTGGTGTATGAGTCCTTTTCGTAGAATAAGTTTCTAAAAAAAGAACTTACTCTACATACATGATTTTTTCAGAGTAAAACTTTGTCTCAAATATAAAACATTATAAGCATTAGAGTTTTTCCTGACAGATTTTAGTTGTATTAAAGCATCATCAGTGTTATGTATACTTCAATAAAAGTTAAAAAAATCATTTTAAGAAGACAATAAGTATGTATTTATATTATATTCACATGAATACAAATATTTGTATTTTGCATTTCTCAGTAATTTTTTAGTATTAATTTACAGCTTTTTTAATTTTATGAGATAGAACTTAACATGAATAAATGCACAAATTTTAAATGTATAACTTGATGAATATTTACATATGTATATACCTATTTGTGAACACTGGAAGAAAAATATATATTTTCAGACCCCAGAAATCTCTCTTGTGCCCCAACCAAGTCAATAACTTTCCTTAAGATAATTATATCCTTACCTTTATCCAGATAATTAGCTTTGCCTGTTTTGAAATTTGCATATGTGAAATAATATTGTATGAACACTTTTGTTTTGACCTCTTTCATTCAACATGTCTGTGAAATTCATTCTTATTGTTGCAAATGACAGTCTTTCTTTTTTCATTGTTATATAGTTTGCCAGTATATAAATGTGCTGTACTGTGTGTGAGAAATGTTTAACAACTGATTCTTAAGGGAGAAAGGAAAACAAAAAAAAGAAAAAAAAAGCTCTAATTTGAAGTCTTGCCATAGTGTAAGCACTCCCATGATGGCTGTTTTAAGCTGCCAAAATGATGTTGCTGAATCTAGAGTTGAGAAGAGGTGCATGGTAGCAGCCACTGTGTAGTGTTTCCACCATGTAGATACAATACTTGTAAATGACCTCAAAAACACAGATGGTAGTCAAATTTAGTCTAAGAATTAGCAAGTTATGAGCTTTGACTATAATCTTTGTTTGAGATATCATTTATTTAATTGTAAGCTTATATATTTTAATTTTTAATAATGGCGGAGTCTAACAAGTTTGCAGAATTCTTGGAAATTTAACAATCATTTTTTACAAGCCTGTTTGAACCAGCACCAGTGTGAAACACTATAATATGCTTCATTTTGTTTGTCCCTTGTACTTTTGATGAATTTTGGGCTTAGTATTAATTTATGGCTATTATAAATCAAGCTGCTGTGAATATTGGTCATTTGGTGGCTCTAGGTATGCATTCCTGTTGGTTTCATACTCAGGAGTGGAATTTCTGGGACTTTGGTTATACACATTTAATCAGCTTTGGTAGGCAGTGCTGAAGAGTTTTCAAAACTGATGTATCTATATATATACCTACCAGCAGTGTATAAGTTGCTCAACATCTTCACCATTTTCTTTTAGCTACTCTGATGAGTTTGTAGTGGTGTCTTATTATTGTTGGCTTAATTTGCATTTCCCAACCTTTTCATAGGCTTATGAGCCTCTGGGGAATTCTTTTGTTAAGTGCCTGTTGGAGTTGCTTGTCCAGTTAATTTTTTTTATTACTTTGTAGAATTTCCTTATATGTAAAATATGACTAATTTGTCATTTATATGTTTGCAAATATTTTCTGCTGCTTTCTGGCGTTAGTTGTTCCCTCGATTAATGGTGTCTTTTGATAAACAGAAATTCTTAGGTTTAATGTAGTCCAATTTCTTAATATTTTCCCTAATAGTGCTTTCTATGTTCTGTTTAGGAGATCTTTGCCCACATCCAAGGCAGATTTCTAGTTTTCTTCTGGAAGCTTTATTGTCTTTTCTTTCATGTTCAAATCTCAAAACAACTAATTGGGAATACCCAGTCCACCTCTATTTCCCAAGTTGTGAATTCAGCACCATCTTTCTTTTGGTTTTCAATTCAGCATTGCTCAAGTGACTGCTATGTCTGGGGCCTGTGGTGAGGTGCACACAGCAGCTATAACGATAAGTAGCTTATGAAACTAGTGGGCCAAACAGACTTGTCCCAGATAATTATAATATGAGACTCTGCCAATAGACTTGGACTTTGGATGGAATCCTGACAAGTGATTACACGTTCCTGACATTTACCTGGTGGCAAAGCCCCTGCTCTTGGACTCTCCCTTGCATTTGTCATTGTCACCACTGACCTTCTGTTGCTCCCAGACATTCATCTGGCTTTTTTTGGGGTTACAATTTTTCAAGTCTCATAAAAATGAGTTACATTAAACGAGGTCTGAATGAGAGTGTGTTCTACTATACATTATGTGTTCTGCGAAGGTTTGTGTCACTAAATTATTTAGTTGCTAAATTTCTTTCCGCTTGGAAAACATTTAATCATCCTCTTTTAAATGATCAAACACCACTTTTAAAAGATCCAATTTCATTGTTTGGTCAGTCTTCTTTTTGTGATGCAGAAAGGCATTCTTAATTCATTTCTGCTACTATTTTAAATTTTTATCCCACCAGAAGATAATAATTCTCTCATATTCTTGATAGTTCTATGATTAAAAATTAATTCATCACCCTCAAAGCCTAATGTCCAAGTTATTATCTTCACATTTTAGGTGAGTTTAATAAAACTTCTGTCTGAATGTATTAAGCGTTTAGTTGCTGATAAATGCTAAATATGTATATCCTCAGACTGAATACACCTAGGTGTGTTTAGTTTTCATTGTGGATTTTATGGGTTTGTAATTCATCCATTTAGGATTAATGACAAAAAATCTTTATTGCTTTGGAAATTCTAATAACAATATTAGTGTTCATCACCTAAATAATTTACTCTTTCCCTGGATCTCATTATATTTATTTAAGGTTGGTATCTTTTCTACAGAAGACAAAGTGTACTCTAACAGACTTCTTTGCTGTCATTTCTTACTGTATTTTTACTTTTAGGACTTTTGCCTCATATCTTAAAATAGTGACAAAATATGATGCCCTTCATTCATTTGTGGTCGTTCAGTAGTTTCAGTGGCATTGAGAGCATGATGCAAGTATGACTTTATGGAAAGAAGTGTTTCGACTTTATTTTACTCTTTTCTTCCATAGCAATTCCCAAAAGACACAATCAATGAAGAGGTGATAGAATTTTTGAGTCCTTACTTTGAAATGCCTGACTATAACATCGAAACTGCTAAACGCGTATGTGGAAATGTAGCTGGTCTTTGTTCCTGGACGAAAGCTATGGCTTCCTTCTTTTCTATAAACAAAGAAGTACTGCCTCTGAAGGTAAGCCTGCTAGGCAGACCTGGGTGAAGGTGGCTGGGCGGAGTCTCCAGGTCGACCCGTCTTATCTTTACAGGAGCACATGTGCCTGTGGCTTCTGGTGTTAGGATACTCAGGTCCATGGGGAGAGTGAGCATAGAAAGGCCAAGCATGGGATGTTTCTTTCTTCTTTGTAATCCTGTTCTAATCAGAACCATATGAGCCTCTAAGCAGGGACAGACTCTCTACAAGGATGCTCCCTACAGGTCCATTGTGGGCTGCTCGATATTTTTCCTCCACAATGTTAACTTGAAAAAAACAAAAACAAACAAACAAAAAACGCTGCAAACTGTAGCACAGAATCCTCTGCTGATATTTCAGATCTTTATCCAGAGAATCCTATGAGTGAGGTAGGGTCAAGACAGAACATGCTGAAAGCTGGTCTTAGCTTGGCTTAAGACGTGATGTATTCCTCCCTTTTCCATTTTTGTTTTGTCTCTCAGGAAAGAAACTGAATATCTGAATATTTGTTATTTAATGTGACTTTTTAGACATGCTTTTTATTTCCTTTGTGTAATTGAATCCTTAAGCTTCATTTTTGCATATTCCTCTACCATTAAAAGGTCAGTCTTCAGCAAATGGAGAGGCAATGGAGAGTGGGTTTTTTGAAAATGAAATGCTGATGTCTCAAAATCATATCTCATGGCTTGGTTGATTATTTTGCTTTTGTATGAGTCTCATCTCTCTTAATCATCAACTACATTCTACTTACACTTGTTAACTACCCAAGAAACTTAACAATCATCATACAAATAATCAAGAGTATCAGGAAGACAGGCATGGAGTTGCAAGTTCTATTTTGTTTCTACTTGTTGTGATACCAGGACCATATATTCAGCAATTGAGGCTCTTGAGGTCCCAGGACAACCTAAAGGGACAAAGAGTCATTTGAGTCCGAGAATTTCAGAGCAAATAATTGATGTCATGCTGTCTGACACCATGGATATTGTGACTATTGAAGACTTCAGCATAGCTCAAAAATGGACAATCTGATATTGACTGAATTAGAACCATTATATCAAGTGAAAAGTACAGTCATTCTTTGCATACTTTTCCAGTGGGTAACCATGCATAGTGTCTTTTTTTTTTTTTTGAGACGGAGTCTTTCTCTGTCACCCAGGCTGGAGTGCAGTGGCTTGATCTCAGCTCACCGGAAGCTCTGCGTCCCAGGTTCACGCCATTCTCCTGCCTCAGCCTCCCGAGTAGCTGGGACTACAGGCGCCCACCACCATGCCTGGCTAATTTTTTGTATTTTTAGTAGAGATGGGGTTTCACCATGTTAGCCAGGATGGTCTTGATCTCCTGACCTCGTGATCCGCCCACCTCGGCCTCCCAAAGTGCTGTGATTACAGGCGTGAGCCACTGTGCCCGGCCACATAGTGTCTTAAAGAGAACTACAGTTAAGTTCATGATGCATAGTTTTTTTCTGTTATTGTTGTCATTTTAAGTACATAGCTGAAATTGTTAAACATGGACATTCTGAACAAGGCTTGCATAAGAACAATGAGATCTCTTCCCCTGTATTCAATGCCATCCACATTTCAGCTTTCAGCTTGTCTCAAGACAATCTGGGTCCTGCAGTAGGAAGTGAAGGGAACACTATCAGTAGTGGGAACCTTTTTATTTACTCCTACAACCTGTGCTTTTCTTTCTGAGAAGTCTGTTCTCTTATATTCTTACAAGTATCTAGCATCTTGGACCACTCAGCTTGTCAGGTTCCTCTTACGTCAGTCCGAAAAATACATGCTGTTACACAGACCCGCATTCACTGTGTAGGGAGGAGTAGAAGAGGCAGTGAGTGCATATTGTCACCAGGTGGTTCTGTTGAATATATTAAGAAATTCAGACCTACGACTTTAACTTCCCTTCTTCCTGGAGGGGCTTCACTGGCAAACCCCTGCTTCTTAAGTGAGGAGAGGTCAAGGGCATTCCCTAAATTCCAGGTGGAATCTCTTAGACACTAATTAGTAATGGACACACTGAGGAGCTGTTATCTTTCATCTTGCAATCCTTGTAGTTGGGCTAAGTGACTTCTAGTAGTGAATAAATTCAAACAAGTATGAATTAGCGGCAATAGCAATTTAGATTCTATTCAAGTTCCTTATAATGAGATTCTCCTTGAAAACTTTATGGAAATCAGTATGAGTACATATAAAGAGAATGTTATAAAAAAGCAGAACTTAAATATTGAACATAGATAATAACAGTAACAACATCTACTATTTATTGAACTCATGTTATGTGCCGGGGACTAGACTTGGGATTTTACATATGTTATCTTATTTAATCCTCATAAAAAGTCCTAGGAGTTAGTTTTTCAATATTTTAATGAAGAAACTGAAGCTCACAGGGTTTAAGCAGCCTGCACAGAGTTCTACAAGTCCTAAGTTGAGCAATTAATTGGGTTTGAAGGATTTTGATTAGCAATTGTTGACAGCTTCATTTAATATAAATTTTATTTATTTATTTATTGGTGAGTAAAGTACTAGAAAATGTTCAAAATCTTTGGGTTTGCAAAGTTTGTCATTAGCAGGTGACTTTAAGTTGTAAGTTGCTTGACACGGTGACTTTACTTTTTCCTTCCATGTTTTGAGCCATGGGAACAGTTGCAGCTTACAGCAGAGCTGAGGAAAAAATGTTCCACCAGTCAGGTTCTTTTTAAATTGTAACTTACAAGCGATGCTTTTGCCCATCACTGGATCTAGTCAATTATGGAACTCTTGAGTTTTTCCCTAAAGATTTATTCTGCCAAAATTTGGAAGCCTGAAGTTTTGAGATAGGAAAATAATTTATTTCAAAAGTGTTTTAAAAATAATCTTTTCTCAAATACTTCAGAAAGAATATGCCTTCTAGTCATCCCATGAAAGTCAATATTAACACTTTATAAATTTAAAAGGGAAAAATTTGGTTTCAAAAATGATTTTAAAGGATCTAAATTTCTTAGGCATGAACTACTTTTTTACATCTCATCTTTTGCTAATATTGCTTTTGGTTAAGTCTTTTGATTCTATCTTAATAGCTTCTTTAAAATAAACATTTTTAATTAGTCACAGCTCAAGGTATCAAATACGCTTTCCAGAAGGCAAGAAATATATGAAAGTGACAGGAACAATGTCAAGACCACCACGATACACAAAACGTAGATATTTATATTCAGTAAATAATCATTTTACATCCTTTATTACTCCTCAACAGTGATGAGTCCTGCTAGGCAGATAGTTCTAAATATTGTTTTTTTCTACAACTCTCAATATTAGCATGTTTTATAATTTACCTATATACATTTAATATTACAGTGTTCTGATCTAGGTAGACTATGGCCTGTGGGCCAAATCTAGCCCACTACCTATATTTGGATGGCTTGTGAAATAAGAGTAGGTTTTACATGTTTAAATAGTTTTAAAATAAGTACATGAACAATAATTTTGATTTTGCCTCTTGGCCCAAAATATTTACTATCTGGCACTTTAAAGAAAATATTTGCTGACCTCCTTTCTAATGAAGTGTAACTTTCTGCTTATACACATTTATGTCAAGTTCACATTAAGATTTGTTCAGGACTTAATGTGATTTGAAAGGATTCTGGAGCGGGAACAAAGCAAAGGTATAAACATGTGACGTTAGCTGAGTTCTCAGACCCTGAAATGCAGGATGTTTTGAGGTTGGCTGCCCATCTCTTCACTCTGTGTGTGTCCTGTGCAGGCCAACTTGGTGGTGCAAGAGAATCGCCATCTCCTGGCCATGCAGGATCTGCAGAAAGCCCAGGCCGAGTTGGATGACAAGCAGGCGGAACTTGACGTGGTGCAGGCTGAGTATGAACAGGCCATGACTGAAAAGCAGGTAACTGCCCTTTGTCATGGCAGGGACTGTCACATATCTACACGGCTTCTCTCTCCAAGAGTTTGGGTTCTTGTGGGGTTTCACTGAATTTATACATAATACATACATAGCACATAATGGACACCAAGGGTCTTTGATGAGACAACAGGATGGTCAGTCAAGATGGCTGTCAGTGCTGGAACATAGCCATTCTGAGTTTCTTTGTTAGTGGTGTTGGTAGTGATGACAGCATCTTGTGTACTAGCATTTTTGTTATGTTTTTCAAATCATGTCCTCCCATTTTTATCTCATTTAATCTTTGAAGTAACTTGCAAGGTAGGCAGGGTGGGTTTATTTATTTATTTATTTATTTAGACAAAGTATTGCTCTGTCGTCCAGGCTGGAGTGCAATGGCATGATCATGGCTCACTGCAGCCTTGAATTCCTGGGGTTAAGTGATCATTCCACCTCAGCCTCCCAAGTAGCTGGGACTACAGACATGCACCACCATGCCTGGCTAATTTTTTGTAGAGACAAGTTTTCACCATATTGCCCAGGCTGGTCTCGAACTCCTGAGCTCAAGTGATACACCTGCCTCGGCCTCCCAAAGGTTGGGATTACAGGTGTGAGCCAAGGCACCCTAGTGCCTTACCTATCTTTGTTCTCACTTTAGAGCATTCAAGTCAAATGCCTAAAGAGATCACAGAGGAAAAGTACCTGAGTTTCTAAGTAACCAGGATCTTGTCACTTTTTTTTTTTTACTTTAAATACATACTGATTTTTTTTTTTTACAAAGTGGTCTCTCTAGAGTATATAAGCTTTTGGCTTAATAAAATCTGTATCTGCCTCTGATAAATCCAATATTTGGTAAATAATAGCTAGATTCACTCTGTTTTACCTTGATAATTTTATGAAATTCACCTCTACCCCTTCTCAGCCTTTACTTGGCCGAATTGAAATTCCTGCCTTGTTAGTTTTGTAGGGGTCCCAATAAAAGAGTTTAGATAAACATTTCAGTTTCAATATCTGCAGAATGTATGATATAATGTCTTAAAGATAAGTCTTCCACAAGCAAAGTAAATGCTTTTGGAAGCTTTAAAGAAGTAGCACTTTTGAAAAATGTCTGTTCATGTCCTTTGCCCACTTTTAATGAGATTTTTTTTAAATTGTGAATTTCTTTAAGTTCCTTATAGATCCTGGATATTAAGATTTTTTCAGATCCATATTTTGCAATAATTTTCTCCCATTCTAGAGGTTGTCTCTTCACTCTGTGGATAGTTTCTTTTACTGTGCAGAAGCTTTTTATTTTAATTAGATCCCATTTGTCAGTTTTTGCTTTCTTTACAACAGACACTTTTCAAAAAAAGACATACATGCGGCCAACAATCATATGAAAACAAGCTCAGTATCACTGATCACTAGAGAAATGCACATCAAAACCACAATCAGTTACCATCTCACACCAGTCAGAATGGCTATTATTAAAAAGTCAAAAAACAACAGATGCTGGTGAGATTGCGGAGAAAAAGAATGCTTATACACTGCTGGTCAGAGTGTAAGTTAGTTCAACCATTCTGGTAGATAGTGTGGCAATTCCTCAAAGACGTAAAAACAGAAATACCATTGACCCAGCAATCCCATTACTTGATATATACCCAAAGGAATATAAATCGTTCTGTTATAAAGCCACCTGTGTGAATATGTTCATTGCTGCCCTGTTCACAATAGCAAAGACATGGAATCAACTTAAATGTTCAACAGTGGTAGACTGGATAAAGAAAATGTGGTACATGTACACCATGGAATACCACGCAGCTATAAAAAAGAATGAGATTGTGTCCTTTCAGGAACCTAGATGGAACTGGAGGCCATTATCCTTAGCAAACTAACACAGGAACTGAAAAACCAAATGCCACATGTTTTCACTTATAAGTGGGAGCTAAATGATGAGAACACATGGACACATAGACGGAAACAACACACACTGGGGCCTACTGGAGGGTGGAGGATGGGAAGAGGGAGAGGATCAGGAAAAATAACTGACAAGTACTAGGCTTAATACCTGGGTGATGAAAAAATCTTCACAACAAACCCCCATGACACAAGTTTACTTATATAACAAACCTGTACACATACCCCTGAACTGAAAATGAAAATGAAATTATAAAAAAGAAGTAACACTTATCTGGGTTTATATACTTATGCCTCATAAAATTCACTTATGTATGGAAAACATTATGGCAGTCTGAAAGAATCTACTTTGGAAGGAGTGTTAATTTCTACCATTTTGGATGCTCATTTGTATCAGGAAGCTCTACTGAACACAGTGAAAATACTTTACCTTCTCACTTTATTATGTGTACATTTTAACATTTTTACCTTAACTCATTCAGCAAGCTTTATTGTTTTTGAGCATCTGCTATTTGTTAGGTAAATAATCATGGGACCACAGAAGAACTGTAACATCATGGCTCTAACTCTAAAACTTGAATTTCAACAAATGTCAAATTCCGTATTAAAAAAAAATCTGGGCATACCTACAACCAACTTCTGAACTTGATCTTCAGTCATTTTTGTTGCTCTTCTCCCTCCATAGGACTCCATGAAAGTCCAGGGGTTTGTGGGCCTCCCAGAAAGCAGAAGGGTTCCAATCTGCAGTTCACCATGGCCCAGGCCTGCATGGCCCATTGAAGGAGAGTGTGTCCTGGCTGTGCCCCATGCAGAATCCAGTGCCTTTGCCTAGGGTTCAGCTTGCCTAGGCCTGCTGGAGAGCCAGTCACCTCTCTGGGACCTATGAGAGAGTGGGCCTGAGGAGGGGGGTACTACTCAGGGAACCCAGTAAGTCCCGTGTGCTCCCCTCAACAGGCTGGGGGGAACTCACGGAACTTACGGCTTTCTTTCTCTTGCATTGTCAACATTTACTCCTTTCTCTTCTCCCAAATTGTAATCCCCCAAAGAAGCCTGGGCTTCCAGAAAACAAAAGCCAGAAAGGGAGAGGACTGGTCATTTTCTGATTTGGCTGATGGAATTGGGATTGCAGAATTTAGAGAAAGCAAATCAATATTAAAAGTATGTTACAAATAAAAAGTTTTTTTTTTCTAATAAACAATGTAGGATTGTCCTTCCCAGCTGGCACCTTCCCTCTTGAGGGAAACAAACAGATGTGAGTAGCCGTAGTTGGGGGATGGTTCTCTCCGATGGACTGTTAGTTTTTTTGCCTTAACTCCAGAGGAAGAAAATAGATTAGGACGAAGTGGAATAAATATCTTGCTTTTGAAAAACACTGTAATGTGTTATTATTACAAAAGCAATTCATGTCTCTATACAAAATACAGGTAACCCTGGAGATGAACATTAATCATATTCTGTTATTATTCATATCATAATATATGCCTTTCAGATGCATTTTGAACTCAACATAACTGATAATTTAGAAATGCCATTTTATAAATCGAATTTTTAACAATATATTGTGATCTGCTTTCTTGGTCATAAAAATTTTTATAGGATTTTTTTATGGCTTCAGAGTATTCTTATTCATGGATACACTATAATTTATTTAAATAATCCTCTATTGTTAGACATTTAGCATGTGTATATATATTTGAACACCCAGTGACTTGTCAGGTAGCTACACCTTTGTACATACCCATTTTATTTCATAAGTTTAGATTTTTACAAGTAGAATAAGCAATTGTTGCTTAAACACTAAGAAACAGAGCCATTTGTTTTTTGCTTTTTGTGTTTTTTTGAGCGGATTTGAGTGGCACGATCTTGGCTCACTGCAATCTCCACCTCCCAGGTTCAAGTGATTCTCCTGCCTTAGCCTCCCAAGTAGCTGGGATTACAGGTTCCTGCCACCACGCCCAGCTAATTTTTGTATTTTTAGCAGAGATGGGGTTTCACCATGTTGGTCAGGCTGGTCTTGAACTCCTGACCTCAAGTGATCCGCCCACCTCGCAGCCTTCCAAAGTACTGAGATTACAGGTGTGAGCCACCGGAACCATTTGTTTTTAAGAACTAAGCACTGGTCAGGTGCGGTGGCTCATATCTGTAATCCCAGCACTTTGGGAGGCTTAGGTTGGCGGATCACCTGAGGTTGGGAGCTTGAGACCAGCCTGACCAACATGGAGAAACCCCATCTCTACTAAAAATACAAAATTAGCGGGGTGTGGTGGCGTATGCTTGTAATCCCAGCTACTTGGGAGGCTGAGGCAGGAGAATCACTTGAACCCGGGAGGCAGAGGTTGCAGTGAGCTAAGGTCATGCCATTGCACTGCAGCCTGGGTAACAAGAGCGAAACTCTATCCAGCCAAGTTCCATGGGCAGGGGATAAGAGAGAGGACAGGGCAAAGGAGAGAGGACTGGGCTGACAGACACATGGAAATAGAATCTCATGCTTCTTGTGAAGTAATGGCTCACATGTCTCAGGAAGGCAGATAATATGGCGTGTTCTACAATTATATTTTTGAGCCAGTGGCTATGTTTATTTCAGTAAAAGCTTTCTTGTGATTATGACCTTTGTTAGACCTTGCTTGAAGATGCAGAGCGATGCAGACACAAGATGCAGACAGCTTCCACGCTCATCAGTGGCTTGGCAGGTGAAAAAGAAAGATGGACAGAGCAAAGCCAAGAGTTTGCTGCACAAACTAAAAGACTTGTAGGTATGTAAATTTCTTTATTAATGAGATTGTGTGTTGACTGTGATAGGGAATTCGAAAGCTTATACTTTAATCAAATTCCTTTGTGTGTCCAACATGGCGCATGTATACATATGTAACAAACCCGCACATTGTGCGCATGTACCCTAAAACTTAAAGTATAATAATAATAAAATTAAAAAAAAATTCCTGTGTGTGTGTGTGTGCCTCCAGCCATTTCAGAGAAAGAGACATTGTTCTGGCATCTATGCTGTCCTTATTAGATGTGTTAACGACCTTTATGCCTTTTATTATCAGGTCACTTTAGAATTCTGTGAGTGCATGGGTATATTGATGAAGGTCACATTTAATGAAGGCTCTGTCTTATGAGGTTTTATTCTCTTAAACTTAGAGGTCATCTTTTCACTTCTAATGAGAGTAAAGATAATCCAGTGCTTGACTGCTAGTAGGTATCACTTGGTAGGCCACTTGGACCTTATTGACTAATAAACCAGACTACTGCTTATTCACCAGCACAGCCACTTGTGCCTCCAGTTTGATTTGTGGAATTTAGTTTAAAAGAATTATTGTCTTTTTAATTTTTTTCATTTTTAATATGCTGTACAATCACACGGATGAACGTAAAGTATTTCAATGGTGTTTGTTTTCTATTTTAGGGGATGTACTGTTGGCTACAGCTTTTCTATCTTATTCTGGTCCATTTAACCAAGAGTTTCGTGATCTTCTGTTAAATGACTGGCGGAAGGAAATGAAAGCCCGGAAAATTCCATTTGGAAAGAACCTAAATCTCAGTGAGATGTTGATTGATGCTCCTACTATTAGTGAATGGAACCTCCAAGGTCTGCCAAATGATGACTTGTCCATTCAAAATGGAATTATTGTCACGAAGGCATCTCGTTACCCTTTGTTAATTGATCCACAGACTCAAGGCAAGATCTGGATTAAAAATAAAGAAAGCCGAAATGAACTCCAGGTAATTTGTGTTTTAGTATGTTTATGCTACCGGTTAAGTTTTATTGCCTCAGATAAACAAAAATCCAAGAGTAAAGAAATATTTGAAAACACTAGAGATGTTTTTGTAATCCTAGGTAGAGCAGTAGCAGATGCAAGCTTAAATCTAATATAAAAATATTTTCTAAAACTTTCATTATTTGCATTTGTGTTGATCTCTACCAATGCCATCTTTCAATGGTTTCAGGCTATTCTGTCAGGGTCCAGGGCTCTCTTTGATAAGTACAGAACGGCAGAGCTGTATCACACAAAGTGTGCAGCACTTTGCATGAATACTTCCTAATTATTACATTATTATTTGTCACAAAAGTGGTAGTGGTGAAGAAAAAACATTGTTCCCACACAGAGCCTTTACATGCTTCCCAATAAAACAAAATGATAGTTTGTTAAACAACAATGGAAACAGTTACACTTCTTTACAATTTCACCAAGTGTGGGTTTCAAAGCCAAGGATCTCTAAAAATCTATATGAAAGTTGAATGCCCCTTATCCTAAATACTTGGGATCCGAAGTGTTTCAGATTTTAGATTTTGGAATATTTGCATGTACATAATGAGATAACTTGAGGATGGGACCCAAGTCAGAACACGAAATTCATTTATGTTTCATATACACCTTCTTCATATATTTGAAGGTAATTTTATACAATATTTTAAACAATTTTATGCATGAAACAAAGTTTGTGTACATTCAACCATCAGAAAGCATAGGGGTCAGGTGTGGAATTTTCCACTGTGGGCATCATGTGGGCTCTCAACAAGTTTTGTATTTGGGAACATTTTGGATGCTCAATTTGTATTTGTCTCTTGCAGTAGAATGCTTTAGGCTTCATTTGAAAACAGTTATCCCTGTGCATTGCTTCATGGTAATGTCTGCCAATAGCAACCTTGTGATCCTGTTCCTAGATCACGTCTTTAAATCACAAGTACTTCAGAAACCACCTGGAAGACAGCCTTTCTCTTGGAAGGCCTTTGCTTATTGAAGATGTTGGAGAGGAACTAGATCCAGCACTAGATAATGTTTTGGAAAGAAACTTCATTAAAACTGGGTCTACCTTTAAGGTAGGTTAAACCTATGGATGACAATGTGCAGAACAATTACCATGAGGCCAGGTCAATGTGACACAGATAGAATTCTCTCAATAGGCAACAACTTAAATTTGAGTCCTTGGGAAAGGTTTGTTTTTCTCTTCTACACTTCTTGACTTTGGATTAAAATATCCAGGAGCAAGCCTTTTAGGAGTATTGACTTCACTTTTGTAATGTGAAAAGGGTCTGACTGCATTTGATGCTGACAGCTTTGAAGCCTCTCCATGCCCCTCTCCCCTTCTGCCCCACCCACATCTGGGCAAGCTGATAAAACCTGGGTGCCCCCTGCTTTGGCACAGGTTGAAATTCAAACCATGCAATCCCCTGTCCACACCTATGTATGGGAACCCTCACCCCAGCTCTACCCCCTAAACACCACAAAGCCCTAGAGCAGCTGCCCCTCCCTGCTCTCTCAAGCCGGTTTTTGGGACCTGTTTGGGAACCTGCTCTGATCTCTCCCAAAATCTTATCAAGTGAGTAATAAACCTTTTTATACTCTTTCGGTGCATGTGTAGCATCATCAGTCTCAACCTGTGAACTGAATTTTGGGTAAGGGATCCATCTCACTCCTGCAATGTGATCATAACAATTTTGGTGTTAAATTCTATATTCAGTCCATTATATATATGTGTGTATATATATGTTTCTTCCTCCCATCCTTCTTTGCTTCCTTTCTTTCATCCTAGTTGTCTGAAGCTGTGCAGACGCCTCATGACCATTTCTTTTTTAGTATACAAATGATCTCCAATTATGTAATTATTTAAAACAATACTTGATCTGATACAAAAAAGACACAGTAAGGTATATCTCTATTTTATTACTTTTAAATTTCTTTTTATAAAAAAGGTGAAAGTTGGTGACAAGGAAGTAGATGTGTTGGATGGCTTTAGACTCTACATTACCACCAAATTGCCTAACCCAGCCTACACCCCTGAGATAAGTGCCCGTACCTCCATCATTGACTTCACTGTCACCATGAAAGGTCTAGAAGATCAGTTACTGGGGAGGGTCATTCTCACAGAGAAGCAGGTGAGTGAAGTGTGGCTCCCTCCCATTCTGCATTGCTTTAATGTCATATTTCATTGACAAAAATAAGATAATAACAGTTGTAATAGGACTGAGTTTCTCTCCTTTTATTCCCTGTGTTTTTTTCCATTAATCTCCAAGTGTTTTCTTTTTTTCCTAAAGGAAATTATTAACCAGTCATCTACTCATATGTTTCACAAATGTCTCATAAATTACGTATGTCATCGATTGCCTTTATACAGACTGATGATGAAACTACGAGGAATCAGTCTCATTTTCAGCATCATTACTTTGTTCTTAAATTACTTGATTGTTCTGAAAAGTGTGTTCTATTATGAATTCAACTCATCTGTTGACTTTTAATTTTCTAGTACACATCTAGGTTTTTCTTTCATTTGATTCATTATTATGCTTTTAGAATATAAAATTAGAACTTTGTACTCATAACAAACAACATTGTCAGTTCTCATTTGTGATCTAAGAGAGCCCTGTAGTATGTCCTGATGGGATCTGATGTGAGAAGACAGAAGTTTGTGCCACCTGAGTTTCACTCTGTAACTTTTGAAGGCTACTGACTTAATTATGCTAATGAAACATAACTCCATGTCTGCCTTCTTTACTTCTGTTTTATGGAATAACTTAATGCTCAATGAAAAATGGGCACACATTTGTAAACTTCCTTCTTTCGAGTGAGCATTTTCTTTAGGGAGTATGTGAGGCTTCAGCAAAGAAACGTGGAAGATTTTAATGGGAATGTTATGGTGAAACTGCACGAACTCTTAACATTGCTATTGATTTCCTCCTGGGTTCGATAATAATGAGGAATTTAGTTAACTTTATGGCACCTTCTACGCTGACCTGAAGATTATTTATGTTAATACAGTCAGCAAAGTCTTTGGGGTCTGTCCCTCCCCTTGTCTGTACCTTTTCTGTGTGTTGTACGGTGCTTGCCCGTCTGAGCCCTACCACATGTCTATCTCTTTCTCCTCCACTTCCTCCCCTTCTCTCTCCCTTCCCTTTTCCTGAACATTATTGTTAATTTATAGCACATGAATCACAGAGTCATAAAGTTGGAAGCTGCATTAGGAGCATTTAATCCAGCTTCATAAATCGCATGGTTGAGTGATCTCAGAATGGCAGATACTGATTCTGGTTCCTGCCACTGGGTTGCTGTTGTGGTAATGACCGCCTTCAAAATATGTACTTGCTTAGTTTTTGAGTCCCGAGTTAAATCTCAATAGAGGTGGTGAAGGAAATTTAGCATTGTCATGTAATTACTTCAGGCGGGACTGGGATTCTTGAGCAATAGCATGTGACCTGGAGCAAGTGGAAGTTCCTGAGGGTCTTTTGGGCCACCTCTGTCACTGGTATTTGAGACTCTCCTTCCACCTGTAGCCTTGGCTTCATGGAGATAAGGGGCCCTGATGGCAGTTTGAATAATATTCTTGTCCTTGGTTTTCTTATATTCAACTGAATGAATACAGTCTCCTTGGAACAAATAATTTGATCTGACAGACTTGGATTGCAGCAAAACACAACAACAGCAACAGCAACAACAAAAACAAAAATAAGCCCATCACTGGGCCTTAATTCCTGTAGCAGAGGTTTAAGATGAAATAAGGAGCTTGTTAAGCTCATTTGAAAACACTTGGAGCAGCCCTGAAAAGCCAGTATGGATGCAGGACCAGGCTTTTTCTTACTTCTTAGGAAAATTGAGTGTCTTGAGAGAATTACTCCTTTAATATTATCTCATTATCAGAATCTGTTCTGGGCTCACAGTAAATAATTCTTACAAAATGATCAGCCAGAATAATGTGACACTCATTTTTTTTCTTTCATAATAACAGACACTCGTTTTCTTTTATAATGTGAACAGCATTATAACGCCTAACCTTTATTTATTTTGTTCCCAAAATGAGGTCTTGTGATAGAAGAAGTGAGCTGCTGGGCTTCATTTTCATGGATTTTCAGCAGTATGCTTGTTCTAAGAGGCTTTTACTTTTGCAGCTTCTTCACTTCCCAGCATATTCCTGAATCTGCTAACACTGCTGGACCTTCTCAGTCTGGGTGGTGCAGATGGGTCTGAGTTGATCCCTGCTGCTTTTGGGTCATTTCCTACAATCTAGTTACTCAATTGGAAAGAGTCTTATGTGTGCCTTATGAACACAGATATATCAGTTCTGGCCAGGGCAATCAAGCAGGAGAAAGAAATAAAGGGTATTCAATTAGGAAAAGAGGAAGTCAAATTGTCCCTGTTTGCAGATGACATGATTGTATATCTAGAAAACCCCATTGTCTCAGCCCAAAATCTCCTTAAGCTGATAAGCAACTTAAGCAAAGTCTCAGGATACAAAAGCAATGTGCAAAAATCACAAGCATTCTTATACACCAATAACAGGCAAACAGAGAGCCAAATCATGAGTGAACTCCCATTCACAATTGCTTCAAAGAGAATAGAATACCTGGGAATCCAACTTACAAGGGATATGAAGGACCTCTTCAAGGAGAACTACAAACCACTGCTAAACGAAATAAAAGAGGATACAAACAAATGGAAGAACATTCCATGCTCATGGATAGGAAGAATCAATATCGTGAAAATGGCCATACTGCCCAAAGTAATTTATAGATTCAATGCCATCCCCATCAAGCTACCAATGACTTTCTTCACAGAATTGGAAAAAACTACTTTAAAGTTCATATGGAACCAAAAAAAGAGCCCACATTGCCAAGACAATCCTAAGCCAAAAGAACAAAGCTGGAGGCATCACGCTACCTGACTTCAAACATACTACAAGGTTATAGTAACGAAAACAGCATGGTACTGGTACCAAAACAGAGATACAGACCAATGGAACAGAACAGAACCCTCAGAAATAATACCACACATCTACAACTATCTGATCTTTGACAAACCTGAGAAAAACAAGCAATGGGGAAAGGATTCCCTATTTAACAAATGGTGCTGGGAAAACTGGCTAGCCATCTGTAGAAAGCTGAAACTGGATCCCTTCCTTACATCTTATACAAAAATTAATTCAAGATGGATTAAAGACTTCAATGTTAGACCTAAAACTATAAAAACCCTAGAAGAAAACCTAGGCAATACCATTCAGGACATAGGCATGGGCAAGGACTTCATGACTAAAACACCAAAAGCAATGGCAACAAAAGCCAAAATTGACAAAATTGACAAAACTAAAGAGCTTCTGCACAGCAAAAGAAACTACCATCAGAGTGAACAGGCAACCTACAGAATGGGAGAACATTTTTGCAATCTACTCATCTGACAAAGGGCTAATATCCAGAATCTACAAAGAACTCAAAGAAATTTACAAGAAAAAAACAACCCCATCAACAAGCGGGCGAAGGATATGAACAGACACTTCTCAAAAGAAGACATTTATGCAGCCAACAGACACATGAAAAAATGCTCATCATCACTGACCATCAGAGAAATGCAAATCAAAACCACAATGAGATACCATCTCACACCAGTTAGAATGGCGATCATTAAAAAGTCAGGAAGCAACATGCTGGAGAGGATGTGGAGAAATAGGAATACTTTTACACTGTTGGTGGGACTGTAAACTAGTTCAACCATTGTGGAAGACAGTGTGGCGATTCCTCAGGGATCTAGAACTAGAAATACCATTTGACCCTGCCATCCCATTACTGGGTATATACCCAAAGGATTATAAATCATGCTGCTATAAAGATACATGCACACGTATGTTTATTGCGGCACTATTCACAATAGCAAAGACTTGGAACCAAACCAAATGTCCAACAATGATAGACTGGATTAAGAAAACATGGCACATATACACCATGGAATACTATGCAGCCGTAAAAAAGGATGAGTTCATGTCCTTTGTAGGGACATGGATGAAGCTGGAAACCATCATTCTCAGCAAACTATCGCAAGGACAAAAAACCAAACACCGCATGTTCTCACTCGTAGGTGGGAATTGAACAATGAGAACACTTGGACACAGGAAGGGGAACTTCACACACTGGGGCCTGTTGTGGGGTGGGGGGAGAGGGGAGGGATAGCATTAGGAGATATAGCTAATGTAAATGACGAGTTAATGGGTGCAGCACACCAACATGGCACATGTATACATATGTAACAAACCTGCACGTTGTGCACATGTACCCTAGAACTTAAAGTATAATAAAAATATATATTAAAAAAAAACAAGGATAGTACATAGTTTTAAACTTTCTCAAGTTGTTTCTGCTAGAAATTTATTCAAAGGACAATTATTGATATTTTATAGAAAAAAAATGAGCCAAGGGTAAAAGAAAATGGATCAAGCCTGTTTGCTTAACAGAGTCATGAGCGTATTGCCTGCCAATCTTTTCTCTCACTTGGGAGAAACTCAACCTGAATCAAATATTTGCTGTTAATACTAATTGCCTCCCATATTTCATATCCTACCTGTTGTAAATCTTAATTTTAAAATAAGAGGGTTTAAGAGTCACTACCCCATAAATATAGTGATACATATTAGTTATTCACCCAAGATATGATGCTTCATAGGCCTGTGGAAATTCTGACTTCTCTTACTAACAGGCCAGGTGCCCAGGGATCTGTAGTGCACAGTTGCAAACCGTGTGTTGGCCTGTCCTCCCTCTTTCATGCATTCAGATATCACCCTTAGGTATAATAAACTCAGGGCCTTCTGTAATTCCACAAATTTAGTAACCTAACAAATAGATTTGAGTTCACCTGTTAATAGAAGCAGCAACCTGAAGCTTCTGGATTCTAGGTGAACATGATTAGAGACTGAGCACAGGTCTCCTCCCAGGAAGCTGTCTCAACCCATCCTCTCTCTCCACAGCATTGTCCTAGTAAGAGCTTCTCCAAACTGCAAACATCATTACACACAGAAAGAATTGCTCTCAGTGGCTTTTTAACAGAGAAGTTTGACTCATTTCCTTAGTAAAAGTGTTCTAAGAATAAAAAGAAATAAGGTATTTTAAACTTTAAGTTTTTTCAGTAATATTGATGTTATATGAAAACTATTTTTATGTTGTCTTATAAGTCAAAGAAGTAATTATGTTAATTGTATTAAGATTCAATCTTTTTTAAAGTAATGGAAAATAAAGTAAAAAATAAATGAAATCATAAAAAATACAGTCCAAATTATTCCTTTGACTTCAGTGACAATGCAGTGTCTTTGACTATAATCTCACTTCTTGGGTGATTATAAATATAAAATATCAATTTGAAATTTTATTGATTTAAGGAGAGCTGTTGACGTTAGGAAGATTACACACAGGAAGGGATAGGATATCCCAAACAGAATAGGAAGTTGATGTTGGAAACCATCTAAGGAATGTGGGGCTGAAACAGAGGCTGAATCTCTTCAGTGGGGATGAGTCATGACTTCATAGGTTTGTTGATTCGTCTTGTGAAAGGAGACTCTGAACAGTAATTGATCATGCAAGGGAAAGACAAATCTTTGACTCCAAAAATTCATCAGCTGTTCTGTGTCCTAGGGATACAGAGGCAATGAGGGACCTTATTATCACACATAATCGGGTCTCATGAATGTTCAGTTGTATATCTGCTAGACCTTCAGGTTTGTTTGCTTCAGAAACACGTGTAAACCTTAGAGCGTATGGATGCAAGGAAGCATGAATTTTAACAGAGTTATACTTTCTGTGTGCTTCAAAACAGTCATTTTAAATGCATGTGCTGTTCAAATTCACATCAAGCCTATATCCAATTGTTTATCTGATGCACCTGTGAGTAGATTTGGACATTCTGCTGCTATTACCAGAAGGTGATGTATCTAGACCATTTTGAACATGTTGTAGGCCTACAACAACCTTCCTTTATAGAAACCAAATCTCTTAGACTCACTCTCACTTTGATCATAGAGAATAAAATGGAAACTTAAAAAAAATCTATGTTCCATTGGGAGAAAAATGCCAATGTTGATCAATAGCTCCTGCTGGTCACACAATACAAGGCCTCAGGGATCATCATTGTTCAGAATTCTGGATGAACAAACAGGTGTGTGATTTCCTTTTGAGGTGCAAGTACCTGAACTTGGTGAAACTGACATGGGAAGTAATTTAAGAAGGACATTAAACAGACATCGTTATCACCAGCTCACTGGTGGTGGGGGAAAAAGAAATCTCTTTCTGAGTTCTCTTGTTTAATCTTTCTATTTTGGTTACTAGTGTAAAGTACAAAAGAGAAATAATATTTGGTAATGGAGGCTGTGTGATACCTTTAAGAATGAGAACTCTGGCTGCCGTTTGTCTTTTACTGATTTCAAAACTTTGGTTATAAATGCAGTTTAAGTACACAAATAAGTTTAGTTTTCATTTGCTTCTTTGTTAAGCTACTTACAGTAAAAAATCATTTAATTAACAAATGCTATGTTCACGAAATTTTACCAAACCACCCTGTACGTGTAAATTTTTATTTTATTTTTAATTGACATATAGTAATTGTACATGTTTATGGGGTACATAGTGATATTTCCATAATATAATGTATAGTGATCAGATTGGGGTAATTAGCATATCCATCATCTCAAACATTGATCATTTCTGTATGTTGGGAACATTCAATATTCTCCTTCGAACTATTTGAAATTATATAATATAATCATTAAGTACAGTCATCCTGTAATGCTATAAAACACTATAACTTATTTGTCCTATCTAGCTGTAATTTTGTATCTTAACAAATCTCTCCCTCTCTCACCCTTTCCCCTACCCTTCCCAGCCTCTAGTATCCTCTGTTCTACTTTTCACTTCTATGAGATCAACATTTTTTTTTTAGCTTACATATGTGAGTGAGAATATGTAGTGTTTTACTTTCTGTTCCTAGCTTATTTCACTTAGCATAATGACCTCCAGTTCCATCCATGGTGCTGTGAATGACAGGATTTTATTCTTTTTTATTGCTGAATAGTATTCCATTGTGTATGTATACCACATTTTCTTCATCCATTCATCTGTTGTTGGGCACCTAGGTTAATTCCATATCTTGTCAATTGTGCATAGTGCTGCAGTAAACATGGGGATGCAGACATGCCTTCGATACACTGATTTCCTTTCCTTTGAATAAATGCCCAGTGGTGGGATTGATGGATCATGTGGTAGTTCTATTTGTTTCAGTGTGTGTATCCATGTGTGTACTTTTTTGAGGAACTTCCATACTGTTCTCCATAGTGGTTGTTCTAGTTTACATTCCCACACACAGTGTTTAACAGTTCCCTTTTCTCTGCATCTTCATCAGCATTTGTTATTTTTTGACTTTTTGATAATCGCCAACCCAGCTGGGGTGAGATGATATGTCATTTTGGTTTTGATTTGCATTTCCCCGACCATTAATGATGTTGAGAATTTTTTCATATATTTCTTGGCCATTTTTATGTCTTTTGAGACATGTCTGTTCAGATAATTTGCCCATTTTTTAATTGATTTTTTTTCTGTTGAGATGTTTGAGTTCCTTGTATGTTCTGGATGTTAATCCCCTCTTAGATAAATAGTTTGTAACTGCTTCCATTTCATAAGTTATCTTTTCACTCTGTTGATTGTTTCCTTTGCTGTGCAGAAGCTTTTTGGTATAACCCCATTTGTTTATTTTGGCGTTTGTTGCCTGTGCTTTTGTGGTGTTATTCATAGAATCTTTTCCCAGACCAGTGTCCTGAAGCATTTCCTTTATGTTTTCTTCTAGTAGTTTTATAGTTTCAGGTCTTACTTTTAGATCTTTGATCTATTTCTTACTTTTAAAATTCCCTTTGGAATATATCACAGTTTATATAAGAATTTTACATTGTAGCCTTAGAATTTATATAGAACACTTAGCACAAATCTTTACTTTTATCTATCATCTATCTCTCTATCTACCTACCTATCTATCAATATATCTATCTGCCTGCTAAGAGATAATCCCTTTGGTGGGAAGGAGACTTATGGATAAAATTATTGTGATTAATTTTGCCTCATCATATTAATCTGAAAAAGTCTTACCTTCTTCTTATGAATTGGTGGAATGAAAGTAATTGTTTAATACAAATGTTTAAATCAGCCATATAAATGAAAATATGCCTATAACCATATCCATAAGTAGGTTTTCAATCTTTTAACCTTGAACAAAAACCAAGCAACAATTGTTCTATTTTTTTTTCTCAGATAAACTTTCTTTTGCCAATAACTTTCTAGAGCCCAAGTATTTGGCCACTTGTTTCTATTTAATATACAGATTGCTTTTGGGATTCCAAATAGTATTTTCAATTATACTGTTTACTTAGTATATTTTATTTTCATCCGTTTCAAACTTTGGGGAAATGTACTTAGATTTATTTTAATCCTTTGGGAATATAGGCAATTGCTTTAATCGACAAATTTGTTAACAATGATATTAAATTGACTACAGCCATCTCAATAATGTTCAATCTTTTTAGTTACTATTTTTGCTTTATCAAGAATTGAATGGTTTGCCACTGATTGTATACATCGTTACTATGTTTATTTTATTAATATTTGTTTCATAAGCAACATGGAGGCATGATTTTAACCCCAATTCATAGTTCTCAAGTAGAAATAAGATTAGAAAAGTAGATTGTGACAGGTTTTGCCAACTATATTGAGAATTTTTGGACCTTTCAAAATAGGTAAGGGAGATCTCCTGAGTGACTGTGAGTGGAAAAGGGTCAGCAGGAAGACCAGTTTTGTTAGAGTAGTCCATGAATGACAAGTAAATTCTCAAGTAGGGCAGTGGTTATGTGGTTGAAAAAATGGGCAGAAAGGTAAAAGTTTTTGTGCAGCAAGAATTGATAAGACCTGGTTCTGCTTTTGAGTTTGATAGTCCATGCTCTCATTCCCAGTTGAAACAAAAGTATTTGTCCTTATCATTCTAAGTTCTCCTTTCTTATCCCTTTTCAGCTACTTTATTATGCACTTTTATGATAATATGTGAAATTCAAAGTATCATTTATCATTTACTTTGTGCCACATTTCAACTTGATTTTTCAAACTACTTATTTTTACAATAAGCATTATCATGCTTCTGAAAATTTGGCCAGAAATGAATCAAGGGAGAAGATGGAAGGGAAGAGACATTTTGAGCAGTTATCATAATCCAGCCACTACTTTAGCTGCATTACTGGTGATATCTTCACCATAATCCTATGAGCAGTTTTTACATACATTTTGTGGATGAAAATACTGAGGCTTGCAGAGTTTTAAAACATGGCAAATGTCAAGTGGCTGAAGGGTTTTGAGAGCTGTAATTCAAACATATGTCTTCCTGATGTCAAAACCATCACTCTTTCTACTGCTTTACTTTTCTTCCCTTACCTGTCTTCAGGTGAAGACCTTTAAATGCTCACCCTCTGGAACTCAGAAATGATAGTGATAGTGTGTGAAATTTATAAATATGGCAATAAAAATTGTTTGAATTTTCATTATCACTTTTATTTCCTAGTACAACCGTAATGTGAGGGCTTTTATTATAACTGCTTATGGAAATTAATTTTATAGCAGCCATTAAATGTCACTTGTTTGTACTAATTTCTACATTTTCTGAAATTTGAAATTCTCATCTAGTGAATCAATGAATTGAAATAACCACTAAGGGAGCTTTCATCTGTAACCAGATAACAGATGGAAACAAAGATGATAAGAGCAAGTTTTGCTTGAGTTGCTACATCTTAAAGAATTAAGAATTGACACAAAACCTGAACTTCTGTTTTGCTTAAAGAGGGAATTCTTCCTTTCCTCGAATGTCCGCAGACCTGATTCACTGTGCTCAGAGCATGAGTTGTGAGTCTGGTGGGGTCTTACCAACTATAACCATTCAATCAGTGGTGATTAACTGGCTGAAACATAAAGCAGAGGCCAGGGGTCTTTGCTGTTTGCCTTCATGCAGTTTTGTTAACACCTCCTTTATTTTTAATGTCATGGTTTTCAGAGATTGAGCATTTCCACATCTGCATTTCTGGCACAAAGACTAGATTTTCCAGTTCACTGTGTGTTTCAGTTTATCAATTTGAAAAGAGATGCAACATTTAATCATTCAATCTGCAGTGTTAATGGAGTGCCTACTACGTACCAGGCTTTGTTTCACTAATTTAGGAATTTATCAATGAACAAAATAGACTAACAGACCAAACTATCCCTGGAGCATAACATATAAATAATTTATGTATTATGTTAGAAGGTGGTAAATGCCATAAAAGGTACAGACACTGGTGAGCGGGAGAGCTGGGGAGTCAGCTGGTGGGCTAGCATTTTAAAGAGGGTGGTCACAGTGGGGCTTACTGAGAATGTGACATTTGAGGAAGACTTGAATAAGGGAAGAGAGTGAGTTATTTGGAAGAACAGACCTGACAGAGCAGCAGCTAATGCAGAGGCCCTGAGGCAAGAGAGTTCCTTGTGTGTTTAAGACAGTGAGTCTCAAAGCATGTTTCCTGGAATAGCAGCATCACATCACATGGGATTAGAAGTGCAAATTCCCAGATGCTGTTCCAGGCCTACAGCACAAGCCTTCCAGGTGATCCTAATGCACTGAAATTTGAAAACCACTGATGTAGGAAATAGCAAACGTGGCTAGAGCAAAGTGAAAAAGGGGAGAAAAGTAGGAAATGAAGTCCCAGCAGTAATGAAGGAGGGGGCAGCTTGGTAGAGCCTTATAGGCCTTGGTAAGGTCTTTACCTTTCACTCTGAGTGGAAAGATTGGCCACTGGAGGGTTTTGAGAGAGGAAGTATGTTTTAGTAGCATCATTCTGACTGCTGGGCTGGGAGTAGACCAGGGGGTAAGGCTGGGGTAGGGAGACCTGTTTAGACCTCCTAATTTAGAGGGGGGTGACAATGATAGTTTAAACCAGGGTGGTGATAGTGGAGGGAGTGAGAAATGATTAGATTCTGAATCTCATTTTGAAGTGGAGGTCATAGAACTTGCCAATGAATTTGTTGTTGAATTTGAGGAGAAGAAAGTGACCAAGCAGGGTTCAAAGGTTTTGGCCAGAGCATCTAGAAGAATAGTGTTGCCATTTGCTGGGCTGTGGAAGGGTGAGGTTGAGCATGTTTGAAGGGAGGATCAGACGTTTAGTTTTGCTGATGGTGCTAAGTAGGAGAAGTCTCTTAGATGTCCAAGTGGAGAGTTGAAAGGAGGTATGATCTGAAGCTGAGATATAAACTTGGGAGTCATCAGCATAGCGATACTGTTTAAAACAAAATGTAATTCATGGAGTAGTATGGGGATAAGTTTCTCGTAAGCATAAACTAAGTACTAAAAATGAATAATTGTAAGAGCCACTAAAGGGAAGAACTTGCGTAATGGTTAACAGTGACGGTTTGGGCTGGGTCTGGCCTCTCCTTTCCCTCCATGTCTGTGTGCATACCGGATCATAACAAAGGTAAATTGTGTAATTAATCATGTAATCAGTGAATAGTCCATTATGTTTTATATGGTTTCATATGATTCATCACTGCCTCACTCTAGATTTCTGGCTCTCTCAATAGGGAGTAGAATCTATAAAACCTACTGTATTAGTCCATTCTCTCACTGGTATGAAGAAATACCCGAGACTGGGTAATTTATAAAGGAAAGAGGTTTAATTGACTCACAGTTCTGCATGGCTGGGGAGGCCTCAGGAAACTTACAATCATGGCGGAAGGCAAAGGAGAAGCAGGGACCTTCTTCACAGGGTGGCAAGACAGAGTGAGTACAAGCAGGGGAAGTGCCAGATGCTGATAAAACCATCAGATCTTGTGAGAATTCACTCACTGTTATGAGAACAGCATGGGGGAAACTGCCCTCATGACCCCATTACCTTTACCTGGTGCCACCCTTGACACTTGGGGATTGTGGGGATTACAATTCAAGGTGAGATTTGAGTGGGGGCACAGAGCCAAACCATATCACCTACTGAGTCATATCCAGAGTACCCAATTGAGAATGTAGATTTCTGAAGCTGGTCTAGAGATGTGAGCTTGGTACCATACGTTCAGGTAGCTGCCGTGAGTCCAGTCAGAACTGTCAAACGCACTGTCAAAATCACAGGTAAAGCTCCTGTGATTTTGCTGTTTGTCACCTGCACTTAACCCTGGTTTCCCCGTATTTTACTTATAATGAATTGTACATTATAAACGCAGTTAAACATAGGCAAATTGTCAATGGACTCCACATCCAGGAAGCTCTTCAAATAAACTCTCTAATACATAAGTTTCATTTTAAATTTGTACGTATCATTTTATTGTTCTTTCCATTTTTGATTCTTTTCTTTAGCATCACAGATAGAGTCTCTCATATAGCAAGTTGATATCCATGTACAATTTGACTTGGTGCCAGAAGCATATTTCTGTTTTGTCTCCCTGCCTTTGGGCTTCCTCTTCCTGTGGCTTGCTTGGTGTCACACGTATTTCTCCTTCTCCCACCCCTGCCACCACCTCCATCTTTTCTGTCCTTCTCTTCCTCTGTCTCTCCCTCTCCAAGCTGCCAAGAGGAAGAAAAGGCCAATAAGGATAATAGTCTTCCAAGGCTTCACTCTCCCAGCTGTCTCCAAAGCTCCCTCAGAAAAGATGCAAAACTTTTCTGCTTTTGGAGAGAACAGCAGGCCAAGAAGACTTTTCAATTTAAACGTGCTCACAGTTGCAGCTCAGTTGCTTGCCTAAGATTTCGGAGAGTAGTTTTTCACAGACTTGGATACTTTTTCAATTAGCAAGTTTGAAATAACCACATTTAAACAATAATGGAACTCTCTTAAGAAAGTAGACAGAAGTAAACCTATTTAATCAGAGATATATATCTTTGTCTTCAAATATATTTCCCCTTCAAAAGAAGATTTTATATATATAATATTAAATATAATCACAGCAATCACTTGAAACTGATGTGACTTGAGAAAATAAATGGGTGATTAAAGGGATGCTGGTAGTATTTTTTGCAGGTTTCATGTTGCTTGGCACCTATTCTTCCTTCCTCTGTTACTTCTCCTCCTCCTTTTTTTTTTTTTTAACATTTTATTTTTTATTTTATTTTATGTTAGAGTCTCACTCTGTTGTCCAGGCTGGAGTGCAGTTGCATGATCTCAGCTCACTGCAACCTCTGCCTCCCTGGCTCAAGGGATTCTCCTGCTTCAGCTTCCCAAGCAGCTGGGACTACAGGCATGAGCCACCATGCCCAGATAATTTTTTTGTATTTTAGTAGAGACAGGTTTTCACTATGTTGGCCAGGCTGGTCTCAAACTCCTGACCTCAAATGATCCACCCGCCTCTGCCTCCTAAAGTGCTGGGACTACAGGTATGCGCCACCACGCCCAGCTATTTTTTTTTGTATTTTAGTAGAGATGGGGTTTTACCATGTTGACCAGGCTAGTCTCGAACTTTCGACTTCAAATGATCCACCCGCCTCTGCCTCCCAAAGTGCTGGGATTACAGGTGTGAGCCCCTGCGCCCGGCCCTTCTTTTTTGATGTCCATATTTCCTGCAGTTGATTATGATAAATACAGTATGGGAGCTTCAAAGCAGCCATGTAGGTTAACGTCTTAAGGAATACTCAACAAGAGTTGTTAATTGAGGTAGAAAATATATTTATGCAAATTAATAGGAATTGGAGAAAGAAAGAACTCATCTGATGGAAGATGTAACTGCAAACAAAAGAAGGATGAAGGAACTAGAAGATAACTTGCTTTACCGCCTGACAAGTACCCAGGGGTCCCTGGTAGAAGATGAAAGTCTCATTGTCGTGCTGAGTAACACAAAAAGGACAGCCGAGGAGGTGACACAGAAGCTAGAAATTTCTGCTGAGACAGAAGTTCAAATTAACTCAGCCCGGGAGGAATACAGACCTGGTGAGTTTGGTAATGAAAGACAAATGTCACAGGAAAATGAAATGAGAGAGGAATGAGAATTAGAGAAATGGAAGGATGTGAGGGAGTTATACAAATGATTATGCAAAGTGGAGGTGTTTTGTGGAATTTCTGTTGGGAAATATTCCGTAAAATGGAGGTCAAAAATTTTTTATAATGGTATAAATTTCCTGGGTACTTGTCATTCATGTTAGTTGGTAAATCCTTTAAGGTTCTCATGAACTTATTTTGATGTTAGAAAGTAAAGAAGGAGAATTTTAAAAAATCTGATGACTACAAATTAGGGAAATCTGAGGAATTAGTGCACCAGTTATTTATCGTTTGGTAACACTATGTTGGTATTTTGTTTATAGTTTTTGTGTTAGGAAGGTAGTTCTGTGGTCTCTTGGGAGATTTTTATCCTCAGCCACCAATTTGCAAATTGGCCTTGTACAAGAGAAACCTGCTAAATAATTCAGTTGGATCGGCTATCTTTTAGTATTTTATTATTCCTCTTAACAAATAATCGGCCGGGCATGGTTGCTCATGACTATAATCCCAGCACTTTGGGAGGCTGAGGTGGGCAGATCATCTGAGGTCAGGAGTGTGAGACAGGCCTGGTCAACATGATGAGACCAGCCTGGATAACATGGTGAAACTCTGTTTCTACTAAAAATATAAGAGAAAAAAAAATTAGCCAGGCATGGTGGTGGGCGCCTGTAATCCCAGCTACTCAGGAGGCTGAGGCAGGAGACTCTCTTAAACCCAGGAGGCGGAGGTTGCAGTGAGCCGAGATCACGCCACTGTACTCCAGCCTGGGGGACAAGAGCAAAACTCCGTATCAACAAAATAATAATAATAATTAAAGTGTCGTTTATTGTTAGAGAGGCAGAAGCATCATCTTTGCAATGGCTTGTTTTGCAGACTTGAAGCCCAGGTTAGGCATGGCTTCTCCCTGGAACTTAAGGATGAGGTCCCTAATGGCTACCTCGCTTGCTGGGTGTTAAACTAACACAACCTTTGAAATTTCTTTGATTGTCTTTTCTACCTGCAGTAAAAATAGTAAAATATTGTTGCGAGGGGTCTAGAGATTCTAAAATGAGAAGTACCATTTAATAAATACAAATAGTTGATTACTTACAAAATGTTGTAAATAATAAATATATTAATAAATGAATATCGCTTTGTATCCCGTATCTGGTAGGCAGCCACTGCCTAAAATAAAAGTTGTTGTTTTCATTTAGAGTTTAGGCTGATCTCTTTGCATGGATCATTTATTTTCCTCTCTCGTAGCACATGCAACCTTGCTCTTTGTCTTCCAGTGGCTACGCGGGGCAGCATCCTCTACTTCCTCATTACTGAGATGCGCTTGGTTAATGAGATGTATCAGACTTCGCTTCGCCAGTTTCTGGGCTTATTTGACCTTTCCTTAGCCAGGTACGTCTGTACGCGGGAAGCCAAGCTGAATTCTATATCTGTGCACTAAAATGATGACATTACATTTATAACTTCCTTCTCCTTTGTTAGTAAGAGTCTTTTTCTTTTTTAAATCTCAGATCAGTGTAATTACCAATGTGTTAACAAATCATTCTGATTTGCCATTTTATGCCCAGAGAAAACTCTACCAACTATTTATCCATTGATTTGATTCCTTTGGCTTCGTATGTTTCTGTTAAACAAGAAAATTCCCAAGATATCGTTGTGAGTGATGATGCCCTGCAGGTAGAATTGATTTAGACAACATTCGGGATTCTGTTATATTATTTCATGTTGAGAGAATTCTTGTTATTTTAGATTTAGGAGGCTTTCTCTTGATGTGTAAAAATAAGAATTCTTCCTCCAAAGTTACTTATTTTCCATTAAAGACAATTGTTTTTACAGACAATTGAAAAGGGCAGTGGGATAAGCCTGATTTAAATATTCTATTCACCAGGTCTGTCAAGAGCCCGATTACAAGCAAGAGGATTGCTAATATCATCGAGCACATGACCTACGAGGTTTATAAGTATGCTGCCCGAGGGCTGTACGAGGAGCACAAATTCCTGTTCACCTTGTTGCTTACCCTAAAGATTGACATCCAGAGGAACCGAGTCAAGCATGAAGAGTTTCTCACTCTTATTAAAGGTCAATATAAGAATAGAGACTATAGCGCACAGGTGCAGATGGAGGAGTTATTGTGAAAGCCCTTTGCAGTACATTTTTTGGTTATAACAATTGCCTTGCATTATGTAAGACTGCATTTAGATGAGATATTTTATTTGTTCTTTTCTTGAGTGATAACTATCTATTGAGGACCTACTGTATACCTGGGCATGGAATAGGTATTTGGGGCATGTCAGTGAACAAAAACCCTTGAAAAGCATATATAGATTTAGGGAGGGTACAGAAAAAAAATAAAATAATAAATGAATTTTATAGTGAGTGGGAAGATGGTAAGTCCTATGGAAAACAGAGCAGGATGAGAGGGATGGGAAGTTACAGGGCATTATGAAGTGGGAGGAGCTTCAAGCTTTAAGTGAGGTATTCAATGGGATATTTAATGGGGTGGCATTCCTAAGAGATCGGTAGGTGGGCAAAGACCTGAAAGAGCAGGAGGTGCTGGCCATGGGAACATTTAGGGAAGAGGGCTGAAGCAGAAGGGATGGCATCAGGTCAGGGCCTCTGGTGGAGTGAGGCTGGTGTGATGTAGATAAAACAAAGTGACTGGGTGATGAGTGAAGCGGATGAAGACCCTGTGCAGCTCATCCTGTGGATGATTTATTCTGCATCTACTGAAGCATTGCTCACAGCCGTGTCCCCTGGGCCATTCAAACGAAACAGCCCAGCGGAAGGCTGGAAAACATAAATTCACTATCACATTCTTGAATGTCTTGAAAAAAATATTTGAAGTAACTGTGTATCTTAGTTCTCAATGCTATAAGAAATTACTATAGACTGGGTGGCTAATAAACAACAGACATTTATTTTTCACAGTTCTAGAAGTTGGAAGTCCCAGATCAGGGTGCAGCACAGTGGATTCTAGTGAGGAGCCTCTTCTGGGTTGTAGACAACTGTCTTCTCATTGCATCTTCACATGCTGGGGAGCAGAGAAGAGGAAGCAAGCTCTCTAGTGACTATTATAAGGGCACTAATCTCATTCCTAAGGGCTCCACCTTCATGACCTCATCTAATCATAATTATGTCTCAATGGCCTCACCTCCCAGGACCGTCAGAATTGAGATATAGGGTTTCAACATATGAGTTTTGGGGAGACACAATATTCATCCCATAACACTATGAAAATGATGCCAGGGTCTAAATAGATTCATCTAGTATACCTTTCTAAACCAAGTCTTTAGAGATAAGACATAATTTTATCTAGCAGGAGATTTTCATGCTTAACATGGAGAGTAGGTTTGTAGGAGAACTTGAAGACCACCCCTAGGGGAACAGTAGGGAAGGAATGTAGGTATACACATGCTGTGCCCTGGTGGGGGTTATAGGTCCATAGTCATACATATGCAAATGCATTTTCATATGCATATACATATGCATATGTGTGTGTGTATATATATATCTTATAGTAGCAACAAAGACTCATCTGTTTAGATTTGAACTTAGAAATGATTAAATTATAGACAATCTCTCTCTCTTTAATTGTGTCTAACCATTAAACACTTACTCTTTAGCTATATTTGAACCTTATTTTCCAAATTTCCTAAATCAGAATAAGTGACAGATGAGTCTCTGGAGAGAAAGATGTGTAGATGTAAGAGCTGCCTTCTCTGGTGAACCCTTAATATGTTACTAATTTCTGGCCTCAGTGACTCTAGTCCCCCGTTTCTAGAGCTTTTCAATGGATTGTTGTTCCTGTCGTTCTCAACTCAGGCATGAAATGTATTTCCACATAGAAATAACTTTGAAGAGAGTGTCCAGCTCTTGTTGAAATACTGTGAAGCATCTCACAGTTTGTCTTCATGATAGCAAACATAAGATTTAGAGTTAGGAAGTTGAGAGTTAAAATATGTGTTGGCTTTGTCACTTTCTTGATCTTGAGAAGGTCATTTACCCTTTTCAAACTCCAGTTTCCTTGTCTATAATACAAGGATAGTAAAATCTACATAGTAGGATTATTGAGAATTTACACAGTTTATGTAAATCCTGATACATAGGATATGCTTAGCAAATGATGGCCATCATATTATCTTCATCACTTTAGATATTTTGATTAGTCTGATGCTTGTATGGGTTGGACTGGTTGTCATGGGTCTTTGGCTTTCAACAGCTGTTTGTAACACTGCTTTATGAAACAGTTTCAGAGCAAACTTTGGAGCAGGATTATGTTGCAAATCTGCCCTTCAATGGTTAGGTTGATGAGAGCTACCTGGTGATATAAACTCTCTCTGTAAGGACTTTAAAATCATTTAACATAATTTAAAATGTTATTTAGATAGTGTTATGGTGCAAATGTTTGTATCCGACTAAAATTCGTATGATGAAAACCTAAACCCCAAGGTTATGGCATGAGATGGAGGGATTTTTGGGAGGTGATTAGGTCATAGGGGCAGAGTCAAGATAAGGGATTGATGCCCTTATAAGAGAGGCCCACCCAGGTGCGGTGGCTCAAGTCTGTAATCCCAGCACTTTGGAAGGCTGAGGTGGTCAGATCACTTGAGGTCAGGAGTTCAAGACCAGCCTGGCCAACATGGTGAAACACCGTCTCTACTAAAATACAAAAAAAATTAGCCAGGAGTGGTGGCTCACACCTGTAGTCCCAGCTACTTGGGAGACTGAAGCAGGAGAATCATTTGAACCTGGGAGGCGGAGGTTGCAGTGAGCCGAGATTGCGCCACTGCACTCCAGCCTGGGTGACAGAGCAAGACTCCCTCTCACAAAAAAAGGGGCTCAAGAGAGACCCCAGCTCCTGCACTATGTGAGAATTGCAGTGAGAATATGGTCTTCTATGAACCAGAAGTGAGCTCTCACCAGACACCAAATCACTGGTGCCTTGAACTTGGAATTCCCATCTTCCAGAACTGTGATAAATAAATTTCAGTTGTTGATAAGCAGAGTGCCTCCTAGAATGTGATATTCTGTTGTAGCAGCTTTTAAGCCCAATAGCCACAACAGATTTCCATTTTTTTTTTTTTTTTTTGAAGACAGAGTCTTGCTCTGTCACCCAAGCTAGAGTGCAGTGGTGCAATCACAACTCACTGTAACCTCAAACTCCTGGGCTTAGGTGATCCTCCTGAGTAGCTAGGACTACAAGCTCATGCCAATACATCCAGCTAACTTTTAAATTTTTTGTAGAGATGAAGTCTCATTATGTTGCCCCAGCTGGTCTCAAACTTCTGGGTTAAGCTGTCCTCTTGCCTTTTCCTCCCAAAGTCCTGGGATGACAGATGTGGGACACTGCTCTTGGCCTCAACAGTATTTGGATGGTGGTCTTTCAGTCATTTCTAAGATGGGAAAGGCTCAGCCTAGATTATTCTCTAAGTCTGCCTTAGCTGTGACAATTTATGATTGTGTGGCATAGCTTGTATAAAACTTTCATTATAAGCATGTATCATTTTCACAAAGTATTACGGTAAAAACTCCAACTTACTTTTTTTTTCCAAAGCAAGAGTTTGAGGAAAGAAGGGAACAGCACAGTTCTCAATTATCTGGACAATTTATTTCGAATTATTCCTTTCAGCTATTTATTCATCAAGGGTCTATTTAATTTGTTACCACATTATTCAGGAATATGTCCTCTCCCCCAAGTTACAATCACTATTTGTGCCTAATTGTGTACTTTGGGAGCCGGCAGGTTAGTCATGACATAGTTACCGGCTACTAAACAATGAATAATACTCTGGCCCGCGAGGAACACTCTTTCCTTTCTGTGAATAGCCTTTCCCTAACCCTCTGGTGGATGTCTTACTCTTTTCAATTTGTTGGAAAATGGACAGTTGCTAAGGTGCAAAATTTTATTCAACACAATGCATTGTCTTTAGGTCTTTGCTCACTGGTGTTAAAACAATCTGTTTTCATTTTACGAGCTAATATTTTCTTCAAATTGGCTTCAAGGCCATACTGACCTCATTGTAAATATATTTTGATGGATTTGGCAAAAAATAACAATTTAGTAGTGTACATGGTGCCTGGATAAAATAGAGATTAGCTCAATAAATATCTTGAGTATTGTCATTTGTTTATAACCTACTCTGTTCAAACAAAGATTTTTAAAGTGGCCAAATGGATTGATTTTATCATTTTATGAATAATGCGTAGGCCGGGCGCGGTGGCTCATGCCTTTAATCCCAGTGCTTTGGGAGGGAGGCTGAGGCGGGCAAATCACCTGGGGTCGGGAGTTCGAGACCAGCCTGACAAACGTGGAGAAACCCCGCCTCTACTAAAAATACAAAATTAGCCAGGCGTGGTCATGCATGCCTGTAATCCCCGCTACTCACGAGGCTGAGGCAGGAGAATTGCTTGAACCTGGGAGGCAGATGTTGTGAGCCGAGATCACGCCATTGCACTCTAGCCTGGGCAACAAGAGTGAAACTACATCTCAAAAAAAAAAAAAAATAACAGCACTTTGGGAGGCCGAGGTGGGCAGACCACGAGGTCAGGAGATCGATACCATCCTGGCTAACACGGTGAAACCTCGTCTTCACTAAAAATATGAAAAATTAGATGGGCGTGGTGGCGGGTGCCTGTAGTCCCAGCTACTCAGGAGGCTGAGGCAGGAGAATGGCATGAACCTGGGAGGCGGAGCTTGCAGTGAACCGAGATCGTGCCACTGCACTCCAGCCTGGGCTACAGAACGAGACTCCATCTCAAAAGAAAGAAAGAAAGAAAGAATAATGCATAGAGCATATTTTCCTTGATATTCTTTAATGGATGTTATTTATTAAATAGTATATTTTATCCTTAATTCTTAACTTTATCCTTTATTCTTAACTCTTTCTTAAAATAACGATTGCTCACACATTCAGTTGTTCTGAAGTGGACAACAAAAACATTTTTAAGGTGTCATTTTTGTTACATTGCTGTCAGAGTTACGTGGGTTACATGAGCTTTGGTAAATCATCAGTAAAAAGATAAGGGTCAGTACCAAATGGAAATGTTTGTTGTGGTTAGCTTAGGGTATAACCACAGGCATAAGTGACACAGCATGGAACCCTTGGGGTGTGTTCAAGGTAGATGTAAGTAATATACTGATTTATAGAAGAGAATCCTTCAAACATCTAGTACTACTAACATTTCTAGATAAAGTGTGTATTGAATATTAGCTTGTGCTAATATTGGGCAATTCTTAATATTGAAAATTGATGCTCATTTAGTGACCCTCTGCCATGTCCTCTATCCTGTTTTGTGTGCTTTACACGCATACATTGTGACACAGGTTTAATTATTCTTATTTTACTAATTTGGAATTAGAGACCTAGACAAATGAAATGGCTTGTCTCAGACCTTGTCCAGGGGAAGCTAGGACAGAATCCAGCATCTGCCTGGTTCCAAAGTTATATTACTGATGATTAAATGAGTTTTTTCTAAAATTATCTATTGATTTATTAAATGTTGCATGTTTCTCACTATGATTTATATTTCTGTGCTTAAAAAAGTGAAAGTAGTAAAATAACTGAAATTAAAATAATACAAATTTTACTAAATAGATTGTTTTATAGTGAAGGAAGGGAAATCTGATAATTTAATATTTAATTTTAAAGGAGGTGCCTCATTAGACCTTAAAGCTTGTCCTCCAAAACCATCAAAATGGATCCTGGACATAACATGGCTGAATTTGGTGGAACTTAGCAAACTCAGACAGTTTTCAGATGTCCTTGACCAGGTAACTGTGCTTTGAATCAACTTAAGCTGATGTCATGTTGAGCAGCTTTCTGATTTATCACTAGGTACAATATTTGTGGAAGAGAGATAGTTCTTAATATTGTCACTCTTAAAATGGTATTACATGTGCTTGACCTTCTTGAAAGCACACTTACACTCTGATAAGGCATTCTCTGCTCATCGTTAACTGATCTTGCAGGTAGAAATGTGCCCAGGAACTTTAACCAGTGCCATCCTGGGCCATATGTTAGTATCACCAATTGGATGTCCACAAGTAGAAAAACTGATAGATCCAATTAGATTAAATAATTAGATAGACTTAAAAAGCCTTTTCCTTCTTTCTAGAGGTTAAATGAAAAGACATATGAACAGCTTGCCTCTAAATGCTAAATTTCCTTTCTTGCCTCTTGTTTCTCTCCCTCTTCTTCTTCTTCCTCTCCTGCCCTTCCCATTATTTGACTTAGTTAGGCACCTGGGTATGAATCTCCTGTAAACACTTGGCCTCTTATCTTTAGAAGTTATCATCTTTCTAGAATCAGCCAGCTCCTGATGAACTTTGCATGTTCTGGAATCATGGAAGTTGGGTGTAGAGAATTGAATTGGGACAAGCCAAGAAACAGGTTATTGAAAATCAGGTGACCATAGAGAAATGAGTTTGGCAGCAGGGTGGCTTTATCCAGCTATAAGTTGAAGGCTTTTTTTGACGAGGAAATGTCTTAAAGTTGGTTCTTGACTTCCTCAGTTTAAGTTGACCATTTGCTTATGTTCTGCTATCCTTTTATGTTTTGGCTTATCACTGGTGGTGTTTATTATTACTACCATGTACTTAGGGGTACAAACCATTCTTTCGGGTTATTCCCCAATAGGATTACCCCCAGTGGCCTTGCCTAGACCATTGATATTGAAGTTGCTACCTTCTGGAGATGATATCTTATGCACGAAACCCCTCAATATTAAGTAGTCTTTCAAGATCGAAAGAAGTTATTATTTTTATTCTTACATGGTACTTTCTAAATATGAACCTGGAATGATTTGCCTTTGATTATATCCCAAGAAAGACATTGGAACCCTTGATGAAAAGGAATATACCAGATAACATAAGATGATATTTATCTGTAGACATTATTTGTTTGTTCAGTGTTTCTGATCTGCTTACCATGTAATTCCTGCCTCTCTTTGGTGTTTTAAGCTGCAGAGGATAATGTACTATGTCCTTTTACTCTTTCCCAGTTGCCTAAGGGTAGCAGGTGTCTGATCATTCATTTGATGATATTAACTGGCGTATTTCCAATTACTCTAGATTAATAGAGTATTGATCAAAAAGCTGTTCATTCAATAATAAACATGTGTTAAATGTCTTCTTTTGGGTCAGGAGTGGTCCTGGGAAATGAGGAAACATAAGTGAATGAGATTTGGTTCCTGACATGAGAAGATTTTGTGGAGCAAATCGGACTTCGTTGAAATAATGAAAATGAATTTCCATTGATTTTGTTGTATTCTTTACAAATTTGTTACCACAAAGGCATAGAAGAAATTAAATATCCCATGACTCTCCCTACTTTGAAATGTAGTTGTAGGCTGATGTTAGTATAGACTGACTTTGGAGCAAATGACATTAGATTTTACACTGTCAAACTTTCTATAATATAAAATAAAAAAATAGCCAAGGAATATAATTTACACATATCTGGAGAGGTCAGAGGTTTGATGAAACATATCTATGACCTGTTACTGAAAGATTGTTGGGTGGCATGACACAGTTTTTATCCCATGGTATTTTCAGATATCGAGAAATGAGAAAATGTGGAAAATTTGGTTTGATAAGGAAAACCCGGAGGAGGAACCTCTTCCAAATGCCTATGATAAATCTCTTGACTGCTTCAGACGTCTTCTCCTTATTAGATCCTGGTGTCCTGACAGAACCATCGCCCAGGTAAAAAGTCCATATTAAAGAGAAAAATGAGAGAATATTTTTAAAGAGAATTTTCTTTTAAATTAAAAAAAATATTTTAAATGTGAATTCCAGTGAGAATTTTCTTGTAGGCCTCTGTGTGATTTTCTAGCAATATGTGTGAAAAATGGAAAAGTAAACAAATAGATGTCTTGAGGCATATGTTTGGGCTAAGTGATTTAGTAACTTTTTCTGACCTATGGCTACAATAGGAGTAAATGAGAAAACCATGATTCTAAGGTTGGCATATAGGTATAACATACAGGTAATGCGTTATTCTTTTATATCATTTTATATTCAATCAAAGATTATATGGCTGCTCCATTTTGCTGGTAGTAAAACAGTGTTTCTGAAAGCAGGAAGAACATAAAGGCATTAGGGTGAATAGAGTGGGGGAAGGACAGTGTGCCCAAACCGTAGTCATTTCCCCAGAAAAATGTCACAGCTCTAGATGTCAGTAAGGTTGTCTTACAACTGAATTTCACATATGGTTTAAATGTGAATCCTGCCTCCAGATGATTCATCTGTTTAAAGACCTTTAATTTGCTGGCTTAGTATCATGGGACTTTACCCACTAAAAGGACTTGTGTCTTGCCTTTATGATGAAAAGTTTAACGCTGATATTCAGCCCAGGTTGACTCCTTAAGGGCTTTTCCAAATGAGCTGTGGAGTAGCAATAGCCTTGGGTTTATAATAGAATGTAAGATATTTTCTCCTTCATTCTCCAGAGGGAGTGTTAAAAACTTATGGAGTAACTACCTCCAAGTCCACTTAGGTACTGTGGAATCATGAAAACAACCAGATTCAATGATTTATTGAGAAAAGAAAAATGAGTTTCACAGTTCGGGGCACTGAGATCACCTTTCCTTTCAGTTTTTCTTCTCAGTTTCATTACTTTTATCCTGCCCAACTGAATTGTGAAATGGTTGCCTTATTTAAGGACAGTGTGGAAAGAAATGTTTGAGTAGTCTCTTTCTTATCTTTTTCCATAGAAAGCTATATTTGCTTCAATGCTGAAATTTAAGTAACTCTTTTTTGTAACTTTATCTTCATCCGATCCCTTTAGCTTCTCCGATCCCTGGACTTACCACAGCCATGGCCTCATACCTGTTCTCCTTACATTTCTTCTTGTATACTCTAGTCTACTCTGCACACACTAGAAGAAATGCAAATATGGTGCCATTCATTGGCTTTTCAAGTCCTGCAGTATCTGCCCATGGCCCTTATAGTGCCCAGGTCCTAAACAAGGTTTAGAAGGCCTGTTGGATAAATGTTCTCTCAAGTTCTTATTCTCCTTTTAGAATCCTTTTGTGATTTTCAACCTGACAACTTTCTGGGAAGCATATTAGTAGGTCTACAATGTAGATACATTCAATCCCATTCCCCATAGGCAGCATCAGGCTATATGCATTTCTTATTCTCTGCATTTTGGCTGAGTGTGACTGTCCACATCTGTGCATGCCTGATTGCAAAAATGCTGCACTGTCCGAGTGTGTCTCCTGAGAGGTACACATTTGTGTCTTAAAAATCCTCAACAGGTCAGGCGCGGTGGCTCACACCTGTAATCCCAGCACTTTGGGAGGCTGAGGCAGGTGGATCACGAGGTCAGGGGTTCAAGACCAGTCTGGCCAACATGGTGAAACCGCATTTCTGCTAAAAATGCAAAAATTAGCCAGGCATGGTGGTGGCACCTGTAATGCCAGCTACTTGGGAGGCTGAGGCAGGAGAATCGCTTGAACTTGGAAAGTGGAGCTTGCAGTGAACTGAGATCGTGCCACTGCACCCAGCCTAGGTGCCAGGGTGAGACTCCATCTCAAAAAAAAAATACTCAACAAAGGGAGGTTGGCACAGGTGTGCAGGTTATTTGTTCATTTTCTCCCCCATTGAAAGGCTGAATCTGTTGCATTGGGACCACATATTGGGATGAACAAGTTCTGCAGAGCTGTGTGAAGAGCAGTGTATGAAAATGCAGCACTCCACAGTGGGGTGTTGGCTTTCTTTAAAGGCTGGCAGGCTGTGCAGAAACCTGGCTTGCCACACCTGAATTAACTCTTACATCAGTTATTATGGGTGTCCTCCTGTCCCTAGCCAGTGACTTGCTCTTTGCTCCTTCAGGGTCTCTGCATATGTTTCTTCTGCATAGAATGCACATGCTCTGACCCACTTAGCTGTCCTCTTTGCCTCAGTAAATCCCACTCATCATCCAAGCAACAGCTTAAATGCTTCTTTCACAAGGGAGCCTTCTCTGACATATTCCTGCAAGATTAATCAGTTTCATACTTTCATGTCACCCTGCAAGTCATAAATCCTTCAAACTAGTTATTTTGCTATTACTTGCTCAATGTATGTCTCATCCTGGCATGGAGGTGGGGGGCAAGCTTCATAAGGGCTGGGCCATTTGTCCACTGATCTGTTCCTAAAACCTGTTGCACTGCCTGGGACAGAGGAGAGGGTCATGGACCAAGGTTTATATCTGTTGCATGAGGTGAATTATCTAACATGGTTTGTTAGTTTGTGCGTTGCTATAAATAAATATCTGAGACTGGGTAATTTATAAAGAAAAGAGGTTTAATTGGCTCATGGTTCTGCAGGTTGTACAGGAAGCATGGGGCTGGCATCTGCTCAGCTTCTGGTGAGGCTTCAGGAAACTTTCAATCATGGCAGAAGGTGAAGGAGGAGCTGGCATGTCATATGGCGAGAGCCAGAGCAAGAGAGTGGGGGAGATGCTGCATACTTTTAAACAACCAGATCTGGGAAGAACTCACTCACTCTCATGAGTACAGCACCAAGCCATTCATGAGGGACTCACCTCTATGACCCAAACACCTCCCACCAGGCCCCACTTTCATCACTGGGGATTACATTTCAACATGAGATTTGAAGGGGGCAAACATTCAAACTATATTATTCCTCCCATGGCCCCTCAAATCCCATGTCCTTCTTACATTGCAAAATACAATCATCTCTTCCTAACTGTCCCCTAAAGTCTTAACTTGTTACAGCATCAAGTCCAAAGTCCTAAGTCTCTCTGAGACTCATCTCCTCCCACCTGTGAGCCTGTAAAATCAAAACACATTATTTACTCCCAAGATACAATGGTAGTAAGGCATTGGGTAAATATTACCATTCCAGAAGGGAGAAATTGGCCAAAAGAAAGGAATAGTAGGCCCTATGCAAGTCTGAAACACAGCAGGGCAGTCCTTAAATCTTGAATCTCCAAAATAATTTCCTTTGACCCCGTGTCCTGCATCCAAGGCACACTGGTGCAAGGGATGGGCTCCCAAAACTTTGAGAAGATGGGGAGACCGAGTAATGCCTGGAATTATTGTCCTGCTGGCTGGTGAGATAATGCAGGGTGTTGGGTTGAAGTTGGAGAAAAGAAGATGAAGAAATGTACTCTTTCTAATGCATGCATATCTGGTTTCAGATCCATGCCTACCGCAGTGGGGCCTTCCCTGGGATTGCTGAGCATCCTTGCATATTACACATTTGCCCCACAGACTCATTACAACCCTTAGGCTTGGAGCCAATTTGAACCATGACTGTGACCCTATTTAAGAATGTCCCCGCCCAGGAACTGGAATTATGACCAAAGGTCCCTTCTCCAGATATAAGTGAAGCAGCCTTCCCTGTGGTTATCTATTCCAGAGGTTGGCAAACTAGGGCCTGCCAACAACATTTGGCCAACTGTCTGTTTATGCTCAGCTGGTGACTTAAGAATTATATTTTTAAATGCCTGAAAAAAATCACCAGAAGACTAATATTTTGTGATAAGTGAAGATTGTATAACTTTCACATTTCAGTGTCTCTAACAATTTATTGGAACATAGCCATGCTTTTTATTTGTGTGCCTATGACTGCTTTTGTGCAACAATGGCGGAGTTGAATAGTTGCAATAGAGATGATTTGGCCACCAAAGTCTAAAATATTTACCATCTGGCCCCATAGTATTCTAACATGTTAGCTCATGGCTTGGATGGTAATACCTGAACTGGGTCAATGCTGAGTTATATGGCAGAACTGGCCATGTTGAGCCCCTTGCTATCTTGGGGTAGAAAGTACTTGAATCTTGATGAGTTGCACTATAGAGATGCAGTGATGGCGGAACATGTGGCTGAGAAACAGCTGCAACTGTGGAATGCCTCAGTGTCCAGCCTTTGAAGTCCTTCCTGATCACAGGACTCCCTGCTTCAGTGACTGTGACTGAATGTGTACATGGAGTAGACATTTGGGGAAGTCAAAGAACATATCAGGCAAACTTATTAAACACCTGCCAGAGGCTGTAGAAAAATATGTAGGCTTTTATATGCAAGTTAGAGATTTAGATATTGGATCTGTCCAACCTAGAAAAAGTATTGAGAGGTATGAAAATAAATAGCATCCTGTGCCTCAAATTCAACTGGACTGAAATTCACCTCCTCAAAACTTCCCAGGCACTGAACTAATAGAGAGGAAGGTCAGAAGGGGTGAGCCTCTCTGTGAGTGAGGGGCCAAGGTGCTGTTTGGTCATTTCATTGCCAGTGGCCTAGTCCTGTCAAAGAGGGCCTGACCACCATTTCTTGTTCCTTTGGGAAACCAGGTAGAGGTCTTTCCCCAAAGCCATCTAGAAATAGTTGCCAAGGCAGAAATCCTGTGTATTCTACAAAGTTGGCATGCCTCTTAATCTGCCATTGGTATGGGGGAATGGACATTATGAGGAGGATTATGACTTTAGAAGAAGGAGAAGAGATCCACAGTAAAATGGTCCAGCTGTTTCTGAATTAGCTGGTATGAGTTAGGGAATGTAAATGCTCCTCTTTTTGTGTTTTGCACTCTCATGAGGAAGATGGACGTTCCCTGATGACCAATTTTCAGACACTCTTTACCTGGCTATATGAATGATGAAGCTTGTTTGAGAAGTCTCCACACACCAGGTGGAATCAGAAAGTAGGACCAAGCCAGTCGTTCAACAGTCTAGACTCATGTGGCACCCATTGTACCTCTCTTACCAAGCTATGAGAGGACGTAGTAAGCCAGGAGATTCCTCTGTGGTGGCCACTTCTCTCTCATTGTAACCCACAAAAGAGGGCAAACACAAGTGGGAAACATCGCACCAATTTGTAAGCTCAGATGCTTGGGGTACATTTTGAGGATGAATAGGGGATAGCAAGATATCGAAGATGAGGGATGAGCCCAGATTACTGGCTGTAAATCAAACTCTGATGTTTTAAAGTCAAGGATAATGACTGAACCAGCTCTGGCTCCCCTTTGATCCGGGTCTATCTGAAATCTGTCTGATTCAAGGGAAGCTCCATCTGAAGCTGTTTTGTGTTTCTCCGGGAATTGGAGTGGGGAGGCTCACCTGCCTAGCCCTTGGGAGAGTTGCAGGTCATGTTGCACCCACGCCTAAGTTATGTGAAAATGATTATTGTGGAGAATGCTGCTGGGGAGAGAAACTTGGGTTTTACCCATCTAAGGTGGAAGAAGACCACCAGAATAGGAGGAAAAATGTTTTTGAGGGAATTTAATTATTTAGAAGGTGGAGAATATAGACTAAGGATCATATTCACAATACCATTTGTTGAAAAATAAATTATAACTCTTTTACCTCATTTGAAAAAGGACTTTGTTGTTACCATAATTTTTTTCTATGGTTGTAATAAAGTTGACAAAATCTGTGATATTTCGAGTATGGATTTCATTCAAAACAAAATTAACAGTAAAGGGATGAGCCAAATGTGGGAAGGAATGACGACAATGATGAGGAGAGAGATTATGGATTAAATCTTTAAAAACTAATTCATTCATTCAACAAATATCCAATATATTTCATAAAAATAGTCACTCAATAATTATCTATTTAATCAGTACCCATTACATTCTAGGTATTGTGTTGCTTACTTGATTATTTAAATGCAAATATATTTGCCTTAGAGCATCCTAAACAATAGTTTCCCAGTATTTTTATTTTCTGGTCTAGCAGGAAGCAAGCAGTATATTGAAATGGGTTTCAAACCAGGAGTCATACAACTTTGGTTCTTTTGACACTCTGATTTTGTACTGGGTAAGCAACACAGTTTTCCCACCTATAGAATGGAGATATAAACAAACAAATATGAAAAACAGTCTCTACCCTGTTTGCCTGACAGGGTTACTGTGGACATCACTGAGATAATTACAAAAATGAATTTTGGAAACCACACTACATTATCTACATGAAAGAGTTGGAATGACTTTTACTGACTTGTATACTGTTTTTGGCAGGCCCGCAAGTACATCGTGGACTCCATGGGAGAAAAATATGCCGAAGGTGTTATTTTAGACTTGGAGAAGACGTGGGAGGAATCTGATCCACGGACGCCACTCATCTGTCTCCTGTCTATGGGCTCAGACCCCACAGATTCCATCATTGCCTTGGGGAAGAGATTAAAAATAGAAACCCGTTATGTGTCCATGGGCCAGGGCCAGGAAGTCCATGCTCGGAAGCTCTTGCAGCAGACCATGGCGAACGTAAGGCTGAATAGTCTACTTTTGTGCCATGCTGTTCATATTACAGGTTATAGAATAGCAATGCAGAAGAAAAATATAAATCATTAGGAGTTTAAATTTACATGCTGCCTGCTGTTTACTAAACAGCGTTTTTTTTTTAAATTTAAGCTAACATTGAAACTTTTGAGGCAATGTGGCAAATAAATCAACTACCCAAGGATAGCAAAGTGGATGGTCTACTCAGTTAGATGAAAACAAAACATTTAATGCAGAGAATGGAATCCCAAAGAAATGGGATTCTGTGGGTGAAGATGGAATATCAGAGTTCTCACCTAAGAAGTTTAGATCACCTGGGTGCAATGCCTCACAACTGTAATCTCAGCACTTTGGGAGGCCGAGGCTAAGGATTGCTTGAGCTCAGGAGTTCAAGACCAGCTTGGGCAACATAGACCCCATCTTTACAAAAAAAAATTAACTGGACGTGGTGGCCTGTGCCTGTGGGCCCATCTACTTTGGAGTCTGAGGTGGGAGGATCACTTGATCTGGGAAGGTAGAGGCTGCAGTCACTGCAGTCCAGCCTGGGTGACAGAACAAGACACTTTCTCAAAAACCAAAACAAAGCAAAATACAAAAGAAGGAAACTCAGGTCAGGGTTCACTTCTATGCTGGGTAAAAGAGAAGAACTGAAGTCTTTTTGTAGTTGCTGTGTTTTATATTGAATTTCCTTTTTGTTTTGAATTGTGGACGGTGTCAGTTGAAATTTTCAAACGGTAATGTTTAGATAACTTATTCAGCAGTACTGTAAATTTCTGAAGAAAATATAAGGAAAATGTGAAATCTCTAAATTATCAGTTTTACGTGTAACTCTGCTAAGACTTTAGATCTAGTGCTTGTTTTTTTTTTTTTTTTGGTGTTTTTTCTTTTTGAAAGACAACTCATGCAGCTCTAGTCAGTGATCTAAGATGGGTTATAGAAAAACACCTCAAGATTATGATCTGGATCTTGTAGATGATTTTAGCAAAAATATTTTATAGATTAGATATTGAGGAAATTATTGTTACATGACCCCCAATTTTGCCTGAGTTGCATTACACGAAGACCTTCCTATCCTTATGGTATAATTCAGGCAAAATATATGGCTTATTATTTTCTAAGGCTCTTTCTCTTCTTAGTGTGGTCAGATTCCCAGGGAAGGTTCTTCCACATGCTAAAGGGTGTATGCTCAGTTGCCAGGATTCTGAGAACTAGTGGGAGGCAGGAAGTAGCAGGTCTCAAAATTCAGCAGGCAATCATTCTTTCACCTGGTTTCAGTGTGGTACCTATTCCCTCAATGTGCTGGTATCCTCCAATCTAGACCCTGTTTTGCCTTCTGTAGAAAATCAACTTCTCATTTTTCATTAAGGCAGGCAGAATTTGGGGAGTTATGTGGTATAAATCAGGTTGCATCTCAGATTTCCCTAAATGCTAGCTTAGGATTCAACTTTCCTGAACCTCTTTTAAATGTTAATGATAATGCCTTCACTCTCTCTGTCATTGTCCTTAAGAGTTCATGCCTTTAAAAATTTTCTTCATTGTAGTTTTAATGGAATTTGGGGAGGGATCTGAGTTAAATGGATGTTTTCAATCAGCCATCTTTACTTGGAAGTCCTTTTATGTTTAACTTTGATTATATTCATGATTGCGACCATATAGTATTGGTACAATTGCATACTAGTGTATACTGGAACAAATGCATGGACTAAAAATAAAATAGCTTATCGCAATTAAACATTTTTGTTTTCTTAGATTTGACCTGGATTAATTTAAAATGGTTAGTGTTTTCCTATTAAATTTTAATTACTTAATTTCTAAAGAATGTAATAATTTAGAATTTGGGTGAAATACAAAACTACCTAATTTCCGTTTACTGCTATTGACAGGGAGGATGGGCACTTCTGCAGAACTGCCATCTGGGACTTGATTTCATGGATGAGCTGATGGACATAATCATAGAAACTGAGCTTGTACATGATGCGTTCCGCCTCTGGATGACCACCGAGGCTCATAAGCAGTTTCCCATTACACTCCTTCAGATGTCCATTAAATTTGCCAACGATCCTCCACAAGGACTCCGGGCAGGACTGAAAAGAACATATAGTGGTGAGTCCAGAAATACTTGCGAGTCTACAGGAGTTTCCTTACTTAAATTGTTTTCCTAAAAAAATTATAAAAGGATTAGCTAGGATACAGTTATAGCAAATAGTACTACTGTTTAACCTGATGGGGAGGTGATGGTCCTCTTTTGTGAATATGTCCCGGCAGTGTGAAAGAATCAGAGCTCATGATTCCCACCTTCTAGTTTCCTATTTTCCCAGTACTGCCCTATTTAAGCCCATGCTGTTCTCCAGCTAGACATAATTAATATCAAAAATGAACAATTTTGTCATTTATGGTCTTTATGCTCCATACTTAAAGTAGTACAGTAGTCTCTTCCAAGAGGAGAGTCTGAATTAAAGTCATGCCTGCCTGCCTTTCATTAGGGCCATATGTCAGAAGGTAGCTAAGTTAAAAATCCAGTGGCAGCAAACTCAGGCCCAAATGCCCCCATCATGACTGGGGCTGAGGTCGCTCTCTTGGCCATTGCTTCCTCTGCTTCATAGCTTTATGTATGGGGCTTGTGGTCATGAAAAGAACATGGAACTTTCAGTCAGAAATCCTGATTCTGGCCCTTGCTGTTGACAATTACTTTGTTCTTTTGGGTGTGAGTCATTCAATCTGAGTTTCAATTTTCTCATATATAAAATAGGGACAAGAGAATCTCTCTAGGAGAATTGAAATAAATTGTAACTAAAATCATGTATTTGATAACCATAATAAATATAATTATTGTATTTCAATCTGGAAAACCTGCAAAGAGACTTTTGGGGAGTTGCTAACAAGGCCCAAATTCCTGCCAATCTATAAGATAATGTGGGGATAAAAGAGAGGTGGAAGGATAATGGCAGTAAAAAATAAATAAATAAATCTAATTATATATACAATATAGTATATGCATATGTATCAATCATTATTATTTGGAGCATGTACTCAGGTGCAAAGGGCTTCTATATATACTATCTTAATTAATATAAAATTAGTTAAAAGTATATGCCCCAAGTATATGCTCAAAACAACAGTAATAATAATAGAGTAGTAGTTATAGTAATAGTGGCAGAATTTATTTAACTGTCGTTACCCTTCCAGCTTGATTTTACCCCCACATGATCTTGTTAGATTGGCAGGAAGTTGACCCATGTTAGCAAGCTCCTCCCCTCCCCAAAGTCTCTTTGAAGATTTTTCAGAGAGAAATGGCCTCTGGACACCCAAAAGTTAAATTATTATTGTCACATGAGTGTCATAAAAACAATCCAAAGTAAGTGAATTTTAATATCAGGGATTTACAAAAATGATTACTTATAAAAGTAGTAGAAAATAAAGACATTTGAGAGATGATACATTTTTCACCCAACTGACCACAACAGGTGTCAGCCAAGACCTGCTGGACGTGAGCTCTGGGTCCCAGTGGAAGCCCATGCTGTACGCAGTGGCTTTCCTGCACTCCACTGTCCAGGAGAGGCGCAAGTTCGGTGCCCTGGGGTGGAATATCCCCTACGAATTTAACCAAGCGGACTTTAATGCCACTGTGCAGTTCATCCAAAACCACTTGGATGACATGGATGTCAAAAAGGTACTGCCGCGCATGCTGCCTCATGCCTCTAGTGGCTGTGGGCTTGGGCCATCAAGCTCACGGGACCTCCTAGCTTTGGCGTAAATTATATAAGAGAATTTGCTGTGCTTGCAAAGTCATCTTTAAGTCATAGCAATTTGGGTCACACTTGCCTCTTGATTTCAGGAAAAATTGATCAAATTTTGATTATTATTTTATTTCTCAAAAGTGAGTTGACATTCCAAAGAAGACAGCCTCAAGGGGCCTGTTCTCAGGGGGTGTGGGTGGGGAAGCTTGTTCTTCAAAATCCTGGAAAATGAAAATGGGAGTCCAGATCAGTTGGAAGTGTGTGCTTTCTAAAGAACTGCCTCAATACCCTCAAAAAGCAAACACTATTTTCTATTTATATTGAAGTATGAAAACATACGAATGCATCAAGGAAGTCTATTTCAAATCATGGACCTGAGCACTGAGTAACTACTCTTCTTTACCTTTTTACTTTTCTTTCTGCACTTTCTCTTTGCAGTACTGATGAAGAGTGACTGACTGAATGATGTTGAAAGTGAATACATGGGTGTGACTTGGCAGGGAAATAATAATGCAACGGTAGTCAGTTCTACATAATTATTCTATAAAATTTCCCAGGGTGTCTCCTGGACCACCATCCGCTACATGATAGGAGAGATTCAATATGGAGGCAGAGTCACTGACGACTATGATAAGAGATTGTTGAACACATTTGCTAAGGTTTGGTTCAGTGAAAATATGTTTGGACCAGATTTCAGTTTTTACCAAGGATACAATATTCCAAAATGCAGCACAGTGGATAACTATCTTCAGTATATCCAGGTTTGTCAACTTCAGAATTTTATGCATAGAGCAAATATCTGTAGCCACTTGAGTTTTGGGTATTAATTACACTGTCTATATTGCTTTTACAATACATTTTAATGGTGATATATACTAATGCTTTTGCTGTGAAGGCTTTCTTCATATTTTTATACTCAATGGATGATTAAAATGTTTATATTTGTTCTGAGTGTGTGTTTTGTGTGAATCGTGTTTCCATCCCCCCTCTTTTTTAATGCCCCAGGGAGGAATTTTCTTTGAGGAAGATGATAGATTAGGCAGATTTAGAACTAGGAGACCTACACAAATCACCTGGAGTTCTCTGTCTGTGAAACTTCGGCTGCCACAGCAGTAGAGCAAAGGCAGCTTCTAGACCCAATTTGTTCTGTTTTCCAATCCATTTGACAAATCCCATGACATCTGTTCCTTAACCCTGGCCTAATGGACAGCCTATGGATATGTCCAGGAAGCTGCTTTGTGTAAGAACCTCCTCTAGGACAGGGTTTCTCAACCTTGGCACTATTGACATTCAGGGTTGGATCACTCTGTGTTGTAGGGGGCTGGCCTGTGCTGTTGAGCAGCATCCCAGGCCTCTATCCACGGGATGCCAATAACAACCCCATACCCAATTGTAAGAACCAAAAATGTCTCCTGAAATTGCCAAATGTCCTCTGGGGGGCAAAATTGTCGCTTGTTGAGAAGCACTGACATAAGAAGGAATAGGTAGATTTCTACAGGCAGTTTGGGAATAGGTGGGGAAAAAATTCTGATTTTCAAGGTGACTGCGTCTCCTTTCTCTATACCTAAAATTCATTATATCATTATTTAGCAGTCTCTTTGGTCTCTATCGAAGATTTATCTCAGAGTAAACAAACTAAAACATAACAGCCCCAGAGGGCTAAATTTATCAGTATATTTACATGTTGCTTTGATATACAAATGTAATGAGTTTATCATATATTACCGCCTCTGCACTTTTATTAATTCAAATCAGCAAATATATTTGTTTTACTGTACTGCATGTATCTTTAAATCATCAGCACTGAATAAGAAAAGTGGCCATGAAGGTATAAATTTGGGGGTGCCTGTACATATATTTTTATATATACCCCATCTCACAGTTTATTTGAGGTAGCTCATAAGAAGATATTATGCAAGAGGGAATAAAATGAGGGAGAAGAAGGGAGGGAAATACGAGTATGACTCAAATAATTAAGTTAAGGATAAGATTCATACATAGAAATATGTGTCAAATTGTCCGTAAATTTTCTTTTTTTTCAAACCGTTGGGGGATCTTTTTGCCTGCTTCTCCTGCTTCTGCCTGTGTCCCACACCATCTCTGTCTCTGTTTTTCTCTCTGACTCTGTTGCTTTCTCAGTTTCTCTCTTTTCCTAGTCTCTGTATTTTTCCCTGGGTGGGTATGACTCCCACGTGCTGCCTTTATTTGGACCACGATTACTAAAGCTGTCATTTCCTGGTATCTTCTAAACATAATAACCATTAGTTATACAACATTGATTTGGACAACTGGTTTGAAGTCTATTAGACTGTCATAAAGCAAAACACCAATCCACAGCTCCCTTTCTATCTCACATATTTTATAACAAGACAGTCTCTCTTGATTAAATTTTGTTTGAGGTGCAGACTGTAAAGAGCCATGAGCCTACTGTCTGTTTCTCAATGTTAATTGTTTTTTTAAAGGAAATTTGATTCTTTTCTGGAGAAATTATTGAGTTTGTAGCTTGACACCAATAAGACTTAAGTAAATGCATACCCTCATAGAAGCATTTTTGTTTCCTAAAATAGTGTAATTTAGACGGTGCTTATGTTGGCAGTCTGTGCTTATCTGGGGTGTCTGTTGTTCAGAGTTTGCCTGCCTATGACAGCCCTGAGGTGTTTGGGCTGCACCCCAATGCTGACATCACCTACCAGAGCAAGCTGGCCAAGGACGTGCTGGACACCATCCTAGGCATCCAACCCAAGGACACCTCTGGTGGAGGGGATGAGACCCGGGAGGCGGTGGTGGCCCGGCTGGCTGATGATATGCTGGAGAAGCTGCCCCCAGACTATGTCCCCTTTGAAGTGAGTTGATGAAATCCTGACAAAATGTCAGCTGGGGTTGCATATCTTCGGTTGGGAGAGTGAGGAAGAAGAAAGGAGGGCAAAAAATGATTTTCCTGAAATTAAAAAACATTCTTTTAAAAACCAGCTTCTTAAAGAACCAGAAAAAGAAGTTTTTGCCTCCATGAATGTAACATAATCTTTTCAATATATAAACCATAAGGAAACCTGTTGAGAATGTTAATACTTATGATTGATTTACAGGTGTGTACTGATGGATTAGGACTGCTTTTCTGAACCTTCCCTGAGGTACTTTACATTGCCATTTGTTCAAAATAAAGCGAAGTATTATTAAAACACCTGATTATTCAAAAATACATTTTATGTAGTTTAATGCACACCTTAAAATTCAGACCTTCTTTATTTCAGAGAGTCTACATTTATATCATTACCTCTGCAGCTTCTTCATCTCATTAGTTTTGAAAATTGATATTTTTAGTATGTAAGTAGTTTCTAAGCAAATTTATGATGATGAAAGTTAATTTTTTGACATCTTTTTAAATTGAATTAATTTTCAAAAGTTTTTTTTCATGAGTTATTGGGGTACAGGTGGTATTTGGTTACATGAGTAAGTTCTTTAGTGGTGATTTGTGAGATATTGGTGAACCCATCACCTAAGCAGTATGCGATGCACCATATTTGTAATCTTTTATTCCTCGCCCCCCTCACACTCTTCCCCCCAAGTCCCCAAAGTCCATTGTATCATTCTTATGCCTTTGCGTCCTCATAGCTTAGCTCCCACATATCAGTGAGAACATATGATTGGCTTTCCATTCCTGAGTTACTTCACTTAGGATAATAGTCTTCAATCTCATCCAGATCGCTCCAAATGCTGTTAATTCATTCCTTTTTATGGCTGAGTAGTATTCCATCATATATATATATATATCGGTGTGTGTATATATATATATATATATATATATATATATATGTCGATGTATATATATATATGTCGGTGTATATATATATGTCAGTGTATATATATATGTCGGTATATATATATGTCAGTATATATATGTCGGTATATATATATGTCGGTATATATATGTCGGTATATATATATGTCGGTATATATATGTTGGTATATATATGTCGGTATATATATGTCGGTATATATATATGTTGGTATATACATATATATGTCGGTATATATATATGTCGGTATATACATATATATGTCCGTATATATATATATATGTCGGTATATATATATGTCGGTATATATATGTCAGTGTGTGTGTATATATATATATATATACACACACACACCACAGTTTCTTTATACATTCGTTAATTGATGGGTTGGTTCCACGATTTTGCAGTTGTGAATTGTGCTGCTGTAAACATGCATGTGCAAGTATCTTTTTTGTAGAATGACTTATTTTCTTCTGGGTAGATACCCAGTAGTGGGATTGCTGGATCAAATGGTAGTTCTACTTTTTAAAGGAATCTTCACACTGTTTTCCATAGTGGCTGTTCTAGTTTACATTCCCACCAGCAGTGTGGAAGTGTTCCTTGATCACTGCATCCATGCCAACATCTACTGTTTTTTGATTTTTCGATTATGGCCATTCTTGCAGGAGTAAGTTGTTGTCGCGTTGTGGTTTTGATTTGCATTTCCCTGATCATTAGTGATGTTGAGCATTTTTTTCATATGCTTGTTGGCTACTTGTATATCTTCTTTTGAGAATTGCCTATTCATATGCTTAGCCCACTTTTGGATGGGATTGTTTGTTTTTTTCTTACTGATTTGTTTGAGTTCGTTGTGATTCTGGATATTAGTTCTTTGTCAGATGTATAGATTGTGAAGATTTTTCTCCCACTCTGTGGGTTGTTTGTTCACTCTGCTGACTGTTCCTTTTGCCATGCAAAGGCTCTTTAGTTTAATTAGGTCCCAACTATATATCTTTGTTGTTATTGCATTTGCTTTTGAGTTCTTGGTCATGAAATCCTTGCCTAAGCTGATGTCTAGAAGGGTTTTTCCAATGTTATTGTCGAGAATTTTTGTAGTTTCAGGTCTTAGATTTAAGTCCTTAATCCATCTTGAGTTGATTTTTGTATAAGGTGAGAGATGAGGGTCCAGTTTTATTCTTATACATGTGGTTAGCCAATTATCCCATCACCATTTTTTGAAAAGGGTGTCCTTTCCCCACTTTAGGTTTTTGTTTGCTTTGTCGAAATCAGTTGGCTGTAAGTATTTGGGTTTATTTCTGGGTTCTCTGTTCTATTCAGTTGGTCTATGTGCCTATTTTTATACCAGTACCATGTTGTATGATGCCTCCTGATTTGTTCTTTGTAGTTAGTCTTGCTTTGGCTAGGCAGGCTCTTTTTTGGTTACATATGAAGTTTAGAATTGTTGTTTCTCATTCTTTGAAGAATGATGGTGGTATTTTGATAGGGATTGCATTGAATTTGTAGATTGCTTTTGGCAGTGTGGTCATTTTGATTCTACCCATCCATGACCATGAAATGTATTTCCATTTGTTTGTGTTGTCTGTGATTTCTTTCAGCATTGTTTTGTAGTTTTCCTTGTAGAGGTCTTTTGACTTCTTGGTTACATATATTCCTAAGTATTTTATTTTTTTGCAGCTATTGTAAAAGGGGTTGCGTTCTTGATTTGATTCTCCACTTGGTCACTGTTGGTATAGAAGAGCTACTGATTTGTGATTTGTGTACATTAATCTTGTATCTAGAAACTTTGCTGATTTCTTGTATCAGTTCCAAGAGCTTTCTGGAGGAGTCTTTAGGGTTTTCAAGGCAAGCGATCATATCGTCAGCAAGCAGTGACAGTTTGACTTCCTCTTTACTGATTTGGATGCTCTTTATTTATTTCTCTTGACTGATTGCTCTGGCCAGGACTTCCAGTGCTGTATTGAAGAGGAGTGATGAGAGTGGGCATCCTTGTCTTGTTCTGGTTCTCAGAGGGAATGCTTTCAAGTTTTCCCCATTCAATATTATGTTGGTTGTGGGTTTGTCATAGATGGCTTTTATTACATTGAGGTATATCCCTTGTATGCCGATTTTGTTGAGACTTTTAATCATAGAGCGATGCTGGATTTTGTTGAATGCTTTTTCTGCATCTATTGGGATGATCATGTGATTTTTGTTTTTAATTCTGTTTATGTGGTGTATCACATTTATTGACTTGCGTATGTTAAACCATCCCTGCATCCCTGGTATGAAAGCCACTTGATCATGCTGGGTTATCTTTTTGATATGTTGTTGGATTCAGTTAGCTAGTATTTTGTTAAGGATTTTAGCATCTATGTCCATCGAGGATATCAGTCTGTAGTTTTCATTTTTGGGTATGTCCTTTCCTGATTTTGGTATTAGGGTGATGCTGGCTTCATAGAATGAATTAAGGAGGGTTTCTTCTTTCTCTATCTTGTAGAATAGTGTCAAAAGGATTGGTACCAATTCTTCTTTGAATGTCTAGCAGAATTCTGCTGTGAATCCTTCTGGTCTTAGATTTTTTTATGTTGGTAATTTTTAAATTACCATTTCAATCTCACTGCCTGTTATTGGTCTCTTCAGGGTTATCTAATTCTTCCTGATAAAAGCTAGGAGGGCTGTATTTTTCCAGGAATTTACCTATCTCTTCTAGGTGTTCTGGTTTATGTGTGTAAAGGTGTTCATAATAGCCTTGAATGACCTTTTGTATTTCAGTGGTGTCAGTTGTAATATCGCCTGTTTTGTTTCTCAGTGAGGTTATTTGGATTTTCTCTCTTCTTTTCTTGGTGAATCTTGCTAATGGTCTATCTATTTTATTTATCTTTTCAAAGAACCAGCTTTTTGTTTCTTTTCAAAGAACCAGCTTTTTGTTTCATTTACCTTTTGTATTGCTTTGTTTTGTTTCAATTTCATTTAGTTCTGCTCTGATCTTGGTTATTTCCTTTCTTCTGCTGGGTTTGAGTTTGGTTTCTTCTTGTTTCTCTAGTTCCTTGAGGTGTGACATTAGAATGTCAATTTTTGTCATATTACCAGAGTTGGTTTTCTGGTTCCTTCTCATTTGAGTAGGCTCTGTCAGAGAGAAGGTCTTAGGCTGAAGGCTGTTGTTCAGATTCTTTTGTCCCACAGGGTGTTCCCTTGATGTAGTAGTCTCCCCCTTTTCCTATGGATGTGGCTTCCTGTGAGCCGAGCTGCAGTGATTGTTGTCTCTCTTCTGGGTCTAGCCACCCAGCAAGTCTACCTGGCTCTGGGCTGGTACTGGGGGTTTTCTGCACAGTCTTGTGATGTGAACCTTGTCTGTGGGTCTCGCAGCTGCAGATAGCAGCATTTGTTCTGGCGGAGTTGGCGGTGGGGTGCAATGGACTCCGTGAGGGTTCTTAGCTTTGGTGGTTTAATGCTCTGTTTTTGTGCTGGTTGACCTCCTGTCAGGAGGTGGTGCTTTCCAGAGAGCATCAGCTGTGGTAGTATGAAGAGAAACCGGCAATAGGCAGGGCCCTAGAACTCCCAAGATTATATGCCGTTTGTCTTCCACTACCAGGGTGGGTAGGGAAGGACCACCAAGTAGGGGCAAGGCTAGGTGTGTCTGATCTCAGCCTCTCCTTAGGCTTGTCTTGCTGTGGCTACTTCAGTTTCTTCAGTGGGGGTGTGTGTTCAGGAGAGGAGGCTCTCCCTTTCCCACTTCTGCAGTTGGGGCACTCACAGTATTTGGGGTGTCTCCTGAGTCCTGCAGGAGCAGACCGCCTCCTTCACAGAGTCTGTGGGTCCTCTAGGGATTGCTGCTTTGTTCTTGGAGTAGATCCGGAGCTAATGTTCACAATGCAAGCCTCTGAACACTGCTCTGCCCATCCGAGTCAAAGCTGCAATCTAGTCTTGCCTCTGTCCCCCAGGTGTTTTCTTTTTTAACATCTTAATGAGTATTGTGGAAAGAGTTACCCTGATAGTATTTTTTTAAATCTTCAATTATCCTTTGAGTTACAAACAATTCAATTACATATGCACTCACAAATTTTTTTTTTTAAATTACAAAATAAAAAATAAAAAAATAAAAATCTTTGATTAAACCAAGACTAAGAGGTAGCTGATTTTCCATATAGTTTTAAGAGATGACCTGGACAATCATTTGGTGCTTCTAACATGAGCCACCCTATTTCTTTGTATTTTTCCCTTTTGTATCTCATTTTCAAGAGGAATCCTGTAGCATTTTGTGTCTTTTGTACCCCACTGTTTTCTACTAAGCAGGCAATTTTGGCTGCTAATACTACAGACTGAACTTAAGGACCTTTAGTCAAGGGGATAATGTCCCTGGAATAACCTCTGATCACTTGCTTGGAGAAAAATCAATACTGTTATCAGCTTTCATAAGCACTCTTCATTATAGGATCAGGAAAGGCGTCATTCGTGTCTAACAGGGGTTGAAATAGTTAGGAAGTGATAAAAATGTCTAAAAATAGAATGATAACTACATAAATAAACATGGTAAGTAGCAGGAGTTAGAAGAGTCTCCAGCCTTTTGCTGAATTTGTCAGTGCTACCTTAGGTTATAGCAACTCAGCCTAACACAATATCTGATACATAGAAGACTCTCAATAAATACTTGTAGGATGATAATGAATGGTTGGGGGGATGGATGGATGCTTTGATGGAAAAAACAGAAAGCTCTTAAAAGAGAATTCTAGTTTTTTGAAATAGCCAGCAGAATGGTTGTGTGTGTGTGTACATGTTTGCTTGTGTGTGTCCACATGTGGGTTTGAAAGAGCTCGGATTCTCAGAAAGGGAGTTTCCCAATAAGTGCATTTGCTGTTTGGAAGACTGCATGGTTGTGGTCATGCATTTTACATTCTTCTGTGAATTCATGGCTGCCTGTTCCTTCCCACATGGCATGAAAATTCGGGCTGGTCATCTAACAGATACTTTTTTCTGTTTTCTTTTCTTTTTTTTTTTCTTTTTGCCATGCAATAAATTAGAAGCTTATTATTTATGGAATAGTAAGAATTTGGGCCTGTTCAGAGGCCCCAGGGCACCAGGTCTATAAAATCCTTAGTAGCTAATTGTTAACATGTGCTTTGAATGTCTCCATGGCAGGTAAAAGAGAGGCTGCAGAAGATGGGGCCATTCCAGCCTATGAACATTTTCCTCAGGCAGGAAATAGACAGAATGCAAAGGGTACTCAGCCTTGTCCGCAGCACCCTCACTGAGCTGAAACTTGCTATTGATGGCACCATCATCATGAGCGAAAATCTGCGAGATGCATTGGATTGCATGTTTGATGCTAGAATCCCTGCTTGGTGGAAAAAAGTACGTATAAGCCTGCTGTTATTCTGCCTGTTCACTTATGATTGTGAAGAGTTGTAATTGGCAAGTGGAAAGCATGAAAGGATAATTTACTCAACATGATTCTTTTGCACAGGGACGAAGCCCCCTGTAGCCCTGTATTTTTAGACCATAGGTAGGGAAGGAAGTTTTTTTTTAGCAAATCCCACGAATCAGGTTCTCTGCTAGGGCATTTACATGCGTTATTTTACTTAAATTTTGTATTTTACTGCTCTTATTTTACAGATGAGAAACTTAAGTTTGGGACAGGTTAAGTCTTTTCTCAGATTACACATCTAAGTAGTCCAAGAATCAGAATTTAAACCCAAGCTCCTGGACTCCAAAGTCCATGATGTTGGTTTCATAGAAGGAAACATGCCTCACCCTAACATCAAAAGTCACACCAAAAGGAAAAAAAAAATAAAGTTTCTGCTACATGCTGTCGAAATCGGAGGAGTTCCCTTATCCCCCTCACAGGGCGTGTGACAGGGGTGTGGCTGGGTTTTCTGTGCCCTGCTGCTGAAATCCCTAGGGGGAGCATGCAGAGGGGCAGGTTGTAGGGACTGTTCTGGGGCTCCAACCCCATGGCAGTGTCTAGGGTTAGTGTTTACAGCTCCCGAATGGGCATGTGTTACAGTGTACTCTTTCAGTTTTGCCATCTGCAGATGGCTCGCGTTAATCAGCTCAATTAGACCCTCTTTATCGCAAGGACAGAGGGCTTTCTGTTTCCTGGGTTCTTGCTCTAGTGTACTGGAAAAATTGCCTCACATGTGGGCTTAGAGGTCGGGTGCAAGGTTTTATTGAGTGGTGGAAGTTGCTCTCAGCAAGGTGGATGGGGAGCCAGAAGGGGGATGGAGTGGGAAGGTGGTCTTCCCCTGGAGTTGGGCCGCCCAGTGACCGGACTCTTCTCTGACCATGCCTGAGCAAATTCCACGTCGTCCCGCTGTCAGCGGTGTCTGTTGGTCCTGCCAGTATATGCTGGTGTCTGTCAGTGTGCCCTTCTGCGCTTCTACTCCTCTCAACATCCAGCCACTTGTGTGTGTGCCCGCTATGGTCCCTTGGGTTTATATGGGCACAGGATGCGGGGCATGGTGGGCCAGAGTGGTCTTGGAAAATGCAACATTTGGGCACGAAAACAAGAGTGCCTGTTCTCACTTAGGTAGGTCTTTGGGCATAAGCCTGAGGGTGGAGCCTTCGCCAGGGACCCTGCCCTTCTCTACCCAGCACTTCCCTGCCCTGCTCTGGTATCACTATATCTGTAAATACAGTATGTAGTATGTATATATCAAAATAAAAGGATAAGAATTTAACAGCATGCTCACTGGTTACTTGTTAGTAATTGTGCTAAAGACAGATACGGTTTTAAGGAATAATTTTTCACTTGGAAAAGTAAAGTGAGTTCCTGAGTGTCTTTGTAAGTAGGAAAATAAGTGTATTTTAGTAGAGGACATTTGAAGGGATGGAGCCTAAATGGTATTCTTCTCTTTGTTCTGTATTTGTGTGTGCATGTGTCTGTGTGTGATGTGCATGCACACCCATGTTATGGGGAGATGTAAGTGAACTTGCTAAGATTAATTATGGTGAAAAAATACGTAGGAAAAGAGTGGGAGGTGTAGCTGTCTTCTATAACCTATTTCTTGGGAAAATCTGGATCTGCCCCATGGCTTCCTTTCCATCTGACTCCTGCCATTGTCTGGGGGACTCCACACCCACAGCATGAACCCAAGCAGGGCTGACCTGACAGATCACTCCCAATGTCCTGCTCCCTAGATTTTCACTTCTGCTCCACTTCCTCATTCACTTGCCCTGCTACACCTAAAGGTTGGAAGGAGGGGGAAATCAAGACAGAAATGCAGGCATGGAAAGGCAACAGGATTCACCCCTTTGAGATCTCAAGTTATGCATGTGAATGAAACCGGCTTTCACTGGTGTGCATCGCCTCCAACTGGCTTCAATTGCCAGGAGTAGGCCTGGGAAGGTAGACACTTGAGGAGCTTCCGTGTTGGACACCCACCTGGAGAGTGCAGTGGCAGGTGTGGTAGGATTTTTTGACTGCCATAACAAAGTACCACCGACTGGGTGGCTTAAGCAACAGAAGTTTGTTTTCTTGCAATTCTGGAGGTGGCAAGTCCAAAATAGAACTGTTGGCCAGCCGTGCTCCCTTCAGAGTGTCTAGAAGAGCATCCTTCTTTGCTTCATTCTACTTTCTGGTGGCCCCAGGAGCTCCTTGGCTTGTGGCAGTCCTAGTCCAGTCTCTCCCTTTGTCTTGTGAAGATATGATTTTCTTTGCCTTGTGTACATTCACATCATCTTCCCTCTATGCACATCTGTCTCTGTGTCCAAATTTCCCTTTTATAAGGACAGCAACATACTGGATTAGGGTCACGCTTATGCCTTCATTTTCACTTGATTTCCTCTGTAAAGACCCTGTTCCCGCATAAGATCACGTTGTTAGGTGCTGGGGGTTAGGACTTCAATGTATGGTTTTGAGGGGACACAATTCAACCCATAGTGGGAGAGGTAGCTAGGTCATGGAAGCCATTCTCAACAGGGAGATTATAATGATGGAAGGTGAAGACGAGAGGAGAGGAGATGGGACAAAAACTGTTAAAGACTTATTTTAAAATTTATTTTACTTGACAAAAATTATATATATTTATGGTGTGCTACATGTTGTTTTGAAAGATATGTATGCTGTAGAATGGCTAAGCTGGGCTAATTAACATAGGCATTACCTCACATACTTAATTAACATTTTCTTGTGGTTCAGGCCTAAAAGCCACTCTCAGCAATTTTCAAGAATACAGTCCATTGCAGCCGGGCGCAGTGGCTCATGCCTGTAATCCAGCACTTTGGGAGGCCAAGGCAGGCGGATCACAAGGTCAGGAGATCAAGACCATCCTGGCTAGCACGGTGAAACCCCGTCTCTACTAAAAAAACTACAAAAAATTAGCTGGGTGTGGCAGCATGCATCTGTAGTCCCAGCTACTCGGGAGGCTGTGGCAGGAGAATGGCGTGAACCTGGGAGGCGGAACCTGCAGTGAGCCAAGGTCGCACCACTGCCCTCCAGCCTGGGTGACAGAGCGAGACTCCCTCTCAGAAAAAAAAAAAAAATTGTCTATTGGTATAAACTATAGTCACCTTGTTGTAAAATAGATCTTTTGAACATACTTCTCCTATCTAACTGAAATTTTATACCCTTTGATCAACAACTTCCTATTCCCTCCCTCCTCACTCCACCCTCTAGTCTCTGGTAACCACCATTCTACTCTCTATTTCTATGAGTTCAACTCTTTCAGGCTCCACATATAGGTAAGATGATGTAGTGTTTGCCTTTCTGTGCCTGGCTTATTTCACCTAGCATAATGGAGATGGGACAAAATTTATGGATGAGGTGAAAATCATGGAACCAAAGAACCGGATACTATGCTTAGGTCAAAGGACTGTCCTTGAACAAGTGAACTAGAAGTGGAGGTTGTGGTTGAAGAATGGAATGTGGAATGGGGGTGGTGCATGTTGGATTTCTTAAGGCGGCTAAATAACTAGCTCTTTTCTCCGCCTGAATTCCAAAGCAATTAAATGGCAGAAAAGGAGTGGTGCAGATTAGAGAACATTTACTGATAAAGCTGATATTGAACAAAGTGGCTTCCATCTGCTGGAAGGTGAGTTTTGGGGTTTTAAAACGGTATTTGGTATCAGACAGACTTACCCACCAGCAGCACTACACTAGACAGCTTCCTCTACAGAGACTTCCCTGTGAAGCGAGAGTGTGCAGGAGCACAAGAGAGTGTGGGAGCAGAAGAGAGTGTGGGAGCAGAAGAGAGTGTGTGGTCCCTTTCCCCCTGCTACCCCCAGTAATAAAAGCAGAAGGGGCTGGCTGGCTGGGCTTCCTAACTGTATCTCTGTCTTTCCACCGCTGCTGTGGCTTCTCCAACCTGCTGCTGCCCTAGTGCCAAGTCACTGATCATACTTCAGGAGCTGCTGTTATAGCTGCACCCTACTTCCTTATGCCCCTCACCAGCTGGGTGCATCCTTGGGTCCAGACAGTTACTCTGGGACCCTCATTGTGGAGGCCTTGTCATCTGGGAGCTGTACCACCTGGAGCATGTGGCCTCTGAAGTCATCACAGCAGAGGGAAGGGAGATGGACAAGGCACCCCAGGTCTAGACTTTCTGGATTAGGAAGTGACCCATGCCACTTTCATTCACAGTCTGTAGATCAGAACTAGAGCCTTGGACCCAACCTAACTGCATGTGAGGCTGAGAAGTATAGGGGGCACATGGGACATCTGATGAGCAGAATGTGTCTCTGAAACAGCCAGAAACCAGATGAATTTCTTTATCTCCTGGGAGTGGGGAGAATGAGAGGGTCAAGGATCTTGGAATGTTATATGAAAGGAGCTCTCTCCCCATAGAAGGAAATATAGGAGTGGAAAAAAGGCACCTCCCAACAGGCTACTGTTTGAGGATGACAAAATTTAACATGAGAGCATGGGAGCAGAGGAATGAAATGGAATGGACATCAGGGTCATTAGAGAGCAGAGGGTCATGAGATAAGATAATAAGATGTTAAATGCATCATTCACATGGATGCTGAATTCACCTAGAATGATTAATGAAAGTAAATAAAGGTAGTCTATGGGTTTTGAGTATGCACTTACTTGGCCAGAATACCCAGGTTCAAATCATGTCTCTTATGGGCTAACTTGGGGTACACTAGTTGCCTTGTTGTGCCTCAGTTTCCTTATCTGTAAAAGGGAAATAATAGCATTATATAATTCCTAGCATTATTGTGAGGATTAAATGAGTTGATGTGTGTGAAGTGCTTAGAACAGTGCCTGGCATGAGGTCACCTCCTCTTCTCCTGGCCCTGAGGGTTGTTGAGTATGAGGAAAGCAGTAGCCTACATTTGGAGAAGGCTGTGAGGGAAGCAGTCTGTCCTGGGTAGAGGGTGTGGGGTGGGGGGCAGACTTCAGTTAAGAGAAGGGATGGAGAGAATGTTCCAGAATGAGGTGGAGGATCTAGAAGAGTTTTCTGATCATGGCACTAAAGATGCTGAAGGTAGAGTGGAAAGGCTTGGGAGGGAGGCTTGTCCCTTCTTATTGCCAAGGACAGAGGGGGATTGCGTCAGGTTGGGGGCTGCACAGAGAGGGCAGCCTACAGACGTGAGGTTGGTGGGTGGGAGGATAGAGGGTTGGCCTCTGTAGGTTACTTGGCTAAATGGGAAGGTGATAGGACTTGTTTGGTGCTGAGCCTCAGGTATGTCATCCCGGGCTTCAGCAGATTACAAGGCAGTGAGTTCTGCAGGCAGCATATAGTGAGTAGGACTGCTGCTTCTTGTCTTCTCCATGTTATTTGATGACACCACCCTCCATCCCTCTCATCACATAGCTGAGAGACTCAGAATCAGCTTTGACCAGACCCCTTTATTTCCTTCTCATCTTTAATAAATCCATTGTCCATGCCAGAGAGTTTTGTATCTGAATTGCCTCCTCTCATTGCCAAGGACAGAGGGAGATTCTTCCAGATCAGTGGCCATTGGGAGTTCCTTCCCTACCAAACCAGATCACCCACCTCGGTAGGACCCAGGAGGCTCTGGAACAGGAATCCCTGTCAGGGGCACTCTCTCATTAGCGGCTCCCTCTGCCCTCAGACCGAACGTAGTATAAACACACATCTCTTTTAGTTAACAGACCTATAAAGATAGCAGACAATGAGTGATTTAATTCTTAAATTATGATCATTTTATTCAGGTTTTTATTCTTCTCAGCTTATTATCAGACTTTGGAATCTCAATAACTCTTGAAAAATAGGCAAATTAATTCTTAAGGTATTTGAAATTCAAGTGTTATACCCAGGTTGATTACTACATTTATTCATACATAAAATATTGCAATTACAGTAAAATGTTATAATCTATGATTTGAAGATACCTTACACTGCTGCTGCTGATGACATTAATGACATATTCATGCCAGTTGTCATAATGGAAGTTCCACAGGTGAATTCAGGGAGAAAGTCAGAAGCAATAAATGCAAATAGTTTGTGGATGATAAAGAGTCTTGGGTTTCCATTTTTTGCTCCTTCAAGAGAGGAAATAAAAATGTATTCTAAAGGGATAAACATTCTGGAAAATAACTGTTGTTTACCCCGTTAAAATTAAGTGTAGCAAGTCTTCTACAACTTATCCATGGGATCTGTTTTAAAGTGTTGATTTATCTTGATAAGGCCATGAGCATATTTAGGTGAATAAAAATCCTTTTTTATGTGTTATAGATTGAAATTGTAACCTAAGGAAAAATGAGGAAAGCCTTTAAATTTAATCCAATAAATTGTTTTGATTCCTTTACAGCAGAGTCAGTGATGAATATATTGGTACATGGAAAGTGATTCAATTGACGTTAGATATCTTGAACAGCTCTGTGAATTTATCAGATGTTCATGTGATGACTAGTATATTCTATCATATCTTAGTAGCATTACTATTATTAAGGAGAAAGAATAATTTGAAACACTTACGCCAGAATCCAGGGAAAATTCATGACTTAGGGACTTTTTTCATTATAAAAGTGAAATTGATATTTCATCTTTTTTTTTTTTCAGTGAACATAGCTGGTTTACACTGCAGTATTAAACTTACATCAATTAATTGTTTTAATGTCTTCATTGCAGGCTTCTTGGATTTCTAGTACACTGGGTTTCTGGTTTACTGAACTTATAGAAAGAAACAGCCAGTTTACCTCGTGGGTTTTCAATGGCCGACCTCACTGCTTTTGGATGACGGGTTTTTTTAACCCCCAGGGATTTTTAACTGCAATGCGACAGGTAAGAGCTCTGATTTGCACCCGTTGCGTTATTATAATTTTCCTCCACAGGATTTTCCATCATTATAGTTTTAAAGACTATAATAAGACAGAGAATGACTGTCTCTTTTTGGTACTAGCAGTTACATTGTCATGTACATAAATCCCAGCCAGTTGTTCTCAGGCTGCTAGCTCGACTTTCAAAATATTTATTTCTTATTTTTGTATTTGATTTGATTTTCTATTTTTTTTTAAAGTAGACCTAGCTCAATTAGGATGTGGTTTTTTTAATGAGGGAATCTTGCTAATTCTTTAAATACTATTGTACGTCCTTCGAGTTAGAGTGATTCGGAGCCAAGCTTTCATTATTGTTATGCTCTTTCTATTAAGACAAACCTCTAACCGCTCCATTCATCTTTTGCTGCCCTGAATAGGAAATAACTCGGGCCAACAAAGGCTGGGCTCTGGACAATATGGTGCTTTGCAATGAAGTCACCAAATGGATGAAGGACGACATTTCTGCCCCTCCCACAGAGGGTGTCTATGTCTATGGCTTATATCTTGAAGGTGCTGGCTGGGACAAGAGGAACATGAAACTCATTGAATCAAAGCCAAAAGTGCTCTTTGAGTTGATGCCTGTCATAAGGATTTATGCAGAAAACAATAGTAAGTTGTCTTGTACCTTCAGTAAGGGCTCGCATTGTTCGTTTGGATGACATTATCAACACAGGATTTCATTATTTTTGTTATCATGTAGTAGAGATTTTGCTCTCTTATCTATTAGCTTTACATTCACACCCATGTTTAATGGGGACTTACTGACTTCTAGGCACTTTCTTGAGTATATTGAGGAGGCAATAGTTCTAGATAGTACTTGCTTATCTAATAAAGCAGATTAACATGTGTGGATACTCATGAAATATTAGCTGATGAGATAAGAAAGAAATGTTTGGCATAATTAATAGGCATGGGAAAGGAGAGTGAGATAACAGCGGGATGAAGTGAGCAGGGCCTGAGTCTCAGGAGCATTTGGGCCTGGACTGAGCTTTGAAGAATATATACAATGTGGTGGGGTAGGCTGTGGTAAGGAGACTTTCTAGATAAGACTGCACAGGGCTCAGTTGAAGGCTGTGGTTCTACCAGCTTGGAGGTTTGAACCAGGCAGTGAATTCTAGATTGAATTCAGAGGCATTTGGTTTAATCCTGTAGCTAATGGTAAAATACTGGGTTCTTACTTCAGTCTTTGAATGTAATAACACTTCTGTGAAGTACACACGTGATTCTAATTAAACAAAATTATCAAAGCTGTACTTGACAAGTCTAAAAATGCCTAAACTATTTTCCGTTATTGGATTGATGTTTTCTGGAGGCTTTTTTTGTCACCTTTCACTCAGCTAACATCTCTACAGCAATAACCACATTTCAGCACACGAGGGAATTCCCTGTTCGTCTTAGAAGCATAAACCATAAACTCTAGCCATGATAGTGGATCCCAAGGAAGTACTGATTTTATGATAGAAGCACAAAAGATTCTAACAAGTAAAGGGATAAAATAATTTATGAACTACAAGTATTTATTTATTTATTTATATGAGACAGAGTCTTGTTCTGTCACCCAGGCTGGAGTGCAGTGGCACAATCTCAGCTCACTGCAACCTCCAACTCCTGAGTTCAAGCGATTCTCCTGCCTCAGCCTCCTGAGTAGCTGGGATTACAGGCGTGCACCACCACATCCAGCTAATTTTTGTATTTTTACTAGAGACAGGGCTTCACCATGTTGATTAGGCTGGTCTCGAACTCCTGACCTCATGATCTGCCCCCGCCTTGGCCTCCCAAAGTGCTAGGATTATAGGCGTGAGCCACCATGCCCGGCCCCAAGTATTTATTTTTTAAGCAAACATTTGCTGGATGTCTAATAGTTACCAGCCATAACCTTAGGTGCTAGGGATGCAAAGATCATTATGAACCAGATCCAGCTCCCAGAGACTCACAGTCTAGTGAAGGAGACCCGTAGTAAGTAAATAATGAAAATACAAATTGATACATGTTACAAAAGAGGTGCTCAGAAAGAAAACATAAAGGTGTCTAGGAGTTTAGGGGTGATTGCTTTTGAGATGTGCTTTGGAGGACAAGAATGAGAGTTATGGGGAGTTAGACTTTTCGTGGCAGAGGGAAATAGCATTAGCTTGCTTGGTCATTCAGTAACTACTTACTGACCATCTGCCAAACACTGCCCTAGTGCTGGGGTTGCAGCACTGAGAAAAGACCAAACAGGCTTCCCATTCTCGTGGAGCTGAGTCGCAAACAGGGGTGATAGCCATAAAAGAAACAAATATAGTTGGGCCTTGTTACTCACAGATTTGTATTTGTGAATTTGCCTACCTGCTAAAATTTCTCTGTAGCCCCCAAATCAATACTAATGCCACTTTTATGGTCATTCACAAATATGTGCAAAGCAGCAAACAATTGGAGTTGCCAGACGTACATATTTCTAGCTGGGGCCAAACAAGGTGAGGCTGTGCCTTCTTGTTCCAGCTTTCATATTACAACTAAGTGTCCTGTTTGTTGTCTCTTTAGTACTATGTTTTTCAATTTTTGGGGGGTACTTTTTCCTATTTAAAATGGCCCCCAAGTGTAGTGTTTAAGTCTGCTGTTTCTGAGCACAAGAAGGCTGTGCCTTATGGAGAAAACACATGTGTTGGACAAACTGACTTCAGGCATTAGTTATAGTGCTGTGGGCCTTCAGTGCAATGGTAATCAACCATATATATTAAAAAGATATCCTTAAACAGAAACACACATAAAGCAAGATTATGTATTGACTGCTTGATGGAAATGTTGTGACCGGAGGCTTGCAGGAAACTAACCCTGTATTTCCCCTAGGAGAAATGGCTTGGCGTTTGTTAATTCAATATTCATGGTGACTTTATAGGACATAACTACTGTGTATAATGAGAGTTGACTAGAAATGAACATACTGATTTCAGATACTTCTTGTTTCTCTGCAAAAAACACATGCATGGTGTCTTAGTCCATTTTCTGTTGCTATAACAAAATACTACAGACTGGGCATGTGATAGACAATAGAAGTTTATTTTGCTCCTGGTTCTGGAGGCTGGGAAGTCCAAGGGCATGATGCCACCATCTGGTGAGGGTCATTCCATGGTCACAGACAGAAGGTAGAAGTAAGCATGTGAGACAGAGAGGGGCACCAGGAGCTGGACTTGGTTTATAGCAACCCACTCTTGCAATAACTATCTCACTGGCATGATGATGACATTAATTCATTCATAAGGGATTCACCCTTTTGACCCAATCACCTTTTATCAGACTCTACCTCCAAATATGGTTGCACCAGTGATTAAGTTTTCAACACATGAAATTTTAGGGGACAAATTCAAGCCATACACATGGTTTGAGTGTAAGATAATTTAGGAGTTCTGTGAGAAATATTGAGCTGAGATCCAAGTGATAGAAAGAGGCTATGCTAATATCCTGGAACAGAGGCAAGAGTGGAAAGTCATGAGGTGGTAATGGATGTGCTGGGTTTGATGAAGAGTTTAGTTCTGGGATTTAGAAGACAGACCCAGTCCAGGTTAGCTGGATGTTAGCAGTGTGTAGGTGGATAACAAAGTTTCCACATGAAGGAGGTTCTTCAGGTAGACGTGGAAATGGGGGAGTTGGAAGAGAGAAATGATATTTATGGAGAATGTTTAAAGGTGGATTTCACACCATGTCTCATTTAGTCTTTACAAAAGTTTGCTAGAGAAATGATTCTGCTTTGAGGACAACAAGCTAGAGAGGCTGTGATTTGTTGAAGGGAATAAGGATTACCTTGGGAGGGGACCAGTGTTTAAAACATGAAGGAAGAAGAGCCTGTGAAGGGGAGAGTTGAGCATCAGATTAGGAACACGAAGGTTCTCAGCACACTGCTTGGCACATGGTGTAGTTCAATATTTATTAGTTGAATCTAAAATGATAAATGTGTCTACCTGGGCTTAGGCAAGCATACTGCCTATGGCTTTGTATTTACTGGTTCTTAGGGTAGTGTGACATCTTGGGACAGTAATTATTTTATAGAAATAATAATCAAGTGTTCCTTTAGCCAAAAATAGTATTTTAGAAAAATTGCTTTGTCATATCATTGCATCTAGTCAACATATTGTAAAAATGTTTCCCATATAAAATGAAATAAAAACCTTTTTCCAGTTGAGTTACATGTTCCTGTTTTTTCTTGTGACTAAACTATAAAAATCCACGGCAATTTGACATTGAACATCTCAGCATGGTAGTAATAAAGTAATAATTTTATAATACTGGCAATTCTTTATGATTTAAGAACAGATTTTTATAGAAGAACTATACCCACCCTGCTGGGTATTAGCCCAGTGGTGATGCTCATTAGCAGCAGGTAAGGGAGAAAATAAAATAAGCAAAGGAAAAAGGGCTAATTTCAAAGTATTAAAAGAAAACTTTAGTTCTTTATTCTTTTTTTGATTTCAGTAAGAGTTGGTGGAAACTTGGTTTGCCAAATAGCTTTGTTGTTGAAGAGGTGTTTCTTTAGTGATGGAAAACTAACATTCTGTTACCCCTTTCATGCGATATATTTAATTTTTACTCAATTTTGATAATTGAGCAGGGCTCTAATTGACTTAAAGGGGTGTGTAGCATCATTAATGACCAAAGTGCAGCATTTAAAAATTGGAATTCTTATAGTTAACAGTTTTTACATTAATATGAAGGAAATTTTTTGATTTAAATAATCATTAAAATATAGATATAGGACTGGTTTGTTTTCTACAAGAAGAAATCTAGATATTTATTTTAATTCTAAAAATTGAGTGATATACCCTGAAACTTGAAAAAGAAATCATGTTTCTTGCTAGAAAATCACGGGAAAGTCATTCAAATAGTACTAAATTCACCAAGACGGTAAAGCCACACACACACTGTCTAGATCCTCTATTCTCAAAGGAAGCTGAAAAGGACAGATAGAAGAAAGATATGTGTCTTCACAGATTTATTATATGAGCAGATTGATGATTCTCAATGAACTTCAGAGCTGTAGCTGCTGTGATGGAAAACCGTGATTGGAACATTTGCGAGGGACGAGGCAAGCCTTCTACATACCTCTGGTCACTAAGCAGGTGCAAGAGGGGTCTCAACGGTTATTTCCTGCTAAGGAAAAAGTGTATCTAAGAACACCGTCTGACCCATTCTGACCTGAGACTGTGCAGATTTGGGCCTGGGGTGGGGATAGCCGTATGTGGTGACCAGGGGTAGAGACCTCCTGGCTCCTGAGCCCACAGGATTTAATCCACTGTCAGCTTGTCAACCTGGAAGTCTGTTAAAGTCATGGGAAACATGAGTCTGGGAAATTGTTTTAGTGAAAAGGTCCATGCGTAAGTAGATGCATGTGTGTGTATGTGCGTGTGCATGTGTGTGTATGTGCATGTGCATGTGTGGGTATGTATGTGTGCCTGTGTATGTGTGTGTGGAGACTGAGAGATAAAGAAGTGTCGAATAACATCTCTATCTTAGGCACCTTCTACATTCCAGGCATCATACTATACCAGGCACATACATGTGTTAACTTATTTAATCTTTACAACAACTCTGTCAAATTTGTCATCCTCATTTTGCAGATGGAGAAATTAAGGCTTGGAGACACTGGGTAATTTGCCCATGATTCCTGGCTACTGACAGGGAAAGCTGGTATGAGAATCACATTTGTTTGTCATGAGGTATATGCAAACCTCTGGGAATTCCCATGGTTAATCTTCTACTTGAGATTCTGTGTTTACATGTCCTCGTAGTTCCTGGGATGAAACTTGAAAATGAGGACAGCTAAACTCAAAATGAGGACAGCTCCCTTGAATATCGAAGTCCTGAGTTAATTTTTCTCAGGTACCTGCTAAGGTAGACTGTAGGCAGTGGGAGGGCACAGGGAGAGCCCTCTGCGGATGGTGCTCTCCCTCCGTATACCTCCCTCCATCATGCTACAGGCTGAAAAGTGCTCGTGCCCCTGTTCACCGGTAGAGGACTGTGAGCCGAGGGCCAGGATACTCGGGTTGTTCTCCTGGCTTTTATCATCCTAGTCATTAGTCACGTGGCTTTGGAGGCATCTCAAATATGCCACAAATTGAACTCAGGTTTCTAGTTCTGTCCATTTCATTTTCATGTTTTCTGCAAAGGCAGAGGTATACATGCATAGTGCTTCCAAAGTATTGCAGAGATGAAGCGGAGAGGCCACGGATCCATTCTGACTAGGTTTCATTCTCAGTTATCACTATAGCTCTCTAATCTTGGACAACTCACCTCCTTCTGTTCCAGTTTTTGAATCTGTAAAATGATTAAATATTAGTACCCATCATATAGGATTATTGAGAGAATTAAACTGACACTGTTATGTACATAGGAAGCATATAATAAATATTTTTTTCAATTGTTACTTTTATTAACATGCTTAGCTCACATGGTTTTTAAAGGATTGAAAGAAATAGTGTATGTTAAGAGTGAACTGTCTAGTAATTTAAATGTTGTTAGCAAAAGGGTGGTTAAATAAAGGAATGACTTAACGATTCTATAGAGACTCTCTATGTAACGATTATTTTGGATGTTGGAAGGAATATATGGAATGTATACTCACATGTAGATGAAAAATGCAAGATAGGGAAGTTAAATAGTCAGAAAATGAAATTCCCCCAAGGTGTTTTGTTAAAACCTTTAAGATCCTAAAGGGTATGGCTTGCCAATTTGCACAACCTCTTCTCTCTCCTCCTCCTTCTGGAACCCTAAGGCTTTAAACATACTTAGGTGATTTGTTCTACCTACCTAGCATGCCTATTTTTGTCTTCAAAGTTATTTGTCTAAGCAGGGGGATGGTTTCGAATCATCTGCTTATGTAGTTGTTTAGCATCTATCAACGTTTTCACTATGAAATTATATCTTCAGTGGCTTCTAATCCTGCCGCAGAAATTTGCTGCACGCTGTGACTTGGCATGAGCACCTTCAGCTCTGAAGCAATTAAAAATAAATAGAATTGGATAAATATTTCAGAAAATTATTTTTACCTGCTTATTGAAGAGAATGCTATTTTTTCCCTCCATTTTTCTGTTGGGATTAAAATCCAAGTAGTCAAATACTTCTCAAGTTGTAATTTTTGTAATTATCAGGAGATTCAGATGTAAGGCACCAAAGGCTTACTTCAAGGTTTATAAAATGGTTAATCAAATCTGCAGCAAGAAGAATGACTTTTATATGTTTTACATGTTTAAAGATCCTAGGATTAAAGGATTTAACTATATCAGTGAGTATAGTTAGCGTTAACCGTATTGCATGATTCATTGTCATTCATTTACTTGTTCAGAATTTTTCATATATATTTGCCTAATGATTATCACTAGTGATATATGCATAGAAATTGGAAAAATTACACTCAGACTTAAAAATTAGGTATCACGTTGTTTTAGGTTGTTCCTAATGATTACTTTCATGAGATTAGGGAAACACAGGGTTTTAAAATACTATAAAATATCTTTGTTGTTTTAGAAGAAGGTTTCTCATTCTCTTGGTACTATTGACATATTTGGTCTGGGTAACGCTTTGTTTTGGGGGAGCTGTCCTGTGCATCATAGGATGTTAGCATTATCCCTGACCTCTATTCCTGAAGATGTCAGCAGCAAGCCTACGGCTGTGTTAACCAAAAATGTCTTCAGATATTGGCAAATGTCCTCCGTAAGTAGAATTGTCCCTGGTTAAGAATCACGGCTTTAGGATTATTTATTTTATATTGAAACTTATGTGTAACATTATTGTATTCAAACGTTTCACTTCTTCTAATACAATTAATTAAATTTATAGTGGATATGTAAAAACACAGGGCACAGCAGGTTACAAGTTCTATTGGATCAAATAATGAGACTTTAGTTTCTGATAGTGCCTTGCTTTTGTAATTTTCTGGAAAAGGTAAATTTTTGAGCATGTCAGTTTTGAGAAATAAATTCAATAACTCTGATGTGTTTCAGTGCCCATGTTTGTAACATTAATTCACAAAAGCAGAGCATCCTCTTAGTTAAATGTAATTTCACCTGAATAGTTAAGTGAGGGTTTTTTAATTTTTTTGTAATATTGACTTCCCGGAAGAGTACAGGGATGGGTGTAGACACACTCTTGTCCTCAAAAAATGTATAATCTGGAAGAGAATATTAAATAATATACTATTTCCTGAGATGCATGTTAGGAGATGTGCAGATAAACTACTGTGGGCAGAGTGGGTTTCATAAGAAGCTAATGAGGCTTAAACTCCCAGGCTGCTCACAGGCAGAGTCTCCTTCCAAAGCCTACTTTTTTATTTATAAATTTTACTCCTTTTCTTAAAGAGGGCCCTCATGAATTGTATAAGTTTAAGTCCCCACAGACCTGGACCTGTCTCTGAGTATGGGGTTTCCAAGGCTGGAGAGAAAGGGAGCATGTGGGTGGAGATGGATGTGTTAGAAAGGATCTCTGAAGGATGGACATACATAGATTGCCTTTCATTGCAGTGTCATTTTGGAAACTGCATCCATTCTTCTACTCCAGAAAGGTAGACTGAGTCTCAGGGAGGTGAATTGGGCCATTACTCTCTGCGTCCCAGCAATTTTATTTCTCTACATATATGGAGAATTCACAATACCTGATTTAGCTGGGGGGTGGGGAGGCACCCTCTGTCCTGGGATTTAAAATGTGATGTAGACTATGGCCTGCAGGGTTGAAGATTTTGAAATAATAAAGTAATGCCCACTGGTGCTGGATGCCTGAGTAAAAGTAGATGTGTGTGTGCTCAAGGTTTGGTGAGGAGGTGAAGGAGAACAGGTGGAGGGGATGTTGAGTGGACAGGTGCAAAGGAGAGAGAGGAAGCATGTGGGCATGAGTTACTGTCCATGGTTCAGGGCAAGGGGCCAGCAGAGGCCACCAGAGGCTGTCTGGGTGTCTTGCCACATCTGCTGGCACCATGTGGGAGCATCTGCCTCACATCTAGGAATTGCCTGACCTCAGAAAGAATGTCCCTCATTCAGCCAAACCCATCTGTTTTTGAAATGACCTACAGAATGCAGAAGCATGGCTCTGCATTCTCCTTGGGCTCTAAAGTGGAAATTTCACCAAGTTCTTTTCTTTTATGTTTTTTGTAGCTTTACGAGATCCTCGGTTTTACTCCTGTCCCATCTATAAGAAGCCAGTTCGAACGGACTTGAACTACATTGCCGCTGTGGATCTCAGGACAGCCCAGACCCCTGAACACTGGGTGCTCCGTGGGGTTGCCCTTCTGTGTGATGTCAAGTAACATGTGGGGAGTGTCCCCACCCAATGCTTTGGAAAATGCAAGATCTAAATTATTGTAACCTTTATTTCTGTATGACTGCTGGACAGTGTATGTTAGGTCGTTTATGCAATTAATGAGCTGCATAGGTTTTCCCCACTCCTTAATTGGATGCTTATATTTTACTTGTTTCATCATTAGTGACCAATGTCTGAGTTTGTTGAAAATGTTATTTAGTGATATAAAAGTAAATTTACAGCATCCTAATGAAGTGTGGCCCTCAAATCCACAGTAGTATATTTTCTTCTTACTTCGCTCCGAAGACTGACTAGGGTAAGCAGACAGTATTTCTCTGGGAGGAATTATTCTTCTGTTAACGTGGCCTGGTAACAGCCAAGTTCTTGAAGGTAACAGGGCAAGTCTGTGCTGATTTTGCTTCTATTGCCTTTCGTATTTAGGTCAAGTTAAGAGACTTATTTTCAGGGTTTCAAGCAGCCAATTAAAAATACCTTTTAAAAAATAGAAGGAAATAGAAGAATGGATTAAGAATGTAAATAGAAAATTTATGTAAACATAGAGAATAAACGTAGAACAATGCTTAAGCCTACTTATAATTAATAATGAAATACTAATTGATAATTCTTATAATAAAAATTAAAGCTAAAAGTAAATGATAGCATGCTCTCAGTAAAACTGATCCACTCACAAATTGCTGGAGCAATGTAAATCAACCCAACCTTTTTGTAAAATGATTAAATACAGAAAGAGCCATAAAAATATTCACACCCTTGGATCTTTGTTTTCTCTACATCAAGGAAACAATTTAAAAGACTGAAAACAGTCTATATAAAATTGCATTTAATAACAGAAAAAAATGGAAAAATCATAAATATTCAATAGTCAGGCTATGGTTAAGGAAATTAAGAGATATTTGGCAACCATAAAAAACAATTTTGAAGATTCCATAATATGAAATGGTAGACCCAGACTGTTAAGTGAAAGATTTAGTTTACAAAATATTGAGCACACTGTGATTATAACAGCAAATATATTTGCATGTGGACAAAGATTAGATGGCAAGATAGAAAAATAAGAACAGATGTGATAGCAAGAATTATAGTTGGCTTGAAAAAATGTGATGATCAGGAGAAAAAATAAAAAAAGGGTAGAAATATTAGACGGTGCGTAGGGACTTTCTATGGACTTTTATTAATTAGGAAACATTATCAAAGGAACTTTTCACGTATTTTTCTTTAAATTCTGGTTAGATGTTATTAATAATTCTTCATCTAACCTACTGACTAGAAAATATAGTCAGTACTAAATTAGAATTGTGGTTTATAAACTTTTGGTTAGCTCTGGATCTGTATAACTGCATTTTTTTGGATAAACAGTTTTTGGTAGGTGGATACCGGGAGACAAGTGTGGGTCCCTCTCACTGGGCTTCATTCTGTGGACCAGGATCATTATTTCATGCTCATGATCATGAGAGTTAGGACTGAGTGGCTCCTGTGACTCCCACCATCTTAGATGATACTGTTTTCTTGTGAGTTCTTTCTTTTGGTGTGGATTAGTATATCAGTTGATTTGTGTGAATTGTGGTGAAACAATCATTTCATTTTGAAAAGCAAGTAATGAAAATGTCAACATCATAGGAATTAATAAAATGTTTTTACTAAATGCCTCATTCATAATTGTTGTTTATCAGAAAAGGGGGTAATTGGCACTAAGTATCTAGAAATAAGCTTTCAAGACTGGATTTTTTATCAAATAATTTGAAAATGTGTCATTCATATGATTTTGTGATACACATCTGTTAGTATGCATGCATAAGTCTTGGAGACCCAAAGTAGAAAAAGACCATGAAAACAACTAAGAACTTTTAGGAACTAATTCAACATGGCTGGCCCCTGAAGCAGTGATGAGTCAATGAGGCCCCTTTCTGCATAGCCACCTACCCCTACCGGGGCTCCTCCCACCAAAAGGTGCTGGGCATTCCACAGTCAGGTAGGCAAGGGAGGACCGATTGAATGAATCTCTCCTGCAATGGAGAGGCTTTCTGATGGTCTTAGACATGGAGAAAAAACAGCCAGGGGCTTGCTACCATTGCAGAATCATATAACAGTCTTTTTCAACTGTCCCAATATTGATTTACTAAAAAATATTTATTTTGCACCTCCTATGAAGACTCTCTGCTGAATTGGTGATGCAATGGTGAAAGAAAAAAAAACAGTCACAGTGCTTAATCTCATAGAATTCACCTGAGAAGAATAGATGCAGAATATAGCAATTATTCAGGTACACATGTAGTTGTATTAGTCCGTTTTCACACTGCTATAAAGAACTACCTGAGACTGGTGAATTTATAAAGAGAAGAGGTTTAAAATTGACTCACAGTTCTGTATGGCTGGGGAGGCCTCAGGAAACGTAATCATGGTGGAAGATGAAGAGGAACCAGGCATATCTTCACAATGGTGGAGCAGGAGAGAGAGAACGTGAAGGGAACAGCCACACACTTTTAAACCTTCAGATCTTGTGGGAACTCACTCTCTATCATGAGAACCACACAGGGGAAACTGCCCCCATGATCCAATAACATACCACCAGGTTCCTCCCTCGACATGTGGGGATTACAATTTAAGATGAGATTTGGGTGGGGACACAGAGCCAAACCATATTGTTCCACCCCAGCCCTTCCCAACTCTCATGTCCTTATATTTTAAAACACAATCATACCTTCCCAACAGTCCCCAAAAGTCTTAACTCATTCCAGCATTAACCTAAAAGTCCAAGTCCAAAGTCTCATCTGAGACAAGAGAAGTCCCTTCCACCTGTGAGCCTGTAAAATCAAAAGCACCAAATGGGAAAATTGGCCAAAACAAAGGGGCTACAGGCTCCATGCAAGTCCAAAACCCAAGAGGGTAATCATTAAACCTTAAAGTTTCAAAACAATCTCCTTTGACTCCATATCTCATATCCAGGGCACATTGATGCAAGAAGTGGCCTCCCAAGTTCTTGGGCAGCTCTACCTCTGAAGCTCCATAGGGTACAGCCCCTGTGGCTGCTTTCACGGGCTGGCATTGATTGCCTGCAGCTTTTCCAGGTGCACAGTGCAAGCTGTCAGTGGATCTACCATTCTGGGAGCTACAGGATGGTGGTGCATTTCTCATGGCTCCACTAGGCAGTGCTCCAGTGGGGACTCTGTGTGGAGGCTCTAACTCTACATTTCCCCTCTGCACTGCCTTAGTAGAGGTTCTCCATGAGGACTCTGCTACTGCACCAGACTTCTGCCTGGACATCCAGGCATTTCCATACATCCTCTGAAATCTAAGTGGAGGTTCCGAAACCTCAAGTCTTGTTTTCTGCATACCTGTAGGCCCAACACCATGTGAAACCTGCCAAGGCTTGGGGCTTGTACCCTCTGAAGCTGTGTCCTGAGCTGTACCTTGGCCACTTTTAGCCATGGCTAGAGCTGGAGCAGCTGGGATGCAGGGTGTCATGTCCCAAGGCTGCACAGAGCAGTGGAGCCCTGGGCCCAGCCCAGGAAACAATTTTTCCCTTCTAGGCCTCCGGACCTGTGATGGGAGGGGCTGCCATGAAGATCTATGAAATGCCCTGGAGACATTTTCCCCATTATCTTGGCTATTAATATTCGGCATCTCTTTACTTATGCAAGTTTCTGCAGGCAGCTTGAATTTCTCCCCAGAAAATAGATTTTTTTTTCTTCTATCACTTGGTCAGGCTGCAATTGGTCAAATTTTTATGCTCTGCTTCCTCTTTAAACATAAGTTTTAATTTCAAACCATCTCTTTGTGAATGCATATGGCCGTATGCTGTTAAGAGCACCCAGGTCACATCTTAAATGCTTTGCTGCTTAGAAATTTCTTCTGCCAGATACCTTAAATCATCTCAAGTTCAAAGTTTCACAGATCTCTAAGGCAGGGGAAAAATGCTGTTAGTCTGTTTGCTAAAGCACAGCAAGAGTGACCTTAGCTCCAGTTCCCAATAAGTTCATCTCCATCTGAGAGCATCTCAACCTGGACTTCATTGCCCCATCACTATCAGCATTTTGGTCAAAACTATTCAACACATTTCTAGGAAGTTCCAAAGTTTCCCACCTCTTCCTGTCTTCTTCTGAGCTCTCCAAACTGTACCAACCTCTGCCCATTACCCAGTTTCAAAGTTGCTTCCACATTTTCAGGTATCTTTACAGCAGTGACCCAAACTCCTGGTACCAATTTTCTTTATTAGTTCATATATACATTATAATGAACTACGTGAGACTGGGTAATTGATAAAGAAAAGAGGTTTAATTGACTCACAGTTTCACAAGGCTTAGGAGGCCTCAGGAAACTTACAATCATGGTGGAAGGCCAAGGGGAAGCAAGGCACGTCTTACATGGTGGAAGGGGTGGGGGCTGTCACACTTTTAAACCATCATATCTCGTGAGAGCTCACTATCCTGTGAACAGCAAGGGGGAAACTGTCTCCAGGATTCAATCCCTCCCCCCAGGTCTCTCCCTTGACACATGGGGATTACAATTCAAGATGAGATTTGGGTGGGGACACAGAGCCCAAACCATATCAGTAGTTATCTATAATCTAAATTTATGGTTATATAACATGATGTACATTAGGTGTCTAGAAGATAATATAAAGATTGTGCATTAAGTGCTATGAAGGAAAATACTGGACGTCGTGAATGAGAATAACAGAGGAGACTGCAGCACATCAGTTGTGTCACCACTATCAGGCAGAAGCCATGTTACAATGTCACCATTTATTTTTACTGTTTTATTGATATTTTTAATTGATTAACTGATCATATTGCATTTATGGAGTAAAATGTGGTGTTTTGATATATGTATACAATGTGGAGTGATTAAACGAAGCTAATTTACATATTCATAATCTCTCGACATTTATTACTTTTTAAATTTAAATTGATGTTTTTAATTGACACATTGTAATTGTACATATTTATGGAGTAAAATTTGATGTTTTGATACATATTTGTGTTGTGTAATGATCCAATTAGAGTAATGTGTATATCCAGCATCTCATGCATTTATCATTTCTTTGTGGTGAGAACATTCAAAGACTTCTCTTCTTCCTAGATGACATTTATTTTTACGGAGGACATACATGCAATAGCAGGGAGGCACTCCCCGGAGCCAGAGCAGCTGCTGCACATCCTTGCCTGGCTTTTCTCTGGTTTTCTGGCTCCCTTGTTCCCTTGTGCAACTCACAGCTTCTGGTGACCCTCTCTGGGCAGGTAAGGTCCTTCCAGAATTGACTGAGTCTAAAAGGAAAGTCTTGTCTCATAAAGAACTGTCTTTTTATGTATGGGGCTTATTTCACCATTCCATAGAAGCATACCTTGGCTTCTCTGAGCATCTTTAACGGAATGCTGGCAAACATTGAACCACCTCAGCATTAGTGAGGCCATGTCACCATCAGTGGAAAAAGCCTAGCCAGGGTCCAGTGTCCTCGAACAACATCTCTACTCAGGATACTCTTTGCCTGGAGAGACTTAATTTGATTGGACCATAAGGAAAAGCAGCTCTGAGAAGGTGACATCTAAATTTAGATTTAAAGGAGTAAAGGAAAACATCTCAGACCCCCAAGCGCTGGGGACTGGCCTCTTGCTCCCTAAAGGGAGAAAGTGGGCACAGTATCTGCAGGACGGGTGACAGGAAAGCCTGACTTGGAGTGGAGGGATATGGAGGGATGTGGAGGGCTGCTTTTAAAATGAAATTTCACACCTTATGATGATGGCTGCCAGTTTGGAGTAGTGGTGGATGGAAATCATGTGTTTCTAAGTCATTGGAATGAGGAGTACTTTTTGTTAAATACCATTTGCAATGGAAAAATCTCATTATAAAGAATTCAGTATTAAGAGACCTGATGAGACAGCCACAAATTTTATACTTAAGTAGCTTGTAGGATTCTATAGTTTAGACAAAATATACAGCATCAATGTCATTATTAGTGATAAATTTTTGTTCAAAGATGAAGCGTTATATGAAACTAGGGGAAGTGGGCATGGTTAGTGAGTACAAAAAATAGAATCAATAAGATCTAGTATTTGATAGCAAAGCAGGATGACTATAGTTAATAATAATTTAACTGCACATTTAAAATAACTAGAAGAGTATAACTGGATTGTTTGTAACACAAAGGATAAATGCTTGAGGTGATGGACACCCCATTTATCCTGATGTGATTATTACACCTTGTATGCGTGTATCAAAATATCTCATGTACTCCATAAATACATATACACCTACTATGTACCCCCCAAAAATTTAAAAAAACCTAGGTATGTGAGTGCATACTGATAATATAGTTTCTGAATTTTTTTCAGTATGAAGATTTTTAGTAATGATATAAATAATAAAACATATGTATGAGTAATTTTGTCTGAAAGACAATCCTCTCCCCAAAATCTGCAGTACACCTTTTTTTTCCTAAAATGGCTCTGATGACATGCATAATTGCTTTTACATTTTAAATAATTTTCTCTTGCAAGTATTAGGAGTGATTTTTAAAAACTACGCAACTGATCACTCTTGATTAGTAGCCCCTGTCAGCACATCAAAATAATGCCTCTTAAGGACAAACAAGTGGTACACTTATATTCACAATATGGCTCTCCATAGTCTGAATCCTTTGGAAAACCAATAAACCAGTCGGTTTTGAAAACACGAGGAGGAAATCTAGTGGTATTCTTGAGGTTTATGTGCTCTGGTCAATTGAGTGGCATCTGCTACGTCCAACATGTGCATATCAAGTTTCCGTAAATATCCCCCGTGAAGGAGGATAAGAAGGATTCAAGGTCAGTTTTAGAATCAGATATGAGATTTGGCTAAGAAACTGAATTTACAAACATGTTCTTAGTTGTCTTAAATGATGAGACTTATTCTGTGCTGCACTTTAAACAAAATTAATGTTATCTATGCAAGAATAGAATGTGTTGCTTGTCTGATCTGCACCCTGAGGGGCTTTTCTGGTTCTGGTCTTCAGCCTGGAAAACCATAAATCTGAGCAGCCAGGTAAGTAGTATTTATAGACAGAATTCTACTCTCTCCTTTCATTTGCATAAAAAAGAAAATATAGAGAGCAGGTGGGAGGGAAGGAACTTGAAGTGAAGAATGAAGTATCAAGAGTGGGATGCAGTGGCGGATAAATGGCCTCATGTTTCTTTTCCTCAGACGCTGTTAGAATTTGTTTATTAGCAATAACACTTGATCAAGACAATGAATTAAACTCAAAACTCCTCAAATGAGCCTTTTAAAAATGGCTTCTTCATCCCCCGGATTTCAGAATTTTCTTGCAAAGTGCCAACAGTATTAGATCTAATATTATAATGTCAATGGCTTAAAGGATTTTATCTGAGGTCTTCTGAAAGTCCTATCAGCTCTTTTCTCTTAGGAACACCCATAAAACCACTGTGTGGACCTGGCTAATGAGTATTCTTTCTCTGCCTTCTTAGTGTCTGTCTCTGATTTAGGACTCCATTTAGTTTTCCAAGGCTCTATTGGCAAATAGGCATACTAATTGTTTCCAAGTCTGCGTTTATGTTGGGTGGATGCAGGGCCAAGATCAGAAGCTTTGTCCTCTCTTTAATTTGCATACCAAATGGTATTTTTCATTGGGCAATACATTATTGCTCCTTGCTGTGCATCTTGTGGGCAGAGCCAAGACACATTGTGCAGCGTGATGCTTTGCCCCTGTTCTAGTAATGTTTTATGATCACTGGAATACCTTTCTTCATTTATTTCTTCACTTAGGCTAATATGCACAGAATTCATATCAAACGTAATCACAAACACGCTACCCTGGAAGGCCAATTAAGTTTTCCCCAATACTTTGTGCAGGAGTCGATTTTAATAAGACCACATAGAGTGTTCATTCTGAGTAGTTGAGAAGAGAGAAAGATTAAATGTGATGAAGGACACCGAAGAGACTACCTGGAAAGTCACGGAATGGAGAGACCTGTGAAGGATTATGAATCAAAACCTGTGCTGCAGCTGATATTGAACACTCCTCTTTATTGCTGAGCACAGTTTAAAATTCACTCTTGAGTTTCACCTCACTCAATGCAGTCAGCTGTGATGGATCCATTTATAATTTATTTATGCAAATACTTAAGGCAAATCCCCAGAGACCTCTAGGAAAAGAGCTTATAAAACATTTTAGTGTTTTATCATTTGAAAAGTGGTCATTTGCATGCAGCAATGAAACTTTTTGCTATTCTAGCAATAGTGAAAATGTTTTTAGTGTTTCTGGGACATAATACATTGAAATTCACATATGATATCCCCTGATACCTGGTAACCCAGGTAACAAAGATTTATAAATGGTACAAATGAGGGGCTTTTAAAAAGATGATTGTTATAAGTTGAACCATATTACTAAAAAACAATTTTTTTCTAGATATTTTAGTTGTATTAGAAATCAGAAAATTGAGCATTGGCTGGAGAATATATCCATATTTGCTTTAGCTTATTTTGGCTTATATTGAATGAATATATCTATATTTGCTTTAGCTTATTTTGGTTTGTATTGCTTGTTGTTGGTTTCCCTAATCTGTTTTTCTCATGCTAAAAGTCTATCAATAGTCTTCAGCAGAAAAGAGCAGAACACATTATTTGACCCGTATTGGTACCTTATAAGGATGAAAAATTCACTGATAAATTAGAGCTGAGTGTGGAATACTGAGAGAAACTTTCTAAGTTAATGTTAGAAATATAGAGTTTTTGCAAATTTAATTTTTTTGTTCTCTGATGCTAGCCTGTTTGCATTTAGATGTAAGTAGATTATTGTTAATAGAAAATATCTTCTAAAATCAATGCTTCTGCATGAACAAAATCAACTAGCTTATTTTGGGAAAATTTACATCTCTTTAATAAAATGAGTGGGTCTTTAGATGAATGATAAAAGAGAATGCAGCATTGTCTAGAAATTAAATAGACCTTAGCAATATAATTTCATGCCAGCCTCTTCACAATTGATATAAATACATCTCATAGAAGAAATATTACACCAGAGCCTTATACAGTTGCCTATGATGTATGTCTGTATCATGCTGCAATGATGTCTTCATGGTTCTACTGGGATAGAGTCCGTGGCAGGCAGTCCCTGCTAGTGGTGAGCTTCAGAATGAGGTCTGCAGTCTCTCATAAAAATTCCAAGGTTGTTTTCAGTTTATACAGACTGCGACAGACCTTTGCCTAGTTGTAACACCCTCAGATTGTGTCTTTGTAAAAAGACCCTTTCCTCTACCTTGCTGCCACCTTCAGCCGTAATCTTGACACCTCCCAGATTAAACTGCTAATTGTTTAAGATGAGAGCCCCTTGGAGGACTCCTTGTATTTAGATAGAGAGCTGGACTCAAAGAGATCTTTGCTTGCTATTCTTTGCTGGCCTAGACTCTTCCTTTGCCCTTCAGAAAACACAGCCATCATTTTCACTGAAGCTTATCTTTGCAATGTGGGCAATGGTTGACCTAGAGAGCACCACAGATTGTCTTTCAAATTTAACCACACGTTGAAAGGTCTGCATCTCATACATGAGACTATGTCATAAGCTGCAGGTTCAAATTAATCCTGGCCTAATAGAACTATTATTAATAATATTTTGCCACAAATAAAAAGTTTAGGAATGCCCCAAACCTGGAATCTCCTGGCCTAATCAGTCACTCCTATTTAGTCATATTGTTTAGGCCCCAGCTAGCTCACTAAAGGGTCTGTTAACCATGAGCACCTTTATAAATAATCATGCCACTCATCATAAGCACACAGGCTACCCTGTAATTAAATGTCCATGGGAAAAAGTGATTCAGAGTTCTAGACTCAGATGCTAATATGCAACCCCCGCCATCGCCACTGTCATCTCAAGCCCCTACTTCCTGCCTTGCTCTATTAGGGGTTCTAGTATGCCTACCAACTCCTTGCCTAGCTCAAATCACCTTGTGGTGGCTTGTATCATCTGGAACGCACGGGAATAGGAGTGTGAGTAACCCTAGGCTTTGGAGTGTCCCACCTGGAAAACTTCCTCCTCTCAGAGATACTTCTCATCAACTGGCTTCCTGGTCACATCCTTTCTTGATTAGTATCATGCCAGGGAGGTGGCAGGGTGACAGGGAAAAAGGGGCATTTGGAACTTGAGACTGGTTCAAACCCTGTATGCACCATTTACTAGCTGGGTTTATTTGGAAAGTTGGTTAGCATTTCTGAGGCCTTGTTTCCTTATCTGCAAAATGGGTGCACGATATGGTACCTTCCTTGTGAGGTTGTTGGGATGAACAATAAAGACAAACAAGTTGAAAGTACCCAGGACAAAGGAGGGCTCACCCACGGTGAGTTTCTTTCTCCTGTTACAGGTCAATTCAGGTACAGAGGAGAGACAGTGAACAGCCACCACCTGATGTGACAACATGTTTTAGGAGGAATGCTTAAGGACCAGTGGTGCTGTGGTCTGAATATGTGGGTCCACCCAAAATTCATATGATGAAATTCCCAGTGTGATGGTAGTTGGAGATGGGGCTTTTGGGAGATAGTTAGGTCATGGGCAGGGCCTTAAATAAATGGGATTAGTGGGCTTATAATAGAGGCCCAAGAGAGACCCTTTGCTTCTTCTGCCATGTGAGGACACAGAGAGAAGGCACCATCCATGAACTGGAAAAGAACCCTCACCAGACACTGAATCCATCTGTGCCTTGGTCTTGGATTTCCCAGCTCCAGAACTGCTGTGAGAAATCAGTGTATATTGCTTAAGCTACCCACTGTATGGTACTTTGCTAAGGCAGCCTGAACAGACTATGACAGGTAGGTACAGTCCTTTTACTCCTCCTCATAAGGGTATTAAGCCCAGCTTCATCTCCATCAATGCCATTCTCTCCTTGTTTTCAATTTAGAAGCAAAGTGATTTCCTGGAGTTTCTTTTGTTCTTGTTGTTTTGATGGGAACATGCTTGTGAGTCAATTCCAAAGTAAAGCCCTAAAACGTCTCCAATTTCTCTCTGCATGATATGCATAAATACACTGTTTGTGTAATATGCCATTTAATGCTGATGTCTAATGCTGATATTCACACCATAAGTTATTAAATGATGCTGCTTTTTCCTTTGTGCCTGTTCAGACTAACAAAGCCTGTCATGTATTTCATTTACTAACTAGTGACCATCCATGTGAGATGACAAAAGGGAGATGTAAAATAAACAGATACTGGGTCACAATCAAAGTTACTGCTTTTGTTTACTATAAAAACCTTTCATTTATTAAAATAATGGCATTTAACCTTGGCTGTACTTGAGAATCACTTAGAGAGATTTGTAAAAATGTTGATAATAAGGCCATAGCCCAGTCTAACTAAATAAAAATAACTAGGGGGAGGGGCCAGGGCATCCTGTTAAAGTGGCCAGGGTTGAGAACCACTGTTTTGAATACAGTAGTCCTCTCTTATCCACTGTTTTGCTTTCCAAAGTTTCAATTACTTGTAGTCAACCAAGGTCCAAAAATAGGTGAGTACAGTATAATAAAATATTTTCAGAGAGTGAGAGACCACATTCACATAACCTCCATTACAGTATATAGTTTTAATTGTTCCATCTTATTAGTTATTATTCTCTCTTACTGTGCCTAATTTATAAATTATACTTTATCACAGGTGTGTGTGTATTTATAAACTAAACTTTATCACAGTTGTATGTAATTTATAAACTAAACTTTATCCCAGGTGTGTGTGTATAGGAAAAAACAGAGTATATATAGGGTTTGACACTATCTATGGTTTCAGGCATCCACTGATAGTCTTGGAATGTATCCCCCAAGGATAAGGCAGGAATAATGTTGGAACTAGTTGGTACCATTAAAAACAAAAACACCCACCAATAAAACAACTGGAAAATACACATTTGTGGTTAAAAATCCTTCGAGCAATTTATAACTAAAGAGAGTTGAGGTGGTGAAAACTACTTTTTAGAATGTTATACTGCAATGCTTCTCATATAAAGCCTCTTTTAAGTATTCCTCGATTTTCAAATCTCTATTATATACTATTGTTGCTGAATGCTGAATGCTGTTACTCTATGAAACCATGAAACTGCCACATTCTCTTAAACTGCTATGCAAACATACCACCTGAGTGTTTGTTCTTTATTAGAAATGTGGCATAATGTATATCAGTATTCTTAGATTTTCTGATGCAGTTTAATTATGTGGAGATCTTGTTATAAATGCAGATTCTTAATTCATCTGACCTTAACCTTAAGGTCAGGGGTAGGGCCTGAGACTCTGCATCTCTAGCAAGCTCCCAGATGGTCCAAATGCTGCTGAGAAGATGCTGCATATTTCTTCATGGATTTTGACGCTCTGCTGCCAGATAATTCACAAATTAAGAATTATTACATCTTCATGGTGACTTGACCTCTTTGTTATTATGTAATGTTATTCCTGTTTATCATTGGCAATATTTATTTTTCTGATGTTTCTTGGTTTGATATTAATATAGCCACTACAGATGTATTTTGATCCTATCTATGTACCCTTTTATTTTCTAGCGTTTTAAACTACCCATGCCTTCATATTTAAAGTGAGTTTCTTATATAGTTAGTTAGGTCTTGCTTTTTAATGAAGTCAGACAACCTCTGTTTTTTTAATGACCATTTATATTTCATATAATTATAAATAAGGTTTGATTTAAATGTGCTGTCTAACTAGTTGTTTTCCACTTGTCCCATCTCTTCTCTGTTCATTTTATTCTGCCTGCTTTTGAGTTGGATGTTGTTTATGATTCCATTTTATCTCCAATATTTACCTAGTAATTACAGCTCACTTATTTTTACTTATTTTTGATGGATGTCCTAAGGTGACCAAGACAGCTCTAATGTTCCCCTCAGATTGACTGAACCTTAGATAGTCTTTTTTCTGACCATAGACTCTTGATTCTCTTTTCTTAAGGGCATTTACTCTAGAAAAGTTGCAATGGTAAATTCTTTCTCTCCCCTTTTAAAATATAAATCTTTCTCAAGAATCTGGGAGCCATCCCTTTGAAATGTAATCAAGAAAGATAGATAGAGCCTCTATCTCCCAGTATCTACGGGAGGGTAGGGAGCCTCCCTTTGATAAGTGACAATTAGCAAACACAAGTGCCCTAATCACATTGACTAACCTCTTTTCCACTGTCATCCAGTAGAGGCCATTAACTCACACCAGCATTTAAAAATCCTTCAATGGAGTTAAGTTCAATCTCCCCCCCTCCCCCCCGCATTTCAGTAGTCTTGAATAAAGTCTTCCTTGCCATTTTTAATAAGTGTCCAGTGCAGTTTTTCTTTTACAAAGGTTTACAATATACATCTTTCCTTATCACAGTCTACATTCAAATTGTATCCCTTCATGTATAAGAATCTTACAATTTCCCCTCTCTCATCCTTTGTGCTATTTTTGTCATACATTTCACTCTTACATGCATTATAAACCCCATAATACAGTAAAACTACTTTTTGTGATAGTAAATTACATTTTAGACTGATTAAAAATAAGGGAAATGTTTTTTATATTTATCTTACTATTTTCATTTTCTTCACTCTTCATTACTTTGTGTAGATCTAAGTTTGCATCTGCTACCATCTGATTTTTGCTTTAAGACTTTCTTTGAACATTCTCGAAGAGCATTTCTGCTGGCATTTTTCAGCATTTGTTGTCTGGAAAAGTCTTTATTACCTCTTCCTTTTTGCAAGATATAATTGGTGGGCATAGAATTCTGGGTTGTAAGTTTTTCTCATTAAAATTCTTTTTAACATGTGGTTACCTTTGAAAAGACAAACTGTGCTCATTTTGTTTCCAGTTTCTTTCAGGGACAGCAGGTAGGATGCTTGCTGATGCAACCAAGTACCCTCAGATGTGAGGGTTTGCAGAGAGGTGAATCCTGAGCACCCAAGGGCAAGGATGGCATTAGACATTTTCTGGGTAAACTCCCCCAGTACTCCAACTGCAAAGATGCTTGTTTCAAGATTCCAAGGGTGTTTCTTGAAGTGTGAAAGAATAATGTAGGCCAGTGAAGCATAGAAAACAAAGTTCCCTTCAATTCCAGATCTCTAAGTTATAATTCATAGTTCATATGACCTTTTCTCCTGTTAGAAGGGGGATAACTTTCTTTGACACCTTCCACATTTTACACAGAAACATAGTACCATTGGCCTTCCATATTGGTGGGTTCCACATCCATGGATTCAACCAACTATGAATCAAAAATAGCCAGAAAATAAAATTCCACAAAGTTTCACAAAGCAAAACTTGAATTTTGCTGTGTGCCAAGTATTATGCATACAGCAGGATGTGCATAGATTATATACAAATACTACACCATTTTATATAATAAACTTGAGCATCTGCAAGATTTTGGTATTTGAAGGATGTCCTGGAACCAATCCTCCATGGATACCAAAGGATGACTGTATATGATTTTTCTAATTTCCTAAAAATAAAATCTCATTGTTAGTATACCATTAGTATCTTTATGCTTTTCATGAAGGTCAGAATCCTTATTTAAATAAAGAGAAATAATTTACTCTGTAAAGTGCACAACTTTGAGATATTAGTAATTTAGCTTGTATACATATAAGTGTTTTATTAAATAATTAAACCATTGTATTCCTTTCCTATAAATGCTGTAACAAATTTCCACAAACTTAGTAGCTTAGAACAATAGAAACATATTCTCTCAGAGTTCTGGAGGCCAGAAGTCCAAAATCAAGGTGTCAGCAGAGCTGTCCTCCCTCTGGAAGTTCTAGGGGAGGATGCTTTCTGATCTTTTCCAGCTTCTGGAAGCTTCTGGCATTCCTTGGCTTGTTGTAATCTAACTCTTCTCTGCCTCTTCTCATCACTTCATCTTCCATATATGAGTCTAGTTTCCTTCTCTCTCTTACAAAGACACCTGTGATGGCATTTAGGGCCCACTGAGATAGTACAGGATGATCTTATCTCAAAATTCTAAACTTCATGAACACATCTGCAAAGATTCTTTTTTTCTGGTAAAGTAACATTTACAGGTTCCAGGGATTAGAACATGATATTTTTGAGTGGCCATTATTCAGTCTATGGCGTTAATGTTACCATATTTTTCCTATACGCAAACTTCTCTTGAAAAACACTGGTCTTGAGGGTTGGTAGAGAGTTATTGAGACATTCTGTAGGTAAAGGGAAGGCTGGCTTGCAGAGTTCTTTTATTCTAGGCATTTAAGCAATCCATCATCATCATCATCATCATCATCGTCATAATCATCATCATCATCATCATCTAGTATTTACTGAGTATTTCCAATGTGCCAGGACTGAGGTGACTTCCTGAAAGCTTTACTATCGAAAAGATGGTCTGAGGGCCAGCAATACTGCAATTGCCTGGGAGTCTGTTAGAAACACAGACTCTTGGGTTCCACACCACACCTATTCAACCAGAGTGCATTTGATCAAGATGTCTACTGATTTGCCTAAACATTAAAGTTTGAGAAAGCTCTTTTGCAGTATTAACTTATTTAAACCTCACAAATATTGTGGTCCATGCCTATTTTATAGATGAGGATCACAAGACTCAGAGAGTTTGAATAACTTGCCCAAAGCCACTTAGTTAGCAGGGATTGGATGCCATAATTCAGTCCAGATCTGTTGTTTCCCAGAATGTGCTATTAACCATTTATGATGCCCTGCCTCTTCACATAGCAAACAGTGGACGTTGACTCATTAGAAAGCACAGGGAAATACACTTTCCAGCAGCTCTAGTAAATCCCAGGAGGTTCTAGTTTAAGCTTCTCCAAGCTATTCAGTCATTCAATATCAGCCCTATGGGTCTCCTTAAAAACAGCATTTCTAAACTGCAACCATCCTAGAAAAATTCTGCCAACTTGCTAAAAGGATCAGTTAGTCAATTGCTTGAGGGTTGGCTAACAAAATTACTTTTATTTTGCAGAAAATTTAAAAAGTGCCAATTAGAACCAAAACATGAGTGTAACTCCTGCCACCTGCCTCCTGTTCATCCACATAGATGCAAAAACTGAGAAGCAGACACTATATTGCAAAAGGGTGGAGAACTACTCACTACTCAGGGTAGGAATGTTTAGCCAGGGTTAGAAATGTTTTTCCGTGTAGCAATCTCACATACTGTCTGTCATTTTATAATGAACCAGTCCATCAGTTTATCAACCAACGAGCATTTGCCAACTGCTGGCATATTTCTGGAAACGCAACAGGCTTAATGGAATTGGTAGGATATGGTTCTTTTCTCTATGTACAGGCTCCCTACTCACTATCTATAAAAGGGGATACAAGGGCCCTGTGGTATTTTCTGTCTCATAATGACTTTATGTTTATGATTAATAATTTCTCAGAAAGTGATATTAAGTGTGATGTCTGTATGTGAAATGAGTATTCTCATCACTCTTCTTTATCTGAGCATTGAAAATTGTTTTCCGCTCAAACCTCCTTCTGTTCTAAATTATAGTCATGAATTCTCCACACTGTGTTTATTGAAAACCAAAAATAGGCCAGGTGCGGTGTGTATTAGTCTGTTTTCACGCTGCTGATAAAGATATACCCAAGACTGGGCAATTTACAAAAGAAAGAGGTTTAATGGATTTAAAGTTCCATATGGCTGGGGAGGCCTCACAATCATGGCAGAAGGCAAGGAGGAGCAAGTCATGTCTTACATGGATGGCAGCAGGCAAAGAGAGACAGATAACTTGTACAGGAAAACTCCCGTTTTTAAAACCCTCAGATCTTGTAAGACTTATTCACTTTCAGGAGAACAGCACAGGAAAGACCTGCCCCCATCATTAAATTACTTCCCACCGAGTCCCTCCCACCACACATGGCAATTCAAGATGAGATTTGGATGGGGACACAGCCAAACCATATCTTTATGTTTCACATCTGTAATCCCAGCACCTTGGGAGGCCAAGGCAGGCAGATTGCTTGAGCCCAGGAGTTCGAGATCCCTCTGGGCAACTAGTGAAACCTTGTGTCTACAAAAAAAAAATTATGAAAAATATTGACCAGGCTTGGTGGTACATACCTGTAGTTCCAACCATTCAGTGGTCTGAGGTGGAAAAACACTGCCCAAGAGTCCCAGGTTATAGTGAGCCATGATTATGCTGCCACTGCACTCCAGATTGGGTGGGTGACAGAGGGAGACCCTGTCTCAAACAAACAAATGATCAACCCCTCCAATCTAAAACAAACAAAAACAAAAAAAAATTTTTTGAAAGAGATATTTATAAAAATATTTCTGTAAAATATTTCATCTCTTTCTGTAAAGATTCATATAATATTCATATAATATTTCATCTCTTTCTGTAAAGACTTCATTTTGGATCTATTTTACAAGCTGGAGCAGACAGTAGGAAAAAGAGCCAACATTCATCAACTTAGGTGGAATATCCACAGTGTCTCACTTATGTCCCAGAACAACCTTGTGAGGTAAAAATTATCTTCATTTTACATCTGAGAAAGCTTGATAAAATTAATTTGGTTAGGGGCCAAGGTTACAGAGCAAGTAAGTTGTATATTGTGCCTGGCTGCTGTGCTTATTTTCATATTTTCAGTCCTTTAAATGCCCAAGATTCAGTTCAGTATCCCTGACATTCATCTTAACTAGTCTTTATCAGCACACTCTGGAACTCAGCCTGGAGATAAACACCTGCCCTATCAGTGATGCTCTGACCTGCAGGTGCACTCAGGGGCTGGAGCCTGTACTGCTCATTTCTCAACTGCCCATTCGCTGTGCTGGGTCTCAGGGACAGTGTGTTCTGTGAAAAATAATTTTCTGTTTGAAGGAGAAGTATGATATCATAGTTAGCATTTCTTATTCAAAAGAAAGGCTGTTCTTACAGTGTGACGGAGAACAAGAGGGCAGCTGTAGTGGTTTGTGCAGTTGAGAATATAAGCCCCCCACCGCCCCCATGATGACATTCTCATCAAAGAAAGAGAGAAAGACTTCTGCAGGTGCACCTCACTCTTTGGATTCGCATACCTATTGACTATTCACAGTTTACCTCAGAGTAAGATTTACAGAGTCTTTATTAAATAGTTTTTACATTTTACAAAGAAGTCTTCATCTTGAACAAAATAAGTACGCTATTTTTGAAGAGATTTAAGATGGTGAGAATGGCAGGTTCCTTTTGGAATGCTTGCTGCTTGGATATAGCTGAGGTTTTTATGTAGTGTGAAGTGAGCCTGCAGCCAAGACGTTTGCAATTCTTTCCCCCTGGTGAGAAGATTGATATTGAAAGATGAGGAAATGATCTCATAGCAGAGTTCACAGTTGTAAGTTTGACTTACTCCTATTCTCCTAGGTATGCAAAAATGCGATGGGAATTAAACAGTCCCTAAAAGAAGAACACACATATTTATCTGAGAAATAAGGAAGAAGCAACATGAATTCATATACTCTGCAGCTCACTGTTTAAACATTAGTTTGAAGCCATGTGGCAATTTAGGAAAAAGCAATTAAGACAAAGTTCTTCTTTTTCCATAAAGCCTTCATTCTGTATCATCTGAAAAATAGTTGTCTCCACTTTATAAAAATCACAATCTGGCTGGTTTTTCCTTGTCCCTGGATATTCAGTTCAGTCCCTGTCTTAAGTGCAGTGTGAAGCCCAACATTTCCTACAGTTTGTCAGAGGATTCCTGGCTCCTTCTGATACAGTCCACTCTGGTTTTGCTCTTTCAATCTTTCTTTTATTTTACTACTTGTGCCCATTGCTTTCTCCTCCATCTCAGTGTTTCTTTTATTTATTTATTTATTTATTTATTTATTTATTTATTTATTTATTTATTTTTGAGACAGAGTCTCACTCTGTCGCCCAGTCTGGAGTGCAGTGGCGCTATCTCGGCTCACTGCAAGCTCCGCCTCCCGAGTTCACGCCATCCTCCTACCTCAGCCTCCCGAGTAGCTGGGACTACAGGAGCCCACCACCACGCCCGGCTAATTTTTTTGTATTTTTTAGTAGAGACGGGGTTTCACCATGTTAGCCAGGATGGTCTCGATCTCCTGACCTTGTGATCCGCCCGCCTCGGCCTCTCAAAGTGCTGGGATTACAGGCGTGAGCCACTGCGCCTGGCCTCAGTGGTTCTTTTCCTGAATTTTCTCCAACAATAATCACATATGGCCATTGTGTGTAGTAGACTTTTTATTGCAGAGTTGGCTAATGTGGTGATAGGATTACAAAACACAGTAAATAATAGAAAGTAAAATTGAACAGAGAATGCTGTTATAAAATAGTTTTCTGTCATTTCTTTACCCTACCTATTTTCCTAGTTCCGATCTCTTTTCTTGCTCCCTACCTCAGCTCTCCAACTGCAGCTGGTTTTCATCCATGACTTCGAAGATATTTTTTTGCTCCTCTTCTGGTCTTTCCATCTATTATGCATATGTTGTTGTGCTTAATGATATCCCACATTTCTTGAGGCTCTGTTCATCTTTTAAAATTCATTTTTGTTTTTGTTCTTCAGATTTCATAATGTCTGTTGATCTACCTTCAAGTTTGATATGGTTTGGCTCTGTGTCTCCACCTAAATCTCACCTTGAGTTGTAACAATCCCCATATGTCAAGGGTGGGACCAGGTGGAGATAATTAAATCTTGGGGGTGGTTTCCCCCATGCTGTTCTCATGATTGTGAGTGAGTTCTCGTGAGATCTGATGGTTTTTATGGGGCTTCCCTCTTCGCTGGACAGTCATTCCCTCTTCTGCCGCCCAATGAAGAGGTACCATCCACCGTAATATTAAGTTTCCTGAGGACTCCCCAGACATGAGGAACTGTGAGTTACTTAAACCTCTTTTCTTTATAAATTACCCAGTCTTGATTATTTCTTCATAGCAGCATGAGAATGGAATCATACAAAGTTTATCTTCTATCTTTATGATCTATCTTCTATACTGATCTATCTTCCACTTCATCTGTTGCTTCAGATTTTGTAATCTCCATTGATCTATCCTCAAGTTTGCTGATTCTTTCTTCTGTCAATGCAGATCTACTTTCACACCTGTTATGGGTTGAGCTGTGGCCCTCCAGATTTATATAATGAAGTCCTAACCGCTAATACAACAGCATGTGACCTTACTTGGAAATAGGGTTGTTGCAGGTGTAATTGGTTAATATAAAGTCATACTAGAATAAAGTGGGCCCTTAATCTAAAAAGACTGGTGCCTCTATAAAAAGGGAACTGTGATGGTCATACTGAGTGTCAACTTGATTGGATTGAAGGATGCAAAGCATTTTTCCTGGATATGCCTGTGAGGGTGTTGCCAAAGGAGATTAACATTTGAGTCAGTGGGCTGGGAAAGGCAGACCCACCTTTAATCTGGGCGGGCACCATCTAATCAGCTGCTGGCATGGCCAGAACATAAAGCAGGCAGAAAAAAATGTGAAAAGGCTAGACTGGCTTAGCCTCCCAGCCTACATCTTTCTCCTGTGCTGGATGCTTCCTGCCCTCAAACATTGGACTCCAAGTTCTTCAGGTTTGGGACTTGGACTGGCTCTCCTTGCTCCTCAGCTTGCAGATGGCCTATTGTAGGACCTTGTGATTGTGTGAGTTAATACTACTTAATAAACTCCCCTTTATATGTATTTATCCAGTTAGTTCTGTCCCTCTAGAGAACCCTGACTAATATAGATATTTGGAGCCAGAGACACACACAAGAAGAATCCCATGTAAAGATAAAGGAAGAGATTGAGGTGATGCTGGAGAAGTGAAGGATCACCAAAGATTTCCAGCAAACCAAAAGAAGCTAGGAGACAGGCACGGAACAAATTGCTCCTTTAGAAGGAAACAAGACCGTGGACAATTTGATCTAAGACTTCTAGCCTCCAGCACTATGCAAAAATAAATTTCTGTTGTTAAAGCCGGCCAGTTTGTGATATCTCGTTATGAAATCTCTAGCAAACTAATACACATTCCTTTAGTGATTTTTTTTCCATTTCAGTATTGTACTTTTCAACTCCAGAATTTTCATGTGATTCTTCATATAATTTCTTTTATTAATGTTCTCTATTTGATGACTCTTTATGATCCTACTTTCTTTTGCTTTTTTTTTTTTACTTATATTTTAGGTTCAGGGGTACATGAGCAGCAGGTTTGCTATATAGGCAAACTTGTGTCATAGGGGTTCGCTGTACAGATTATTTCATCACCCAGGTACTAAGCCTAGTACCCAATACTTATTTTTTTCTGCTCCTCTCCCTCCTCCCACACTCCACCCTCAGGTAGGCCCAGGTGTCTGTTGTTTCCCTTTTTGTGTCCATGTGTTCTCTGATTGCCGACAAAGCTGACAAAAACAAACAATGGGGAAAGGACTCCCTATTCAATAAACTGTGCTGGGATAACTGGCTATACATATGCAGAAGATTGAAACATTCCTTACACCATATACAAAAATTAACTCAAGATGGATTAAAGACTTATGTGTAAAACCCACAACTATAAAAACTCTAGAAGACAATCTGGGCAATACCATTCTGGACATAGGAATGAGCAAAGATTTCATAACAAAGGTGCCAAAAGCAATCATAACAAAAGCACAAACTGACAGGATGTAATTCATCTTAAGAGCTTCTGCATAGCAAAAGAAACTATCAATGGACTAAACACATAATCTCCAGAATGGGAGAAAATATTTGCAAACTATGCATTTGATGAAGGTCTAATATCCAGCATCTACAAGTAACTTAAACAAATTTACAAGAAAAAATAACCCCATTATGTTCTCACTCATAGGTGGGAATTAAACAATGAGAACACATGGACACAGGAAGGGGAACATCACAACACCGGGGATGGTTGTGGGGTGGGGGGAGGGGGGAGGGATAGCATTAGGAGATATACCTAATGCTAAATGACGAGTTAAAGGGTGCAGCACACCAACATGGCACATGTATACATATGTAACAAACCTGCACATTGTGCACATGTACCCTAAAACTTAAAGTATAATAATAATAAAATAAAATAAAAGGAAAAAAATGTGGGCAAAGGATGAGAACAGACACTTTTCAAAAAAAGACATACATGTGACCAAGAATCACATGAAAAAACCATCAATATCATTGATTATTAGAGAAGTGCAAATCAAAACCACAATGAGATACCACCTCGCACCATTCAGAATGGCCATTTACTAAAAAGTCAAAAAATAACAGGTGCTGGAGAGGTTGCCAAGAAAAGGGAGTGCTTATCACTGTTGGCAGGAGGGTGAGTTAGTTCAACCATTGTGGAAATCAGTGTGGCAATTCCTCAAAGAGCTAAAACTATATTTTCTTTTAAGTCTTTAAACAGGCTTTCCTTTAGTTATACGAACATATTTATAATAGCTGCTTTGAAGCCTGCCTGCTGAGTCTAACATCTATATCACCTCAAAGACAATTTCTTTTGCTTCCTCTTTAAACCCTTGAATATGGGTCATCTTTCCTATGTCTCCGCATGTTCTGTATTTTTTTGTTGTTGTTAAAATCTTGACGATTTTAGACAATGTATTGTAGCTAATCTGTGTACTGACTCTACCCCTCTCCCCCGACTGGGGCTTGTTTTTGCTCTCTGTTTGTTTCATCTGTTTGTTTAGCGACTCGGCTGAACTAGTTCTGTGAACTCTATTTCCCTGGCAGTGTAGGCTCTGATGTCCCAGCTTAGATTATTTTCCCCTTGTTTTTGTCATTTAGTTCAGCTGTGCAGGGGTAGGTCTCAAGTCAGCAAAAGCCACTTTTCATCAAAAGGTTGTGCTTTAGCTCCTTAGCCCGTGCACATTTCATCTTTTATCATTGGATACATGTATGGCATAGGGGCTGGTTTTATAGTTTGGGGATTTTATGCTTTTGTTCCACATTCCACCAGGGACTAGTGGCTTGGAAGTTTCTTTTTTAGTCACCCCTGAAAAGATGCAGTTTTGAACATGCACGCAGTCTTCCAGACCTGTAGGGATGAGTGTGATTTTATTTTTAAGCCTGGCTTCCTAGGAACAGCCCCTGGGTCAGAATTGCTTATTTTCTAGTCAGTGTGTAGTCAGATGGGCCTACCAAGCCTCTTGCACCAGTGTTTGGTGCAAAAATGACCCATTGAGAGGTGGTAAACAAAGTTAGTTTCTCTCTCCCAGGACTAGTTCTGAAATCCAGGCCTCAAATTAACAAAAATTTATCCCTTGATATATTATTATTTACTGCTTATTTACACAAATCCTAAATGGCTGTGAAATGCCTGCTCTTGCACACAGTCTGCAGCTTGTACAGTCAGTCTTCCCACCCTCCAGGGTTGACTGTGACCTCTGGAAAGTTCTCCTTGGCTGTTTCTGTACCTGTCTTTCTCTTTGAAACTTCTGCTTTTCCATTGCATTTGTTGCTACTAGTATTATGGAACTACCAACCCCTCTTAATTGATCTTCACCAATTTGCCATTGTTTCTAATGCTTAAGTGTGCAATTTTCTATACTCTGTTCCAAATAAAGGTAGTTTTCTCAGGCAGATTTGTGGAGTTCTTTGTCCTTACGGCCTACCTTCTTGGTCTGCCTCTCTCTGGACAGAACCCGAATGACACTCCCTGCTCTACAGGACGGAGACAGAGGGAGGTTTTGATAGCCTTTGATCTTCTTGTTTTCCTTCTTCAAGCATAGATCCTCTGCCCTATTAGCTTGTTTGGGTGGGGTTAATGGGTCCTCAATATTCCTGACTTGCCATTCCTGGAATACAGCTTCTGCCCCAAAGTGGGAATTGGGTGGGTGAAGGAAACCTGAGTCCCCTCCACCATTCCCACTGGGAGGAGAGCGTCTACAATAAAGAAATGGAGTGTTGAGAGATAGAAGCAGCCTGATCTGGAAAGCACAGCATTGGACTGCAAGCTGGGGGTGGAGATAGCCCCATCTTCTTGGCTACACCTCCCTCATGCAGAGATCCCATAATGAGTGGGGCTTGGGGTGGAAGCTGATCATGGTTCAAATGCCACAGATTTTCTGTTCTTACTGAGATTCAGTAGATTTTATTGAATATGTGTTCCTCCATTTGCTGCATATGCTTGTGACACTTCCAGAGACTTTATATGATTAAAAAAAAAAATTTTAACCAGTTAAGTGGTTTTGGTACTGAGACTATACTGGGTCTGTCATACAGCCATTCTAGAAGTCCAGCATGCCCACTTAATTTTTACTTCTTGTCTCTTATTCATTACTCAGCTTCCCACCATGCAGCTGGCCATTCTCTCTCTTGCCCAACCACTTTTCTTTTCCTTCCTTGTTTTCTATCCCATACTAAACAACTCTTGCTTTTTTGAATGCAGAATAATTCATCGATCTCACTTTACTCTTCTTAATCCTCCTTTCCAAACAAAAATGACCCATTGAGAGGTGTAGTAAAGAAAGTCAGTTCCTGTCTCCCTGGACTAGTTCTGAAATCCAGGCCTCAAATTAAGAAAAATTTATCCCTTGATACATTATTTTTTATTTCTTATTTTCTCAAATCCTAAATGGCTGTGAAGAGCCAGGCACTATGCTGGAGCCAATAAAGGAAGAGGCTTCTGCATCCGAGAGGCTCTCAGTCTTCTAGGGGATACAGACATGGGAATAACCCATGGCGACTGTGTGCAAAGGCTGAAACAGGAGGATGTGCAAGGGCTCTGGGGACCACTTGCTGTCTGGTAACCCAGACAAAGTTTCAGAGAAGGAGGCAAGGGCATCTCAATCAGAGGAACTACAGGGAGGCCAGGCCAAAAGGTGTAAAATGGTGAGGTTTGAGTCATTACAAATCGTTCACTGAGAGCAGAGGGGACGAGTGTAGAGATGTGCAGATGTGAGAAACAAGAAAGGCAGACAGAGACTTGCTACCTGTGTTAACTTGGTAGTTCCAATTCTAGCACCCTAATTAGATGTGGTTTAACAAGGACTGACTCATATTGAGACCTCCTGCTATTCAGTTAATGAACTAGACTCTGCTGGAAATAGTAAAAGCTTTCCATAGGTAATTGCTTAACTATTATCTGGAATACTGGCTGTTTTTAAGTTGACAATTAGAATCTCACATCAAAAAGATAGTAGGCAGACACCCGCATCCCAGGACTTGCTAAGAGATAGCTAAGCTGGTCCTCTGAAGCTCATCTGATTTTTCATCCAGCCCGTTTAACCAAAAGACTAGATCCTTAAGGAGAGTTCGTGGGCAGAGTCCCTAATAGAGGGGAGATGTCAGCTTAGGGATGGCGGTGAGGATCTGTTTCTCATCCCAGGAAAGTGAGGGGCACCAAGAGAACCATCTGGAAAGATTGGGAGTACTTCCCAGAGGGGGATCCTGGTATCTTACTCCTTGCCTGACACTTACTATGTGCCAGACAATATAGGATACACTTATATGTATCTAAAGTTATTTAATCCTTAGAGCAGCCACAAAATATTGGTATTTTGGTTTTTCAATTTTACATATGGGGCCCTGAGACTTGCTCAAGGTCATGTAGATGGTAAACAAAAGACCCAGGGTTTGAGTCTGTGAGTCTGGCTGCCATGCTGCCTTTTGCTGTGAGTGGATGGGATCAGGCCATCTTGGAAGAGCCCACCCTAGACAGCAGTTTGCTGGGTTGAGGGAACACTGGGCTGTGAGGAAGCAAAGCTGAGTAGGGCCATCACAAGAGGTCAGGAAGGGAGGTCATTGCCTAGTGAATAGGGGACAGAAGAGTGGAAGAGAGGAAGAATGGACCACACTCCTTTCTTTACTCTAGGTACATGGATGATGGGTGTGACCTGTATCAAGGCAGGGGTAAAGTTCTGAAGTATAGATAGAAATAGATCATAACTTTAATGACTGACAGTGCATCCCAATTATTATTGGGATTCCAGGAGGCAACACTTAATATACATATTTCGTGCCTGATTTCTGTTTGAATCAACTGATAGATTCAGAAGTTAGACAGAGGAAGATACAGCATTGTTTTAACTTTGCAGATAAAGCTGGTTGAAGAATGAGGCTTCTGTTGTATTGCACATGACTGCTAAAACCTTATCCCAGAATTCATTTGCCCATCCACTTACAGGCAATGTTGAACAACTGTTCAAGAAGTAGTGAGGGAGGTAGAAGAGAGACAAGGGCTTCCTCCAAAGGACATTTTCTACTTGGATATGTAAGGAGTAGTGAATATGTGATTGGAAAGTGATAGAACCTGAAATTAACTGGAGTCTGAAAGTGACAAGAAAACAATGAACTTCTCCAGAAATATTGGCAAAAGTAGGGACAAGACACTGGAGAGAGCATGTTTGAAGGCAGTCATCGGTTGGCATAAAGTCTTTCCCTAAAACCTAGGAGTTTGGCCCATTTCACATTTCACATTTCAGTTTGCAGAGATTATTTGTACCCATCTTCCATGTAGGGAGAGAACACACAGCCCTAACTTGTTTCTAAGTGTGAAGGATGGTCTCTCTTCACTTACTTATTTCACTTCATTATTTATTTATTTTATTTATGCTTTCCTCCTTCCCAGTTCTCCCACTGATTGCAATGTTATTCAAGTTAATTTTCATAAATAAATTATTCCAACAATGGATTAAGTATAAATTAGTTGACATAATTGTGCATTCATTTTGGTAAATACAGAATGTGACATTAAGTATTTTATGCTAACATAAGCTCTTGGTTTCTTTGATCATTAACATTTTCTGAATAATAATAAATCACATCTTTCTCATTATCCTTTAGGTTCCTTTAAAATCCATGAATTTCATTGGAGAGTGATAGAGGAAAACAAAGATCATTCTTAGCTAGATTCCTGTATGGAATACAACAAAATAGAAAACACACACACTCACGGCTTCCTTTCTTAATGAAAGTATGTTTCATTCCCATTAGTAGATCATTTTTTCTGTCTTAATTTTGAGGCACTTCCCAAAACAGCAAGATTGAATGTAGTTATTTAAAGGAATTCAAATCTTGAAAATTGGTGACTCCCTTCCATTCCATAACTCAAAGTAATCTGGGGCTCAAAGAGCATCCTAAAGCTAAAACAATTTATTTTAAAGATAACTTGCAGAAGGAGTATTCTTAATCACTGTCTTCTTTTCCATTTTCTCCCTCATGTTTCATTTCCTTCCTTGTCTTTCCCCCATTCTCCTTCCTCTCTCCAACTCTTCCCTCCTTCTCATCCTCCTTCTTCATACCTTCAACAGATTTAGACTTGCAAGGTCCTTAGGTTCCAAGACCCTGAAGGGAGAGTGTCCTTTTCCTGGGAATCCCAGCAAGGCCCTTGGAGGGCTTTGCTTGGCCTGGCTCAGGTCCCATCCAATGTATATGAAATGGCCTGAAGGATGTGACTCTGATGGGTCAGGACATGGTTATGATGTAAATCTGGAGAGTGGGAAACGTGGTGAGTCACAAGGCATGAGCAACAGGAAGGGGTGGTTCACAGAAGCATCAGAAATATTCTTTTGCCAAACAAAGTGGGGAATGGATGCTGGCAAGAAAGAACAGTGGAGTACTTCTACAGCTGTCATCTGTGTGTGTGTGTGTGTGTGTGTGTGTGTGTGCGCACATGCACTCGTGTGTGTTTAACCCAAGGGCTATGCTAAGAAAGCCCTTTCCCAGTACAAGTGTATAATATTTTTATGTTTTTGCAATTATATTTAATGTGATAAGAATTTGTTCTGGGGTTAAGTAGTGGTATCTTTTGAATCCATTTTTTTAAAGTGGCCAATTTCTGAAGATGGTTTCTTAAATAATTCATAATTTCTCAACTGATTGTAAGAGTTTGTTTTTTGTTTTTTGTTTTTTAAGTTAAACTGCCCTACACACACCCAGAACCAATAGAGGACTGGTCTTTGCATGATTTGCTACACTGCCCTTCCTGTCAGGAAAGTTCACAGTTCCTTTCTTCCTTCCACCCAAACTTCTTGTTTTGTTTTTGTTTTTGATTTTGGCTGATGTTACTTTCCTATTGAGTAAAATGGGAGCTGAACATGGGCATAGACATGAGTGTATTTGAAAAGCAAAGAAAAGAAAGGAACAAGGTTAGAGCCACTTAGTTGTTAAAAAAAAAAAATGCCCAGAGAAGTTTTCTCCATCTGTTGCTGCGTGTCGGCACACTGGAGAGACTTCCAGCAATGGGGGGTGTGGGGGTCACAGATCTAAGGGTTAGAAGCCAATGCCCAAAGGAGTAGGGGTGCTCTACCAGGGATGCGGGACTACAAGTAAGAGGTGGTCAGTGCAGCTCCTTGTGTCACAAAGTACTCTTGCATTCTGGCCGCTGGATTTTGACATGAGGATCGTGGACCCCCAGGAAACAGTGTGGATCTGGAAAGGGCAGAGGGCTTTCCTCTTCAGATGTGGTTGGTTATGGACTTGGCACATGTGGTTTGGCTGATCTGCTCTTCCAGAAGGTAGTTTGCCCAGATGTGATCTGCTTGTGGGCATGCACCACCTGCAGTGTGGCTGTCCTATGTGTCATTGCTCACTTTCTTGTACTTGCTGAGCGCAGGGTCCTCTTTGGCAAGCACAGTGGATTGCTGGGTCCTGCAGTGCCTGAGGGGCTCATGGCCATGGCCAGGACCAGGATGGCCACCAGGATCCTGGGTTGCATGGGGACCTAGCCATGGTCTGCTCAAATGCAGAGCACCTAGCATGGAGCTGCAGCCAGCTGTAGGGGTGTGAAGGGGGCCTAGTAACATCTTAGGTGACTCCCTAGTTGGGTTCTTATAGCCCCTAAGGTATCAGGGGATCCCAATAGCCATAAGCCCAACTTTAGCTTGCCCTTCTCTGAAGACCACTGTCATGGCAGCATTTGGATAACCAAGAACTTTTTGTTTTACATATATCCATTTCTTTACCCACTTCAAATCAACTTAAAATCGACAAGTATATAGGTTTTCTTGGCCATCTTTAGGAAATAAGATGGGAGCAGAGACTTTCCTGCACATATTTTAAGGCATAAGAAATTAATTTAAAATAAGAACATTAATTAAGTATTCCATGATGGAAATAGCAGTAGATATCAAGTCAGAATACTCTTATTTATTCTGCTTGATAATAATCTGCTTGACCTTGGGCTTGTTGCCTAACTTCTAAGCATCAGTTTCCTCATCCACAAAGTGAGAGTAATACTGTGACTTGCAAGGTTATTTTAAAGATTAAATGAGACTTCTTGAATATCATTATCAATCTGGCAGTGTGTTCACATTGATGAGTCAATGCTCAAGTAGATGTAACTCATCTTCAAAGCCTCAAAATTCCTCTCATGTATCCATCATTGCCAAATTCTTTATAAATGTAGGAAACAGTATAGGAAACAGTTTAGCATAGCTTGCTCATGTTAGTAAAGTATTCTCTATGTCTGTTCTAGCACTATTTATAGTGCTATTCAAATCCAGGTCCTTGAATTTAAAAAATGAATGGAGGACAAATAAGTTGATAAGATTATAACTGCCTGGCTCATGGTAGAAGTTTCTCAAATGGGTGTTATTTTAAAATGTAATCAAGACAATTGAAATAGGTGTTCAAAACATGTGGCATACTATCGGCAGTAAATATTCTGGCCATACTCCCCGTGGAAGAATTAGTTTTAAAACTTTAAATAGTTATGTGTCTGTAATGCTCATGCACATGGGCTTATGTTATTCATGTTACCTATTTTGTAGCTTCTTGAAACTAGCTTTCCTCTGCCACATTTCCCTTCTCTTCCTGAAGGGCATGCACACTCTTCTGAGTGGTGGGAGTGTGTGAACATGCCAAAAGAAGTGTGGGGTCCTGCAGTTTGTGATGGCGAATGGGCAGTGGTTGCCTCCATTCTCAGGGCTCTTCCTTGGAGCTATTTCTTTTTTTTTTTAATTTTATTTTTTTTTATTATACTTTAAGTTTTAGGGTACATGTGCACAATGTGCAGGTTTGTTACATATGTATACATGTGCCGTGTTGGTGTGCTGCACCCATTAACTCTTCATTTAACATTAGGTATATCTCCTAATACCATCCCTCCCCGCTCCCCCCACCCCACAACAGGCCCCGGTGTGTGATGTTCCCCTTCCTGTGTCCATGTGTTAGGGCACCGGCTGCACTTAGGTGTTGTCGGGTTAAATTAAATATACACCAGTTAGCATTTTCCAAGCAAAATTATATATGTGGGCACTGTCATATTTTTTAAATGCAAGCTGAATATGAGTGGGAGTCTGGTATTTTTGGATCTCTTTTGTGCAGACAGACTTGAGAGTGGCTCCTAAGATCCCCACCTCCTGGTGTTCAGTCTCACAAGTGATCCCCTTCCCTCAAGTGTGGGTGTGGTCTGTAACTTGCTTCTAGCCAATAGAATATGGAAAAAATCTATGTGATTTTTATGTATGTGGTTCTATGATTATATATATTACATAAAATTTCAGCACTGGTTAGCTGGGATCTCTTTCTTCCTTGTTGGCTTTGAACAAGCAAGCTTCCATGAATTGAGCAGCCTGGTTGGGGAAGCTCACATTGCAAGGAATTCTAGGCAATCACTAGTTGCTGAGGGCAGTCCCTGTCCTACAAACAGCAGGAAAATGAGGCCCTTGTTTCCACAGTGACAAGGGAATGAACTCTGCCAACAATCCGACAGAGCTTTGAAGCAGGTCCTACCCAGTTCAGCCTCTGATGAGAACACAGACCCAGGCAACACCTTGATTTTAGCTGTTTGGGACCCTAAGGCAGAGGCCTCAGCTAAGCCATGTTTAGACTCCTGACACACAGGAATTACAGGACTATCTACAGAACCCTTAGATAATAAATAGGTGGTGTTTTAAACTGCTAAGTTTGTGGTTTTTGCTTATGTATCAATAGATAACTAATACATTTTCCCCCATATTTTTCACCAGATCAAATGCCCTGTTGTTAGTTAGCATCTGATAAGCCAATGAGTTGAAGTAGGAAATTCTCTTAATCCATATGTATGCAAAAGTTTGCTATAAAGGGATAAATAAGTCAGCATTTATGGGCCAATGATATATTAAAAAGTGTGTGAAAAGCACTGGCCTGAGATTCATGTTCTAGGTTCCAGGCTTAACTCTAACATCTTATGTCATTCTCATCTTAGACCTTTCTATTTCTTAACTTAAAAATGAAAATTTTGAATCAGGCAAATCTTAAGCTCCACTGTAGTTGTAAATTGTATTACAGGGTTTAAATTTACAGCTCTAAGAACTAGAACTTTGTTAGCTCTAGTTAACTGTTAAATAAATCTCTTGTTTGTTTTGGAATTCCTGATGCTCATAAGTGTCTGGTTGGGAATAAAAGGGCCTTACTTAATGACTGAAGAGAGCACATTAACTTCTCAGTAGAAACCAGCTGTTTAATTTACATAATATTTTTAAAATCTCATCTTTTTTTTTTTAAGCTGGGAGATCTATCAGCAGGAATATGACAATTTAGGTACAGCCTGTTAAGTATAAATAGATTTTCTCCATTCATTACCATATTAAAGAAAAGAGGAACTTCTTTCCAAGCTGAAAAATGTGAAATGTTTTGGCCTTTATACATTTCCTGTCCAAGAAAAAAATTAAAAAAGAAAGAAAGAACAAAAGAAAAACAAAACAAAAAAAAAGAAGATCAATCTATTTGGATTACACAAAGAATAAAAATAATTTTATTTATTTTATTATTTAAAAAATATTTTGTGCATCCCAATTAGAGTAGGGAATCTTTGTTGCCTTACTTGCAGTTTATAGTTCGTGTAAAAGAGCCTATCCAGTAGGTGTCAGCAAAGTAGTCTTACAAATCCTCACAAGGGGCTTCTCCTATTAGCTTTATAACCACTGCTAAGTAAATTATAAGAACTTTTCTTTCTACCGGGAAATATGTTACATCAGTGTATCTACAATTAAAGAAAAGAATGAAGAAAGAAAGAAATAAATTTCCTGATAGAAAAAAAATCTGCTTTCTTCTCTTCTTTTTTGGCCCCACGTAACAAAAAGTGCATTCTGAGATATCATAGAGAGAAAGAGCCTCCTGGTTTCGGATATCGTAATAAAACAGGAGATCATGTGTACCTGGGTAGCACTCACAGAAGATATTATGATGTTGCGAAAAGGTGTTAAGACGTATGTGGGTGTTGGGTATGTGCATATCTATCTCTCATAGTCGGAGAAGCCCAGATGGTAAAATCTGAGCTGGAAAGTTTCTGAAATAAACAGCACAGCCACATTAACAACATCATTTTGAAATATATGGAACTTAAGAGGAAAATAGAACAGATAAGTATAATGCTAACCTAAGGTGGAATGTGTGTTCCTTCTTCCCTTCCTCTGAGAGAGGCCGTGGTAAGGGGTTGTGAGAAATCCTAGCACAACCAGAGGGTGTCCTGTGGGAAGAGGAGAGAATAGGTCTTAGAGAGGAAAGGAGAGCTTGTTTCTCAGGAAAGATGTGTAGGCTCAGAGGCGGCCACATTCCCAAGGAGGACTTGGAAAGTATCCAGCCTGATCACAGGACTGAAAAGGAATTACATTACAGTGGGGAAGATGGACTAACAACCATGGAACATAAAGAGAAGAGAAGCAGAGTAGAAATGAGGAAATTTATTTCTTTTTTTGGTTTTATCGAATTTTAATTCAAGTATAATATAGGTCAAGAAAGTGCATGTATCTTAAGTGTAAAATTCAATAAAATGTATATATATTAATACATAGTCTACAAATACGTACTAATAAAGATAAAATTTGCCCTACTGGCAGAAGAACTCTGAAGGAAGAAGAATGGAGAATTGAAACAGAAAATCAACTTTTCAAAAGAGGTTACACTATAACTTGCAAAAGTAGAAAAGTTGGGCCAAACCAAACCAAACCAAACCATCCGGTGTGTTGTAGACTAGATTCAAACTCCTTGAACTGCAGCCTATTCAGATCTGTGTATTTCAAGACAATGGGGTAAACTGACCCAACAGTGACTCCAAAGGGATCCTGTGTTCTAAAGATAAGATGCCTGACTGTTCCAGACACTCCCCAGTTTACAAATTCAGACCATTCCCTGCCTGTCCTGTCCTGTGGTTAATTTCAACATCAAAAACATTAAGAACACGGCTTGACTAATTCTTCTCTTCGGAGACATACCACAATTTACCATAGTGTTGATCTCTCTTGCTGCAGCAAGTAAGAAAAGTAACTGTTCTCTACAGGTGTGTTCCTGGTAATCTCTGACTCAGAGGCACCAACATACATCAACGCTCCTGTGTAAAGCTCACTCAGATTGAGAAACAACATTGCCAGCACCCCCGAGGCTTTTTTGGCCCCTTGCAGTTATTACCATTCCCTGTAATAACCAGTATTCTGACTTCTATCATTATGGATTTTTTTTTACAAAAATAAAATCAAACACATGTACCTTTTTGTGTCTGTCTTATTTTGTTCAGTATTATGTTTTTGAAATTCCTCAACTTGTGTGTGTAGCATTAGCACATTATTCTCATTGATGTATAGTATGCCAGCATATGAATATACCACCATTTATTTAGCCATTCACTGTTGGCCATTTGGGTTGTTTCCATTTGATGCTAGGTCAAATAATACTGCTCTGAACATTCTTGTACATGACTTTTTGTGCATATATGCATGCACTACTTTAGTTGTGTGCCTGGGGGTAGAATCATAGGATCTCCATTTGTTTAGTTCATGGTTACTGGAAAACAGTTTCCGAGGTATTTATCCCAATGGATACTTCCATGAGCACTGTATGAGGCAGTAGTTTTCATCACTCTCATCCTATTAACATTCCAGATGCCTGAGGCCTGTCCTACAGCAATTAAATTAGAATCTTTGTGGGTGGGGCTAGAGACTCCTAGTTTTTAGGTGACTCCTAGGAAATTCTAATGTGCAAATAGGGTTCATAACCACTGATGTAAAGAGGTCCCAGGATCAGTAGCACTGTACCACAATGGGAAAGTCTACCTTATGGAGAAGGGATTTAGATACTCAAAAGGCCTCCAACCCTGGGCTTCCTAATGCCTCAGAAACACCCAACATGAACTGAGTTGAGTAGGATCTATGTGCGTAGGATCTATGTGCCGGTACAGGGGTCACACTTTGACAGCCACTTATCTAAAGCAAGCCCAGGGTAGGTATTCTTTCTGTGCTTGGTGAATGATGTAAGTTTAGCATACTAGCTCTAAAAGGGAAGCTTTTTCACTTAATCAACTCTGATAAATTAAATAGTACTTCAGACTAGAAATTTTACATCAGAAACAAAGATTGGTAATTCTACTCACAAGCTATTAGTGAATCATTTGGAGAAAGAGATGCCTTATAATCTAAATGGAGTTACATTTCTACAAAGGATTCTTTTAGATATATTCTTCATAGTTCAGGCTGATCCCTATTTTCTCTAACTTTCTTCAGTAGTTTTAGCCATTCTGTGATGGTGTGATGGTATCTCCTGAGGATTTACTTTGCATTTTCCTGATAATCAATGATATTGAGCACCACTTCACATATTTGTTACCTATTGATATCTTTTTTTTTCTGTTTTGAGACGGAGTCTTGCTCTGTCACCCAGGCTGGAGTGCAGTGGTGTGATCTCCGCTCACTGCAACCTCTGCCTCCTGGGTTCAAGCATTCTCCTGCCTCAGCCTCCAGAGTAGCTGGGACTACAGGCGTGTGCCACCATGCCCGGCTAACTTTTTGTATTTTTTTAGTAGAGACGGGGTTTCACCGTGTTAACCAGGATGTTCTCTATCTCCTGACCTCTTGATCTGCCAACCTCAGCCTCCCAGAGTGCTGGGATTACAGGCTCGAGCCACCGCGCATGGCCCCAGATACTTTTTTTGATGAATTGCGGATTTGTAGGAAGGCTTTGGGATTTAGTTTGAATGTTAGATCTGGATTTGAGCCCTAGATTTGTTGCTTACTAGCTGTGTGATATTAGTTGGAGCTGGGACCATCAGTCTATTAGAGAAGCATTTAAGAGAACAAATTTTACAACAGTTTATGTGCAATTTCAATGTTAATCCAAAATCATTTCATATATATACATAATATATAATATATAACCTGCCTTGGTTTCTAAAAATCTCTATTTGACAAGGCTCTGTTAGATTTTGCTTTCCTGAATTCTGAAAATCTTTGGGTGCTAAGATGTACAGCTCATGGTTCAAATTTTTTGTTTCCTGACAACCCTTAGAAGGCTTTTTGCTCCATGGAGTCACCCCTCCCTTAGGCCTATTTTCCTCCTGTCTTCTGTGATCAGGAAACTGGGGATTGGAGAAGTGGAACAATCTGGTTGAGACCCACTGCTCTTAGAAAGTGGTAGTGTATGGTATTCAACTCAGGCCTGCTGGGTCCGAGAGAGTAGACTGACTATGCACTAGACCATGCTGCCTCTTGATAGAGCCCCAAGGTTTGAGTTGGAAAGGATTTCGTTGAGCGACTGCTAAGTGTGAGACACATTTGGGCATTGAAATACCATGCTATAGACTGTAGTCCTTGTACTATGTTCTCCTTCCTACGACGTGCATTATGTAAATATTTACAATCACCTGATATGCCTAACTGCACATTTACTAAGCATATATTATAGGCATGATAAATACAATAATGAATAAGATACACATAATTCCTCCCCACATGGAGCTCACTACAAACAACTATTTCAAAAGAGGTTTAGAAGGCCCATAGAAAGGTATTAGAATAGATACATATCTGTGTGTTATTTGTGTGTGTGTGTGTGTGTGTGTGTGTGTGTTTTGCATAAGTACAAAATGAAGGACTATTGAACTCAGGGTTCTACCCCTCCTTGCCTCTTCTCAGGCCTTACTTGATCTACTGTTTCAAAATTTTTCTTCCACCTGACTTTTTCTCATCATTATTTAAGCGGCCCAGTTTCTCCCCTCTTTAAAACAAAACAGTACCAATGACAAAACCTCCTTCCATGACCCTGCACACTCCCACTGGAGGGCAGGGGAGGTGAGGTAATGGGGAGCAGTGTCATGGAAGAAGGGTGCAGGGTTCATGGAAGGAGAGTGTAGGGTCATGGAAGGAGGGTGCAGGGTGATGGAAGGAGGGTGTAGGGTTATGGAAGGAGGGTGCAAGTTAATGGAAGGAGAGTGCAGGGTCATGGAAGGAAGGTGTAGGGTCATGGAAGGAGGGTAAAGGGTCTTGGAAGGAGGGTGCAGGGTCATGGAAGGAGGGCGTAGGATAATGCAAGGAGGGTGTAGGGTCATGGAAGGAGGGTGTAGGGTCATGGAAGGAGTGTGTGTAGGGTCATAGAAGGAGTGTGTGTAGGGTCATGGAAGGAGTGTGTGTAGGGTCATGGAAGGAGTGTGTGTAGGGTCATGGAAGGAGTGTGTGTAGGGTCATGGAAGGAGTGTGTGTAGGATCATGGAAGGAGTGTGTGTAGGGTCATGGAAGGAGGGTGCAGGGTCATGGAAGGAGGGTGCAGGGTCATGGAAGGAGGGCGTACGATAATGCAAGGAGGGTGTAGGGTCATGGAAGGAGGGTGTAGGGTCATGGAAGGAGTGTGTGTAGGGTCATGGAAGGAGTGTGTGTAGGGTCATGGAAGGAGTGTGTGTAGGGTCATGGAAGGAGTGTGTGTAGGGTCATGGAAGGAGTGTGTGTAGGATCATGGAAGGAGTGTGTGTAGGGTCATGGAAGGAGGGTGCAGGGTCATGGAAGGAGGCTTTCTCTTTGGTATTGTTGTGTTTGAAAGAGGGATAAACTTGGATGTGTAAGTATTTCCTGCCTAAGCCTCTGGAGAGCACATCTCATCCCAATTCCTCATGGTCCCTTGGTCTTCAATGCGATCAGCCTACCCCTGTGGGTGCTGCTAGTTTTCTGAGACAACAGCAGTGGTGCTGCATTGAAAGCATGTTCCTCAGGCTCCACCTTCCTCATTTCTCAGCATCTCATGACTTAGCTGGACATGCCTTCATTCTTCTTGCCAATTTTTCTTCTCCAGTTCTTCCCATGACTTCTCAGTCTTCCTGGGTTTTTTTGTTTTCAGTTGGTCTCTCAGGATACTATCCTAGAAGTTCTTCTCTCTCAACATACTCTCCATAGGCATCATCTCACTCCAGGATGACACCATCAAGTCTCTATCTTCAGCATCTATGACTCACAACTGAGATTCAGTCCCAAATGTCCAACTGTCCACTGGATATCTCCATGTAGACATCTGACAGGACACCTCAAACATCACATATTCCAAGTTAAATTCATTATCTGCACCCTTTGTTCTGTTTACTCTGTTCCCTAAATCAGTGAGTAGCACCTATATCTAAGAAGTTGTGAATTATCCTGGAATCTTTTCTTTCCTTTTATCCCCCAAATCAAACCAGTTGCAAATTTTACCTCCTGAATTTTCTCCCTACCTCTCCACCATTGTATGGTGGAGACTCCTGTACTAACACGCTTCCTAAATGTTCTTCTGGCCACCAATATTGTTCCCACCAAAACTAATTTTCTTGCACCAGCTGGAAATTTGTGTCCTAAAGGGCAAGTTGGTCATGTCCCTGCTATGTTTAGAACACTCCAAAAGCTTTATAATCCTCAGGAGCAATTGTAAGCCCTTTATCTTGACTTGTGAAACCATTTCTTATCTATATCTGGCTTACATGGCTTGCCCCTCTGTCCTGTCTCCTCTCATTTTCTTTCTTTTGAAACAGAGTCTCACTCTGTCACCCAGGCTGGAGTGCAGTGTTGTGATCTCAGCTCACTGCAACCTTGGCCTTCCAGGCTCAAATGATTCTTGTGCCTCAGCCTCCCAAGTAGCTGGGACTACAGGCATGTGCCACCATGCCCGGCTAATTTTCTTTTTATTTTTAGTATAGACGGGGTTTTGCCATGTTGGCCAGACTGGTCTCGAACTCTTGGCCTCAAGTAATCCAACTCCCTTGGCTTCCCAAAGTGCTGGGATTTTAGGTGTGATCCATCATGTCTGGCCCCATCTCTCCTTATTCTTCCCTGAAATCATAGTGATCCTATTTATCTTTTTTTCAGCCCTACTCTTTCTTTTGCACGGGGGCTTTTCTCTTTTGTAACCCTTGCTTCTTCCTTCCACACCCCATGATCTTACTCACTTTTATTCATCCTCACTTCTCATCTTAGCTCCCATTTCTCTAGAAAGAATTCCCCCTTTTCTCCCAGCCAGCTTGAATTAAGTGACTCATCCATATGTTCTCACAGCTCCTAATTAATTCTGCTCAGAGCTATGACTTAAAATTCACAGTGTGATTACCTGTGAAGGCAGCCATAGGACCGTGTTTATCAGGCTCCTTATTTCCCCCTAGCATCTAGAACAGTGTAGAAAGAATGTTTAAGGATTATATGTACATAAAAACTCCTCAAATATTTCCACATAAACTTTTTTTTTTTTTTTTAAAAAAAAAGCCAAATGCAAGAGTTCCTGAACTGAGGGGTAATGCTTCTATAGTGATGTCTCCCAGACACTGTTACTTTCTGGCTATTGTTATTTCATTCCTGTAGGTCTCCTCTTAATCCTCTGTCTTTATTTCCCAATTCTCCTGCAATTAGAGAATCATGTGATAAATTGTAGGACAAACAAACAAACCAATATATTTTTGCATTCTCTGCAAGGAGCAAAATTGGAGACAAAATTCTCTATGTTCTGTCATTCCATCAAAGGACACAATACAAAAAATGCCACAGGATCTGGTCTCTGATGTTGACACCAAAAATTGCTTTGTGGATAAGCTGTGTGTGGCATCACATAATTGCATACTTGTAATTTCTACATATTTCCAGGAATTCAACCATAAACATTTAGAAATATGGCTAATATCCTTAATTTTAACTTTCCTCTAATTATAGCGCTTTAATTGCTAATTGTGATTGTCCAGAACTTTTACACAAGCAAGAACTTCCCAAAGGATTTTCTGTGGAAACTAGTCCCTTAAGCTGCTCATCTAGACAACAGTCCTGTATTTAATAAGTTTGGGAGCTATATGTCCTCTTTTCTTTCAGCAAGTCACAATACACATCAGCCTAATGCAGGCTCTGTGATGTGTGCAGTCATCTCAGCATCTCCAGTCCATTTTCAATCATAAAATCCTTTTTTCTGTAAATTTATTAATTTGCTGAAGAATGTAGTTTAAATAAATTGATTTTGGCTTCTTATTTCTGCCTTGTAGCACTCCCTGTGCTAACCAGATTCCTACCTTTATTAGCAACTGTATAAAATAATAATAGTGACAGTAGTTAATATTTATTGAGTGTTACTGTGTCCATTATTCTAAGTACTTTATAGGTATTAGCTCATTAATCTTTCCACCTATCCTATGAGGTAGATATTATCATCATCATCCACCTTATATAGACAAGAAAACTTAGGCACAAAGAGGTGAAGTATTTTGTCCAAGATCACATAGCTGTTGAGTAGTGGAGCTAGGATTTGAACCCAGGCAGTTAGATTTAAGAATATGGGCTTAGTATCATTTCTGGTGACTTATCTAACCTTATTTCCTTTTACTATCCTGGATCCTGCACAGTACCTTTCAAATGGTAGGTGTATTAGTCCATTTTCACGTTGCTGATAAAGACATACCTGAGACTGAGCAATTTATAAAAGAAACAGACTTAATGGGAGGTACAGTTCCAAGTGGCTGGGGAAGCCTCACAATCATGGTGAAAGACAAGGAGGAACAAGTCACATCTTACATGGATGGCAGCAGGCAAAGAGAGAGCTTGTGAAGGCACAACTCCTGTTTTTTTAAAACCATCAGATCTTGTGAGACTCATTCATTATCAAGAGAACAGCACAGGGAAGACCTGCCCTATAATTCAATCACATCCCACTGGGTTCCTCCCATGACACATGGGGATTGTGGGAGTTACAATTCAAGATGAGATTTGGGTGGGGACACAGAGCCAAACCATATCATTCCATCCCTGGCCCCTCCCAAATATCATGTCCTCACATTTCAAAACCAATCATGCCTTCCCAACAACCCCCCAAAGTTTCAAATCATTTCAGCACTAACTCAAAAGTCCACAGTCCAAAGTCTCATCTGGGACAAGGCAAGTCCCTTCTGTCTATGAGCCTGTAAAATCCAAAGCAAGTTAGTTACATCCTAGATACAATGGGGGCACAGGCATTGGGTAAGTACATCCATTTCAAATGGGAGAAATTTGCCAGAACAAAGAGGGTACAGTCCCCATGCAAGTCCAAAGTCCAGTGGGGCAGGCAAATCTTAAAGCTCCAAAATGATCTCCTTTGGCTTCATATCTCATATCCAGGTTATGCTGATGCAAGAGGTGGGTTCCCATGGTCTTGGGAAGTTCCACCCCTGTGGCTTTGGAGGGTACAGCCTCCTTCCTGGCAGCTTTCATGGGCTAACATTGAGTGTCTGCAGCTTTTCGAATCAAACAGTGCAAGCTGTCAGTGGATCTACCATTCTGGGGTCTGGAGGGTGGTGGCCCTCTTACAGCTCCACTAGGCAGTGCCCCAGTAGGGACTCTGTGTGGGAGCTCTGACCCCACAATTCCCTTCAGCACTGCCCTAGCAGAGGTTCTCCATTAGCGCCCTGCCCCTGCAGCAAACTTGCCTGAGCATCCAGGCATTTCCATATGTCCTCTGAAATCTAGGTGGAGATTCCCAAACCCCAATTCTTGACTTCTGTGCACTCGCAGGTTCAACACCACATGGAAGCTGCCAAGGTTTGGGGCTTGCACCCTCTGAAGCCACAGCCCAAGCTCTCCACTGGACCCTTTCAGCCATGGCTGGAGCAGCTGGAATGCAGGGCACCAAGTCCCTAGGCTGCACACAGCACAGGGACCATGGACCTGGCCCACAAAGCTATTTTCTCCTAGGCCTCCAGGCCTGTGATGGGTGGGACTGCTGTAAAGGCCTCTGACATGCCCTGGAGACATTTTCCCTATTGTCTTGGGGATTAACGTTCTGCTCCTTGTTACTTATGCAAATTTCTGCAGCTGGCTTGAATTTCTTCTTGGAAATGGGTTTTTCTTTTCTACCACGTTGTCAGGCTGCAAATTTTTCAAATTTTTATGCTCTGCTTCTGTTTTAAAACTGAATGCCTTTAACAGCACCCAAGTCACCTCTTGGATGCTTTGCTGCTTAGAAATTTCTTCTGCCAGATAACCTAAATCATCTCTCTCAAGTTTAAAGTCGCACAAATCTCTAGGACAGGGCAAATTGCCACCAGTCTCTTTGCTAAAACATAACGAGAGTCAGCCACATTTGTTCCAGTTCCCAGCAAGTTCCTCATCTCCATTTGAGACCACCTCAGCCTGGACCTTATTGTCCATATCACTATCAGACTTCTGTTCACAGCCATTCAACAGGTCTCTAGGAAGTTCCAAACTTTCTCACATTTCCTTGTCTTCTGAGCCCTCCAAACTGTTCCAACTTCTGCCTGTTACCTGGTTCCCATTTTGGGTATCTTTTCAGCAGCACCCCACTCTACTGGAACTAATTTACTGTATTAATATATTTTCACACTGCTGATAAAGACATACCTGGACTTAGCAATTTACAAAAGAAAGAGGTTTAATTGGACTTACAGTTCCACATGGCTGGGGAAGCCTCACAATCATGGCAGAAGGCAAGCAGAAGCAAATCACATCTTATGTGGATGGCAGCAGACAAAGAAAGAGACTGTGCAGGCAAACTCCCATTTTTTTTTTAAACCATCAGATCTCATGAGACTCTTTCACTATCACGAGAACAGTGCAGGAAAGACCCACCCCCATAATTCAATCACGTCCCACCAGGTTTCTCCCACAACACATGGGAATTGTGGGAATTACAATGCAAGATGAGACTTGGGTGGGGACAAACAGCCAAACCATATCAGTAGGCTTTTATGAATGTTTGATGCTACCTGAATCATCTAGCATTCTGTCTTTGACAAAGAAACCAACTTTCATCCCATCTATATCATTCCTAACAATGTAGTTACCTAGAAGAAGCCAAAACCATCCTCCTCCAACTTTGTTACCTAATTAAGGAAATAGAGCAGGAATTATATTGTAGTATATAGCCAGCACATGGTGGGCATATTTGAATAATCTGTCAGAATGTAGATTGAAAAACATGCTATAGTCATAGGTCACAAAACAAACACAGACATCACAAAACAGACTGCTAGAGAATGACAAACATTTGAATATAAATTAAAAGGAGCTTTGCAGACACAGCATAACAAAAAGCCCAATTAACAAAACTAACCATATGCTACCACCAGAATGGTTGGACACAGTGTAAAACACACATGCACATTAAATGCAAAGAAATCACAGATGAAACAGCTTCATCAGAGAAACTGGAACCACTGCCAAACCTAGATGCTGCAGTGATAAAAGGGCTTCTTTATAGAGTCACTTTAAAGGTCCCCCAATAAAATAGTTATCAAAGTTACATACATCCTGAAGCCCTGAACAAATACAGGTAGAAACTAAAGCAAAACAATAAGCTTTTGGAGCTGTTTTATTATTTTCTTCCACAATGAATAACCACATACCTTGATTTATTTGTAACATTTTTAAAGGTATTACAGAGTAGAGGTGAAGAGCATAAACTTTAGAATCAGGCAGGCTGAGGTTTAAATCCTAGCTGTGCAATGTGCTAATGGCATAATTTTTTTCCATAATGTTTAGTCTAAGTGACAGTACATATGGAAATGGGAATAACAATATTCTTTACACTTCTTTACACTTTTATCAGGATTAACACTGATGATGTACCCAAAGGGTATAGCATAGCATAGTGTTTAGCACAGAGTAAACATTTATTCTGTAAATAAAAGCTGCTATTATTTATTTTTTAAAGCTATACATATTCTAGGATGCAAATTGGAATGTATATTTTGAGCTGTTGACTGTTTAATTTTAACTGAGCAGAAAAGATTTCCATCTTGGAGAATTCCATCCCTGACATTATATTATTGTAACAATAGTGATAGTGATGGGTCATAAAATATTTCAGTTGTTCACTTGTTTGTTCATTCATTCATTTATTCATCTGTCCATTTCATTCAACAAACAGTTCCTAAGCATCCTTTAGGCTCAAAATGCACTGTCCTAGGTGCTGAAGATACAGAACTGACTAAGACACAACATCCGCCATCAAGATGCTCCAAGATTGGGGGGGAGACATCCAGAAATAGAAATAATTGTGATACATAAAGTAAGTAGTAAAATAGATACAGGTTTTGAATATTGTGAGAGGGGCATTCGTTCTGTCAGGGGAGGGGTGCTCGGTGAGGAGTCATTTATACCAGAGTTTGAAGGATCTGTAGTGGTTTCAGGAAGAAATAGGGATTTGGAGATGTTTGAATTTGTTTATCGCAGTTATTGAATAGTAGACCATCATTTTCTGGGACTATTCAGCTAACTTCTAACCGCGTCATGAAGGAAGGAAGAATTTTCCAACTTTCTTCGGTTTATTACTCCTCCCAACCCCAGGCCTTGAGAGAACTCCACAGTGTTTAAAATGTAGATATTTAAAATGTAGATCACAGCGTTTAAAATGTAGATATTTAAGAAAGAATGTGGACTTGGGAGTTTTCTAGATTTGGGTGTGGCTTTTCTTACCCTTCCAAATGTACTCTACATAGCTCCCCAGATGACCCCAGCAGGGTTGAGCTCGAGTTGCCAGTGGGCTTAGCCTGCACGCACACACTCTGTATTGGCCTCCTTTCCTTCCTGTCTCTCTATTTCCTCCTCTACTAGTGCTTCTGGGATCACTTCTAAAATAAGCTATTCACACTCAGACCCTTACATGAGGATCTGTTTTTAAGGGAACCCAAGCCAAAACAAGACCTCTCTGCTTGATTGCACATTGTCAACTTGGAGTTACTGAACCCATCTAAGTCTGTGAACTATGTTTCCCAGAATCCCCTTCCATGTATGATTTTAGGATGGACATTTGGAAAATGGAAGTGACCAGAAAGCATTACTCTCAGAAGGCCATGTCAGCCAACATAGTGACAGACCAATGCAGCTGTGCCTAGCAGGCCTCAGCTTCTAGATTCCAACTCCTGGCCCCACCAACAAACAGCTCCAATGCCAAAACCAAGCACTAGATAACATTCCTTCTGACCATTATGGTTAGTGACTTATTCGGATTCTCCATCTCCATCTTCCAGACCTTCACTTCCCCAACTTTTCCTACATTTGTTTGTGCTCTAATTGCTATAGCGAGCCTCTTATTACCATAGTATTTTAGTGACTCTGTTTTCCTGACTGACATCTAACTCTAATTCATAATAATTCAAAGAGCTAATATGGAGAGTTTTTAGTGCTCATCTTATACCAGACACTGGTTTGAGAACTCTGCATAACAACTCGATCAGTTAGGATTAGTATTGTAATTATTTCCAATCTATAGATGAAGAAACTGAAGGACAGAAACTCTAGATCAATCGGTTCAACATCACAAAGCCAATAAGTGATGGCACTGAAATTCAAACCAGGCATCTGACTTCAGAGCCTGTGGTGCAGCCAAATTTCTACCTCCCCACTGTGGTCAAAAGAAGGTAAATTATTCCATACTTCTACCAGTTCTCTCCTCATTCATTCTTTCTCCCCTGGTTAAATCCTCCTTGGCCTGGGTCCATGTCATGGGGACCATGTACAAGTGACCCTTGGGAGGATGCCTCCCATAGGACAAGTGGTATAGTTGGAAATTTCTATATAATATACACGATGTACATTTATTGAAAATATGTCAAGTCCTAGTGTGATGGCTAATGTTATGTGTCAGCTAGACTGGATTAAGAGATGCACAGAAAACTAGTAAAGCATGGTTTCTGGGTGTGTTCTTGAGGGTGTTTCTGGGAAAGAAGAGCATTTGCAGGGGTAGACTGATCAACGATGATCTTCACCAGTGTATGTGGACACCATCCAATTTGTTGAGGGCTGAATAAAACACAAAGGCAATGAAATGACAAATTAACTTTCTCTTTTTGAGCAGGAATATCCATCTTCTCCTGTACTTGGGTATCAGTTGTCCTGGTTCTCGAACTTTCAGACTTGGACTGAGACTTACACCACTGGCTCCTCTGTTTCTCAGGTCTTTGGACTTGGACGACCCACAACATTGGCTTTTCTGGGGCTTCAGCAGCTTGCAGACAGCAGAGTGAGGCTTCTTAACTTCCATAGTCATGTGATCCAATCCTTCATACTAAATCTCTTGCTATATGTATCCTAGTGGTTCTGTTTCTCTGGAGAACCCTAATATACTCAGGTCCATACAAAAACCTTATTTATTTGTCTGCTCTCATGGTGCTGATAAAGACGTACCCGAGACTGAGTAATTTTAAAGAAAAAGAGGTTCAATGGACTCAAAGTTCCATGTCGCCAGGGAGGCCTCAATCATGGTAGAAGGCAAAGGAGGAGCAAAGGCTCATCTTACATGGCGTCTGGCAAGAGAGTGTGTGCAGGGTGACTCCCATTTATAAAATCATCAGATCTCATGAGATTTATTCACTGCCATGAGAACAGTACGGAAGAAACTGCCCCTCTGATTCAATTATCTCTACCTGGCCTCACCCTTGACATGTGAGGATTATTACAATTCAAGGTGACATTTGAGTGGGGACACAGAGCCAAACCATCCCACCTTACATGCATTATTTAATGTGATATTCAAAACAACTTTATGGTATAGATTTTTAAAAAATATTTAACTTTCTTCTAGAACTGAGGTTTGTAGAGGCCAAGCAGGTGTGCCAAGTGAACACACCAGGTACGTGGTGAAATTGGGATTTGAAGGTTGGCAATTGGCCTCTGCAGTGTACTCCGCTAATCTGAACATGCTTCTCAAATGCACGATTTAAATTGTCTTTTAAATCTGATGTCATCAAATATCTGAAATGGTTACATTGTATTGGAGCAGCTGAAAGCAGACTAGGAAAATCACATGAAGTGCAACACTTTATTTGGGCTATCAGTAAGTCATTCTAGCATGAAATCCAGGGACTCAAGAAAATATACTAAAATTGAACCACAACTCTCCCTGCCATAGCCAACTACTTATTTTTTAAGTCTAATTTGAAAGTTTGAAAAAATCTAATGTAACCTCTCAGAAATCTGTTGCCTTAAGTAATTTTTTAAACATCTCAATTTCTCCTTTATAAAGAAATGGCTATCATATTATTAATTTGAAATGACTGACTTGGCAAAGCATATCACAGTACCTCTCTCCAGAGAGTAGCAGAGCACAGCAACTTTGATATGTGCTGGGAAGTGCTGAGGGTTTGTTTACTGACAACAAAAATGATGTGCTAGTTATTATATATGTGAATCCCATTTGTTTTATTTTCCCTTTAAAAAAATTTTTTTATTGTAATTCATTGCATTAACTCCTAGTCTTCCTGGATATCACTTGTTATCCATGACTTGAATTATTCTACTGAAGGATGCTTTATCATTTTAAGAAAACCAAGTGTTAGAAAGGACCTTTCATTTCTATTTGGATTACTTATCATTCAATAATTAGCCACCCCTCCAGACAAGGAATTCAAAATGGGAGTTATGATTTGCCAAGGCATCTCACAGTTCCAGCCATTAGTGTTCACCCAGTTGAAACTACAAGACTAAAAATAATCCAATTAAGTGACAACAGTATATTTTGAATCAGTACTCAACAGATGGTAAAGCATCCCCCATTCATCATTAATTAATGTTCATTTAGCACCCATAGAGAATGACTCTGGGTTACTGTTTCCTGAAGGTAGAGATGAAACTTCTGCATTGGAAGATCGTACCATCTGGTTGCTGAAAAACCACCTTACAGGGTCTGAAATAATTTTGTAGAATAAATCATCCCTGGAAATGGGAATGTCAAGGACCTCAATAAATTTTGAGACCTTCACAGAAGAATTTTAGGGATAAAGCCTAAAATCTATGATTTTTCTTATTTAAGAAGAATTTAAAATTACAAATCTATCTCCCTCCTTTCTCTACTTAACATGCCAGCAGATATACTGAATGATTTCCCCTTCTTTTAATTTTGCCTTTATATTTTTTAAATGTTATGATTGTTTAGTGTGTATTTTGTATCTATTCTCTCTCCCCTGAGGTCTGTATGGCACTCCCAAACATATATGTGGGTAACATTTAAAGTTGGTAAAGTGACTCTCAAGCCTAATCAGTCTTCCTGAGAGAATATAAATTTGGTAGATAATTTGTGGAATGGTTTATCATAATTGAATTTCTGTGCCGTAATAAGAATGGAGTAGACCCATGCCTCTCTTGAGTGTCTCTTTGTTTATAATTCTCTTTGAGAGTAATGTTTTTACTGTATTCACATATCATAATTAAAAGAGCTTTTCCAGTGTTCTTAAAAATTTCCCACTGATGGAATACTCATTAAAACAGTTTGAAAAGTTAGTTTACTTATTTACTTTTAATAGCATTTTTATAGTATTTATTTTTGTGGACAAAGTGCCTTCCAAATTTAGACTTACACCTTTAAATGTATCCAATTTCTTTGTTTTCTGGTTACAAGCTATAACAATTTTAATTATCTATGGCAGCTAGTTGCCCATTCAACCTCCTCTCTCCCTAAATAGGAGATGGCAATGTGTTTAGCTAAAATTTATGATTTGTAACCCCTATTATAATCAGGAATAGACAATAAAATAAAAGACCATATATTAGGTGGTGGTTTTTAAGAATTCCCTTTAAAGGGGTTTACTCAGCTGGAATGCAGGCATATGACTGGTGTTCCAGCATCCATTTTCTTACTATGAAGTAATCTTGAGAATAGAAGTCACAAGCTGATGAAAGCAGAACAGATACTTAAATGGAGCTTGGATCATGATGGTCATACCAGTTCTGGACTGCTTTTATTTGAACTTTATGTTATATGTACAAAAAATAATCCCCTATTTTGCAGAATGCACTCTTATCTTGGATCAATTCTCTAACCTAACTGAAACATATTTTCATAGTGGAAGTGGGTTTGTATAGTGACCTACAAAATCCCTACTAGATATGATTCCATGATACCTTTCTGACACTATCTCTTGCTGGTCTCTCCTTTGTACATTCTATTCCAGCTACATGGCCTCTTTGGTATTCTTGGTATACATCAGGTATAATCCAGCCTTCAGTATTTTGTACCTGCTGTTCCCTCTACCTGGTGTACGATTGCCCCAAATGTTTACTCAGCAAATTCTTTCATGTCCTCCAGACTGTTGCACTTCTCTTTCACTCTCTCTATTGCTTCAACTTGTTATCCCCTGACATTTTATATCTCCCTTCCCCAATTTAATTTTCTCTCTTGCATGATCTAACATTGAGCATATTTTACTTTTTAATCTATTTTATTGCCTGTTTTTCTTCAGAATGTAAGCTCCAAGAGACAGAGATTTTTGCCTATTTCATTTACTAGGATAGAGCCATATACTAGGACTGCACATACATATTTGTTGAATGAATGAATGTGATAAGGAATTGGTTGACCAAGGGAGATGAGGAGAAAAAAATATTGAGACTCTGATTTGGAAAGCTGGAAAGCTGGTAACACACTTATTTTGTTTAAATAGCAGGAAATCATGACCAAATTTCAAATGCATAAGTGAAGAAGGAGATAATGCATATTTCCCTGATGAAAAGTATAAAGAATGAAGCAAGAAAATGCAGGAAGATGAGGGCCAATGAGCTCAACGAGAAGGGGTTGCTGTCGTCAAGGGTGGAGATATGCTTCTCTTAAGAGTAGGAATGAGAATACCTAGAGATTGAAGATAAGAGAGATTTTCATAATCTGGGGTGGAAATGGAGGAAACTCAAATCTGACAGTCTTAATCTTGTAAGAAGATCAAGATGCAGACAATCTGATGATTGTGAGGGAAGAATAGAGATGGAAGGATGGAGTGAGGGGGAAAAGTTTTGCAATATCCGCCACTGTAGGAAAGAGGAATAAAGCAGAACTAAATGAAAATTGCTACTGAGTGGTAGAGAAAGGCTGAATTGAAACAGACAATGAACATTTATAGTCAAGCCAATTGTCATGGTTTTATTTCTTATAATTATTAGCAGCTCATAGGCAGAAGCGGGAAATTAGCAGGAACAGGTGGTCAGCTTTTCCCACAGTTGGTAAATAGTAAGGTAGACATGGCAGAATGTCTGGGTGGTAGTGGTTGAGTAGACTGTTAAAATGGCATCCAAGTTGGGAAAGGTAAGTGGAGCTAGACCGAGAAGGATAGAATCTGAGCTGTGAAGACAGGACATGTCCTAAAGTCTCAGTGACTGTGGACTCTACCTCTGTCCTCAACTGAAAGTAGATTTGGACTTTCCATTATACTTCTTCTTATACCATACATAAAGTTTATATTCAAGGACTCAAAGTATTCTTTAACCCATTTGCCATTTGGACTGATGGATAAATGTGACCCAGTAGAAAACCTCTAGGACAAGATTTACGGTGCATACTCTCAGATACTCATGCCGGGAAAGACATACAGCTCATCCAATAAGAATTCTAGCATGCAGCTGGAGGAGAAACACTGCTCATTTCTGCTTGGTTCTAGGTGTGTGAACTTCATATTAACTCGCATTATTCCCAGCTCTCCTTTTTGTCCATGTGCTTCGGAGAAGCAAAACAAAGAGGTTGGGAACTTGGGCTCTGAAATCTGCTATCTGGGATCAAATCCCGGTTCCACCATTTTCTAGCTATGTGATCTAGAAAAACAAGGCATTTAACCTCTCTCCGATTCAATTTTCTTATCTTTGAAATGGGGGTGATGCTGGAACATACTGCATAGGATTATTTCAAGGATTGATGAGATCTGTGTAAAATATCTAGAAAGGGATCAGTGCATAAGTACACTTAATTACTTATGATAATAATGATGATGATGTTGGTATTAATGTGATAACTATAAGAATTCAATGGAGCCTGCAAAAAAAAATATATCCATCATTCCTCTAAGGTGGGGTAAATGAGATATGTGCCTTGTGAACATAGGCAGGGTAAAATTAATAATTAAGATTATAACAGCACAAATTATCGTGAGTACTACATGAATTAAATATCTGGCCTAGGGCTTCCCACAGAGCATATTTAGATAAAACAAACATAAACTTCCAAGAGACATCTAAATTGTTCAATGGCTTTCTAAAAAAAGATTCAGGTTAAAAATATTGATTCTCAATTCAAATCACTACAATTTCATTATAAGAAGATTAGCAAATAATTAAGAAAATTAAAAATATCCATAATCCCACTGTCTACATATAGTCATGAATAGATGCAAATAACCAGGGATATCTGGAAAATTTTGCCTTTTTTTACTATATGTCATACATTTATATTTTTATAAATGTTATCCTTTAGTGCTTCATGTAGGAGTGGCTCATCTGTGTGTCTTTGGCTGATACTCTGTGATACTGGTGACTGGGCTATTTCCCTTGGAGCCTGTTCCCTCTCTTCTCTCTCCTTTTTTCATATCTGTGCCTTACTGTACCTGTCATTACAGCAATCCAGAAATCTAGGGGGAAACTGTGGCTTTGTTAGACTTCTAGCCTGAGCTATGGGCTCCTGTCCAACCTCACCAGGAATTCTACTCTGGGAGTGTATCAGATGGTGGCCTGCTATTAATAAAGTGACTTCCATTTCTACCCTATTACTTATCATTAACCTCAGGGGGAAAAGCCAAACAGAGCATTCTTAGCTTCCTAGAATGAACTATCATTGAATACTATAAAATTTGACCCAGGTTCCTAATATCACATCCGTATTAACCTGTTCTCACACTGCTATACATAAATACCTGAGATTGGGTAATTTATAGAGAAAAGAGGTTTAATTGGCTCCTGGTTCTGCAGGCTGTACAGGAAGCTTGATGCTGGCATCTGCTCAGCTTCTGGGGAGGCCTCAGGAAACTTACAATCATGGCAGAAGGCGAAGGAGGAGCAGACACATTACATGGCCAGAGCAGGAGTGAGACAGCAGGGCAGGGGTTGGGGGGAATAGAAGGGAGGTGCCACACACTTTTAAACAACTAGATCTTGAGAGAACTCACTCTCTACCCGAGGACAGTACCGAAGGGATGGCGCTAAATCATTCAGGAGAACTCCACCCCTAGGATCCAATTACCTCCCACCAGGCCCCACCTCCCACACTGCGGATTACAGCTTAACATGGTTTTGGGCAGGGGCACACATCCAAATGATATCACCATCTAATCCCTGGCTCCACATAAACACCTTGTATGTTCAGCTGAATACGTTTCCTTTCTTTCTAACTGTAATGTACACAAAACCCTCAGCAGAGTAGCTGACACATTGTTAGTACTTAATCAATTTGTTTTAAGTACTACTTCATCCTTTTAAATATCTTAAATACAATAAATATTAGCATATCAATATTTATTTATATTTATCATGTTATTTATCTAAATATAAATATCAATATTCAACTCTTGAAACAATTATGATATACCATATCCTTTCAAATCATCAGTGTGTTAGAATTTTGGGTTATTCATTTTCTTAGATGTTTGTGATTACCCAAGGATCACCCACTGATGGAGGGAAAGGACCTAGGTAAGAACCTCCCAGGAGGGGATTTAGGACAGTGTACCTTTAAGATTTTTGTCAGTGTTGCCACATTGCATGAGGTGGCCTTTCGATTGCATACCATTAGGCATTCCACAACTTTTCACACAAAGTTCTTGCTTACTAAACTAATGATTAACCAAGTACAAGTCACTTTGATGGATTTAACGAGGTTCTAGCAAGAGAAGAAAATAAAATATTTTTCTAAAACATTACATAAATGAAAAAAATAAAAAGCTTCTGAAATCCAAGAATGACAATTTCATGGGTATCAAATTATATATTATATATAATTATGTTAATAATAGTGATAATGAAAATTGTGATGCTTTATATTAATACAGAACAATTTCTAACATTTATATTGTCATATGATTCTATAATATTCTTGTGATTTATAAGCAAATGAGGAAAAACATTGGGAAAGGAGTAATGATAAAAGTACACATTTGAATGCCTATGTTTCTTAACTGATAGAGTAAGCCTAGGTTTAAGATTAAACAATTAGTTTTGATAATCCCAACAGTATAGTTTTTCAAATGAATTATATTCAAAAATATTTCAGAATTTTTCAGGAAATGACAGTGCACTAAATATAATACATACCTAACCTAAAATATAGAATGACTTTAAATAACAATTTTATATTCTGAGCTTGTATGACAACATTTCAAAATAAGTTATAGTTTTTATGTGTAATTATAACTAGAACACCACAGCTATAAGGTATTGCATATTATCAAGACTTGACTTTACTCATGTTGAGACACAAGGTCAGTAATAATATTTTATGGTACCATGAAACATGCAAAACCCTCCTGTTTTCTGCACAATTATCTGATGTGCCAAATCAGGCAACACTTTAGTGAAAATCTTGGGATAGTAAGTCATCAGTAATATTAGCCTAGGATGTTTCATTTCCCCCGGGATCATCAAATTATTAACTTACTTTTTATATCTCCTTACAAAGTATTAAGTGCTTTATATAATTTGTCCCATTTGGTCTGCAGGAGAATCCTAGGAGCTAGGCTTGGCATGTTTTATAGGACAGTGTAGCATAGTGGTTAACAGCACAGATGCTGGTGCCAAAGTGCCTGCCTTTGAACCTTTGTTTTGTCCTCAGGAGCTTTGGGACCATCTGACTGGGGGCCAGTGGTCCAAACTGGAACAGGAGGATGGCCACTTCATAGTGGTAAGGGGTGACTGAGGTGCTAGACATGAGATGCTTGGAGCCCCACCTGGTTATGATAGACACTGGACCAGTATTAAGACACACTGCCTTGTCTTGCAGAGGAAGAGCCCATGCTCAGAGAGATTATATACTGCTTTTTCTAAGCATTTGCATCTTTTCCTTTTTGTAAGGTTGGCTCTATTTTTGTGAAACAAAGGGAAAGGGGCTGGTTAATGCAACAAAGAAAAAGAAAAAAAATTAAGAAATTGTACTTAAGTACAATTACTTAAGTGTATTTTCAAGAATCATTTGTTTAAGAAAAGCCTTCTACCTTGTTTACTTCTGTGATAATTTGAGTTGGTTATAGCCTGAGAGGGGTGGTGACGGGCAATACAATAACAAAAAAGCCCATATTTTAAGAGCTATCAACAAAGCAAATGCATTTTCATTTTCTACTTATGATATCAAAAGACTTTCCCTAATGATAGATTATTTCTATGATGACAAAGGCATTTTAATACAACTAGAAGCATTTCCAAGATTTTATTCTTCATTTGGCAGTGGCTGGATGGTGTTGCTCATATGTACTGCCTACATATATTTTTTTTCCAAGTTTATTCAGGCATACATAGAGAGTGATGAGATTTCCCTCTTCTTTATAGGGTTAAGTTAAAACTAAACAGCAGTCCTGGCATGGTGGCTCACACCTGTAATCCCAGCACTTTGGGAGGCTGAGTTGGGCAGATCACTTGAGGTCATGAGTTCGAGACCAGCCTGGGCAACATGGTGAAACCCCATCTCCACCAAAAAATACAAAAGTTAGCCAGGCGTTGTGGCGCACCTGTAATGCCAGCTACTTGGGAGGCTGAGGTGGGAGAATTGCTTGAACCAGACGGTGGAGGTTGTAGTGAGCCCAGATCACACCATTGCACTCCAGCCTGGACGACAGAGCAAGACCCTGTCTCAAATGTGCAGACATGGCGGAGACCAAGAATCACACCACACACAACCAGTCCTGAAAATGGCACAGAAACGGTATCAAGAAACCCCGATCACAAAGATATGACTCTCTTAAGAGGGTGGACCCCAAGTTCCTGAGCAACATGCACTTTGCCAAGAAGCACAAGAAGGGCCTAAAGAAGATGCAGGCCAACAATGCCAAGGCCATGAGTGCACGCGCTGAGGCTATCAAGATCCTCGTAAAGCCCAAAGAGGTTGAGCCTAAGACCCCAAAGGGTGTCAGCTGCAAGCTAGATCGACTTGCCTACATTGCCCACCCCAAGCTTGGGAAGCGTGCTCGTGCCCGCATTGCCAAGGGGCTCAGGCTATGCCAGCCAAAGGCCAAGGCCAAGGATCAAACCAAGGCCCTGGCTGCAGCTCCAGCTTCAGTTCCAGCTCAGGCTCCCAGAGGTGCCCAGGGCCCTACAAAGGCTTCAGAGTAGAGATCTCTGTCTGCCAACGTGAGGACAGAAGGACTGGTGTGACCCCCCCGGGCTACCGTCTGCATGGGGCTGGGATTCTCCTGTGCTATTTGTACAAATAAACCTGAGGCAGGAAAAAAAAAAACCAACTAAACAAACCAAAAAACAACAACAAAAAACAACTAAATAGCAGATATTAGGACATTCGAACTACTGGCAGCTTTTTCTAAGCCTTTGAGGTGACTTGAATGACAGTCAGTGATAATAAGCAATAGCTTTCTTCTCTTTACCCACAGTGCTGGGCAAAGGGTGATGGAGAACACCAAGAGAGAAGGTGTGTTTGTGTGGTGAGCTATTCAGTTTTATTTATCTTCTCAATTTCTAAATTCTATAAAGTTTGGCTCAAATTCTTACCTATTCTCAACCTATGAGTCTCAGTCTTGGCTACATTTTTAAAGTATTTGGAGTCTTATGTACTAATTAACAGATAATACGTATACATGATGTACATATATATTTATTAGGTTGGTGCAAAGGTTATTGCAGTTTTGCCATTAAAAGTATGGCAAAAACCACAGCCTAACACAAAAATCAGCCTAATACACACATATACATGTATATGCCCATACACCTAGACACCTATATGCATACACAGACCCTACCCTTTGATGTTGGCTCCAATCAACATCTCTACTAACTCTCTAACCGAATTGGCTTAGCTACCACTGTCTTTCCAGGCTCTCTACTTTCTATGCAGATATGTGCTTTGGTATAGCTATTCCCTCACTGGAAGCTCTTTCTCTTCCCTTTCTCTCTTCTCCATTCCTAACCCTCTGCGTGGAGCCTTTGATTGCCTTTGGACTTCCCATCAGCTTTTACCTCAATTCTCATTTTGGCTTTGAATTATGTAGGGCTTTCTACTTAACTGTTCCAAGCATATCTATCTTGCCTTTTCAATTAGACTAATGACCAGGTTGGTCTAATTAAATACAAGAGAAAGATATTTCTTTTATCTTTATTTTTTTCTAATGCCCAGAACTACATATATATCTACCATAGTGCCACATGCTTAGTAATCATTACTTGAAGGAATGAACTTCATCCAGGCTATCCACATTCATAGTTTAAAGGAAACACCTGTCGATCAGAATAGTTTTAGGCTGTAATCAATCTATTAACCACAATCATTACCTACAACTCATCTATTTTAAAACTAATTAGTTAAAATTTTAAATTGATGAATAAAAATTATATGTATTTATTATGTAAAACATGATGTTTTGAAAATGTATACTTTGTGGAGGGGCTACATTGAGCTTATCAACACATGCATTACTTCATAAACTTTTTTTTGTGATGAGAACACCTAATACTTACTTTTGGCAATTTTCAAGAATACACTGCATTGTTATTAATGATAATTACCATCTTGTACAGTAGACCTCTTGAACTTATTCTTATCTAACTAAAATATTGTAAGCTTTGACCAATATCATTCCAACACCCTCACCTCCCTCTGAAAAATCCCCGATAATCACCATTATACTTTACTTTTATAAGTTCAACTTAAAAAAATTCCACATATAAGTGGGATCATGTGGTATTTGTCTTTCTGTGCCTGGCTTATTTCACATAACATATTGTCCCCAAAGTTCATCTATATTATCACAAATGACAGGATTTCCTTCTTTTTAAAATGGGAATATCACACACCGGGGCCTGTTGTGGGGTGGGGGGAGGGGGGAGGGATAGCATTAGGAGATACACCTACTGTTAAACGACGAGTTAATGGGTGCAGCACACCAACATGGCATATGTATACATATGTAACAAACCTGCACGTTGTACACATGTACCCTAAAACTTAAAGTATAATAAAAAATAAAAAAAAATGAGCAATACATACAAAGCTCTGAGCAAAATAAATAAATAAATAAAATAAAATGGGCATAGTTTTCTATTGTAGGTATACAACATCTTCTTGATCCATTCATCCATTGGTGCACACTTAGGTGGGCTCCACATCTTGGTTATTGTGAATAATGCTGCAGTGAACATGGGGTTGCAGGTATCTCTTTGTCGTACTGATTTTATTTCCTTTGGATATATACCTAGTAGTGGGATTGCTGGATCATATGGTTGTTCTATTTTTATTTCTTTGAGCAACCTGCATACTGTTTTTCATAAGGGTTTACCAATTTACATTCCCAGCAGTAATGTGCAACAACCCATTTTTTGACTTTAACCATATAACCAATCACCTATGTAACCTTTCTTCTTGGATGTCTAAAAGGCACTGAAACCTGTCATTTGACCCTCTGACTACATCAAATTCCTTGTCAGATGCTCTTATATTTATATCTCCTTTAAAATTTTACATTTATTTGTGCAATTATTTGCTTAATCTCTGATTGCCTCATTGGACTATAGACCAATGAGGGCAGAGAATATGACTGTTTGGCTAACTATTCTATCTTTCATATATATCAGAAGGAAGCAATGAAAGAAGGAAGGAAGGAAAAAAGGAAGGAAGAAAGAAAAGGGAGGAAAGAAAAATAAAAGAATGAGACATGTTCACAGTCTATTGCTAAAACTTCAAAGCCTGTTAGTCCCTTTAGCTGTATGTTTTGATGTTTCTTTGCAGACTAAACTAATATTTCCAAACAAAATTGCTTTTAAAATTTAACACCAATCTCAATTTTCATTTCAAAATTGTGCCAGTTATTGAAAACGTTTTATTATTATGTGGTGTCACAAATGGTCTGGAAACTCCCTCAAACATGCTAGGCATTTAGTATTGGGTGTCTATGCCTGTCTCCTAAAGATATCTTATCTAGTTATTGCTAAACAAACAAAAAAGAAAAAAAGAAAGAAAGGAAAGAAAAAAAGCCTGAGAAAGTAATCATCATGCTGTGTGTAAAATAAGTGCAGCAAATAGCTCAATAAAATAATATTTTTAAAAGAGACTTTTTCATTTTGTTTTGTTTTGTTTAATGTCCCAGAACCTTCCAATTGAGAGTTAAAAGAAACTACTATAGTGAATAAAGTTGGTTAAAATTCAGAACAAAACCACAAATGCAGAAAAAAGAAAAGGGGTTGCGGGAAATTCAGATGTACATTTACATCCTAAACAATAAAACATACATAGAAATAAAAATTTCATTCTGGACTAGTACGAGACAGGGTCCTCCCAGATGGTCCTTGTATTAGTCCATTTTTCACACTGCTGATAATGATATACCTGAGACTGGGTAAAATTAAAGGAAAAGAGGTTTAATGGTCTCACAGTTACACGTGGTTAGGGAGGCCTCACAATCGTGGTGGAAGGTGAAAGGCACATCTTACCTGGGGGCAGGTAAGAGAGAAAATGAGCAAGCAAAAAGGGAAACCCCTTATAAAGCCATCAGATCTCGTGAGACTTATTCACTACCATGAGAGCAGTATGGGAGAAACTGCACCCATGATTAAATTACCTCCCACCAGGTCCCTCCCACAACACGTGAGAATTATGAGAGCTACAATGCGAGATGAGATTTGGGTGGGGACACAGCCAAACCATATCAGTCCTCAAACAGAAGGCTTACCCAGGTCTGTTGGAAGCAACTTTCCACTCTCAGTGTGCAAACTATCCCAAAATATTTATTGTGAAATGTTTCTTCTAGATCTTGAGATCTCTAAAATGATAAAAATTTTCCCATTTTTCTTAATGAAGATTGGCTCTACTACAGGTTGGATATCAGGAGATCATTCAGCTCTGCTAGTATTTGTCCTCCCTTGGAAGTCTTACAGGTTTTTTTCTCACCTGGGGTTCTCTAACTTTGAGAGCTCTAAATTTCCTCTATTGTTTTCTTTAAAAAAAGATTTGAAAGCATCATCCTCTAGAGAGTCTGTTTTAATAATTGTAGAGTGGTGGGTCCAGGAATTTGTTTTTATTTTATTTCATTTTTAAGGCACCATAAACGACTCTAATGAATCACCCCAGGTGAACCCAATGAGAAACATGGCAAACTTTCTTAAGTTCTTAGCCCTTGAGAAAAGTCATATCTACACAGGCTTTATTTGCCCAATTATTTCAGTGGAGACTTATATTTAATATACTTGTTTCTCTTAAATTAAAAAATACTCTTCTTTTCCCCTGTTTTCTAGTACAGTTCTTTCCCTCTCTCTCCCCTCCCCTTGAGTCCTACCTCCCCTCACCCTATAGATCTATACTTGGCTAAGTAGGATAATAACCCCAGTTTTTCAGATTTTGTGTAGCACATTTTGTATGCATCTTATCTTGGTGTACCTTTTCTTTTTAATACCTCTTAACCCCCAATATTCTCCCTTTTTCTTCAACTAATGTACTCTTCAGGGATATCAGCCTACATTGTCTGGGAGCCCTTACAATAACATTTCTGTTCTTCAGGGTATTGTTTTTCTTTGTATTCATAATTTACTGCTTTTTTAACATATTTAATTTTTTTATTAGGAAAGACATTGTTAAACTTCTATCACTTTTGGTTGAGGGTTGGGTAGGAGAGTGTGATGATGAGGGCTGAATATGATCCTTGAGCAGCATGGCTTTGAGCTGCAGGGGTCCATTTATATATGGATTTTTTTCAATAAAAGTTGGTCCCCGCTTAGGGGTGAATTCCACATTCACAACCAGATGTGAGTGGAAAATACAGTATTCGAGGGATGCCAAACTTGAGAATATGGAGAGCCCACTTTTTGTACATGCACGTTCCTCAGGGGTGACTACAGGACTTGAGTGTGTGCAGATTTTGTTTTCTGTGATGGCCCTGAGATGAATTCCCTGCATGTATCAAGGGACAATTGTACACACACTACACACACAGACACACTCACTCACACACACACACAGGTCTTTGCTAATAATCCAAAAACTGTGCTTCCTAGATCTGATTATGATATCTGATTATGGTGATTTCTCTGTTATGGTCCAATCAGAAGACAGAAACCACTTGAGCCTTTCAACAGAGGCAGCTTCATTCAGGGAATTTGTCCTTAGGGAAGGGAAGAGCTGAGAAGCCAAATGGGATGGTTGAAATACTCAAGAGATTAGTAACACAGCCAGAAGCTATGCTCACTCTTAAGACTGGAGAGACATTGGGAGACAGTGGTGTTGGTGGTGTTACCAGAACACAGGAACCAGGGTCTCCTTCAGGGAGTGAGAATCATGACAGGGACGTGGTGAAATCTAGAGTTCCATGTAAGACACCACTGCTGGGTGTGCTGTGTGAAACAGAGCAAGAGGGAGAAATGCCCCTACTCCTTCCCAATATCTGACTTCTTTCTTCTTGCCCTCCAGTCTTCTGCCAGTACTATCCAATGGTTAAAGCTATGTGGAATCCAGAAAAGGGATCCTTGAAAATGTAGTTCCTTAAAGGAAGAGCGGAAAATGAATTTAAGAGAAAAAGACACATGACTGGCACAGTTTCTATACAAGCACGAGCTCATGTGACATATGGAGTCTGCCTTTTTTATCCAAGCAGGAATTACTCCCCATAGGGAGTTACTAAGTATTTACATCCCAGCTAGCCACAGAACCCAGAAGGGTCCTCAAAAGATCCTTAAGCTGGAGCCAACAAATGACACCAAAGAACATCAAACTGTGTATGGGAGCAGATGAAGTTAGATGGTGCAGACCCAAGAAAGAGCTGCAACAGACTGTACCTAACAATTGTGTTTTATGCTGTTTAGTTTTTACGACCCAGTGTAATGATAGAACTTCTGTGTTGTATGCTGGTGTCTCTTCACCTTTTCTACTTCCTTGCCTATCATTCTGTGTTTAGATCATTTCAATCTGATTTGGTTAATTCCTCCTCTGAAAATGTTCTCTTAGTATGACCTACTGACTGCCAAATCCAGTGGTAACTTTTCTTGGGTATTTCAGTTGGCTATTTGGTAGCATTGAAAACTGTGGAGTACCTTCTTCCTCTTTAAAACTTTACAGACTTCATTTAAGATAATATTTGTATTGTTTTTCTTCCTAATTTTGACTGCTCTTTCTTCTGTTTTTAATTTTTAATTTTTAGGTTCAGGGGTACATGTGCAGGTCTGTTATGAAGGGAAGTTTTGTGTCATAGGGGTTTGGTGTACAGATTATTTTGTCATCTAGGTAATAAGCATAGTACATGATGGGTAGTTTTTGGAACAACCTCCTCCTCCAATCCCCTACCTTCAAGTAGACCCTGGTTTCTACTGTTCCCTTGTTTGTGTCCACGTGTACACAATGTTTAGCTTCCACTTATAAATGAGAACACACATTTTTTGGTTTTCTATTCTTGAGTTAGTTCACTTAGGATAATGGCCTTCAACTCCATCCATGTTACTGCCAGGGTCATGACCTCATTATTTTTTAATGGCTGTGTAGTATTCCATGGTGTATATATACCACATTTTCTTTTTCCAGTCCACTGTTCATGGGCATTTAGGTTGATTCCATGTCTTTGCTATTGTGAATAGTGCAGAGATTAATTTATATGTGTTTTTATGAAATGATGATTTATATTCCTTTGAGTAAATATTCAGTAATGAAATTGCTGGGTCAAATTGTAGTTCTATTTTAAGTTCCTTGAGAAATCACCAAACTGCTTTCCACAATGGCTGAACTAATTTACATTCCCATCAGCAATGTATAAGCATTTCCTTTTCTCTGCAACTATTGTTTCTATTGATTTTTTTTTTTTTTTTTTTTTTTTTTTTTTACTTTTTATGAATAGCCATTCTGAATGGTGTGAGATGGGGTATCATTGTGGTTTTCTGTGCATTTCTGTAACAATCAGTGACGTTAAGCAGTTTTTATTTAAATATGCTTGTTGGCTGTGTGCATGTTTCCTTTTTGAAAAGTGTCTGTTCATGTCCTTTGCACACTTTTTAATGAGGTAGTTTGTTTTTTGTTTAAGTTTTCTAAGTGCATCTTTGTCAGATGCATAGTTTGCAAATATTTCCTCCCATTCTGTAGGTTGTTTACTGCATTGATAGTTTCTTTTGCTGTGCAAAAGCTTTTTAGTTTAATTAGGTTCCTTTTGTCAATTTTTGTTTTTGTTGCAATCACTTTTGGTGTCTACATTATGAAATCTGCCAGGGCCTATTTCTGGAATGTTATTTCCTAGGTTTTATTTTATAGTTTTAGGTTTTACATTTAAGTCTTTAATCCATCCTGAGTTAATTCTCATATATGGTACAAGGAAGGGGTCCAGTTTCAATCTGCATATGGTGAGCCAGTTATCCCAGCACCATTTGTTGAATGGGGAGTTCTTTCCCACTGCTTGTTTCTGTCGACTTTTTTAAAGATCATATGGTTGTAGGTGTGTGACTTTATTTCTGGGTGCTCTATTTTATTCCATTGGTTTATGTGTCTGTTTTTGTACCAGTACCCTGTGTTTTGATTACTGTAAAGTTGCAGGTTAGTTTGAAGTCAGATAATGTGATGCTTCCAGATTTGTTCTGTTTGCTTAGAATTGCTTTTTCTATTCAGATTCTTTTTTGGTTCCATATGAATTTTAAAATAGTTATTTTTTTTTCTAATTCTGTGAAAAATGTCATTGGTAGTTTGATAGGAATAGAGTTGAATCTGCAAATTGCTTTGGGTAGTATGGACATTTTAACATTATTAATTCTTCAGCCTGTTTTCTTTTCTTTCTCTAATTCCCTTTTAATTCTAAATATGTGTGTTCTCAAGGACTCCAAAATTGGGCTTTTTGCCTTCTCCCAGCCCACTCCCGTTTTACTGATGTGTGTTCCCTGGACTGTCTCATACTATGAAATCAATATAACCTATGTCCTTTCAAATGTCATACCTTCTTTTTACACGGGAAGTATCTCCTAAACTTTAGGTTGGCATTTCAGTTGTCTACAGATCACCTTCATGGGCAAGTATTACCTCAAATTCAGCATGTTCAAAACCAAAACGATTATTTTCTCTCTTTAAACCAATTCATATCTCAGTTAACAGTAGCATATTAACTAGAAAAACCTACTAATCTCTCTGACCTCCTCCGAGGTGAATTAGCAACTGTCATCTGTGCTTTCAGGACATATAATTTATTACTTTCCGCTATGGTCTGAATGTTTGTTCTCCCCCAAATCCAAATGCTGAAACCTACTCACCAATGCAATGGTATGTGGAGGTGGTGCAGTTTGGACATAATTAAGTAATGAGGATAGAGGTCTAATGAATGAGATTAGCGCCCTTACAAAAGAGGTCCAAGAGAGCGCCCTTATCCTTTCCTGCCCTGTGCAGACACAGTGACCAGGAGCCATCTATGAGAACCAGGAGACAGGCCCTAACCAGACACCAAACCTGCCAGTGCCTTGATCTTGGACTTCCAGCCTCCAAACTGTGAGAAATAACTTTCTGTTGTTTATAAACCACCCAGTTTATGTTTTTTTCTTGTATCGGCCTGAGCATACTAAGGTACTCTCATATTTTTTTTTGTGCTAAGTTTTTATTTGCCTGTAGTTTATAGATTGTGACTTCATCAAGAGCAGGGACTGTATCTTATTTATCTCTGAATTCCCAGGGCCTGACTCACTGCACGCCTTATTCTCATTATCCCCTTCCTTCTCAGATCCTGATTACCCTTCAAAAGAAAATGACAATGTGTACATCTGTTTACACATTTGGAGAATTCATGGTGTCTTTTATTTTCTTAACTGTTTTTACTTCAGTTGCTTACATTTTCTAATTATTTTAGAGGTTGGACATACCTATTTTATTTTCACTTGCCTGAGAATATGAATTCCAGCAATTTGAGAAATACACATTTTTTGTTTGTTTTTGTTTTTTTGAGATAGAGTCTCACTCTGTCACTCGGGCTGGAGTGCAGTGGCATGATCATGGCTCACTGCAACATCTGCCTCCCCGGTTCAGGCAATTCTCCCACCTCAGCTTCCCAGGTAGCAGGGATTACAGGTGTGTGCCACCACACCTGGCTAAATTTTGTATTTTTAGTAGAAACAGGGTTTCACCATGATGGCCAGGCTGGTCTCAAACTCCCGACCTCAGGTGATCCACCTGCCTCGGCCTTCCAAAGTGCTGGGATTACAGGCATGAGCCACTGCTCCCAGCCAAGAAATATACATGTTTTGAACCACAAGAAATCAATTTGTCTAGAGCATGAAGTTCATTGCAGTGGAAATTTTACTTGTCTCCTATACCATATTTATTTTTATAATGTGGATGAAGAGGAAAAATGAGAATCTTTGATAATTATTTTGTTGTTGTTCATCATAGAGTTCTATAGATTTTGACTGTAACCTTATTTTTTTACAGTAACATTTTTACTGTACTTGAAAGAAGGTACTTACTTATAAAAATTTCTAGATTTTCTCTATTTTTAAAACAAACAAACAAACAAACAAAAAGAAGTCTCGCCCTGTCACCAGATTGGAGTGCAGTGGCGTGATCTTGGCTCACTGCAACCTCTGCCTCCCGGGTTCAAGCGATTCTCCTGCCTCAGCCTCCTGAGTAGCTGGGACTACAGGCATGTGCCACCACGCCCAGCTAATTTTTGTATTTTTAGTAGAGACCGGGTTTCACCATGTTGGCCAGGATGGTCTTGATCTCTTGATGTTGTAATCCACCAGCCTCAGCCTCCCAGTGTGCTGGGATTACAGGCATGAGCCACCGTGCCTGGCTGATTTTCTCTATTTTAAAATTGATGAGTTTGCATATATCTTAGTATTCTACCAAGGATCTAGAACTTACTTTTAGTTGTGTCTCAATTCTAGAATTTGGATGAATGACATAATTCAAAAATCAAGTTTAGGTGAAACTTTATAAATTCAGTCTGAGACTTGGTCTCTTAGAAAACAGAATCTGATGCAAAGATGTGAAATATTGATGCTTTACTTGGGCAATGCAACCCCAGGCAGCAGCAGAAAAGTGAAGAAAAAGTGCACCAAGAAAGAAAGATGTGAAGAGATGCATTCCCCAACCACTGCTTTATCACAATGAGCTATGAAAAGACACTGCTGGGCCCCACAGGGGCACCTCCTCAGCACAGGGCACTGACAAAGACTCCTGCATGGAAAAGCTGTGCCCACAGAGCAGCCCATGTGGGTGGTAGGGGTTGACTTCCTCCTTCTTCCTGTTGCCATTGTTCAAAGTATGCTTCACAGGGAGTTAACTCTCCTGCACTTCTTTTTATTTTAGAGTGGGGGTCTCCCTCTGTCACCCAGGCTGGAGTGCAGTGGCATGATAATAGCTCACTGCAGACTCACACTCCTGGGCTCAAATGATCCTCCCACCTCAGCTTCCCAAGTAGCTAGGACAACAGGTGCACACCACCATGTCTGGTTACTTTGTTTATTTTATTTTCTGTAGAGATTAGGACTTGCTATGCTGCCCAGGCTGGTGTCAAACTCCTCGCCTCAAGCAATCCTTCCACCTCAGCCTTCTGAGTCCTTTTTTTTTTTGGTACAAATGTATGGGGTAAAAGGGCAATTTTGTTACATGCATAGATTGAGTAGCGGTCAAGTCTGGGTTTTTATTCACCTGAATAATATACAGTGTATCCATTAAGTAGTTTCTCATCATTCATCCTCTCCTACTACCTCACCCTTCTGAGTCTCCGATGCCTATCATTCCACTCTCTACATCCATTGTGCACATTATTTAGCTTCCACTTATAATTCCACATGTGATATTTGTCTTTCTGTGTCTGACTTCTTTCACTTAAAATAAAGACTTCCAGTTCTATTTATGTTGTTGCAAAAGACATAATTTCATTCTTTTTTATAGTGGAATAGTATTCGACTGTGTATCTATATCACATTTTTCTTTATCTGATTTTCCACTGATGTTCACTTAGGTTGATTCTGTATCTTTGCTTATTCTGTTCTATGCTGAACAGTGCTGTAATAAACACATGATATGATTTTTTTTCCTTTGGGTAGATACCTTGGACTGGGATTTCTGGTTTGAATGGTAGTTTTATTTTTAGTTCTCTGAAAAATCTCCATACTGTTTTCCATAAAGCTTGTAATAATTTACATTCCTACAAACAGTGCATAAGTATTCCCTTTTCTCTACATCCTTGGGAACATTTGTTATTTTTTGACTTTTTAATAATAGCCATCTTACATGGGGTAAAATGATATCTCATTGTGGCTTTATGTTTACTTTTTATTTTAATTTTCCTGGATAAATCTCATTTGTTTTTTATTGTCTTTTATGTTAAACTTTCTACAAAAGGACGTATAAATGGGTAAGTAGAGAATCTCTACCTACAAAATGTTTTCTCTGATGACTAGTGATGTTGAACACTAAAAAAAATATACCTGTTGGCCATTTATTTTTCTTGTTTTGGAAAATGTCTATTCATGTCCTTTGTCCACTTATAATGGGATTATTTGTTTTTTGTTTTTGTTGAGTTGTTTGAGTTCCTTGTAGACTCTGGATATTAGTCCCCTGTTAGATGCATAGTTTGCAAACATTTCCTCCCATTCTGCCATATTCTCTGTTCACTCTGTTGATTCTTTTGCTGTGCAGAAGTATAATACTTATAGGTCACATCATGTGATGGTTAGTTTTACGCGTCAACTTGATTGGTTTGAGGGATGCCTACATGGCTGGTGAAGTATTGTTTCTGGGTGTGTTTGTGAGGGTGTTTCCACAGGAGATTGATATTTGAGTCCATGGACTGGGAGAGGAAGACCCATCTTCAGTGTGGGTGGGCACCATCCAATCAGCTGCCAGCACAGCTAGAACAAAGTAGGTGGCAGAAGGTGGGATAAGTTTGCTTGATGAGTCTTCTGGCCCTCTTTCTTCTTCTTCTTGTGCTGGATGCTTGCTTCTGCTCCTCCTGGCCTTGGACATCAAACTCCAGTTCTTTGGCCTTTGAACTCTGGGATTTGCATTGGCAGCTACCTGGGGGCCTTCAGGCCTCTGACTGTAGATCAAAGGCTGTACTGTTGGCTTTTGTGGTTTTTGGGCTTTTGGACTTGGACTGAGCCACTGCTGGCTTCTCTCTTTCCCCAGCCTGCAGACAGAGTATTGTGGGACTTCTTGTAATAGTGTGAGCCAATTCTTCCTAATAAATGCCCTTTCATACATACATATATCCTGTTGGTTCTGTCTCTCTGGAGAACGCTGACTAATACACATCATTTAGCTCTGCTTATGGTCATTAAGTATGTTAAATTCCATTCTGTGTGGGCAGTGTTATTTTTATTTCCCTGTTTTGTACAAGCTACAGTTCACCAATGGCTAAGCTCTGTTGCTTGAATTCTGGTAGCAGAGGTAGGGGCCACACACACATGGCAGATGGGCCAGGCTGCATGGTGGTAGCTGAGAGCAAGGGATTTTCTTGCCCTAAGCAGGGTCCAGGAGGCAAAAGAGTCACACATAACCCAAAGAAGTGCATAAAATTAGCATCTAATAGAGGTGTTAACTCAAATTCTCCTCTTCCAGGGTTACCTGGCAAGTTTACAGAGAGGGAAGGAGAGCAGAATATTTCTGCCCAGAAGTTGCATCAAGATGACCAAGTTGCCATGAATAAATCATCACAGAATTTTGAACTGGAAAACAGAAACAAAAGCATTGAAAGCTAAAATGCTCGCGTAATCCTTTCTTGATTCTGTGTATCACCCTTGGAGAAGTCTGCATTGTCTCTTGCTGTAGGATGACTGCATGGGACACACTTAGTGACTCTTCTGAAGAAGCTTTCTGGTCTGCTTTCCTTTTCCCATGGTTTTTAAAGAGAATCTAGCTTTCTTGCCCCTGCCTTCTGCTAAAATAAATGTTAAAAAAAAACTGGAAAAATTAGTGACCTACAGTTTTCCAGGGATAAGACTCACCTATGGAGAAGCATTATTCCGACGACGTTTTTTGCTGAACTTGAAGCATTATTTCCAGAGAAAGGTATGTCCTGGCTCTAATTGCATTTCAGATTTTCACTTTTTCTTTGGTTAGGAAATAGAGTTGCAGGATGTTTTACCTTCAATGGATGTTTTAGGACCCAGCCAGACCATGAACAATTTTCCCCAAGGGCATGCAAAGTCAGCTGGTTCTAAATGTGCCTCCAGAAATCAGTAATCAAAGCTCTGGCTAGAAACATGTGTCCAGGTCTCTTCCCTATGCAGGGCTTTGGACGTTGACTCCAGTCCTCAATATGACCAATCAGGAGTTGGCACTCCTTACAACACCCTTCTTTTGAGGTCAGTTGCGGATTACCCGAATATTTTTTGAAAAATTTTACACAATGCCCAAGAGTAATCCTTAACTACATTTGTTAAATCCCCAAAGCATTATAATACACATATTCTAATAGTTTATTATCTTTGAGCCCTCTTCTCTGAATTGTGCTTCTTCTGTTATTTAACTGAAAGGAGTGGTATCAAAACCTGCGTCTGTGGAGTTGGGCTGGGAGTCCTGTCCTCTGCTGGGCAGCTTATGTCCCTTTGGTGGCTGCTCCCAGTCAGTTCCTGACCTGTTGCTGCCCTTCAGTGTTTGCTTTTAGATATCTCTCACCTAGAATGCCAAATGATCATTTGTGAACTGGAACAGTTCCCTGGGGCTAGTTGGTGGACAGCCCATGCATTCCAGACCACTGGCATCCCGAACTACTTGGAAATGGCCAATAAATGAGTGTTCTTTTTATTTTCCTGTTTTGTACGAGTTATATCACTAGTGGCCTAAGCCAAATGGCTTGAATTCTGAGATGTACATCTTATCATTTTTAAAGTCAATGCAGAGTAGTTTTTCCCAATATTTTGCTGACAATGGAGAAGGCTTGATATAGTATCTTTCTTTCCCTTCTTCCTGAAAGGACAGACTAACTCTCCAAATCGTTATCCAGCTTGACAGAAATCAATGAAATCCACTAGTGGAAATTCACATTTCACCCAACAACGTGAAAAGGCAAATAAATAAAAGTCTATTCAATTGTGCAAGTGCTTTGCAAGCTCTGTCTTGAAAGAAAAATAAAATAGGATGGCTTTGCTGATTTAAAAATGTGTTAGGGTGTTTCAATCTGGGTTAGTTCATGGCTTTATCTTGGAGATTTTGGCCACCTCTAACAAGGAATAGCTGGAAATTGTACTAGGCTGTTAACCTTCATAAAAGAGTAAGTAGTTTAATTTTATTGGATATTCCTTTTATTATATTGATCTGTTTTTTTGGCAGGTGCTTTGTTAAGAACTGTGGGAGATACAGGGACTTGGTATTTGCCCTAAAGGGGTTATATTCCTGTGTGGGAGAGAATATGTGGATGATATAAAGATGACTTGTATCATTAGAGTTGAACAGGCTTGTACAATATAGCAATTGCTAACAGACATTGCATTGACCTAATTTAGGTCTAAGAGGATTCTCCACTGATTGTTACTTGCTTGGCTAAAGTCATATCATAAAATAGTAAATCACTGTCTTGATTGGGAATAAGTACTCTCAGAATTGTCTCATAAAGTATTTGAAAAAATAGAAATTATAGTAAATGAATGAATGAATAAGTAAATAATTAATTAATATTTATTTCTTAAAATCAGGAGTTCTAAAACTTACCTAGAGCCTTGAATGTTGGAAAACTCTCTTTAAGTCAATGCCTTTAGCTTAGTTCTGCAAAATGCACTAGTGTTTCTTCACAAGCCACCTTTAGTGATAGTTTTTGCTATTCTTTTAGTTTTACTAGCTGTGTTTTTCCTTACAGGGAACTTAAGGTCTCTAGGGATTACTTAGGGTCTTCTGTCAGTACATGCTATTCAAAGCACAGTTTGGCATTCATTGGATGATTTCCTTTTTTATCCTTACTTTCTTTGTCTCTGCTTCTATTCCTGGCTATATTTTCAGCTGCCCACCTCTGCATTTTTTACATTATTGGTTCTTGGATCAATGGTAGAATGCCTTTTGTTTGTCTCCAGTACAAAAACAAATCATGAGTTGTTGGTTTTCTTTTTTTTTTTTTTTTGTCTCCCAAAGAGTCTTTGCTATTAGAAACCACCTTTAACTGCATAAAGAGCACAGATAACTAGTAAAGTGAAAGTTTAAAACTTGCTAGAGGTAAAGCAACTATAGTAGCAACCCTAGATAGAGTGTGGTTCATGAACTCGTGCCTGCCAGCCTAGCACTGGTTAGCTCCACTGGCGGCTGTGCATCCTAGGAAAACAGGCTCTCTGGATAGATATCAGAACTTGTGAGTGCTTCCAGAAATGACATGAAATTATAAATTGAGGAAGTCAGAAAATAATATGTCCATGTAATTGACCAAATTGTTGCTGACATTATTAAACACAAATGGCTAGAGATCCAGGTGATCTGGTAAAAATATATATATTTTTGGTAGAAACCTTAGGATTTTAAGACACTGTTAAATGCCTCTGAGTGGCTGCGGTTATAAGTGTTCTTTTTTGTTGTTGTTGATCTTCATATTCTGTAATGAGATCACATTTTTTAATGAGAGAAAGTAATATTTTAAAATATGAAATAAAAGCAGTTGGAAAGTTTAATTAAAAATTTTTTTGTCAATTATTCCTGTTACATTTACTGTAGGGGCAGAAGGAAAACTTCTCTTATGTTCCCTCTTAAGTTTTGCTGAAATGAATGACAATAGACAGATTAATAGGAGAAAAAGGTATATAAATTTATTAATGTGTATAAGCACAGTAGCCATGTAACATTATGAGACTCAAAGAAAAGTCAGATGGTTGAAGCTTATATATCCTCTTCATAGGAGAGAGGGGAAGGGAGATTGGGGAAATGTGGGCAATTGTGAGGGGTAGTACATGACTCTCAGATGAAATGAATAAGCCTGAAGAACAATGGCCTGGAACAAAGCTCCTTGGAGCTCCAAGAGATGTGGTGGGAAGGTGAGGGGTGGAACTTCACTGTAAACAAAGTTTGTCTTATTATGCAGATAAAGTCTCCCGAAAGTCTCCCTGGCAATCTCCCAGAGTTTCCCTGAGAAGAATATATGAAAAGTCTATCTGGGTGAGGTGACGACTTTTAGTCTCTTTCCATCAACCATTCCTGGTGAGTTATTTAATGAGATTCCTAGGGAGGGGTTTTAAGACAACTGCAATTCTTCTGCAAGAACTTCCTTTAATCAGATAAGGGAACTTCAGAGAAAGCCCCTCCTGGTACTTCTGGAAAGAAAGGGGACAAGAGAGACAGGGAGTGGAGAAGCTCAGAGAGGGAGCTTGGTCCCGAGGTTTATTTCTGAGGCCTTTCAGTTTCCTCTTATTCAAAGCACTCAGCATACCAAAGCACCATGCATACCAAACACAATATTGGAAAAGTAGTATAACTTTTTAAATTGTGAAAATTTGAGGAAAATGAAATGTTGTCAATCAATAGTTTCTTATACTGTATGTTTATCCCTTCTTGTGGCTTTAAAAATTATGGTGTTTTTAATATACATCTTACAGAAAAAGAATAAAAAATGATTAGAAATGGAAAAAAATCCAAAGCAGTAGAAAATAATGTTCTGAAAATAACATGAAGGATTGCAGAACTTCCCTGTAATGCCCTAAAATCTTATTTCTATGTTAAATCCCCACTGTATCCAACAGTAGAAACTAAATTGAAGCTGATTCTGGGCCTTGCTCACTTCCCCAAATCCATAGAGTTGCGTCTGTGTTATCTAGCACTTGTACAGTGCTAAACATGAGTGTGTGCAGTGTGAGGTCATGGCTCTTGGTCTTCATCATCCACCCACACGGGCAAGCACTAAAATATCCTTCTTGTCATTGGCCCTTATCAGTCACTGCTGTTCCTCCTGACTGAAGACTCTCCCACCGGCTCACAGGTCCCTCTTTCATGCAAGAAAAATATTAGACTGCTTCCATGTCTCTTTGATAATTTGATTCAAGCTTCTAAGGTCCTTCTGTCCCAGTGCCACATAACCATGTCTAGGCTATTGTTCTAGCACCAAGATATCCCCAAGATTATGGGTCTTGACAAGTCCCAAGCTGTCCTTGGAAATAGGATCTCCTCTGTTAGTCAGATTTTGAGACCCTTCTGATGTTTATATTACCAGCACCCCTGGCCTGGGGTGAAGAGGCCAGGCAGAAATCCGAATGGGGGAAGTTAAGCAGGGGCATGATGTGATCTGATCTCCATTTTAAAATTAAATTCTGTTTGCTGTGTACAAAATGGAATCTAAGGTGCGCTCGGGGAAAGAAGGAAACCCATATGGAGGCCACCTGTTACTCCTATGAAATAAACTAGAATCGCACCAGAGAGGTAGAAGTGGAAATGGCAAGAAGGGATCAGGTATGGAGAATAGTCTTGGCTAAGCTAGTCTAGACTAGGCTAGAATAGATAGGATATGACAAAATGAGATATATATATTTTTGGAGTTGATCAAACTTCCTGATAGATGGGATGTGCAACACAAAGGGGAAAAGAAGACTCTAAGATGAATTCCTAGAATTTTGTTCTGTTGGTATTGCTAAGGAATACAAAGAGTTTCTAAGAAAGAAAGAGTGGTCAGCAATGTTAAGTGCTGCTAAGTGGTTGTGTAGCACAAGGACAGAGAAGTGAAGAGGCTAAGAAAAAAAGTTAAAACAGGGAGGGAAGACAAAGGGGTTTAAGAAAAATACCAAGAGGGCTTTGGGACAGGAGAGGTGGGAGGAGGATAAAAAAGTAATACAGAGGCACCAAAGGGCACTCAGGGAGCCAAAGGAAGGTGCTTTGGACCATAAACTGCATTTCATGGAAAGCTTTATCATCAAATAGGAAGAGTGATTTCTACTAGCAGAGTGCTTATCTAGTCAATAAGCATTTAGAGGTATTTAGTCATTGTTATTATTATTTGTTTTTTGTAAATTGTCTGTTGACATTAATTGCCTGAAATACAAAGATGAGTAGAACAAGGTCCAGAATTAACCTAAAAACTGTTCTCAGGTTGGTGGGGGAGGTAAAACACAAACATGGACAATGCCTCCATGGTAAATGCGAACAGAGACCAGAGCAAGGAGCTGAGCACCACAGCCAACCAGCCATAGATGTTGGGATCTGATCAGCTTCAGGGTTAGGTTTCCAAAAGGAAAAGTGAGGGCAGATGTTTTCTAGGTGAAGGTATCTGCTACAGTTAGGAAGACATGGGTATGGAAATCACAGGGCTCCAAAAAGTAGAAGTCTGATTTATCTGGAGATGTGGTGGACAACAACAGGATAATGGGTAGAAGTGGGAAACATTAGAATAAACATAAAAGGTGTGCAGGGACCAAATCATAAAGGGTGGAAGTTAAAGGAAAAAGACTACTGTTGGCTCTAACTGTGTGTCCTTAGACCAAGTTCTTTAATACCTTCAGATCCTGTCTTCCACATCTGTAAAACAGTGTTACTGGGTTAAATAAGTGGCGTCCTAATCTAATTTATATAATCAATCATCATCAGTCATTTGTCTTAGAAGAGTTATCACACACCTGCTAAGCAGAGGGGGTGCATCCAGCACTGGACCATTATCTCTTTCATGGAAAAAAATCTTCCCTAGTTTTGTTACTTTCTTATTCTCATTTATAAGATGGTGATACATATGTATATCTTACATAATTATCAATACCATGACCATTTTTATGTGTGGTTTCTTTTTTTTAATACTTTTTTAAAAATTTACTTTAAGTTCTGGTATACATGTGCAGAACATGCAGGTTTATTACATAGGTATACATGTGCCATGGTGGTTTGGCACACCCATCAACCCATCATCTAGGTTTTAAGCATTGGATGCATTAGGTATTTGTCCTAATGCTCTCCCTCCCCTTGCCCTCCGCCCCCCGACAGGCCCCAGTGTGTGATGTTCTTCTCACTGTGTCCATGTGTTCTCATTGTTCAACTCACACTTATGAGTGGGAACATGCAGTTTGTTTTTTCATTCCTCTGTTAGTTTGCTGAGAATGATGATTTCCAGCTTCATCCATGTCTCTGCAAAGGACACGAACTCATTCTTTTTTATGAATGCATACTATTCCATGGTGTATATGGCCACGTTTTCTTTATTCAGTCTATCATTGATGGGCATTTGGGTTGGTTCCAAGTCTTTGCTATTGTAAATAGTGCTGCAATAAACATATGTGTGCACATGTCTTTATAGTAGAATGATTTATAATCCTTTGGGTATATACCCAGTAATGGGATTGCTGGGTCAAATGGTATTTCTGGTTATAGATCCTTCAGGAACTGCCACACTGTCTTCCACAATGGTTGAACTAATTTACACACCCACCAACAGTGTAAAAGCGTTCCTATTTCTTCACAGCCTCACCAGCATCTGTTGTTTCCTGACTTTTTAATAATCAGAATTCTGACTGGTGTGAGATGGTATCTCATCGTGGTTTTGATTTGCATTTCTCTAATGACCAATGATGATGAGCTTTTTTTCATATGTTTGTTGGCCACATAAATGTCGCCTTTTGAGAAGTGTCTGTTCATATTGTTCACCCACTTTTTGATGGGGTTGTTTGTTTTTTTCTTGTAAATTTAAGTTCTTTTTAGATTCTGGATATTAGACCTTTGTCAGATGGATAGATTGCAAAAATTTTCTCCCATTCTGTAGCTTGCCTATTCATCCTGATGATAGTTTCTTTTGCTGTGCAGAAGCTCTTTAGTTTAATTAGGTCACATTTGTCAATTTTGGCGTTTGTTGCAATTGCTTCTGGTGTTTTAGTCATGAAGTCTTTGCCCATGACTATGTCCTGAATGGTATTGCCTAGGTTTTCTTCTAGAGTTTTTATGGTTTTGGGTTTTACATTTAAGTCTTTAATCCATCATGAGTTAATTTTTGTATAAGGTGTAAGGAAGGGGTGTAGTTTCTTTTTTCTGCATAAGGCTAGCCAGTTTTCCAAGCACCATTTATTAAATAGGGAATCCTTTCCCTATTTCTCATTTTTGTCAGGTTTTGTTCTGTTCCATTGGTCTATATATCTGTTTTGGAACCAGTACCATGCTGTTTTGGTTACTGTAGCCTAGTGTGAAGTCAGGTAGCATGATGCCTCCAGCTTTGTTCTTTTTGCTTAGGATTGTCTTGGCTATACATGCTCTTTTCTGGTTCCATATGAAATTTAAAGTACTTCTTTCAAATTCTGCAAAGAAAGTCAATGGTGTCTTTATGGGAATACCCTTGAATCAATAAATTACTTTGGGCAGTATGGTCATTTTCATGATATTGATTCTTCCTATCAGTGAGCATGGAATTGTTTTCCATTTGTATGTGTCCTCTCTTATTTCCTTAAGCAGTGGTTTGTAGTTTTCCTTGAAGAAGTTTTTCACATCCCTTGTAAGTTGTATTCCTAGATAATATATTTTCTTTGTAGCAATTGTGAATAGGAGTCCACTCATGATTTGGTTCTCTGCTTGTCTATTATTGGTGTATAGGAATGCCTGTGATTTTTGCACATTGATTTTGTATCCTGAGACTTTGCTGAAGTTGCTTATCAGCTTAAGGAGTTTTGGGGCTGAGATGATGAGGTTTTCTAAATATACAATCATGTCATTTGCAAACAGAGACAATTTGACTTCCTTTCTTTCTATTTGATTATCCTTTATTTCTTTCTCTTGCCTGATTGCCCTGGCCAGAACTTCCAATACTATGTTGAATAGGAGTGGTGAGAGAGGGCATCCTTGTCTTTTGCCAGTTTTCAAAGAGAATGCTTCCAGCTTTTGCTCATTCAGTATGATATTGGCTATGGGTTTGCCATAAATACCTCTTATTATTTTGAGATATGTTCCATCAATACCTAGTTTATTGAGAGTTTTTAACATGAAGTGATGTTGAATTTTATTGAAGGCCTTTTCTGCATCTGTTGAGACAATCGTGGTTTTTGTCATTGGTTCTGTTAATATGATGGATTACATTTACTGATTTGCATATGTTGAACCAGCCTTGCATTCCAGGGATGAAGCCGACTTGATCATGGTGGATAAGCTCTTTGATGTGCTGCTGGATTTGATTTACCAGTATTTTATTTAGGATTTTCACATCAATTTTCATCAGGGATATTGGCCTGAAATTTTCTTTTTTTATTGTGTCTCTGCCAGGTTTTGGTATCAGGATGATGCTGGCCTCATAAAATGAGTTAGGGAGGAGACTCTCTTTTTCTATTGTTTAGAATATGTTCAGATGGAGTTATATCAGTTTCTCTTTGCACCTCTGGTAGAATTCAGCTGTGAATCCATCTGGTCCTGGGCTTTTCTTGGTTGGTAGGCTATTAATTACTGCCTTTCAGAACTTGTTATTGGTCTATTCAGCAATTTTAATTCTTCCTGGGAGGTTGTATGTATCCAGGAATTTATCCATTTTGTCTAGATTTTCTCGTTTATTTGCATAGAGGTGTTTATAGTATTCTCTGATGGTAGTTTGTATTTCTGTGGGATCAGTGGTGATATCCCCTTTATCATTTTTTATTGTGTCTATTTGATTCTTCTCTCTTTTCTTTTTTATTAGTTTAGCTAGCAATCTATCTGTTTTGTTAATTTTTTCAAAAAAAAAAACAGCTCCTGGATTCATTGACTTTTTGAAGGGTTTTTTGTGCCACTATCTCCTTCAGTTCTCTGATCTTAGTTATTTCTTGTATTCTGCTAGCTTTTGAATTTGTTTGCTCTTGCTTCTCTGGTTCTTTTAATTGTGATATTAGGGTGTCAATTTCACATCTTTCCAGCTTTCTGATGTGGCCATTTAGTGCTATAAATTTCCCTCTTAACACTACTTTAGCTGTGTCCCAGAGATTCTGGTACATTGTCTCTTTGTTCTCATTGGTTTCAAAGAACTTCTTTATTTCTACCTTAATTTTATTATCTACCCAGGAGTCCTTCAGGAGTGTGTTGTTTAATTTCCATGTAGTTGTATGATTTTGAGTGAGTTTCTTAATCCTGAGCTCTAATTTGATTGCACTATGGTCTGAGAGGCTGTTGGTTATGATTTCTGTTCTTTTGCATTTGCTGAGGAGTGTTTTACTTCCAATTATGTGGTCAATTTTAGAATCAGTGTGATGGTGTGCTGAGAAGTATGTATGTTCTGTTGACTTGGGGTGGAGAGTTCAGTAGTTGCCTACTAGGTCCACTTGATCCAGAGTTGAGTTCAAATCCTGAATATCCTTTTTAATTTTCTGTCTTGTTGATCTAATATTGACAGTGGTGTGTTAACATCTCCCACTATGATTGTTTGGGAGTATAAGTCTCTTTGTATGTCTCTACATGAATCTGTGTTCTCCTGTATTGGGTGCTTATATATTTAAGACAGTTAGCTCTTCTTGTTGCATTGATCCCTTTACCATTATGTAATGCCCTCTTTGTCTTTTTTGATCTTTTTTGGTTTAAAATCTGTTTTATCAGAGACTAGGATTGCAACCCCTTCTCTTTTTTTGCTTTCTATTTGTTTGGTAAACAGTCCTTCATCCCTTTATTTTGAGCCTATATGTGTCTTTGCATGTGAGATGGGTATCCTGAATACAACACACTGATGAGTCTTGACTCCTTATCCAATTTGCCAGTCTGTGTCTTTTAACTGGGGGAATTTATCCCATTTATGTTTAAGGTTAATATTGTTATGTGTGAATATGATCCTGTCATCATGATGCTAGCTGGTTATTTTGCACATTAGTTGATGCAGTTTCTTCACAGTGTCATTGGTCTTTATATTTTGGTGTGTTTTTGCAGTGGCTGGTACTGTTTTTTTTCCCATATTTAGTGCTTCCTTCAGGAGCTCTTATAAGGCAGGCCTGGTGTAGACAAAATCCCTCAAGATTTGCTTGTCTGGAAAGGATTTTATTCCTTCTTCACTTATGAAGCTTAGTTTGGCTGCATATGAAATTCTGGGTTGAAAATTCTTTTATTTAAAAATGTTTAATATTGGCCCTCACTCTCTTCTGGCTTGGAGGGTTTCTGCAGAGAGATTCACTGTTAGTCTGATGAGCTTCCCTTTGTAGGTGATCTGACCTTTCTCTCTGGCTGCCCTTAACACTTTTTCCTTTGTTTGAACCTTGGAGAATCTGACGATAATGTGTCTTGGGGTTGATCTTCTCGAGGAGTATCTTAGTGGTATTCTCTGTATTTCCTGAATTTGAATGCTGGCCTGTCTTGCTAGGTTGGGGAAGTTCTCCTGGATAATATCCTGAAGTGTGTTTTCCAACTTGGTTCCATTCTCCCCATCACTTTCAGGTACATCAATTAATCATAAGTTTGGTCTGTTCACATATTCCCATATTTCTTGGAGGCTTTGTTCAGTCCTTTTCATTCTTTTTTCTCTAATCTTGTCTTCACGCCTTATTTTAGCAAGGTAATCTTCAATCTCTGATATCCTTTCTTCTGCTTGATTTATTTGGCTATTGGTACTTGTGTATGCTTCATGAAGTTCTCATGCTATGTTTTTCAGCTCCAACAGGTCATTTATTTTCCCCTCTAAACTGGTTATTCTAGTTAGCTGTTCCTGTAACCTTTTATCAAGGTTCTTAACTTCCTTATATTGGAATAGAACATGCTTATTTAGCTTAGAGGAGTTTGTTATTACCCACCTTCTGAAGCCTACTTCTGTCAATTTGTCAATCTCATTCTCCATCCAGTTTTGTGCCCTTGCTGGAGAGGAGTTGCAATCATTTGGAGGAGAAGAGGCATTCTGGGTTTTGGAATTTTCAGGGTTTTTGTGCTGTTTTTTCCTCACTTTCGTGGATTTATCTACTTTTGATCTTTGAGAATGGCGACCTTTGGATTGAGTTTTTGTGTGGATTTGGGTTTTGAGTTTTTGTTGATGTTGTTGTTGTTGCTTTCTGTTTGTTAGTTTTTCTTCTAGTAGTCAGGGCTTTCTTCTGCAGATCTGCTGTAGTTTCCTGGAGGTCCATCCCAGATCCTGTTTACCTGGGTATCAGCAGTGGAGGCTGCAAAACAGCAAAGATTGCTGCCTGCTCCTTCCTCTGGAAGCTTTGTCCCACAGGGGCACTGGCCTAATGCCAGCCTGAGCTTTCCTGCATGAGGTGTCTGTCGACCCCTGTTTGGAGGTTTCTCCCAGTCAGGAGGCACGGGTGTCAGGGACCCACTTGAGGAGGCAACCTGTCTCTTAGCAGAGCTGCTGTGCTGTGCTGGAAGAATACCCCTTGTCAGGATCAGCTGCTGTCTCCACAGCCAGCAGGCAGGAAAGATTAAGTCCGCTGAAGCTTTGCCCATAGCCGTCCCTCCGCCTAGGTGCTCAGTCTGAGGGAGAAGAGAGTTTCATCTGTAAGCCCCTGACTGGGTTTGCTGCATTTCCTTCGGAGATGCCCTGCCTAACCAGTCCCGATGAGATGAACTGGGTACCTCAGTTGGAAGTGCAGAAATCACCAGCCTTCTGCATTGGTCTCACTGGGAGCTGCAGACTGGAGCTGTTTCTATTCGGCCATCTTCAACTATACTTCTTGAGTTATTTTTCTATGTGTGGCTTCTTTAACAATTATGGAAATAAAGATATCAAATGAGTTTGAAGTAGTTTGGCAGCAAGATATTAAGTATTTCAGCATATTCATTAGAAATGACACCTGTTTATAAATAATCATTCGAAACATATTTTGACCCACTGATAGGTTTTATTAATTTTTTTATTTTTTATTTTTTCTGAGACAAGGTCTCCTCTGTCATCTAGGCTGGAGTGAAGTGGCATGATCACAGCTCACTGCAACCTTGATCTCCCAGGTTCAGGCGATCTTCCCACTTCAGCCTCCCATGTAGCTAGGACCACAGGTGCATATCACACGTCCAGCTAAGTTTTGTTTTTTTTCTTTCCATACAGGTGAGGTTTCCCTATGTTGCCCAGGGCTCAAGTGATCCTCTTGCTTTGGCCTCCCATAGTGCTGGGATTATAGGTATGAGCCACTGTGCCCAACCCCATCTGTATGTTTTAGTCTAGCTATCAGAATAAGTTGTCTAATAAGAAAATGTCAATGATAATAAGGCAAATATTCCAACGATTGGAAACAAATATGTAAATGAGGCTCAAAATATAAAATCTGCAACAGAGTTTTACTTTTTAAATAAGCGAGGTGCAATATTGGTGTGTCATGCTGAGCATAAATGATACTTTGACTCATTTAGCTTCATTTTTCAGTACCTTTAGGGAAATTATCTTTACAGCAAAATACATAGTTTGCTATGCTTTTGCATAAAAATGGAGAGATGACATATGAATAAAATCTAACAAGCATTACCTCTGGTCTTGTTTTGTACCCTAGTCTTAAGAAAGTGGTACAGTGTTAATAAGGCAAAACTAAATGAAATCTAGGTGCCATTTTATGACTTCATTGAGCCTCATCACTGAGAATGTAATTTCTCAAAATATGTCTTCTATCTCTTAATGCTTTTTCTTCCTTTAAATTTTTGGGAAACCACTCCAAATATCAAGTGAAAGGATGAAGACATGGCATAAGTATCCTGAGTGGCCTGTGCGCAGAGGCTCACACCTGTAATCCCACCACTTTGGGAGGCCGAGGTGGGCAGATCACTTGAGGCCAGGAGTTCAAGACCAGCCTGACCAACATGGCAAAACACTGTCTCTACTAAAAATACAAAAATTAGCTGGGCATGGTGGCATACCTGTAGTCCCAGCTACTTGGGAGGCTGAGGCAGGAGAATCGCTTGAATCTGGGAAGTGGAGGTTGCAGTGAGCCGGAATCATGCCACTGCACTCCAGCCTGGGTGACAGAGTGAGACTCCATCTCAAAAAAAAAAAAAAGGTATCCTGAGTCCTGACTCCTTGTTCTTGTTCCCCCCTTAGCTAGTTGGACTAGTCATTCACTTCTCTGGGCCTTGGTTGCCTAATTAGAAGGTGAGGGTGCCAGACAGAGGATCTCTCATGGATATTCCAATTCTGATAATTCATGGAGTGACACAGCAGAATTGCTGAGGTCCCACTGGTGAGCCAATTGTATTAGATGAGCTGTGTTTTGTATATTCACTACTGAGAATGTTTGCTGTCTTGATGTCTTACCGTTTTGAGAGGCTTCCCTACAGATTATCAATCTCTATGTCTACAAACAATGCATATTTCTTAAAATGTCAACTTTATTTTGACCTTTGTATCTAAAATAGCTTGAATGGTTGCTCATCTCTATAGAGGCTGTACTGGTAAATCTTGTGCCAGTTACAGGGAGTCATTGTGGTTCTGTCAGTGGCAGTAGCGTTCCTGGGATCAGTATGGTCTTGCAGCAAAGAGGATGGGTTTGAAGTTAGCAGGCCTGGATTTGAATCTTGGTTTTGGTCTTTACCGGTGTATCAGAAGGTTCATTGTAACTATTGAGTGAGTCATCAAGATACAAGAAAGTTTTCAGATGGAGATGCTGATTTTTAAAGGAAGTACGTGGGAATCAATTTCACAAATTCCCAAGTTCATCACATGTAGGGAGGATATTAAAAGATTCAAAAAGAATGTAGAGAGAAGACTTGAAAGAAGGTGGGATGTTTTTTGAGAGCTTATGGAGTTCTGTGAGTCTCATATTCCTCCCTGAGCTACTAATGAGATAGCTTTGAGCTTTAACAGGACTTCTTAAATAGTATGAAGTTCTGACGATGGAGCACAGTATCTTTTAGAAATCTCTCAGTCCACAGGGTGGCTGCTAAAGTGTTCTGAGGGCTACAGTAGCAAAGAAGGGCTGTTGTGGGTCCTTCCCGGGTCTTTCCTGTGGGCCACATGTGAAAGAGCTGATCTGCAGTCATTTTACATTTTTCCTGAGAGGACCTCCTTGGAGGTCCAGTGGAGAGGTTGTTTCTATGGAATGGACCATGAGAAACCCAGGGTGGAGGGCCAAGGGACACCTAGAGGAAAACTGCGTCTCCTGGCCTTGGGAGTTGTTGCCAGAGAGTTCATGAAGGTGCCCACTAGAGATGGATTTGGCTTTTTCATAAGCCAGTTTCATAGGTAGTCAGCACAGGACAGCAGGTAGGAAGTCTCTGTGCCTTTCTGCCTCCTCCTTCTCTATATCTGATCCAGAAGAAACCTAGAGGCAGCCATGATGTGGGAGGGTAGGTCAAGGAGAAGGTGACATAGCAACTTGGAAACAGAAGGCTGAGGATTTCCTTCTGTGCTTCTTGCTGGAGGAAGCAATCAGATGTAATTTCTAAATTGTGACTATGAACTGGCCATAAGGCTTTAATTTTCTCATAGTGATCAAAAAAGTCTTGAGTTTGCCTGACTTTTTATCCAGCTGAGTACATTTCAAGGAACAGAAGAAACAAAAATAAACTTGTATTCTGAGTATCTCACAGGCAAGCTTGTACCATTTACTGGAATCTAGAATGACATTGACCTAGGGACCTTATTTAGAGTGGTAGAGTTCCATTGCCCCAGTTATCCTCAGATGGTGCTATCTAGAGAGACTTAGTGGACTAATGATCCTTTTCCCATTGTCCATTTCTTCATTTCTAAATATGCCGTGTTTGTGCAGAATCAGAGCAACAATGATGTTAAAATGTTTCACTCTTGGTAGGAGTTTGATCAATGATATCTTTCTTTAAAACCATCTTAATTTGAAATGAATTCATAAAATAATAATTTTGATTTGATTACAACCATTTTGAAAGAGAAATAAATTTAGAGTGAAAAGCATATTAAAACCCTTCAACTGTATTCTGATGAAAGGGTTTCTTTCTGCATATCCACAGCAGCTTTTCTACAAGGGCAGGCAGGTAGTGCGACCGTTTTCTCTCTTATTATCACAGCCAGCAATCAGAGCAGCAGGACCTCCTCCCTCTCTCCCTCTCAAAAGAGATGGGAGGGTGGGGCAAAGCTCATCTCCCAGGAGAGCTCCTGACAAAACGGTCTCTATTTTTAATATCCACGAAAGCTATACATTTTCTCAGACGATTCTTAGAATCAAAGGAAAGAGCATATTCTGGCCCACTAGGGTCTTAGAAATTGTCACCTTCTCCTTGGGTGGCTATTGGGGTGACAGTAAACAAGCAACAGATCTTCAACAAAAGCCATTAATAGATGCTGAAGCACTCAAGTACCCCTCCTCACATCCCTCCACCTCCTCACCTGGTGCAGAAACACAGAGACTCAGATGAAGTGAAGCTGTTCTTTCCGAAACGTAGCGACCGATGCCTTCTTACCTCTTGTTAACCCATGAGCTGTGTGAACAATGGGCAAGTAGTTCTCTTTTGAGATTGTAGCTGTGTTGGGTGCAGAAATATGGGTAATATCCACATTAGAATTTTCAGGAGTTACAGAACTGTTGTCCATTTCACTGGATAGAGGAGGATTCTCTGGAGTCGTCAGTGAGGCCGAATTTCCATTCATGATTTCAGGGGACATAGTTGACATTTTTGCCATCATGCTGTGCTGGGCAGAGCCTTGTCACCATGGATCAAAAAAAGATAACAGAGGCTCCTCTGTATCAGAATCTGGAATGACATTGGTCTGGAGGCCTTATTTAGAGTGGCCCCTGCCTCAGTTCTCAGCAGAGACTTATTTCTGTAGTACAAATACCCGGGAACTTAGGCAGGCCGGACAGGTCATGTTCTGTGTGTGAAACGTGTCTGGGTGGTTTTAGTCCAGTATTAAAAACTTAATTTCATCAGCAGTTTGTCAGAATTGACTTTGTTAGGAAAGCACATTTTGGGTGATTACTAATACAGCAAGTATATCTGTCGTTCTCTTTCTCAAATTAAAAAATTTGTTGATATAATACAAGTACAAAGATTCACAAGTCAAGTAGTACTGGAGGGGATTTAATAATAAACAGTTATCTCCTGTTTCACCCTTTCTCACCCCTCAGTTCCACTCCAAAAAGCCAACTATTTCCAAATTAGTAGTGCTTTATTCACCCTGGTATTTATTTCTGTATTTCTAAAGAAATTGCATATGCTTGCTGTTTCTTGATTTATCCACTTTAGTCATTATCTATTGTCTTTTTATTATAGAAGATAAAAATGTGGGAGGTACTTTTTTGAGATCTCACATATTAAAAATGTGTTTTCTAGTATCTCAGTATTAATTTAGGAGTTAAACTTTTGTGCTGGATGTCATCTTTGTTTAGAATTTTTAGGTCTCCTGTTCCAGGTTTCATTCTGATTTCATTTTTTTTTTTTTCCTGCAACTATTCTCCCACCTCTCTAACCCTCAGAACCTTGTAGGATCTTTTCTTTATCCTTGGTTTTATGGACCTTATAGGAATGAGTCTTGGTGAGTCCTTTTTCTTTTATTTGGCTGGAATTTGCTGTGCTGTTTCAACTGGAAAACTTAATTTTATAATTCATTTGATACTTTCTTCTCCTCTATTTCCTCTGTTCTTTTAGTCAGGTATTATAACTTGGGGAGGTAACTTAGATATTGATTCTATGTTTAAAGTTTCTAAGTTTCTTTTCTTTATTTTAAAAATAATTTTATGGGTCCATAGTAAGTGCATATATTTATGGGGTACAATAAATATTTTGATACAGTCATACAATGAGTAAAATGCACTCCAGGTAAATGAGGTACCTATCGCCTCAAGCATTCATCCTTCCCTTGTGTTACACACAATCCAATTATACTCTTTTAGTTATTTTAAACTGTGTCCTGAATTATTGTTGACTGTAGTCACCCTGTTGTGCTACCAAATACTAGATCTTACGTATTCTATCTAACTATATTTTTGTACTCATTAACCATTCCCACTGCACCTCAGCCCCAACTACCCTTCCTAGCCTCTGGTAACCATCCTTCTATTCTCTATCTCCATGAGTTCAATTCTTTTAGTTTTTAAGTCCCACAATTGGATGAGAACCTGTGAAGGTTGTCTTTCTGTGTCTGACTTATTTCACTTAACGTAATGATCTCCAGTTTCATCCACACTGGTAAATGACAGGCTCTCATTCTTTTCTGTGGCTGAATAGTTCTCCATTGTGTATACATAACACATTTTCTTTATCCCTTCATCTGTTGATGGACACCTAGATTGCTTCCAAATCTTGGCTATTGTAAATAGTGCTGCAATGAAATTATGGGAGTGCAGATATCTCCTCAGTATGCTGATTTCCTCTCTTTTGGGAATATCCCTAGCAGTGGGATTGCTGGATCATATGGGAATTCTATTTTTAGTCTTTTGAGGACCTCCATACAGTTTTTCACAGTGGTTGTATTAAGTTACATTCCCACCAACAGGGTGCCATTTTCTCCACATCCTTGGCAGCATTCATGATTGCCTGTCTTTTGGATAAAAGCGATTTTATCCAAAATGGGTGAGATGATATCTCATTGTAGTTTTGATTTGCTCATATAAATGGAGTCATACAGTATTTGTTTTTCTGTGACTGGTTTATTTAGTTAGTTTCACGCCCTCCAGGTTCATCCATATTGTCATATGTTGCAGGATTTCCTTCTTTCTAAAGGCTGAATAATATTCCATTGTTTGCATATACCACATTTTCTTTATTCATCTGTCAATAGGTTGGCTTCACATCTTGTCTATTGTGAACAGTATCACAGTGAACATGGGAGTGCTAATATCTCTTTAAGATCCTGATTTACATTCCTTTGGAGAAATATCAGAAGTGTGATTGCTGTATCCTATGGTAGTTCTAGTTTCAATTTTTTGAGGAATCTCTACACTGTTTAATACAGTGGCTGCATCATTTTGCACCCACACTAACAGTGTACAAAGGTTTTAGTTTCTCTATATCCATATCAACACTTGTTGTTTTGGTTCCATTGATAATAGGCATCCTGACAGGTATGATGTAATATCTTATTGTGATTTCAATTTGTGTTTCCCTGATGATTAGTGACATTGACCATTTAAAAATATATATGTTTACCCATTAATCATATGTACGTTTTCTTTGGAGAAATGTCCATTCAACTTCTTAACCCATTTTTAAATTGAATTATTTGTTATTTCTTTAACTACTGAGTTGTAGGAGTCATAGATTCTTGAACTTAATGAAATTTGTTATTTGATCTTTTTATGTTTGGCAATTCCCATTAAGCAAATCACTTGGCTGAGGTTGTACCTTGGAATAGAACCAAGTAGTTTCAGTTCTAAGTAGCCTTTGAAAACAATATGCTTTTACCTGAAAGTGGTCTGTAAAGATTGTATGGGCCCTTGATAACATGGGTTGGCTACTTACAGAAAAGCAGATGCTTTGGGTGAGATATGCACCTGCCCAGCCTTGTGTTATGTGGCCTTAATATTTTCAGTGTTAAAATCAGTTCTAGGCCAGCAGACATTTCTTCTATCCAAGGATTTTATGCACAGAGAAGCTGCATGGAGGAGTAGAATTCTGGAGGTAACATGATGATTTACCTGTGGAAAAGCGATGCCATATTTCACAAAGGCACCATTCATGGGTAAGAGCTGTAATTTACAGTTTGCAAGCCATTCTTTTTTTTTTTTTTTTTTTGTGGTCTTGCTTTTTCACTCAGGCTGGAGCTCAGTGGCCCAATCATGGCTCACTGCAGCCTCGACCTCTCCAAGTTCAAGCGATCCTCCCACATCAGCCTCCCAAGTAAGCTGACAGGCACATGCTACTGTGTATGGCTAATTTTAATTTTTTAATTTTTTTTGTAGATATTGCTGGGGGGAGGGGTCTCATTATGTTGCCTAGGCTGGTCTTGAACTCCTGGCCTCAACAATTCTCTTGCCTTGGCCTCCAAAGTGCTGGGATTATAGGTGTGCTGTTGGCTTCTTTATTGGTCACCTTTTTACTCAGTTTAATATTATGAATGGTAATGGAATTTAATTAGCCTTAAGTTGTTTGCTTAAGTCACTGCTTCAGTAGAGGAGTCTGGGATGAGTCATTGTAGATATTTCAGGATATAGGTAGGCAGTATTTGTTTCCTGGTCTTTATCATAATCACAAGCCCTTGAAAGAGACTCCTATAATGCACCCATAGGATAAAAATGTAGTGCATAGGTAATCTTAGCGATCAGCACTTTAGACTTATTTATTAGTGCCTCATGTGTGAGAGGAACCATGCTGACTGCTGGGTTAAGCAGGTAATTAATTAAAATGTTATGTTATTTTTCTGCAGTTTGGTATTTATGGTATTTGTTGGGTTTCAAATTTATTTGTTGAAAATTTTTTTATTTTAAATATTCACGTTTGTGCCTAATTTTATATTCATAACTTCTGGTGTTCTTATTTGAAAGAAGTTTCTCCAAATTGAATTACCTAGAGGACCACACAACCTGGACAATCTGAACAACTACTGGCCTAACCCCTTTGGAATGCAGGTGACTTGGGAATAGGGACTTTGCCTACCGTATTTACTACTGTATTGTCAGTGCTTAGTGGAGCACATTGCTTTTCGCAGATTCTCAAACAAGAACATGATTGCTGTTCAGAATTTTTTGCAGCCAACATTGAGCATCTCCCAGAAACACAGCAGCCTCTGGGTGGATGTCCATAGTAGATTGTGTATACCTCATATTGAGTGAGGTGAATACCAGCAGCTTTCAAGAGTCAGTCAAAGGGAATACTGGGAAGCCTGCCTTTGTTTCCCTCCTTACTCTCATTCTTCTTTCCTCAAATACATAGCTTTCCAAAATGTAAGATTTCCTAGTTTTTATTTTTGTGGCTTTGCTCTCTCATTGGTAAGGTATGGATTCAAAATGGCAGTGGCTCATGCCTGTAATTCCAACACTTTGGGCAGCCAGGGCAGATGGATTGCTTGAACCTAGGAGTTTGAGACCAGCCTGGGCCACTCACAAAACATACAAAAAAATTACCTGGGTGTGGTGGCGCATGCCTAAAGTCCCAGCTACTCAGGAGGCTGAGATGGGAGGATTGCTTGAGTTCAGCAGGTCAAGGCTGCAGTGACCTGTGATTGCATCATTGCACTCCAGTCTGGGTGACAGAGTGAGACCCTGTGTCAAAAAAATAAAGAAAAAGAAACAGCATATAAAAGTACCACTGTCTAGGATTTCCAAGGAGATTAAATGGGATAAAGTCTGTGAAGCACTCAGTACAGCGATGGGGAAATCTTAGCTGCCATCATTCTGATCTTATTCCTAGAGCGCTTGTCTCCATAAAGTCATAGTTATTGATGATAATGGTACAAAGTGGGTTTTTATATTTCCACAAGCTCTAGAAAACCCCGATATGAGGTCAGTCACAGGTGGTGGGAAATTCATGTTTAGGTTCCACAGACACCAAGGTACATAATAACAGGCTTCTGCTTAAAGTCTCCAAGCTAGAATCAGTATCATGAATCTTCGGCAGCTGGCCCACCGATATGCGACTCTCTAGAATCTTCAAAAGCAATGCTTAACATTGCTAACATCCAAATTTCCTGGTGTATATTGAAATGAATGTTAGTACTTGAAAATAGGTTTAACACATGATCCAGCTTTCTTTTTACGTGGTCCCTGTTTTTGTCAGAATATATTACATTGAGCCAACAAAGGCAGACAATGTCATTGTCTTAGTCTGTTTTCATGCTGCTATAAAGAACTTCCCTGAGACTGAGTAATTTATAAAGGAAAGAGGCTTAATTGACTCACAGTTCTGCATGGCTAGGGAGGCCTCAGGAAACTTACAATTATGGCAGAAGGGGAAGCAGGCACCTTCCTCACAAGGTGACAGGAGAGAGAAGAGCAAAGAAGGAATTCCAAACACTTATAAAACCATCAGATCTCATGAGAACTCACTCACTATTGTGAGGACAGCATGGGGGAAACCTCCCCCATGATCCAGTCACCTCCCTCACTCAACGCATAGGGATTACAGGTCCCTCCTTCGACATATGGGGATTATAATTTGAGATGAGATTTGGGTGGTGACACACAGCTAAACCATATCAGCAGATCCTTCATAAATATTTATTGAGTCCAAAACCAGAGAGCTAAATGCACCCAAAATTCCTACAACAAAACATGACAGAACCTAAAATAGGATAGAAACACTAATATCAAGTCCTGGAGTTTCCTGGTATTAACAACAAAATAGCCCAAATTTTCTTCTAACTTGAACCACTTGAGAATTGACCTTTAAGACTATGATATAAAATTTAAATGAGATAAACACTGCCATGAAGACAAAGTCACGGAAACGCAGTGATTTGCTAGGAATTAAAGAACTGCAGCTTTGGTGCTACAGGTCTATTCTGTTTTTGTTTTTGTTTCTGTTTTTTCCAGGGAGATATTGAACATCAAACAATGTATCATTCCAGAATGTTGTTTTTACATTTTTTTGGTGTGAAAATTTGACACAAACATGTATTGATTCTGGCTCTAGTGTGTAATAATTACATGGAGAAAAACTGGCCCTCTGAATTTTGCTTTTAATTAAATAAAATTTAATCCCGTATTACTGGTGATATGCTGAAGCAGGAGGATACTTTGCAAACTTAATGTGAAATTTATTAAGTCTACAAAAGTTGATTGTACACTTAGCTAATGCCAGATGCTGTGATAGGTGCAAGTTTTCAAAAATCAATTTACTCTTCAAGGCGCTTGCAGTCTAGAAGAGGCTGGTGTGCAGGAGAAAGTCTTCGCAAGGCTGTCTGTCAGCTGGTATAACAGTACCACTGGGTATAAGCAATGGAGTGGTTAGAAAAGGTTTAGAAGGTATGGAAAGGAGACATTTAAGGAGGGGCTCGACATTGGTGCTCTTTAGTGTCTGGGGAATTAGATAAGTAAGGCTTGGGGAAGTAGGGATTTAGAGAGGAAACAAGATTTGGGAACTGTCTTCCTGCTACTGATCATTGGTCTGTGAGCACTAGGGAGCCACTGGAAGATTTTTAAGTACCAGAGACACTCAGTGATATCTGAACTGAAGAAAGATAGTGTGGCTGGGAGGTGAAATAAAAAAAATCCAGTCAACATGAACCAAGTTAGAATACCTCTGCTCCAATTTTCTCATGGAAGCAGTGTATGTACAAGTGTTCATCACCTGGACAACAAAACAAAACAACAGATGAAACATAAACCTATATAAATTAAAATGGAATGATTATTTGCAGTGTAAAAGAACTCCTCCTCTTGACTAATTTGAATCACATGATTTTCAGGTAGCAAAAGAGAATTTAGTCACATTTTTAGAACACCTCCTGCCTCCCTTCCTCTAAGTTGGATACAACCAGGTTAGTAATATATATGCAAGTATTTTAGAAGGAACCCTGAGGAAAAACCTAGGAAGGGATCCCTGGGATGACCACACTTAAATTATTTTTCTTATTCTACAGTTATTCTACTTCAAATAAAATTTCCTTTGGGGTAACCATTTATTGCTCTCTTTGTGAAGCAATTCTCCTGCTCAAATTCTCGAGGGAAAGAGCCCAATTCAGAGACCCCCTTTCCTGCATCCCTTCCCTCTAATTATATATTGCACTTTACTCAGGTTTTTCTCAAATTTTCCCTTTCCCTTGTTTCTTGGCCTTCATGACATATTCTTAATAAGGCAAAGGAAAGAGATAGATAAGTCATAAGCCACAGGTGTGTTATCATCCCTCTGCATCATGGACCTGGCCTCTAGCTGGTCCTTTTCTCTCTGGAGATACAGTGGGGGCAGGAGAGCATGAAAGAGATTCAGGATTATGAGAAGTACAGATTTGAATGGCAAGTCAACAAATCTACTTTCTCTACAGTAACTATGCTCCCAGAGGGGCCAATTCATCAAAAAAGAGTTTGTTAGGGAGGTGAAGGCCACTAAGCAATTTCCCTGGGAGACAGAATTATGAGTTTGGGGAGAAAGCCTCGAAATCCAATAGAAATAAAATGTGTTGGGCTTTGTATGAAAAGACAAAGACATTCACTTGGTCTTGCTTGGACTGTGCATCACTGCCTTGCTGCCCTGAAAGCATTTGCAAAGCCTCTCAGCATCTATAGCTCTGCACCTTCTTGGCTGTTGATGTCTTTTGTTACAACATGGTTCTTCCTATGAATCAGTGTGTGCCGAACCCTGGAGAGAAAAGCAGGCAGCATTTTGTTCTTGTCCTCTTCTATACCATCTTTCAAGGTCCACCCTTTCAGTACCTTTCTATAGTCCTCTGGTTAGCACAGGCTGTTTGGCAGCTCTGTAAGTCAGTCATGTCTCCCGTTCCCATGAGTGTACCTTTCTATTCTCCTTCCTTCAAAACTAGCCCCTGTATCTTAAGTCAGGGTTTGTAGAAGCACAGCCAGGGATTCAGATGCATGTGACATACTGAAGGAGGGCTCTTGGGAGAAGGGGAGTGAAGAAGCAGGATAGGACATGGGGCAATGCTGATGGATGGGGTCTTGGCAGGGGACCAGTGTCATCCTGGTCCCAGTGAATGCTCTGGAGCACATGATCTGTACCACAGAGTCAGCTTTTTTTGAGATATGGGAGTTTGCTTTTTGTGCCCCTTATCAGTCAGTGATTGGCTGTGGGCTGTCCCAGGTTGGGGTGAAGGTTGCCTAACCTCTCAGGAAAGGCTGATGCCTTTAGGCTGAGGACAGTTGTCTGCAGAATGGACAGTTGTGGGCCATGAGCAGCCAACACTCAAAGGAGTTGGGGGGTCAGTAACTTGGGCAGTAGGTCAATCTGAGTGTAAAGGGGTCAGGGCAGAGCACCAATAGCATCAACTGCATGTACTCCTTGCCTTTAGGCCAGAGTTTCATACCAATCTTTAAGAGATGATAAGTGCCTATCCTGTTTTCTTTTCCAGGAGTGTTTGCACCATGTCCTAAGCTGTAGGAAATAATGAACAGTGGCGGAGCCACAGGCATTATGCATGAGTCATGTGGAGAATTCTTTGGGCAGTAGGCAGAACCATCCTAGTATCTTGTTCATCATATTCACAAAACTGGAGTTCTAGCCGGAAGCTTTGTGTTTCTGTCAACTACACATATTTCCTGGTAAAGCTCAGGGCTGCATGGTTTGATTCATGGTTTGTATGCATCCTCAGAGAGTTGTTTCTTTAATTCTCCAGGGTACACACATCCAGCTCAGATATGTGGCCCTAGGAAGCTGAGTTATACTAAGCATGGATCTCTGCAGTGAGACTCTGTGATCCTGTAGTAGACATGGCTACCAGATTTGTGTAGTTTCTTCCATTGTTCCAATTCCTGGGAGCAGCTGAGTAGCCAAGGACTACATTTACTAACTTCCCTTGCATGAAAGTGAAGCCATACAGCTATTCTCGTCAATGAAGTGTGGGCAGAAATGTCATTTGTCACTTTGGGGCCCATGTGACTAAAAGGCAGAGATGACTTCTCCACTATCTCTGTTCTTCCCTCTGCTACGTGGATGTCAACATCTAGTTTGCAGAAAGTTGGGATGGAAGAGTCTGTGCCTGAACAACCTGTGGAACTCCCCTGCAAACACATAAATTGAACTGATATATGAGCAAGAAATAAATTTCTGTTGTATTAAGCCACTGAGATTTTGGGTTCCTCAGTTAAAGCAGCTGATGTTAATTTAATTTACACAGGTGTGGAACCCATAGTTGTCTGCAGTGAATGCTGACTCACAGGTGATCTTTGTGAATTAGTGAGGGGGAAGTTGGATGCTTACAGAAACAAAAGTTTCTCAGCTATGGTTAGGGAGCTTCCATTTAATGTAAGCATCCTAATATAAAGGTAATACTAGAAGTGCTGATGTGTCTTTATACTCCCATCATTGCAGCAAACACCGCCAAAGTGGCAGAACTTAGGGAAATCTCTCACAGAGTTTTTGTGATTTCAAAAGTGGTGTAGTGCAAACTGATATATGATCAAGACCTGGTCATTATTGTTAATCGTGGTCGAAGACAATTCTGACTCTGCAAAGCAGCTCAGAAAATACAGAAGGCAGTGTTGATAACCTCTGAAATAAATGCTGTAGGAATTGACAATTCATTTGTCTAGATATGATGGCTCAAGTTGCATATTCATCATTCTCTTATAGTTTTGAAATACTTGAAAGTTCTCTCTAAATCATTAAGAGATTAAATTGTATGATGTAATTCCCATTTATTATGTCTCCATGGAGAGATACTAAATGAAGTCTTAGAATACTAATGTTAGCGTTCCTCAAATATATGTAAGGATTCCTGATTCTTTGGATTGAATTGGTTAGCCTGGCTTGTTTACCGAGATAAAAGGGAAATATTTTAATTACATATTTGAGAAAACACATCATAGCCTCGTATAATCACTAGAACAATGACTTGTCCCCACTGTGGCTTATGAAACCAAATTAGCACGGAGGAAATGGGTCTCTTGTATTAAAATTTATTCCAAGCTCACTGCTGAAGGCAACTATCAGAGCTGATACACAGAAAAGAAATGGTGCTAACAAAGTGCTGCAGAGACAGGAACAAGTCAAATGTGCCAGGAAAGCAATTAATATAATGCTTATTTCTTCAAGCAATTGAATCAAGGTCAAGAAGAAAGCTCTAGTCTTTTGAAATTCTTACATCATCTCTTTACTTTGGACTATAGAAGCTGAGAGTTCACTTGCAGAGTTCTCTCCTGAAATCACATAAATAGCCTAGATATTGGAAAAGTATTTTAAGAAAACTTCGAAACTAACGGTTAACTCTCATTTTTTTGTTTGTTTAAAAAACAGAAAAGAGGGACATATTCGTTATTGAAAAAATTTAAGCCAAACAGAACGAACATGATAAAAAGTGGAAGTTCCCTATGACTATCCTTCCCAGTTACCAGGGTAATCACTAATATCAACTCTGTATATACCCTTCTAGGTACAGAATATACAATGCACCATATGTTATATTATACATAGTATACAGTATGGGTTATATACTGTATGACATATTACGTATAAATAGAATATGCTTATACATACAAATGTTCTTATATAAAAGAATACCATATTTGTACACACCTGTACAATTTGCTTTTATTTCATTCAAGAATGCCATGAACAATTGAAAAACTGGGAAAAATGCTATGGTTTATGTCACAGAAAATGTTTTAATATCACTTAGTACATACTAAAGCTTTCTAAAACTTGAGAAGAAAATATTAACAGCCATTTAAAAATAAGCAAGAAATGTGAACATACATTTTACAGAAAAGGATGTGCAAATAGTCATTAAACATGAAAATGTGATCAACCTCACTCACTTTAAGGTGGTTAAAATTATAAATCTACATTGTGAAACCATTTCTCGTTTGTCAGATTGACCAAATACTACAAGTTTGACACATCCTCTGTTGGTGAACAAGTGAGAAACAGGCATGTTCACATGCCTGTTTTATTGCTAGTGGGAATAAAACTATAGAAAATCTATGGAGAGCAATTTGTCAATATTTAGTAAAAGCGCACTTAACCTTTGACCCAGCAATTTCAAATCTGTAAAATTTCACTTCAGTGTCTCAAAAGGTCTATTGGAAATAATGCAAATTTACATTTGAACAAAGCTATTCATTGCAGCAATATTCATGAGCAAAAGCTGAAGACAATCCAAATCTTTATTACCAAGGGAGTAACTGAATAAACGTGATGCAGCCATAAGAAAGAATGAGTGATATCTTCATGTATCATCATACATGTATCATGCACGATGTATCATCATACATAGATAGGTATGGTCATATATCATCATACATAGGTATGTATCATCATACCTATCTTCATATATCATCATACATAGATAGGCATGGTCTACTCTACAGGATATATAGTCCAGAGAAAAAAATTACATGAATAACAAACTATATAGAGTTTATTGACTTTTGTTTTGGGGAAGAGGACAGACATACACATAGACCAAAAACCCATAAGGATGCTGGTTACATATTGGAAGATAGGGAGAAAAGAGGACATTGATGGAAACTAGAGTTCTCTGCATGTGTCTTTTTAAAAATAGTTTTTACTTTGGGAGCATAAAAATGTTTTATGCAATTATAAACCAAAATTAAAAAAAAATTCAGAAGGCCATCCCTTAAATAAATAAATGTCTTGTTATTTTGAAACATGTATATAATGACAAAGTAAATACATAATTATATTAATGTCACTAGCAACCAATAATTTCAGCATAAGTAAAAAGAATACAATCTTAAAAAGGTTCCTATGAAAACATGATTTATTTATGTCTGTCAATGTGTATGTTTCTAGAGAAAAGAAATAGATTTTGTTAAGAGCCCAATAGTAATGAGCACCTCTTAATGCCTACATTGTGTTTTCTAAATACCACCTTATACTAAAATTAATCAAGACCCCTTGGGAGAAAAATATATAGTCGAAAATTTGGGAGCAGGAAATGTACAAGGTATGCTTCAAACATCATATTGCATTAAAAAGCAAAAGATGGGGTGTGGTGGTTCACACCCGTAATTCCAGTGCTTTGGGAGGCTAAGGCAGGAGGATCACTTGAGGCCAGGAGTTCAAGACCAGCCTGGGCAACATACTGAGACCCTGTCTTGACAAAACAGAAAAAAAAAATTAGCCAGGCATGATGGTATGCCTGTAATCCTAGCTAATTGGGTGGCTGAAGAGGGAGAACTCATTAAGCCCGGGATGTTGAGGCTGCAGTGAGTTATGATCACGCCACTGTACTGTACTCTAGCCTGACAGAGTGAGACCCCATCTCTAAATATATATAATATGCAATGTATATATATATATAGCAAGGGAGGTATCAAAGACTGCTGAGGGCTCTGTTAAAAGGATAAAGAAGCCATCTTGAAGAAATATCTAGTAGTCAGAAGTTTAACAATGTGAACACAGAAAAGAATGACTCCAAAAAAACTGCCTCATTGGTCATTGTTGGAGGTTATTAAGGCAACAACTTGTTATTCTTCAAGTTAGTAAATAAAAGGAACAAATCAAGTATTCATTGGCATTTCCTAAAAGTATTGTATTTCAGGGAAACCAAATAGTTGGGGAAAAGAAGTCTTTTTAGAGAAGAATTGCATTTCGTATAGGAGAAGGGAATAGCAGAATTTAAATATCACTCGTTGCAGCCTCCATTGAAAGAAAAGAACAGAAGTAGAGAAGTTAATTCAGAGGACATAGAAGAGCCAGACAGAATCAAATAAAAGCCAAACGGGTAAAGTTTCTACCTGATGTTGTGGAAGAACAGGTGTAGGAATTTTGGACTTCTGGTTCTAGCTAATATGTGGTAAGCACACCTTATCCCATCTCTTCGTCTCTCTCTCACTAGCAACAACTAATAACCCTGGACTAAAATGCATAAAGCAACTATCAGAAGACATCAAAAGTTGGGAAAATATGGGTCTACTGAGTAAGGACCTGTAGGCCTCAAGTATGACCCAGCAGTGAATTCCTTGACTTTTTTGTCTTTTTGCCTACCATTTATTTCTGTCTGGATGCTAGAACGGTAATATGGTTTGGCTCTGTCCCCACCCACATGTCATCTTGAATTCCCATGTGTTGTGGGAGGGACTCAGTGGGAGGTAATTGAATCATAGGGGCAGGTCTTTCCTGTGCTGTTCTCGTGATAGTGAATAAGTCTCACAAGATCTGATGGTTATATAAGGGGGAGTTTCTCTGCACAAGCTCTCTTTTTGCCTGCTGCCATCCATGTAAGACGTGACTTGCTTCTCCTTGCCTTTTGCCATGATTGATTATGAGGCCTCCCCAGTCACGTGGAACTGTAAGTCCATTAAACCTCTTTCTTTTGTAAATTGCTCAGTCTCCAATATGTCTTTATTAGTAGCCTGAAAACAGACCAATACAAACAGCCTGAAAAAAGAACTGCCAATAAATAAGGCATTAAGAGCCCCAGAAGAGCCTACTCTCTCCAGCCAGAGGACCAAGTAAAGGAAGTCCCGTGGGACAGAACCTTTCTGATCTTACCTGCCCTACTCAAGGCAAACAACACCAAAGAAATACCACATCCTTTGCCCCACCTTCCACCCCAGCTTCAGCTTGGGATGCTACGGGAGGGAGCCCTGTGGCCTCTCCCCACTACAGAGTAAACAGCAGCCAGCAGACGTATGTTCCTCCCCTCCCACGGGCTCTGAGACTGCAGAACAGAGCTCTGTGGACTCTCTCCACCCTACACACATTCTGCCTGATTTGGGTTACTTTATTTTTGAGCACGAAAAACAGGAACATGGTTCTGAAAGTCAGAGGTGTATAAAACAAACGGTATTCTCAGAGAACACCTCTCCCACTGAACCATTTTACATCATTTCTATTCCACTGTTCTTTCCACCTTGTTTTTGCTCACCCACCAATCACATCAGTTTCTGGTTTGTTCTTCCACAACTGAGCAAACATGTCTTTATTTTCTTATTTTTCCTCCTTATCTTCTGGTTTTAGAGTCTTTTTTAAGTAGAATAGAAGTGCCCTAATCCAATTGAATTGTTACTAGTCATTGGTTGGTTAGATTTTTTTAAACCCACCCAGTTCTGTTGGGAAGCATAACAGAATATTTGTTATTCTCATTTTTGTTGATTTCTAAGTGCCTGAGCACAGCCCATTAGCCAGGCATTCTGCTAAGCACTTTAAATCCATTATCTCCTGTAATCCTCACAATAGTTTGTGAGGTTAATACTATTATTATTCCCATAATAATAACCTACCTGTCTTGGTTAAAGATACCAAGACTGGTAGGAGGTGGTGGAGTCTGGATTTGAATTCAGGCACTTCGGACTCCTCCTTTACTCTCAACCCTGATGGTGTTTTTTCTGTAGAAACATCCTTTGCCTTAGTCCAATCTGATGCCTATATTTTGGGTTCCCTTTGTTGGGCTTTATCATCAGTTTGATTCCATCAGTTCTATACCTTTGAGAAATTTCTCTTCATCTTGTTTGCTGGTGAAGACCTTTTCTGATTCTGCTGTAATTTATCCTCTGTTGTATTATATTCTGGTCACATCAGTGGGACATTGGTTTCCAAAAAAGGCAAAAGTATGTGATCTCTTGGCTATCTTCAGTTGGAAGTTTCCCTATTTTTTCTTCAAAATATCTGAATCAGACTCCCTTTGTGCAGACAATTTTCTCTATGTGTTGTTTTGAAATCTATTTCCCCAAAATTGTAATGAAATTCCAAGGGTTATATTTTATTTCTAATTTCTTATTATTGTTTGTAATTTGCAAAAGTTCAGTTTTCAGTTTCTGTCCTGTCAACGTTCATCTCAAGCCCAAAACTCATTTCTGAAGTGATTAGTGATGTAGAAAACACTTTTATGCCTGAATAAAACACATTCTAGAAAGCACATCCTGGAGAGTGGCAAATCCTTTGGATTAGGAAGAAAATTTCATTGTTTTTAAAAAATCTTTTGCTCAATCTGGATCATCCTTTTTTTTTTTTTAACACGGCATATTTGTTTGATACTGAGTGTTTTCTACTTACAAGATACAAACTTGACATGACAGACAAAATACTCTCCTACTTGATCTATAGCTATACTTTTATACTTTAACAGGCTTACTTGATGATTAACTAATTGTCCACATTTTTTTCATCTTCCAGTACCATGAAGAATTTTTAATTGCCATTCTTGTTCATTCTTTCCCATGGGATGGCTTTCATATACAAGAAGAAGGTCTTATGCTTCCTGTGTCCATCGTTTAACAAGAATACTTGAGTTTACGAAATTATCTATTACACTAAGATCTGGCTAAACACATTTCAGTAAATAAGGAGAATTTCCCTTGAATTTAAAGCTCTTAAATGATTTAGAGTTTTTTTTTTTGCCTCCTTTCCCACAAAAAAATTTTCTTTCCTGTCAAAACCAGTGAAAATAATTTAAGTCTAGACTAGTATGTTGCTAAGCTACTAGCAAAATATGGATACACCATTCTGGCTAAAGAATTCTTAACTTTTTAATGTTCTGACTATAGGGTGTTTGACTCTGCAAATTTCTTCTACTGTGGATTTTCCTTCTACAATATTAATAGTTACAACAGATTGCTGTCTTCCCACAGCAGGGACTTTGGCACCAAAAAGAGCTATGATGGCAGATGTACTCTCACCTCTCCCACATGTAGCACTTATTTCATGAGGAAAGTTCTAGGATTCAAAATTAAAGAAGCAATGGGTTTTGAAGAATGAGCCTCATACCAGCTGCTTAGCAACAACTCACCATTCTTTATTCTTTATAATCCTAATGAAAAAGAATTAGTACTCCATTTAAGACTGCTATTAATACATGATAATGTTGCTTTCCCTTGGGATAGCCCATATTATACAGTGCTGGCATGGTAACACTCTTTGGTGCTTGAGTCGTCTCTATACATTTGTGGTCAATGGCTGTTTATAGGCTGGGTGCATAGATGGAGTTCTGTCGGGAAAAAGAATTCTACTCAGATCAGACCTATCAACTAAAGAGACTCTAATGGAAAACTCTAGAGATGTAGCAAGATAGAGGGGAAAAAAAAACAGAGGATGTGGATCCACCCTGGGAGTCGCAGAGTTGGAAATTTGGGTCCTCCCACTGACTATGAAGCAGAGACCCAAGGAGCCAGGAAAAATCCAGTATTTAAGAATCAGATTTCTAGGACACAGAATGGTCACAAAAGAGTAGAAAGGGATGGGAGATGGGGGAGGGGAGGGCAAGCAGAGTGTAAGCTGCACACAGGTAATAGATTAGATGTTTTAAATAGGGTCCCTTTGTCATTTATCCTCATAACAGCAAGCTGACAGGCTGTGTTGCCATTTATAAATGAAGAAAGTAGACTTCAGACCCCTTACATCTGTCTAACGTCCAACAGGGAAGCAACAGTGGAGCTGGAATGCACTTGAATGTCCTCGAAGATGATGTTTTTATACTTTATGTAACACTGGCTTTAATATATTTTAACACAGGATCATGCTACTTTTATGCTGTAAATTATTCAGTAATTCTCTGTTATCTTTGAGATAATATCAGACTTTGTAGTTTAGCATGAAAAACCTGTCGGTATCTGGCCCCTTTTCCTCTTCAACTCATGTGTCGACCTCCCAACATCTGAACCTCTTCACATTTCCTTACTCCCCATCCACTCAGTTTTCACATTTCAGGATGTTTGTAAATGTTGCACATTTTCGTGGTACCCTTTCAATTCAGTTTTCACCTCTCACCATCTGATTTTGGTCTTTCAAAACTCAGTTCAGCTACAGTGTCACTTCCACCTGGAAATGTTCCAGGACCTCATGCATCCAATCTGGGTTAGGCACCTTTCTCCAAATTCACACAACGTAATTTGACAGTCACAGTCACAGAACTAACTGCATGGTGCTGTGTGCCTTTCTCACTGGACTGTGTTTGAGGGCAAAGATTGCTTTTTATTTATCTTTTTATCCCCCAGGCCTAGCTCCCCAGCTGGCATATGGAAGGCTCCACGCACTATTCATTGTTGAACAATGAATGAATACTCTGAATTATTGAGTCTTTAGCTTTTTTGCATACAATATTTACTTCTGGAGGGGAGAAGGGATACTAAATCCCCAATGCTCTAGGTACAGGTAACATACATGTGCAGTGTTACTTCAGAGGATGTGCTACAGCATCAAAGGATTCAATTTCCCAAAATAAAAGAATTCCTTTGATACAGAACAAAAGCAAGGGGACATTATTGAAACACATTTACCTTAAAGTTGAAGGAAGGCTAACTATCTGCTGAAGCACATCTGATACACCAGAATAGATGGATCTGCTAGATAAAGAATGAAGAGTGACCCTCAGGTAAAATATATGACAGGTTTTAGCTATCTGGATTGTGGGGGTGGGATAGGTTGGGAAACAGCCCTGGAGATATTTGAGGACAATAAGGAACAAAATGTGCAATAGAAAAAGTCAGTGGACCAGCCTGGCCAACATGGTGAAACCCTGTCTCTACCAAAAATACAAAAATTAGCCTGGTGTGACGGTGGGTACCTGTAATCTCAGCTACTCGGGAGGTTGAGGCAGGAGAATCACTGGAATGCGGTAGGCAGAGGTTACAGGGTGCCAAGATCACGCCACTGCACTCCAGCCTGGGCAACAGAGTGAGACTCTGTCTCAAACAACAACAACAAAAAAAGTCAATGAAAATTCAGATGATAGCCCAAGGACAGACATTTGAATTTCTCCCTCTTAGTTCTTACGTGTGTGTGTGTGTGTGTGTGTGTGTGTGTGTTGCGGGGCGGGGGCTCCATTTCAAAAGAGAGAAGAAAATTAGAGAGGATTTGAGCTAACAGGGGAAAGATGATATAGAATAGCAAGTCAGGAAGATAGAATTGGAGAAATGAGAAAACAAAAACTGAGAGCCAGAAAGAGGTGAGATTGTCCATTAGTGTTTCTCAAATATGGTGGAGAGAGGTTGGAAGGGCAGTGATATGTTGGAAAACTGCCCAGTAGAAAGAGGAAGTGATTCAGTCTTCTCCTATTCTGTATCTTGGCTTTGCCTGGTCATGCTTCTGTGGTTTTAACTGAATATTAGAGACTAAATGGGTTGGGCTAAAAACTGTTGAATGTTACATAGATGGGGCCAGCAGGCAAAACTATTTATTAGAATAGAAGTTGAAGGCAGTGGTGAACGAAGATTAAATAAAAACTGTCAATTTGGGCTATTGTTTAAAGCCTAATGGGTGTTATGAAATCTGCTTTTAGTTTCATGGTTTTCTCAAGGAAATTAAAATTAATTTTGTGAGCTTCAGGGTAAAAAGGAACTCAGGAAAAATGCAAAATTTTGTAAGTGTTTTTAAGTGTTGGGAACATTTTGTTATGTGGAATTAGGAACTTTACTTGACTAATAATGTGAGAACAGTAGCAACATTTTGGTGTATGTGGGTTTAAAAATATTATTCATAGGTAGCATATGCCATGGGGGACTTCAGAATATGAAATTAAAAAACATATTTTAAAAATTGTGGCAGAATTTGAGGGAAATAAGAATTTAACTTAAACATGTAAGCACCCCCATTCTTTTTTCCTAGTTATGGCATAAGGAGATTTTGTATAATTATAGTCTAGTGCTGTTGTGGAAGAAAGAAAATATTAACAAATCATTTTTTTTCTATGAAGTGAAGGAAACATCTAGAAAGCTTTTCAGCTACTTTACTTGCCAGACAGTAATAACATATGTAAGTTTAAATAAAGTACTGAAAGCTACTTTTGCCCTCTGATGATAAAGTATTTTGTTATGCCTTTCAATAGGTATTTAATTTTTCTTTTGGCAGTGGATAGAAAACCTCTCTTCTCCAATATGTTTAAAGCTTTGACAATTTTTCCTCAGTGGCTGCATTGTAGATTAGGAATTAACTTCCAGGGAATGTGGAAGAGGCCATATGCTAAGAACCTAAACCCTAAAGACCTGATTTTTGAATATGTTAACAGATTTGGTGTCCGCACTTAAACTTGGTTTGTAGAGTGGTAAAAATTGAGTCCAAGACCACCCTATTACTCTCCTTACCTGTGAAAGTTAGAATGCTAGAAGATTGTCTTTTCTTCCCCCTACTTTATTATCAACAGTATTCATAAAAGAGAGAAAATAAGTTACTACAAAAAAGCTACATTCTTCATTTGCATTATATTACTGTGTTTTCCTATACAGTATTTGATATGAGTGAAAATCAAGGGGTTATTTTAGAATAGAAACATACATCAGAATATGGGGGTATTGGAATTGTCAAACTATGATTATTTTTTTCTCTGGACAACTCCCGACTGTTAGGCAAGCCAATAAAGAGGTGAGTTTTGGACAAATAGAATGGTCTTGCTTTTCCTGTCTTCATTAACAGAGTAAAGATTTGCATCTCAAGATGAATTGTACTGTGTTTGTAGAGGCTCCCAAAGGTGCAAAGTACACCTATTGATAGGGTAGCAATATCATTTTCAAGAGAATATAAGGCAGTAGTGACTAACAATGAAGTGAAGTTCTGCAAACATGTTTTAAGAGCAATCAGGTAATTTTGGTCTATTTCTGTATTTTATCTGTTTTCTAAAATATGCGTCACCTTTATTAGATCACGAGCCTTTTGAAGTCACAGCCTATATCTTATGCATTTATGCATCTGCAATTCTTAGCACAATCCCTGGCACATGTGTATACTGAAGACAATTATTGTATAAAACTCATGCCTGGGTCCTATAGAAGAGGAGGCCTCCAGATGGAACTGAGGGACTCACAATACATTCTTGTTCACACCTAAGACTTCAGCTTCCTGAAAAGATAATCTCCCCACCAGAGAGTAAGATAGTCTCCACAACTTAGCCTCAGGCATGCAGGTTTGGTTTTCAGGGACTCAGGTGCACCTAGGGCAGTCCTGGAGGAAGAGGGTAGACAAAATCCCACAAAAGCAGATGTCAGAAACTTTGGAGATCATATGAAACTGGGTAGATTTACTCGTGTCTTTATGTGTGAGACTTGAAATTCCAGACATTCTTAGAGATGGATGAACTTTTTTTTTTTTTTTTTTGAGATGGAGTCTTACTCTATCACCCAGGCTGGAGTGCAGTGTCACAATCTTGGCTCACTGCAACCTCCATCTCTCGGGTTCATGCAATTCTCCTGCCTCAGCCTCCCAAGTAGCTGGGATTACAGGTGCCTGCCACTACGCCCGGCTAATTTTTGTATTTTTAGTAGAGAAGAAGTTTCACCATGTTGTCCAGGCTGGTCTCATACTCCTGACCTCAAGTTATCCGCCCGCCTCAGTCTCCCAAAGTGCTGGAATTACAGGCGTGAGTTACCACGCCCAGCTGAGATGGATGAACTTTTAAGGGTTTAACTGTTAATGGTTGGTGTTTTATGTGAGGCAAGAATCTGAGATATCTGGGTTATTGCTATTAACACAATTCCTTTCTACTCGTGGACTGTGTAATGTACAGAAACTTCCTGATACTTCATAATAGGCTTTTTATTTCGACTTCCTAGGTGCTGGACCTCCCTTTATTTATTTATTCAGAGAAACTTTCAAAAGGCGTATGAGATTTTTATTTTAAACAGCAGGGTAAACCTAGGTTATGAAGAGATTAATATTGTTACTACATATTGGTATTGACTGGACTATTTGCTCTTAATTATAGAATCTTGGCTTCCTATTTACTTTGGCCTCATTGATCTGGGACAAACAGCATTGTTAATGAGGATGGTTCTCGTCATTAAATCCCTGAAGTTCTTGCCTTAGCATCTGCTTTCCTTAAATAGTTGTTGTTTTCTAACACACTAATGCCACTAATTGCAGTATTGAGGGTTAATAACATTCAAATGAGTCCATTGATTTACACAAATCAATTTGTGTGCAAACTGTTGATAGAAAACATTAACAGAAGAGTAGAGATTTTTTTACTTAAGAAAATGGGATTTATACACACTGAATTTATAAAACTGATTACTAAATAATGGTTTGATTATAAGAAAATTCTCCATATTTTAAATATTGATTACCAAAATATATTTAAAAATATAATTCAAAAATTGTTTCTTTTGTAGAGTTTTCTACATTAAAATAACCTCTAATTCCTGTGAAGACAGTCAAAGATAATCAAAACAATGTCAGAAAGTACCCAAAATATCTAACTACATTTAGAAAATACATTAAGAAATGCTGCGTTTTTCTATTGCAAAGGCACAATATTTTCTTGACATTAAAATACTATCTACATAGACATGCTGTTAATTATGGCAGTTTGAAAAAAGAGAAATACTACTATGAACATATACATTATGATGTAAGTGCTGCATTCAGAAATGTAACGTGTGTAACTATGTGCTTATTAAAACCTTAGTACTTGTAAATTAACTTCAGGAATTGTAGAAAACTTAAAGAAATGGAGAAATATGCTATATCCTGGAGGGAAAGACTAAATAAAATAATGATATCATGTTTTTTAAAATTAATCTAAAAATGATGTTGAAATAAAGACAAGAAATTTGTAGGGAACAAATTAATGCTTAAGTTTACTACAAACAGTAGCCAAAAAATTTGGAAGTTTGAAAAAAATTCCTGCTGAAGTGGAGGTAATGTTTTTTAATGGGTTATGATTATAAAAATAGATTTCTTTCATTTCTAAAAATAATGAGTGGTCACACAGGTCAATGAAACAAAACAAAGTACAGAAATATTATATGTACTTATGCACACAAATGACAACTGTATATATCCATATATATGGAATGAGAAAATTTTGTAGGTGATAAAATTTGTAGTTCAAGCCAGGCTAGAAAAGTCAAATTATTTAATAAGTGATAGTAAGATAGCTAAGCATTCATCTGGAAAAAAAACAATGACTATATAATGACATATTTCAATATTAATTGCAAATGGATTAAATATATAATTGTAAGAAAATTATATGAAATTATAAACACTCTAAAAGAAGATATGGGAAGACAAATTTATAATCTTAGGGTGTGAAAGTCCTTCCTAAGCATGACTGAACACCAAAAAGATAAAATGAAAATAGCTGAATGATTGGATTATATAAAGATTAAATGCTTGCCTATAGAAAAAGACACCATAAACAAAGTTAAAAGACTAAAATTAGAATGAGTAAAATATATGCAATACGTACTACAAAAGAAGACCAACAGTACTGACAAATCAAGGGTTCCTACATATGAAAAATAAGGACAATATGCAAAAATGCATAGAGAAAGAATTACAAATGGCCAGCAAATAAATGAAAAGAACATCAGACATTATCAATCAGAGAATTAGAAATTAAGGCAATTGAATTCTATATTTATTCTCCCTTTTGGCTTATCAGGGTATAAAAGTTTATTAAAAAAACTATTATATCTAGTTGGTAATGCTGTAGCAAAACGGGCCATTATACTGTTTGTTGGTGTTATAAATTTATATAGCCAATATAAATGGCTATATAAATAGCTTTGGGGGTGTCTTTGGCTGCCTTTCTTGCATTTAATGGGTGCAGCAAACCAACATGGCACATGTATACATATGTAAGAAACCTGCACGTCTAAGTACCCTAGAACTTAAAGTATAATAATAATAATAATAATAATAATAATAATAATAAAAGAATATCTACCTTGAGAACTAAGTTCCACATAAATACTTGCTGTCCTGTGGTTCCCCTGTAGAAGCATGGGATCGGTACCTACTCAAATTTGGTGCAGATATCTAGATGCCACGCATGTGACAAGAGAATATGAAAAAAAATTATTACATAATGAAGCTTTTTGAGGAGAGCAGAGCAGGCTCCCAAGCAGTGTGACATAGCTTGAGAGAGCAAAGGGGAGTGAGTGGCAATGGGGAACAATACACGCTGGGGCCTGTCAGGGGGTGGGGTGGAGGGAGGGAGAGCATTAGGAAATGTAGCTAATGCATGCATGCTGGGCTTAATACCTCGGTGGTGGGTTGACAGGTGCGGCAAACCACCATGGCACACGTTTACCTATGTAACAAACCTGCACATTCTACACATGTACCCCGGGACTTAAAATAAAAATTAAAATTAAAAAGAGGAGTGAGTGTCTTGGAATTTAATTGTAGTTAGCAGGTTCTTGTGTGGGGCCAGGGCTTGCATGAATTGAATTTCCCACTGGCACAAGGGAAGAGAAAGCATGGGCTTTTCTTTCAGCTTCCCCAGATGTGGGGCAAGAGGGGAAGAGGGTGGTGGCATGAGGCTTGAAAGCTGTCAGCAGTCAAACATCCAGAAATCGATAAAGACTCTTCATTATACTTGCATGTAAACTCAGAGAGACATTTATTAGGACATTCACTAGAGTGTTGCTTGTAATAAAGGGAGCATAGAAACAATGTAAATAGATCCTGGTCCACTTACATTATGGAATACTATGGAGTAAGAAAAAAATACACAATGGGGTAATTGTGGGGTTATTGATATGGGAAGATTTCCATCATTTGTTATCAAGCTAAAAGAATATATGTGTGTATAGTAGAATCCAACTTATACAAAAAATAAAATGCAATTTCTATACAATGTTTTGTATGTGATTTATATAAAATCAGGATTATTCAGAGGACTACTTAGGATGGGTGTTGATTTGAAGAAAGACGAAACCCAGCATACAATTAAGGAACTATGTATACTTTTACCATGTTTGTTGGAGGAAACAAAGCAAAGCAAAACACAAGATTAGGTGGAGATGAGGTAACTTAGGATGCATTCATAGCATTCGGTAAATAATGCATCAAAACTTTGGAAATTCCCATCATCCTTTATCTACCCCATTTTCACCTAATGTTGCAGTAACTTTCTAATTTTTTCTCCTCCAGGGTTCCTTCGAACCCTCTGAAGTTCAGCTCGCCAAGGTCATTTTTATATCTTTAGGATTTTCTCTCTTTTCTATGCAGTGTTTTCCTCTCTCTCTCTTTTTTTTTCATCAGCTCATTTCTCCTTCCTACATGAAAAGTCCGCTACCTCTCTAAATGCCTCTCTCCCTCATTTGCAACTCCCACTACCTCAACATAAGCCGCACAAATTTTTGGTATTTTTTAAACAAATATTTTAAAGGAAGTTTATAAACACACGCAGTATATACAGTTTTGTAAATCTGGGATCTGTTTAACATTTTTTTAAATTTAACATGAGAGCATCTTTCCCTATAACATTATATAGTCTGCCCAACATGAAAACATGTTGTATACTGTCTTGTCATAACAATACTGTAACCATAATCAGATGAGTAAACTTTAGTCAAGCAGAATTTAAGTAGCTTGCCCAAAGTCAGGAAGTTAGCAAGTAGACGAGCCACAGCTGACCCCAAGCAGTTCTGCCTCCAGGGAAAGGTCAGAACTCGAGCTCTATCCTTCCTTGGGGGTAAACTCCATTTGTGCTTTGGCATTAGCCTAGGGACTTTTTTATTTATTTTATTTTATTTTTTATTTTTTTGAGACAGAGTCTCACTCTGTTACTGAGGCTGGAGTGCAGTGCTGTGATCTTGGCTCACTGCAACCTCCGCCTCCCGGGTTCAAGCGATTCTCCTGCCTCAGCCTCCCGGGTAGCTGGGATTACAGGCATGCACCACCAGGCCTGGCTAATTTTTGTATTTTTAGTAGAGATGGGGTTTCACCATGTTGGCCAGGCTGGTCTTGAACCACTGACCTCAGGTGATCCACCCGCCTTGGCCTCCCAAAGTGCTAGGATTACAGGCGTGAGCCACTGTGCCTGGCCACCTAGGGAATACTTAAATTTTTCAACCTTATTTTATTTTATCAGTAAAGGATGTCTTATTGGGGAACTTACAGACAGAAGCTTGGTCTTGGGCATTTGCAGGACAGATCTCTGCACAGCAACCCCACCACACCCAGGGCTTGTATACCACAGGGAAAGGAGTACATGGTCTGTACAAGGCAATTAAAGACAACTCTCTAGAACAGGCAAGAATGCTGTGTGTCATAGCCTACAGTTTGTGCAATAATATCAAGGTTGGGTTGCTTTGATCCAAAACAGGAGTACATGTTCTCACACTACGCACACTAAATAAAGTAGAAATCAGGAGGTATTGTAGGGACTGAGGCTAATCAGAAGTCAACATGGCAGACTAGCATCCAAGATGGAGTCACTTTTGTCTCCACAAGTGGCTAGAAGTAATTAGGAAGTCACTGGTAAGCACTTTGAGCTGTGTGATTTCGACTTTTCTTTTAGATACAGAGGTACACACACAGGTGGCACACTTGCAGGTTTGCTACATGGAAATGTTGCATAATGCTCTGGTTTGGGGTGCAGATCCTGTCACCCACAAAGAAAACAAAACACCTTAGAATACAGCTAACCACAGGGGTGAAAAATCTCTACAAGGAGAACTACAAAACACTGCTGAAAGAAATCAGAGATGACATAAATAAATGGAAAAACATTCCATGCTCATGGATTGAAGGAATCTGTATCATTAAAATGCTTATACTGCCCAAAGCAATTTACAGATTCAAAGCTATTCCTATCAAACTATCAATGCCATTCTTAACAGAATTAGAAAAAAAAATTCTAAATTTCACATGGAACCAATAAAGATCCTGAATAGCCAAAGCAATCCTAAGTAAAAAGCAAAGCCAGAGGCATCATATTATCTGAATTTAAACTCTACTGTAAGGCTACAGTAACCAAAACAGCACGGTACTGGTACAAAAACAGACTCATAGACCAAGGGAACAGAACAGAAAACTCAGAAATAAAGCCTCACACTTACAACCACTTGATCTTCAATAAAGTCGACAGTAACAAGCAATGGGGAAAGGACTCTCTATTCATTAAATAGTGCTGGGATAACTGGCTAGCCATACGCTGAATATTGAAGCTGGAATGCCTACCTTTCACCCTATAGAAAAATCAACTCTAAATGGATCAAAGATTTAAACATGAGACCTCAAACTAGTTTAGAGATTTTTGAGAGTGCCACAAGATATTTCTGTTTCTTCAGGGAAACCCTCGGTTGTAATTTCACACCTGTTCATGAGGCAGTGACCTCTGCCTAAACTCCTTGGGCTATTACTACCTAGCATAGTGGGCCACTGTCTGGCCTACCTTGTGGAAGACTCTGGAGTCAGTCTGAAAAATTCTTCTTGGGCTATAAACAAGAAATCTAAATTCAGGTTGCCAATGAGAAGCGTGAGTAGTAATCCTAGATACGTGCTGTTCCAAGGGAGGTTTTATTTATTTTTTTGTTATTATATTTTTGGTTTTGTTTTTACATATGACTGTCTTGCTATTTTTTATACTAGACTCAACAGCAACAAGTTTTTATTTGGAAAACATTAAATACTTGCACAAAACTCTCCTTTTCCCCCTTTGGTATATATTTAGTGGGTTATACTCTTATCAAATAGTGTTTATATTATACATGCACATTCAGAAGAACTAAAGAAGTTCTTTTTAAAGATTGATAATTTGCACCTAGAGATGTGCTTTGTTCCCCAAGTTAACTTAAAAAAATGCAAACATAGTTTTCTCATTCCTACTTCTCCTGTTTATATTACATTGTGTAGTTACAAGTAACAACTTAACAAACACTCCATTACAGCATTGTTTTTTTCTAAGGGTGTAATTTGGTTCATCAAATTTCCCTCCAAGGCTGAAATGTAACTTATCATACAAGCTGTTAAGTCCAGGAGTAATTTTTTGGACAAAAATTAGTTTGGCCCTCTTTTTTAAAGCTCCAAGAGGGATAAATAAATATGGAGGATTTTTTTTTATTGCTGTTATTTTGCAACTTTAAAAAATGGCTTTGTTATATTGTATGATTTATACATCCATGTAGAGAACAAAAGCAATAAGTTCTTTCTAACAAACAACTTTGTCTTTTCTGAAATAAAATTCTATGGGAGAAATATATCCATAGTTGGTAGCTAAAATCTTTCATTTGGATGCAGGTAGAGAGGACTGATTTTATAATAAGATTAAACAATTAGAGCAAGTCACAGAGGGTTCAAGGGGTAACTAATAATTATTTATAACCTGCTATGGATTACCATGTTAAACATTGACAGGAAGACCTTTGATATCTAGGACAGTTAATATTCCAATGAAATTTTGTTAATGTTAACCTACTAACCTGTTTTTATAACTGTTATCTTCTTGCTGAAACTTATCATATGAAATGGACTCCAGGCAATGCTCCATTCTTTTCTCAAGTCAGGCATAATGATCAATTAGGGGCTACCTTACTGTCATCTCTTAATACCTTAAAACCTAACGGTTTCATTTAATTCTGTCCATCAAATACTACCCTTAAGCAGAATTAATCAAAAAATTCTTTAATGAATATAACTCAAAAGAATAAAGATCTAAGCTATGGATATTTTCTTTTTTAGCTTGATCAATTCTATAAAGCAGTAGCATCTAAAGTCAGGGTTGTTTCAGCCTAAAGATGGTGAGTTTTCCTTCTCATTTATCCCATTCGTGCAAAGAAATATTATTTAAGAAACAAAGTAAGAAAGACCAATGTCTGTTCCAATCTAAATGCCCTAAATCCAAGACTTGAAATTCATTTTTCATTTATAATAATGTATCATCTTGACTTAATTGTCAGAGACCGTGGAAAAACAAAGTGACGCCATCTGAGAGAAGATGGGCTTTTTGGGGGCCGGGATCACATATTTGCTTCTGGTGAGAAGCTGCCGTTAAAAGCCAATTGTGTGATTCTCCGCTCTGTATAATCAAAAGCTCTCAGAGGACTGAGGTGAAAGAGTGACAAGCGATAAAGGAGAAGGGATATGAGATAAATATGGGCTGTGCAGAGCAGGTTTTTTTCCTGATAAACTGTCAGTATATTGAGGCATTTAGTTTCCTATATACATTTATATGCATATGACTAACAAAAATCTGCAAAACTGAGTGGCGCTAGGAAGGTACCTAAGTGTTTTTCCAGAGAACAGCCCAACTCTTTGAAATTCTGCCCTTAGAAATGGTGTGGTGAAATAGTCCAGATTTCCTTTTTAACACAAGTAGGTAAGGAAGAATAAGGCCCAATCCAGGGATACCAATGCCTGGAATGTTCTTCGCCAGCCTTATTGCAAGCGTGGCTCTTTTCTAGCATTCAGGTCTTAATGCAGCCATTCCTGACCACCCTAATGAGGCTTTCACTTTATTGTCTGGTTCATTTATTTTCTTCCTAGCACTTGTAGTTTGTAGTTACCCTTTTATTTATTAGTTTGCATGTTTGTTTATTTCTCTGTCACTGGAATGTGAGAAAATGAGGGCAGGGCTCTTGACAGCCTTGTGAATGAATCTGTCCCCAGCAGAGCAACTGGCACAAAATAGCATGCAATCAATATTGGCTGTGTGAATAAGTCAAAGAATCAATGACTGAATGAAAAGAAGATTGACTCAGATTTATATTCCCAGGCATTGGTGAGCAACTGCAGGCCGAAGCAGATAACTGGGTAAGCAATTAGGTAAAGCAGTGAAGTCTCTTCCTATGCCCAATCCTTTCAAAACACGCCCACCGTTTTTCACATCTCTGCTATGCTGTTCCAAAGTGCCTCTCACGACATAGGTGCCAAAAGTTGTAGCTACTTTTAAGTCATGAAGTCAGATTCCCTGGGAATGAAAATCCAATATAGTCACAGTTCTTGGTTAAACGCCCTTCTTAGGACATAATAAAATTTATTTCTCACTTTTAGATTCTAAAAGAGCATGCTTTTTTATAATATAATTTTAATATACATGGAAAGAACAGCTTCTTGCTAAACCTTGCTCAAACATTTTAAGTAAATTTTTCACAGAGAATGTAGATTTCATATAATTCAAGTGATTGAGTACTGAATGCCTACAACATGCTGAGTCCTGTGTGGGAAATTTAAAGAAAGAACTTATTGTCATTTCTCATTGAAATAAATTAGACAATTACAATATTATTTAGGAGAATCTAGAATTAAATGTCAAAATGAGTGTATACATATTGTGCAGATTAAGAAGTCAGAGGAGCAAAGAATCAATGTAGATTAGATTGGTTACAGTAGGATTTGTTTAAAGAGTAAAGCTTCATCTACTTTTCAAATGGAAAAAGACAATGAAGCTAGGTGCAGTAATCCTCCTGAGGACCATAATGTTGAAGTCAGCATCTCTGTGAAGATGTAAAGATATTCCTGACAGCAGCCACCTATTATTAGAAAGGGCTAAGGGACTCTGTCTTGGTTTACCTGGTAACTTAGATTACCTAAATTTATGGCAATTTATTAACTCTATGTTACTTTCCATTTTTTCCCTCCTTAGACCTTACAAATTCTTTGACACTCCATCCTTGTGTCAGCTAGAAGCAAGGAAAAGGTGGCGTTATCTCTACTCAGGCCATAATGTAAAATAGGGAGAACCTACATGTATTAGGGTTCTCCAGAGGGACAGAACAAATAGGATATATGTATTTATAAAAAGGAGTTTATTAGGGAGAACTGACTCACATGATCACAAGGCACAGGACCACGATAGGCCTTCTGCAAGCTGGGGAAGAGAGAAGCCAGTCGCAGCTCAGTCCAAGTCTGAAAGCTTCACAACTGGGGAAGCTGCCAGTGCAGCCTTCAGTCTGTGGCCCAAGGCCCGGGAGCCCCTGAAAAGCCACTGGTGCAAGTCCAAGAGTCCAAAGGCCAAAGAACCTGGAGTCTGATATCCAATGGCAGGAGGAGCTTGGAGGAAGCTTCCAGCCCGGGAGAAAGAAGGAAGCCACAAAACCCAGCATCAAGTTTCTCCCACCTTATTCTGCCTGTTTTGTTCTAGCCGTGCTGGCAGCAACTGCATGGTGCCCAGGCACATTGAGGGTGGGTCTTCCTCTCCCAGTCCACAGACCAGCCATCTAGGCATCCTTCAAACCAATCAAGTTGACACCTCATATTAACTATCACACCCCACCTCTGTTTTTTGCATAAAGACATGACTACGATGGGAGTGTGATTCCTAAGGGTAACATGATTCTCAGCTTTTATTCAGGGACTTGGAGTCTGGCTGTTCTTCCCTACCTGGGATTCAGTTTTGTTTTTTTTTTTTGTATTAGGGAAGTCAGAAATGCCTTGTAGACCTCTCCTATCGTGTCCGGAATTGGTGGGTTCTTGGTGTCACTGACTTCAAGAAGGAATCCGCAGACCCTCGCGGTGAGTGTTACAGTTCTTAAAGGCGGCGTGTCCGAAGTTTGTTCGTTCTGATGTTCGGATGTGTTCGGAGTTTATTCCTTCTGGTGGGTTCGTGGTCTCGCTGGCTCAGGAGAAAAGCTGTGGACCTTCCCGGTGAGTGTTACAGCTCTTAAGGCGGCGCATCTGGAGTTGTTCGTTCCTCCCCGTGGGGTTCCTCCCGGTGGGTTCGTGGTCTGGCTGGTTTCGTGGTCTGGCTGGCTTCAGGAGTGAAGCTGCAGACCTTCCCGGTGAGTGTTACAGCTCATAAAGGCAGTGTGGACCCAAAAAGTGCGCAGCAGCAAGATTTATTGCAGAGTGAAAGAACAAAGTTTCCACACTGTGGAAGGGGACCCAAGCAGGGTTGCCACTGCTGGCGCGGGCTGCCCGCTTTTATTCTCTTATCGGGCCCCACCCACATCCTGCTCATTGGTCCATTTTACAGAGAGCTGAGTGGTCTGTTTTGACAGGGCACTGATTGGTGCCTTTACAATCCCTGAGCTAGACACAAAGGTTCTCCACGTCCCCACTAGATTAGCTAGATACAGTGTCCACACAAAGGTTCTCCAAGTCCCCACCAGAGAAGCTAGATACAGAGTGTTGATTGGTGCATTCACAAACCCTGAGCTAGACACAGGGTGCTGATTGGTGTGTTTACAAACCTTGAGCTAGATACAGAGTGCCGATTGGTGTATTTACAATCCCTTAGCTAGACACAAAGGTTCTCCAAGTCCCCACCAGTCAGGAGCCCAGCTGGCTTCACCCAGTGGATCCGGCACCGGGCTGCAGGTGGAGCTGCCTGCCAGGCCCTGCTGTGCGGTCGCACTCCTCAGCCCTTGGGTGGTCGATGGGACTGGGCGCGGTGGAGCAGGGGGCGGCGCTCGTCCGGGAGGCTTGGGCCGCACAGGAGTCCACGGAGGCGGAGCGGGGGTAGGCTCAGGCATGGCGGGCTGCAGGTCCTGAGCCCTGCCCCGCGGGAAGGCAGCTAAGGCCTGGCGAGAAATTCAGCACAGCAGCTGCTGGCCGAGGTGCTAAGCCCCTCACTGCCCGGGCCGGCGGGGCGGCCGGCCGCTCCGAGGGCGGGGCCCGCCGAGCCCACGCCCACCCGGAACTCGCGCTGGCCCGCAAGCACCGCGCTCAGCCGCGGTTCCCGCCAGCGCCTCTCCCTTCACACCTCCCCACAAGCTGAGGGAGCCGGCTCCGGCCTTGGCCAGCCCAGAAAGGGCTGAAGGGCTCCTCAAGTGCCGCCAAAGTGGGAGCCCAGGCAGAGGAGGCGTCGAGAGTGAGTGAGGGCTGTGAGGACCGCCAGCACTCTGTCACCTCTCACTATTACCAGTTCTGTTCCTTTGCTGCTTCTTCTGGTTGTCCAATTCAACCAGCATTGTTTTATCTTTCTTTCTTGTCACATATAATATTTCATATCCTGTTTCTAATCTGGATTCGTCTTTCACTCTACTTGGCCCTTGGGTTGCAGCCCCATGTCTCTCCTGGCCGGAGGCACCAAGACCTGGTGTCTGTCCCAGGAAAGTTAACAAGCTGGTCCACTTGCCAATTTACCACCTTGGATTTTGAGGCCAGGTGACTGGTGAAGGAGCCAGGATTGATTTAAAGCATAAGCTGAGTGATATCACTGCAACAAATAGTTACTAAGTGACCCATTTACATGGTGGAGAATGTTGATTCTGTGAGAAGGTCAAATCAATCAGGTACCTCATTATGTAAGTTGATAGTTAATTATATTTTAATATTATTATTTTATCATATTTAATTATAATTTCCTGATATGCTAAAACACATCTGCTGAATTAATTTCACTTTGCTTAAGAGTCTTGTGGCATGTTGAGGAATGTGTACATATGTGTGTGTGCCTGTACACACAGCATGTATGCAGAAACATAGTTCTTCCCATACAAGTAATTTGACACTGTGATAATTAGAAAAAAAAAACCTGTATGATTTTAAAATAATTTAATGTTCTTGAATTCCTTAAACATGAAATATTTTCTGATGTTTTTATTTATAGGCTCTTTGAAAACTATGTCTTTCCCTTGGTAATTCCCTGACCTATTTGTTTATCAGTCTGACATGAGGTGGATAGATTTCTTTATAATCATAAACAAATCTGAAACTCTGTATGAAAAATGATAAGTCATAAGAAAGCACCACTGCTCATTTTCCCTTCTCAAGATAGAATTAGGTCAATAAATTTTACACTATTGATTTAAGTGGGATGGTATTCTAAAGCCGCATGTGTATATGATGTATATGACCATGCGCATATATTTGCTGTCAGATTTCCAACAACCAAAGTTGACGGTTTAATATTTCAGCTTAAAAGTCAGGGGTATAAAATATTATACTAATTCATAAAAAGTAAAAGAACTTAACTCTTTTTTGCAAAAACATGCAAAAACTACAAGAAAGAAAATCTTTAAATGATTTTAAACATTTAGTTGACTAGGTAAGTTAAATCAAACTATTTTTTACGCAGATCTAGTATGTCTATGTGTAATAATACTCATATCAAATACTCAATTGTTTGCAAATTGATCACTGTTTTAACTAACTGAAAGCAGCTTCTGACATTTGCTTCACGGATCAATTTGAGTCAATCATTTGGTGGTAATTTGGTAATGGCCAAAATATATGACCAAAAAATATTTGGTCTGTGACTACGAGACTTCATTCCATATGGAATTCCAGTTTCTTATCAGATACCTCTTCTTCATAAATCTCTGGATGCCTTCCTCATTGGTGATCCTCCTCTTCTTTTGTAAATCATCTGAATGTTGGTTAGTAAAGCTGGATGTGGTTCTATCTATAACATAACAGATCAAATCTGTAAAGAAAACACATCTGTCAGATTGCTGGTTTAATATTTTAAAGACAAATGTGGGTGTTTTGATGAATTCTAATTTTAAATTTAACAAAACCAATTTGTATCTGGGCAAAGTTTAAATCTAAATTCACTTTTTTATTTCTTATTTTCTTTTTTTTGGCACGTTGAAGCTCATTGGCTAAAACAACATTGATACATTTTTTGCGCAAAGATGGAGGCCTCCCTTTGTCCTCACCAAAGCCAGTAGGTAAAGACATTCTAATTTTTACTTTTACATGTTGCTGTTTGCTGTATTTCAAAAGGCAATCAGAAATGTTTTTGAATGTATGTTTTATGAAATATATGGAAACAAACAAAAAAATTTATGAACTGATTTTCATTAAGTGGTACTGCTGTATTAATACCGTCAAATGGTATAGTCTATTATCAATACCGAAGACATTAAATTTCTATGAAAAATTTTTGGACAGAAGGCTAAGAGAGTTATTCTATGCTGATAGTCAGATGAGGTAGGCTTAGCATGAATCTGGCCTGGAACCAACTCCTGCTACCTGAAGCTCTTTTCCACTGAGGCCACCGTGATCTGAGAATCGACTCAGCCTGAGAGGACCGACTCACTAGTATTTTACTTAATAATTTTAACAATAAACCGGGAATTGGTCATTGTATGAATCTTGTTCAAACTTTTCAATTTAAAATTTAAAATTAATTATGCTAGCCAGCTTGGCTCTCTGTCTCAGAAAAAAATCCCTTTTGTTGAAAGATGGGATATTAAGACCTCTACTGGTACTTTTACATTACACCCTTCTCCCCAGGTGCCCCCACCTTGGCAAAATTCTTATTCTTAGTCATAGGGAATTTCTTGTTTTGGTAACTGAGACTGTTCTGCTCTTACATTGTTTGCCTGAGGGTCACTAGGTATTCTTAGTATTCTCTGCCAAGGTAAGGTTAGGCGATATAGCAGCAGCAAATTCATTTCAGTAATTCAGTGGCCATACATGCAAACTTTTCCTCCCTATGCTACATTCAGTGAGGGTTGGTGGTGGTGGTTAGAGACCCAGGCCTACAGAGACACGACCATTTTGTGACATTGGCATCTCAAAAAATGGATCACTGTAGCAGAGGAAGAGAACATGGACAACCCACACCCACTCCAGAAGTGGCACACTTCATTCCCACACAGGACTCATTGTCCAGAATAGGCACCTACGTCCTGCTAACCGCAAGGGGACTGGGACATGTTGAGAAACACACGCATATTGGTAACCAGTGTGTTTCTCTCCATGTACCCTAGAGACCAGGCCTCGCATGGGTGGGTGACCTTCTTTCATCATAAGGCCATTCACAATTGTTGGTCCTGTGATAAAGAGTCAATTTTGTTTTAGGCTACAGACCATCCTGGGTAGGCCTGTGCTGTTTGGCTATACCTACATTCATTTCTATAAATAATGATTGTTCACACAAATAACTTGCATTTATAGATTTAAATGTTTTCTTTCTTCTTTTTTTGAGATGGAGTTTCGCTCTGTCACCCAGGCTGGGGTACAGAGGTGGGATCTCGGCTCACTGCAGCCTCCGCCCTCTGGGTTCAAGCAATTATCCTGCCTCAGCCTCCCAAGTAGCTAGGACAACAGGCATGTTCCACCATGCCTGGCTAATTTTTGTGTTTGAGACAGGGTTTCACCGTGTTGGCCAGGCTTGTCTTGAACGCCTGACCTCAAGTGACCCACCTGCCTCGGCCTCAAGTGCTGGGATTACAGGCTTGAGCCACTGTGCCTGGCTTAAATGCTTTGTTTCTGTACCCAGTATTTGGACCCTGGGAATTCAAAAGAACATTTTAAATATTTACTTACAGTTGCTAAAAGTATGGAAAAACCTGTGTTTAGTGCTTCAATCCTCAGGGCTCTTATTGGTGAGACAGATGTATCACTTGGTCATGTGGCTTAGTTAAGCAAGTTTTTATTATTACAAACTTCAAGGCTGGCAGCTCTTCAACCCTTACACTGTGCAGACTTCTAGGTTAAATAATTTCTAATGGTGGGTGCCAAGTTTTGATACTTGTTAGTCTGGCAGTGATGGATTCAACACCAGGGAGACTCATTAAAATGGAGCCTTGGTCCTCAATCAGCTGTCAGTTTTCTAGCATGCGTGGCAAAACCCAAAATGTCTTCTGGGCTTGGCTGGATTTCTGATGGATTGGGTTACCCCAAAGAGGAGCCAAGGTACACGGTTTTCACATGGCACTGGAAATCATTTATCATTCCAAATGAATGCTGTATATAGTAATCAACATTTGGGGATAGAATTATTTTGGGAAAGCTATGGCCATTTGTGATCAATTAGGGACATAATCTGATAATGACAGCAGTGACCATGAGGTTGAATGTGTTTGCCATTATAAGCTGCAAACATTTAAAAATGAATGCTCAGTTTATTATACTTCAGATTGGCTAATAGGCACATGTTGGAATGCAGTGGCAATATTTATTAGATCTAAATCTTAAATACAGTTCATTGAAGAAATGAAAAGTAATCTCCTAAATTTTCTGAAAGACTGTTCAAGTATTATTGTTGTAGCAGCTGTTCTAGGAACATCTGTGTGTCATCCATCTGTTGAGTATCTACATCTAATTTCTCTTTGTGTTGTATTATTTTATTGTTGCTTTACTGTCTGAAGTTACAACTATAATATTTGGTTTAAAGAACTCTGCCTTACTCTAGAATTGTTCATAAAAGAAAGGTGATATTTTCACACCTTTTGAGATACAATTTTATTTTCCTCTATTTCTGTTTATTTCACATTGTTCATATTCCTGTTACGGATGCCAATAGGAGAGATGACTAGAAAGTATATATGACTTTATTCCACTGATTTCAAAGTCGGTGGTTTACAGAAAACATAAAGCATAATGCTTTCAATGTTTATTGGAAATATTATTTCTAAATGGCAAGAAAAAGACATCACATAGAAAGCAGTAAGAAGATCAAATGACAGGATTGATATCGATATCTAGCTGTAGAAAGACTCTAGGTTTTAAGAAATCTCAGTGTTAGTGCTAAATTTATCTGTTTATTGTAGGCTCTTAGAGTAGGACACGTTCAATTAACTAAAACTAAATTCTAGCCTTTGCCCTGCCTCCCTTGTTTTAATAATAATACATGTTTAAATGAAAATTTATAAATTCACTTTTACCTTTCACACTACAGTGATTCAACATGACTAAAGAGAAAAAAATGGTTTAATAAGCTCAATTAAGTATTTGCTCAAAAATTTTGTTATAACTGAAACAGCAGCAAAACAAATTAATGGCAAAGGAATTAATTCATAGATATTCACTGGTATATGATGAATATAATTTTTTGTGATCCAAGATTTCTTGTAGCTACCTGAAGTTTAGAGCTTAAATAGAATTTAATATAATTTTAGAACCTAAATATAATTCTGTTTAGGTGCTTCCCTTATACATGAGGTGGAAATTATTATTATAATAGAACCTCATAAAAAATACCACTTAAGTTATAGTATGCCTTATAATCATCTACCTTCACTCTCATTTACTTAGGGGGTTCTTGATGAGTCTTTTCAGTGCATTCTTCAAAGATCTATCATATGCCTTTCAGTGAGAAGGCACAAGGATGGGGAAGAGGATATTATTTTTCAAAGAAGCATGTGAGCTTTGTAATACCATTTGTGAGAAAAAAACCTTTTAATGAAATGGCCATGATCTGTTGTTATTTAGTTTAATTTTTACCTTTTCAGTGCAAAATTGGTGCACATTTTCCCCCTTTAGGAGTGCATTAGTTACTATGGAGACAATTTCATTGGCAAAAACAGAATTTTCAAACACTACACGTATAATGTAAATTTAATGTAAGCATGGGATTGGAAATTATGCCTTTGTAGTTAGACAATCATAAAGTTGTTCCCTTATATGGAGCTGGGGCAATGGCCACTGCAATGATTGCATATTTACCCACCTGTGCAACCAAAGCAAGGGCCTAATTGGGACTTAACCAGGGAACTTGGCTTTAAGTTGTGAGAATTTCTTTTTTATCTACTACACCAAATTTAAATTTCTTGAGTCTACTCTTTGTTATCCTGCTAGACCTTAATATTTTCTTCTGACAAAAATATGACCAATTTTATCCTTCTTTACACATTTTTAAAACCAAGAATGATAATTTTCTGTCAGTGGCAAACTTTCCTTAGCAAGTAGAATTAGATCCAGCTGACTCTTCGTGGCTGGCTTTGATATCCTGCATTGCCCATGGCTGGCTGTTCATCAGAGAACCAGCCGTGACCCTCAGATTAAGCACATGGCGTATATGAAGTGGGGCTGGAAAGGAACAGGAGAGTGTTTAAGTGGGGTTCTCTTTTAGATTCAGCTTCTAACTGAAATAAACCAGAAGAATTCCAGATGTCAGGAGGTCTCAGTAGGCTGTTAACAGTCCCCAGATGCATCCATAAAAAAATTCACTTCTTTCTCCTGCCTCTCAAGTGAACCATGGAAAATAAAATAATTGATAACTGCCAAGTTGGAACATGTAGCTTGGCGTGAGGGTCAAATAGACCAGAACCACAGAACCGGTTACAATTAACTGGCCAGTTGCAGAAAATGTTTGATTCCAGCTGTACCTCAACTGTGGAAGAGTGGCAGAGATGACACATTTCCTCAGGGTAGCTAGTGCCCCAGAGGGGAAGGGTAGAAGCTGACCTAAGCACTCCACTTTTTTCTTCCCAAGTGAGCAATCAGGAAAGTCACAGCACCACCCGTGGGGCGGAGTAATGGAAGACCACCTGCGGGGGTGTGGAATATGAGGAGTTATGCTCCCCTTCCCAGCAGCCACACACACAATAAACAACCTAAGCCTTCTCTGGTCTCCTAATTATTTGGTAACTCTCAGTTTGTTTCTCAGCTCTCGATTCCACCAACATCGAAAGACTTTGACCCCTTCTTTCGGGACTCTACTTTCTGGTCCTTACCTGTTGTCCTTCCATCTCCATCTGACATCCCTGTGGGCTGAACTTCACCTTACCTCATCCTCCTTGTCTGCTTTCAGGACCAATGGTTGGATAGCCACTTAGAGGTCACACTCTCCCCACCCTGACCTACATCCACAACTACTTTGCCAAATGCCTGCCCAGGGTAATTCTTTATCTACTTTCTCCACTCTTCTACTTGAATTGACAAGCACTTTCAGAGAAAGTCACAGCCTAATATCCATTAGTTAACCTTGAAAAAAGAAATTGATATTAATATGGAGTTAGTGTGGAGGAAGAAGAGGTTAGTTTCCATTGAACCCTCAGTATTTATGAAATATCTTTTATTGGTATCTGATTAATTTTGTGTTTAAAAAATTCCATCCCACACAGTGAAGGCTCTGAAATTTTTTACTCATTGCAAGAAAACAACCCCTAATCTCCTCACTCTCCCAGATGACCACACCTGCTACTTTATTGAAAGTTAAAAAAGAAACCCTTTAATTTGGACTTTCTCAAATTTCTTCTTTTGTGTCTTGAGCTTTCTCCCCACATTTTTTTTCCTTTTAGTTTAGGAGATGCACTTGTCTGTAATTGTAAGGCCAGCCCGTTACCCTGTGCCTGTCCTTCCGTCCTGCTGCACAGCTTTGGGGATCCTGATTCCCTGGTAGTGCCCTTCTCTTTTGCTTCAGTGAATAACTTTCTGTTCACTGGCTCTTCCCCTTCTACCTACAAATGTGTTCAAATATCCCTATTTAAAAATGTCCCTTAGACTCTTTCATCTTCTCTAGAGATCTCTTCTTGTTCACTAACAAATTCCCCAATATAAATCTATGTTTGTTGCCTCCACCTCTTAAGGATTCATTCAATCTCTGACCCTTGGAATTTGGAATTGGCTTTCAATAACTCCACTGAAACATTTCTGATGATGGACGTCTTCCTGAGGGCTATATTCAGGAGGTTTTTTTCCTTAACCTGTCTTTAGCTTTTGACTCTAATGACTACCTCTCCATTAAAGCCCTGCTTTCTTCCTGGGTTTTCACTTTTCTGAGAATTCTTGTTATCTCAAAGAGAAAGAACATTTTCTCCCTTTCTTAGTCATTTTCTACTGTTACCTACTTTGTAACATTAATCTTGTGACTGCTAGGGGTTCAATAATTACCTCCATGCAGATGATTTTGCTATTTTAATGAATTCTAAGGCCCATTTTCTAATTCACTGATGTTTATCTTCACCTCATATTGGCAAGAGTGCTTAAAGATCGACATGATTGATCAGCCTATTTATCCCTTCAAATACACTCCTTCTGAATTCTGGTTTCTATTATTGACCAAACTTTCCTTCCAGCTCTCAAGCCCCTCTTTCTATTCACATTAATTCAGTTCCTACTGATCTACCTCATCCATGACTCTTGAAACAAGCTTTCTATACTCATTCCCACTACAACTACCCTAGTTCAGCCCTGAGTTGTCTGTAGCTTAGATTTTTCAATAGCTGCTTATTTTGTCTCCCTCCCTCAGTGCCTTCCAACTTCAATTTCACCCACATACACGAGATGAATCCCCCTAAAGCAAAACTCTGCTTGTGCTATAACTCGATGTTAAAGTTGAAATTTCAGCAATATACTAGACTAGAAACAGATTTTCAAAGGAGATATCTGAGAGTCAGCTTCATAAATCTGATATTCCCCACCCATAAGGAATGTTTTGGTGAGTTGGGAGATTGAAGTTGGGAGATGATTTTGAGGATATTATTGGAAAGAGCTGTGCTGTGAGCCCTACCCACTGGCAATCAGCGGAGATGGGTGGATCTTCAAGACTAAACAGGGGTGCTTCAATGGGGGGAACTACATGTTCCCTGAAGTTGAAGGATACTTCAGGATGATCCCTAGCTCCTGCAAGAGGAAGCTGAGGCAGTGTTTTGCAACCTAGTAAAGGGCTACACCAAGGATGCCAATGCACAGCCCCTTCAGCAGGAACATGAGTCTGGGATGATTTGAAAGGGGATTCCGCTCCAGAGAGCAGATGTTGGAGTGGAGGGACCCAAGTAAAGTTGTGTGAAGAACACTGCTAGGGATAAAAGCTGACTGGGGATGAGGAGAGGCTGGTTGAAGGCAAGATCCAGGTTCTGTCAAGGTTGTTGCAGGCAGTCGGGAGTGGGTGGGGGCACAGGAGACTCTGAAGAAAGTATGTGAGAAGTCAACTTCAAGTAGTTTCTAGGTCCAGAAATTACGAAACCTTCTCACAACAGTATTAGACAGGATGAGTTTTTCCAACCACCATGTTCTTCCTTCCCACTGCTACCCGCTTCAATCCTGGTGGACAAGAAATACCAGCTGGCAAGTGAGACAGCTGTTCATCATGAGGTAGAAATAAAAGGTCAGTTGCATGCTGCCTGCAGGCACCCAGTAGCCCATCTGCTGCTGAAAGAAGGGCAAGGCATTACATCTGAATGAGGGTTGAAGGATTGACCAGTGTATTAAATCTGATAAACTTAATCACTGAATTAAGATTATATCTGGGACAAAGTAACCATTTCTATCAATTAAGATTGACCAAAAATGAGACTCAGCATTTTTTTTCCAGAGAAGGAGGATAGTCTTACTGAGCAGATTTAAAGAGATAGTGAGAGACTCCTTAAAAAAGTTGATTTCATGATGACATGCTATATAGGTCTTGCTTGTATGGTGAACTGGACAAAATCACTGATGTTTTTTCAGGGTCTCCTGAAATAGAGCAGACTTTGCATGGTGACTTTTAGGGCAATCTCTTTCTCTAGCCTCATTTTTTCACTTATTTCATGCCTATCCTGGTGTGTGGTGACTGAAAGAGCAAAGATTTGAATAGCATGTTTGCTACTTACTAACCAGGCATTTTTGGACAGACTCTATAGTCTCCAGAGCCTTTATTTCCTTATCAGAGGTCCCAGTTCATCTCGTGTTGCTAAAACAAAATATCTCAGGCTGGGTAGTTTATAAAAAACATAGGCTTATTTGCTTATAATTCTGTTGGATGCAAAGTCCAAGATTGGGCAGCTGCATCTGGTGAGGGCCTCATGCTGTTTCAACTCATGGCAGAATGTGAAAGGGGAGCAGGCATGTGCACAGAGATCACATGGAGAGAGAGGAAGCAGAAGAGAGAAACCAAGGAATCCAGACTCTTTGTAACACCTTGCTCTCATAGGAACTAATCCAGTCCTGTAAGAGTAAGAACTCTCCCATAAGAAGGATTTATGAAGGATCCATCCATTCCATGACCCAAACACCTTCCACTGGGTCCTACCTCCCAACACTGCCATACAGGTGATCAAATTTCAACATGAGTTTTGGCAGGGATAAACCACATCCAAACCATAGCATCAGTAGAATTGACTAATTGTGTACTATGTAAGTTTATTGTGAGGATTTAATGGGAAAATGTATCTAAAATACTTAACATCATGTATTAGTTATCTATTGCTGTGTAGCAAATTACCTCAAAATTTAGCAGCTTAAAAGAACACCCATTTATTACCTCAGAGTTTCTTTGAGTCAGAAACCCAGAGCAGGACAGCTGGGTGTTTCTAGCTCAGAGTGTCTCACAGGGTTGCAATCCAGGTATCTGCTGGAGCTTCTATCATCTTGAGGTTGGACTCATAAAGGCTCCATTTCCAAGCTCCCTTCTGTGACTGCTGCAAGGCCTCAGGTCCTGGCTGGAGATTGGCTGACACTGGAGACATCAGTTCCTTTACATAAGGCCCTTCCATGAGACAGCCCACAATGTGTCACCTGGTTTCTCTCAGAGTGATTGAGGGAGAGAGTGATCAAAGCAGATGTCACAGTATCTTTTAAATCTAATCTTGGAAGAGATCTTTCACCACATCTATGTTATTCATTCTGAGTAAGTAATTATGTCATTATATTCAGCCAAAAAGCATGAGAAGAATGCACAGGGCATGAATATCCAGAGGCAAGGATCATTGTAGGCCATGCTGGAGGCTGCCTGCTATACACAGGGTCTACAATAGATGCTATTTCCTGCTTTACATATCCTCACTCAGACTTCTGTATACCTTTCTCTCATTTCTCCAGTTGAAGGCGTTCTCTAATTCTTCTGAGTTCATGGAACATGTTGTTTATTTTTCTTATCACTTTCTTCCTTATATTTATTTGTTCATTAAATGATGACACTCTACTATGATGAGGATACAGAGATGAGATATTTTTCCTGTCCCCAAAAAGGGCCACCAAGTTGCTCAACTCCAAGGGAACTGGCCATATTGTATACAATATGCCTTTAATTGGGTCAAAGAGGTGCTTTTTTTCCCAAGGAGCCCATTGTTTAGCAAGAATAGCAGATTTGAAAATTAGTAGTCATAATAGTACAGTGAAAATCCAGAAAACTATCTGGTGAATCTGAGAATAACTTCATGGAAGAAAAGAATATGTGAGCTAGCATGGAAAAATGAAAAGGAGTTTTCCAGGCAGAGAAAGAAACAAAGTACATTGTAGACTTCAAAGAGTAAGCAGTTTCTGCCATCCCAATTCTCTGTCCCATTCTCCCTGTTCCATGAGGGCAACTGGCAAACTAGAGCTCACAGGCCAAATCAGGCCTGATGTAAATACAGTTTTATTGCAATACAGCCACATCCATTGTTTTACATATTTTCTCTAGCTGCTTTTATGATGCAACAGAGTTGAGCAATTGTGACAGATTTTTTTTTTTATGGCCCGCAAAGCCTGAAATATTTTCTGTCTGTCCCTTTAGCAAAGACCGTTGCTGACCTCTGCTCTCTGATATAGTGAGAGCACGTGGTACAGAAGTAGGTGCTCAGGTATTTGCTAAACTAAAGAGCTGAATAATCACCAGTTGGCTGTGATTCCTTTGCAGCTGAGTAACAAATGAATCAGCATTTAGTCAACAGCTTAGATGATTTCTTACCAGTGATTCTCAACAAATGTTCTAACTGACACATGGCTGTCCATAGTAATGAGAGTCTTTTAAAGCAAGAAATAAACAGCAATTGTGCTAGTCTCTAGATCTGAGAGAAAATGATGTAGTTTTTCTAGCTTAGGATATGTCATTTAGATGCATTTTTAATGAATATTTTTTCTTCCAAAAAATCAGCCATGCAAGTCAAGGAAAGATATGACAGATATAACAACAGAACTTGTGTAAAGAAAGGATGTTATAAGCCTAATAATAGCATGAAATAGGAGAATTTTTCAGAATTTCCTCTCCACTGAGCTTGAGGAATATCTTTCATGTCATTGATTGTTATAAGAAAATCCAATGTCATCAACCACAAACTCAGCATCAAGTGGCTTACACAATTTTTGCAGTTGGGCATGTTCATATTGTTCATAAACATAAAGTGGTACCACAGGCACATTGACTTAACTTTAATGAACTACAAGAAATTTCAGATATTAAAATGAGGTAAGTAATAGAAATTTGTTGAAACATTTCTTTTAAAAAACTTAGATACCCACTGAATAAACCATAGTGTCATAAATATTTGTATCAAAATAGAGTGGTGATTAAAATTTCAGCTTTTTTGTCTAGTCCCTTAAAATGGAACACAAGAATTATTAGAATGATAAATGAACTGAAATGTTTCAGAAAAACCAAATTTCTTTATTCCTTTTTTTTTTTTTTTTTGAGATGGATTCTTGCTCTGTCATCCAGGCTGGAGTGCGGTGGCATGATCTTGGCTCACTGCAACCTCTGCCTTCCAGGTTCAAGTGATTCTCCTGCCTCAGTCTCCTGAGTAGCTAGGATTACAAACACATGCCACCATGCCTGGATAATTTTTGTATTATTATTTTTTTTTTAGTAGAGATGTGGTTTCACATGTTGGCCATGCTTGTTTGAACTCCTGGCCTCAAGTGACCTGCCCCTCCCAGTCTTCCAAAGTGCTGGGATTACAGGCATGAGCCACCGTGCCTGGCCAAGTTTCTGTATTCTATATTAACTTTTTGTATATTCCATTTTAATTTATAGTTTGATAACTAAAATTTGTTGATTTACTGTTCCTGGTTTAACTAAGAATGCAAGTAGTGCCCTAAGTTTCAACACAAAGGCATATTCACTTCCTTGAGCTCTAGGAAACATCTCTGGAATGGTAGTACCTCAGAAGCCAGTCCTAAGAAATGCACCTTCTCCTCAATCATAGGCACCAAAGACAAAAATAGACCCCATTGTAGAGATGAGTGTTGGGGTTTGATGGTGAATAGTGGGGGTAGATAAAACACCTGAGTTGGAACCAATTGAAAAGAATAGTGTATTAGTCCATTTTCATGCTGCTGATAAAGACATATATGAAACTGCGCAATTTAAAAAAGAAAGAGGTTTAATTGGACTTATAATTCCATGTGGCTGAGGAAGCCTCACAACCATAGAGGAAGGCAAGGAGGAACGAGTCTTCTCTTACATGGATGGCAGCAGGCAAAGAGAGAGAACTTGTGCAGGGAAACTCCTCTTTTTAAAACCATTAGATCTTATGAGACTTATTCACTATCACCAGAACAGCGCGGGAAAGACTTGCCACCATGATTCAATTACCTCCCACCAGGTCCCTCCCACAATACGTGGGAATTCAAGATGAGATTTGGGTGGGGACACAGCCAAACTATATCAAATAGCATAAGATGGAGAGTAAAATATATTTTTTTATCAATTTTAGTGCTATTTTAAAAAATAAACTTTTAATTTTAGACCAATTTTGGTTTTACATAAAAATTTTAAAGGGTTTATAGAGTTCTCATATACCCTACACCCAGTTTCTCTTATTCTTAATATGTTATATTAGTTTGGTAAATTTTTCTTATTAATGAACCAATATTGATATGTTACTACCAATTGAAGTCCTACTTTATTCTGATTTTCTTAATGTTTCCCCTAATATCCATTTTCCATACCAGAATCCCACCCAATATAAGTTACACTTAGTTATCCTGTCTCCTTAAGTTTTTCTTGGCTGAGAAAGTTTCTGAGACTTTACCTGCTCTTGATAACTGTATTAGTCCATCTTCATACTGCTATAAACAACTACCTGGGACTAGGTAACCTATAAAGGAAAGAGGTTTAATTGAGTCACAGCTCAGCAAGGCTGGGGAGGTTTCAGGAAACATGCAATCATGGCAGAAGGCAAAGGGGAAGCAAGGCACCTGCTTCACAAGGCGGCAGGAAGGAGAAGTGCCAAGTGAAGGGGCAAGAGATCCTTATAAAACCATCACATCTTGTAAGAACACACTCACTTGCAAGAGAACAGCATGGGAAACCACCCCTATGATTCAATTACTTCCACCTTGTCTCTCCCTTGACACATGGAGATTATGGGGATTACAATTCTAGATGAGGTTTGAGTGGGGACACAAAGCCTAACCATAACAATAACCTTGAAAGTTTTGAGTTTGGGCTAGTTATGTTGCAGAATGTTCCACTATTCTACTTATTATAATCTACATTATTAATTGTTGGGATTTGTGTGAAGTTTTTCTTGTAATTCGACTTGGATTGTGTGGTGTTTTTTTGGAGAAGACAATACAGGTAAAGTGCCATTTTTTAGCACATCATACCAACAGTGCATACTCTCAATATCACTTACCACTGTTGATGTTAACTTGGATCATCTAACTAAAGGTAGTGTTTCTGAGGTTTCTCATGGACATTCACTTTATTCTTTGGATTATAAACTAATACTATTTTGTTTTGTTGCTCAAGTTGTTTTAGCTTTGGCCATTTTGTGTATGTGTGTGTATGTATGTGTGTATATATATATATATATATATATATATACACACACATATATAGCTTAGCACTTCCCTACTTTCCATCACTATAAGATGATTCAGGCTCATCTTGTATATTTCTATCCTATTAGTTGAATCAGCTATTTTTCCTAAGGGTTCCTGGTTCCTTTCATTGGTGAATGGGATTAGAAACCAATATCTGGGCAGTAGGTGTGCTCACTGCTCCTTGAGGTGTCTTGCTTCTAGGCCTTCCTAGCTGAACAGAACAAGGAAATACATGTATACCAGTCCATTTATACACACATCTCTATAAGGACTTCCATGTTTAACAATCTGTACCTTTATTAAGCTAAACATGAGTTTAAGCTCTAATTTATTACCACATAGATCACTGTATCCTCTTCCTCTGGTCTGTCTGTAAGTTCCCACTTCAATAGTGAGAGACCTGGGTCTCACCATCTGCCACCCATGTGCTTAATTTTTCAATTCCAGTAAAAACATATAGCATTATTAGTGTTATGAATCTGTACCCTGCAATTGGAAAAAAGCTTTGTCAATTAGAGTGTGGTGTTTACCTGCAGTTTCCTTTGTCTTTAGGTTTTACAGACCTCACTCTTTTCCGATGTTACTTAGGTCAGCACCTTTTGAACTCACCTCAATGAATAAAGTGGTTTTATGTATTTTTGATAGAGTTATTTTGTCACATTCTTCATTCCATCCTGATATACCCCCACTTTCTAAAAGATATTTTTAAAATTTGCATAAACTAAGGTTCACTCTTTGCACTGTTAAAGTCTATGGATTTTGACAAATGTGTAGCACCATGAATGCATGATTGTAGCATCATAGTAATCCATTCACCACCCTAAAAAATTTCCCTCTGCTCACCCATTCAACTCTCCCCTATCCTTCCAAATCTCTGAAAATCCCTACAGTTTTACCTTTTCCAGAATGTCATGTAATTGGAATCACACAGTAGTATGTAGACTTTTTAGACTGACTTATTTCACTTAGCAATATGCATTTAAGATTTATGTGTCATATGAATAATACTCCATTGTACAGATGTATCAGTTTATTTCATTCACCTATTAAAGTACATTTTGTTTGATTCCAGTTTTTGGTGATCATTAATAAAGTTGTTATAAACATTTATGTGCAGGTTTTCGTGTGGACATAAGCTTTTGATTCATTTGGGTAAAAATCTAGGAGTGCGATTACTAGGTCATATGTTAATACCACGTTTAGCTTTGTAAGAAACTGCCAAACTGTCTTCTGAAGTACCATTTTGCATTCCCACAAGAAATGAATAAGAGTTCCTTTTTCCCTATATTCTTGTCAGCAATTAGTGTTGTTATTTAAAAAAAATTAGCGATAATAATAGGTGATGTTTAGTTAATGGCATCTCATTTTTGCCTTAATTTTTGATTTCGTAATTACAAATGATGTTGAGCATCTTTTTGTATGCTTGTTCACCACCTGTGTATCTTCCTCGGTGAGGTGTCTGTTCAAATATTTTGCTCATTATTTAATTGGGTTGTTGTTTTTCTTATTGTTGAGTTTTGAGAGCTCTTTTTATATTTCGGATAGGTTTGTTACAGATATGTTTTGCAATTTTTGTTTCCCAGTTTATAGCTTGTCTTTCCAGCCTATTAAGAGTGTCTTTTGCAGATTAAAAGTTTTAAATTTTAATACAATTTATCAGTTTTTTCTTTCATGAATTATATTTTTGGTTTTGCATTTATAAACTTATCATCAAACTTAGGTCATACAGATTTTTCTTCTGTGTTTTCTTCAAAAAATTTTATAGTTTTACATTTTACATTCAGGTCTTTGGTCCATTTTGAGTTAATTTAAGTAAAAGTCATAGGGTCTTTCTTTTTCTGGGTTCATTATTTGCATAAGGATATCTAGTAGTTCTAATAACATTTGTTGAAAAATATACTTTTTCTTCATTGAATTGCCTTTGTTCATTTGTCCAAGTTTTACTAATTATATTTGTGTGGTTCTTTATTTGGGCTCTTTTTTAAAAAAAAATATTTTTAGTTCTGGTGTACATGTGCAGGATGCGCAGGTTTGTTATATAGGTAAAAGTGTGCCATGGTGGTTTGCTGCGCCTAGCAACCCATCACCTATGTATTAAGCCCAGGATGCATTAGCTATTTTTCCTAATGCTCTCCCTCCCCACTCAACCCATCCCCCCACAGGCCCCAGTGTGTGTTGTTCCCCTCCCCGTGTCCACATGTTCTCATTGTTCAGCTCCCATTTATAAGAGAGAACATGTTGTGTTTGGTTTTCTGTTCCTGCATTAGTTTGCTGAGGATAATGGCTTAAGTCAAGAAACAACAGATACTAGTGAGGTTGCAGAAAAATAGAAATGCTTTTACACTGTTGTTGAGAATGTAAATTAGTTCAACAGTTGTGGAAGATGGTCTGATGATTCCTCAAAGATCTAGAACCAGAAATACCATTTCACCTAGCAATCCCATTACTGGGTATATACCCAAAGGAATATAAATTGTTCTATTGCAAATATACATTCACGCCTATGTTCATTGCAGGGCTCTTTATTTTTAAAATTGATCTATGTGTCTATTCTTTTGCCAATATCACATTGTCTTGATTATTGTAAGTTTATAGTAAGGTTTGAAATTGAGTAACGTGAGTACAACTTTTTTCATTTTTAGTATGGTGTTTGGCCATTCTAGCTCTTTTGTTTTCCATATAAGCTTTAAAATCAGTTTGCCAATATCTATAAAACACCTTTCTGGACTCTTGATGGTTATGTTGAATCCATATATCAATTTGGGAATAAATGACATCTTGAAAATACTAAGTCTTCCCTTCCATGAACACTGAGTAACTTTACATTTATTTAGATCTTCTTTGATTTCTTTTTTCAAAGTTTTGTAACCTTTTATTAATAGACCTAGTGTATATTTTGTTAGGTTTCTACCTATGAACTTAATTCTTTTCCTTTTTGGTAATGAGATTGTGTTTTTATTTCTGAATTTCAGTTGATCACTTCTGGCATATAGGAAAGCATTGTATTCTACAACCTTGCTATATTTACTTATTAGTTTCAGGATTATTTTTTGATCTGTTCTTTGAGAGTTTCTACACAAAGAATGATGCCATCTACCAAAAAGGATAGATTTCTTCCCCATCTGTATACTTTTTATTTCTTTTTAAAAATCTTACTACAGTAGTTATGACTTCCAATGTGATGTCAAATAGGAAGGGAGACCCTTCCCTTGTTCCCTACATTAGGAAGAAAGCATCCAGTTCCTCACAGTTAAGTACAATGTTAGCTGTAGGGTTTTTGTAGATGTTCTTTAGCAAGTTGTAGAAGTTTCCCTATATTCCTCATTTGCTGAGAGATTTTAATCATGAATAGGTGTTGAGTTTTGTCGAATGCCTTTTTGGTCTCAATTCCTATAATTATGATGGATTTTATTGTATAGTTTTCAAATGTTCAACCAGCCTTGTATTATGTATCCAAAATAAATTCCGCATGGTTGTGATCAAAGTTAAGGTAGAAGTAAAAGGCAGCATGTCAAACTACATGCTAAATATTAAATGCAAATCAAATACTCTCACACTTCATTTTTTTCTAACACCAAATGACATTCCAATCAAAACAAACAAATGAACAAACAAACAAGCAAAACCTTTCCTAATTATAATCTTCCATAGTGAAAATCACAGGTAAAAATCACAATCTGATGAGTATCTTTTGCAGGTGATTGGGATGGACAGATACTCAGTTGTCTTCTCTATAAATGCTAAATGATTTCAGAGTGAGAAAGAAGGCCATATGGTTGGTTAGCAGCCAGTGAACTTAAGAAGACAGATTTATAGGGAGGGTTAGTTTTACCTGAAACTGTGTAGTTCAGTTCTAATTGACTGCGATTTGTATGTGTTATATAATTTATAAAATGATAGCTTTTCAGAAAAATCCTGTTTTTCTCATAAACTGACAATTTATAATTGTATAAATTTATGGAGTATGAAGTGATGTTCCTGTTTTCTATTAATCTATGGAATCAAAGTGTATGACTGAAAGAGATAGCATATATGGGTCAGTACCCTGGTCAATAAAAGTATTATTTTATTGCCCATGAGCTGAAACCAAAGCACTACTACTACTACTATGACTACACACACACACACACACACACACACACACACACAAACAGACACATATCATTAGACAGATATATACTTGGCTACTATGATGAGTGGTGCAAATAAGAACTAGACCAAGACATCTGCTGTTTGCTATGGAAGTAGACATTAGGCAACATAAAAATATAGCTGACAACCATACGTAAATGTTCTATGATCACAATCAGGAACGAAGAATTTCAGGTATTTGCTTGCTGTCGTGATGAGCAATTCTAAGCAGGTTAATTAGAAAAACACATCCACTCACAACAGGACCACTTTCTCTTTTGTGGACTGTGTCACTAGAGAAATCTGACCCGTGATGTTTTCACTGTTACTCACACTAAGTCTTTTAATATAATGAAACATTATTTCCACTGAAATATCATGAGGACCATCTGCACAGTCCTCTTACACATGTTTGTCAGATTTCCTCTTCAACAACCTCCTGGGGATGCAACATCTTTCTTACTGAAAACCATCTACGGACAATTCCTCTGGACTGATTTTTCTATCATTTGACAAGTAGTTCATTAATCTTTAAGTATTCCCCTCTGAATTATGACCATGTTACACCTTATGTGATTGAGATTGCTTCAAAGCTTCCAATGAGAGAGAGGAGATAGGGGTGGTGATTGGGTTTCTTACGTGTCATTTCGCCACAGGCCTCACACAGTTATTCGCATGACAACCATTGCATCTCTAGATCCACGGGTGCTTCAAGAGTTGAGAAGTAACTCTGTTAGATGGCAAAACAGGGCTCTAAGAGGGGATGAAGAAGGAACATTTGAGTCAATGTTGGAGAGTATTGAAGCCAAGGCACACTCCTGTCATACACATATTTATGAGTTGGATTACTGTGTACTTTCCACCATTTCTTTAGTTGTTTTTCCTAGAACATCTTTCCTAGGAAGCACTTGGAACTAGTGATAACTGTCAGAACAGATGAAAGCAAGAAGTAACTTTAAGCTTTGTTTAAAGATTTAGTGTTTCTGTTTCTTTGTTGACATGAAATATCATATGAAATACTGAAAGTCAGAAATCAAATTTGTGTGTTTGAAATTTAGTAAAAAGTAAAGTGAACTTTGTCCAAATGCCATTCGAATATAAAATAATTTAACTGTAACTCACACTGCCCACATTAAGATTAACTTGGGACACAGGAATTAGTTAAAAATTATTGATCTTTTAGGTTGGTGGTCAGAGGACTGTAGAATTATAATACATGTATTAATTTCCTTGTTTGTGCCAAACACAGAGTTGGGCATTATCACTAGAGTAAAAGACAGTGTGTGTTGAGGGCTTGAGTAGAGGAATGCAGAGTGGTAAGCAAGTAACCAGAGGAAACTCAAAATAGACCTGAGGTCGGAACATATTTGTAGATGCAGGTCATGCTGCAGCTGGTTCTTAAAAGATACATGGGTATAGTAGAAAGAATAATGATCCCTCAAAAATGATCATGTCCTAATCTCAGGAACCTGTGAATATGTTCCTTTGCAAAATGGACTTTGTAGAAATTATTAAGTTAAGGATATTGAGATGGAGGAAATCATCTTGAATGATCTGGATGGATCCAAGGTAATCACAAGGATCCTCAAAAGGAAAAGAGGGTGGCAGGAGAGTCGATGCAGATGGGATGCAGAAAGTCAGATATTGCATATTCTCACTCACATGTGGGAGCTACAAATGTTGATCTCACGGACACAGAGAGTAGAATGATGGTTACCAGAGGCTGGGAAGGGTGGAGGAGGTGGGCAGGAATAAAGAGCAGTTGGTGAATAGATCCAAAATCCAGTCACACAGATGGAATAAGATCTAGTGCTCAGTGGTACAATAAGGTATGACTATGGCTAAAAAGAATTTATTGTATATTTCAAAATAACTAGAAGAGTGGAATTGGAATGTTTGTTACACAAAGAAATGATACATGCTTGAGGTAATGGATACCCAATTACCCTAATTTGATCACTGCACATTGTATGCTTGTATCAATATTTCACATGAACCCCATAAATACGTAGTATTATGTACCCATAAAAATTACAAATAGAAAAGTAAAAAATAAGCAAGTGTGATGATGGAAGCAGAAGCAGAGTGATGCTATTGCTGACATTGCAGATGAAAGGATGCCATGAGAAGGCAGACGCTCTCTAGAATCTGGAAAAGCAAGGAACAGAGTCTCTCCTAGAGTCTCGAGGAAGAACGAAGCTCTGCTGACACCTTGATTTTAGCTCCATAAGGCTCATTTGAAACTTCTGTCATCCAGAATTGTCAGAGGATAAGTTTGTGCTGTTTCAAGCCACTAAGTTTATAGTAATTTACTACAGCAGGAACAGGAAACAAATACAGTGGGAATTAGCTTGTCTCAACTGCTGGTGAGAAATGGTAGAAAGCAGGGAGCTAGGAAAGAAAGATATTCTAGGAGAGAAAACAGGCGCTGCTATGGAGAAAGGCATAGGAGACAATGTCCTGTTTGGGGCACTCAAAATCAGCCAATGTACCTGTAACAAAGTGTATGTGAAGGAATCTGATCAAAGTGGTGCTGCAAAACTGGATGAGGACACGCACCCTGAAGGGAAGCACTGAGGCGCTGCACTTGTCTGGAAAGCAATGGGAGCCACTCAGCGCGGAAGTGCAGAATCATACTTACACTTAGATACATCACTCGGGAGGCCCAGTGAATGCTGGGGTTATCCGCCAGCTGCAGGAAGAATCAGTTGTGAAGACCTGTGAAAGCCAGGTGTGAGACAGCCATGGGAATGCAGAAAGGGAATGACTTTATATGATATTGCAGGAGTAGAAATGAAAGAGTTGTTGACCATGTGGCCACAATGGGGAGAAAGACTTAGGCATTTCACATCATGTCAGTTTTTAGAATTGAGCGATCGAGTGCCATTAACTTAAAGAAGAGAGGGAAATGGTATTTGTTCCTGTTCAACATCTGCTTGATTTCCATCTGGGTTTTGTCTCTCCCTCCCCACTTTCAGTCCATGAGAAGGTATCCAAGACCCCTGAAAAGGGTGAGGCCAGGCCTAAGGAGAACAGAGCAGCCCATTGGATTCCTCTGGCCAATGTGATTGGCTCAGTGTTAGACATGGGACCTAGGCCAGTCCAGTCGAATGCCTCTCAGAGCTGCTGAGGATGCTGGGAAAATCACCTCCATCATAGCAGCACAGCTTTGCCCTAGATTTTCTGCTTGACTAGGACCCCGATGCACGTGGTGGAGAAAGATGGTGGCAGCCATTAGTAACCACAAATGACAATCTGTACAAAGGTAAAACTTAAGAAATAATAAAATAAAATAAAATAAAATGGAACTAGCAGAACTGAGAGGTAGAGCAAGATCAGGCCAACTTAGTAACAGTACTGGAGTTTCTGATCCTATCCTGGATCCACAAGTTTGATTTTTTTTTTCTTATTTGCAACCAAAGTTATCTTAGAAGAGCAGAGAAGAAAGGGCAAGCTTGGATGTTTCTGTTTGAAGACACTTGGGTGGAGCTATGTAGTAAGCAAATAGAAAAATGGATGTAATGATTAAAATGTTATGTAAATGAAGATATTTATTTGGGATTTATCAGCTCATTGATCATATTAACCTGAGGGTGTACTACGTGAGACTACAAGAGGTTTAAAGTCAGAAGCTGAAGACTACCAATGGTCAATAGTCAGACATAGAAAAAACAGCTAGGGATGGTGAGAAACCATTACCAGAGAATGAACCTAAATTGATAAATTTGGAAAAATGAAGAGATTAAAATCAGCAGAAAAAGGCTTTGAGGTGGCCAGGTGGGCTGGCTCACGCCTGTAATCCCGGCACTTTGGGAAGCCGAGGCGGGTGGATCACGAGGTCAGGAGATCAAGAACATCCTGGCTAACATGGTGAAACCCTGTCTCTACTAAAAATACAAAAAAATTAGCCGGACGTGGTGGTGCCTGTAGTCCCAGCTACTCGGGAGGCTGAGGCAGGAGAATGGCCTCAACCCAGGAGGCGGAGCTTGCAGTGAGCCGAGATCCCGCCATTGCTCTCCAGCCTGGGTGAGAGAGCAAGACTCCAACTCAAAAAAAAAAGGCTTTGAGGTAATTTATCAAAATATAAATTAGTGTTGGCTATTTTGGGATATTGAGGCTATAAATGGTTTTCTTTTATATTTTCTTCCACTTATTTTCTAATATTCTGAGTATTCTAAAATAAAACATACATTTTATTTAAAGACAAATTAACTTAAAAATGCACATCTCATGGATTTTTTTCAAAGGAGAATAAGTGATCAAAACTTTTCAAAGTTACTGGAAGAAGGGGCACAAGTACGAATTGGAAATAAGACACATTCTGAAAAACTTAAACATTAGAGTCTAGAGAAGCAATGAATAAAAGTAAATTTATTTCTAAAACTTTTACATTGCCTGATATTCTATCAACTTTGGTGCTGCATTTTCATTACTTAACAGTAGACTTTTTTTAAAGAAAAAGCACACACAATAAAATATTATGGTAATAGTAGTATATACATATAGTAGGCTCACTGAGTAGGTTTCTCAGGCAGTTTAGATAGTCATAATTTGGTGGAAGATGCTTTATTCTTTATTCTTTTGGTAGTGCCTAAATTCTTTTGTAGAGCAACAGTTTGAAAACCACGTTTCAAATGACTTCTTTTTTTAGTTTTTAATTTTTATGGGTACATAGTAAGTGTATATATTTATGGGGTACATAAGATATTTTTATACAGGCATGGAATGCATGATAATCACATCAGGATAAATAGTGTATTCATCCCCTCAAGCATTTATTCTTTGTGTTTCAAACAATCCAATTATACTCCTTTAATTATTTTAAAATGTACAATTAAATTAGTTTTTATTATAGTCATTCTGTTGTGCTAGCAAATATAGGTCTTATTTATTCATTATAACTATTTTTTATACCAATTAACCAAAATTTCTTTGTACTTTATAAGTATATACAGTTCTTCTGTTTATGGCCAAAGAAATTCTGTGAAAATAACTTGCAATAGAGAACAAAGAGGCAGTGACACACAGAGATCAAAAGAGAACTTTGCCTTTGAAAAGACTTCAGAATAAAGTGTTTTCTTAAAGTGATGGAACTTATTTAAATGTATCTCAGCAGATCAACTCCTCCATCTCTCTGACTCTACATAGGTATATTTGTCACCATTAATTTTCTTGTAAAGCTGGGGTCTTGCTATGTTGCCCAGGCTGGTCTCAAACTTCTGGGCTCAAGTAACTCTCCTGTCTCGACCTCCCAAAGTGCTAGGATTACAAGGCATGAGCCACAGCACCTGGCCTTGACATCATTTTTGACAATTCTAGACAGGATAACTAAACTACTTTCTTCACAAAAAATAAGAAAGAAAGGAAGAAAGAAAGGAAGGAAGGAAGGAAGGAAGGAAGGAAGGAAGGAAGGAAGGAAGGAAGGAAGGAGGGAGGGAAAGAAAGGAAAGAAGGGAGGGAGGGAGGGAAGGAAGGAAGGAAGAAGGGAACACTAATTAGTATGTCTAAACCTCCTGGAAAGCCCCTGAGCTGCTTGGTAATGAAGTTCTTTTAGCATTACAGTGACCAAACTACCTAGAACAGAACTCAAGATGAAGTTCCTGTTGTTTTTCCTATAGTAGAGGATTCATGATAAACTTTCTAGGGTCTTTCCCACAGGTGGGGTTGATATACTTTGGATGAATTAAAATAATAAACTGATTTCCTGGTGGATTTTCATTTACAAATATCTGGGCCTTAGGATTGCAAGGTAGGCCTTGTCATAGTAGGCTCCAAATGAGATGCCAAAATGACAGGCGTGCCAGGCAGCATTGAGGACTCTGCTACCCAGGATGCACCGCCTCGTGCTGGCGCTGGCCATGGTGCTGGCCTGGAGCTGACATTGGCCTGATCTGGCCCAAGAGCTGTTGGCAGCCTGGGCTGGGCAGTGGCTGTGTGCTATGGCAACAGGGAGCAGAATGATCACCACAGCTGCATTTCAACAAAGGATGTGGTGTTTGCTGTCACTTTGGGAAAGGGGTTTCAAGGAAGAGGAGCCCCCTTACAATGCCTTGACCTGGAAAACCTCCACCACAGGGATAGCCTAAGAAGTCCTTGGTTCCTGCAAAACTCACCCATGACTCTATGGGTTACTAGGCTGAGGAGCTGGAGTCCTCAGGATGAGGTCTTCACCAAAATGTACAAAGCAAAATATCCCATTGTGAAATACACAGCCCAAAGAATTCTTAATGAGAACAGGAGCTCCAGCATGGACTTGAAACTGAAAGCCCAGACCCATTTTGACATAAAGGATGAGTTCTGCTGTTCCATTGGCAGGATTAGGTTCTTGAGAGGGCAGGGCAGGCAAACACTCAGGTGCTAAATCTTCTGCAAAATAGGCTGCCTGAAGCCTCTGAATCACCTGAATAAAACAGTTAATTAACCTTGAATAAAAGTAAAATGACATAAAAAACTCTTTACAAGCCAACTGTCACATTCCTTAATTTTAATAAGTTAATTCATTTTAGCCTTCCCACTAGTGACAGTAATGCATATACTCAGAAATGTCTGGAATACTAATATTTTGAAATATATTTCTAAGTTTAGTTGTACGTTTTAATAATTTTATTTTGTTCCACTCTTTCCTTCAGTTCTCATAATTCATCAAAATAGTGTTTGAATTTTGATCAGTTTTCACAACAGGAGATTGATTATTTAAATATCTAAGGCAGTAGGACCCAGGACATGAATAATGTGTGGGGCTTATAATAAACAATTCTAATTAATGATGACTTTTTTCTTATTTAATCCAAACGCTTTAATGACAGATTATTCTAATTTTTGATGATTCTGTTATGGAGATTTAGACTCTGAGTAACAGAAAACTGAATCAACAGTGGCATGAAGCCAATAAATCACATACAATAACAAGTTCAGAGGTAGACTGTTGTAGGGATGGTCAGCTCAGCAGTTCAACAGCTTCATGATCCAGGTTCTTTCTACCTCTCCAACCTGCTGTTGAATTGTTCTTTTAACCTGACTCTTCCATAGATAAACGCCCAAGTTCTGGGCATCAAATGAAGTCCACAAAGTTCAGAAGCAAGAAAGAAAGGAAATCTGCCATATGTCTCAGTTCTCATCCTGGAAAATCTTTCTGAATATTTGGAAAGATGTGCTTTGCCACCTTAATGCTCAGAGGAATCAGAGGCCTCAATTTAAATGAATCACTTACTGGGTGGAAAAATCGTTGGAATGGTTCTCAGATTTGAGTCCCTGGGCCAGTACCATCAGTATCACCCAGGAACTTGTTAAACATGCATGCTCTCAGACTACATCTCAAGCCTATTGTGTCAGAAACTCTTGGAGCTGGGCTTTGCAAGCTGTTGTTAATGAGCTCTCCAAGAGATGCAGCTGAGGTAAAGACTGATTAACTGCTGGCTTAGACTGATTACAGTTCACCCTCTGGGCCTGGGGACATGTATGGCTTTCCCAGAAATCATGACATGTGCACTCAGAGGTTATGAGAAGCCTCTCAGAGGTTTTACTGCATTGTTCTTCCTTTTTAATCTAATGGTTAGGAATATTTTAAGGATCAAGTCCTTATTTAATTGTGATCAGGTGTCTGTCAAAATGACACCTCACTTGTTTGGGAGCTCTGTTTAGCTTTTTAAAACCTTTAGATTCAGTCAATTTTTTTAGTTTTGCTAAAATAAGTCTCCTAACAGAAGTGCTCAGTTGTGTAATGGAAACAATAAGCTAAAGACTAAATACCTGAATGACTTTTCTTGCTGCTGTATTGATAGTCAACTAAAGATAATTGAAACTGTTTCACTGGAGTTAAGTTTTAAGATAGCTTAAAGAAGAATTATTTCAGTGATTGTAATTAGGTATCTGTAATATAGACAGTTGTACTTCTTATGGTGGATATGACTCTTTTATACGTGTAAAAACTATTGCATCTATTTTGAAGTTTTTACCAACAGGTTTTTAGGTAGCAGGTGGAGCAATGGAGGCAGATTTATTGCAGCCAGTGACTGGAGCATTCACTGAACCTAAGCATTGCTCACTACATGCCTTAATTCACTATTTCAACGAATCAGAAACATCATTTGGAATCTTGTGATGTTGCCATAGTAACATTCATCATTGTAAAAAAAGTGCCATTGGAACAAAAGGAGAGAGATACTAACATATTTCCAGATACCCAAGTGTGTTCCTCCTGACCCAGTCAGTATTGTTTGCCAAACAATGGGAAATCTTAAAACAGAGTGGATGAGAAAGGTGAACCTCATCTGTTGAATGAATTTTCCTTCCATTCTTCTCCAGGATCTTTCTCCTCTAAGACTTCCTGTATTCCTTGTTTATTGCCACATAAACTGAAGGGCTTCAAATAACATACATTTAGTATTTCAGTTTCCAGGGATCAGGAAATCACAGCCACAGATTAGCTGAGTCCTCAGGTCAGGGTTTCCCAGGTCAAAATCAAAGTGTTGGCATGGGGGTCAGTGTGATCTCAGGCCCAGAGTCTTTCTCTATGCTCTTAGTTTGCTGGCAGAAATCCTTTCCTCACATTTGTAGAACTGATGGCTCCCTTCTCGTGCTGGCAGTTGGCTGGGGGTCATTTTTAGCTCCTAACAGCCACTCTCCATTTCCTGCCACAGACCCTCTGTACAACAGAATAGTTGCTCCTTCAAAGCCAGCAGGAGAAGCTGTCTAGTACTTCAAATATTGAGGGTGGGGCATCCAGAATAATCTTCCCTTTGATTTGGTCAAAGTCAACAGATTAGGGATTTCATTTACTTCTGCAAAATTATCTTCACTTTTGCCTTACAAAGTAACCTAATTATGAAAATGATATCCTTTCACATTTGTGGGTCCTGCCCATACTCCAGAAGAAGAGATTACACGAGAGTATGCACCAGTCTGGACATCTTGACCACCTTCTCAGAATTTTACTCATCACACTTCCCCTTCCCTTCCATCCCATCTCTTCTTCTTCTTGGTTGAGGCTTGTATGCACATAAATATCTATGTGTACCTGCACCTGTATCATATCATAATAACAGCAAAGCCCATGGAAAATAGTAATAGAATTGTCAAGCCCATCAAAAAAAGATTTGTGATTTTTTTCTGACAACTTACCGCTCATGAGAAAGTTGAGATAATTCCAGCTTTGAAAGATGCAAGTTCATTCAGACAAGTTGTTTAAAAAAAAAACAACACAGAACCTTTATAAAGGCGAATCATAAAATTGTACTTTGCTTTGGGTCTGACAGCCTATTCTGACATAAACTGAGAAGAGTGTATGAAGTTCTAGATTTTAGGCAGAGTATATGATGTCAGCAAATTTTAGTTCCTTGCTCCCAGCTGACATGTGCTTTCCATGTCTTGTAGAAGAGAGATCTCAGGACTTTTCTAAATCCTGATGTTCTTGTGGGGACTTAGGTTCTTATGGGGGGTTCAAGTGGTCTGCAAAATGAAGAAGTTGTAAAAGGTGCTGTTTGAGATCTCTGGAGCACCAGTGACATTGACTGCCACATTCCAAGATTGTGTGTCCTAAGCCAAAATCAAAATGCCTTTATAGAATAGTGCTGTTCATCCAGATCCAAGAATAGAATTAAAACCACTTGGCAATTCACTTCTTTGTGTTAGTAAAATAATTGCTGAGATAAAGACAGCAGATAGACCCTGAATTTTAAAAAGCTCTATATAGAAATTGCTGCCAGTTGATCCATAAAAAAAGAGAAAATCTAAAAATTCAGCTTACTGACTAAAAGGAAAGGAAAGAAAAACCTCTTTTATTGTAAGTTATATGTGTAATTTTCTGAGTTAATAATTGTCAACAAACATGTCTTATAGATGGTGAAACTAGTACATAAAAATAGCAGAAAATGTCTTAGGTTAATGCCCCTAAAGTTCCTCTGGGGACTTTTTATTGGTTTTGGTTATTATTATTATAAAAAACCTGATATAGACAGTGTGCTAGTTGTGTGATATAGCACAGTATTTTAAAACAGGTATTAAAATGCCATAGGCATATACTTTATTTTACTGATTTTCAAAGGTGTAAAAATGGTCCTAACCCCCCAGTGTCTGTGAATGTGACCTTATTTGGAAATAGGGTCTTTGCAGAAAGTCAAGTTACGATGAAGTCATTAGAGTTAGCCCTCATCCAGTGTGATTTTGACCTTTAAGGAACGGGGAAATTTAGACACAGAGACAGACACACGGAGAGGAAGAGGACATGACGACACAGGGAAAATGCCATCTACAATCCAACTTGAGGTTGACAGAAGCTGGGAGACGGGACTATTCGGAACAGATTCTCCCTCAAAGCCCTCAGAAATAACCAACCCTGCCGACGTGTTGATTTCCAGCCTCCAGAACCAAGGCAATAAATTGCTGTTATTTAAGTCACCCAGTTTGTGGTACTTTGTTACAGCCATCCCAGGAAAGTGATATACATGGGTTCTTCAATTTTTAACTTCTTTTTACCCAAATGATTTCCCCCAATTATTTCATTAATCTTATACAATGTGATCACTTAAGATTTGATTTTAATACTGTTTTATTTTACATATTTTAAGTGGTTTTCAGTCAATGCCCCTAGTTATAAATGGCTTGCCACATGATCCAGAAAGTTCCTAAGTTTCTACTCCCAGGAGTTCTCTCTCTGTTCCTTCAAAGATATCACCTACCATAGTCTGAGACTTTGGGACAAAAATTTTTCTCCTTCTCTGGCATTTGTTATTGTTACAGGCATCATTTTCTTCTGTTTATCAGGACAGAACCTGAAAACAAGCAGAATTGTGCTGGGAAATTTTCTTTCACACACAAACATTTGGAAGATGTCTGGGGAGAGGATATAAACATGGGCTTTTTCAGTAACTCCATTGGGGATGGTATCTGGTAGTTTTCCATGGGGAGAAAAGCCTGAGAAATTGACCTCACCCAGCATGCTCCTGGGCCTGAACATACAACATATTTATTGCAAGGGTTTTATTTATTTATTTATTTTTAAAGAAAAACCCTCAGCCACACAGCATGAGCTCTATAATACCAGTTCTGCTAGTGGCACACAGAGTGGCTCTGGAAAGTAAATTTCTTACTCTTCTAATAATTGTAAACCATCCGCTAAGGTGATCTTTGGAGAACACCTAATTATGACTTTATATGTCACAGTGTAAAAAGTGGCACATAGTCTGGACAAAACACACGTAGTGAGGAATAATGCAAACCTGCTGACAGTAGTTGGTTTTGAATATTGAAGTGGGAAATTTTCTTTTTTATACTTTCTAAATTATTTAGTATTATTTATATCATAGTCAAGATTAAAATAGCACATAATTTTTAAAAAACTAAAATGCCTCATAAGCATCAGCACTGTGCATAATTTACAGACTGTCTTTCTGTTTTAGTTTGACTGACCAAACATGTTTGGGACTTGATCACAGCAGACAAATCCATTATGCCTATGGGGATGACCCAACTCTGCAGGGGACAGTTGACTTCCAGGTGTGGTGTAAACTGAGCAAAGAACTGACAAGACAATGCCCAGTGTTTCAGCTAATCTATGAGACTGTATTGCCTGGGTACAAAATGGACTTTTAAAAAACAATTTAAAAACTAAATTACATGTATCCTAATGGTCATACAGTGCAAGAGAAATTTGCAATCAGCATAAGTTTAAAATTCATAAGTACTCTACATGGGCATACATTCTCTCAAAATAGCATAGGAATTTATATTTTAACAATTTTTCCACAAAATTCATTATCTTGATTGAAGCTGCTGAGACAGATGGATGCAGTTATAGCAATCAAGATCAAAACAAGGAAACAATCCTTAGTTGTTGGTGGTGGTGTGCAATTTTATTTTTTGTGTGTGTTTTTTGCTTGTGTGTGTGTTTTATTCTGAAGCCTTAGGCTGAAGTGTCCTCGAGTGGCAATAATGAGAGGGAAACTAATAATAAGAGTTATTAGGTGTGAGCATTCTGTTGTTTATTTTTTCTAATCCTTCCACTCTCACTTTCAAATCAGACCTGTGGCAGTTGCAAACACTATTGGCCGGAAAGGAAGGTTTTATGTTTTTGTTGTTTGTGTGTTCATGTTTGTGTGTGGTGGGGGGATGTGTGAATGGTGGTCTGCTGTATTCAATTAACATTTTCTCCTAATGTCCAAAAAGAAAGGGATAAGGGATCAAACACAGCAATTAAACATTATTATTATTTTACAAAATTAATTATAATCTTTTTTGAAGGATTACCATTACACCTAGATGGGAGGAGTGATGGAAAATTAAGGTACAAGTGACATTGTACTTATTATTTAACGAGTACCTGTAGAACATCAAGAGCCAGACTGACTGCTTATGTGTGTATTTCTTATCTCATTTACTCTCACAACAGTATTCTGAGGTGGCTTCTATTGTCTCTGCATCACTGGGAGGAAATTGAGACTAGGCAATTATATTCACTTTTTTAGTCTATTAGGGTAGTACCAGCTGCTGTAACAAATAAACCTTAAGATATCAAGGACTAAACATAATAGATGTTGAATAGATGTTGAATCTCAATGTGTAACAAATCAGTAGTGTAAATGCTCCTGCAGTGACTTAGAGACCCAGATTTCTTTCATATTGTGGACTAGTAATCTCTAAACCCTCAGTGTCCTGTGCATTTATCTGCTAAAGAGGATACGAGAGGGCAGAGAAGGCAAACTCACTTCTTAGAAACTCTTGTCCAAAAGTGACACATAGCACTTGGACTCATATTCCATAGATGAGAGCCACTCACATGGCCACCTGAGTGTAAGAGAGGGTGGGAAAACATAGTTCCCACTGGGTCGGCACATTGCAGTGGCAACTTCACAATGTATGAAGGACAATATACATTTTGATGTACAGAAAATTGTCTCTGACTCTCTTGTTCATTGATGCAACATTGCCCACACACTCGATATGCATCAGTGGTTTTCATAGCACTATAATTTTATTTTAAAAATTATATATGCAACTGCTATTCAAGAAACAGGTCAGATACTGATATAGTGATTTTACATTATAACAGGATACCTTGCTTTATACTTTATATTTTATACTTTAATATTAATGCTGAGGTGAAAGCATAAATGATAGATAAATGGTGACCAAGGAACTATTTCACCAGGAAGGTAGGCAGAATTAAGGGTTATGCTTGCCTAGAATAACTGGCTCTGTTCTACTGGATGGTTAGATGATTTCTCCCAGGGTTTCTCATGGTGTTGGCAAAAATTTACCCTTATAAGGAGGAATTTTAAGAAATAATACAAATATACCTCACAGTTTTCTTTTGAAAACAGCAAGGAGAGCATTGATGTCTTTCTCTAGAGAGGGAGGGCCTTTGGGTTTACCCAGTTTGCAGGCTAAGTTTGTACAAGTGTGTGTGATGGGGAATGGTGACAGAGTGCTCATGGTAGCCATTCCTCCCACATGACTCAAGCTTAGGTTGTCTTAAATTTTGTGAAATCTGAGTGATTGGATTGAGGATCATCTTCAGTACTTTAATTTCCCTCAAATTGTGACCAAAATTCAAAGATACGGCAATCACAGAGTCAGATGAGTTAGCACTAAAAGATATATTGGAAAGCCCCACTCCACATTTATGATTTTATAGATAAACTAACAAAAAGCCTCAAAAACTTTGGCATAGCTAAGTTTAGAATTCAGTTCTCCCATGTCCCTGATCTGCATACATTTCATTGCCTTTTAAGTCCACCCAATTCAACAAAAATGTATTGAGCATCCTCTGGGTACCGAGCACCGAGCTAGGTTCTAGGGATATGGTGGAGTCCAAGGTAGACAGCACCCCATACCACTTCCTGAGAAATTAACTCTTAACTCTGACAGCCAAGGCTCACTTACCTTAGATTGTGAATAGAATTGTGGCTGCCTTTTACTTGGCTCCCTGCTGTAAAGTTACCACATTTCCTATTATATCTGTGAAACTCAAGATGATTTTTGTTTGTCCAGTCTTGTACAATTCAGCCTCTCTGTCTATGGTTACAAGTGCAATGAAAATACATGAATAGGTTTATTAACTCCAAATATACCATCATTTCATCTACCACCACCTCTTCTTTCCTAGAAACTCAAATTTTAAGGCACAATTGTGATTTCTAACTGGTGTTTCAGACTCTAAAGAGACTTGGCAGCAGCTGGACTGTCCTAATTATGTGCAGGGAAGTTCATGCAGTTGGTCAGTGGCAGTCTGCAGTGGTGATGGGCAATAGGACAGTCCTAATTTTCCAAAGGTACACATACTTGCCAGGTTGCCCACGAATAGCAGCCATGCCAGAGGTGGGGAATAGTTATTGGAGATTAAAAATTATCTTTCTTTGGACTAGGTTCCTAGTAAGGCTTTTTGGATGAGGATTTTCCTTTTGACTGGTTAGCCAGCATTTTCTGCTTGTTTCAAGAGAAAAATGTAATTTACCTGATTTCTAATCTCACTGCAGGTATGTCTGGGGATTGTGAAGTTGGGTTGCATGCTTCATGTGTCCCAATTTTTGTCTTTAAGCACATTTACTCAAAGACATATATTACTAATTGTGGGTAGGTTCTCAATTTAATCCACGAATGCCCCTCCACACTCTACCCCCAAAAGGAAGAACTAGGACAAACCATCAAACTCATAAAATAGCTGAAATGCAATACCATACAGCTGGATTAAATAAGGATAGCTTGGGGACTATCTCCATCTACCATCATTTCTGTTGGTGAACTCATTTCAGAATATGGTTTCAACTTACCAGCTTTCCATATGTAAAGCTATATAAAAATAGTAACGAAGAAGCAAACAATTAACAGTAACAACAAAAAAGCAGACAGTAAGAGAGGAAAAACCCCTTAATAAAAACTTCTAGTATTAGAAGGGAATTCATAGTTTATTCATGATCAAATGCTTAATTTTTCAGGTAAGAAAACCAAGAAGCTTCCAGATGATTCCCTCCCATAGTGGTATGAGTCATTCTCTGTCATTTGTGTTTTCCCAGCTGAGTCCCCAGACATTGCGAAGAGACAAGTTATGGCCACCATATGCTGTCTGACCCACACGATACACAAGAATAAAATGGTTTATTTTTTACATGATTGAGTTTTGGGATGGCTTTTTTGCAGCAAAGCTAACTGAAACAGACTGGAAAGTTGGGAGCTGGCAGCCAGTTGATTGGGTTAAGTTTTATTCCTGGAGAAGAAAATAAGTATAATTTATCCTAGTCAATTTAGAGACATCTAATAATAGTTTTCTTTCTCACTCCAAAAAGTTAATTTTTTGGACTTCTTTTATATTAGCAGCAAGAATGTTAATCAGAAAGACATAGATTGCAAACCAATGTCAGCACAGAAAAACTGACTTACCATGGCAACTGAGATAAAGCCTTGGTTTTAAAGTTCATCCTGAAATCAAAACAACCTTGCAGCAAATTCTTATAATCTTGAATTGATTTGTACACTGTTTTCTTGCTTTTAATCTTTTTCTCCTTCTATAAATACATTCTTTTTTAATTTAATGCTTATATACGCTGATTACCTGATTTTTTGAATAGAATCTGAGTAACCACAGCAAAAATTCTATATTTTATATTCAGAAGTATTTTGATGATTTTATTGGTGAAGAAATATATATGTGCGTAATATTTTATTATAATATTTTATGTTTCTTTATGGCCTTATACTATATTACCATTAAGAAAACTTTTCAATTCAGTTAAGTTACAAAACTACCTTTAAATACCTAAAATGTATTAGGAGCAGTCTAAATTCTGAAATAAATTAATAAAATATGTTTAATGTTAGACATCAAATACTAGCTAGATTATAATGTAAAAAATAAGGTAGCTATATGATTTATTTTGTCTGACCTGTATTTTAGAAAAGAGATACAATTTTAATAATACCTGGATAAGAAGATCCTTAATACATTTGTTATCATCTAACTGGGTTCTTCTTGCCCACTGCCCAGAAAATGCCAATACACTGAGGAAAGTAGGTGTTGCAGCAGAGAAAGAGTTTAATATTCACAGGGAGGCTGCACAAGGGTGACTGGATATAATTCTGAAATCTGCCTCCCCAAGAACCAGAGGCTAGGGTTTTTAAGGGCAATTTGATGGGCAAGGGGCTAGGGAATGGGAGCTGCTGATTGATTGGGGATGAAATTTTAGGGGTGTTGAAGCTGTCTTAAGGTGCTGAGTCAGTTTCTGAGTAGGGATCACAGAACCAGTTGAGTCCGTTCTTTTGTGTGGGTCCTGAGTCTGGTTGGCATCAATTGGTCCACCAGAATGCAGACTTTGAAAAGTATCTGAAACGCCAGTGTTAGGTTTTTAAAATAGTGATGCTATTTATAGGGGTGATTAGGGAAGTTACAAATCTTGTGACGTCTGGCTACATGACTCCTGAGCAGTAAGTACATTAGGAGACACTGACTAGTTATTATTTAACTATGCCTAGGTCTTATCCGAATTCAGGCCTTTGCCACAATTCCAGCCTTATGGCCTTTCATTAATGCTATACAGGCCGTTCTGGTTCCTGAGTGAGGAGGGTGTTAGTTTTGGGAAGGGCTGTTATCATCTTTGTTTTAAAGTTAAATTATAAGCTAAATTCCTCCCACAGTTAGCTTGGCCTGTGAGCAAGAATGAGCAAAGATGGAGTCAGCTATGTTAGATTTCTCTCACTGTTATAATTTTGCAAAGGCAGTTTCACATTGGTTTATCCTTGAATTTAGACTTTAACTGTTAATGATAGTCACAATTTTAAAAGCACTCACTTTTAGTGTCCTCTCTATTACAAGTTTGTATTTTTTGGGAAGTAATAGATTCTCTTTACCCAATATATTAGCATTCCCCATAATAGAACATTTTTTGCAACTCCCAAAATGTTTATTTTTCCAGAAAAACAGGAAGAGATTTCAGTTTCTAAATATTTTTAATATTCTTACCCTCACAAATAGTCACTCTTGCAAACTTCTAGCTTAATGCACACAACTATCGTAATCCATGTAGGGATTATGATGTAGAAGGTGAGAAATTTTTGGCTGAAAGAAGAGTGATGTTAGCCTTAGAAGTGAAATTATTATTTGAGATCTTATGCCCATGAAGCTTTTCTGCCCTCTGATAGTTTATCGTTTTTATTTATGGAATGATCATAGTACTCAGCTACAAATCTTGGGCTATAGAATCATTTCTGTATGAAGATTACTTTTTGAGATTCATAAATGAAATTTTTAAAAAATCAGAAAGGAAAACTAATTTCACTTTGATGTATGCTTACAGATATGTACAAGTATCGGAACTTTTATTTTTCGACTGGAGTCTCATGGGACGTTGTGGTAGGTAGAATTCTAAAATAGCTCCCACATCGCCCCTATCTCTGTGTACACGCTCTTCACAATCTCTAGCATTGTTAATTTGGTGGTTTTTTTCTCCCTTGATTAGAGTGTTATATGTCACAGCTGACTTTAAGAAAGGGCGACTATCTGGATGGGCCTTACTGGAGGGAGTTGCAATTTGTTAGGACTGAGGCTGACTCTAGGAAGTGAACATTGGTCCAGCTAACAGTCAGCAAGGAAACGGGGACCTCAGTCCTTCAACTTGAGACATCTAAATTCTGCCAGCAAGAATGAGCTTGGAAGCAGGTTTTCCCCTAGAGCCTCCATATGAGCACTCAGCCTGGCCAATTTCAGTCCTTAGCAGAGAGCCCAGTCAAGTCATGTTGGATTTTCTATAGAACTATGAGCTAATAAATGAGAGTCATTTTAAGCCTTTAACTTTATGGGAATTTGTTATGCAGTTTTAGAAAATGAAAATAGATGTGTATTTATTAGGGATCATTTTCTAACTTCAGCATTTATCTCTTCAATCTATTTACCAATGTTGCTTTATTCCTCTGTTCCTTTGCTTGTCTTGGAAGAAATAAGGCTTTGGTACAGTGAGAAGCAAAATCACAGTAATTCCCTCTACCCAGTCATGTCAGTGTGTGGGATGTTTTCCCAGCAAAGACTGAAAAAAAATCTTTAAATTCTCTTCTTCATTAAGGTACTTAGGATTGAGTTCTGTGAAACTGTTATGATGAACAATTTTTTGCTGTCTTCACTGCCATCAAAGGGTTTGGGATAATTCCTTTGAGATTCTTGAAATAAAACCATATTTTGACTAAAAGAAAATCTATGTTAAGAACTCACCTGTGATGAGAAACACTATGAGAATAGCTAAGAAAGAAGTGAACCTAGGAGGTTACACATTTTCAGTTCAATTTCTTCCACAGTTGAATTGTTTGCCTTATGTTTCCCTTTATTTTATCCATAAGATTGGTAAATAGCCAAAATATTTTAACTAAAACAGAAAGAATAGTGATAATGTTTGAAATAGAAATTGAATTCTGGACAGCTGAAACTTTGGTTTCTGCTAAGGCAATTAGGCAAAATTTTTAAAACAGACAAAACTGCATATCATTTAAGGTAACAAACTACCATTTAATTATGGGCTAGAATCTTACATTTTTGTCCCTCCTGAGGACTCTAGAAGAAAGATTATCAAGCATCATTTTATATAATAAAACAAACAACTTTTCCACAGACTCCACTTATAATTTCAGCAGTGCTTTCTGGACTTTAATGCAAGTGCAAAGGGAATTTTTGTATTTCAAAATCTGTTTATGCATTGAGGAGCTTCCACCTAACTTTCCATTGGAAAGGATGAATCTGCAATGTAATGACATGCTAGAAGGCAAATATCAAGAGAAGAATCTACTGTAGAAGGATTCTATAAATGCCTGGTTCTACAGGATGAACATGCTCAAACAAAATCATGTGCTCATGGATTCAGATCAATATTTGCTAGTACATAGATGTGTGAAAAGACATTTTCAAAGATAAAATACATAAAATTTAATCAATTTAGTCATAGGAAACATTCACTTTGAAGGCATATTAAGCAATATGTTATCCCCCTGCAAAAGAAGTTTATTAATAGAGCTGCATTACAAAAAATACTTACCTGTTATTAGTAGTAGTAGCAGTATATCTTGATTTTTGTCACTAAAAATATGGGAATTTGTTCTGTTTCCTGATATATACAAACCTGCATAATATCCTTGATTTTGCCATTTCGCTCACTATGCCTAAAATACCTACCATCCAACCCATCTCAGATGTGTTAAGGACTCATTGTTTCTCATCTGGCTCCTGCACCCCTCTTCAGTCTTTGATACATTTTCTACCTTGCTAACTTCCTCCAGCCACATTGGTTTTGGTTTTTCTTCAGTTAATCAAAGCTGGTTCTTTCCTGCTGCAGGGCCATTACAACTGCTTTGTTTTTGCTCAGATAACATTTCTGCATTCTACTGGCCCCCATTTAAATGTAATTTCCTCAAAGAAGCTTTCTGTCACCTACCCTGCTCCCTGCCAGTTAGGGCTGGTTCATCTTTGATAACTGCTTTATAAATCTTTCACTGGTCCTTCCTAGCATGTAAGAAAAACTCATGTAAGTATTTTTGGTACCAATTTTTGTTTAATTTCTGACTCATCCACTGGATCATAAGTTCCATTACAGCATGAACTGCATCTATGTTGTGAGCTGATATGTCCACACTGGTACATAATTAGCAATTCTATTTATGTGCACAGCCTGGCATATGGTTCTTGATGAAAATCTCTTGAACGAATGTTGTGAGAATCTATGGCTGAAAACTCAACAGTGACTCTTCTAATAGCAAACATCAGGAATATTTCACTAGAGCAACTTGTAATAGCGGCCACTGGCAAAGCTTGATAACATAACTAAAGTATATAAACATATAATCACACAATAATTACAATGATTTATATCTAAATTCACCTGTTGGCTGATTGGTAAATAGAATGAAAGAAAGAATAAATTACAAATGTTTTCACAGCTGACTCATGTTCTGCTGATGAAGATTCTAAGAATTGAGAGACAGTCTTGCAAATTCTGATGGGCTACTGAAAAGACCACTGGTTTCAACAAAACCAGAACTTGAAGATTAGCTAAAACTATTGTTTTCCTTAACCTTGTTCTTATCAATTGAGTTTACAGAACATCAATAGATTAATGGACCCTTATTCTGGGGTCAAATATGCTCTAATTTTGCCTGCTATCAATTTCTGTAATCTTTAATCACAGAGATGTAAGGGAAATAGCACAATTCCTGGCCTGTATGGAAGTGGAATCTCACTTCTCCCAGACCACAGCTGGCCAGGCTATGGTTACTATAAAATATCTATGCAGGAGTACATGAGGCTGTATGTCCTATGGAAAGAAACTTCCAGTTTAATTAATCTATAGAAAACAGAATTTAAAGTCTACCACCATCTTCCCGTAATGCAGATCCATTAACAGTTAACAGTGCACAAGTCCAATGAAAGTTCACAACCTATATGTTTGCATACAGTCATGCATTGCTTAACAACAGGGGTACATTCTGAGAAATGTGTTGTTAGGCAATTTTGTCATTAGGCGATTTCATTGTTGTGCGAACATCATAGAGTGTGCTTACACAAATCTAGCTGGTATAGCTTACTACACACCTAGGTGATACTGTATAGCATAATGCTCCTAGGCTACAATCCTGCACAGAGTTTTACTGTAGTGAATAACCATAGGCAATTGTAACACAGTGGTAAGCATTTGTGTATCTGAACATAAAAAGGTATAGCAAAAATACAACAGTATTATAATTATATGGGACCACCATTATATATGCAGTCTGTCCTTGACTAAAACATTATGATGTGGCTCACGACTATACTTAAAGTTATACATCACCCTAAAATATGTTAAATAAAATGTGTTTTCTCCTCCAACCTTGGCAAATATTTCTTCATAGCAATCAATAAGACCAGTTGCAAATTTAGAATTCTTGGACCCTGTGGACTTTCTCACTGGAATGTGGCAGCATAGGGAAGCCATTTTCTTCCCACTCCCAACTTCATCCTCCAATCCAGGAAACTTACACCTATGCGTGTGGACACAGCAGTTTGCATGTCCAAGCATAACTCACACCACATTTCAGCAAGTCACCAATCTTTGACCACTCCTGCCAAGGCACAGTGTGTACACATCTGGCACACAGTCTATTCCTGAGGGAGTAGATTTGGAGAAGAAACTCATCTAGCTCCAGAAGGGGGTTCTGAACCTTGTGGACAGAGAATTCCAGGATCCCATATAGTCTAGAACATGGGAAAACATTTTTTGTAAAGGTTCAAATAATAGTTTAGGCTCTGCCGGCCATAGTCTCTTACAACCACTCAGCTCTGCTATTGTAGCATGAAAGCAACCATAGGCAAAACATAAATGAATGGACATGGCTGTATTCCAATAAAAGTTTACTTAAGAACAAAGTTTGTAAATGCAAAGGGCTCTAGATTGTGGAAGCAGCTTCTGTGTAATCTCTCAAGAGCCTTGACACTGTCCTCGGCATAGCAGACCCGGGAATTCTCCTGGAAAATTGGCACCTTTGGGTGGGATGGGGCCCATGTGCCCTAGTTTGCCAACTCCTGGTTGGGAAGTCCTGTTTTTTGTCCACACTGATTTGTAACAAGAAAGAAAGAAAATGAAGAGATGGACAAAAAAGAGGGAAGATGACATTTATTAGCAATAAGTAATGGTGTGTGTGGCCTAGCATTGACTAGCCCTACCATTGAGAAATATCTGGATATCCAAACTAGAGATGATGGACAGTGGTTTGGACTAGAGAACTAGAATGGGAGTTAGTGAAAATGGTCAGACCCTGGATGTAATTTGCAGTTAAGTCAGCAGGATTTTCTGATGGAGTGTGTGTGGATGTGAGAGACAGAGAAACCTTGCAATCACTTTGTCTGGAGCTTCTTGCCATGGAATCTATATTCACTTCCTAAGGCTGCCATCACAAAGCACCACAAACTAGGTGGCATAAAACAACAGAAATTTGTTATTTCACAGTTATAGTGGCTAACATTCTGAAATCAAGGTGTCAGCCAGATCATGCTCTCTTGGAAGGCACCAGGGGAGGATCTTCCCTTGCCATTTCCAGCATCTGGTGGTTATTAGCAATCCTTGGTGTTTGCTGGCTTGTAGATGCATCAGTCCAATCTCTGCCTTCATCATCACATGGTATTTTCCCTGTGTGTCTGTGTCTCTTCTTCTCTTCTTCTTATGTCAATCATATTGGGTTTAGGATGTCCTTCCTTCTTCCTTTCCAGTATGACTTCATTTTAATTTGATGGCATCTGCAATGACCATGTTTCCAGATAAGGTCACATTTACAGGTACCCAGGGTTAGAACTTGAACATATTATTTGGGGGACACAATTAATTCATAATACAGTCCATAACTGGACTGCAGTGACTCATGACGTTTCTGAAATTTGTGTCATCAAAGAGTTCACATTTCAGAACTGGAGCCCAACACTTTCATTAGATTCTTGAATATGTATGGACCTCAACAAATCAAAGATCTAATTTAATTTTCCCTTTTAAGTATGTCTGAGCTCCAAAGTAGTCAAGTATCTTGAAGAAGCCCTTGACTAAATTGTGGTAGACCTACGGCAAGCATCATCTAACTTTTCTAGAATCTTTCCATGACTCCTTTTTTGGTTGGTGATATGGAAAAAATCATAATACAAAGAGATGCTCTATTACCTCACAAGATAATATGTAAGTGTTTTATGTTTCCAGCCTGTCTTTAAATGTTCCAGATGTGACTTCACTGCTGGGTGGAGTTCAGTTATAACCCACGGTAAAACAACAACAACAACAACAAAAGTGCAATTTTACAGAGCTTGAGACAGCGTGTGTGCCTGATGTACTTAGTCATGCTGACGTACACAGTTTGGAAATGTATACAATACTGCTCTCTTGCTCAGTCCAGGCACTGGGAATTAGGAGAAGGCATTCCTGTGCGGATACGTGACATTAGTATCAAAGTGGAGGTGGGGAGAGAGAAAAGTATTATTAGCTTTAAAAATGATTTTCTTTTTCTTTCTCAGTCAAGGGGTCTTCTAACCAGGCTTCTGTTCTCTTGCATGTCTTCAGCCACATTTTCATTCTATTCAGGTCTCTCCAGAGCTTACTGATAAGACTGGCTGTTGTGATGGTAACATGCCCCCTTCCTGCTTCACTGTCTCTGAGCCCCTGTGTGTTGGTTATTTTACTTACTTATTTAATTATTATTAGTTTTTTTAGAGACTGAGTCTCACTCTGTTGCCCAGGCTGGAGTGCAGTGGCAGGATCATAGCTCACTGTAACCTTGAGCTCCTGGGCTCGAGCAATCCTCATGCCTCAGCCTTCCGGGTAGCTAGGACTACAGGTGTGTGGCATCAAGCCTAGCAAATATCCTGTATGTCGGATGTCTCTGACACTTATGCAACAGACTGTGTGTCTTGGGTTCTTCAGATCAGGACCGGACTCTCGTTCCCTAGGACAGGAAGTCACACTTGCGCTCTGTTTGTAACAAACAAGAAAATAAAGATAGAGGCAAAAAACAGGAACATGCCACTTATTACCAATGAGTAATGATGTAGCCTAGCACTGATTGAGGGAGAAAAATGTTATTAAGTGATCTTCCTTTCCTGATTGTGTAGTTGAAAATATGGCTTTTTTTTTTTTTTGGTTTATGCTTCCCAAATAAATTGTAGAAATTGGCTGAAAATACCTCGGAGATGGCAGAGCTATAATTCACTTTTTAAAACGACTGGCAAAACATTGCAATTTTACTAATGTTCTTTTTTATTACCAAGGAAGACAAGAAATGATTTTTCAAAATAATGCAAATGCTCAAAAGAAACAATTATTTAAAACATTGTTACTCTAATTTATTATAATTATTGATCAAAGAATCAGTCTTTAATTATACTTGTTCACTGTGACTGTCTTAGGCAATCCTAAAAACACTTAACATCTCTGTCTCTTTACTATTAGGAAATTACTGTGCCTCTAACCTCCTGAGAAAATCCCCAAACCATTGCAGGAGCATTCTACTGATTGGACTCCCTGCTACTAAAAACACGTTTCTCTGCTCAGCCTTCCTCCTTGGTCTGCAATCTTGTCTTCAAGATAGAAGCCTTTCCCTAGTCAAGGCTAATCCCTTGGTAATTGGAGTCCCACGGTCTTCTGGAGAACTGTAACAGCCAATCACTCCTGCTCTGAAATTGTTCACCTGTTTTTCTCTCAAGGCCTTTACTCTTCATTGTATAAGCATAGCTATGTCCCTTTCTTCTTGTATAACAGACATCCCTGTTTACCTCGAGTCATCTCCCTATACCTTTCTTCATAGTCAAGTTTTATTAAAAACAACAAATTTTACTTTGTGTCTACTTTTATATAATATTAATTATACTCAGAAGATTATCCATTGCAACCCCACCATCCATTACAAATTACTTTCTGTCTAAAGTCACAGTGGTCTCTAAATACACAATAGAAGCTTTTGCAAACAATTATTTTACCTAATTTTTGTGTGTGTCAGATTTGACACTGATTTTACCCCTCTTTTAAACTCTCCTTCTCTTTAGCTCAGGTTATCCATTTAGCCTCCATGACCCCTGGTTGAGGGGCCTCTGCCTCCTTGTCACTGCTGAGAGGGACGTGAAACTTGGTTCCCCACATGATCACCTCTGACACCACAGGGAACATGGCCTAATTACTGCTGTGTGATGGTAAAAATCCTGACTCCACTCTAGGCCTCCTCTGACACCCCCTGCAGGGAGAAGAGGGGTGCCTCCTGACAGCCAGGTGAGGATGGAAGGCCCAGTGACCTGGGACACTGTGTGGGGTGGAGGGGCGGTGGCTGGAAGGATTAAAGTCCTGAGCCATTTCATCTTAACTTTGCATTTCTACTACTTACAGCCTTGCTTAGAGTAATCACTCCACTGGTAGGAGTTGAAGGAAGGAATACATTAATGTGTCAATTTCCATATTAGTTTTCAATCACTACCATAACAAATTACTATAAACTATTGACTCAAAAGCCACAAAAATATATAATGTCTCAGTTCTGTAGATCAGAAGTCTAGATGCAGCATGGTTCAGCTTGGTCTTCTTTTTAGAATCCCAAAAGGGAAAAATCTAGGTTTTGCCAGGGCTGTGGTCCTTTCTGGAGGCTCTGGGGAAGAATCTACTTCCAGGATCCTTCAGCTGGTTGGCTGAATTGACTGCCTTGCGGTTAGGAGACTGAGGTTCCCATTTCCTTGCTGTCTGTCAGCCAGGGACCAGTTTGTTCTTAGAGGCAGCCACAATCGTTTTCATGTTTTTGATGTGGCCTGCTCACAACAATGGCAGGGCATGTCTTCTTATTTTTCAAACCTTTTCAACTTCCCCTTCTGCCACATTTCTTGGATGGACTAGTCTACCTTCCTCTTCTGCTATGTGATTACATTGAGCAAGCCTGATTCAGAAACTTAATTATAGAAGAAGGCTTGTGAATGGCATTCAAGATGGGGCTAAACTAGTGGAGTAATAATATCTCAAAATTTTGCATGAAAGAAAAATCACTTGAAATTAACTTTAGGAAATGCTATCTACTTATCCACTCCTTGGAGATTCACAGAGTGCTTAGCACATGTACTAGTTAGGGTGATTGAAGCCATCTGCTATAACAAGCATCTCTAACTTCTTAGTAGCTTCACACAAGCAAGGTTTCACTTGGGTTATAAGACATGGTCTTCTATGTGGTGATTTAAAGATATGGCTCCTTCCATTTTCTGGTACCTTCATCTTATAGAGCTTTCTTGGAGTTCTCTAAGGGATGCTCTGAATTCAGCTACCCAAGGAGTGAAGAGTGAAAAGATAATGAGGTGGCATGTTTGATGGTCAGGCTTGAAAATGGCACATATCACTCTTCCCAGATTCTATGGGACAGAATGAGTCCTATGGCCCCAATCTAAAAATAAAGCAGCTGGAAAATGTAGTAATCCTAAGTGTCTCAGAATAGAAAATGGAATTGGCCAGCACTCAGCCAGTCTCTGGTATGAACCTGTAAAAGCTCAGGGAAGCCCTGCAGTAACTCGTCTGTTAAACTTTGTTTGGATTCGTGCTTTTTGAATTTAAATGACTATAAATTTTTATTCTGAAATTGATACCTGCTACTAATTCCCATAATTGGTCTTATGAAGAAGATAACTTAGGAAATTTGGTTGTAGGCATCTCTTTTAGCAACTTTGGGAGATACGCTTTTAGACCACTAGGCTGTTAAATGAGGACTTAGAAATCTTAGGCCTAAATGAATAAACATTTTTAAGATAGCATACTTTACATTTAGCATATAACTCCTTTTCATATATAAGATAATCTTATTACAGAATATTCCAACTTCACTAATCCAGTGATCTCAAACCTAGACATTTCTGAAAATAAGCATGATTTCTATTGAATATGAGAAGTGACCATTGCTCTATTTTTAACAGAATTTATTGTATAATTCAGAAGATCTTTCTCTTAACTGTTAAGAAAAAGCCTTTAAAAATTAGAAAGTATTTAAAGAGCAAAAATCTGGTCTTATGAAAAGAAATCCTCTAGAAAAATAAGATAATGTTTGTTTTTCTAGAACAGAGAGAATAAGTCATTTCTTCTGACATAAATGTATAATAATGTCATATTGAGAGATCATTGAAAATAAGGTGTAGACTCAGAGGAGGAAAGGCAAGTGCAGTGATGTGAGGGGCTAATGGTTGCTGTCTTGTTGATCTGAACATGATGCTGGATTAAAAAACAGAATAATTTAAAAATTTTAAAAGATAAAATAAAGGGAAAAATGACATGAAATGTGCCCCCTTATAAACTTTACTCACTTTTTGATTTTTTTGTCTCACTATTTAGGTTTGTGTAAGGTTTCTGGTGGTCATAGGGAGAAAGAGAGTGTCTCTGCCAAGTCAGTTATGTTCCAAAAGAGGTCTGCAAATTGTGATACCCTCTGAAAATTTTCCACTCAGAAACTCCCAACTTTCAACCCTAAAAAAATTCTTCCACATGAAACTTTTGTGTCCTCAATGTCCTTCTCCTATCCATGGATTTTTATACCACTTTGGAAAAAGTGTCCCTTGGAAGCTGAACATTTCCATCATGGGTCAAACTTACTGTTAATGGCTCACAATTACGAGGAAAAAAACTTTAAAATTTTGACTAGTTAATGCTAATGTAGATCTTGTCACATCTTTACATAAGCAAATGCCCTAGGATTTTGCCTTGAGGATAGACTAGTAGTCTAGGTACTTAATTCCCCCAAAGTAAAAAATTAACGTTTATTTCATGGACAAGAGTCATTATCTAGCTATTTTATAAAATTTTAGGCATATTGCTCATTGTTACCCAAAATGGTAGCATGTTGAAGCAACCACTATGATAAAAGCAGACAAAATGACACAATTGTTTGGAGAATGAAATTTGGTCTGGTCTCCAGCTGAAGGTAGGGTCATAAATGATTCTTGTCTGTTGGAGGCTCCTAGAGCAAGCTCCTTACCTGCTGAGCAGTTTTGTACCAATTAACAGTTAGCCCAGGTTTAAGGATATGGGAAAGGGATGAGTAGCCTAGGCTCTACAGACCATATGGCCCAAGTACTGCTAGGACGTTGTACATAATAGAACATTTATTAAGCAAACATAGATTCTCCCTGAATCATAGATTCCTTATCCCATCGGTGTTTGCCACCATGATGAAAATGAGCCAATACAGAAAGTGATGATGTTTACCCTGGAGGGATTTAATGGCTGAAGTATCAAGGTAATTTCCTTATTTCTATTATGAAACCAACTCTAGAAATAATTGAGGGAGGAACTATATTTGATGGGTGGCAAATACCTCTGGTCTTTCTCTAGTAAACATAACCCTTGCCACTCAAAATGTGATCCCTGGGGCTGGGCACGGTAGTTCACGCCTGTAATCCCAGCACTTTGGGAAGCCGAGGCGGGCAGATCACGAGGTCAGGAGATCGAGACTACCCTGGCTAACACGGTGAAACCCCATCTCTACTAAAAATACAAAAACAAAATTAGCTGGGCGTGGTGGCGGGCGCCTGTAGTCCCAGCTACTTGGGAGGCTGAGGCGGGAGAATGACTTGAACCGGGGAGGTGGAATTTGCAGTGAGCTGAGATTGCACCACTGTACTCCAGCCTGGGTGACAGAGCAAGACTCCATCTCAAAAAAAAAAAAAAAGTGATTCCTGAGTCAGCAGCCTCAGCATCACCAAAGAACTTGTTCAAAATGCAGAATTTCAGGCTACATATTGACCATTCAAATTACAATCTGCAGTTTAACAAGGTTTCTAGGTGATAGAATACACAGAAAGTTAGAGAATGCACTACAGGTATGTACACCGTCATGCATGCGCGCGTGTACACACACATACACACACACACAAAATTTTGAAAGCATGGTATCTGAACTATGCCAAATTCACTGCAGGTTGGGGTAAAAAATGAGACAGCTAGGAGAGCTATGGATTTCATATCTCCTTGCAGATTTTATCCTACCACTCACATTGAATGCCAAGACATCAGGTAGTTCCCCAGAAGCCAGCCAGCCCTGCACCTTGCCTCACAGGTCACCAATACCTCTGTGGGAGCTTCTAAGAGCCAGGGGCTCAACAGTAACGTGAACTACACTGGAGGTCAGGGAGCGCTCAGTCTCATTGCTTTTCTCTTTATTTTTTCTCTGGATAAACAGAGGATTTTGGTCTCTTGGGCTGTCAATCCAACTTCTTCAACAAGCACCAAATTTTTTTAAAAAAAAGAAGAAGTAGGAAGGGGAGGGCAGGAATGAAGTAGATAACAGGCAAAGCAAATATCACACAAAGTAAACCAAATGGTATATATAATCCAGTAGAAAGAAAGAACACTGGAGGGGTGGGGGAAGGATTTTGCAGATCCAAAATGTGGAGTGACTGAGCATCAGTGCTATTGATCAAAACCGTTAAAAGAAAAATGGTATTTTTCAGCTGTGGTTTCTGAAATTTACCCCTTCTTTGTTAGATAGTTATTTAAATGGAAGGTGATTCTTCTAGTTTAGAGTTTATGTTACCATATATAAATTAACATTTTTCTTACATTCTACTGTTAAGTTTTATGAACTAGTTTATGTTAAGTGGAGTAGTGAATTTCTAAAATTTGTGCATCAACTGAACTGTGTTTTTTTGGTACATAATATAAAATTATATTTTCATCAATATCAGCAGTATTGTGGCTCAGAAAACCATACCCCAAAATATGGTGCTTTGACTTGCTGAGCTAAAGAAGCAGCCATAAGGTCTCTCTGATCTTCCTCCTTCTCCTGTTCTTCAATCCTCTGTCTCTCTCAAAGCACAGGGTAAGGTTGTTCTCTGAAGTTCTCTTATCTACCTAGAAACTGGACCCGCCAAAGAGGAACACAGTTGCCTTCAATCAGCCCTGTGAAATGTCATTAACCAGAGAAAATTAAGAGACATATCACATATCACAGAGAAAAACTAAAAATTAAACACCACATCTACAGCCTAGAGGAACTTTCTCCCAAGCTATTATCTGTTCTCTGGTCCCATTCAATTCCCAAAGAGAAACACTTGTTAACCATTATCTGAGCATTAGACCCATTCATTCCCCCTAAAAATCATTTATCACTCCTCAAAAAGGCCACATTACTCTCATCTCCCCTTCCTCTCTGACAGAAGGGTATGTAAGCATCTATACCTCATTAGGTTGTTAGGAAATCATTCGGTTGCAATTGCCCTGTGCTTATGCATGTTAAATCAATGTGTATGCCTTTTCTTCTATTAATCTGCCTATTGTCAGTTCATTTTCAGCAGATCTTCTGAAAGCAGAGAAGCAGATTATATTGAAGAACTCATTGATTTCACCATTTTCCCAGCTTCAGCTGCTTTATCTAGTTTATTTCTCACCTCTGGTCCTTTCAATTCTATACATACTGTCACTGTGGCTAGTCCTCTGGATACCGGTGGAAGAATTAGTATAATATTATATCTCACTCTTTGCATGGTACTTTTTTCAATGGACTCTGGGAATTAGGATCCTTATTATGGCAAACCAGGCTTTGGTTTTAGGGGATTCCTACATTATAAATCATCACAGACAAATTGCTATCTAAGGATTCTTCAAAACTGAAATCCTATAATTCCATCACTTCTAAATTGCTTAATTCTTCAGAATTCTAGTTTCCCACTGGTAAAATAGGAGTAAGTACATTTGTATTTTAAACCGTTCTAATCAGATTTGTTTTCCTGGAGAGGGTGGTAGTTTTAAAATTTCTACCTAACAAATTATACATTTCATTCAGAAGGCCAGTATAGATCAGTGGTATTTTGTCCTTGAGATTTCCCAAGATTAAGTTTCAGAGATCTTTCTTTTTGCTACTGAAGCAAGGATTATTTCCCTCCTCTCCTACTGCCCTGCCCTTGCTGTTCCCTTCCGAATAGCCTTGCCTCCAGAGATTGCAGAAATTTACAGCCCAAAGGGACCAATGTTTCAAGGTTAATGCAGTCAATCCTGACATTCTTCTTGAAAAATTTTCCATCTCTGCACAGCAACAGTTAGTGCTGGTCAGACATCAAACATTCCTGTGGCCATAAAGCCTGCTTATTTTTTATTCCTTCTCTTCTTTTCACATGAGAATAGGATTCTTTCTAGAGGGCATTTATCACTGCTGGCTCAGAAATATAATAAAAACTATAAAATACATAAGGATGCTGCAGGAAACCACTTGCCAGGTCGCAGATGTAAAATATCCCTGTAATATCACCAAGAAACAGCCTGGATCTTCACAGACAGGCATGTCTTTCATGTGAATGGCACACTCAAGAGCCCTTTCGAAGATGCTTCTGCTGGAGCTTGTGGGGTTGACTTGGTGCCATGGTTGGAGTATGCTCCGTGATTCCATGGTGGCCAGGAAGCCAGGGAAGGCTCTCCAAGCAATTCTCTACTTTGTTGTTTTCTTAGTGTGTTAATAAATTTTCCATTTAGCAGGACTCTTTGATTTCTTATCCCCTTCACAGTCAGGTTAATTAACAATGCTTATACTTTTACTTCAAAATAAAAGCTTTCGACCTTTCTGAGCCACTTCGTATCTGCTGTGTTGCTTGATTCTCTGAGGCAGTAGGACTTCTGTTAGGATATTTCATTTCAGATGAATATATTGAGGGTCAGAGATATTTAGGGATTTCCTAAGTTCACACTGAGCAGAAACAGAATTCATGTCTTTGATACTGTACTACAGAGATTACCGTCTGCACTTTGAAATCATAGGTTTGGGATTAGAATTTTCACTTATACTAGTTCCAAGACTTTGGACAGGTTGCTTAAGGGATCTATGTTCCGTTTCCTCATTTGTAAAATGGGACTAATAATAGTTCTGTCTCCTGGCTTTTTGTAACATCTAGCATGGCATATTTCACAGAAGTAGCATGGGCTGGCTGCTTGATGCTGCTCTTTTTCCAAACTCTAATCTCTATTTGATCCTGGCTTTGCTTCTGGAATCATATTGCAGTCGCTGGTCTGCTCACACTTTTGAAAGGAGTTCCCACTGGCCACTAGAAGTCCTCTAAATTATGCTGCCACCCTCCCATTTAAAGAAGACTGGAAAGGGGGCAAGGCAGAAGAGAAGATCCTTTCCGTGTGCTTAAAAGTGGCTGGATAGAATTAAAGGTCTAGAAGGGGTCATGGTGGCCTTTTCCTCACAATCCAGGTCACCTCCTCACACATGATTTTAGCTCTTTAAAACAGGTGCTAATTCACTGCACTTGCTTATTTTTCCCCAGCCATTTTTCTGGGCATCGATATCAGCTCAGAAGAGAAGCTGTGCACCCACCCACTAACTGCTATAGAATTGGCTGCTAAAGGCTCAAGGGTGACCTCTTTTCTGGAAAATTGCCCTCAGCTGACAGGAATCACCTTGACCCAGAAAACATACACAGCTCTGAATGAGCAATTGATTAATTTGGGGGAGCAGAATGGAAGCTTCTTTGCTTTGAAGTGGGAGGATTTTGTGTTATGATTATGCTCCAGATTCTTTCTGTGGGATCAACCTGAAGTTTTTCTCTAGCTGAGACCATAATGTTGCTGGACTTCCTCTGTATAAGGCTGTTCTTGGATTGCTTAAAAGAAATACCTGAGACTGGGTAATTTATAAAGAAAAAAGATTTAATTGGCTCATGGTTCTGCAGGCTGTACAAGCATGACACCAGCATCTGCGCAGCTTCTGGGGAGGACTGAGGGAGCTTTTATTCATGGCAGAAGGCTAAATGGGAACAGACATGTCACATGGACACAAAACAGAAGCAAGAAAGAGAGTGTGTTTGTGTGTGTGTGTGGGGGGGTTCCACAAACTTAAACAATCAGATCCCGCAAGAACTCACTCACTATCATGAGGACAGCACCTATGAGGGATCTACCCCTGTGACTCAGACATCTCCCACCAGGCCTCATGAGGTTTGGTGGGAACACATAATTAAACGATGTCATTCCCCCTCTCTGTTTTCCTTCCTCCATTTCTCTTCTCCAATAGCATCCCCTTAATAAGTCCTGTGCATTTGAATCTCTGCCTTAGGCCCTCATAGGGACTCCAACTTAATGACATCCTTGTCCATTTCTGATATGGAGATGAAGGAGTTCCGTAATTCTGAGCATTTGAATCTTAATTTTCCCTCTTGATTTGATCAGTCTTGATTTTCTTAAATATCCCTGGTAAGAACATGTGCTTTTAGCATCTAGTCCCAAAGAACCTTATCTCTACTGGCTCAGCACCTGCCTAAGAGTGTTCCATGAGGGGTAGGGGAGGGTTATGGACTCCCAGGCCATTTTGCACCCACACCCCAATTGCAGACTGAAGGAAGGGGACAGCCTGGGTTGAGGAAATACAATTAAATACATAATCTTCTCTTGTTATGGACTGAATGCGTTCTTCTAAAATTATGTTGAGGTTCTAACCCCTGATGCAGTAGCATTTGGAAGTGGGGTCTTTGGGAGGTGATTAGGGTTAGATGAGGTCATGTGGGTGAGGCTATCATGATGAGATTAGTGTCCTTATTAGAAGAGGAATAGAGACCAGAGCTCCCTCTCTCTGTCTGCCCTCTGACACACAGGAGAAGGCTGCTGTCTGCAAGCCAGGAAGAGCACGCTCGCAGGCAACCAAATCTGCTGGCACCTTGATCTTGGACTTCCCAGCTGTCGGAACTGTGAGAAATAAATGTGTATTGTTTAATGCGCCCAGTCTGTGGTATTTTGTTACAGTAGCCCAAGGTGACTAACACACCTAACAACCTAGAAAACCTCTCCACAAAGGAAAGAGAGAGAGAGAGAGACAGAAAAAAACAGTTTTATCATTGAATAACATTAAACCAAAATGTAATGTGTGTCACAGGCAATTCACTAAGACAGTGTGAAGACAGGAAAAAAAAAATTATATGGACATGCAGATACAACCCACTACATACACATGTTCTCAACATAATCAATAATAACCAGTTCTCAAGTAGGACTTGACAGCGCTATTATCACACACAGTTCATTCTAAATTCACCTTGTAATTGGAGTGACCATCCATATTAGTTAATTGGCTGTATCCAAAGGAAAAATAAACTTATTGTATCTTATGGTGGGGGGTAGTTTTACATCTTGCAGTGACATGCTCACCTGTTAGGCTCCTATCCTCCCACATAACTGGAAGATGGGGATGCTATTTTCTTTGACGATTGCATTTCAAAGAGATGGCTCTCAGGTCCTGGAGAAAGATATTCCTGGGTCTTAACACCGGAAAGAAACCTATTTAGATTTACTATCATTTCAAACATTTTTCGTAGAGATGAGGTCTTCCTATGTTGCCAGGCTGGCCTTGAATTCCTAGTCTCAAGCCATACTCCTGCCTTGGCATCCCAAAGTGCTGGGATTATAGGCATGAATCACCCTGCCTGGCCCCTATGTAGATTTTAAAATGATTTATAAACATTTCAGAGAGATAGAGAAATAATTTACAATTATAAGTTTTCTAAAATAATTTTTCTAAGAAAAGGGAAGAAGTCTCATTTTAAACAGGGAGAATGTAGGCTCTTTATTTTTCATTTGAATTTTCTCTTATACTTGCTGTGTTATGGAGGGTAGAAATAATCCTCCTTACTCTTAGAAGACTTCATTTAAAGATGACACCTGCTGACAAACTAGGCTGCTTGCGTTGGATGGGGCAGCCTGTTCTCTTACTTGAAAACACTCTTGGAGGGCGGAAGAACCTGGAGATGAGCTATTCATGAGCCTTGGATGAGTGAGTGTGGGGATTGGGGACAGGTAAGAAGGGGCTAAGACAGAGGGAAGAATACAGTGAGGGAGATTTCCAGGCAAAGTAAAAGGGGCTTTGAAAATGACTCTGTTGTTAATTTCAGCCTACATTCCTCTATTTTATAAGGTATTATAACTACCCAATGGGTTCTTCTTGCCTGCTGCACAGATAAGACCAATTCACTGAGACCATGGCATTATAATAAAGAATGAGTTTAATTGGCATGAGGTGGCTATGCCTTGTAGACAAATCAATCTCAAATAAACCTCCCCAAAATTCAGAGGCTATGGTTTTTTAAGTGTAGTTTGGTGTTGGGGTTCCATCAGGCTGGTGGGAAAAATACTAAAGATAGTTATAGTAATAGTCAAAAACTCTCTTGGAAGGCCTGAGAGTTTGCATAGCTTCAGATTGCTTGGCTGAAGGCAGCCAGGGTCTCTTTGCAGGAGCCAGAAAGAGGGTGCAAGTACAAAGGAATGTGGGAAGTTTATCTTAGTAACCTGTTTACTTGTATGGGCTTAAGACTGACCTTTGTCCTACCTCAGTACTATACCGCCTCCTACTCAGGTGGGAGCAGTTGGCAGAAGTTTATTACCTGCAAATGGTGTGCTTTAAGCCTCAGAACCTGGCCTTTAATCTTTACCCTCTAGTGGTGTTTACTCACAACTTTTGTTAATTAGTCTTACTGAACAAATGCCAGCCTCACTATCTGATGGGGCCAAGTTGCAACTGTTTACAGAACTCAGCTTAGAGCCTGTAAGCGGCTCGGACCCTCAGCTGGACTGGCAGAGCAGAATATCTGTGTGTCAGTGTACTTTATTCATCTGTCACCGAATCAAGGGTCTGCAGGAACAGACCTCCCCACCGCCGCCACCCCCCCTGGAGCTAGTGCCCCTGCAAATGGAACGCTGCCTCAGTTTGGTGGCCAAGGGAATGGGTGCTGCTGATTGGTTAGGGTGTGGAAAATGTTCCTCGTGTGCTAAGTCTGCTTCTGGGTGGGGGCCGCAAGACTAGTTGAGCCAAGAGTTTCAGGTCTGGGTGGGGCCATCTGGTTGTCAGAAATGCAAAAGCCTGAAAGGATATCTCAAAAGGCCAATTTTAGCTTCTACAATAGTGAATTGGGGAAGTTGCAAATCTTGTGACCTCTGGAATGTGGCTAACAGTACCTACATCTTAGCGGAATTCAAGCCCCTCTCATCTTCCTAACCTGGTGACCTTTGATTAGTTTTACAAAGGCAGTTTAGTTTTGGGGAAGGGTTATTACCATATAAACTATAAACTAAATTCTTCCCAAAGTTAGTTCAGCCTAAAGCCAGGAATGAACAAGGGCAGCTTGGAGGTTGCAAACAAGTTGAAGTTGGTTAGATCTCTTTCACTGTCATAATTTTCTCACTATTGTAATTTTTTCAAATGTGGTTTCAGTATGACAATTACATGATTAAATGGTACTGTTGTCGCAATTTAATGGCAACTTGATTTACTTTGTTGAGGAATATCTAGGGAACTAACTTTCAGCACCCACATAACCTAAGACATCCTAAAAATACAGCCAATTGGCATAACAGAGAGAACTATGCCCAAAAGCACACCAAAGATTTACCTGGCTCCCCACAACCCCTCCCGTGGGCAGCCTGCACTACTCCCCTTCATTCCCTGGGGAAGATGCCTCAGACCCAGATAAGAAGAATTTTTCCTCAAATCTGTTATGACAATAGAAACACCATATAGTTTGCATGAAATGTTAGGCATTGCTACGAGCATTTTCTAATGTACTGACAATAGGCCTCTTTTAAAGATGAAAACACTGAGGCTCAGGAAGTTGAGCTCCTTGCTTAAGGACACGCGGTTCCTGCAGAGTCAGGACAAAATCCAGGGCAAGTAGGCAGGATTACAGGATGCACTTAGTGGCTCTGAGGTAAGAATCTAGTTCAGCCCCGACTTAGAAGTTTGGCAAGAGAATGCTGCACAGCATCTCAGGCACCATCTAGCCCTGGAATGTTTAGACCATGATCTGTTGGTGAAGTGGCTACATTGTGTGGGGTATAAACCCAGGGTTCGTGATCATGTGCCAGGAAAATTTAGAACACCAACACACATGAGGAGTTCAGGAGCAGAGGTTTAATAGGCAGAAGAGAAGAGAAGAGAAAGAGAAGCAGCTCTCTCCATAGAGAGACGGGTCTCCAAGTGGAAAGGACCCGTAGGTGGTGGATGCACCGAATTTTATAGTCAGGTTTGAGGAGTTAGTGCCTGATTTACATAAAGCTTACAGATTGGTTCGATCAGGTATGACATTTACATAGCACACAAGGAAGGCTGGTAGCCCCATCCTAATCTTATTATGCAAATAGGCTTTCCAGTTGATCTGCACCATCTTGTCTGCTCCTTACAGTACATGTGGCTGACAAACAGAAGGGAAGTTGGAGCCGCCATCTTGAACATGTATAGTGCCTCGTTCCTGCCAGCATTCACTCCTGCAAGCTTCCAGTTTGCTTGCCTATGTCTGCAGCTGGACTTTGTGAGAAAATGACTTGGGGCTGCTTTGCATGAAAAAGAAAAGCCTTACTGAGGACTCCCATATCCTTACTATCTGCCTAAGTGATTTCTTCTTAACTCCCGTATCATTAGTCGCTCAGGAAACTGCAGATCATGATCTGTTAATGGCTTGGGAAACCAGTTGTACTGGGTCCCAAACCACTTGCATTTAAAAAAATGCTATGAGGTAGAACATGACCTCTCAGAATATCACCACAAAAAATGTGTGTGAGGTATTGCATATGCTAGTTAGATTTAGCCATTCTACAATGTATACGTACATGAAAACAACACGCATTTACACACCAAATATATATACAATGCATGTCAATTAAAATATAGAGTTAATTTTTTAAATTAAAATATATCAGAACACACACATGTAGAAAGGTATCAGTTAGTGAAACTTTTATTCCAGTTATATATGTCTAAGATGAAATTATCCCTGTGAAGACTTTAATTTGCCAGGCTTGAAAGGCTCTGATCTCTACAGCCTTTGTGTTTTACAGATGGAGAGACTGAGGCCCAGAGGGAGCCAGGGGGTGGCCTGAGGTCAGGAAGCTAATTACAAGCAAAGTGCTGATTAGAACCCCAGGCACTTTTATTTCACCGTTCCTATCTTCCTTTTCTGTCCTCCTTTTCCCTCCTTATGTAATGCAGCACTGGGAGCTCAAAATCTCATCTCCTGTGGCTTAGTAGGGCTTAACTTTTCAAAACAGAAATGAATCCTGTTTGTTTTGAAAGGAAGGCTAAACCTAACAGGCAACTGGATGTTGAATAAAGGTCTTGGGGGATCGGGGCAAAAACGAGGAGCTTGTTTGTAAAGTTTCTTGGGGGAGCTGGGAATTTAGAACTCTAGGTGGTCCTAAAAAGCAGCTGAAATTTCCTGCTCTGCTGGGATCTATGTGAAGGAGGAGGCAAAATATGCTTGAGGAACTGCAAAACAACAGCCAACCTTTGCAGGAGAGGTGCAACCTTTGCAAAGGGCATGATAACTACCTTGATTGCAAGGCCCACCATTATCGGAAAGGGGGAGGCCACAGTGACCCAGCACGCTGCAGGAGGGCTGGGCTGGGCTGGGCTGGCCTGATGAATTGCAGGCTTCATTTCCCTAGTGTGGCGTGGAAAGCCTTGGAGCATGCCATTTAGTGGTTCTGTGTCTTAGTTTCTCATCTGTAAAATAGAGATAAAAATCTTTCATTATCCTGCCAAGCTGGATGTGGGGATTTGTTAGGTGCAATATGAAGATCAGTAAGAGTTATATATTTTTCCAACTGTCGAAGTAAGAAAAGGAGGGGAAAGCATGGGAAAAAACCCAGAATCCAATGTTATTGTCGAATGTTATTGTTCATTAAAGACAGGGCTTCAGCATCTGAATTACACGGCATGTTATTTTCTCAAATTGTAAAAACCAGTCTTGCATACATAAATTATATTCGTATTTTTTTAATGAATAAAAAAGGTCTTACAGATGAAAGAGTGCCCAGTGGCCACAGCTGGAACAATTTGAGCAACAAAATAAGGAAGTATTAATCTATAACCCAAAGTATAAAATAAATATCCGTAAGTCCATACTGACATAAATAAATGGTTGAATAGATGATTGAATAAATAAATTGTGAGCCCTGAATATCTGAGACAGATCTCAGTCAGTTTAGGAAGTTTATTTTGCCAGAATTAAGGACGTGCGCCCGTGACACAGCTTCAGGAGTTCCTGACGACATGTGCCCAGGGTGGTCTGAGCATAGTTTGGTTTTATACATTTTAGGGAGACCTGAGACATCAATCAATATGTGTAAGATGAACACTGGCTTGGTCCAGAAAGGCAGAACAACTTGAAGCAAAGGCAGGAGAACTGGAAGTGGGGAGGGAGCTTCCAGGCCATTGGTAGATAAGTGACAAATGGTTGTGTTCTTATGATTTTCTGATTAGCCTTTCCAAAGGAGGCAGTCAGATATACTTTTATCTCAGTGAGCAGAGAGATGACTTTGAATAGAATGGGAGGCAGGTTTGTCCTAAGCAGTTCCATTTGACTTTTCCCCCTTAGTGGTTTGGGGGACCCACAATTTATTTTCCTTTTACAAAATCAATGGGAGGAAAGAGACAAATCTCCTGTGCAGTATTCCAAATGATTTTAGTATTATACTTTGTGCCCCTAAGTGTGGGCTACTCATAGTGACATACTTCCAAAAAGCACAGTATTAGAATGGAGAAAAAGAGTAGCTTTATGGTGGAAAATCTGATCACCACTATATCAGCCAGGTGATCAAGGTTAACATCACCGGTGATAACTCATATTCATAGTACGTACACCTGATATCATATGATGAGAACAGCACTTCACTCCTTTGGTATTTCCCCCAAAACCCATAAGCACAGTCAAGCCATGAGAAAAACCTCAGAATGACACAAATTGAGGGACATTCTACAAAATAACTGACCATTCTCTGGAAAACTTTTTTTTTTCTTTTTTTTGAGACTGAGTCTCGCTCTGTCACCAGGCTGGAATGCAGTGGTGCATCTCGGTTCACTGCAACCTCCACCTCCTGGGTTCAAGCAATTCTCCTGCCTCAGCCTCCCAAGTAGCTGGGACTACAGGCGAGCGCCACCACGCCCAGCTAATTTTTGTACTTTTAGTAGAGACGGGGTTTCACCATGTTGGCCAGAATGGTCTTGATCTCTTGACCTCACGAACCTCCTGCCTTGGCCTCCCAAAGTGCTGGGATTACAGGCGTGAGCCACCGCGCCCGGCCTGGAAAACTTTTGAGGTCAAGAAAAACAAGGAAAATCTGAGAGACTGTCACAGCCAAGAGCAGCCTAAGTAGACATGACAAGTATGGGCTTTAGAAAATAATAATTAATATTAGTTTGTTAATTGTGACAAATGTAGCATACTCATGTCTGATGTTAATAATAGGGGAAAATGTGTGAGGTATATGGAGAGCCTCTGTGCCATCCTCGTACATTTTTTCTAAATTTAAAACTTTTCAGAGATTTCTGATAAACCTTAGCATAGAATATGATGTGTCCATCAAGTGACAGGTACTTGCCTTCAAAGACTTCAAAATATTGAGGGGACACAGTATGTAAACACATCCTGGGGTGGGAGGAGATACAGAATGGCATAATGCCTTTGTCAATGCTGAGACCATAGAGAGGCATTTCAGTGAATAGCATTTGGCTACACTGGAAAGTTCCCTCCAACAATTTATTTGCAACACCTATCTTCACCAACCAAAGGAGTGATGGTGCTATTAGGAGTAGCCTGTTGAAGGTGAATCTAATTTTGAACATGTCAAGTTTGAAGATCTCGTGGGATATCCAAGTATGTGAAATCAAGTCTGTGGGTCTGCCCAAAGGGATAGATTTGGGCATCATCAACCTTTCAATGATAACTGAAGCTGCAGTTGATTTGGAAGCATCTAACAGTTCTTGGGCTAAGTAGAATAGATTTATTAATCAGTGAGTTATAATGTAGCCTGCACAGAGAACCAGAGTCCCAGGTGTGCCAATTACTATCTGAAACTAAAGAAAATTGTGTGGAGTTTTTGAGCCTCAACTTCCTAACTAATAAAATGCAGACCACAATACCCCTGGTCTTTTTTACCTTTCAAGTTGAATGAGGATGTCAGAGGACATCATACATGTCTTTGGTAATTTTTAAAGAGCTATAGAGATTTAAGATAGTCATTTTTTTGGTGTGATTGACAAAATTGACTTCAAAACAGGCATCTCTAAGAACTTAGCCCTCTTAAAGCTCCAGTTGAACTGGATGTCAGTTTTCTTTCCTGGAACTCAAAGTTCTAAATACCACAATGATTTGCACACTATTTGGAGAGATATTTGAAAGACATAGTTTTTGGCTCAGGATTAACTTTCCTTCCTAAATGGTTGACAAGATCGCATTTTTCATCACATTTTATTATAATTTCAAGGGAAAACCAGAAGCCATTTTTGAAAAATTTCCAGTGCATTTATGTTTCTTATGATAAAGGGGTTTTCTGGTAATAAAACATTCTAATAAGACTTTTGTTAGAAGTTCTTGTGTGTTTTATTGTCATGATATGGCAGGATGTGGAAAAAAGGATAGAGAAACCAATGCAATTCTCACTGCGGAAGTCATGTAATTTTATCAAAATTCTGAGAAGCCCACTATGCCAAATAATACATTACATGTGGGCAATAATCAAGGAAATAAAGAAGCTTGGGTCATGCCAGCGATTTGATTCCTCACTTTCACATTGTGGTTAAACACACAGAGCTTTCCTCTCAGGTGACAACCACACATGCTGGATAGGCGTGAATTTGACTGTCTTCTGGCCATGGATTTTTTCCCTGCTATTAACCTTTACAAGGTTTCCAGCATTGGAATTAAGTACTTCTCTCTGAGATTTCGTTATGAGACAGTACACTCTTTGACCTATTCATGTTAAGCATTCTCCTCCTTTAGCCTGAAGCCCATGGACTGGCCTGCCACCTTGCAAGTTCCAACAAAGGTTATGAGAAGAACAGAGGGTAGAGCTATAATGAGCAGAGAGCCTTTTCCCTCCTTCTCTGGAGCACACAGACAATAATCTTTCTCAATTAATAACCACCCATGGACTTGTTAGCCTTTTGAGCCATTTTGGCAGCATCAAGCTCTTTCTAAAGCACATTTAGAACAGTTCCCCATGTGGGAATGATAATCTGCCTTTTGAAAACTTCTTTTTGATATGTTTTTTTTTTTTAAATCTGAATAAGAGGAGAATGAAAGTGAACAAAATGGAATTAAGTTCGAAGCTAGATCTTTTGTGATAAAACATAGGGTTTTCAGCACAGGAAAATATTGATCATGACATGTCTCTTACAGGGAAGAAAGATTTATTAGCTGTGCAGTCAGGAGGGAGCTGAAATCCTGAAGAGACAGTTTCTCAATTCACCTGAAGGGAGTGTGATGCAGCAGAAAGGAATGATTTTGGTGAAAATTTACCTAGTGAGTGAGAGGATCACATTCTAGTATTTAATTAGCCTTCATCATCACCGTATTTTCCAGTTTCAAATAATTTCAAGTGACAGATGATCTTAAGCAAAACCGTACCAACTTGTGTTCGAATCTCACACCTACCACTGAGGAGCTTTGTGATCTCAGGCATGGCTGGCAATGTCTTTGAGGCTAACTGTCTTCATTAAATAAGGATATTAATTTATGTCCCATAGATCCATTGAGAAGACAAAATGTAAAATATCTATGAAGAAGCTTCTTATAAAGCAATACACAAATATGTACATTGTTACGTGGTCCTCTCATTTTCAGACATGACCAAACAATATCTGAAAATGCTCAAAGAAGACATAATTTCACCCAACCCTAAATCAAATGTCACCTAATGATCTTTCTGCACAAGAGCATCATCTCATGAAAGATGATTAGGTTCAATATTATTATGCAGATTCTGGGTAATGGTGAAATCAAGGGAAGGTGAGCACCACTCAGAAGCCCTTGGAGAAGGGATTCTGAATACTTGAGAGAGCTTAATACCAGGGAGAGCATAAATGAGCAAGTGGAAGAATAATCTCTGCAAAACAGCCTGTATTAGTAAGGGTTCTCTAGAGGGACAGAAGTAATAGGAGAGAGAGATATATATATATCTCCTATTAGTTCCATATTCAAACACACACACACACACACACACACACACATATATGGGAGTTTATTAAGTATTAGCTTACACCATCACAAGATCCCATAATAGGCTGTCTGCAAGCTTAAGGAGCAAGGAGAGCCAGTCTGAGTCTCAAAACTGAAGAACCTGGAGTCCGATGTTTGAGGGCTGGAAGCATCTAACAGTGGAGACAGATGAGACAGATGTAGGCTGGGAGGCTAGGCCAGTCTTGCTCTTTCACATTTTTTCTGCCTCCTTTATATTCACTGGCAGCTGATTAGATTGGGCCCACCAGATTAAGGGTGGGTCTGCCTTACCCAGCCCACTGACTCAAATGTTAATCTCCTTTGGCAATGCCCTCACAGACACACCCGGGATCAATACTTGGGTCCTTCAATCCAATGAAGTTGACACTCAGTGATCAACTGAGTTATCACACAGCCAGAGTTGGTGCTGTTAGCCATAGCTCTCCCAGCATAACAGCAGGAAGGGCTGGCTGGAGGAATCTCCATGGCTTCAACTAGCACCTCCCTACTTCCACTGAGTTGGTTTCAGGGTCTTCCCAACCTCCTTGTTATGAATTGGGTTGTGCTCCCCACCCTGCAAAGATATAGAAGTTCTAACCCCCAGTTCTTATGATTGTGACTTTATTTTGAAATAGGGTCTTTACAGATAATCAAGTAAAAATGAGTTTATGAGGGTGAGTTCTAATCTAGTATGATCAGTGTCCTTAGAAAAAGGGGGAATTTAGATTTAGAGACACATACGTGCAGAGGAAAGACAACCTGAAGACACAGGGAGAATGTCATCTACAAGGCAAGAAGCACCCAAAGCTATGAGAGGCTACATGAGAGGCATAGAATAGATTCTGTTTCACAGCCCTCAGAAGGAACCAACCCTGCCAACACCTTGATTTTAGACTTCTAGCTTCCAGAACTATAAGACAGTAAATTTCTGTTGTTAAATCCACACAGCCCCAGGAAATGAATACATCACCCCTTGCCTGAGAAGCAAATATTATTTAGTTATTTGCTTCCTTTGTTGGCTGTTCACTTCTGCAGGAATGTAAACTACATGAGAGCAGAAACCTTGCTTGTCTCCATCACAGTGCCTGGAACAGTGCCTGGGAAGTGGTGGTGGGTGCAGCACAATCAATATTTGGGGAATGAATTGTTATCGTTCAGCCCAGCATGGTGAGTAACAAATGCAGGTATGACTGAGCCTGGTCTGAGTGAATCAAACAAAGTCCACATCTTTGATGTGTGATATTCTATCATCTTAGTTTTAATCACAGATTTGCTCTGAAAAATTAACTCCAATCAATAAATAAAACATCCCTAGATAACAGATATACTATTCTCTGATCTGTGAAGAAGATCTGATAATTAGGATGGCATTGCTCTTGCTCTCCTATAATCAAAGCTAGATTATAAATATCACTGGCATGCAAAATAAATACTAAGCACTTGTGTTTAGCTATTATGTTACTTCTCTAGCAAGGACGTAACTTACCTTTAGAAATCAACAATTCATAAGAGCCTTCTAAATTATCCTGTGAGGTTCTGTATTAGTTTTTTTTTTTTCACTCCCATGAGAAATTTCTGAAAAAAAAAACGTGGTTTAAGACAATATGAATTTATTCTCTTACAGTTCTGGAGGTGAGAACTCTAAAATGATCTCAGTGGGCTAAAACCAAGGTGTCAGAAAAGTTGTATTCGTTCTGGAGGCCCAAGGGGAGAATCTATTTTCTTTGCTTTTTCCAGCTTTTAGACATTGTATTAGTCCATTTTCATGCTGCTATAAAGAACTGCCCAAAACTAGGTAATTTATAAAGGAAAGAGGTTTAATTGACTCACAGTTCAGCATGATGGGGGAGCCCTCAGGAAACTTACAATCATGGGGGAGGTTGAAGGGGGGCAAGGCACCTTCTTCACAAGGTGGCAGGAAGGAGAATGCTGAGTGAAGGGGGAAGAGCCCCTTATAAAACCATCAGATCTCATGAGAACTCACTCACTAAAACAAGAACAGCATGGGGACAACTGCCCCCATGATTCAATTACTTTCACCTGGTCCTTCCCTTGACACATGGGGATTATGGGTTTTATGATTCAAGATGAGATTTTGGTTGGGACATAAAGCCTAACCATATCATTCCACCCCAGCCCCTCCCAAAACTCATGTCTCTTTCACATTTCAAAACCAATCATGCCTTCCCAACACTCCACCAAAATCTTAATTCATTCCAGCATTAACTCAAAAGTCCAAGTCCAAAGTCTCATCTGAGACAAGCAAGTCTCTACTGTCTATGAGACCGTAAAATGAAAAGCAAGTTAGTTACTTCCTAGATACAATGCAGGTACAGGCATTGGGTAAATACACCTGTTCAAAATGAGAGAAATTGGCCAAAATGAAGGGGCTACAGGCCCTATGCAAGTCTGAAATCCAGCGGGGCAGTCATGTCTCAAAGCTCCAAAATGATCTCCTTTAATTCCATGTCTCACATCCGGGTCACACTGATGCAAATGGTGGGCTTCCACAGCCTTGGGCACCTCCACCCCTGGGGCTTTGCAGGTAAAGCTTTCCTGGCTGCTTTCATGGGCTGATGTGGAGTGTCTATGGTTTTTCCAGGCCCATGGTGCAAGCTGTTGGTGGATCTACCATTCTGGCATCTGGAGGACAGTGGCCCTCTTCTCACAGCTCCACTAGGCAGTGCCGCAGTGGGGACTGTGTGTGGGGGCTCTGATCCCACATTTTCCTTCTGCACTGCCCTAGCAGAGGTTTTCCATCAGGGCACCAACCCTGCAGCAAACTTCTAAATGGACATCTAGACCTTTCCATACATCTTCTGAAATCTAGGCAGAGGTTCCCAAACCTCAATTCTTGACTTCAGTGCACCTGCTGGCCCAATATCACATGGAGACTGCCAAAGCTTAGAGCTTGCACCCTCTGAAGAAACACCTTAGCTGTACATTGGCCCCTTTTGGCCACGGTTTGAACATAGGACACGAAATCCTGAGACTGCACAAAGCAGCCAGGCCCTGGGCCTGGCCCACAAGACCATTTTTCCCTCCTAGGCCTCTGGGCCTTTGAAAGGGGGGCTGCCATGAGGATTTCTGACATGCCCTGGACACATTTTCCCCATTGTCTTGTCAATTGACATCTGGCTCCTCATTACTTATACAAATTTCTGCAGCCAGCTTCAATTTCTCTTCAGAAAATGGGTTTTTCTTTTCTATTGCACCATTAGGCTGCAAACTTTCCAAAATTTTATGCTCTGCTTCTTTTTTTAACATAAGTTCTAATTCCAAACCATCTCTTTGGGAATGCATAAAACTGAATGCTTTTGAGGACTCAAGTCATCTCTTGAATGCTTTGCTGTTTAGAAATTTCTTCTTCCAAATGTCCTAGATCATCTCTCACAAGTTCAAAGTTCTACAGATCACTAGGGCAGGGGCAAAATGCTGCCAGTCTCTGCTAAAGCATAGGAAGAGTCATCTTTGCTCAAGTTCCCAACAAGCTCCTCATCTCCATCTGAGACTACCTCAGCCTGGACTTCACTGTCCATATCAGTATCAGCACTTTGGTCAAAGCCATTTAATAAGTCTCTAGGAAGTTCCAAACTTTCCCACATCTTCTTGTCTTCTTCTGAGCCCTCCAAACTGTTCCAACCTCTGCCTGTTACCCAGTTCCAAAGTCACTTTCACATTTTTGGGTATCTTTATAGCAGCACCCAACTCTCTGTGGTACCAATTTACTGTATTAATTTATTTTCACACTACTACAAAGTACTGCCCGAGACTGGGTAATTTATAAAGGAAAGAGGTTTAATTGACTCGCAGTTCAGCATGACTGGGGAGGCCTCAGGAAACTTACAATTATGGTGGAAGGTGAAGGGGAAGCAAGGCACCTTCTTCCCAAGGTGGCAGGAAGGAGAAGTGCAAGTAGTGAAGGTGGAAGAGCCCCTTATAAAACTGACTCACTTTCATGAGAACAGCATGGGAGAAACACTGCCCCATGATTCATTTACCTCCACCTGGTCTCTCCCTTGACACTTGGGGATTATAGGGATTATAATTCAAGATGAGATGTGGGTGGGAATGCAAAGCCTGACCATATCAAATGCCATCTGCATGTCCTGGCCCATGGCCTGCTTCCATTTTCAAAGCCAGCAATGGCCAGTGGAGTTCTTCTAGTGTTGCCATTTTTACTGCCTTGTCACCCATTTAAGAAAAATGGTAATTACTCTGGGCCTGCTGGAATAATCCCATGTAATCTGTTTTCTGTTTATTTTAAAGTCACATGACTAGTAACCTTAATTTCATTTACAAACTTAATTTCCCCTTGCCATACAACAACCTAGTCACAGGTCCCAGGGATTAGGATGTGGAGATCTTTGTGTGTTTGTGTGTGTGTGTGTGTGTGTGTGTGTGTGTGTGTGTGTGTGTGTGTATGTGGTGGGGGGCATTATTCTTTCTGCCTAGAGCAATAGAGAACAGCTGCCCTCATTACTTTCTTCTCCCTATCGCAGGTTCCATAGCTTGGTGCTTTCAGCATACATTATTTCTAGGTGTCAGAGGGCTATCTCATGCCCTGATGATGTTATACTCAAAATCCTAATGTGGGGACATTGAGGCCAAAATTCAAGTTTCAAGATAGGTCTAAGAACAGCTTTTCACAGAACTCTATTCTGTAGGACATGAAAGAGACTATATTAAGCAAAAGTGTTTATGGTCAAATCAGATTGAGAACGCAGATTAAGCAAAAACAAACCCTGCCATTTATTTGCTGAAAGATTTCTAATTGCCTTTATCAATGTGCATTGTGGTTCTCCAGGTGGATACCATAGTATGCAGGCCCTCTCAAATTTATTTGGCTACAGAAAGCTTGTGATTACGCCGCATTTAATGGGGCTAATGACCTGTGGAACACACTGTGAGACATTTTGGTATAAAAGCGTCGTAGAGTGCTACAGAAAATTAGGAGTCTCTCTGGGCTTCAGGATCCATAGGAAATTGATTTCTAGAGTTCCCAACATTTTATTGCCTTGGCAGTTCCTAAAACAAATGAATCATCCTTTGGGGACTGCAAGTAATTTTGCCACTTAGGAACCTTTATAGCAGGAGATTGTAGGAGGCTCGCTTGATAGCTCCTTAATTCAACTTGTTCAAAATTAAACTTACTGTCTTCTTGCTCCCTCTCCCCAATTTACCTTACTGATAGGGGCTGAGTTGGGTCCCCTAAAATTCGTATGTTGAAGTCCTAACCCTCAGTACCTCAGAGTGTGACCGTATTTGGAGATAGGGTTTTTAAAGTGGCCATTAAGTTAAGATGAGGTCATTAGAGGGGGCCCTAATCCAATATGACTGGTGTCCTTCTAAGAAGAGGAGAGCAGGTACAGAGGGAAGGCCATGTGAAGACACAGGGAGGAGTCGGTCATCTACAAGCCAAGGAGAGAGGCCTCAGGAGAAGCATCCTTGCTGACACCTTGCTCTCAGACGTCTAGCCTCCAGAGTTGTGAAAGGATATATTTCTGTTGTTTGAGCCACCAGTCTGTAGTACTTTGTCATAGCAGCCCTAACAAACTGATATACCTGCCTTATTAAATTCTTCGTATTTTTTCAAACGTACCCTCATCTATTTCCATTTTTCTTATATCCAATGTACTTCTAAGCTTTGGCATGTTTTCCTCCATGTATTATCAGGCTCATCCCATCTTCCTCTCTATCCCTGTGCCTACCATGCTTGCATAGGTGGTCCTTGCACACCAGCCTTTTCTTGTGATTGGTCAATATTCCCATCATGCTGTCTTTCTTTACTGCCACCTGTCTTCCTGGCACACTAATGTCATCATGTTGTTTCACTTCCTGGAGAGAGAATGGCTTCCTGCTGTACACCCCATTAGTAATAGTTTACAGTCCTACCTGGTCCTGCCTTAATTCCCGCTCCAGTCAGCACCTGGGGCTCTAGGGATACAGTGGGGTTTATTCCTGCTGCCTTCCCTACATTCACAGTCGTCTCTCTGCCCAGTGCATTCTCCTTCCTCCTTTTTACCTATTCAGATCCTTTTACCTTTTAAGACTTGGCTCCTGTCTCCCTGCTGCCCTTAAGTTTTCCAATCCATGTGAGTGTGCTCCTGCTTTCCCACCGCACTCACCATGCTGCCCTGAAATGCAGCTTTTCTCAATAAAAATAAAACTGGCATCCTCAAGATTATCAGAAAAAAGAGAATGAGCTGGTGGAAAAGAACATCCAGTCCCCGTCCTAGACTAGATCCCTGAAAATCACTTGGGATTATTCTCTAATTGCTGTTGCTGCAGTCATGCTGGCCTTTCCTATAAAATACTGGCTCAAATGTGGAAAGATGACCCCTTATATAAATATCTTTTACAATTCCTGCATAAATATCCTACAGATTCCCTGAGAAAATGCATTTTTTAAAGTCGCAAAAAATGGAACCTTTTTCCTAGTTTACTAACAAGTAAGAGATGAAAATAAATGCATTTATAAAATATAGTCAGTCCCTTAGGATTGTAGACCAGGCATGCTAGCCTGGATTCCAGAGGAAAATCACAGACTTCCAAGGTCCTGTTTTGCTGGTTCCTGGCATGATTCTACAGGATAAAGCTTGCTTTGATCCCTTCTGCTCTGGTTAGTCACCTCAGCGTCCAGATCAAAGGGGAGGCACTGAATTCCCTTTCTTGGACTCACAGCTTTGAAGACGTGCCTCTATTCACATGACTGACACTGAGAATGATTTCTCCTTTATGGTAAACACATATGCTCTGCCTTCTGAGACAGACTGAGACTTGCAAAACCACAAAAGGTTGATACTACTGTGTAACACAATGACCATAAGGATCACGAGGCACTGGCCTACAGCCATGGACATCAGTGAAGGTTCGTTCTCTCTTATGCACAAGTCTTGATTGCACAAACTCCAGTGTCAAGGCAACCTGACTATGACAGTTGTCATTTTATTCTTTGTCAGAATTGATTTGGTAGATGCATTAGTTTCCTATTGCTGCTATAAAAGTTACCACCAACTTTAGTGGCTCAAAACGACCAAATTTATTATAGAGTTCCATAGGTTAGAAATCTAAAAAGGGTTGGCAGGGCTGTGATGCTTCTGATGACTCCAGGGGAGAATCCAATCCTTGCCTTTTCTGGCATCTAGAGGCTGCCAGTACTCCTTGGCTTGTGGCTCATTCTCTCATCTTCAGAGTTAGCAGCACAACATCTTCCAATCTCTCTCTCTTTTTGCTTTGTTGCCTTTTCCCCACTCAGCTCACATCATCACATTTCCTTGACTCTGACCCTCCTGCCTTCCTCTCATATGGACTCTTGAGAAGGCATTTGGTCCACCAGGATAACCCACAATAATCTTCCCACTCTAAGGTCTTCTAGGTAATCACATCTGCATAGACAGTTTCCAGGAATTATGGTGTGGACATCTTTGTGGGCCCGATAATCTGTCTACCAGTATGGATATGAATTGATAGTAAGTGGCCTCTTCTACCCTCAGCTAATAACTTCAAAGAGGATGACTATTCAGAAAAGTAAACAGTCTTTTAACCAAGTTTGTAGAAGTAGTTCAGCATCTCTATTACAATCTGAAATTATAATCTATTGTTTTATATATGTGAGTATGTATTTATGCAGATATATAAAATATATATTTCTTATTCACCAAATTATCTATCCTTGTACAAAGCATATAATAGATTCCTGATAAACTGTTATAAAAGTATAATGAATTTAACAAAAATCTAAGAGAATATGGTAGAGAGAAAAGACCCATCACCCCATTTCTTTTAACCATTGTTAAGTGGGAACTGATGAATAAATAAGAAATAGAGAAAAATGAATTGTGTTAAAAGACAGATGTATTAAATGGTGTTTTGCAGGGCTGAGGGGAAAGTAGATACCTTGGAATAGTTTATAAGTTTGAAGTATGTGAGAAAGTATTTTTTTCTACTTTTTAAAATGAGCACACTTACACTAGAGAATATTATTTCCAGAATCACACAGCTCCACTCGGAACTGCAGGATAAATGAAACAGTAAGAACAGAAGTTAAATGATGATTAAAAAACAGCATGGCAGAATTTAAACCTGCAGATTAAAGATGAAAAGTTTTGCCAAAGACTGTCAGGTGAGACATCTGCTACCTCACATGAAAGATGCCTCAGGGCACAAGATAGTTCTTAGAAAGTGCTTGTTCTGGATAAGAATTTTAATTTTCACTTAGTCAACAGAATAATTAGTAAAGATTAAGGAAATGCACCCTGAAGTTTCTTGGTAGATAGCATTTACTTGGCATAAAGTTCGGCAGAAATAAAAACTTATCAGTATAACCATGCATGATTTCTAAATTAGGCGCTGCTACGTGATCTTACCCAATCAAGCTGAATTGATAGCTTATCTGGGTCTCAAAAACTACCTACGTTAATTACAATAATATTTATTGGCATTAGATCTTTTGATTTGAGGCTGACTTTATCTCCACCCAAGCAAGTCAGGAGGAAAATGGATCTATGCTTTGAGTGGACAAAGAAATGGTTTAACTCAGTCCTGAGAAACGTTATTTATTTTCTATTCCATTTATAGTTCAGTAGTGTGCCTTGAAGAAGCATGGGGTGATGTGAAAAAAGAATCACAAAGATTTGGGGTAACAATCTGGCTCTTCACATTACAAGTTGGGTAATAGTGAGTAAGTCTACCACGCCTCACTGAGCTCAAGTGACCTTCTGTATAGAAAGAAAATAACTCTTCTTCCAAAGTCTGTTGTGAGGATTTCCTAAGACAATGTAGCAAAGCAGGTTCTCAGTGCAGGCTCATGCTTATTACCATTGACATTGAATGTACTTCCTTAACATCTTATAGAAAGTTTGGCATTATGGAATATGTTGGAGATAGAGATATCCTGTAAAATATCAAAGGGGTTCCTGACTGGGAACTGCTTTCCTGTTCATCCTTTCTCTCATGAAGGCTTCTTGTTCAGGAAGGTTCTCAGCTGAATGCAGGGAAAGGGGTCAACTGCTGCATAGTCCATCTGGTAGTAAGCCTGAGTCCTGGGAAGCAGAGTACATATAACCCCCAGGGTGAGAGATTTTTCTCTTAGATACCTAGTGCACCTGAATGATGTGAGAAATGCTCATCCAACTTAAAAAATAAAATAACCTGCATTATGAGAGGGCCCAAGGGTATGACTTACTTCCACTGGGCAGCTAGAATAAATTACACTACACAAATTGGCTTTTGAAGCGCCCATCTTCTGCACCGGTAGACCGTGAAGAGCAGCGTGAATGTGTGCCCTTTCATTTTAATTCATTCCTTCTCTGTTGTGGATCCTGCAATATAAGTACACAGAAGCTATTTTTGGGATGAAAAGGGAAATCTGGAAGATCAAAAGTTGAGTCTGGAGTTTGCTGTTTTCATCTTACCAATACATGAGTTTAAAAATATCATTTTTCTCTCTGAAAACCTCATGGTAGCCTCAGTATATTTTGTCAAAGGATCATATTGAAGACTGGATCATATTAAAGGACCATATTGAAGACTACCATATTGGCAGACTGGAATACAAAACATTTCCAGCTGCTTAATTTTTGTTTTTTAATTAATTATTATTATTATTTTTTGAGACAGAGTCTCACTCTGTCACCTAGGCTGGAGTGCAGTGGCACGATCTTGGCTCACTGCAACCTCCACCTCCCGGGTTCAAGTGATTCTCCTGCCTCAGCCTCCTGAGTAGCTGGGACTACAGGTGCCCACCACCAAGCCCGGCTAATTTTTTTAGTAGAGACGGGGTTTCACTGTGTTAGCCAGGATGGTCTCGATCTCCTGACCTCGTGATCCACCCACCTTGGCCTCCGAAAGTGCTTGGATTATAGGCGTGAGCCACTGCACCTGGCTGCTTAAATTTTTTAATACTTGATTTACTTATTTATTCCTTAATTGGACATCTCATCAATATTTGTTGAGCATCTTCTCTGTGTGGCCTCTGTTCTAGGACTGAAGAGTACAAGTGTGAAAAAAAATCTTTTCCTGCTGTCTCACTCCTGCTCCTTCTGTATTGTTTTATCTGTGTCCTCCTTCTCTCCCTGACTTCTGAGATGTTGGATCATCCCATGGCCCAGTCCTCAGACCTCCTCTCTTCTTTATCTCTACGTCAGGAGTTGGCATATTTTTTTTTTTTCTGTAAATGACCACAGTAAATATTTTAGGCTTTTGCTAGGTGCACAGTCTCTGTCACCAATTACTCAGCTCTGCCAGGGTAGCACAAAAGCATCCACAGACAACGTCTCAATGAATACATGTGGCTGTGTTCCAATACAGCATTTGAACAAAAACAGGAAGGTGCCCTGATTTGGCTGCAAGCCATAGTTCATGGACCCCAATCTAAGTAATCTCAATCCTATGCTTTAACACCCTTTAAATTCCAGCAATCCATAAATGTGTAACACAGGCTCCAGCTGTGTATATCTAATTTCCTACTTGATATCTCTACTCGGATATTATTCATACCACTCTCAAACCTAACATTCCTAAGACAGAATTTCTGATTCCCTCCTCCCTGTGCAAATCTGCTCCCTCCCTAGCATTTCTCACCTGGCTAAATGGCATCTTTGTCCCATCCAGTTGCTCAAGCCCAAAGGAGTCATCTTTATTTTTTGCTTTTTGTAACATTCCTTCACCAATTTATCAGCAGCACCATTGACTCTACCTTTAAAATACATCCTAAATCAAACTGCCTGTCACAGTCGCTGCTTCTACGCCTCTACTCCAAGACATAATCCCCTCTTGCCTGAACTCCTTCAGTAGCTTCTTAAGGGCTCTCCTTTCTTCCACTCTTAACCTAATCCCCAGCCAGTAAAACACCATCAAGGTTTCTTATCTCCTCCGGAGTTTTAAATTCTCATATCTTTATTATGGTTCTAAAGCCCCATGGAGTCTGTTTCCTGACCTTCTCTCTCCCATATTTTCTACAGTTACTCACTTCTTGCTTTGCCACACTGGCCTTCTTGCTATGTCTTCAACCAGCAGAGCCTGCTTCTATCTTAGCACTGTTGCACTTGCTTTTCACTCTGCCTGGAAAGCAAATCCTTGAGGTAATTGCATACATCTCTCCCACTTCCTCAGCATGGCCCTACCTGACCACCCGCCCTAAATAAGATAATGCCCTCCTGATTCTCTCTCCTCTGTTGTAGGTTGCTAGGAGCCACAGTGTGACTGCCTGACACTATTTTGCACATGCATTAATTTATTATTTGACTCTTCTACTAGAATGCAATCTTTGCGAGTCAGGGACATTCCCATTTTGTCACTGTGATGTCCCTGTTTCTATAAGAGTAGGTGGCATGCAGCAGGTATTCAATAAATATTTGTTGATTGTCTGAATATATAAATGAATGAATGAATGAGGAAAGAAAAATACATTTCTTTTCCTTATAACCTTATAGTCCACTGGGGTGATTCAGAGAAGTCAGTAGTGAAATAGCATGGGAAGATCCTTAATAAGAATGGGACAGGGGATTATGGAACTCCATGCTGCCCTTAGATTTTGGTTGCCAGAATCATCTTTTTAGAGAATGCAAAATCTTAACTGAGAATTTAATGTTGAATAGTAGTTAACCATGTTAAGAGAGGCATGGACCTTTGGGTATGCTGTGACTAAGAGAAGGCAGGGAAGCCGAGCTAACTAAAAATCTGAATGTGATTTTTTGCATTACTCCTCTCTTATCTTAATTAATATTTAATGCCTACTTTTTACTAATCTTCAGCTAAGGAAATTGTTTAACTGACTCATAATATTGTATGTCTGATCATTGAGTTGCAATTGTCCCTGCCGGGACAAGAGCTATGAAATTGGTGACATTTATAGTGGTCAAAATTTTCTGTTGGTAACACACTGGCAAGTCACATCTCCTACTTGGTAAGGCCCTGGGGCAGTGATTTAGATGTGATAATTACCTTCATTCTCTGTCCTCACCTTAATGAATCATTCTGTCCTGGGGAGACTCAATTGTCTTGGATTGTCATGGCAACCTTACCATAATGGGGAAAAAGGCCTAAACTTTGAGAAAAACAAGATTAATAAGATTAAGCCATCATTCCTTCTCCTGCTTTGCCAGAAATGCAATTTTGTCACACTTTTTACCTGCAAAATATACACCACAAGATTTTTTTTTTTCAATTTAAATGTGCCAATGCTTTTAGCATGTCCACATTCTCATTTCAAGCTTTGTGAAACTGGCAGGGGTGGGAATTATCCCCATTTTACTTGGGTTAAGTTGTTTTCCTTTCTCCTGCTGATGGCATCCCTTAGCACCTGTTTGAAAACCCAAAAAGAATTAATTAATGAGACATTTCACATTGACAAAATATTACATAATGGCATCTAAAGTAGAGCTTAATCATACTAATGCATTTCCCACAATAGACAGTGGTACTTTTCAGTAATTTCAGAAATGGTTCAAGACAGGTATTCACAGCCAGACTAGGCAAACCATGCTGTTCATTTCAAACACATGGTATGAGGATTGTAAATTACATCAGGCCATTAAATTTTACTTCTCACCTGCTGAAAGGATATGGGAAACACTTCATATTCAATCTTTCAAAAACTGCATCACTCTTTCAGACAAATGATGTCAACTCATATGTCAGTGAAATGGATCCCATATGAATCTCTAAAGAAAAAATTTATTGGGTATTCAATTGGCAAGGGAATACAGGTATAATATGCTTAAACTAATAAAAAATAAACTATTTTGAAAATAAGAATTGCTCTTAGTTATTTTATTTTTATTAATTTAAAAACAGATTCCACAGATTTTGGACAACACTTATACCCCCAACTCATTTATGATCATTGTTAGGAACCAGATTGTGTCCCCTCAAAATTTATATATAGAGCCCTAATCCCCAGTGGGGCCGTATTGAGAGATAAAACCTTTAAAGGGATAGGGTAGGTAAGGGTAGCTCCCTAACCAATAGAACTAGTGTCTTTAAAAGAGGAAGAGACACCGGAGAGCTCTCTCTCTCTCCACCATGTGAAGACACAGCAAGAAGGCAGCTGTCTGCAAGATAGGAGGAGAAGCCTCACGGGAAACCAACCCTGCCAGCACCTTGATCTTGGACTTCCAGTCTCCAGAACTGTGAGAAAATAAATTTCTGGTGTTTAAGACACCCCATCTGTGGTATTTTCTATGGCAAAATACACCCCAAGCAAGACTAATATAATCATGTTGGGGATAGAAAGTACATACCGTATATGAGTTGTACTCTCAATGACCGTATGTCACAGATTTAATATACTTATAGAATTCCAAGAGTAATATGCTTATTTGTTGAACACTAAGATATGACAGACTTTTTCTGTATATCTTAATTCTAAACCAAAAAAAAATTACAAATGAAATCCCTGGATGGCTCTCTTCTGAATATTGTGAGATATATCTGATGGTTGACACATGGGCCACAGGAAGGTTGACCAACTGTCTGGTTTGGGACTTTTGGTGCTAAAACCAGGGATGTCCCAGACAAACTAGTACCAGTTGGGCACTCTGGCAAAGGCCTGTGCCTTAGTCATCATGGTCACTAGGCAAGTGAGTTCAGAGTGGTGGGACTTGTAATAGGGATTTTTAGTCAGGATCTTGTCAGGGTTGAATACTCAGACCAATTTTTAAAGAGAGATTTTAATGCAAAGAATTGCATTAATACGGAATTGTTGACTAGGAAACTGAAAAGGCAACCCCCCCCGCCCCCAAATATAGAGTAGTATATAGAGTAGCACCTGCAAGAAACAGACAGCATCCCTGGGGCTTGGGAATAAAAGGAAGAAGTTGGAGTTACTAAAATTTAGATGCTTAGATGAGTGGTGCCATTGGGCTGGGACTCAAGAGTCCTGAGAAGGGAGAGCTACTTGGCTGGTTGGTACTGACTCTGCTGGGGACCAATGGGACTAATTGTGCAAATGGAAAAATTGCAAACTGGAACCAACTGCTACTACCAGAATGAAGTGCCACTGCCAGGGTGAAGGAGATTTGCTTGAGTGATGCTGATAGGAGCAGAAGTCACAGAGAAGGACAGTGTCTCTTTTTATTCCTCAAAGCTTGCAGTCTCTTTCTAGATTCCCTTTGAAATAATCCAACAGGAAGCAGCCAAGAAAGCAGATGCTGGTTTACAGACTCCTAGTCCAGCATCATAAAACAGAATATAGAACGATTGGTTTGTGTTAAGACACTAGCTTAGTAACTGGCCTCAGGGGTAGGGGGTGGTTAATGAAACACAGGAAAAGTGTTCAAAAGGTGCTGGACAGCAACAGATATGACAAACATCCACTACAAACTGATAATCTGTAACAAAGCCTCTGCACTCTACGCCAAGGGAGGAGGGCTGAGGCACCCTTAGCCAGCAGTCAAAAAATGCTCTAAAAAGTGTAGCAGCTGTTTAGAAGCTGAAGAGACAGGCAGCAAGAAGTATCAGCTGGCAACAAAAGAGGAGGCAAGAATTTAAAAGCTGAGTACTGCTGAGGATATCGTGTGTGGGAGCAGTCAGCCTGTTTATTTCAATACCCATTAAAAGAAACAGGGAGAGAAGAAGGGAGCTACTTTTGTGCCAGGTACCATGCTAAGTCATTTAATGTGCTATGATGGAGGCATTATTTGCCATTTTGTGAAAGAGGAAACAAAGTCTTAAAGAAATGAACTATCATGATCTGGGTCAAATCCTTACATCACTTGTGGAGCAAGAATTTGAATCCAGGTTTGTCTGGCTTAACCCATTGCAGTAATTGATGGTTATAAGAGTGGTCTTAAAATAACAGCAAGCCCTCGGCTCTATAACTTCTCCTCTTTCTCCCACTCCCACAGAAGGGAGGGATCCTGGTAGGTAACAAAGGAAAGAATGGAGCTACAATAGACATAAAAATTAGAAGAAAGAAAAATTTCACTATCAAGGAAATACAGGAAGCTCCCCATTTTTTTTTCTAGGTGCATGGGTATGAGATTCCTGACTAGAGCAGTTAAATGATATGAATCTAACAGTCTTGGAGGAGGCAAGTTTATTGGAAAGTTTTCTTCCCAGTGAGTGGGCTTGGGAGAGGTGTCTTCTCTTAGTTTTTGCTCTAATTTTAGTTGGCAAGATTAGATAGGGACCCAATTTTGTGCTGGGTTTATCTTCCACAAAGGAAGCAGAAGCTAGAAGACTAAGACCAGATTAGAATAAGCTCTATGGAATAGGCTTTAGAAATCTTGTTCCACCTAAGTCTCTGAGTTCTATGTAAAGATGAATTGTAAGTTTCTGCATTGGCCAGTCCATGCCACTATGGTAGGTTCCTCAGTCTATTTTCTGTGGCTCTAACAGAATACCATAGACTGGGTCATTTATAAACAATAGAAATTTATTTGGCTCACAGTTCTGCAGGCTGGAAAATCCAAGAACAGGATCCCAGCATCTGCTCAGCGTCTTGTGAGGGCCTTCTTCCTGCATTAATATATGGCAGAAGGACAAGAGAGTGCACTCAAGAGCAAGAGAGTACCCATTTAAAGGCATTAAACCCACACACGTAGACAGAGCCCCCATGGCCTAATCACCTTGTAAAGGCTTCATCTCTTACTACTGTCACAATGGCAATTAATATCAACATGAATTTTAGAAGGGGCATTAAAACTATAGCATTTTTCCCTTGGACTCTTAAAACTCATGTTCTTCTCACATACAAAATACATTCATTCTATCCCAATAGCCCACAAAGTCTTAACTTATTTAAGCACCAACTCAAAAGCCCAAAGTCAGGCTGGGCGCTGTGGCTCACACCTGTAATCCCAGCACTTTGGGAGGCCAAGGTGGGTGGATCACCTGAGGTCAGGCATTCGAGACCAGCCTGGCCAACATGGTGAAACCTCGTCTCTACTAAAAATACAAACAAAATAGCCTGGCGTGGTGGCACGTGCCTGTAGTCCCAGCTACTCCAGAGGCTGAAGCAGGAGAATCACTTGAATCTGGGAGGCAGAGGTTGCAGTGAGCAGAGATGGCGCCATTGCACTCCAGCATGGGCAACGAGAGTGAAACTCCATCTCAGAAAAAAAAAAAAAAAAAAAAGCCCAAAGTCTTGTCTAAATAAGATACAGATAAGACTCAAGGCATGATTCATCCTGAGGCAAATTTCCTCCAGCTGTGAGCTTATGAAATCAAAACAAGTTATCTACTTGCAAAATACAATGATGGGATAGGCATAGGATAGACATTATCAATCCAAAAAGGAAAAGGAGGCAAGAAAGGAGGGATAACTGGTCCCAGTTAAGTCCAAAACCCAATGGGGTGACCAACATTACATTTTAAGGCTCTAAAATAATGTCTGTGACTCCATGTCTCACATCCTGGGCATAGCTGGTGGGGGTCCGCCCCCAAGGACTTCAGCAGCCCTGTCCCTGTGGCTTTGCTGGACTCCTCCCACCCAGCAGCTCTCACAGGTTTGTGTCTCGTGCCTGCATCTCTTCCAGGCTGGCACTGTATGCTGCTAGCCTAACAGCTCTGGAGTCTCTGAGGTAGCCTTATTCCCACAACTCCACTAGGCAGTGCCCTAGTGGGGATTCTCTATGTTGACTCTGACCCTGTATTTCTGCTTGGCATTGCTCTAGCAGGGGCTCTCTGCAGTGGCTCTATCTCTGCCACAAGTCTCTGCCTAAACCCCCAGGCTGTCTACAATGTCCTTTGCAATGTAGATGGAGACAGCCATGCCCCTACAGCTCTTGCATTCTGTGCGTCTGTAGAATTAGCACCACATAGATGCTTCCAAGTCTTACTGCTTATACCTTCCAAGTGGTGGGTCAAGCCACACATGTGCATACTTGGGCCATGGCTAGAGTAGCTGAAGAATGTGCACTGAAATGTTGGAAGCAGCCTTGAAGTGGCCCTGGGCAGTGAGTCCATGGAGGGTATCCTGGATTCTTCTCCCAAAACCAGCCTGCCCTGCTAGAGCTCTGGGCCTGTGATGGGAGGTATAGCCTTGAAGATCTTTGAAACGACTTAGAGGTCTTCCTTTTATTGTCTTAATGAATAGCACCTGTCTGCCTTCTATCAATACTAGTCTCTTTGGCAAATGGTGGCTTGACCACACCCTTAGTTTGCTCTCCTAAATGTGCCTTTTCACTCTTTAAATAGCTAGGCTGTGGATTTTCCAAATTGTTTTGTTCCATCTTTAAGCCATTTCCTTCTAGTCACATTTTATTGTATGTGGATAAAAGTAGCCACTGTACTTTGCTGCATACATATTTCTTCTACCAGAAATCCTAATTCATCACTCTTAAGTTCTGCATTTCATGAAGTCCTTGGGCATGGACACAATTCACCCAGGTTTTTGTGCAATTGTATAATGAGGATGGCCTTTATTTCAGCTTTCAATATCTTCTTCCTCATCAGAATGGCCTTTTCTGTACATATTGCTACCAAAATTCTGACCATGCCACTTAAGTAATCTCTAAGAAGTTCAGACTCTTCCTACACCTCTCTCCTCTTCTGAGCCCTCATCTGAATCACCCTTAATGCTCCATTTATAACAATATAGGCTTTTTCTAGTCTGCTCCTGCAAACTCTTCCAGCCTCTGTTCCGAAGGTCTTTCCACATTTTCAGGTGTCTGTTACTGTAATAATCCCAACACTCAGTACTAGTTTTCTCTTAGTCTGTTCTCCTAGTCTGCTGATATAACAGAATACCACAAACTAGGTAATTTATAAACAATAGAGATTTATTTGGCTCATAGTTTTGGAGGATGAAAAGTCCAAGAACACGGTGCTGTCACCTGCTTGGCACCTGCTTGCTGTGTCCTAACATGGCCAAAGGGCAAGGGTGCGGGATACGGTTTGGCTCTGTGTCCCCACCCAAATCTCACCTTGAATTATAATTCCCATAATCCCCAAGTGTCAATGGTAGGACCAGGTGGAGGTAATTGAATCATGGGTGCAGCTTCCCCCATGCTGTTCTCCTGATAATGAGTTAGTCTCACAAGATCTGATGATTTTATAAGCGTCTGACATTTCCTCTGCTCGCACTCACTCTGTCCTGCTGCCCTGTGAAGAATGTGCCTGCTTCTTTTTTGTCTTCCATCATGATTGTAAGTTTCCTGAGGCCTCCCAGTCATGCTGAACTGTGAGTCAATTAAACCTCTTTACTTTATAATTTATCCAGTTTGGGGTGTTTCTTCATAGCAGTGTTAGAACAGACCAATACAGTGCATGAGGGCAAAAGAGAATCTACTCCCCAAAGCCTCCCTTTTAGAGGAATTAAACCTACCCATGGGCGGGGGGAGCCCTCATGGCCTAATCACCTCTTAAAGGCTCCACTGCCTAATACTGCAACAATGGCAATTAAATTTCAACATGAGATTTAGAGGGGACATTAAAATCATAGCATTTGGTAAATCCTCTAGAGTTAAGACAGCCATTTGGCTAGAGTACACAGGAACTTGAGTGTGGTGGCGGATACTGACAAGGGGTGGATGCAGAAAAGAATAATTTACCATTATGCTTGCTAACTCCATTTAAGAAAGCAGGAAAGGGTAAACCATATTTTAGAACTTTCTCACGACCATTTATTTGGTTATTAAATAAGATTCAGCTAAATGAAAAATCCATGACAGATCATATGTAAGGTCACAAAACAAGTTTTAACAAATTTAAGAAGATGTAAATAATATCAAATATCTTTTTCTGAATGCAATGGTATAAACCTAGAGATCAGTAATAAAAGAAATTTCAGAAAATACATAATTATGTAGAAATTAAACAACAGGTTCTCAAAGAATCAATGGGCCTGTTATCAAAAATATCATGAGATCTACAGAGGAGGCAAAGAGAAACTTTATTTTTCAATAAAATATGATTCACAAATCTGGATAACTTGACCTGGGAGAAACCAAGAGTATATGCTCCACCAAAAATGGGGGAAAATCTGAACTTTATGCCTTGCAAGATTTGCTTAGTACACATAGTCAGCTAGGAGTGGGGAGTTTAGGAATATTTATAAAGGTGAGCAAATATTTGCATAGTGAGAAAACATTTAGGAAACATACATAAAAGCCATGTTCACTTTGGGGTGGAGTTTTAACAATAAAATAGGTGGAATTTGGCTTTTACCTCAGGAGGTCTTTTGCAGGACATAAGAAAAGTCTATGTGCAGACTTTGGCTGCTGGCCAAAACTTTCTGTGGTGTTTTTGCAGGAGAAAGTTACTAAAATCAGTTTCTTGTCCAATCAAGGCTGTAGTTATAACTTGTGAAATTGAATGGGATTGGTCAGTCGTATCTGGTGATCAATGAGTGGCAATTATTTTGTACTGTTTATCTTGAGGCCATTGCTTGCTTAGCTGCTAGAGAAAAAGAAAAAGTCTTATGGCAGTTAGAACACAGTTTATTCTTTAAATGTAAGGGTTTGTAACAACCTTTGCTTGGCATAGCCTTAGGTCTTATTTACAATTTGTTATCTTATGACCACAAAGAGTCCATTCCATCAGACTTATTATCTTTATTTTAACAAGTCAAAGACAAAAATCAAAGGTAGATTAAAAGTATCTTTAGATAAATGAAAATGGAAACATAACATAACAAAACTTATGGGACCCAGCAAAAGCATTTCTAAGAGGGAAGCTTATAGCAATGAACCCCTACATCAAAACAGAAGAAAAATACCAAATAAACAATCTAGTACTATATCTCAATGAACTAGAAGAGGAATAACAAACTAAGTCCAAAATTAATAGAAGGAAATAATAAAGATTGGAGCAGAAATAAATGTAATAGAGACTAGAAAATCAATAGAAAAGATCAACACAAGTAAAAGCTGGTTTTTTTTGAGAGAAACACAATGAACAAATCCTCAGCTAGATTAAGAAGAAAGGGAAGACTCAAATAAATAAAATCAGAAATAAAAGAGGAAACATTATAACTGATACCATGGAAGCACAAAAGATCACGAGGCTACTATGAACAGTTATACACTAATACATTGTATAACCTAGAAGGAATAGAGATACCTTTTTAGACACATGCTACTTAACAAGACTAAATCATAAATAAATAGACATCTGAACAGACTAATAATGAGTAAGGAGACAGAATTAATAATAAAATGTCTTCCAAAAAAATTAGCCAGGCGCCATAGTGGGCGCCTGTAGTCCCAGCTACTCGGAGGCTGAGGCAGGAATGGCGCGAACCCAGGAGGCGGAGCTTGCAGTGAGCCAAGATCGCGCCACTGCACTCCAACCTGGGCGACAGAGCGAGACTCCGTCTCAAAAAAATAAAATAAAATAAAATAAAATAATAAAATAATAAAATAATAGAAGGTCTTCCGTCAAAGAAAAAGCCCAGGGCTTGATAGGTTCACTGCTGAATTATCCCAAATACTTAAAGAAAGCAATTCTTCTCAAACTCTTCCAAAAAACTGAAGAGAAGGAAATACTTCCAAACTTGTTTCAAGAGGACAACATTATCCTGATACCAAAGCCAGGCAAAGACAGCAAAAGAAACAAAAATTGCAGGCTGATATTCCTAATGAATATAGATACAAAAGTTATTTACAAAATACTAGCGAAGTGAGCTCAACAACACCTTAAAAAGATCATTTAAAATTATCAAGTGAAATTCATTCCTGGGATGCAAGGACAAGTTCAACATATGCAAATCAATAAATGTGATACACCACATTAACAAAATTAAGGACAAAACCATGTAATCATCTCACAGAGGCAGAAAAGGCATTTGACAAAACACAAGATCTTTCATGCTAAAAACTCTTAAGAAATTAGGTATGGAAGGAATTTAGCTCAGCACGATATAGGCCATATATGACAAGCCTGTAGCTAACATCGTACTCAACAGTAAAAAGTTGAAAGCTTTTCCTTTAAGATCAAAAACAAGATAAGGATGTCCACTTTTACCACTTCTATTTAACATAATACTGGAAGCCCTAGCTGAAGCAATTAGGTAAAAGAAGGAAATAAAAGGCATCTAAATTGGAAAGAAGAAAGTAAGTTGTTTTTCTGTTTGCAAATGACATACTCTTATAAATAGAAAACCATAAAGACTCCACAGGAAACTATTACAACTAATAAATGAATGCAGTAAAGTTGCAGGATTCAAAACCAACATAAAAATTTTTCATATTTCTCTACACAATGAGTTATCCATAAAGGAAATAAAGGAAACAATACCCTTCACAGTAGCTACAAAACAACAACAAAAACCAACAATCAACTTACAAATAAATTTAAGCAAGGAGTTGAAAAATTGTATACTGAAAACTATGAAATACTAATGAAAAAAGTTAAAGAGGACATAAATAAATGGAAAGATATCTTGTGTTCATGGATTGGAAGAATTGGTATTGTTAAAACACTTATACTACCCAAAGCAATCCACAGATTCAATGCAATTTCTATGAAAATTCCAATGACATTTTTCAGAAATAGAAACAATAATTCTAAAATTTGTATGAAACCGCATAAGACCCTGAATGACCAAAGCCATCATGAACAAAAAGTACAAAGCCAGAGGAATCATACTACCTGATTTCAACATCTACTACATAGCTATAGTAATTAAAACAGTGGCATAAAAACAGACACACAGTCCAATGGGATAGAGAATGGAGAGCTCAGAAAAAGGTCCACACATTTACAATCAATTGATCTTTGACAAAGTTACCAAGAACACACAATGGCAGAAAAAACAGTTTATTAAATTATGCTGGGAAAACTGGATATCCACATGCAGAAGAATGAGATTAAACCATTATTTCACTCTATGTGAAAAATCAACCCAAAGTAGATTGAAGACTTAAATATAAGACCCAATACTGTAAAATCACTAGAGGAAAACATAAGGAGAGAGTTCCAGGACATTGGTTTGGGCAATGATTTCTTGGCTAAGACCCCAAAAGCATAGGCAACAAAAGTGAAAATAGGCAAATAGGATTGCATTAAACTAAAAAGCTTCTGCACAGCAGAGAAAACAACAGCTTGCAAAGACAACCCATGGAATGGAAGAATATATTTGCAAGACATACATCTGATAAAGAGTTAATATCTAAAATATATGAGGGACTCAAACAACTCAAAATCCGCAGGGGCAGAATGATATGGTTTGGCTGTGTCCCCATTCAAATCTCAACTTGAATTGTACCAGAATTCCCATGTGTTGTGGGAGGTACCCAAGGGCAGGTAATTAAACCAGGGGGGCCAGTCTTGCTTGTACTATTCTCATGATAGTGACTAAGTCTTATGAGATCTGATGGGTTTATCAGGGGTTTCTGCTTTTACTTCTTCCTTATTTTCTCTTGCTGCCGCAATGCGATTTAAAAAGTGCCTTTCCCCTCCCACCATGATTCTGAGACTTCCCCAGCCATGTGGAGCTGTAAGTCCAATGAAACCTCTTTGTCTTCCCAGTCTTGGGTGTGTCTTTATCAGCAGCATGAAAACAGACTGATATAAAGTAACACAATTAAAAAACGGGCAAAGGGCCTAAATAGCTATTTTTCAAAGAAGACATGCAAATGTCTGACAGGTATATGAAAAACTGCTCAAAATCATTAGTCATCAGAGAAATGCAAATAAAACTGCAATAATATACCAACTGACACTGACACCTGTTGGAATGATTACTATCTAAAAAAGGAAAGACAAATGTTGACAAAGATGTGGAGAAAAAGTCACTTTTGCACAAGTTGGTGGGAAGGTAAATTAATATAACCATTATGAAAAACAGTATGAAATTTTCTTAACAAAATAAAAATAGAACTACCATATGGTCCAGCAATCTTACTACTGGGTATGCACCCAAATCATATAAAATCAGTATGTTGAGAAGGTATCTGCACTCCCATATTTATTCACAATAGCCAAGATACAGAATCAATCTAAGTGTCCATCAACAGATAAATTGATACAGAAAATGTGGTGTATATTCAAAATGGAATACTAATCAGCCTTAAGATAGAAATCGTGGGGTTGGGACCAAGATGGCTGACCTGATTCATCAGGGAAGAGTTTCTCTCACTGAGACCAGACTGTCAAAAAGACCTGTGCACTCCAAGCACGTCTTCAGGAGGAAGACATTGAGAGTGGACAGATGGAGGATGCAGATCCTGGACTGAAGGAAGTGGAGTCTGGGAACCCTGCATAAATAAGGTGGCTGAGCACCAGAACTTGTTCCTGGCCCTGAGTAACTCCAGGGGAAGGAGTGGGCGGAATGGTCATGGAGTGGCCCACTCTTGCCATAGACCCCCAGAATCCTAGCTGCAAGAGACCTCGTGACTCCACAGAGATTTGAGCTAGTGGCGAGATCTGCAAGGAGAGCTGGCAGAGACAGGACTCCAGCCTGTATAGAGCCCAGAGGGTCTGGCATGTGAATAGCTGTAGTGGGGCACAGCCAAAGACACGCATTCCCTAAGGCTCACCATGTTCCAAAGCCATGTGGCTTTGGCTTTTCTTGACTGTCAGACCTGCACAAAGCAGGGCTGTCTTTCCCAAGGGACAAGACCAGTCTGATCTGAGCATCCTCTGTCTGCCAGCCTCTCCTGGGGTCCCTGCCTGGCCCCGCCCACTTGCAACACAGCTCCGATGCCCAACTGGGCACTACAATAGCTCCTTCACTGGCAAAACCCATCTAACTGTTGGAGTGCTTCTGCAGATGGATCCCCACCAGCACAGTGTTACCCACAGCCTCTCCTCACTGCTTTGCCAGCCTGCAAACATGTGCATGGAACTAATGTCTCCCAGCTGCTGCCAGCACAAGCATGTATGCTTGAACTTTACTGCCCTGATGAAGCGCTTTTGCTGGCATCTCCAATTGGATTGTTGTTACCAGAGGACTGGGAACACCTCAGCCCCACCAGCACAATAGGTGCTTAACCTTGAGGGACCAAAGGACAAATCCATGGGCCTAGTCCCAACCCTTCAGGGTTAGAGCATACAGCCCAGGAGTGCTGAGCTGAGACTTGGCTCCCTGAAATTATCCAGAGTGAAGCCAGTTGACTGAACCCAAATTATGCCACAGTCAAACTCTGAAGGGTATCAAAGAATATAAAAGTGAAAAGCTCCATCCAAAGAACAGCAACTACAAAGATTAATGAAACATCAGTCCACACAGATGAGAAAGAACCAGTATAAGAACTCCGGCAACTTAAAAAGTCAGAATGTCTTTTTACTTCCAAACAACTACACTAGCTCTCCAGCAATGGTTCTTAACCAGGTTGAAATGGCTGAAATAACAGAAACAAGAATTCAGAACCTGGATGGCAATGATCATCAAGATCCAGGAGAAAGTTGAAACTGAATCCAAAGAATCTAAGGAATCCAGTAAAACTTTACGAGGGCTGAAAGACAAAACAGTCATTTTGAGAAAGAACCAGCCTGATCTGATAGAGATGAAAAAGTTACGAGAAGTCTTTCTTCATACTGTCTCAAGTATTAACAGTAGTAAAGAACCAGCCTAATCTGATAGAGATTAAAAAGTTACTAGAAGTCTTTCCTCGTACTGTCTCAAATATTAACAGTAGAATAGACCAAGCTAAGGAAAGAACTTCAGAGCTCGAAGATTGGTTCTTCAAATCAACTCGGTCAGACAAAAATAAAGAAGAAAGAATAAAACAGAATGAAGAAAACCTACAATAAATATGGGATTATGTAAAGATACCCAAACCTACGATTCATTGGCATCTCTGAAAGAGAGAGAGTGAGCAACCTTGAAAACATATTTGAGAATATCATCCATGAAAATTTCCCTAACCTTGCTAGAGAGGTGAACATTCAAATTCAGGAAATTCAGAGAACTCCTGTGAGATACTATCCAAGATGACCATCCCCAATACACGTAGTCATCATATTCTCCAAAGTCAATGTGAAAGAAAAATATTAAAGACAGATAGAGAGAAAGGGCAGGTCACCTACAAAGATAAGCCCATTATGCTAATAGCAGACCTTTCGACAGAAACTCTATATACCAAAAGAGATTGGTGGCCTATATTCAGCATTTTTAAAGAAAAGGAATGCCAACTGAGAATTTTATATCCGGCCAAACTGAGTTTCATAAGGGAAGGAGAAATAACATTATTTTCAGAGAAGCAAATGCTAAGAGAATTTGTTACCACCAGACCTCCCTTACATGAGGTCCTTAAAGGAGTGCTAAACATAGAAACTTTTTTTGAGATGGAGTCTCACTCTGTCCCCAGGCAGGAGTGCAATGGCACAATCTTGGCTCGCTGCAAGCTCCGCCTCCCAGGTTCACGCCATTCTCCTGCCTCAGCCTCCCGAGTAGCTGGGACTACAGGCGCCTGCCACCATGCCTGGCTAATTTTTTGTATTTTTAGTACAGACAGGGTTTCACCGTGTTAGCCAGGATGGTCTTGATCTCCTGACCTCGTGATCCACCTGTCTTGGCCCCGCAAAGTGCTGGGATTACAGGCATGAGCCACCATGCCTGGCCGGAAACTAAAGACTGTTAACAGCCACCACAAAAACACACTTAAGTACATAGACCATAGACATTGTAAAACTCTACATAATCAAGTCTATGTAACAATGAGCTAACAATGCAAGGACAGGACCAAATCCACACATATCAATATTAATCTTGAATGTACATGGGCTAAATGCCCCACTTTAAGAGGCACAAAATAATAAGTTTGATAAAAAAGCAAAACACAACTGTATGCTCTGTACAACAGACCCATCTCAAATGTAATGACACACATAGGCTCAAAGTAAAAGGATGAGAAAAATCTATTAAACAAATTAAAAACAAAAAAGAGCAGAAGTTGCTATCTTTATTTCAGACAAAACAGACCTTACACCAACAATGATACAAAAGGACAAAGAAGTGCGTTACATAAAGATAAAGGGTTCAATTCAACAAGAAGACTTAACTATCCTAAATATATATATGCACCCAACACTGGAGCACTGAGATTCATAAGACAATTTCTTAGGCACCTACAAAGAGGCTTAGAGTACCATACAATAATAGTGGGAAACTTCAACACCCCACAGAGGATATTGGATAAATCATTGAGGCACAAAGCTAACAAAGATATTCATGACCTAAACTCAACACTTGACCAAATGGACCTAATAGACATGGAGATACAGGACACTACACCCAACAGAATATACATTCCTCTTATTTGCACATGGCACATACTCTAACATAAAACATATGTTTGGCCCTCAATCAATTCTCCATGAATTCACAAAACTAAAATTATAACAGCCACACTCTCAGACTACAGTGCAGTAAAAATAGATATCAATACCAAGAAGATATCTCAAAACCATACAATTACATAGAAATTAAACAACCTGCTCCTGAATGACTTTTGGTTAAACAATGAAATTAAGGCAGAAGTCAAGAAATTCTTGGAAACTGTTGAAAACAAACATATAACATACTAGAATCTCTGGGGCGCAATTAAAGCAGTGTTAAGATGGAAGTTTATAGCACTAAGCGCCAACATCAAAAAATCAGAAACATCTCAAATTAACAATCTAAGATTACACCTGGAAGAAGTAGAAAAACGAGAGAAAAACTGTCTCTCTTCACAAATGATATTATTCTGTACCTAGAAAACCCCATAGTCTCTGCCCAAAAGCTCCTAGATCTGATAAACAACTTTAGAAAACTTTCAGAATACAAAATCAATGTACAAAAATCAGCATTTTTATACATCAACAACATCCAAGCTGAGAGCCAAATCATGAATGCAATCTCATTCATAATAGCCACAAAAAGAATACAATAACTAGAAATACAGCTAAACAGGGAGAAGACCTCTACAACGATAATTACAAAACACTGCTGAAAGAAGTTACAGATTACACAAACAAATGGAAAAACATTTCATACTCATGGATAGGAAGAATTGATATAATTAAAATGGCCATACTGTCCAAAGCAGTGAACAAATTCAGTGCTATTCCTATCAAACTACCAATGACATGTTTCACAGAATTGGAAAAAAAAAAACTGTTCTAAAATCTATATGGAAGCAAGAAAGAGCCTAAAAGTTTAGTGCTGTCCTAAGCAGAAAGATCAAAGCCAGAGGCATCATACTACTTGACTTCAAACTGTACTATAAGGCTAAAGCAAAACAGCATGATACTGGTACAGAAACAGACACATAGACCAACGGGATAGGTGAGACAACCAAGAAATAAAGCTGCACTCCTACAGCCATCTGATCTCCAACAAAGTTGACAAAAACAAGCAGTGGGAAAGGACTCCTTATTCAATAAATCATGTTGGGATAACTGCCTAGCCGTATGCAGAAGATTGAAACTTGACCCTTCCTTACACCATATAAAAAAATCAACCCAAGATGAATTAAATACTTAAATGTAAAAGTTAAAATTATGAAAACCCTAGAAGAAAATCTAGAAAGTACCATTCTGGACATAGGTCCTGGCAAAGATTTCATGATAAATACTCCAAAAGAAATTGCAACTAAAACAAAAATTGACAAATGGGACCTTGTTGATTATAGCTCCCATGAAAAACTTCTTCTGCACAGCAAAAACAATTATCAATGGAGTAAAGAGACAACCTACAGAATGGGAGAAAATATTTGTAAACTATGCATCTGAGAAAGGTCTAATATCTGGAATCTATAAGGAATTTTAAAAAATGAACAAGCAACAAATAACTCCATTAAAAAATGGGCAAAGAACTTGGACATTTCTCAAAAGAAGATATACATAACCAACAAGCTTATGGAAAAATGCTCAAAATCACTAATCATTAATGAAATGCAAATCAAATCTACAATGAGATAACATCTCACACCAGTCAGAATGGCTGTTATTAAAAAGTCAAAAAATGGCTGGGCGTGATGGCTCACACCTGTAATCCCAGCACTTTGGGAGGCCGAGGTGGGTGAATCACCTGAGGTCAAGAGTTTGAGATCAGCCTGCCCAACATGGCAAAACCCCATCTCTACTAAAAATACAAAAAAATTAGCTAGGCGTGGTGGCAGGTGCCTGTAGTCCCAGCTACTCAGGAGGCTGAGGCAGGAAAATTGCTTGAATCCGTGACAGTGAGCCAAGATTGTGCCACTGCACTGAAGCCTGGGCAACAAGAGTGAAACTCCATCTCAAAAAAAAAAGAAAAAAGAAAAAAAGAAAAAAGTCAAAAAATAACAGATGATGGTGAGGTTGCAGAGAAAAGGGAATGCTTATACACTGATGGTGGGAATGTAAATTAGTTCAGTCACTGTGGAAAGCAATTTGGAGATATCTCAAATAACTTACAGCAGCAATTCATTCAACTCAGCAATCTTGCTACTGGGTATATACCCAAAGGAACATAAGTTATTCTGCCATAAAGACACATGCTTGCATATGTTCATTGCAGCACTATTCACAGTATCAAAGACATGGAATCAGCATACATGCCCATCAATGGTGGACTCGATAGAGAAAATACGGTACATATACACCATGGAATACTATGCAGCCATAAAAAGAATAAGATCATGTGATTTGCAGCACCGCATATGGAACTACAGACCATTATCCTAAGTGAATTAATACAGGAACAGAAAACCAAATAGTACATGTCCTAACTTACAAGTGAGAGCTAAAAATTGAGTACACATAGACACAATGAAGGGAACAATAAGCACTGGCGCCTACTTGAGGGTGGAGAATGGGAGGAGGATGACGATTGAAAAACTACCTATTGGGGGTACTATGTTTATTACTGGGGTGAAAAAGTAATCTGTACACCAAACCCGTGTGACATGGAATCTACTCATGTAACAAACCTGCACACGTATCCCCAAACTGAAACTGAAAGTTAGAAAGAAGTAAAAAAACAAAACAAAACAAAACAAAATCCTGTCATTTGTTATAAAATAGATAAACCTGGAGGATATTATGTTAAGAGAAATACTGTCTTGGTCCATTTTTTGTTGCTTATAACAGAATACCTGAAAGTGGGTAATTTATAAAGAAAATAAATGTATTTCTTAAAATTGTGGAGGCTGAGAAGTCCAATGTTGAGGAGTCACCTCTAGTGAGAGCCTTCTTGCTGATGGAGACTCTCTGGAGAGTCCCAAGCCAGTACGGGGGATCACATGGTAACGGGGCTGAGCACACTAACACTCGGGTCTCTTTTCTTTTTCTTACAAGGCCACCAGTTCTCCTTGAATGATAACCTGTTAATCCATTAACCCATTAATCTATTAAAACACGAATGAATTAATCCATTAATGAGGGCAGAACCCTTATGATCCACTCTCCTCTTAAAGGCCCTATCTCTCAATACTGCCACATTGGGCATTAAGTTTCCAAATGAGTTTTGGAGGGCGCATTCAAACCATAGCAAATGGCCGGGCACAGAACGACAGAGACCTCATTATCTCACTTATATGTGGAATGTAAAAGATTCTAACTTATAGAAATAGGGAGTAAAATTGCAGTTACCCAAGGCTTGGGATAGAGGCACTGGGGCAATCCTTGCCAAAAGACAAAAAATTTCAGTTAGACAGAAGGAATAACTTAAGAGCTCCATTGTACATCATGACAACTAAAGATAACAGTGTATTATATATTTAAAAATTGTTAAGCTATTAGATTTTAGGCGTCCTCACCACAAAAAATAAGCATATGAAAGAAATGTACATGTTAAATAGCTTGATTTAGCTATTCCACAATGTAGATATATATCACATGTTGTATACCATAAATATATACAATTTTTACTTGTCAGTTAAAAAATAAATAAAAAAGAAATATTTCTGAATTAAAGAAAATTTAAGATCAAAAATAAATTCATGGATGTGGAATATTTTAATCACCAGTGGTGTCAAGGTACTGAACAAAGATGCCTGCTTTGATTGGCAGGAGACACTTATTAATCCTTGCTGAATGATTGCCCATGCAATATTCTTGACTGACAGGTCTTCACCCCCTAACTCATTCCTTCTGCAAGTGTACCTAATGGACAATTTAGTACAAGAAGGGAATTTATTTATGTCTGTGGCTTTATCTCCCCTTCCTCTTGGGAGTTGTTCTATTCACTGATATCAATTGTTGTCTTAGTTCATTTGGGCTGCTACAACAAAATACCATAGACTGGGTGTCTTCTAAATAACAGGGATTTATTCCTCACAGCTCTGGAGGATAGAAGTGCAGGATCAAGATACTGGTAGATTCAGTGTCTGGTGAGGGTCCACTTTCTGGCTCATAGAGTGTCTTCTCAGTGTGCCCTCACATGGCAGAAAGGGGCCTCTTTTATAAGAGAACTCATTTTATTCATGAGAGCTCTGTTATTATGAGATGATCACTTCTCAAAGGCACCTCCTCCCAAAGGCCCTTCCTCCATCATATTGGGGGGTAGAATTTTAATGTATGGATTTTTGGTGGTACACAAACCTTCAGTCTATTGCAAATGTTCTCCATTAGTTGCTGTCATGAGTTAGCTTAGCAGTGAGGCCTGTCCCTGTGGTTCAGTGCTGCATGGTCCAGTACTACAGCAATGACAGGGTGTCAGTCAGTCCAACTGGGGGATTCAGCATCAGAAAATTGCTTGTACCAGACATATGCTGCATTCTCCAATATCAGCTTTAGCAGCAATATTGGAACTAGTTTGATTCTCTATTTGCTTTACTATTTTATCTTAGTTTTAAATTGAGTTATAACTTGCCGAGAAAGAGGGGTAGAATTTATCAAATCCCCTCGAATCTGAAAAATCCCAAGGAGTACATAAATTTTCTTTTCCCAGCTTTTACTTTAAGATGACATTCTGTAAATTTATACAAAAGATATTAAAAAGAAAAAAAGAAGATATTTTCTTTGTCTTTTCTGAACAATGTGAATAATTATAATTTTTAAAATCTCAGCCCAGCCTACATGTTTTTACTTCTTAATTCAGAACTCTTACTTTTACATAGAGGAACTAGTTCATAATCCTAGTTACAATATTGTATTGTTCCCAGATTATAAAACTGTATGAAAACTATTATTTTACTAAATCTTAGACTTTTAAAAGCATCTCAAAAAATCAATATTTTTGTTTTTATTTATAAGTATATTTAATATTCAGCAATAATTTTAATAGGCTATGATCTAGGGTAGATCAGGTAAAACTAGAGTTTGTTTTTTTTTTTACTACTATTTAGTTCCTTGCAAATTTCATGTATTTGTGAAAAGCGTATTAAAAATACCACCCATCATCTCTTTGCTCAGAGGTGACCACTGTTAACATTTTGGTGTGCATCCTTCTAGGCTGTATTCCATATGATGAACACATAACACACACATGACACACACATGCATACCTCTCTCTATTTTTCAGAAAAAGTAATCAAGTGTTAGAGAGATTGTGACTTGACTAAATTAACCCTGTTATTGCCAAGGTGAGACAGAAATCAGAACTCTTACATTTGCTTTAGAGATGGCTCAAGAAATCCTTCCTAGTGAAATATTTTTAAATATTGAAGGATCAGTGAATTCACATTAGCTTTTTTAGGAGACTACCTGAAAGTCTGTTTTGAGGAGATGCTCTTTAAGGAGCCTCATTAAAATGATAAACACCAGGAGCGGGTTGGTGCTTAGTGAAATCTCTAGGGGAGAAGGGTAAATCTCACCAGGATTAACACATCTTGGGAACCACGCATCACTGCACTTTGGAAAAGATGCAGCTTACCATAAAAGACAAACTGTAAAGGCACTGCCATTTCTCAAAAGAACAAAAGATGAGCAGAAAATGTAGACCAAATTAGATCAATTGGGAGCTTATGTCTTATAACATTTGATGGAGAATTCCATGTGGAAAATGTGCCATCACCAGATGGAGAAATATTTTATAATGCCTATTTTTCAGTTGGATTAGGACATACAAAAATGCCATATTTGAGCTTGGTCATAGGCTGCTTAGGGATGCCATGTGTACAGAACTCTCCTCACAGTGTACTTTCCCATCCCACTGAGGACCAAATATCCAAACCACTCTAAATCTGACAATTCTAGGAGAAAAATTCTAGATAAAGGTGAAGAAATACAATGACATAAAAATTCGATTACATTGAGTAATTTCATTCCATAGAATTCAATGTGGTTTTTAAGTCTTGCAATTTTTACAAACTTTTTGCCATATATATATATATATATATATATATATATATATATATGTTTGCATTTTTTTTTTTTGAGACATGGTCTTGCCCTGTCACCCAGGCTGGAGTGGCAAGATCACAACGCACTGCAGCCTAGTCCTCCTGGGCTTAAGTGATTCTCCCACTTCAACCTCCCAAGTAGCTGGGGCTACAAGCATGTGCCAGCTAGCTAGGTTTTGTATTTTTTGTAGAGACAGGGTTTGGCCATGTTGCCCAGGCTGGTCTTAAACTTCTGGGCTCAAGCGATCTGCCCACCTCAGCCTCCTAAAGTGCTGGGATGTACAGGCATGAACCACAATGCTTGGCCCCAAAAGCTTTATATTTATAGCATACTTTGAAATAGGCACTGTTCCAAAATATATGAGATCTTTATAATGGTTGTTTATAAACCTTGTTATAGATTGAATGTTTGCATTTTCCCGCACGTGATGGTATTAGGAAGTGAGGTATTTGGGAGGTAATTAGGTCATGAGGGTGGAGCCCTCATGTAGGTGCTCTCTGAAGCACCTAAGAAACTCCAGAGCTGCTTCTTGCTCTTGGCCATACAATGAGAAGATGGCCATGTGGAAACTGAATCTGCCTTCACCTTGATCTTGAACTTCCCAGCCCCCAGAACTGTGAGAAATAAGTCAGTGTTGTTTAAGCCACCTAGTCTATGGTAATTTGTTGCAGCAGCCTAAAGTGTCTAAGACCTTAATTTGGAGTTTGGGGATTGCCTGTTTTCTGTGGGCTGGTAACGGATTCAAACATTATTAGAAGAGTTGTCTGTTAGTATGATCAAATGCGGAGGGCACAGTGTTTGCTGGGTTTGTCATGTAGAAATATTCTTTTCTTCCAGGGCCACAGCTCCTTTGATGGGCATTTTGATAGGAATGCAATTAAAAAGTAGATTGGATATTCTGTTGCAGAGTATAATGGATAATGACATTTTGATCAATTAAAACATGTACAATTTCTAAAAATTTTATTTTTTTCTGAAGATATTTATATATTAATCATAGATTGGAGGAATACAGAAAAATAAAGCTCCCTGAGAAACTTTAGTCTTGAGTGGTCACATTACTCCTGGATCCCCACTGTGTATGTGTCACTGCTTCAAGGGATACACATACTCCTACACACATTCACAAATAAATAGAAACAGGTTTATAGACCATACTGTTATAACTTTTAAGTCATTTTTAAAAATGTGAATATTTATCCATGTCATCAAATATCATTTTAAAATATAGATTTTAGTGAATGACCAATATTTCTTGTTCTGGATATTACATACCACTTATGTTTAAGATTTAGGCTGTCATACATATAAGTTGTTTCTCTTCTTTATAACTGACCCTGTGTTTAACATCTTTATTAATAAATAATTGTTTATATCTTTGACTGTTTCCTCACAGTAAATTCATAGAATTAGAGTTAGTAAGTCAAACATTATAGAAAATTTTTAAGAATTTTGATGAATATTGATAAATTACCTATTAAAAAGGATGTAACAGGTAACATTCTCACTAGTGACATATAAATATCCACTGTCTTATAACCTCACTAATAATGAGTATTATTGTAAAACAATTGCTTATATGATGTGTTAAAAATGAGCCCAGCATTTAAAGTCCTTTGATTTGACCATAAGTTGAACTTGAAGAAATATTTTTATTGTCCATATGTATTTTTTTATCTTGTGCATCAGCCTTTCCCATTTTGCCAATTTTCCTAGTGGCATATTCATCTCTTTCTACTGTGTAAGAGCATTTTATGTATTAGGAATAATGACCCATTGTCTGTTATTTATGGTGTCCCAATTTCCTTCTAGTTTGTGTTTTTGAGATTTTGCTTTTGGAAGCTTTTGTTGCATAAACATTTTAAATTTTTATGTGATCGAACCCATCAAACTTTTACTTTATGTTCTCTTTTCTTTATTTCTATGCTTGGAAATGCTTTCCCTACTGTGAGACAGATATTTACCTGAAACAACACATAAAACATTGTTTTACAACTGCTGCTATTTTTATTGGTTCTCTTCTGGAAAGGCGTGCTTTGTGAACAAGGTGGGAACAGAAAGGTGGGAGAGGACCCAGGGGGAGTATGTGTTGAGGAGTAGAAGCTGCTGAAGCTCTCACTTCTGATTAGACTCTGAAGGCTTTTCCTCTTTTTAGCAACACCAAGCATCAAGATTAATGAGAGGAAGAAAGAGCAAATCAGTGTACTTTGAAGCACTGTCTTTTGCAAAAGCTGGGAGCATCCACGCATCCGTTCAAATTGTGACCTCCACCAGGTGATCCTTTTGGGCGCTATTCCTCTCCGGGAGCCTGGGGTCCCTGCTGGCCTTCAGCTTCCTTCCTGTCTGGCTAGGCAAGGGAGTGGGGGGGGACAAGGGAGAAAGGAGGTGAGAGGTGCACAGAGCAATGGGAGAAGCTTGAACTGGGTCTTTGAGAGAGAGGGGAAGTCATTCTTCCACTCCCCTGACTGTCTTCATCTGCTCAGCTTTCTTTCAGCTTTTCCTGAGCTGCAATAAGAACGCAGGCTCAGATGTTTAATTCACAATTAAACACGGCACAAATGTGAGCTCTCAAATGTGATCAAGGGACAGTCACTCAAGAGTGAAATTTAAGAGATCAACCAAAAGGAGCTGGGTAGCCTGGGTGCTCTAGAATCTGAGCCCCCAGACAGACACTATCTGTGCCCACTCCCCGAGTGAGGCTGGTCTTGTCATCCTGGCCAATTCCTGCAGGTAGGATCACAAAGACAAGTAATTCTTGATCTTAGTAGTCATGATCAGAGCTCTGTGTGCTGTGGGAATTATCCTCAGGATTTTATACATAATCAGTAGAGAAAATGAGCATTGGAGAATAGAAGAATATTAAAGAATAAAAGTGTCATCTTTAATTTCCTTTATATAGCTGAGGTATTCATAAATTATTTAGCTGCATCCTGCTCCACTGTGAGAGCAAGTGAGGGCTTTTGATGTTCTAAGGAGGGACTATTCTCATTCAGACATGTTACTTTGCTTGAGGAAAAGGCACATCTTTAGGACTGGCTAGGGTCACATTTAAAACTCATAGAAGGCAATAGGCTGAAGGCTACCATCCTTACCTATTGGAATCTGATATTAAACATAAAAATGTTCTCCTCGTATTTACAGCAGTTCATTTATCTGGTTCAGCAGAGTATAGATCTTTACTGAAATTGGGGAGTATGCTTGGGATGGCATTGTTCAAACACAAGACTCCTTGGAGAGTGATAAGTTCACCTTGGTAGCTTCTGCAGAGGCATCTCAAAGCAAAGACAGCCATCCTTCATGGAAACTACTGGTGTTGAAAATTCCACAGCAGCTGGGCTCTCGCATGAGCAGGTGTAGGTGCATGGCAGAGAGGATTCATCACCATATTTCTTGGCAGTTCTCTTGACTTATGATTCTGATCCCTCTTCTGGATAAACCCAATGCCCTGGACCATGGTGATGCTTGAGTCAGTAAGTCAAGGAGCAGATTTATTCTGGGCATTGTAGGGAAGGCATATGCCTTTCACTTTCCAGAAGTGATAATTGAAGAGTAGAAAGATGAGGGAAGTAAATGCATAATTTATTACATATATTGATTTGACCTAGGGCAGTGAGAGAAGCTATAGGTCAGCAGGACCCAGAAGCCCTAGAAGAACATAGGTTGCTTAGCTCTTTTATGCATAATTTATGTTCTTCCTCTTTGTGTCTTCATTCTTCTCTGTGGCTCAAAACCTCTATTGTCCTACCTGACCTTTCTTCATGGTGGAGCTGACCATACTCCCAGAACTCTTGTCTTTTATTACTATTTATTTAATTTACATGTAGATTGCACATTATCATCATTATCACAGGGTAAGAGCCCTATTACCAGCGTAACACAGAATGCACTAAGCACACTCTAGCCAGACCTATAACCTTACTTAGCATCCCACTATTCCTGGCTCAACTTTCTTACTTCTGCGATCCCAGAAATGCAAAATGCTTCTAAATTCTCCATCTTTTCTCTCTTCCTTCTCATGCCCTGGTTTATCTGTACAGTTTTCTTTGCAATTGCTATTTTAGCTCCTCAATGCCTTCCACACTCTATGATAAGATAGTAGAAAATATTTCCCAGATTTTGCTGCATATTGGAATCATCTGCCTTGATGGTGGCAATTACATCAGAATCTCTGGGAGTGAGATCCAAATTTCAGTAATTTTTTTGCAGCTCTCCAGGTGATTTAAAAAAATATCTGGTTTGAGATCCAGTGTACCAGATCCTTGCTACTCAGTGTGTGCCTCAGGCCAGGAGCAAGGGCATCACCTGGAGCATGCTTGAGATGCAAGCTCTCAGGCCCCACCCCCGTCATCCTGTTGAATCTGAGTATGCATTTTAACAAGACCGCAATTTGATTTATATGCACAGTGAAATTTGAGAAGACAAGGGATCCTCTTCAAACAATACATTGCAATCAACAGTGTCTGGTTTTCCATTTGCATTAGCCAAAGATTGCCATAAATTCACTAGAGTCAAAGTTAGGTTTATTAAACTTGTGTCAATGTGGGAAAATAAGCATCAGAGGAAACATGGGGCCTCTAAGTAAGAGGCAGTTAGGAGAGGCAGAGTATAAGACTTGGGCTTGTGCTATGTGATTTAACAGCAGTGGGCTCTTAAATCCTCCCTACTCCTAGGGAAAAATGACAGATCAGAGCTCTGAATTGCCTCCCCCTTCCTTCCTGACAGCACTCAATCCCGAACGGGTCTCTGCTTTCTCAAACTCTTTTTCAAGGAGAAGGCATTTTGGTCCGCCCAGCACAGTGCTTTAGGTGGGCCAGGGAGCAGAGGGCCTGGGTGACAATAAACAGTTCACTATCTTTATAGCATATAGCTAATGGCAGCCACATCCCACTGTTTACTTGTATTAAGCAGGTGTAATGTGGTCATATACAGTGTTTTCTGTAGCAATAACTTGACACATTAAATGCTGCTTTCCAGTCTCGCACTGACTGTGAATGTCCGGGCTCAACGGAGACCTTAACAACCTGAGCCAGAACTACGGAAGGACCTGACAGCCTCACTGTGTCTCCCCCCTACACTCTAAGGAGATGACTTCACAGAGATTTGGAAGGGAAATGAGGGGTCTTTAGGAACAGAATGTTTTTGAGGGTCTTCAGAGAGCAGTGGCTCTTTCTCTTATCACTGGATAAAGGGCCACTCGACATATTTCCCCTAAAGATTGTGGTGTTTCTGAACTTGGGGCCTGAGACTTAATTTCATCTGGTGGTTGTTCCGTGGCAGTACCCGTAGACAAGCTCCAATGGCACCAGGGAAGTCTTATAGAAGATAGAAACATGGCAGAGCTGGTTGGGAGAAGATCATGGCCATCTCCAGAACCTTAAGTCCGACCCATTTCCTGTGGGGATTAGGTTGGTAGGACAGGAAATCCGACTTTTCTGTGGCAACATATGTAGCTAGGGAAGGTCTTGATTTCTAGGCAGCCCCCAAAGAATCTCCCCAAAGACAAAGGAATTCCACACAAAGACTTTGGGGTAGACCCCTTGCTGGGGGTGAGGAGTTGACCATAGCACACCAACCCTGTACACCTCCAAGGTCAGACAGTTTTATAGGCAGTGCTCACTTGGGGGCCTGAGGCCACGCTGCCATCTGCAAATACCAGCTCTGGCCCCTCTGGTCTCTGCAGCTGGCCTTTGTCAGATGTGTATGTAGTTTGGACATGTAACTTTGCCTCTGTTACAGAGGCTGACTCCTCTCCCCTTTATCCCAGTAGCAAAATAAGTTTAGACATAAGCCTAGGAGGAGAGTAAAGAGAGGGGGAAAAACATTTAGAGTGAGAAGCTATTAATGATAAAGATACCTGCCTTCCAATCAGGTATGGGCAGACCTATGCCAGCCTTGCAGTATCTGTCGCTTGCCAGCCAGTACCATGGAAACTCGTTGTCAGGTATTATGTGAGATCCACAATGTTTGGACACCATTGCTTATTCAGCTATCAGGCTAACTAACCATACAACCCAGCATACTTTTTTTTTTTTTTTGATGATGACCACAAACCTATCCATGCAATTTTTGTCAAAAATGTTGCTGACATCAAGACGCAGTATCCCAAGAGAAAGCTCCATGGCTGACATACTTGCTATTGGCTCCTAGGCATGCTCCCTTCCTTTCATAAGTGCTTACAGAATAATTAAAGGCTGTTTTATCAGTGATGATTATAGCTATGTTTACTGAGCTTGCCACACGCTGGGCACTGCGGCTCTGCATTTTACAATTCCTTCATTCTTATTTACTGTTAGGCCTCTAGGTGGGGACAGAGTTCCAGAAACTCTGGGTCAGTTTTTAAGCAGGCTTGGAGACTCAGAACCAGAAGCTGCGACCCGGTGGAAGGTGTGGCCAGAGGGAAAATGTTTAATTGTGGCCGCTATTTCTATCGTGCATCATATTCTGGGGCTTGCTAGAGAATCACCCTGTGCCTCTGCCTCCTTCTTGTTAGATTTTGCTACCTTATTTATTGGTTTCTTCCTCACTAGGATAATTTGTGAAGATAGAAATATTTCATTTTCAAACATCTCCCATGATCTTTCAGCTCTGTTTACTTTTAGAATCTTTGCAGTGAGCCAATTTGCTCTATTTTAATTTTTTGGAAACTATTTTTACTGAAGTCTATTTAACATCTGATGATATTGAATGTTCCTTTTTTTCAACTCCCTTTTCCTCTTTTCACCTTTAAATTAAAAATTTCTCATTTCTAGTCTAACAGAGTGCCTCCAAATCATGTGAGATTCCCAAGATCACAGAATTAACAGAATATTTTAACCTTATTAATACATGTGATTAGTGGTTTTAACTTAAAAAAAAAAGATTGTCTCTCTAAACAATATCCTGTTGAAGCTGAAAACTCCCACAAGGGGATTTAGAATGTGGTGTTTGAGAGCGTGGGCTCCGGGGACCAGCTTCCTGGTTTAATGGCCACCTTCGCCTGTGCTAGCTATGTGACTTTTGGGGGGGGTCCCTCTACCTCGCTACAACCAAGTTTCAGCACCTGAAAAATGGAAGCAAAACGTGACATCAGCCTCATAAGGAGCTAGCTGGAAGGAAGGGTTGAATGAATTAATTCATGTAAAGCATTTCAGTGACTGGGGAAAGTCAGCATCTCATCCATGCATCCCATAAATGGGTATAAGTTGGATGACTTCTAGGTCCCAGACACTGTCCTAGGTACCAGTAAAATATAAACATCCACATATGTATTTTAGCTGGTGCTGACAATTGTTAGGAAGAATGATGAATTAGAGAAAGGGGATGTATCAGTAAGACTTCTGCAGAAAAACAGAACCAATAGAATGTATGTCTATACGTAGGCTAAAATCTGTTTATTTTGTTTAAAGTTTGCTTTAAAAATATTTATTTCATCTAAAACACATTTTCATTGTAACAACTCCCTGGTAACCAGGTAGTAGAAGAGAAGGCTTAAAACTTCCATGTAACTTTAATTGCTGGAGACAAGTGATATTTATCAAATGTATCTGACCATTCTTGATGGGCCAAATTGGATTAGGTCAATTCAATATAGTGACCTTGCCTTACAGACAGATCTGTGGTCAGATGGAAAACTTACAGAATAGCAGGCTGTATCAGTCAGTATTCCCCAGAGAAACAGCACCAGTAAAGTATATATGTATTTCGAGAGAAGGAGAGAGGGAGAGACGGACATTGTAAGGAAGTGATTCATGTGGTTGTTATTGTGCGGGCTGCCAAGTCCATGATCTGTAGGGTAGACTAGGTGGGTTGGAAACCTAAGTACTACTACTCCTTTTTATTTTTTTTTCTTTCCCACATGGTGCTGATGTAATGCACTACTTCTATGTTGCAGTCTTGAGGCAAAATTCCTTCTTGGGAAAACCTCAGTTTTTGCTCTTAAGAACTTCAACTGATTTCATAAGTCCCACACACATTATCAAGGGTAATCTTTATCTAAAGTCCTCTATAGATGTTAATCACATCTACAGGATACATTCCCACCAACATCGTCATTAGTATTTGACCAAACAATTGGGCACTGTAGCCGAGCCAGGTTGACTCATCAAATTAACCTGGCCAGGGGGAGTGTGTGTTCCCTCATCAGAGAGTCGTAGGTGAGCTTCTGAGGAGGTGATGGATTTGAGCAGAGACCCAAGTGAAGATGAAGAGGGGGCATGCAGATACTGGTGACCAGCAGCCCGCAGCATTGTCCACTTACTTTGGTAGTGCCATGGAAAGTTAAATTTCATCCTGGCATCCTGGATCAATGTATCTAGTTGGTTTTTTTAAATGATAAACAAGAAGCCAAACTCTTGTGACATTTTAGAAGTTAAAATTGTTCAGGAATACTCATAAATGCACAAGACACACCTGACTATGCATGTGTGTGTGCACGTGTGCACATGCATACACACACACACACACACACACACACACACACTTCCTTTTCCTTCCGGAGATGGTCTTTTCTGTGGTCTTAAATAAGCTTATGTGTTCTGAAAGAGAGCTCTTGCTGTTCCTTTATCATTTAGCTCCAAACAGTGCAGATTTAGAAGTGCATTCCCGGGGATAATGCTGAGCATTGGGTAAGTTTTTTTTTTTTTTTTTTTTTTTTTTGAGGGGGTATGTTAAATGAGAAAATGTTTAACTTCTATAGAATTTTCACTGCCAGGACCTCATGCATTCTTTCCAGTAGAGTTTTATTTTATATGTATTCACTTTGGTTTGCCTGTGAGGTGTTGTGGCTGTAATGCCCGAGGGATCATTTGTACACCAGGAAACTCAAAGATGGTAAACCACGGCTGAGCCTTGTCTTATTCTGTGCGGCATGTAACCTTTCACATTATTCTAATGAAAATGACATTTATGATTGCAGCCTTCTGTGAACTTTCAAAAGCCAGCTGTAATAAAATTGCTGCCTAGGTTTTCTATAGCATCTTTAACTTTGACTTGTGTAGCAATATACCAGGGAAAAAAAGAAATGAAAGCAAACTTTTATTTTCCAAGAAATTAAATTTGATATCAATGTTTTATGTCCACACTGAATTAAAATCTATAAAATTTTAGGAAACTGAAGGTCTGAAAAAAATAAAAGGTTGTCTCACGGGATTTTTTCCTTTGGTTGAGGTTTGCAGCCTAGTTTTGTTCCTCCAAAGGGATTGAGATGGTTCCCAGTGGAGCTTCCCTGTGCTAAGTCTCTGAACTTTTTGGAATTACCCCTTGAAAAAGATCAACATATTCTGCCTTGGTTATTGGGAAGCTGACAAGATATGTTGAGGTTTTAAATCGGGGGCTCCTCTGATATTATTTGTATTAGTCTGTTTTCATGCTGCCGATAAGGACGTACCTGAGACTGGGCAATTTACAAGAGAAAGAGGTTTAATTGGACTTACAGTTTCACATGGCTAATGAGGCCTCACAATCATGGTGGAAGGCAAGGAGGAGCCAGTCACATCTTACATGGATGGTGGCAGGCAAAGGGAGAGTAGGGGAACTCCTCTTTATAAAACCATCAGATCTCATGAGACTTATTCACTATCATGAGAACAGCATGGGAAAGACTTGCCCCCCATGATTCAATTACATCCCACCAGGTTCCTCCCACAACACATGGGAATTCAAGATGAGATTTGGGTGGGGACACAGCCAGACCATATCATTCCACCCTGGCCCCTCCCAAATCTCATGTCCTCACATTTAAAAACCAATCATGCCTTCCCAACAGTCTTCCATGGTCTTAACTCATTTCAGCATTAACTCAAAAGTCCACAGTCCAGTGTCTCATCTGAGACAAGGCAAGTCCCTTCCACCTATGAGCCTGTAAAATCAAAAGCAAGTTAGTTACTTCCTAGACACAACAGGGGTACAGGCATTGGGTAATACAGCCATTCCAAATGGGAGAAATTGGCCAAAACAAAGTGGGTACAGGCCCCATGCAAGTCCAAAATCCAGCAGGGCAGTCAAATCTTAAAGCTCCAGAATTATCTCCTTTGACTCCATGTCTCACATCCAGGTCATGCTGATGCAAGAGGTGGGTTCTCATGGTCTTGGACATCTCTGCCCCTTTGGCTTTGCAGGGTACCACCTACCTCCTGGCTGCTTTCATGGGATGGCATTGAGTTTCTGTGGCTTTTCCAGGCACACAATGCAAGCTGTCGGTGGATCTACGATTCTGGGATCTGGAGGATGGTGGCCTTCTTCTCACAGCTCCACTAGGTGGTTTCCCAGTAGGGACTCTGGGTGGGGGCTTCAACCCCACATTTCCCTTCCACAAAAATGCCCTAGCAGAGATTCTCCATTAGTGCCCTGCCTCTACAGCAAAATTCTGTCTGGGCATCCAGGTGTTTCCATACATCTTCTGAAATCTAGATGGAGGTTCCCAAACCCCAATTCTTGACTTCTGTGCAGTTGCAAGCTCAACACCACGTGGAAGCTGCCAAGGCTTGGGGCTTGCACCCTCTGAAGCCATGGCCTGAGCGTTATGTTGGCACCTTTCAGCCATGGCTAGAGCAGTTGGGAGGCAGAGCACCAAGTCCCTAGGCTGCGCGCAGCATGGGGACCTTGGGCCCGGCCCACAAAACAATTTTCTCCTAGGCCTCTGGGCCTGTGATGGGAGGGGCTGATGTGAAGACCTCTGACATGCCCTGGAGACATTTTCCCCTTTGTCTTGGAGATTAGCGTTAGGTTCCTTATTACTTATGCAAATTTCTGCAGTGGGCTTGAAATTTTTCAAACTTTTATGCTCTGCTTCTGTTTTAAAACTGAATACCTTTAACAATACCCAAGTCACATCTTGAATGCTTTGCTGCTTAGAAATTTCTTCCACCAGATATACCCTAAATCATCACTCTCAAGTTCAAAGTTCCACAAATCTCTAGGGAAGGGGTAAAATACCGCCAGTCTCTTTGCTATAACATCACAAGAGTCACCTTTGCTCCAGTTCTCAACAAGTTCCTCATCTCCATCTGAGACCACCTCAGCCTGGACCTTATTGTCCATATGCTATCAGGCTTCTGGTCAAAGCCATTCAACAAGTCTCTAGTAAGTTCCAAACTTTCCCACATTTTCCTGTTTTCCTCTGAACCCTCCAAACTGTTCCAGCCTCTGCTTCTTACCTAGTACCAAAGTCACTTCCACATTTTCAGGCATCTTTTCAGCAATGTCCCACTCTACTGGTACCAATTTACTGCATGAGTTCATTTTTATGGGGCTGATAAAGACATACCAGAGACTGGGCAATTTACAAAAGAAGAGGTTTAATTGGGCTTACAGTTCCACATGGCTGGGGAGGACTCACAATCATGGTGGAAGGCAAGGAGGAGCAAGTCACTTTTTACGTGGATGGTGGCCGGCAAAGAGAGAGAGCTTGTGCAGGGGAACTCCTCTTTATAAAACCATCAGACCTCATGAGACTTATTCACTATTATGAGAACAGCATGGGAAAGACTTGCCCCCATGATTCAATTATCTCCCACCAGGTCCCTCCCACAACATGCAGGAATTCAAATTGAGATTTGGGTGGGGCCGTAGCCAAATCATATTATTATTGAATTGGGGTGACCATTTACTTAGCTTCTATATTTGTTAACTTTTCTCAGACATGTCTATAGTAGCATCTGTACATCAAATTGTAAGCACTGATGTTGAATACCATTCAATCAGTTGCTTTCAGAATACCTTAAGATTAGAAACAAATTCACGTTTGTCTTCCCTATTGTGTCAGTTAGATACTGGCTGTCAGGGTGGCCCTTCATTTATCAACGAGATGGATTGATCTGCCTCCAACACGTGGCATTATATTTAATCCCATCAATTATCCCCTCTATGACATTCCCTGTTGCTTCCTGATTGGCCAAACAGGCCACATAGCTCACATAGTCCTCCTCAAAGGGCCATGCATACAATGAACAATTCCTAAGATCTTGGGCACCCGAAATACTTGGCATCTGTGAAATAAAATATGTTATTAATTGTTATTTCTTATTAATTCTCAAGGGAGCACTGGGATGATTTTCCCTGAATGTTTTTGATAAATATTGAGATTATATTTTTCTTCCAAGTCCTGTTTTTTAAGTGAAAGCTGAATAACTAGAGTGAAACCCGAAAGCCTGAATCATGGCCTCCAATTTAATATTTCCAGGGAAAGTGCTACCTTTTCATTTAAACTGGACTCACAAATCCATATTTCTTCTCTCTCTTTTCTCCTAAGTCTGACAAGAATGGCTTTCTCCGAACTCAGCCAGTAGCAAGTCAAACCTCCTAAAGGAAATTATAGTGAGAATGGGAGGGGAAGGCTGACAGTTATCAGCACACAATATGACAAGAGCATCCATCATGTCTGCGTTTAGGCCCAGGGTCTAGGGAGAGGAAAAAAGCAATAAAGCAAATAAAAGTGCGGAGCCTCGCTTGATGTATCCGTAAACTCAATGAATGTTAACCTCTCCCTGGAACCCTGGGTTTCAGTCTTTGCCTTCTTCACACCTGTGGTTGTCATTAGGTGTCTTCTGGACCCAAGGGAAGTACAAAGCTCTGCTCCATCAACAGCTCTTTTGGGTTCTTATTTTTATTTTTGTGCTCAATAAGTACTTTTTATTATCCTACTTCGCATGATGTTTAATCATCAAATGTTTTATTCAAGGATATACTGTTGTGAATAAGTATGTTTTTCTATTTTAATATTTTTTATTTTTAATTATGGTAAAAATACTAAGCATAACATTTACCATCTTAACCATTTTAAATTGTACAGTTCAGTGGTGGTAAGTAAATTCATATTGTTGTGCAACAGATTGCTATAACTTTTTAATCTTGCAGAACTAAAACTCTATGCCAACTGAACAACAATTCCCCATTTCCCCTCCCCACAGCCCCAGCAACTGCCATTCTTTTTTCTTCTGTTAATTTGACTGCTTTAGATAACTCATATAAGTGAAATCACATAGTATATGTCTGTCTAACTGGCTTATTTTATTTAGTATCATGTTCTCAAGGTTCATCCATGTTGTAGCATGAGGCAGGATTTCCTTCCCTTTTAAGTTTGAATAATATTCCATTAGGTATATACCACATTTTCTTCATTTCATCTACTGATGGACATTTGTGTTACTTCTACCTTTTGGCTATTATGAATACTGCTGCTATGAGCATGGGTATGTTCTTTGGGTTCTCTTATGCACAAATGTGCAAGCTTACGAAAAAATGTTCCAATGCTCAGGGGACAAATAACAGTTAGCACCCCTTTTGGAGATCCTATAAGACTTTGAAGTTGCTAGCCTACAAACTACTATTTAGAAATTTGTGCAAAATACCTTGCTCTAGAAAGGCTCTAAATGTAAAGGGAGTGAGGAAATAAGACAAAAAGTATAGTCACAAGTTATCCTTTGCTTAATTGAAGAAGAAAAATGGTAGTTGTAAGAATTAAAATGTATCTGTGAACTTCATCTTTGAGGGCACTTCCATTAGCCCCACAAAGATAAAGAGAGCAGGCTGAGCCAAGGAGACAAGCAGTGGGCACTGGAGTTCTCGCAAAGTCCTCCCACCTTTGGACCACCATTTCATCCCCAACTAATCACCCTACTTTCCACTAGAATAACAATCCACTTTCAACATCATGTCTGAAACACAAAAGTGTGCTGCAGCTCTTTTGCCTGCAGGATAAATTTCACTATCTTCATCCAGCAATGAAAAAATCTCTCTTAAGGGGCCCAGGATTTTCTGGTATCATTCGCCTCCCCACTACTCTTTATTTCATGGAGGCTAAGTGGGGATGATTTAGCTGTTTGACCTGAACTTTTATCTCTAGCCTGTCAACCTTCTAGTAGTGTGATCTTGAACTAGATAGTCTCTTGAAATCCTAGTTTTCTTATCTGCAGAATGGAGATGATATGGCTTACCTTAGTTGTGAGGAATAAAAAAAATAAATAGGATATTTGTTAAAAATCTCAACATTTAAAAAATAAAAAATCTGTTTCCATCTAAAATCTTCTGTCTTATCAATCATTCCTCATCTCTATGCAATTATCCACTGATTAATAGCTTCCTGACTGCAAATTTGCTTTTCATGTGAAATATTCTTCTTTTCATATGAAATGTCAATCTTTCTATCCACCCATTCAAACCTTACACATTTCCCAAGGCTAAGATTAAGTGACAATTACTACACAGATGTTTTTTGAATGACTCTTAAAGGTGACAGGCAGCTTGACAAAGAAATGACTTTGTAATGCATGTAACAGTAAATTTATTTGCCACTAAAGTCCTATTTTTCATCTTCTATGCCACACAACTAACTTAATCTGATAGAGTTCAAGCTTCATTCAATTAGTGGAATAGTATCATTTAAACAATAGCTTTTTACGTTAGGCTTACCTAAATTCACCCCAGTGTATCTACAGTTTCATAACCAACTACTTATTTATTTTTTGAAAAGAAAAAGGAATATTTGGGAGCATTGTGGATAGAGAAGGAAAAGATATGAAGGACAATAGTTACCCATTCATATGTGGCCCAGCAGTTTTTGGTTTTACTCCCCCCACTCTTCATTTCACAGAGGCTGAGTGGGACTGATTTAGCTATTTGACCTGAGCTTTTGTCTCCTTCTTCTACTCCTGGGCTACTGTAGGTTATTTGCATGATGTAGGAATCTTCTCTTAAAATGGTTGTGGCTGGAGATGGATGTGATATTAACAGACCCTGGCACCATGGCTGCAGAGATTTTTCTGTTTTTGTTGCTTGAATTATTCATACAGGAAAGTCATTAGGTTTAAATTAGGATCCAGAGTATTATCTGAATAAGCAAATGGAGTGTCTAGCTGGAGACCTTCCCTGGCCCTCTATCACTCACTGTACTGTCATCTACCACCTCTCTGCTATATCCATTAGAAGCAGGCTTGATCCTGAGTGGTCTTCATTGAAGACTGTTAAACCAGAGGAAGTGATTATTCCACTTTGACATTTCCTCCTAAGACCCAGTCAGAAGAGGATCTGGTTATTATTGGCTCAATGACTTTATCTTAATTGACAGGAATTATGACATTCATGTGGCTAGGTTCTACTAACAAACATAACATTGCCTCAAATTTCTTGTATAATTGAGACCAGTAATTCTCCAATGTCTAAACCTAAACTACTGCAGTTTTTAAATTTCCCTTAAGGGGAAAGAGGCATAACATAATTTAATAAAAAATTTTCCCATACCCAGATTTAAACTTTGATATTCTCTTGAAGACTAAAGAATGAAGACAAACATTAAAAAAGTTTTACAGGAATTTTCTTTATATTTAGTAAAAATGGGCTTAGTGATCTTCCTGTTTCAGTCTCTTTACCCTGTCTACATGACTCAACTGACCATCTGTGATAATGCCCTGTGGCTCTCGACACCCTTTTATGGTGAGAGAGTTGGGTTTTCTGGGAAGTAGATGCCAAGGTAGGTTAGAAATGCCGGACGTTGAATGTGGGGGAAATAAATAGGAGAGTGAACAGAGAAAGGCTTTAGGTTGTGATGCAGGTATTATATCTGTGAGAGGAGGGTGAGAATGAAGGAAGATTGGGTAGGAAGAGCCTCAGACTGTAATGCAGCTCTCAGGAAGTCTCAGCCAGCTCAACGAGGAGCTTTGGTACAATGACTGCCTGTGAAGGAGTCTCATCTTGACAAGAGATACGTGGTCTTGTTTCCCGCAGTTGGTCTGAGGGTTAAAACTGGTACTCACTTCTTCCCTCCTTTACTAAATTTATTTCTAAATTCCCATTGCCTTCCATTTGCTCCTCTGCTGATTTCAGTGGCTGTCATGGTGATATGATACAAATCCTTATTTCTGACAGACCTGAACTTCTAGTAAGTGTCACTTTCTCATGCTTGGGTTTTTGTATATATTTACTTACAGTCACAATCGGGCAAGATTACAAAAGGGCGCCCAAATGGAATCACTTGAGTTTCACACACATATTCCTCCTTGCTGCACTGCGTGATAGAAGTTATAGCTCTTTCCACCTTTCAAGGTCATTTGTCTCTGAAAGAGACTGTCTGTCTTTCATGTTAGTCCTTGGACACAAGAAGTCCAAGTTCCCTGGCAACAGCCACTAATTTTAATTCAATAGGACCCTTCCTGTATCCTCCAGCAAATGGGCACATCCCAACCCCCAATGAGTCTAGGATCTCTAACCATAGAGAGTCCAGTGTTGCAGAGATGGGGAGCACAAAATCCCCAGTGGATTATTGGGAAGTGAGATCATTCCTGCTTTCATCCTTTGGTTCCTGGACCCATGCATTTTTCATATGGGGAATGTGACACCAGATAGAGGGCTCTGATTCAATGTGATACTGCATCTTAGAGGATGGCACCCACTCCTTGTATAGTTTTGCCTCTGAGATGATACTTTAGTGACACCTGCAATAGGAATTCCAGTGCCATATCAGACCAGCTTCTTCTGGACGGTTCAGTTTCAAAGGCCTCTGATGAACTGGCCCCAGTGTGAGAGGTTTGATTTCAGAGACCAAAAATCCAATGTGTGGGTTACTTCAGCATCCAAGTATGTTGATATTGCTTGGCTCTGTGTCCCCACCCAAATCTCATCTTGAATTGTAATCCCCACATGTCAAGGGAGGGACATGATGGGAGGTGATTGGATCATGGAGGTGGTTTCCCCCATGCTGTTCTTGTGATAGTGAGGGAGTTCCATGAGATCTGATGGGTTTTAAAGTGGCAGTTTCCCTTGCGTGCTCTCTGTCTCCTGCTGCCTCGTGAAGAAAGTGCCTGCTTCCCCTTTGCCTTCCACCATGATTGTAAGTTTCCTGAGGCTTCCCCAGCCATGCAGAACTGTGAGTCAATTAAACCTCTTTTGCTTATAAATTACCCAGTCTTGGGTAGTATCTTTATAGCAGTGTGAGAATGGACCAATACATATGTCAGTCTCAATTATACATGAGGAAACTGGGGAAATAACCACAGAGTGAGTTCATAGACTCTAAATACACTGTAAGCCAAAATTTTCATAAGGTCTTATAGCATGGCCCCTACATCACCATACTCTAATAGGGGAGCTATGACAATGCTTTTAAGAATCCAGGTACTACCAACATAGAGCGTGTGTCTAGTAGCTCTCAAAGTATCTGACTATTTCTCTTTCCTCAGTGCAGTTATCTAGGTAAATGGTTATAGGCCTCTTTGTGGAAGGAGTAGGGGAATCATTACATTTTACACATGCTGTGATGCTGCAGGGACCTTCTTCCTGGGGACCTGACCACCTTTTTAAGCAACAGTTTCTGAGTCTAAACGGATTCAGTTTTGGGAAGTGGGCAAGGAATTGTTTATCTGGGAATGTCTTCATTTCTCCTTTAGTTTTGAGGATTTTTTTCTGATTACAGAATTCTTTGTTGACAGTCTATTTTCTAGCACGTAGGGTATGGCTTCCCACTGTATGCTCTCCTCCATGACTCCTGAAGAGAAACCGATTTTAACCTTATTGAGGATCCCTTTCATATGATGAATTGCTTCTCTTTGCTGCTTTCAAGATTTTATCTTTGTTTTCTGACATTTGTTTATGACATGTCTAGTGTGAATATCTTTGAGTTTATATTATTTGGAGTTCATTATGTTTCTTGAATGTGTAGAATACTACTTTTCATCAAATTTGGGGAGTTTTTGGTCATCATTTTTTGAAATTTTGTTTCAGCCCCCTTTTCTCTCAACTCTCAATCTTGGACTCCCATTTTATGTAGGTTGGTATGCTGATGGCACCTCATAGGTCTCTGAGGCTCTATTTATTTTTCTTTTTCTTTCTGTTTGTCAAGCTGGGTAATCTCAATTGAGCATTCTTCTTCAAGTTTGCTGATTCTTTCTTCTGCCAGCTCTATTCAGTTATTGGGCTTCTCTAGCAAAATTTTAACATGTTATTGTACTTTTCAACTTCATAATTTCTATATTTTAATAATTTATATTTCTACTGATATTATCTGTCAATACATTATTCTCATATGTTTCTTTCACTGTTTTTAAGACTTTTTTTTGTTGTTTTTTTAGCATATTAAAAATAGCTGGTTTTACAGAAATACCATTTGACCCAGCAATCCCATTCTTGGTATATACCCCAAGGATTATAAATCGTTCTACTACAAAGACACATACACATGTATGTTTATTGAAGCACTATTTACAGTAGCAAAGACTTGGAACCAACACAAATGCCCATCAATGATAGACTGGATAAAGAAAATGTGGCACATATACACCATGGCATACTATGCAGCCATAAAAAAGAGTGAGTTCATGTCCTTTGCAGGGACGTGGATGAAACTGGAAACCATCATCCTCAGCAAACCAACACAGGAACAGAAAACCAAACACTGCATGTTCTAAGTCATAAGTGGGAGTTGAACAATGAGAACACATGGATACAGAGAGGGGAACATCACACACCAGGGCCTGTTGGGGGCTGGGGGCAAGAGGAGGGAGAGCGTTAGGACAAATACCTAATGCGTGCGTGTCTTAAAACCTAGATGATGGGTTGATAGGTGCAGCAAATCACTACGGCACATGTACACCTATGTAGCAAACCTGCACGTTCTGCACGTGTATCCCAGAACTTAAAGTAAAATAAAAATAATTTGTAAAAAGCTGATTTTAAATGTTTGTCTAGTAAATCGAAAGTCTAAATTTACTCAAGAAGTTTCCATTGACTGCTTTTTTTTTCCCTCTATGTATGGGCAATAGTTTTCTTGTTTCATTGTATGTACCTTAAATTTTTGGCTAAATCTGGACATTTAAAATATATAAAGTAGCAGCTCTGGAAATCAGATTCTCCCTGCTCCTTCAGGGTTTATTGCTGTTGTTGGCTGCTATTCTGTTGCCATTGCTTTGTTAGTCACTTCAGAGTTTACTATTGCTGCTGTTTGCTGCTATTATTCTACTGTTGTTGCTTTGTTTGGTCACTTTTCTGAATTTATTTATTTATTTTTTTGAGACAGAGTCTCTCTCGTCGCCCAGGCCGGAGTGCAGCGGTGCGATCTCGGCTCACTGCAAGCTCTGGCACCACGCCCGGCTAATTTTCTGCATTTTTAGTAGAGACAGGGTTTCACCATTTTAGCCAGGATTGTCTCTATCTCCTGACCTCGTGACCCACCCGCCTCAGCCTCCCAAAGTGCTGGGATTACAGGCGTGAGCCACCGCACCCAGCCGGAATTTATTTTTTTTAAAGTCTGCTTTCTTGGTGATGTGTGGCTAATAAAGCCTCTGCTTGGTTAGCTAAGTGGTCAGCTAATGATGATTTACCCAAATTCTTGGAATCAATGTCTCTGAGCCTTGCTGAGGGTTTCTCTATGTGTGCTGGCACATCTCTGTCAGTCAGTTTACAACTCTTAGCCTTAACTTCCTTCTTGCAAAGAGCCTTAAAATCAGCGGGGGATGATAATTTACAGCCTTTTCTGAGGTTTCCTGAGCATACACATAGCCCTATGCCAGTGCATGGCCTTTCAGATTCCCTGAAATATGTTGAAGCTTTTCAAAGTCTTCTATGGACCCCTAATTCACAAGCTGTTCTTTTAAAATTTCTTTGGATCAGCTTATTTTTTGCCCCATTGTTATCACTGCCACAGTCAACAATGATGTTAAACAATTGTACTGTTTTCTTTCCTTCTTTCTTTCTTTTTTTTTTTTTTTTTTTTTTTTTTTTTTTTTACAAACACTCATGAGAAAAAAGGCTGTTTGCATCAGGTAAACTCTGAGTCAGGTCAAATAAAGACAAGCTCTGCAAATGGAGTTTCCCAGGGAACTTCCAGAGAGATCAAATAATGACATTTTCCTGGAAACTGGGGTTTAAGAGGAGAGGAGAGAAGAGAGTCAAACACATTGAACCCTTCCAGTGGTTGCTAGTCTTCTGGTTTTCATTGTGATTGTGATATTGCTGGTTTTCGAGGCTCCCACAGAACTGGGGAGATGGGAATAGGAATAGGAATAGCGTAAGTTAAAATACCAGGACTTACTTCTCTTAGCAAGATTCAGTAATTTTTTCAAAGAAGTGCTCTCTGGATTGTTGCAAGTCTTTGATTAATTGTCAGAGTCGTGAAAAATTTAATTTGCATTTTTTTGCCAATATTCTCATTTTTTTTAATAAATAAAATATTTTCAGAGCTTTGTACTCCACTATCCTCACTGACATCTCTCAATGTTCCCCCAGTTTTGTCTATTTTTTCTGAATGGCTGCCCATTTATTTTTTGCCTCTCGGCAGGCATAGTGTTACTTTTAGTAAGTCCCCTTGACCTGTGCTCAGATTTTGCTGACAATTATGGTAATTGAATACTTCTGTCTTCTAGTGACTAAGTGGCCCCTCCTGGCCTCTATTAAACAATGGCTGGCACATGGTATATCCTCAGCAAGTAGTAACTGTAATTATTAGTGGTCATTCTTCATCCCCAGGAACTGACCTGATCTACTATGAATTAAATATAATATTAGTCTTAGAAGAGAAATATGTCTACTTCTGACAACAAAATGTATAAACCTGCTTCTACCTACATCAATCTGTTTCTCCTAATTCAATGGAGGTCATGATCTTCCTTTCTACTCAGACCATTATCTCCACTTGCACCCTGGATCTCATTCCTGAGCCTTACAAGTGCTCCGCTTTATTGATTATGCACCTTGTCTTCTTATCTGCAAAGTCTGCCTCATTACTGCCTCAGTCCCATCATAATTTAAACATGCTCAGTGTCTTCTCTAAACTCCACATGGCCTCTGGGTCTATATTTGATTTCATCCACAAAATGAATTTCTACACTTGCTATGTACTCTCCCCACCATCTTCTCATTTCTATTATATTACACTACTTTCTATGCCTCATCTCATCTAAAGCTGCTGTATAGGTCACCAATTACTTCCAGGTCATGAAATCCAGTGGGTGCTTCTCACCTGACATATTTCCTTCTCAGCAGCACTATATACTTCTGACCACTTCCTCCTTTTAGAAACAATTTTTCCTCCTTGGCTTTGTCACTTGTATTTTCCTAAATGTGTTTCTCTGTTATCTCCTCCTAAAATGACTTTTCAGGTTCAACCTCCTCTGCCAGACCATTGAATATTGGTGTTCCTCAGCATTTATTTTAAGGCTCCTTTTTTTTCTTTTAAATCCATATTTAGGCAATCTCATTACTCCTATGTCTTCAATCACCGTTTTTATGCATATAACTTTTACATTTACGTCTCTAGACCAGAGATCTCTTCTGAACTTCAGACCACATTTTCAAATGTGTACTATATACCTTCCATTGTATATCCCAAATGTACACTTCACATTTACGTCTTACACAATACTTACAATCTTCCTTATCTATTTTTCCTCCACTGCTGTTCACATCCAAGCAAAGCATGTCATCTGTTTCAATACCTAAGTGAGAGCCTTGGCGCTACCTTTGAGTTCCCTAACTCTCTCACCTCCACATTCATTAATCCAATATCAAATATGTTGGATCTATTTCCTAAACTTTTCATTCTTTTTCTTGCCTGCAACCATCCTAGTCCAAGCTATTAATATTATTCTCTTAAGCTACTCCTGTGATTTCTTAATTTGTCTACCCTATCCATTCCTGATCTGTGACTACCTTTAATTTATTCACTACAATACAAGACAGAGTGATATTTACAAACATCAAATCTGGTGATGACACTGTATAGACTACATTAAGGTCTTGTATTTAATGCTTGCATAACAATAGATAATTCTGTTTTCTAACATTCAAAGCATTTTTACTTACACATTCTAAGTGTCTTTCACTACTAGGTGTGACATCTATTGGGACACGGCTTAATTGTTTCTCACAAATGTGTCTCCATTGTCACATTTAGATAATGCGTTTGAAAATTACACAGCATTTGGTAGTTTTTGGAAGAGCAATCAGGAACCATTTGATATTTTTTAGAAGAACCAATGCCTGAATAAATTTATAAATATAACTGCAGACTAAAGCTAGCATTTAACCTATTATCTGGCTTTGGCTTTCTATACACAATTCTTGGTATTTTTCTACAGCTAGACAGTCAAGATATGCCAAAGTTTTGCCAAAGACTCTAACCTCTGAAACTATCATGCTTATTTTCTTTACCATTGTAGTAGATTGGAATATTGCCCCAATTCTTCACTATCTTCTATAAATTATTCACTTTTTCCACAGAGATTTGAAGTACCCTCCCACTGTAGGCACAGCATATGCTCCATATTGGGTGTGGCCATGTGAGTTGTATCATTGCGTGAGATGAGACACAAACTGCAGGCTTAAATATGCTGATGTTATTTTGCCTTGCTTTCTTGTGCTTTTGCCATTCCCTTTGAGAAGAACATGCTCTGGGTTTGCTCAATGACAAGGTAGAGATGAATGACACAGATTTGAAGTCCATATGTAGCCTAGAGCCAAGTCCAGCTGACCCATAGCCTGAGTTGAGCCATCATAACCAACCTGCAAAAGTATGGGGGAGAAAAATGAAAGTTTGTTGTTACAAGCCACTGGATTTGGGTGTGCTTTGTTATACAAGGTTATTACAGCAACATTCAACTAAAATGATCACCAACTGAGAAACACAACAATGTTCTTATGACACATATTTTAATCTTGACAAGTTGTTATGAGACTTTTGTACTAATTTTAGCCTTTCAAGCATTTATCTACATTGTCACTCTTTGGAAGTCAGAGATAATATTATTTGAAAGATGAAGTTAAATATAGGACATCAAATCAAGGTCCAATAAAATTTTCCTGATAGTAAGGTATGAACTTGTCCTACTTTCATTTTTGGCAATTCTGCTTCTTATTTCAGTTTGGATAATAATTACCGGTAATCTCTTTCCTTCCTTTGCAGTGGCAATCTCAGTTACTAATGTAACAGAGAAAGTTAGAACTCTATTTTGACATGAATTCTCAAAGGGCCTTTCAGGTCTGATAAGGTCTGATCCTCTAATTAATTAGCATACCTGTGAAACATCAACACTAAATTTGAGAATAACATTGCAAATTCATTTCTATTTATGCTTGCTATTTAGAAATTAGATTCCCCTTTAGGTTTAATTCACAATTATTTGCCAAACCTGTTTGAGACAAATGGGCACGTTTCTGGATTGAACCCCTAGCTAAAAATGAAGTAGTGAAATATGAGAATTATAAAACTTCAGCTGTATTAAGAAAAGGTGATATAGAAAAATGTATATATTTCAGTAAAAAGTATTTTATCATCAAACTAGTTTTTGCTTTTATTGAAATATTGCTTTATTCTCTTTTACACAAGCTTTTTAGGCTGAGAATTATTTATTAAACTAAAATAAATAGAGATATGCAAAAAGAACTTTGGTATGATACACAAAAGATGACAAATTTTAATCATCTGTCATGATACAAGATGGTGGTGAAAATTGGGTGGATTTGGACAAGGGTTGGAAGGACACTATATGTGTGTGTGTATATATATATATAAGTTTTAATTTTTGAATCATATAAATGTACTCTTTCTTTAAAAGGTATATACCATTTAATATAAAGTTTATGACTTAGAATAGAAACTAACTTAAGTAGCCCAGGCAGACTTATATAGCTTTGCATAAATTACATAATGCTCCATGCTTAGTATAATAGCTGGTACTTTACAATAGTCAGTACATATTATCTGAAGTAATAGTTTTTAGGTGAGGTGAAATATTTACTCTCAAAGCTCCACCTGATGTATGTCTGTTCTGACCTTGCTGACTATAACTATTGCTTCATTTAAGGTTATGGGACAATTGATGTGTAAGTGCTATACTGTTACTATTGGGGAAGAGAACTAGCAAGAAAATAGAGCATTTGTATACTTAATTTTATGGACAAGCTACTGGCTTGTTACTATTTTCATAAAGAGGAGAAATATAAATATAAGTCTTATTGGAATTCTATATTCAGTGAAATCCTTCACATTATTGTTAAACAGCTCATTTCTTAGTGGCATGAGATCATCTCAGTTTGTGTGCATTTTTCTCCATTTTGTAAAAGAAAGCTTTGAGAAAGTCCAATTCCAGAAAACATTGTAAAATGGAAATACGAATTTTCCATAAGCAGGCAGAAACATAAATGTTTAATTCAGTTTCCAGCTCTCAACATTTTAAGAACGTGTTTTGAACACCGAGCTTTATTTACATGTGGGCAGGTGGAAATTGTTGGCGGGGGGCGGTGGTTGTCTCTGTAATTTATAATAAGGTAGTGAAGAATTGGGGCAATATTCCAATCTACTACAGTGGTAATGAAAAAAGCATTATAGTGAAAATTAATAAGCTAATGTGTGCAAAGTGCTCTCTTTCTCTGTGTTAATCACCATTGAATATGAGCTGAGGTTATATATATATATATATTTAATATATATGTATTTTTCTGCTTCTTGCATACTGCCTTTCATTTCTTTCTCATGATCTTGAAGGCCTCCCTCTCCAACAACCTTATCCAATTAATTTTGTTATTACATGGAAGATCCACTTGCATGAGATTTATTTTTTTAAGTGACTTAGAAGATTAATTTGGAAGAACAGAATATATTACTTTTTCTGCTGAGCGGGTAGAAAATGAGGTCAGCAATGGAAGTCTTAGCTGACTTAGTTCTGTGCCCCATGAACCCAAGAGGCTCTATTCTCAAACTCAGGGATCATACTCTTGCTCAGTGCTCTGGAGAAGCATGGGGGCATACATCACTATTATCTCAACTTTGGAGCATCCGCTGAGCCAAAGCAAGACAGCAGCTTGAAGGTCTGCATTCCTTCTCCATTGCAGCGGCTTTCTTTCCTCAGGCACTCAATTACTTGAATCACAGAATTAATAGTGACTTTTTAATTTGAGAAAGCTGTTTGAATGTAGTCTTATGAGCTGCAAGACCTGTGAAGCTCCAGGGTAATTTTCTGAAATTCCATTGAGAATTTACAATCAACATGCTCAGACATAGCCCCAGCACATTTTCTACGGAGGCCACAAAGATGAGGGAATCTAGTGAGGGTTTCTTGCTGTCCTTGAAATTTCTGCTTTTGGCAATTGCCAGGCCAGGTCTGGAAGTCCACTATAGAACCTCACTTGTTGAAAAAATTAATGATAATATCAATGATTATATTGAAGTTAATGTGGGAGATAATCTTGCTTATAAATAGAGCCCATAGCAATGTCTTAGCCAGCTCAGGCTGTCATAACAAAATATCATACACTAAATGGCATAAACAACAAACACTTAATTCTCACAGTTCTGTAGTTTGGGAAGCCCAAGATCAAGGTGCTAGCATGGTCATTTTCTGGTGAGGGCCTCCTTCCAGGTTGCAAGCTTGCTGACTTCTCATTGTATCCCCATATGGCTGAAAGAGAGCTACCTAGATTTCTGGCCTCTTATTCTAAGGATACTGATAACCATTAATGATGACTCCATTCTCATGATCTAAGTACTGTCCAAAGGCCCTATCTCTAATAACATCACATTGTGATTAATGTTTCAACATATTAATTTTGCAAGGACACAAACATTGAGTCTATTGTAAGCAGGGAAAACAACAAGAACCCTTTCTAAGTCCCCAAAGGTCCTTTATAAAGACACACACAACACATAAGCACACATGTGTTATAATAGATGATTGATTTCGTGGAAATGGGGATAGGAATTCAATAATGGAGACTTCTAGTCAACAACTGTAATGACTAAAATGAATGCATCTGCAGCGGTTCTAATAATGCAATCTTGACCCCTGCCGACTTAATGTTCCTTTCGGGTTGGCTAAACTTTAGACAGGTTTCTTCTTGACCATAGGCCCTGATTTCCCTTTTTCTTAGAGCATTAATTTTAGAAAAATACAATTATAAATACTTTCTCTGTCCTTTTGATATGTAAATCGATTTCCAGACTTTTGCCAATTTTATAGCCAAGAAAATATCTTTCTTAAGGGCCTGGAAACCATCTCTGAAGTGTAAACATCAAAGAAGATGGTGCCCTGTGCCATCTCCATTCTTTGTGGGAGGATAGGAGTCTAATTTTGATGGAAGTCAATTAACAAATGCAGATGGTTTAATCACAGAGAAAAAGAAGACATTTGCAAATTCAGAAATAACTCAATGTCCTCAACATGTCCATCAATTAATCTCACCCCTAATGTCCTCTAGTACTTTTCCACTTGCTCGCCCCAGTACTTAAAAACACTCCTGCCTAGTGTTTCAGTAAAGTTGAGTTCAGTTAGTTTATCTCCTCTATTGCAGTAGCTTGAATAAAATTTTCCTTGCTCGTTTAACTTTTTTCTGGTGTGAGTTTTTTGTTTGAAACTCTACATGTTCTGGAATTGAAGCAACAAAGTTCATAGTGATAGAAAGATTTAGGAAAGACAGCGAAGGCTGAAGAAGCTTTAAGGAGATTACAGATGGAGAACATGGCATTATATATTCACAACACTAGGAGATGCCTGGCAGTCATGCTTTAACCATAATTCTGATCAGGAAATAAGCTCAAGTTCATTACCTGGAATATAAGAACTAATAGGAAAATACAGAATTGTTCCCAGTTGTGGGTAATATGTTATATTATTTAATGGTAGAAAGAAATATAAATGAACAAATAGTTTAATGCCATATCGGAAATGATCTAGGAGTCTATGGGGGAAACTTATATTCTAACAGTCCACCATGCCCTCCCTGCTACTCTTGAAACTAAGCCACTCACCCACACAAATGTTTAGAAAGCTGTTGTGAGTAGCTTCATACATTCATTCATTTAACAAATATTTATTCAGGACCTATTATGTCCAGAATTGTTTGAGGTGTTGGGGATATAGTGGAGACCAAAGAAGACCAAGTTCTTTGCTGTCTAGTGTGGCAGATAAATGATAAACAAATACAATCTAGAATTATGATATGTGCTGTGAAGAAAAGTACAGCAGGACAAGGGTGATGGGCAATGAAGGGAAGGATGCAATTTAGATACAGTGGTCATGGCAGGCCTCTCTGAAAAGGGGCCACTTGAACATACAGCTGAAGAAAGTGGCCCAGAAAAAACATGAAGGGAGAATGCACGTCTTGAGCCAGGAGGGCCTACCATTTTGGAGGAACGCCAAAAGGCCAATGAGACGTGGAAATAGTGATCCAGGGAGAATAGAAGGAGAAGTAGAAAGATGGGTCAGAGCAGTAGTCAGAGGCCAACTCAAACAGGCCTTGGGGGCAAGGCAAGAGTTCTAAATTTTATTCTTAATGTGATGAGGAACCTTAAAGAATTGAGAGTAGGGTGCTGTGAACCAGTTAATATTTTTGAAAGATAACCCTGGCTGAAAAAGGTAACAGAGGAGTCTAGAGGAAGGTACTGACGTCACCCAGGTAAGAGGCGATGGTGGCTCAGATTAGCATTTCTCAGTCTCAGCACTGTTGACTTTTGATCCCAGATCATTTTTCTTGTAGGAGGCCATCCTGTTTATGGTAGAATGTTTAGCAGCATCATTGGCTTCATCAATGAGTAGAGAGCCAAATAGATGCCAATAGCATTGCAGCACTTATGAAAAGAAAGAAGTATCTTCAGACATTGCCAAATATCCCTTAGGAGGCAAAACCATTCCCAGTGACAGCCACTGACTGAGACTAAGATCGCAATGGTAGAGGTGATGATGAGAAGCTTAAAGGCAGAGCCAACTGTATTTGCCAGCCAATTGAGTGTGGACTACAATAGATAGGAGTCAAAGATGATTCCAAAGTCCCTTAGACAAGGAAGCTCTTTGCGGCTGAGAGGAAGACTGAAGGAGCTGGTAGTCAGAAGCTTATCTGCTGATAGGTAGACAAAGATTCTTCCTTGAAGGGGAATCTGGGGGGCACATCCCCATTTCTATCTCAATACTATCCCAGGACAATCAGACGGCCTCCTATTGCCTGCATCTGTTTTGTATTTTTAGCTCTGTGACTCCCACCAGTACCTCCCCTCATCTTTTCTCTTCTGTATCTTATTTATGTAGTTGTATTTGGTAATTTATAACTATTGGTATAGGAAAAAGCAGATTGGACTCCCCACATTTAAATTTCATTCTCATTCTCAGGCACCACATTTTGTTATTTTCCCTTTGGTCTGCACCACAAAGCCTCGAAGCAAGAAATATTTTGTTCTACTTTTCACCCTAATACTCTGTTAGCCAGACCCATAAAGAGGTGACAAAATCCAATACAACTTGATATGGTACAGAGGAGGAGAAAGATGGTGTGGATTTTACTAGGTCAAGAAACAGTCTTTTTGGGTATTTTCAATAGATTGAGAAGCATAAACCATGATATGAGATTGTATGACACACTCGATTGGGAGCTCTGATTAGTAAGGGGTGGTTGGAGTCTTGGATTTGCGATTAGAAACAGCAATAGATTAGCCTGGCATAGTATTGGCTGGTGAATGGCCTTGGTTGCTGTGCTAAATTCTACAGAGGCAGGGAATGTATCTGCAATTGGGGATTAAATTTCTTTCTGCATTTTAGAGAGATAACTCTGATGGAGGCATAGGTTTTTTGGGAGTAGAAGAATGCATTGGTAGTTTACATTTTGTGGTGGTTTTTTTTTTCCAGACAAGAAGTGAGGGACAAGTAATGCCGTGTCATGCAAATATCACATTATGAACTCATGCCCAGCCTTCCCAACTGGGTCTGCTTCTATCCTTCTTCATACATCTTTGGTCCATGTTAAAACAAATGTCAATGAAAGTTCAGTGAAACATGAAGCAAAGTGGCATGCATTGTCTGGACAGTCACGTAGTGTTCAATTGCTTGCCCAAACCTAAAAAGTCAATTGTTTTTAGGTGTCAAAACATTTTATTCGTACAGAAGGCAGGAAAACATAAATATGTATTTTTGCTGTAGCTTTTAGATATTACAATGCAATTATGGAGCAGCCTATTTAATATTTTTTTCACATGAGTTCACATGTGCTCTTTGTGACTCCCTGCTAGCCCATTATCTAGTAGTAATAATAAGTTCAATAATAATATTTAAATTTTATTTAATACTTCATTGCCAAATGCATTATGTATGTTATTTTAGTTAATTATCACAAAAGTATGAAGTAAGTTTTATTTTTATCTCCAGTTCAGATGAGCACATTTAGACTCAGAAGGGTGGCCCAGCGTGGTGGCTCACACCTGAAATCCCAGAACATTGGGAGGCCAAGGCGGGCATATTACTTGAGGTCAGGAGTTCGAGATCAGCCTGGCCAACATGATGAAACCTGGTTTCTACTAAAAATACAAAAATTAGCCAGGTGTGGTGGTGCATGCCTGTAATCCCAGATACTTGGGAGGCTGAGGTGGGAGGATCACTTGAACCTGGGAGACAAGGTTGCAGTGAGCTGAGATTGTGCCACTGCACTCCAGCCTTGGTGACAGAGTGAAACCGCATTTCAAGAAATAAAAAAAAAGACTCAGAAGGGTGAATTAGTCATTTTCAAGGTCGTATGGCAGGTGAGTAGCAGATCAAGATTGAAGTCCCCATCTACACTATCCAGAAACACAGCTTTTAGCCACCTGTCTTCCATATCAGCTACATACTTTGCTTATTTGGGGATGAGCTATGAAAAGGAATGGAAAGGAGGAAAGATTTTTGCTGGAGGAAAGAGGGTTATAGGAGGAAGAGCTATGATTCAGCACTGTTGGAGGTCACCTTGATTAACAGGATGAATGTTGGTACCATTTACAGAGAAAGAGAATGTTGACAGAGCAGTTGGATGTGTCACGCATGTATTTATGTAACTAAAATTTGTTTTTATTGAACATTTAGATTTTGTGCATTTAAATATCATGGCTTTTAAGGGTATGTTTAACATTTTAGTGTTTGTTAAAAGGAATCAAGTTCGAAACTTTTAAGGAAACTACATCCCTTCAGTGTAAGGTCTGATTTCTATGACAGTGACATTTTCCAAGAAGTTATGTTTTTGATCTATGTTCATCCAAACTCAAATTATTCCATAACAGTTTCATGTTCTTGCTAAGGTGTCCATATTTCTCCCTAAAGCACTAGATAGTTATGCTCTTTCCTGATTGATGTCTTGCCTTTATCAACCAGACTAAGTGGGAGACAAGATAGACTGGAGCAGAGTTCATTCTATAACTAGCTAGGGCTCTCTGAGATAGAAATCTTCAGTGCTAAACATTGTCCCAAATTCTGCAAGTTTACTCACTTTGGAGAAACATGTTATTAACAGTTGAATGAAATGTCTTTAAACATTCATGAAAATATTTTAATGGTTTAAAAATAAATTGTAAACACCTATATATGCAAAACCCTTTATATAATACATATGAAACAAGATTAAGCATAGAAAATGATTTTACCAAACCCTTTAACTTTTCTCTAGTCATATATTTTCTGGTCTTTGTACTTGCAACCTTCCCACTTCATTCTAAACACACACACGCGCACGTGCACACAAACACACACACACACGTCTGGAATTTTCTCCTCTATTTGCCTTGTGAACTAGTTATTCTTCAAGCCCTTTAAAGACCATCTTCTGAATTAGTTATTCTTGAAGCCCTGTAAAGACCATCTTCTGAATCGGGATTATTTTATCTCCCTTGTCCTTCATCAGGTTACAGCTTTCTCCATTTATGATCTGAAGATGTTCTCTGTACACATCATGTTGTGTTCTTCGTAGCTTTATAATCATTTTTGTACTCATATGTGCATGTTAACTCTTAACTCTCTCATTGGACTGTGATACATCAAGAATGGATCTGTGTCTTAACTTTCCACTTAGAGATGAGCTCTGAAAATTCATTCCTTCCTCAAATGCATTACATGTGAGTCAGCTGTCTGATACTATTTGCATATCTGTCCCTTAGCTCCTGAAAGTGGCTAGTCAAAAATTAAGAGCAACCTCAGCATATACCCTTCCTTCATTTTATCTGTCAGCCCTTGTGATTTTGTAGGTAGTCTTAAGTGAGCCTCACAAACAAGATTTAGATTCCAGGTCCTCTCAGACGCTGTCTTCATCTTCTTGCCTTCTCTGTGGTGACAACACTGACAATTAAAAACAGTAACTGCTAGGGATCACCATGCACTGTCATTGAATGTTACAACGTTCGGCACGGAATGAAAGTCTGAATGCTGATAGAGCAGTGCTGGAGAACGCTGACCGAGGCAGGGCTGAATGAGGTGGTGTACTCCTGCTTGCTCCCAAGGACACAGATGAAAATGTATAAAAAATCCACTGAAGCCCAGGGGCCTGAAACCCTTAGGCCCCAAGGTCACCTGGCATTTCTTCAGAAGAATCAGCCTTCAGCAATATTAATTTTCTGATGAATATGTGTTTTATTCCTCCTCTTTTAATTACTGTAATGCACAGATATATCTGGGCTTCCTGAAATATTCATTAGTCAGCCCAGCAATACTTTTCAAAGCGTTCAATTAATAGTGCAAGTATAAGACAAAGGAAAGTTCCAGGTGGCCCCTGCAGTGCCTTGTCCTCTGTCTTGGGAGCTTGATTGGGGGAAATACAGAACTATTTAACCACCCCCTTTATGACGTTCAACCCAAGAAAGCTCTTTGTTTAGGAAGACCCAGCTCTGAGCCTCACTATTACAGTACTCTCTATTTTCTTCTCTATTTCTTCTATTCCTGTTTATTTCCTCCACCTATGCTTGTATGTCTAGATACAAATGGTCATCTCTCTTCTAGTTAATAGTTTTCCTTTAGGGCTTAAGTTCATCTCTAGATGTGTTCATCCCTAGAACTTTTATGTGCTTGTCCCATGGGTTGCCTTCTGCAGATTGACTTGGCCACACTATTGACATTTGCAATCACCCTCTGCCCTTCTGGTTCTACTTTCCCAGCTCTATTTGCCATAGAAACCACCACCTCCAAACTCACTATATAATTATTTATTGTTTACATTTCATTGTCTATCTCTCCCCAAGAGAGTCTAATGACAGATTTTTGCCTATTTTGTTTACAAATACATTCCATAGGGAACATAGTAGATATGCAAAAATGGAACCATGAATTAATATTTTGCTTGCATAACCATTCACTAATGTGACTACACCTGGGAGTCCTCTTCTGCCAGTCAGTGGAGGGATCACTGCTGTTGCTGTCCCCCTGGATTCCCTGTTCCAGGTCTCAGCACACTGACCAAAGGCCTCAGTATGTGGCTTCTGTCTCTTTGTTTCCTCAACAATTAATCTAGATTATCTTCAGAGAACAAAAATCATACTTTCTGGTTGCTGGTCTTCATTCGATGAAGAATTGGTAGATGAGAACCATGCTTATGCTGGAGACTGTTGTGGGGTGGGGGGAGCGGGGAGGGATAGCATTGGGAGATATACCTAATGCTAGATGACGAGTTAGTGGGTGCAGCGCACCAGCATGGCACATGTATACATATGTAACTAACCTGCATATTGTGCACATGTACCCTAAAACTTAAAGTATAATAATAATAAATTAAAAAAAAAAGAATCTCTTTTTACCCACCTCTCTGATAAGATTTTGTTCTTTTGAGAAATGTAATAATAGAATACTTGTCTACTTGGTATGGTCAGCTTTCTAAATTTCTGACCTTATTTCATTAAGACATTTGACATATTTGAATCTGTTAAATCCCTAGAGGCAACTCAACCTGTAAAGATTGCAGGTCAACAGAACAAATTTATGGATCACTTACTACATTCAAGGTACTGAACCAAATGCTGACGTTCTAAGATAAATAGAACATAAATTGTGTGGTATCAGTCAATGGTTGAGGGAGTCTTAGGTGTAAATATACCTACACATACACATATGTAAAAATATATTTGTATATGCAAGTACATATATATGTGTATGTGTAAGTGTAATATAATAAAAATATGTGTTTAGGATTCCCTCTCTACTTAAACATTATTCATGGGCAACAACTTCAGGTTTTTTGAGTGAATGTAGCATAATCTCAAGGTCAGCCACTTTTCTTACAAAGCAAAGTAATTTTGGAAATGTATGGGCTTCCAGTAAAATGTTTGTTTTGAGAAATAAATTTTAGTGTCAGCTTGAGTTACTTTAATACAGTGTTCTCTTCATTTAAAATGACATCTTTGAAGTTTAGTCACAGAAGTGATGTTTTTACTCAAAACGAAATTAATTCCTTTGCCATGGCATTAATAGCTAATGTTATCAGTGGGCTGGGTTTATGATTCTGTGTGTGAAATGCTATATTTTACAAGGGATTGTATTTATTTCTAATACATTGTTTCTGAGTTTTCACCTCTTCTGTGTTGTTGATGAAGTCTGCCTGAGTTCTTTTCCACTCCCAGCCATGCAATTTCATATAATTATAAACACAGTTTAAACCTCTATTACTATGACACAAAATCTCAAGCTTGAAGACAGGATGCATTTATATCGGCATGTTAAAATTATTACTGGAAGCACAAGAAGTTCTAATGTGATTTTTTTATAGACAAGAAAATAATTCCTTCCCCTTTTCATCCTACTTCATGCTCTGAGCTAGGATTATTCTGTTTCTTTTTGTGTCTCAGAAATTCTGCACAATTCTGTAATACTGTTTAGCCATTGTGAGGGAAATAAATATGAAAAACACTGTGAAGTTCCTTTGAGGTTTTGTTTTCCACACTCTCTGCTAAGTTGATTGTTTAAAAAGGCACATCTTCTCTTTCCGGCTTCAAGTATATTAAGCTATAACGTTTCTATGTAGAACTAAATGAGGAGAGATGAGAAGGGCTTTTCATGCCCAAGCCATCATTTGATATAGCTGGTAAGTCCTTTGGCCTGAGGCTCTTAAGGATGTGGAGAAGAGACACAGCCCATAGTCTCACCAGCAGGGTACGCTTCATTTCCAATAGCTTACAAGTGTCATAGTCCTTGTGACCGTGAGACCTAAGGCTGCTGCATCAGAAATAACACAGGGAGGCCCGGGCCTTGGAGGTTTAGAATGCAAACTCAGGACATGAGGTTTTGGGTCCTGGGCCAGATATTTTAAATGGTACACAATTCTCAACACAATCATATGTGGTAGACACTGTTATTTTTATGCAGAACCTAGGAAGGACCAGAGACTTGTGGAAAAAATATTTGCTGCAAACCACAGAGGTGTTAAATAGCAGCATCAGAACTCAATCAACCTGACCCCAGGCCTCTTGCTCTTTTCTGATTCTGTGCAGTATTCGTGAGCCTCACAAACTGTAGAACACCGCAGCCTCTCTGAGTGTTACCAGATAGCTTGCTGTGCTGTTTGATTAGAGTTAACATTTCTGAGCAAATATAATGTGTTCATCTAATTTAACTTTGTACTGCAAAGGTGGTAGAGATAGATCATACTGCCTTTACCCTCAAGGAGCTTAGAATTTAAGAGAGACATTTAAATGAGTAGGTAACTGATAATACTGGGAAACACATTACAAGTTATCACACAGGGAAATGAGAATCAAGGAAGTCTTCATAAAAGAAGGAGCATTTGATCTGGATCAGAAAAGTATAGAAATATTTTATCAGAAGAAATGAGGGTCTTAGGATTCTTCTGGAAGATATAAAATTATGAAACAAGAAACACTGCTAGAAAACTTATGGATATGGTGTAGGAATAGTGACTGGTTTATTTTGGCTGGAATATAGGGCAAGTAAAAGAAAAGACTGGAGATTATTGCCAAATTTCAGTGGCACTTTAAGGACATGCTGGTTTATTCTGCAGGCAAGGGGGAACTGTGGGAGGGTTTTAAACCAGGAGAGCAACATATTAAGAGTGGTACTTTTGGAATATAATATTGATACTAAAGGGAAGCAAAGATAAGAAGGCGTTTTATCAAAGTCACCACTGTTGGTTGGTTTGTGGATGGACCTCTTCTGAGAGGGATGTAAAGCAGCTGTGTCACTGAGCAGAGTGTTAGGGAGGAGATGGAGAGCAGAGGAGGTGAACTGATGGCTTCAGGTTGTGTCTGCAGGGATACTGGCTAGGTCCTTTGGTCTCTGACTTAGTGGCTGCAAGAAAGTCTCAGGGAGAGATACATGGGGAAGGCAAGAGGCAAGACATTGATGCTCAGTAACCACGAGCAACAGGAGCGACTGGGAGCCACAGGGGGTTCCTCAATCTATGGCAATGATGGTAACCTGGATCCATAGCTGTGGGAATGGCCTAGCATTATCAGGGTTGCTCCAATGCAAAGCAAGGCAAGTGCCCCAATCTGGGGTGGCACACAAGCAAATATGGAGCATCATTGAAACTTCCAGAAGATGGCCAGGAAAGACCTCCCTGAGATGTGACTTTGAAGAAAGGAAGTGAGGGAACCATCCAGGAAGATACTTAGGATAAGAGGCTTTCTAGCAGGTGGAAAAGCAAGCACAAAGTCCTTGAGATAGGACAGTGCCAAGTATGTCTAAGGAACATCAAGGGGCCCTCATAGCTGAAGTGAGCAAGTAAGGAAGAGAAGAGTTGAAGAAAAAGTGAGAGAGGTAATAGGGAGCCAGATAAGGTATGAATTTGTGGGTGATAAGAATTTTGTTGTTACTCTGATTAGATGTGAAGACATTTGAGGGTTCTGAGTAAATGGAAGACCTGGTCTGCTGTAGCTTTAATAAGACTACTCTTGATACTGTACTGAAAATCGATTACCTTGGAGAAAGGGTGGATGAAATCAGATCAAATAGGAGGCTACTGAAGTAAACCAGGCTAGAAATTATGGTGGCATGAACTAGGTACATGGCAAGATATGATTAATGGTCAAACTCTGGTTATAAGTTGACGGTAGAACATAAACGAGTTTCAGACAGATTGGACAGGGGATGTGAAGGAAAAAAAGCTGTCTAATACAGCTACCTGTTTTTGACTTGTGTACTGGAAGAATGGAGCTACTAACAGATTGGGGGAAGGCTGCAGGAGGAGCTGATTTTGGCAAAATATTAGAAGCTCATTTTGAGCAAGTACATTTTGATATGTCTACTAAGTGTCCTGGGAAAAATCAAGAAGCTAATTGGAGATGTGGGCATGGGAAAAAGTTGGAGCTGGAGATATAAAGAGAGAGTTGGAGAACACTCAGCAGATAGAGGGCACTTAAAACTATAAGGGCAAATGAGATCAACTAGGGAGTGAGTGTAGAATGAAAATAGAAGAAATCCAACAAATAAGCTCTGGGGAACTCCAGTCTTTGAGACTGGATATTGGAAAAGCCAGCAAAGGAGACTGAGAGAGATATGAGGACAACAAAGCAGATTAGGCATCCTGGAAGCCAAGAGAACAAAGTCTTTGGAGGAAAAAGTGAGGATCAGTCCTGTGAAATCTGCTGATAGGTCATGGCAGGTAATGACCATTAGATTTAAGATGATGATGGTGATGATGATGATGAATGGTGACCTGAAGAAAGACAGTTTCTATAAAGTTGTGGAGGCAAAAACATGATGGAAATGGGTCCAAGAAAGAATGGAAGGAGGAAATTGGTGAAACAAGCAAGAGACAAGTGAGGGAGATGAAGTTGCACGCAGATGAGTAATTATGGTAATTGAATGTTTGATGTGAGCTGGATAAGGGAAGAAGAAGATGTTTTGGACGAGTAAAAGTTAAAAAGGTGGTTGATCAATAGATTGTAGGTCTGGGTGGGTTTAAAGAATTGTTCAGTTTCTCAGTTGGCTTGGGCTGCTATAACAAAATGCCATTAACTAGGAGGCTTAAACAACAGAAGTTTACCTCTTGTGATGGTTAATATGGAGTGTCAACTTGATTGGATTGAAGGATGCAAAGTATTGTTCCTGGATGTGCTGGTAAGGGTGTTGTCAAAGGAGATTAACATTTGAGTCAGTGGATTGGGAGAGGCAGACCCACCCTGAATCTGATTGGGCACCATCTGAGCAGCTGCCAGGGTGCCTAGAATAAAGAAGGCAGAAGAAAGTGGAATGAGCAGACTTGCTGGATCTTCCAGTTGTTATCTTTCTCCTGTGTTGGATGCTTCCTACCCTTGAACATCAGACACTGAGTTCTTATGCTTTTGGACTCTTGGATTTACACCAGTGATTTGCCAGGGCTTCTCGGGACTTCAGCCACAGACTGAAGGCTACACTGTCGGCTTCCCTACTTTTGAGGTTTTGGGACTGGAACTGGCTTCCTTGCTCCTCAGCTTGCAGACAGCCTATTGTGAGATTTCACCTTGTGATTGTGTGAGTCAATTCTTCTAATAAACTCCCCTTCATATATACATCTATCCTATTAGTTCTGTCCCTTTAGAGAGTCCTGACTAATATACTTCTCATGGTTCTGGAAGTTGGGAAGTCTAAAATCAGGGTGCTAGAAGATTGAGTTCCTGGTGAAAGCCCTCTTCCTGGTCACTTTCTTGCTGTGTCCTCATATGGCAGAAAGACAGAGGGATGGGGGTGGATAGAGAGAGAGAGAGAGAGAGAGAGAGAGAGAGAGAGGGAGCATGCTCTGCCCTTTATTTCTCTTCTTTTCAGGACACTAGCCCCACCATGGGGCCCCACCCTCATGACCTCATCTAAACCTAATCACTTCCCAAAGGCAACACCTCCAAACATCCTCACATTAGGGGTTAGAGCTTCAAGATATGAATTTTGGTGTGCTACATATACACCATGGGATACTATGCCACCATAAAGCAGAACAAGATCATGTTTGCAGGAACATGGATGGGATTGGAAGCCATTCTCCTCAGCAAACAAAAGCAGGAACAGAAAACCAAACACCGCACGTTCTCCTTTGTAAGTGGGAGTTAAATCATGAGAAGACATGGACACATGAGGGGGAACAACACACACTGGCGCTAGTCAGAGTGGGTGTAGGGGGAAGGAGGGCATCAGGAAGAAAAGCTAATGGCCTCTGAGCTTAATACGCAGGTGATGGAATGATCTGTGCAGCAAACCACCATGTCACACATTTATCTATGTGACAAAACTGCACATCATGCAGTGTACCCCTGAACTTAAAATAAAAATTGAAGAAAATGACATAAATTTTCAAACATTCAGTCCATAACCCAAGATTTGTGTTTATAGGCAGTGTGGGTTGAAAAGTTAAAAGATAGTGATGATGTGTGGGATTATTGAAATTCAGATAAAAATAATGTATGACCATGGGAATAAGTGGCCAAGGTGGGGCTAAGGGGAAGATCTTTTGAAGAAAGAATGGAGAGGCCAGATTGTTGGAAGGATGGGAAGTGTGGCAGAATAGGAAAGTATTGGGAAAGAGTGTCAGTAGTCAGCAGCTGAACTCTTCTGGGAGAGGCGCGGGAGGTGACCGCAGCAAGAAGGCCAAGGAGGCAAAGCACAGGATGATTCAATGCTGGGATTTTTGATGGGGAAGAGAGGAAAAGTGTTCTAGAAATGGTAAACAGGAGAGTCACTCATTCCAGCCCCAGACCCCATAGCACACAGGGAGTGGAGGACTAAACAGCCACTGCTCAAGAGGTCTGGAAAGGAATCCCTGTACTCAGGGAGAGCCAGGTTTCAGTCAAGTTTAGAAGGTGATGGAGACTTTCAGAGAAGATGCTGAGTCTAAGGGTTAGGGTTGATAATTTGCCTAGAGTTTCATCTAGGTGAAAGAAAAGATGTCAGGAGATGGGGGGTTGGGGATGGGATCAGACAAGGCAGCCTCTGGAGACATATGAAGGTTAATATCCAGGGGAAGAGGAATGATCTTGGAGTCATGGGTCTCATGTGATGACCGGGATGAGGAGGTACAAGCAAACAATTAGACTAGTCTAGTTGGTCCAAGGCATAGAGTGGTGGAGGTGCTGTGAGGGTTAAGGAGAGGGAGGAGTGTGGAGGCAACTTCATCCCAGGTAAGTGTTTCTTTTGTGCTCTTGGATTTATCTCAATAGTTGTCTGCAAGATTCACCTTTCTCTCTTTTTTTTTTATTATTCTTTAAGTTTTAGAGTACATGTGCACAACATGCAGGTTAGTTACATATGTATACATGTGCCATGTTGGTGTGCTGCACCCATTAACTCATCATTTACCATTAGGTATATCTCCTAATGCTATCCCTCCCCGCTACCCCCACCCCACAACAGGCATTCCCTGCCTCTTCCCAGTGCTTTATACATCCTAGGATTTTTATAAATATTGTTGAGTGAGTTTAAAGAACCAAGGGTGAGAATGATATGGGTAAAATTCAAGCCAATTCCAGGAATTAATCACAAGGAATATAGTTCACTTTCACCGGGATCTTAATCGAAAGTCTGATTTTTCACATGGGCAATGGAGATGGTTGGTCATACAATTTATTTTTCAGAGCATGAAAGGAAAGGTAGAAGTAAATTTTATGCAAAAGAACTTTAGAGTGGAAATTTGAGATTTTTGTGGCCAAGGTATAGATTTTGACATGCACATTTTTTTCTTGGGGGAGTGTGTTTTTTGTTTAGTTTGTTTTTATACTCACCAAAACAAGATGAAGAACAACAGCACTAGAAGAAAGAGCTCTTATCCCCATCAGCACCAGCTCTGGAAGGAGGGAGAGTCATGGAGGAAGAAGGGCAAATTTTGGTTTGTTTTTATACTCACCAAAACAAGATGAAGAACAATAGCACTAGAAGGAAGAGCTCTTATCCCCATCAGGACCAGCTCTGGAAGGAGGGAGAGTCATGGATGAAGAAGGGCAAATTTTGGCAATGCACAGATCTCTATATCGCTTAACACTTCATGACAACTCATTAGAATAAACGTCTTTTGGTGATTGGAATTTTTCCAAATGAATGAAGACTTCTCTTTGCCTTCAGATGTCTTCTTAGAAGCAGCAGGTTTTCTGCATTTTTTTTAAAGGTTTTAGTTATTTTTGCAATGAATTTCTAACAACAGAGCATCTGCTAACAAAGTTTCTCTTGATTTTCCTTGAATCAGAGGCAAATGATTATATGCAGAGATTGGCTCTGTCTTCAATTAAGAACAAGAGATTTTCAAGGATTGGAGAAATGTTAGGGCATTGATTTACCTAGCCTGCACTTCCCTTACTCTTAATTCCTCTGGAACTTTTTTTGAAGTGGCCCACAATGGTTAATTAACTTGTCATGGCCCTAGTCAGTCAATTGTAGGTTACCGTTTTGGGAAAGATCTAAGCTAGGAGGCTTGATAATTATGTACCTACAGGAGCCAGAGGCCCTGAAAGACACAGTGGTGGTGTGGGCAGAGGTGAGCTGAGGAGGAGGCGCAAGTTCAGAGTCATCAGGCCTTCCACCAAGTAGAAGGTATAATTCCAGCCTCCTCTTTCTTCACTTCTTCTGTCTTTGATTCTCTCTACCTTTCAAACTGTCAGGGACAGCCATTTCTCCTATTTATGTCGGCCACTCCCCGGGGTAAAAAAGTGAAAAAGATGGAAAATCTTTAATTTCCAAGAGAAATTATAATTTATACTGATGACTTATGATTCGTATACTTTATAATTTTTTCTATTTAAAGAAGCAAGAAGTATTATTGAAAGGTGATTTTAAATATGTCACATAACAATTATCCATGTATGTTATATTACTTGTTATATAAACTTGTTATATTCACAAGTTTACTAGGGGTGGTTTGCTATAAATTTGATTGCTTCTAAACTAAAATACAGAAAGCTTTCCATAAAACAGCTAACAAAATTAAAACCCATTTTTTGTTTTTGTGTTTTTAATATAAAAATATTTTATAATTTATTTGATAATACTTTTCCCTTTTTAAACTTATTTTTCAAATAGATACACAAATATTGAACGGATGAAGTATACTTGCTATGAAATAGCTTGCTGGAATTTAAGTAACACAACACTAATGAATATTTACAGCATATGATTTAGAGTGTCAATTATTTTCCTATATTTGAATTTATGTTTACTGTGAAAACTCATTCTGAGGATAATTGATTCCCTCCAAATTATCTATGTGTGTGTGTGTAAATATGTGTGTATGTATATATAAATGCTTACATGTGTATATATACTAATACATATGCTTATATGTATATATGTGTATATATGTATAAATATATATGCATGAGTATGTATATATGTGGGTACGTATATATGTCAACAAATAATACCTTATACTTAAGTGGATTAAGAGAAATTTGACCTAGAAATGTGAAGCTTTCTGGGTTCTAGTCTCAACTGTTCAGTGAGCTTGAAGAAGGAAAGCAACACCAGGGTGCCTCAAATTCTTCATTTCCTTTAAAATATCGTGCCATGAATATCAACTATCTCTTGAAAAGTGACTACTATTACTGGCTTTAAGAGAATAATTGGGGAAGGTTATGCATAAGAAAAAGCGAGTTTCTGGGGAAAGAATCTGTCATTTTGTGCCCTGCAAAGCCTGCTGTAGCAGGGTGGAGGTTGCATGGGTGCATGCATGTAATATTCAAAGTATAACCCTGGGGAGCCCTTTCACCACCTTCTCCAGCCTTGAAGGCCTTAAGACACCTGATTTCTTTTCATCATTCCTCCAGGAGCTACAATGTCAGCCTGGCCTGTTGAATACTACAACTCTCCCAATCCCCCGTTTCCGAGTTGCCCTTGAGACATATACATGGCCCTGTAACTTCTTTCTGTAATTTCCTAGGAGTCGATGGATGGGATGTAGAAGGAGGAATGTGGCATACAAGAGTTATTAGGGCAGACTAAGAGTTGTTATGATGTCTTTTCTTTGAACTTTCTGATCACTGGGAGTTTTTCGTGCCTACGTTATATCCAGCAGTATCCTAGGTCTCCCCAGAGATATTGAAGAATGTTCAGATATGGGTTATTCTCCATGAACTTGCAATCCATTTGGAACAGTAAGATTAGCCAAAAAGATATAATACAATATTAATTGATAAACCACTTATGTATTATGAAAAGGGTATGGCAGTTCCCACACTAGACTCTTCCATGTATCATACCTCAATTAACACTCACCAATCCTGTGAGGAAAGAATCATTTCACAGATGCTGAGACTCAACCTTAGAGATGTTAGCTAACCTTCCTGATGTTTGTTAGGTAGTAAATGGGAAAGCACGAACAGCACACCAGTCTATATAACTCTATACTCATTTTCTTTTTATCAGAAATAAAATTACTGGTAAAATTTCAGGAGCAAAATAGCATTTCATTTTCTGTGGTAGTCTTAATGAATTCCTGAAGATGTTGCTGACAACACAAGAATCCCATCAAATGGCAATATGTTTCTGTCCAAGGCACTTAATTCTAAGAATAATGAAAATATTAATATATTCTTGTGAGTCTCCAGCATCAATAACCATTTCTTCATATCCCACATCAAGCAACTCTTTGTCTGTAATTTTGTCTTATGATGTCACTTTCCCAGCTACATGAACACCCAGGGAAGTTTCCACATCTGTAAACTAAGGATAATTATACATGGACTGTTGTTACTATTAGTTGTAATTTATGTGCAAAATATTTCCTGGCTCATAACAGACAGTAACTCTTATTATGAGAAAATATTCTGTACAAGTAATTCCAGTTTTTTTGGACATTTACTAGGCATTAATAGCTGTAGGAAGAGATCTCTCATAACTTGACCTTGAGGCTCTAACTCTCTGACAGGTGACCTGCTCCAGGTGCAGCAATATGGTGCCTTCTGAGGCCAGAAACGCCCTGCATCTCCTCTTGCTCTTAGGTATTGCATCCAGATTTTTCTTCACTGTGTACATTTTCAGCTTTAGAACTGGACTCGATCTGTGTAATGTTCTTTCTCCATAGTCTTGCATTTGAATAATTTGTACCCTTGAGGCAGTGCAAGGCCATTCTGATTTTTCATAATTGGGGTTTGCTGTCAAGAATTGGACATTACACTTTTTACCAAAACATCCTGGTAAAGCAATGAAACTCTCACAGTAACTCTTAACAGAAATATAGTAATTAACTGCTTAATTATGGTTTGTAAAAACATCATAATTATTTAAGCAATAAACATATTATTAAAATACTGACATAAGAAAAATTAAACAGTTACAGAGAATCGTATAGAAAGGCAAACACACTTAAATACATTACTATTACAGATTATACTCTAGTAAATTGCTGCTTAATACAAGTTTATTTTCTCAATTTTCCTCCCGGGTTTGAAAGCTTCGACTTATCTTGATATTTCGTATTTCTGTTCAAATTCTTCTGCAGACCTATGTAATATGTCAGTGTAAAAGATCCTCCCGTACATGGAGAAAAACATGGAAATTTCCTGATTGAAAGATATTCATAGAAAGATTTCTCATTTTCCTTTAAATTCTTTGTTCACAACTCCTTCTTCTGTTTTTACCAAGTCACAGAGCAAAAAGAGGAAAATAATCCTACCACATAAGGCCAATATTTTCCCTGTGAATTACCCATGGCTGGCTTTTTCCTCTATTATTTGCCTCTCTTTTATCTTTATATTTTCTTTTGTTTTTATTCTTTTCTTCTCAGATAGAGATGACTTATCCTTCACAAATAAAAACTTTGAGCATATTTGAACCAAACCTTTAGTTTTCTAATAAATATGTCATTCAAATAGGCCCCAATAATTCTGTTCTAAGTGGACCATTATTATTTTTCCTCCCAAATCATCAATTGTGAAATCTTATTTGAACAGAGTGTAAAAATAATAACTCCTAAATTACATAAATATTTTTTCTTTATAAGAAATTATAAATTATAAGTGTAAACAATACTTATCTCGAATAAAGAAATCAAGTGAAGGTCATCTTTGGCTTGGAAAACAACATTTTGTGGAATAGGCAGATGATGCATTGCCCTAAGAATGAAAAATCTTAAGGCCAATGGGAAGGTACAATGGGGAGTGAACCTGAGGAGGGAATTATCCAGTGCTTGAAACCTCTGAAGACAAACCTAATAAATGTGAAACTCTACTTTTGATTGCCTTTAAAGGAAAATAGGGAAAACAATGCTAAGTATGAGTCATGTATTCAAGTCAAAAGGGATGGAGTTGATAATATACATGGGATATGTTAAAGGGGATTTACAGGAGGAAAAGAAGCAACAGACAAAGGCCAGATACATTCTTGCATGGAGAAGACTGAATCTGTGATCCAAGAGTCAGATGAGACAGTCAGAAGATATAACTTACAAGTCATAATTCAATTAACACACACATTGAATGTCAATGGGATGTCTTTTATTGTTTTTTTCCCTTTTTAGTGTAATTCATTCTTCATACCCTCAAAAGTCATGCATTCTAGTTGGAAATATATCTACACACAAAAAATGATTAGAAGGACACTTGGTTATGTTATTTAATCCCTCTGAACATTTGCTTCAATGCCTGCTTAATAAGCATGATGATACCTAATCGTGCTTTGGTGGGCGGTGTTCATAATAACTTTACGTGGCCCTGGATTCTTCTATGTTGTATTTTATTTGATAGCGAGTAGCTGGTGTAAGAAGATCCCTTCAAAGTGCAGCATTAACCACAAACATCACAGTAATTCTGTGCCTGCACAGTGTAGGTACTCAAATGTTTGTTGATTAAAAAATAATTTTTATCCATTTACAGTATAAACATAACAGCTAATAATGCTTTGATATTTTCAGCTCTGCTCACTGGCATTATCTATAATGTCCACTAGTATTATTTTTATTTCTCAACAACAGTGAGATATTTCAGTCAATGTGCTGACTGAATAGAAATGCTCATAGGTTGTAAGAACAATTTTTTGCTGTTCATTTAATACATATATTTTTATATAATTTTAACTTTTATTTTTCACAGAAAGTCACAAGGCCATGTTTAGTTTGCCAATGAGTAAGCCATTTAAATGTGGCACACAAAGCATCTGGTTTCCCTAGCAACTAGAAACTCCCCTGTCACTGTAGCCTTCAATTCCATTTACACGTCTGCACATTTTTCTTCTTTTATTTTTTAAGTGGGAATGCAGTTTTGGAATAATGGTTGCCAAAAATAGATAATAGCACAAATCAGAAGGCCATTTGCTTAGGTAATTGAGATGTTATTACATTTTCTATTCCATATTCTCAAAGAGTTCATCTGAATACTTAATGGTTAGATAGCACTTATCTTTTATTATTTTTAGTAAGTTTGTGAATTTTTGGAAAAAAACTATATATTTCTAAAATTTCGTTAGTTAGCAGGATATAATTATTTTTTTCAATCAGTAAAACAACTATTATCACTGTTTAAAAATACATTATGATCATCTGTTTGCATATAGATATGTGTACAATATTTATATTGCATATGAAATACTCATTAACATTTGTGTTAGCATTTTAAAATGTCCTGTGTTTGGACAAAATAATTAGAGACAGGCCTGAGTGGTGGTGGGATGCTGTGCTAATATGGAGACTATTTGGAATGCTTCTGTTTGTGGATGGCATCAAGTCTCATATCCAAAATTAAAAAGATCAGTCTATGTTTTACTGAATATAACATACTAAGTCTTGGTCTTGGATAGATGGAGAAAAACAATGAAACACTAAAGTCCTGGTGTAATCCTTCTGGTGACATGTTTAATAAGCCACAAAGGAAATGCCGGAGGTCTTAAAGATAGTCTACAGCAGCCCCTTCCTTGGACCTTCATTACTACAAATTCTCTGTATTCTTCTTGTATCCTTCCTTGCCAGGTCCAGGAAATCCAGATCCAGTGGGCTGGGTGAGAGAGAGCATCAGTGTCACAGCATCACACATATTAATTTTTAGAATTTATTAAATAAGGACACATTATCCTGAAGATATCAGTTTATAAACATCCAATCGTTAAAAATTTACACTTTGAGCAAGTGTAGTTTCAAATTCCAAGAGTGCAGTAAATGGCTCTGAAGCAAGAGGGTTGCATAATGGCTCTGAAGCAAGAGGGTTGCATTCGACCTAGACAGCATGGGATCAGGAAAACAGAAGACACTCAGCATCAAAATGCTTTCCTTCTTCACAATTTTTTTATTTTTATTTTTTAAAGAAGAGAGCCTGGACATTCCTGTCAGATCTACCATATATCCTTAATGGTTTCTTGTGTTCAGATCTTCCTGGAGAAGTGTGGTTTCAGTTATTCTCAACCTGTTGTATGTCAACTCATTGAGACCTGGTTTTAGGACCTTTGTAGTTATTACTATCTGTAGATTGAACTCGCACAAGAATAGGCACATAATTGGGGAGCTGCATGCCTCAGGATAGATAGATAATTACGTTGCTCCCTGTCTGGAGTGAATAACAAGGCCCTTTTCCTTCCTCTGGGTGTTTTGAAATGGGGTATGCTACAAATAAATATTGTGGTGTTTGAGAGGTTGAGATAGAATGTGGGAATTAATATGCATAATTAATTCAGGAATCAGATGGAAATCACTTATCAATGTGAAGCCCTGTGCTTTTTGACTTCCCTGAATTCCATTTAAGCTGCATGAATAACATTCCAAGGACTATGTTTTTTACCTTGATCAGAAAAATAAACTGAGTTGGAATAGATCCACTTGTCAAAAGATGACTATGTTCTCAGTTGATGAGTTTACAAAGTTTACACAGTCACACAAGAGGTTATATTCACCATCTTTACTAGAAGAATTATCTTTTTGGTTATCTGAGATAGTACAATCTTGAGTTTTCTCTTAAGATGAATGAGAATGAAAATAGCATTAACTTTTCTGAACATTTCAATATGGTGAGTCCCTGATAGATACCTTATGTACATAAAATCACGTCCATATACCTGTGCAAATGTGTTAGCTTGATTTTCATTCTAACTTGCAATCTACCTCTGCTCCAAATACCAGGAGGATCAGGAATTTCTAATGTACTCTTTAGAATTGTTTTTGGATTCTAAAGTTGGAGCAACAGTTTGGTCAAAAATTCATGGAGACCCAACCTTAAAGTTGGATTTTACATATAATTTAAGTTTTCCCTTAATTGTCTAGAATATATTACTACATCTCTTAGAGCATTTTAATGACTTTTGTATTGATTCATTTGTTGGTGCTTTGATGGCTCCTTGGGCGTGCTATAAGCCTTCACTAAGTCCCTCTAACATGTCTGTGCCTTGGCTGGGCTGCCATGGTTCCTCCCTGACATACCCTTTAGAACTGCTCTCTACTGAGTTCCTGTCTATTTTTCAAGTCACAGCTCAAATGTCACGGGTTCTGCATATATTCCTCAATTTCATTAACTTATACAATCATTTGTATTTTTTTAAACATATATGTTCTAGTGCTCTATGAAGGGTGTTTTAAATGCTTTAGTATAGAGATCTATATGCATTATCTGTCACACTTGTTTGCAAGCTCCTGTCCTTGAGGACAAGAACCAGAGACCACTTCTGTGTAACCCTGACATGTAGCTCAGTTCTGGATGCTGAACAGGTGTTCAATGTTAGGTCATGTATTTGGTGCATATATATATATTTTTAAATTATTATACTTTAAGTTTTAGGGTACATGTGCACAATGTACAGGTTAGTTACATATGTATACATGTGCCATGCTGGTGCGCTGCACCCACTAACGCGTCATCTAGCATTAGGTATATCTCCCAATGCTATCCCTCCCCCCTCCCCCCACCCCACAACAGTCCCCAGAGTGTGATGTTCCCCTTCCTGTCCATGTGTTCTCATTGTTCAATTCCCACCTATGAGTGAGAATATGCAGTGTTTGGTTTTTTGTTCTTGTGATAGTTTACTGAGAATGATGATTTCCAACTTCATCCATGTCCCTACAAAGGACATGAACTCATCATTTTTTATGGCTACATAGTATTCCATGGTATATATGTGCCACATTTTCTTAATCCAGTCTATCATTGGTGCATATTTTAAACTGAATTATCCCTCTCACTTTCAAATTCATATGTTGAAGTCATAATCCCCAGTACCCCATAATGTGACTGCATTTGGAGACTAGGTTTTTTTTTTGTAACTGAGTCTCGCCCTGTCCCCCAGGCTGGAGTGCAATGGCGCAATCTTGGCTCACTGCAAGCTCCGCCTCCTGGATTCTAGTGATTCTCCTGCCTCAGCCTCCTGAGTAGCTGGGATTACAGGTGCCCGCCACCATGCCTGGCTAATTTTTGTATTTTTAGTAGAGATGGGGTTTCACCATGTTGGTCAGGCTGGTCTCAAACTCCTGACCTTGTGATGCACCCATCTCAGCCTCCCAAAGTGCTGGGATTACACGCGTGAGACACTGTGCTGAGACTAGGTCTTTAAAGAGGTAATTAAGGTTAAATGAGGTCATTGACCAGCCCTCATCCTATATGACTGATGTTCCTATAAGAAACGGAGACTAGGATACAGATACAGATACAGGAGGAACACCGTGTGGAAACAGGGAGGAGGCAGACACCCATGAGCCAAGGAGAGAAGCCTCAGAATGAAACTAACTCTGCCAACGCATTCATCTCAGACTTGTGGCCTCCAGAATTGTGAAAAACTAAGTTTCTGTTGTTTAATCCACCCAGTCATACTACTTTGTTATGGCAGCCCTAGTAAGCGAATACAGTGCCCATGAACACCATTTTTTATTGTGTTCTCTCTCAAAAGCAATCAATGGATCCACATTCCATAATCATCTTTTATTTCTATGTATTTTTTTGTTTCCTGTGTATTGCATTTCCTCATAAAACCTCAAGCACGTTCATCTACCTCTGTATCTCACTCATCTCTCTGTCCATCATTTCAGTATTTCTCCAGTTGAAAATGGCCAAGCTGGCAGCAACTTCTTTTAAGGATACACTGTGTTTCAATAAAACTTGATTGTAATCTTCCACTTTTCACTACAAAGGATATTGGCTAGAAAAAAAATATGCGTATGTGTTTTTGTTTCGGAAGATGAGAGCCTAACCTTTGCAGATTCACTGCCAACTGCTTTTAGGAGCAGTTTTCCTGAGAATTGTTTGTTGTTAATTTTGAATATTTTCATTCATTTTATTCTAATTTCTAATGTTTATCAAGTTGCATCTTTGGGATGTTGCTAAATTCTTCCCTGCCCTGAGCATTTCATTGCTATGTATACCTCATAAAAATGTAACATTGTTTTTAATAGCTAACAGACTTGTAACTGCAACCTTTGTGTCTCATCATGTGGACTCTGCCAGATTTTTCTTTCTGCTTATCTTTGAATACTCGACACTCGCATTTTCAGGAACTGCGTTATAATCCTTTTCCAACTGTCTTCCTGCTATTAAATGTACAGTACACAACAAGGAGTACATTTAACCAATGTGTTCTCCAAAAAGTAGCTTTGAGCACGGAACATCAAAAGCAAAATTAGTTTGGCAATCGTAACACAACATCTGTTCAGGGATTTTTTTCCCCCCACAACATGAGGGGGAGCAAAGAGAAATAAATGTATACTACATGGCACATTTTTTAAAAATCAAAGAAAGCTGTTGTGTGAAAAAGGAATGAAAGGATACCCAAGACGGAAAAAATAGGTGGAATTATATACTGCCCCAAAGACAAATTCACATTTTATTCTGTTCTGCCTGTTGAGTGCTTATACAGGTGGCAACAGAAATATGGGGTGATTTGCAACACTTTCATTGTGCTCCCCAGTCCTCAATAAGCATCAGTTACCATTGGGCAAATGACTTTCTCCAAATACATCTGAGCAGTCATATATTTACATTATTCTGCACTTAGTTTCAATGACCCAACTGTAGATAAAACGCTGTGTGCGTGTGCCTGCTGCGACATTCATTGCGGCAACTGCACCTGTTAGGAGAATGTTTCTGCTTATTACTAACATTTGGTGAACATTGAGGCCATGTCCACAGAAGGCAATTGTTTTTAAATTAATACTGGATCATTTGCCTTCAAATATTGCCCTTTTCAGTTTTCCATGTTCCTCATATGCAAAGTAAAAAAAAGTGAAAGGGGAAGGTGTATTTTTAAGCAACCCCGGCCTACAAGGAGGCTGGTTTTGAAATAAAGTGGCCTTGCCAGGGTTCTGGGGGCACTAGCAAGCTCTGTCCTGATACTGAGCATTTATTCATGCTACTCCTGCTAACTTATCCCTGAATCTTTTTGAGACGATGCAACTGAGCTTTCCTTAGAGCGTTGTACGTCCTCTAATTTCATCTCCCTGCCTCTACCACTTTGTCCCTTACTCTGAAGTTGGAGGAATGGTGATAAGGAAAGAGGGAGAGAAATGGAATTAATGTCTCCTTTTTGAGCCATGCATAGCAGAATAGAAGTGAATGAATACAGCAGAGAGGGACAGATCAGTTAGATGTTGGGTCTATTACCTCAATATTTACCTAACATACTGACATGTATCTAGTTTCTACTCTTCCACCGTTGGCTCACTTATGGTCTTTATCAAGGATCTGGCCAACTGCGGCACTCTCAAAGCCTGTTGCCACCTCTAATAATCTCTTCTCTTCCAATTTATCTACTTTTATCAAATTGTCTTCCTGAAACAGATCACATATTTCCTTGAATTAAGATCTCTAATGGCTTCCCACTGCTAAGGGGAGAACATGAGCTTTTGTGTCAGACTTGATCTTGATTCTAAATTCTGCTATTTAATTGTTGTGGTTAGCCTTAAAGAAAACTGCTTCACATCTCTGAGCTTTGGTCTCCTCAACTGTAAAATGGAAAAAATTGCACCTTCCTCATAATTTGTGAGTACTAAAATAATATACCTTTGGCACCTAGCATACTGTAGTAAGGCTTTGTATCCACAACCCTTATCCCACTCTTTTCCTTGCTACTGCCCACTTTGGATATATTTTCCATATTCTATCTAGTATCCCTCTAGTAACAACCTTCTTAGAATTGCACAGTTTCTTTCCTTCTGTAAAAACAAACAAAATCATAACCTCGTAAAAGAATTGTTCCTGCTCTTAGGTTGACTTTCCCTTTCTTTTCTCAGTCCCTCCACCTGGCCTGTCTCCCCCTCACCCAAACATTCAGCTCATGCCCTCCATTTTTTCACTGGGAAAATAAGACACTTCACTGAGAAAGATACAGGGAATGTATTTTATTGAGAAAATAGAAGTTTCATTAGAGTAGAACTCTTTCCTCTTTGTGCTAAAACTACAAATATAATTTGCCCTATGCACTGATTTTATATTTGCCTTCCTATTTTATAGGAGAATTGCCTCTGATCCTTGGAATATAAATTTCTCCACTTGTCCTCTGTGCCTTTCCAAAGACTGACCTCTGCTTGGTGAGCCAGCATCACAGTCTCTTCCAGATCTTTCTCAATAATATAAAAATATGCTCTACCTCTTCCCATTAAAAACAAATTATTTGACCTCATATCCTCGTCTAGCCCTGTTTCACTGCTCTGTGTCAGCACAGACCTGCAGGAGGGAGTTATCAGCCTCACCATTCTTCACTTCTCATCTATTCATCTATGATTCCCTCTTCAATCGACTCTTAATTTGGCTTTGGCTGCCAGTAAAACCACCCCTGCCCAGGTCATCAAAAAAACGTCATGCTGCTGAATCTACTGGGCATTTCTCTGCCGTTGTGGTACCTGACTTCTCAGAAGCCCTTGACACAGCTCTTTAAATACTATTTTCTCTGATTCCATGGCACCAAAGCTATCTTGAATTTATTTTCTTTATTTAGTTTACATATATATGTACACATATATTTATGTATATATATACACACGCATATATTACTAAGTGTGATATATTTCACATAGATAGGACATACAACAGCATTTATGAGAAACTTCTATTTTCATCATTTGGATACCATTATCATGCCACAATATTATTGATAGAGTGTGATTATTTATAGTTTTTTAATCATTTATTTTAGGTTCAGGAGTACATATGCAGGCTTGTTATGTAGGTAAACTGTGTGTCAGTCTTGCTCTGTTGCCCAGGCTGGAGTGCAGTGGCACGATCTTGGCTCTGCAACCTTTGCCTCCCGGGTTCAAGCGATTCTCCTGCCTCAGCCTCCCAGGTAGCTGCGACAACAGGGATGCACCTGTCTGACTAATTTTTGAATTTTTTTAGTAGAGACGGGGTTTCTTCATGTTGGCCAGGCTGGTCTCGAACTCATGACCTTGGGTGATCCATCTGCCTTGACCTCCCAAAGTGCTGGGATTACAGGCATGAGCCACTGAGCCTGGCCTGTCAGGTCGTTTTTTGATTCTCTCTCCTCCCATCTCCATCTGCAAGCAGACCCCAGTGTCTGTTGTTTTTTCCTTTGTGTGCATGTCTTCTCAATGTTTAGCTTTTACTTATAAGTGAGAAGATGTGATATTTAGTTGTTTATTTCTACATTAGTTTGCTTAGGATATTGGCCTCCAGTTCCATCCATGTTGCTACAAGGGACATGATCTCATTCTTTTTTATGGTTGTGTAGTATTCTATGGTGTATATGTACTGCATTTGCTTTATCCAGTCTACCACTGATGGGCATTTAGGTTGATTCTATGTCTTTGCTATTGTCAGTAGTGCTGTGATGAACATACAAGTGCATGTGTCTTTATGGTAGAATGATTTATATTCCTTTGGGTACATACCCAATAATTGGATTGCTGGTTTGAATGGTAATTCTGTGTTAAGTTCTTTGAGGAATTGCTGCACTGCTTTCCATATGGCTGAACTAATTTACATTCCCCCTAGCAGTGTGTAAGTGTTCCCTTTTCTCTACAACCTCACCAACATCTGTTATTTTTTTACTTTTTAATAATAATTATTCTGACCAGTGTGAGTGCAGTTTTTAATATCTCATGTGGCATGGTTTTGCATTTCTCTAATGATTAGTGATGTTGAGCATATTTTCATATGTTTGTGGGCTACTTGTATGTCTTCTTTTGAAAAGTGTCTGTTCATGTCCTTTGCCCACTTTTTAATGGGGTGGTTTGTTTTTGCTTGCTAATTTAAGTTCCTTATGCATTCTGGATATTAGACCTTTGTCAGGTGCATAGTTTGCAAAGATTTTCTTGCATTCTTTAGGTTGTTTGTTTATTGATAATTTCTTTTGCTGTGAAGAAATTCTTTAGTTTAACTAGGTCCCAATTGTTAATTTTTGTTTTACTTGCCATAGCTTTTGGTGTCTTTGTCATGAAATCTTTGCCAGGTTCTAAGTTCAGAATGGTATTTCCTAGGTTATCTTCCAGGGTTTTTGTAATTTTAGCTTTTATATTTAAATCTTTCATCCATCTTGAGTTGGTTTTTGTATACGGTGTACAGAAGGGGTCCAGTTTCAATCTTCTGCATATGGCTAGCCAGTTATTCCAGCATCATTTATTGAATATAGGGAGTCTTTTCCCCATTGTTTGCTTTTGTCGATTTTGTTGAAGATTAGATGGTTGTAGGTACGTGGCATTATTTCTGGGCTCTCTATTCTGTTCCATTCGTCTATGTGTCTGTTTTTGTAACAGTAACATGCTATTTTTGTTATTATAGCCTTGTAGCATAGTTTGAAGTTGGGTAACATGAATTCCCCAGCTTTGTCCTTTTTGTTTAGAATTTCCTTGTCTATTTGGGTTCTTTCTTGATTCCATAGAATTTTATTTATTTATTTATTGAGACAGAGTCTCAAGAGTTCAGTGACATGATCTCAGCTCATTGTGACTGCCTCCTGGGTTCAAGTGGTTCTTGTGCCTCAGCCTCTCCAGTAGCTGGGCCTACAGGCTCATGCCATCATGCCAGGCTAATTTTTGTATTTTTAGTAAAGACAGGGTTTCACCATATTAGCCAGGCTGGTCTCAAACTCATGGACTCAAGCAATCCGCCCACTTCAGCCTCTCAAAGTGCTGGTATTACAGGAGTGAGCCACTGTGTTTGGCCCTATTTGAATTTTAAAATTTTTCTAGTTCTGTGAAGAACGTCAGCACTAGTTTAATAGAAATAGCATTGAATCTATAAGTTGCTTTGGGTAGTACGGCCATTTCAATGATACTGATTTTTCCTATCCATGAGCACAAGATGTTTTTCCATTTGTTTGTGTCATATCTGATTTCTTTGAGCAGTGTTTTATAGTTATCCTTGTAGAGATTTGTCACCTACCTGGTTAGCTGTATTCCTCGGTATTTTATTTGTGTGTGTGTGGCAATTGTGAATGAAATCACATTCCTGCTTTGGTTCTTGGTTTGACTCTTACTGGTGTATAGGAATGTTCGTGATTTTTGCCATCGATTTTGTATCCTGAGACTTCATTGATGTTGTTTATCAGCTTAAGGAGCTTTTGGGCTGAGACTACGGAGTTGTCTAGATGTAGGATCATGTCGTCTGCAAACAGGGACAGTTTCTAGTTGGATACTTTTATTTCTTTCTCTGTAAGTTCCTGGACACATATACCTTCCCAAAACTGCACCAGGAAGAAACTGAATCCCTGCACAGACTAATAAGAAGCTCTGAAATTGAGTCAATAATAAAAATCTTACTATCCAAAAAAGCCAGGAACCAGGTAGATGCACAGCTGAATTCTACCAGTTGTACCAAGAAGAGCTGCTACTATCCCTGCTGAAACTATTCCAAAAAATTGAGGAGGAGGGACTCCTCCCTAACTCATTCTATGAGGCCAGCATCATCCTGATGCCAAAACCTGGAAGAAACACAAGAAAATAAAACTTCAGGCTGATATCCTTGGCATACATTGATGCAAAGATCCTCAACAAAATACTTGCAAACCAAGTCCATCAGCACATCCAAAAGCTTATTCAACATGATCAATTAGGCTTTATCCCTGAGATGCAAGTTTGGTTCAACATACAAAAATTAATAAATATAATTCATCACATAAATAGAACTAAAGAAAAAAAACACATGATTACCTCAACAGATACAGATAAGGCTTCTGATAAAATTCAACACACCTTCATGTTAAAAACTCTCAATATACTAGGTGTTAAAGGAACATACCACAAAATAGTAAGAGCCATCTATGACAAAACCCACGCCCAACATCATACTGACTAAGCAAAAGCTGGAAGCATTTCCCTTGAAAACTGGCACAAGACAAGGATGCCCTCTCTCACCACTTCTATTAAACATGGCATATTTTTGTTTTTAATTGACAAATAAAAATTTTATATATTTATGGAGAATATAATGTTTTGATGTATCTACACACATTGTTCAATGATTAAATCAAGTGAATTCACATATCTAGCACCTCATGTACTTATCATTTTTTTGGTTGGGAACATTTAAAATCTGCTCTTTTAGCAATTTTGAAATATATGGTACATTATTATTAACTATGGTCACTATGCTGTGCAATAAATCACTAACACTTAATCCTCTTTTCTAAATGAAACATTGTACCCTTTGACCAACACTCTTATATTTCTGTTTTCTTAATCAGTGGCCCTTTCTCATGTTCATCTTGTTTTCCACCTATTCTATCCTATTTAATCATGTTGGATCTTCTTGCAACAGGGATCCATTCCCTATTATTTTCCTTATATAGTGTCTTCATTTATTTCTATGACTTTGCATATCATATTACATATGTCATATATGTGTATATATATATATATATATATATATATATCCTGTCCAAATTTAGCCTCTAATCTGTCTTATACATCCAACTTCCCATCTAATAATTGTAATTTAAAATGTTACAGGAATTCCCACTTAATACCTCAAATTCCCATCATCTCCTCCAAGATCACTGTTCTTTTCTGTTCTTTTCCTCACTTAAGTGAAAGTCATTATGATCTACAATATTTTATCAAGGCAAACAACTAAGCATCATTCTTGATTTATTTCTCTTAGTTAATGCTCCAAACCCAATCCATCACTAAGTCCCATCACTTCCATCTTCAAAATAGACACATCACACACATCTTGCCATCTCCACCAGAGTCATGCTGGCCTTTGTCTCCACCATCTTTTGCCTTCAGAACTGGTCAGCCTGCTGCTATTCTTGTTCCCTTTGCTCCTCCTGTCTAATGCATTCCCAGCACAGCAGCTAATGTAATATTTAAACAACGTAAGTCTAGGTGTGATGGCTTATATCTGTAATTTCAGCCCTTCGGGAGGCTGAGGCGGGCAGATCACTTGAGGTCAGGTATTCGAGACAAGCCTGGCCAACATGGCAAAACCCCATCTCTACTAAAAATACAAAAATTAGGTGGGTGTGGTGGTGGTGCACGCCTGTAATCCCAGCTACACGGGAGGCTGAGGCAGGAGAATCTCTTGAACCCGGGAGGCAGAGGGTTGTAGTGAGCCATGATCATGGCATTGCAATACAGCCTGGGTGACAGAGAAAGACTATGTCTCAAAAATAAATGAATAAATAAAAAGTAAATTTCATTTCAGACCGTGATCCTCCCTTACTTGAAAATATTCAGTGATTTCCCTTTGTCTTCAGCATAAAATGGACTTTCTTCTCATGGCTTAAATTCCCATTATGATCCACCTTTTGCTTCTCTCTCTGACCTCATCTTAATCTATACTCTCTCACTCCTTACCTTGTTTCATATGCAGATCTCCTGGCCTCCTTTCAGTTCCTCCTTCTTGTCGGCCTCATTCCTCTCCCGGAGACTTGGCTTTCACTGTGCTGCTCCAGTGGGGAATGCGCTTCTCTGATTTCTCCTTGAGCCTTTCCTCACCCTTCATAATTTACCTCAAATGTCATTTTCTCAGAAAAGTCATTCCTAACCACTTTATCTAAAGTTGCTGCCTTCCCAAGCAATCATCACCTCTCTCTACTTATTTTCTTCATTGCACTTATCAAACCTGAATTTATATTTTGTATGTAGCTTTTAATTTCCTTATAATCTGTCTCTCCCTACTAAAGTGTAACCTACAGAAGGATAGAAACCATGTCTTTTTATCTGTTTCTCTTCTGAAATTCTTAGAATTGCTCTTCAACAAAACCCTAGGCATCTGTGGTATGCTGAATAATGACACCCCAAAAAACGTCCATGTCCTTATCCCTGGAATATGTGATATATTACCATACATGGCAGAGGAGACTTTGCAGATGTGGTTAAGGTTATGGACCTTGAAATGCGGGAATATCCTGAATTACCTGAGTGGACTCAAGGTAAACACAAAGGCCCTTATGAGAAGGAGGCGAGAAAGTCAGAGGAAGACAAGGTGATGTGGAAAAAAAAAAGCAAAAAAGAGAGGAGTTGTGATGATGGAAGCAGAGGTCGAAATGATGTGGGGCCATGAACTGAAGAGTGCAGTTGGTCTCTGAAAGCTGGAAAAGTACAAGAAACAGATTCACCCTTAGGGCCTTCAGAGGAGACACAGCCCTGCCAGCATCTGGATTGTTAGCTCCCCAAAGCTGATTTTGAACTGCTCCCTCCAGAACTGTAATTTTAGTCCACTAAATTTTGTTAATTTACTAAATGTGCTAAATTTGTTAATTTTCTAAGTTTTAGCAAGAGGAAACAAAAACACCATCATTCTTGATTTTATCTCTTAGCGACTCAATGAATGTTTGCTGAATGCGTGTGTTTAATGCATAAGGAATGTTTATTGGCCTTTGAGAAGCTTACATTGCTGACTTTATTATTTTTTATGTCTTAGAACCAGGAGGTACGGCTATGCCCTTAAAACTATTTAGATAACCTTTCAATTAGGGTGTAATTTTGACTACCTTTTTAATCTACAAATTCATTTAAAATTCTTTCAGTGTGTCTATGACTGTAAGAAACTCTGTGGAGAATGTCTGGGTGAAGACATCACTATCAAGAAGTATATTGTTTAGATATGTGCTGCCCATTACCGTAGGCATTACCCACTTGTGCCTATTTACATTTAAATTTATATTATTAAAACTAAATTCAGTTTACTATTGCAGTAGCCACACTTCAACTCCTCAGTAGCCACAAGTGGCTGGTGGATACCAACTAGATAGTGTAGACATGGAACATTTCTGTCATCACAGAAAGTTCTTTCTTTCTTTCTTTCTTTCTTTCTTTCTTTCTTTCTTTCTTTCTTTCTTTCTTTCTTTCTTTCTTTCTTTCTTTTTTTTTTTTGAGACAGAGTCTCACTCTGTCACCCAGGCTGGAGTGCAGTGGCGCAATCTGGGCTCACTGCAAGCTCCGCCTCCCAGGTTCACGCCATTCTCCTGCCTCAGCCTCCCGAGTAGTTGGGACTACAGGGGCCCGCCACCACGCCCGGCTAATTTCTTCTTGTGCTTTTAGTAGAGACAGGGTTTCACCGTGTTAGCCAGGATGGTCTCGATCTCCTGACCTCGTGATTCACCCACCTCGGCCTCCCAAAGTGCTGGGATTACAGGCGTGAGCCACCACGCCCGGCCCCACAGAAAGTTCTTTTAGCACTGGTCCAGAGGGAGAAATATATTATTGAAGGACATTTCTTCATGGGTTTCTCATGTTTCTGCATGTCCAGTCTTCTCAAGGATGCACTTCACATCTTGAAATTGTGATCAGAAGCACTTCCTATCTTCTCAAGGATGTTTGTATAGCAAAAGTCTTAGAAGGTAGAGATAATCTCTCCTTCTGTAGCAAAGAGCAGATTTGTTTATTGTCCATTATAATAAAGATAATGTAGTCCTTTTTGACAAATGTCAGGAGAGTTTGCTTGCAGCCTATTTAAGATAATTTGTGTTCTGTGCCAACAGCCCACTGTATGTGTAGTATCCACATGTGCCTTTCTACATTGCCTTCATGGGATTTGGGGGCTAGCGGAAGGTACATGAGCATCAAGCTCCTGCTGCTTGCAGGCCATGAATAATAAAACCCTCTGTCTCTGACCTAGGAGTCTAGGGTCTTCTGCCAGCATCAGTGAAACTGTGGCTGACTAACCTGCTAGCTTGCAAGTAGGATAAATCTCAGGCTCTTCACAGTTTGTCAAATGGGTTTTGACAAGCAATTTCAAAAAATTATAGACATATTCTTTGCTTTGCCAAAAAATTTCTTTTAATAACTATTTAGTTTAGTTACAATATTATGTGATTTGCAAAAGTTCCTCAATATACTTCTTCCACCTCCCTCCAAACCCCACATGCACTCTTTCCAGGAATGTATGCTAAGCTATATATCCATCTATTTAGAAATGTATGTCAAGGAAGACAATAACCTACTTTGCAGATATTACTGCAGTCTACAAATAATGAAGTGTCAACAGAGTGAAAAGGGTTTTCGTATACTTTTCGACTGATTTTGCATTGGTATCCTCAGAATGCCCTATTCCACACCTTATTATACACTCAGTCTGAGAACAAAATAATGCACTCTGTATTTAATGATATCAAATAAGTCATTTTCACATATACATGAAAATATATACATATAGAATTCTGCTTTCAAGATTAGTTGTTTTGAAAGCATAATTGGCACCTATGTATATTTTAAAAGTGTGTTTATAAACTACAATTGTCTTTTCTCAGGGAAATAAATTACGGCATTCACTTACGGGATTCAAAGAAAAAATTTAAATATAATCAAAGCAGAATAGGAAGACTGGAACAACTGAACCTTAAAAAATAGAGCTGTCATTATTGACTCTTTTGTGGAATTGATTCTACACAAATATAGCATGCAAAATATTTTACCATGTCTTTTTTTCAGACTAATGATAAAAGTTGAGGTTCAGAATTTCCTCATCTTAGTTCTAACTCAAAAGACACCTCCTCCCTCAAACTTTCAGTCCTCCTATAAAATTAAATGACTGCTTTTTCATGCTTATAGTATCAACTGGACTTAGGTTTGCCTTTATTTAGTAAGGTATAAAAACAAATATAAATAGGATAAAGTGGCTTAAGTAAGATAGAGGTTTCTTTCTTTCCTCTGATAGTAAGTTTGCTCCATTATCCCCAGGGACTCAGATGGTTTGCCATTTACTATTCTCAGCACGTGGCTTTCTTGCTCAAAATTACCTCCTGGTCCAAGATGGTTTTTGGAAATCTGATTATAATGGTCCCATTCTAAGGATTAAGCAGTAGGGAAGAAGTCACCTCCTTTAAAGAGACTTTCTTGGAATTCTTGCAGAATGCTTGCTTACACTCTACCAGAGGTTGGTCGCATGGCTACCGCAGCTGCAAAGGAGGCTGAGAAACAGTTATTCTGGAGTTATATATCCAGCTAAAATTTGGGTTCCATTGCTTGAGGATGGATAAATGATAGCTCAGTAGAGAATGATCAATCTCAATTTTAATTAATTAGCAATCTTAATTCTTCTACTTAATTCTTACATTATCTCGTCTGATCATAGTTAATTTTCACATGAATGCTACCATCACTACAAACTCTATGTTTCTTGTAGGAAGAAATTTTGGATGATTTTTCTTCCTTCCCAGCACCTGTCAGCATCCTGCCATATAATCCATCATCAATCAGCATATGCTGGTTTTAATAGTATTTATTGAATAACACAGGATATTAAATATATCACTTTTTAGAAAGAGAACTCTCCATTGTCTTTAGTAAACTATATAATTCCCATGACAAAAGTCTATAAGGATAATTTTAATGTTCAAATCTTTATTTAAAACATGTCTCAGTAAACATTAGACAAATTACTTACTAGACAAATGAAATGAAATTTGAGTGTAGCCATAGAATTTATATTAATCTATTTTTGAATTAATTGACTCTCTCACTCATAAAATATTTGTAAAACTTTTTTGCTTGCAAAGCATTGTGGCAGACATTTGGTATATAAAGATGAATAAGGTGGAGTCCCTGCTTTCAAAGAACCGGAAATCTATGCACATCTATGGCATGCATGGTATCATTGCCTGTTATATACTTGTACATATGGCACAGGTTTTCAATTTCTTTGCATTTTGACGTAAGTAATTTTCTTTTGTAATATTTTCCTTTGATTGCCACCATAAAAAATTAATGGCCCTTTGGGCAGAGGATTAATTCACCCTTTGTGAAAAATCTATTCCAGAGTAGAACTGAGATAAATTGATAGAGTTTAATTATAAAATAAAGATTTTTAAAAAGACTTCTTTACCCCTTCATTTCTTCTGAGAAATTGTTGAATTTCTTTTTATGACCACATAAGATTTCTCTCAACAGGCTATCCTTTAAAGTCTAATATAGTCTGTTTCAATATCTTGTATGACCTTACAGAAATCCATAAATCTATTATATAAATTTTTTCTGGTTAGTATTAATATTGCCATTGTTCCAAATGGGTTTTATAACTTTTTTTCTATTGAATGCAGATTTACTTATTTCATTGCAGTGCTAAATTAATTTTGCTTCATTGTGGATTTTAGTCCCATGCCTATTTACTGCTAATCTTGTGTAGTGAATACCCGGATTCCAAGGCATTTTCTCTCCTGGCTGCCAAAGTGTTGCTTACTGATGGCTCACACTGAGTCCCTTGTACTCAGGATTGCTTTCAACCAAATATTAAGGCTCACGGAGATTAAGTGCACTTCTAAGAGGAAGTTCTCATGGAATGGCTCAATGATAGAAGGGATTCAAAGACCTGGCTGTCTTTCTTTAAATTAAGATATCTCTCCACGCCAAACCAACTTCACAGCTTTCCACAGGATGGGCTGAGGCCTCCACTGTGATTGCCATGCAGTAGCACTGAATAGTAACACTTCCATTGAATTGGGATGGGAGGCAGTTAAAGAGAATGCAGTGGTTGGGGCTATATCAGGTATTTGAGAAGTTTGGGACAATTAGTAATTACTAGACTATGGAATAGAGTGGCTCACGCTGAGTGCTATTATGTCTTAAAGAAAGACATGAAACACTTAGGGCAATTCATTACCCATTTTGGCTGGAGATTGAAGTGTGTATAGCCTCCTTGGAAACACAGAAAATCACACCTATTGAATTGAAGGGCAGAAAAAGCTGAGAATCAGGTCCAGAACTTAATTATAAGGCTGCTAGGCATATAAAATGTCTAAATTTTCAACCTCATAAAATCAGCTATGCTAAAATTAGCAGGTTGGATAAGTATGGCACCCTGAGATTTGAGATGGGAGACATCTGGGTTTATTCATTTGACAGTCTTGAATCCCTAGTTTTCTCTGAATGTCCTGGGTCTGCAGAAGTGGCCCCCCTCTTCGTGTTAAGAGCTAGCATTTCTGCATTGTTTGAAGACGATGCAAGTGCCTATGCCTCGTAAGACAACATATGTCCTTCCTACCATCTATTTGTATCTACTTCCACATCCTTTCTAGCTGTCAGATAAATAACAAAGGTTAAGCCACAGTATAAGCCAGTAAGGCAAGTGCTGGACATGCCATAAGAAGAAACAGACTCTACCTTGAATGGTTCTGTAAGACTTGGCCAATGTATATTAGCCAGGAGTATATGTATGGGGCTGGGTGCTGAGAGGCTGAGAGGAATAGAATATAAAGTTGGATAAGGGAAAATTTATTGATACGAGAGAACATTCCCATGATATAAGATTTAACTACCTGAAAAGAAACCAGGAGATGGTAACAAATTCTAGATTGGCTGTTCAAAGCTTGGAGAAAGCTATGGCCCATAGTAAGTAGGAATGCTAGACTTCCTGGCAGATGCCGGAAGAAAGGGAAAAAAAACTGAGATAATTGGATCTTCTAGAGATGATATGCTATGAAAAACTGGAACACCCACCAGCTACCTATGCTCCATGGGATGGCAAGGAAGACACTCTAATTTCTCAAAGCAAAAATAAATGTGTTGGTGAGAAGGAGCCCAATAGTGGCTGTACTTGGAACACTTGGGTTAATAGTAGAACTAGTCTTACAGAACAGGGTTCCCTAATAGCAATGGGGATGAAAGGATGATAGGAAAATAAGAGGAGACAGATGGCATACCTTAACCATCCAAAACAAGGTAGACATAATTACAACCCAAAGGACAAGGTTGACGTGATTTTCTTTTTTTTTTTTTTTTTTTTAGCAAATTTTTTTTGTAACTAGAGCATTGATTCATTTATATTTATTATTAAGATTATATATTATGACTTATTTTTGTCTTTTCTGTTTGTGCTATTTTTCTAATTTATTTATCTTTCTTAAATATTTCTGGATCTACAGTTTTTTTTTTTTTTTTTTTTTTTTACTTTTTAATTTTCTTTTTTTTTTTTTTTTTAATTTTTTTTTTTTATTATACTCTAAGTTTTAGGGTACATGTGCACATTGTGCAGGTTAGTTACATATGTATACATGTGCCATGCTGGTGCGCTGCACCCACTAACGTGTCATTTAGCATTAGGTATATCTCCCAATGCTATCCCTCCCCCCTCCCCCGACCCCACCACAGTCCCCAGAGTGTGATATTCCCCTTCCTGTGTCCATGTGATCTCATTGTTCAATTCCCACCTATGAGTGAGAATATGCGGTGTTTGGTTTTTTGTTCTTGCGATAGTTTACTGAGAATGATGGTTTCCAATTTCATCCATGTCCCTACAAAGGACATGAACTCATCATTTTTTATGGCTGCATAGTATTCCATGGCGTATATGTGCCACATTTTCTTAATCCAGTCTATCATTGTTGGACATTTGGGTTGGTTCCAAGTCTTTGCTATTGTGAATAGTGCCGCAATAAACATACGTGTGCATGTGTCTTTATAGCAGCATGATTTATAGTCCTTTGGGTATATACCCAGTAATAGGATGGCTGGGTCAAATGGTATTTCTAGTTCTAGATCCCTGAGGAATCGCCACACTGACTTCCACAATGGTTGAACTAGTTTACAGTCCCACCAACAGTGTAAAAGTGTTCCTATTTCTCCACATCCTCTCCAGCACCTGTTGTTTCCTGACTTTTTAATGATTGCCATTCTAACTGGTGTGAGATGATATCTCATAGTGGTTTTGATTTGCATTTCTCTGATGGCCAGTGATGATGAGCATTTCTTCATGTGTTTTTTGGCTGCATAAATGTCTTCTTTTGAGAAGTGTCTGTTCATGTCCTTCGCCCACTTTTTGATGGGGTTTGTTTTTTTCTTGTAAATTTGTTTGAGTTCATTGTAGATTCTGGATATTAGCCCTTTGTCAGATGAGTAGGTTGCGAAAATTTTCTCCCATGTTGTAGGTTGCCTGTTCACTCTGATGGTAGTTTCTTTTGCTGTGCAGAAGCTCTTTAGTTGAATTAGATCCCATTTGTCAATTTTGGCTTTTGTTGCCATTGCTTTTGGTGTTTTGGACATGAAGTCCTTGCCCACGCCTATGTCCTGAATGGTAATGCCTAGGTTTTCTTCTAGGGTTTTTATGGTTTTAGGTCTAACATTTAAATCTTTAATCCATCTTGAATTGATTTTTGTATAAGGTGTAAGGAAGGGATCCAGTTTCAGCTTTCTACATATGGCTAGCCAGTTTTCCCAGCACCATTTATTAAATAGGGAATCCTTTCCCCATTGCTTGTTTTTCTCAGGTTTGTCAAAGATCAGATAGTTGTAGATATGCGGCATTATTTCTGAGGGCTCTGTTCTGTTCCATTGATCTATATCTCTGTTTTGGTACCAGTACCAGGCTGTTTTGGTTACTGTAGCCTTGTAGTATAGTTTGAAGTCAGGTAGTGTGATGCCTCCAGCTTTGTTCTTTTGGCTTAGGATTGACTTGGCGATGCGGGCTCTTTTTTGGTTCCATATGAACTTTAAAGTAGTTTTTTCCAATTCTGTGAAGAAAGTCATTGGTAGCTTGATGGGGATGGCATTGAATCTATAAATTACCTTGGGCAGTATGGCCATTTTCACGATATTGATTCTTCCTACCCATGAGCATGGAATGTTTTTCCATTTGTTTGTGTCCTCTTTTATTTCCTTGAGCAGTGGTTTGTAGTTCTCCTTGAAGAGGTCCTTCACATCCCTTGTAAGTTGGATTCCTAGGTATTTTATTCTCTTTGAAGCAATTGTGAATGGGATTGCACTCATGATTTGGCTCTCTGTTTGTCTGTTGTTGGTGTATAAGAATGCTTGTGATTTTTGTACATTGATTTTGTATCCTGAGACTTTGCTGAAGTTGCTTATCAGCTTAAGGAGATTTTGGGCTGAGACGATGGGGTTTTCTAGATAAACAATCATGTCGTCTGCAAACAGGGACAATTTGACTTCCTCTTTTCCTAATTGAATACCCTTTATTTCCTTCTCCTGCCTGATTGCCCTGGCCAGAACTTCCAACACTATGTTGAATAGGAGCGGTGAGAGAGGGCATCCCTGTCTTGTGCCAGTTTTCAAAGGGAATGCTTCCAGTTTTTGCCCATTCAGTATGATATTGGCTGTGGGTTTGTCATAGATAGCTCTTATTATTTTGAAATACGTCCCATCAATACCTAATTTATTGAGAGTTTTTAGCATGAAGGGTTGTTGAATTTTGTCAAAGGCTTTTTCTGCATCTATTGAGATAATCATGTGGTTTTTGTCTTTGGCTCTGTTTATATGCTGGATTACATTTATTGATTTGCGTATATTGAACCAGCCTTGCATCCCAGGGATGAAGCCCACTTGATCATGGTGGATAAGCTTTTTGATGTGCTGCTGGATTTGGTTTGCCAGTATTTTATTGAGGATTTTTGCATCAATGTTCATCAAGGATATCGGTCTAAAATTCTCCTTTTTGGTTGTGTCTCTGCCTGGCTTTGGTATCAGAATGATGCTGGCCTCATAAAATGAGTTAGGGAGGATTCCCTCTTTTTCTATTGATTGGAATAGTTTCAGAAGGAATGGTACCAGTTCCTCCTTGTACCTCTGGTAGAATTCGGCTGTGAATCCATCTGGTCCTGGACTCTTTTTGGTTGGTAAACTATTGATTATTGCCACAATTTCAGAGCCTGTTATTGGTCTATTCAGAGATTCAACTTCTTCCTGGTTTAGTCTTGGGAGAGTGTATGTGTCGAGGAATGTATCCATTTCTTCTAGATTTTCTAGTTTATTTGCGTAGAGGTGTTTGTAGTATTATCTGATGGTAGTTTGTATTTCTGTGGGATCGGTGGTGATATCCCCTTTATCATTTTTTATTGTGTCTATTTGATTCTTCTCTCTTTTTTTCTTTATTAGTCTTGCTAGCGGTCTATCAATTTTGTTGATCCTTTCAAAAAACCAGCTCCTGGATTCATTGATTTTTTGAAGGGTTTTTTGTGTCTCTATTTCCTTCAGTTCTGCTCTGATTTTAGTTATTTCTTGCCTTCTGCTAGCTTTTGAATGTGTTTGCTCTTGCTTTTCTAGTTCTTTTAATTGTGATGTTAGGGTGTCAATTTTTGATCTTTCCTGCTTTCTCTTGTAGGCATTTAGTGCTATAAATTTCCCTCTACACACTGCTTTGAATGCGTCCCAGAGATTCTGGTATGTGGTGTCTTTGTTCTCGTTGGTTTCAAAGAACATCTTTATTTCTGCCTTCATTTCGTTATGTACCCAGTAGTCATTCAGGAGCAGGTTGTTCAGTTTCCATGTAGTTGAGCGGCTTTGAGTGAGATTCTTAATCCTGAGTTCTAGTTTGATTGCACTGTGGTCTGAGAGATAGTTTGTTATAATTTCTGTTCTTTTACATTTGCTGAGGAGAGCTTTACTTCCAACTATGTGGTCAATTTTGGAATAGGTGTGGTGTGGTGCTGAAAAAAATGTATATTCTGTTGATTTGGGGTGGAGAGTTCTGTAGATGTCTATTAGGTCTGCTTGGTGCAGAGCTGAGTTCAATTCCTGGGTATCCTTGTTGACTTTCTGTCTCGTTGATCTGTCTAATGTTGACAGTGGGGTGTTAAAGTCTCCCATTATTAATGTGTGGGAGTCTAAGTCTCTTTGTAGGTCACTCAGGACTTGCTTTATGAATCTGGGTGCTCCTGTATTGGGTGCATAAATATTTAGGATAGTTAGCTCCTCTTGTTGAATTGATCCCTTTACCATTATGTAATGGCCTTCTTTGTCTCTTTTGATCTTTGTTGGTTTAAAGTCTGTTTTATCAGAGACTAGGATTGCAAACCCTGCCTTTTTTTGTTTTCCATTTGCTTGGTAGATCTTCCTCCATCCTTTTATTTTGAGCCTATATGTGTCCCTGCACGTGAGAAGGGTTTCCTGAATACAGCACACTGATGGGTCTTGACTCTTTATCCAACTTGCCAGTCTGTGTCTTTTAATTGCAGAATTTAGTCCATTTATATTTAAAGTTAATATTGTTATGTGTGAATTTGATCCTGTCATTATGATGTTAGCTGGTGATTTTGCTCATTAGTTGATGCAGTTTCTTCCTAGTCTCGATGGTCTTTACATTTTGGCATGATTTTGCAGCGGCTGGTACCGGTTGTTCCTTTCCATGTTTAGCGCTTCCTTCAGGAGCTCTTTTAGGGCAGGCCTGGTGGTGACAAAATCTCTCAGCATTTGCTTGTCTATAAAGTATTTTATTTCTCCTTCACTTATGAAGCTTAGTTTGGCTGGATATGAAATTCTGGGTTGAAAATTCTTTTCTTTAAGAATGTTGAATATTGGCCCCCACTCTCTTCTGGCTTGTAGGGTTTCTGCCGAGAGATCCGCTGTTAGTCTGATGGGCTTTCCTTTGAGGGTAACCCGACCTTTCTCTCTGGCTGCCCTTAACATTTTTTCCTTCATTTCAACTTTGGTGAATCTGACAATTATGTGTCTTGGAGTTGCTCTTCTCGAGGAGTATCTTTGTGGCGTTCTCTGTATTTCCTGAATCTGAATGTTGGCCTGCCTTGCTAGATTGGGGAAGTTCTCCTGGATAATATCCTGCAGAGTGTTTTCCAACTTGGTTCCATTCTCCACATCACTTTCAGGTACACCAATCAGACGTAGATTTGGTCTTTTCACATAGTCCCATATTTCTTGGAGGCTTTGCTCATTTCTTTTTATTCTTTTTTCTCTAAACTTCCCTTCTTGCTTCATTTCATTCATTTCATCTTCCATTGCTGATACCCTTTCTTCCAGTTGATCGCATCGGCTCCTGAGGCTTCTGCATTCTTCACGTAGTTCTGGAGCCTTGGTTTTCAGCTCCATCAGCTCCTTTAAGCACTTCTCTGTATTGGTTATTCTAGTTATACATTCTTCTAAATTTTTTTCAAAGTTTTCAACTTCTTTGCCTTTGGTTTGAATGTCCTCCCGTAGCTCAGAGTAATTTGATCGTCTGAAGCCTTCTTCTCTCAGCTCGTCAAAATCATTCTCCATCCAGCTTTGTTCTGTTGCTGGTGAGGAACTGCGTTCCTTTGGAGGAGGAGAGGCGCTCTGCGTTTTAGAGTTTCCAGTTTTTCTGTTCTGTTTTTTCCCCATCTTTGTGGTTTTATCTACTTTTGGTCTTTGATGATGGTGATGTACAGATGGGTTTTCGGTGTAGATGTCCTTTCTGGTTGTTAGTTTTCCTTCTAACAGACAGGACCCTCAGCTGCAGGTCTGTTGGAATACCCTGCCGTGTGAGGTGTCAGTGTGCCCCTGCTGGGGGGTGCCTCCCAGTTAGGCTGCTCGGGGGTCAGGGGTCAGGGACCCACTTGAGGAGGCAGTCTGCCCGTTCTCAGATCTCCAGCTGCGTGCTGGGAGAACCACTGCTCTCTTCAAAGCTGTCAGACAGGGACACTTAAGTCTGCAGAGGTTACTGCTGTATTTTTGTTTGTCTGTGCCCTGCCCCCAGAGGTGGAGCCTACAGAGGCAGGCAGGCCTCCTTGAGCTGTGGTGGGCTCCACCCAGTTCGAGCTTCCCGGCTGCTTTGTTTACCTAAGCAAGCCTGGGCAATGGCGGGCGCCCCTCCCCCAGCCTCGCTGCCGCCTTGCAGTTTGATCTCAGACTGCTGTGCTAGCAATCAGCGAGATTCCGTGGGCGTAGGACCCTCTGAGCCAGGTGTGGGATATAGTCTCGTGGTGCGCCGTTTCTTAAGCCGGTCTGAAAAGCGCAATATTCGGGTGGGAGTGACCCGATTTTCCAGGTGCGTCCGTCACCCCTTTCTTTGACTCGGAAAGGGAACTCCCTGACCCCTTGCGCTTCCCAGGTGAGGCGATGCCTCGCCCTGCTTCGGCTCGCGCACGGTGCGCACACACACTGGCCTGCGCCCACTGTCTGGCACTCCCTAGTGAGATGAACCCGGTACCTCAGATGGAAATGCAGAAATCACCCGTCTTCTGCGTTGCTCACGCTGGGAGCTGTAGACCGGAGCTGTTCCTATTCGGCCATCTTGGCTCCTCCTCCTCGGTTGACGTGATTTTCATGGGGCCATAACCAACAGATAGCAATGCAAATGGGTTTTAGAGCAAAACAAATCTATGATCCAGATAAATGACAAGTGTGCTTGAAGTCCTAGGAAGACACACTCACTTCAGAGGTAGTGAGGTAAACTCTGTGACAATTAAAGGACCCACCGCATTACTGATGTTTCCAAGAGCTTCTGTTGTCTGGGATATGTTGAAACATCCACTATGAAGTAAAATTCATAGAAGAAGAAAAGCAAAATGACTACTAGGCATCTTTGGAATCTGGAGGGAGCATTTTCCACAACTTAAAAATATTGGTTTGACCAATGTACACAATGACACGTGAAGCTACCATCCCTGAATAGAGACTATAAAAGAAAATGGGCTCTGCAGCAGTTCCAGGTTGCAGTACCAGCAGGCTTTCCATGGGACCATACGATCTGACAGATATGTCCCTGATGGGAAAAGTATCATGTGGAGTTTATATCAAGACTAATAGGAGGACTAGCGTATAGATCCATAGATTTCTGAAGGCAGGACCTTGCATTTCTCATCAGAGAAGTATGCACCCTTCCAAGCTTTTTGTTTGCTACTGAGTCCTGGTAGAACTAAAACAACTTGTCATGTGACACTGAGTGAACATTTGTCTAGAGGTGCCCATAATAAACTGGGTTCTATCAAACTCATCAAGTTCTAAGACTGTACATGTGTAGCAATAAATATTAATAAGAGTAATGTCAAAGCAATGCATCCTGAATCATGTACAAGCTATGTCAAAAGGCACAAGTGAGGTATGTGTGCAAGGATCCCCATTTCCCATATTAGCTGCCACTGTTGCACAGGTGCTTCTCCCTGAGCTCACCTGCTTAGCCCACATCTGGAGCTGCAGGAAGGGTGTCTTAAGAGCATCTAACTAGGCAGGAAAATAGCCCAATATTGTTTATGGATAGGTTGGTGCTGTAATTTTGTACAAAATGAAAATGGACTGCTGCTGCCCAGGAGCCTCGGTCTGATGTAGTTCTGAAAAGTGGCAATAAAGGAAAATTAAAGGGGAGAACTTTGTGAGGCACACTTTATCATTCACGTTGCATGAAAAAAGAAGTAGCCCAAGCTTAGAGTATATATAGACTCAAGAGCAGTGGTGAATGGCTTGTCTGGCTGTTAATGGACCTTGAAGGATCAAGATTGGCATGTCAAGGACAGGGACACCTTATGAAGCCATGTGCATTGATTTATGGGAGTGGGCATAGGGTGAAGGTCTTAGGATCCCATGTTTAATGCCCACTGGAGAGCATTAATCACAGGATAGGTATAAACATAGATAGGAGGACTTGGCCATATGTCAGGCAGCATTACTATCATCCACTCCAGAGGTGGCACAGTTGGCTTGTGAACAGATGAGCCACTGTGGCAGAGAAGGGAGCAGCACATGAGCCCAATGACGTGAGCTTTCACCCACCAAGGCTGGTCATTTGCTGAATGCCAGTTGGCCAGAATTAGAGATCAATGCTGAGCTCCTTATAGGATGTTACTCTTTGAGAAGACCAACTGGACATTGTGGCAAGTTGATTACAATGTAGCTGTTCTGCCCTGGAAGAGACAACAGTTGACATTGAATGGAACCATCATATATTTTAGGTATATGTGAGCTCCTGCTCACAGAGCCTGAGCCAGCACCACTCTCTGAGAGCTCATAGAGAATTTGATCTTCTGACATATGATCCTGCTTAATATTACATTGGACCAAGGAATGAAATTTGTAGCAAAGGAGGTGAGGCAGAGGATATATCTAGACATTCTATTATATACTGGACTATTCTGAAACTGGCATCGGAAGTAAATTTTTTGAAGATGCAGTTACCCTGTGATAACGGGGTGAGAGCCTCCATAATACAGTACACACACTAAATTAGTTACAGTTCTATGGAGCTGTGTTTCCAAAAGGCAGAATATATTGTCTGAGAACCCAAAGTGGCAATAGGATTGGACGTGCATCTCATTGCTCCTAGTGACCTACTTGGGGGAGTTTGTATGTCTGAGCCACATAATTCTTGGCTTTGTAGGATAAAAGGTCTTTATCCTGTGGGGGAAATTTGCTACTAGTTAATAAAACGGTGTCCCATTAAATTTTAAGTGATATCTGCCACCCATTTCTTTGAGCTTCTTGTGCTTAAAAGAAAAGAAATATCCTTTAGGAGTTAGTGACTCTGACTGTGAAAAGTTGGTAGGGCTGTTATTATGTAATGCAGAAAGGTTGTGTCTGGCATCCAGATATACTGAAACTTGAGAATTCCATTCTATATGGAGAAGTTCACCTATAAGGGCTTGGTGATCAGTGGCTCCAAACCTCTCAGGAATAAAGGTCTGAATCTACCCACCAGGTAAGCTACGTAGACAGGAACATTGTTAGCTAAAGAAGAATGTGAGTCTAGAATGGATAGTAGAGGAGGAAGATGATGAATATTAGTTGCAACCTTGCAGACAGCAGTAACAGGTTTTATAGTTTATTCCACTAGCTTCTTATAAATTTCTCTAGGAAAAAACAAAACAAAACAAATTAGAATCTTTGATGATAAAGTCAACATATTTATGAAGCAAGTAGCAATTAATAGTGCAAGGGAGGTATTGTAGTGGTTGATAAAGTGCACTGCCCAGATCACCCCATCAGAACTAAGGCAGTCATTCCCCAAGATGCTGAGAGCAATATCTGCTCAAGGTTCAAAGTTGAGTCCCTCCTAAAGACTTGTCCTCAGCCAAAGAAAGCTGCCTAAAATTATGCCACCTCTCCAGGGCAAGCCTATATGCAATGACTAGTCAATGAGATGATCAACATTCTGGCTCCTTTTCTCAATGGTAAACAACTCAAAGGAACATCCTTGTTGCATAATTCCCCAATGGGATCAACTGAGGACATTGTTGCAACTTAGTCTCAACTCAATTTTTCTTTCTGCCTATTCCTGTTACCTTTACTCCCTTACAGATGTTGCTCTCAAGAGCGCTCCTTAATAAAATTCCTTGATGCAAATCTCCATTTCAGAGTTTGTTCCTGGGGAATGCCAATGATACTGCTTTGTTCTCTCTGGTATTTTTTAAAAAGTTTTTTCGGTAATGCCTTATTATTTTTCTATTTTATCTCATAGCTAATAATAATTTTTTATTCTACTATAAAATATTCTACTATAAAATTAAGCTTGGTGAATGCATATTCTTCTGTAATTTATGTCTTCTAGTCCATTGTATATATTTGATTCAATACTTACTCTTAGCTCACTGACTAATCTTATGGGAAACATTTTATCTGATTTGTGCTTTTCCAAAGAACCCTATTTATTTCAGTATCATTATACTATCTATTAGGATTATATATCATTTTCTAATAAATGTGGGGTTCAAGTTCCTTCAATTTCATCCTAGGAAGCAGATGTTTAAAATTCATGCAGAGATGTTACTCTCCTGCTTCAGTGCAGGTTTCATTAAATGTATAAATCAAAAATGTCTTTTTGCAGGATAGAGCAAATCAAGATTCAAATAAGTAAGTAAAATATTGCTCTTGGCAGGGCTGATGGATTTTCTATCCATTGTCTTTATCAATTTCTACAAATCACAATGGCCTCATCCATTTTTCAGTTTTACACAGTACCTTTTTTTGTGTCCATCTATCCATCCTGCTGAGATCTATGGAGCATCTTGTGTAAGATGCAACATTATCCATGCCCCCAAAATACACGATGCTGGTAACAGCTAAGTTTATTAGTTATGGTAACTTACAAGGAGAGAAGAGAGTGCAGGATCTCTCATAGTTGTTACCCAGGGTCATGTCTGTGCCAGTGTTAGTGGTGGTAGTTATCCACATGGGTCTGCAGCAGCCTCAATTCTTGCCTCCTCAGAAGAAAGAATTTGACTGAGGGGCATAAGGCAGAAGGGAGACCGAGGCAAGTTTTAGGTCAGGAGTGAAAGTTTATTAAAAAGCTTTGCTGAGTAATTTTTTTTAAAAAAAAGGAAATGAAAGGAAGGAAAGTATACTTGGAAGAGGGCCAAGCGGGTGCCTTGAGAGACCAAGTGTGCGGCTTGACATCTTGACCCAAGGTGTTATACGTTGGCATACTTCCAGGGTCTTGCCTTACTTCAGTTCTGAGATCTTATCAGGAAGCTGCTAATCACCAGATTCAGGTGTTTTCTATCTATTAGGGGACTGCTTCCCTGGCACCAGCTGTGACCAATTAAGAGCACGAGTTAACAACCGCCTGCCCATCACCTGATGGTGACCCAACACTTCTGGTGTGTGTGTGTGGGTGGGGGGAGCCCTCTCCTGCCCTGCTCATACCTGACTAGCTATAGCTACCTACTGTAACACCAGCAGCCTGAACATGCAGCTAAGAGCACCTTAAGAGGGAGGAAATCCCTCCTAATGTGAGCTCCACACTTGGATGTTGGTCTGAAATGGGTCTATTGGTTTGCTAGGGCTGCCATAATAAAGTATTTCAGACTGTCTGGCTTAAACAAGAGAACTTTATTGTATCACAGTCTTGGAGACTAGAAGTCCAAGGTGTAGGCGTTGGAAGTGTTGGTTTCCCTGAGGCCTTTATCCTTGGTTTGCAGATGGTTCCCTGTATGTGCACATGATCTTTTCTCTGTGTCTGTTTCCTAATTTCCTCTTCTTATAAGGATACCAACCCCATTGAATTTGGGATCACTCTAATGACCTCACTTTAATGTAATTAACTCTTCAAAGATCCTGTCTCCTGAGGTACTGGAGGTTAGGACTTCAACATATGAATTTTGGGGAGGACAAAATTTAGCCCACAGCAAGGGGGTAGGGAACACCTACTTACTCTTTCAAGTAAAAAGAAATAGAAAAAAGGCCCTCTGGACCCAGCACAGTGCTGTGGAGAATGCATACTTTGGTGGGTCAAGATCTGCATACTGAGAATCCCAGGAACAGTGATAAAAACGCTCCAAGGCTCTGCTGTCTTTCTGCAAAATGTCTTGGTGTAGGTGAGCTGGCTTGTTGCTGTACATCAGGTAATGAGGAAGGAGAAAAGTCCCCATAGACAGCTAAAACTGTATATGGATTTGGCTCCCTTCGTACCTGCTGTATAACGGGCACTATTTCATTTGCCATTGATCTCTGCACATCTGGTGGGACATTCACTTGTAAATTTAGAGTGGCTTCCATAGGGAAAGATGTTTACCTATAGATGGGTCCTGGGGTGTCACTAGGGCAGTCTGTGTTGTTTCTGATTCTAGGTGGGCACAGTAGCATAGCTTCCATTCAGCTTCTTCAACTGTGATCAATGTCAGCAATGGCTGTGGGTACCTCACTGGCCAAGGCTGTAGAAGTTCATGGCAGTGATAGTGAAAGTGTCGGTTGTTAGGGTTCTCAGTGGCAAGGGCTTTAGTTGTCCTTTCATTCTCATTCTTTCCCCAGTGGGGAGGCTTGGTTGGAGAGATCCCTCTTGGTGTCTGGTCTGACATGACCCACAGCGGTCACAGCTACACTGTATTCCAGGGCATAGGAGCGACTGTGAAGCTGGTATCCTGGGCTTGGTGTCCTGTTAAACTAGGTATCCCATGGCACCTGTGTTGTGGGTGCAAGTTCACTCTCTGAGGCATGGGTAGATGCAGCTCTCCCACAAGGCCATGGGATGTGACTCTGAGGCACTCCCCAGTAGCTTGGGCCCGGGGAGTAGAGAAACAGCTGTGACTCTGATCCTGGGAGTCAGTCAGCAGCACTAGCACAGCTCCAGAGAAGAAGGGGTGTTCCAGAGGATTGGGCCCTGGGGAGCTGGGCACAGCTTTGGGTCTCAGAGCCAACACGGCACAGTGGTAACTTGAGCACCCGGGGAGGAGATGTTGCCTTGTGATGACTCTGGATGTTGGGAGGTGAGGCCCAGCAGATACCCCGGTTCTGCAAGGCTAGATTCAGTGGTAGCAGGGACTCAGGAAAAGTGAGGCACAGTGGTGGCTTGGGATCTGAGGGTGGAGAGCAGCACAATGATGACTCTATTCCCCAGGGATGTGGGGTGCCTCAGCAGCTCAGACTCTGGAAAGGCTAATCCAGGTTTTGGGGCCCAGGGGTTGTTCAGCCCAGAGGGTGAGGTGGCACAGCCCAGTCAAGGCTCGGCCTCTCTGGGGGTGGGGCACCGTATCAGCTTGGGGTAAAGGTGCTCCACCAGACCAGTACTTCTGGTCACCAGGGAACAGGGCACCAAGTTGTCTGGGGCACCTGGGGTGCAGCTGCTTCGCTGGGCCAAAGCTCAGATTCCCAAGGGGGCTGGGTACTATGTTGGCTCAGGTGCTGGGTTTGTGACTGCACCACTGGACTGAAGCTCCTGGTTCCCCAAGGAGTGGTGTGCCAGTCAACTCAGGCTCCAATGGGTGTGGCTGCTCTGTGGAGCTGGTGCTTTTGGTCCCAAGAGGGTAGGGTGCTGCATGGGTTCTGGCATGAGGGTCATGACGGCTTCCCTGGGCTGAAGCTCCAGTTCCCGTGGGGTTTAGGCAGGGGCTGGTTCTGGCACAGGGGTTGGTAGTAGCAGCTGCTCTGCAGGTACGAGGCTTTGAGTAGCTGTGGGTTGGAGCACAGCTGCAATGGTGCTAGGGGAGATAGAGTGCCTCTGAGGCAATTTGGCTGCAGCAACTCAGGTGGGGAATGGTGCGCCATCGTGTATGTGAGCAGGTGCAACGATGGAAGATCCTCAGAGATGCAGGGATCAGTGGCTAGTGGCCCCTGGAGCAGGATGCCCTCTAGCAGTGGCTCCACTTTTAAGACGGCATGAGCAGTGACAATCTGGCCATATGAAATGGGGCACAATCCAGGCTTCTTCCCTGGAGTATTGCTTCCATGAAAACTTCAGGCAGCTCCCTAAGCTGGGCTCAGGGCCTGTGAGGACTGCAGAATCCTCCAGTAGCAAAGACTGCAGGTGTCCTTCACAGTAATGGGGGCTGCTAGGAGCCTCCTACTCACCTTTTCCCTGCAGGGGGAAGTCTCTCCTGGTTGTGAGCTGATCCCTACCAGGTAAATGAGGCAGGTGGAGGAGGTGGATGTTTCCTTCCCTTTTTCCTTGGGGCTATCCTGAGTTTCTGTGCTCCACAGGGTTTCTGCCACTCCCTTGCTATACTTTGACACGTTCCTTTAGTCACTCTGGTCAAAATGTAGTTGCTTATTGTGTTGGTCCTTTTTTGTGTTTGTGGGAGAGTAGCATTTTGCACCTTCTTGCTCATTTATCAGTTTTTTATAAAGGATATTTCAAAGGATATTAATAAAGAGCCAGAGGAAGAGATGCATATGACAAGGCCTAGAAGGGTCCTAAGCACAGGAGCTGCTGTCTTAGTGGATTTGGGGTGCATCAACTTCCGGACACGTGGATATATTCACCAACCTTGAAGGCTGTCACGTCTTGTTCAAGAATTTTTACAGAGTTTGATCTCCAGAGTTGTATAGAGTTTGATCCAGAGGTCAGTGGGTGGGGCTGAAGGTTCCAACCCTCTAATCCTCTTCAGTTGGTCTTTCTGATGGTGACTGGCCCCATCTTGGGGCCATCCAGGGGCGCCACCCAAAGCAACCTTATTAGCATAAATTCAAGATTTATCAAAGGGGCTTATTGTGAATATAAAAGATACTCCTATCAGGAAATTCCAAGGATGTTAGGAGCTCTGTGACAAGAACCAGGGACAAAAATCACATATATTTCATATTAAACCACAGGTACTCTAGCCAGAAACCACAAAGCATTCCAGCTGACCTCAGATGCATGGGCAAACTTAGTTGAGATCACCCAGTTCAGGCCTAGACCAGAAGAACTAGCAGATGGCCTATAGATTATTGAGGACATTAAATACTTGTTTTAAGTTGATGAGTTTTGGCATGGTTTGTTATGCACTAACAGCTAATTAATACATATGATAAAAACCATTTACTAAAATGAAAATAGATATAGGAAAAATAAACTAAATCCAGGGAAGAAATTAAAACATAAAACGCCTACTGTTACAGTAGGTAGCTAGTCAAGTATGAACAGGGCAGGAGAGGGCTTCCCCCCCCACCACACACCAGGAGTGCTGGGCAACCCTCAGGTGATAGTCAGGTGGTTGTTAACTGTCTCCCTAAAGTAATAATTGATCACAGCTGGTGCCAGGGAACGGCATTCTCCTAATAGAAAACATCTGAAACTGATCAGCAGCTTCACAATAAGATCTCAGGAGTGGAGAGAAGTAACACAAGATCCCGGAATTACGCCAACATATAAAATCCCAAGTCAAGCGGCCAAGCGGCACACTTGGTCTCTCAAGTCACCCATTAGGCCCTCTTCCAAGTGTACCTTCCTTTCTTTTCTTCTTTTCCTCACTTATGTAAAACTTTTTAATAAACTTTCACTCCTGCTTTAAAACTTACTTTAGCCTCTCCTTCTGCCCCTCAGTCAAATCCTTTCTTCTGAGGAGGCAAGAATTGAGGTTGCTGCAGACCCATGCAGATTACCACTGTGATATGGTTCGGCTGTGTCCCGCCCCCCACAATCTCATGTTGAAATGTAGCTCCCATAATTCCGAAGTGTTGTGGAAGGGACCCGGTGGGAGGTAATTGAATCATGGGGGCGGGTCTTGCCCATGCTGTTCTCGTGATAGCGAATAAGTCTCACGAGATCTGATGGTTTTATAAATGAAAGCTCCCTACACACACTCCTTTTTGCCTGCCGCCAGGTAAGATGTCCGTTTGGTCTTCTTCGTCTTCTGCCATGACTGTGAGGTTCCCCTCAGCTGTGTGGAACTGGGAGTCCATTAAACTTCTTTGATTTATAGACGACCCAGTTTCAGGTATGTCTTTATTAGCAGCATGAGAATAGACTAACATATACCAGTAACAATACTACAAAATATGTGCATTTGTTAGAGGTAGGCTGAATATTCTGTTTTGAGCTTTACAGCAACCAATGGAAGGAGGACTAGGCCACCTATTATATGACACATAATATAAACAAGATAGCAGTAAGCCAGTGATAACTATGCCTTTGACATTTCTAATAGACCTTGGAGTGAAATTATGCCACATTTGAAATTGAAATTGAATTTGAAATTGCAGAAGAAATGAAGTAAAATGCAGCTCTCTTGGGTTTTAACCACTTTTTTTCTCCCCTCGTGGAAAGGTTTTGATTAGTAGAATGTTTTTACCACTGCTACTTTCACACTACCTTTTTATTCCTCTTTCATATTCTTTGCTTCACATCATTTTTCTTGCCTTTCCTTATCTCCCTCCATTTATACTCACTGGTAAAGGCCTACAGAGATTAGAATGGAAAAGCACTAAAAAATATTAGGTCAAGATTAATTGGGAAGGATATTCTGATTAAAATTTTTGCCTTCGTAATATATTTAGGTACATGACCTTTCATGCTATTCATCATCTAAAATGCTTCAGTAGTTAATGAACTTTCCCATTTCACAAGTTTATCTGATATATTAATTAGAATTAACAATTTATCAGTGGAAGCCTATACCAAAAGAATGTTTTGTGTCAAAATTGCAAATTATTTACTAGCAAGTTTAGAAATATATCACCAGCATGTTTTCAAACAAATCTTTGACTATGTGCTAACATATACCCCTCTGCTTTGTTGGCTTCTGAAAGAGCTATTATCAGGTTCTATCTTCAAAACTTAATAGATTTTCTTTCTTCAGTCATCTCTTTACTGTAAATCATTAAAAAAATGCTTACCGGAAAAAAAAATACTGGCCACAACCAGAAAAAATAACAGTTACCAGAGTAGTAGTTGCTAGAACATGAAGACTAATTAGCTCTTCTGGTGCCAATAAAATAAATTGCTATTGGCCATGGTAATGTCTCTATTCCAGTCTATAAGTGCTTGAGGCAGTAAAGTGCTAATGATAGGTACCTTGAGGACCTGAGAGGATGCAGCTGGTCGAAAAAAATTTGAACATGTACTAATTTCATATAAATTTTCGTGACATAGAGGATTCTCAGAGATCTGTGGAATGATAAATGGAAAATTGGACACTAAAGTATACAAGTCAAAAAATACAAAAATGTCCCTTCTCTGAGACAAGTTTTGAAGCAGGTAATTATTTTTTCATGGTCTGTAAAAACAGTGAAAAAGTCTTTGGTTGAGCAGCTGAAAAGAGTTGCTGAACTCATTAACCCTTTCTTGATCTATTTCTCCTTCTCTCTCCTTTTTTTTTCTTTTTCTGAATTGGAGTTTCAGAATAAGTCAATAGAGGAAATGCTATGTTAAATGGTAGTTAAGAAGGAAGCACAGGAAACATCTATCTGCTCTCCTGTTACCAGGAATGCTGGAAAAACTGAGGTGTTGGAATCAAAGTCCCAGGTGTTTTGATGAAAATGAATCCTAAGTGAATGTGTTCTACTCAGTCTAATTTGCATACACTCTTTCAGCTTTAAGTGTGAATCAGTGAGCTGATTTCTAAATTTCTGATGGAAAAGCTAAAACAAAGATGAAGAGAGCAAAGTTTAGAGAAGCAGACTGGAAGATGATTCCCAATGATCCCAGACACCTGGGATTTACAACCTTATGTAATCCCCTCCGTTTGAGAGCAGTCTGCACTTACTGATGAAGAGGCTACAGCAGGAGTGATGGAAAATCATTTCTGTGATTAATTTACACACAAAAAAGTAGCTTCTGTCTTGAGAGACCTTTCGCCCTTTCTCACTCTCCCAGAGAGAGCACTTACTCTGGGAGAAACAAGCTGCTGTGTCATGAGTAACGGATGGAGAGTCCCAGGTGGCAAAAAAAATCTCATGTCTTTGGTCACTAGCCAGTGAGGACCTGAGGCCTGGTGATGGCCAAGTGCATGAGCTTAGAAGAGGATCCTCCCCTGGCAGATCCTGGAGGTGACTGCAGTCCTCATTGATACCTTCCTTGATTGCAGCCGTGAGAGTCCCTGAGCCACAGGCAGTGGCCCAGTCTCACCTGTGTTCCACAGGTGAGGTAGTGAAGATTTGTTGTTTGAAGCTGATATTTTTTTTAGGGGAAAACACAATAATAAACTAAGAGGTAATTTGATTCCTCCATCTTGTATCTTAGTTTCTACTCTCCATGTCTATTTTCTAAGTTTTCATGTTTTTGTTTTACTTTACCTTTGAGACTCCTTGGACTAGTTTTTCTTGGTGTTTATGTCCTAAGGGCATGCAATGGAGAATCTGAGGGAATAGGCCAAAGCGGTATAAAGTCCCTGGTTTTCTATGTATCTGGTTCTGGTGTTTAGATAAGGTCTTCATTTGCAGAGCAGAGCCACTCCACCTCCTCTCATGCAATGGACAGAGCATAGAAAGAAATGTGGGGCAGAAGGTTGTGCTGGGAACTCCTTTGCTTTCATTCTACTCATCAGTTATCTTGCATTTGATTTTTTTTCAAAGCATCTAAAAGAGGAAAATGTTGTTCTTTCAGGTTCTGATTTTTTGTAGCCAGTCTAACTAAACATTAGTTCTGTGTCTTTTTCAAATGTGACTTTCTCTTCTGACTGGGCAAATTTAAATTGCAACCCCTTGTCCTATCTCCACCTTCCTTACCACTTCGAACTTCCTCAATTTTTTTCTTACAGCATCACTTTATCACCAGCTAACATAATGTATAAGCAAATCATGTTTGCTTACATATTACACTTATTTATGTGTCCACTAATTACAGTATTAAAAAATCCATAAGGAGTTTGTCTGTTTTTATTCACTGTTGTATTTTAATTGCCAAAAAGACTCACTAAGTGTCTGTTGAATTAACTAATTTATTAATTAGTAGTGTTCTGGAAAATTATAATGATAATGTAGGGAGATTGAACATCTATCTTCTGATTAAAAGATGAGGAAACAGAGCTAAGGCATAAAAATAACTTTGCCAAAGTCGCTTATTTAATAATGGAATAAGGACTATATACTAGATTTCAAAATCTTTTTCTATTATGCCTTTACATTTCCAAAACAAACCTAGAAAAATTAATCATATGTGAAACATTAACTTTGGATGTTTTTCTTTGTTTAATATTATTTTTCTTGTGGAATATTATCTTCAGATTTTTTAACCTTTCTAAATTTTTTCCAATTAGTACATTTCAGTAGAATTTTAACTTTAATTCACGAAAATCCTCTATACTTTCCAAAATCTGCCAAAATCATATTGAATGATTATGTGACTATAAATCTGCCCCCTAAAGTCTTAGAAACTCATGCTGTGATTTAAAATACTTTTTTTCTTGTTGTTGTTGTTGGAATAATATTCCCAACCTACTTTTTGGCAGTAAACAGAATGCTTAAAGATTGTTTTTAGTTTGGGAGAGTAGCTCCATTTTATCTCCAAAGTATGTGTTATACTTTCAGGCTTTTCAGGACTATCATCGGCATAGTTCCAGGCTTGTTTGTGTGCTTCTTGAAGCCTTGCCTTTGTGCCAGACCACTCCTTCCCTGACTCTGTCATGCATCACTTAATGCCTTCATCAGTGTCCATTATCCAACAAATCCTTTAACCTCAAGGCCTGCCATCAAGCTTGAGTCTCTGATCGCCATCCAATGCCCTAGCCTTTCAGTTTCTTGACCTCCTCATTTATGGGGAGTTCATCTCCCTGCACCTGAGCCATTCCCTGTCCATCCCCTAATTCCATTCCCTGGACCTCATAACTTCTGCACCTTTGAAACTGTCGGAGCGTCCCATTCTCTGATCATAACTGCTGTTCTTTCCACTTTGTTCAGCTACTCCCATTTTGACCACTTACCAACTTTGACAACATGGGTCCATTGGGTCTTTGGCTTTCTTTTAATTTATTCATGTTCCAGAGTCATCTTTCTTAGATGTCATTGGCCAGTATTTCAACAACATTCTTGTCAGTGCTGTTAACACTCTTCTCTGATTTCTAATTTTGTCTAGCTAGCAAAAAGCTAACCACAGAGAAAATGATTCATGTTTTTACTTCTGCATCCATGTACCAGAGTACTTCTGGAGAAAATCTTAGATCAGGAAAGATGTGGTTTTCTCTGAATTCATAAGCCACAACCTCCACTGTGTTCTCAACCCTGATCACTTTCTCACATGCCTCTTTCAAACATTAGCTTCTGTCTCCAAACTGCCCTGTGCCCTCTTCTCATTCACTTAGACTTGGTTTCTGACTTTTTCTGGTACATTATGAAAAAACTAAAAGGTTGAAGATGATTAACCTCCCAGTATCCACCAATCAGCATCAGTATTCTGTATTCCCACTCCTGTTACAATAAATGAGCTATCCTAGGCTAATCTCTTCCAGCTCCACTTCAGATCACAACTCCTCCCACCTTTGCAGGAACTTTACTGACTTATTTTTATCTTGTGTATTCACATTTTTCATTTAAATAGAATATGTCCCAAGCTTGCTTATTTCACTCTTATTTAGGGCAAGCAAACATGACTCTTAACTCCACTTCTCTTTCTAGTTGCCACCTGTGGCATGTTGTAATTTCCAAAAATGGTTGCAATGATGTCTCCCATCCCACACTCATTTCTCATTTCTTACAATGTGACCTTAACCCTTCTCTCACTAAATGCTAGGGACTATTTCCCTCCCCACAACCTGGATAGAACTTCACACTGCCTCCACTAATAGAGAGGAAATGATATAAACATGGCCTCTTTATATGGTCTTTTCCTGTGGTCATGTTTGAACTTTGTCACAGCATGGTAGTTAAATTCCATCAGCAAGTATCCTAAACAAACAAGGTGGAACTACATAGCATTTTTTTGGCCTGTCTAACCTTGATAGTCTTATGGGGTTACTTCTTATCACAGCCTATCAAAAATGCATATTGCCAAATGACTTATCACTGATGATGAAAACCTAGATCACCTGGCTGAGATAGTTTGTCAGGTTTTTCCACGCCAAAGTTATTCTTTGTATTCCTTTCCATACTGTACTCTTTGAATGGCAGTCACTTTGCACTGCTCACACATCTAGAGTGGGGATTTATTGACATGCTCTACTTCCTTGGAGTGTCTACATAAATTATTTAGAATTCTGCATGGGAGAGCTATTCTTCCCCAGTATTTATTATTTGATCACTTATTCATGTCTGTATGGACTCATGAATATTTATTGTATATGTTTTATAATGGAATACTATGCTATTTTTTTGGCTCGAATATAATTCTAATTATTTTTGCTCTAATGTCAGCTTTGCCATTGGGTGTTCTTTCTGTTATCTCCCGTGTCCCTTTGACATACCCCATTAATGTGGCATTGTTTTTAGTACTTCCTTGCTTTCTGGCCCTACATGATGCTCCAGGCTCATCTCCTAGATTCCCTTCCCCACTCCTAGAATCAGCCTTTTCTCCAAGTGGCTACTGCTTTAATTGGAGAAAGGTATTACACACTGACATCTGAGTGCTAGCATGCTAACTGCTACTAGGACGTCATTGCCTTTAGGTCTTAGTAGGTGACAAAGTGAGGGGATATAAATGTGCATATTAACCCATGGATTAGGTTGGTGCAAAAGTGATTGCTGTTTTTCCCATTCAAAGTCATGGGAAAAACTGATCACTTTCACACCAATCTAATATTTACACATATAGATAACATTTTTATAGCTTAGTTTTTTCTAGTTTATAGCTGAAGAAATGCAATCTTAGTTCTCTTTCAAATATCATGAAATACCATTTTTTTGAACTGCCTCTGCAATTAACTAATTTGGAAATTAAGGATAAGCTACTTAATCTGTGGAAACTTCAGTTTTTTAATGTGTAACATGAGAGATTCACTGGATGAATTGAAGTCTTACCAAATTTGAAAGTCTTTATAAGCAGTGTACCTGTGCAGATTCTTTTGAGGGACCTTCATCTGCATTTATAAACTTTTAACTAGGTTTTATTGTGACTATCCTTAAAGCTTGTCTGTGCATATGTGTCTGTGTGTGGGGGTTGAAAATGCTCTCACAAATTGGCCGCTGGCTCACTCAGTATATTCATTTACATTATTTTCATCCTATTAAAGTAATAATGCACTAGTGAATGTACATAAGGCACTCTATGTATATAAAGTACTATATAACTTTTATTATTATGCCTCACAAGTCATATTACTTTTATGAGAATGACTCCACCTCTTATGAAGTCACACCTTCCTTCTTCTCTTGTCTGATTATGAAGAGATCTACAGTGTTTTCCTTTCTTCATCAGTTCGAAATCTAGCTCTCTACGGTACAAAGGTTGGCAATTTTAGGAGAGAAATAAGGACTTGGTATGTTTCTGACAATCGTTCGGATAATGTTTTTCATCATTGCACCTCAAAGGCATGGCATAGACTTCTTTCAGTGTGCTGGACCATGAAAAGAGGAAACAAGAATAGAGTTTCACATATTTTTAAGTGAAATAGCAGCCAAGTAACTATATGGTTCGCTGCTTTAGGTTATTTTCACAGATGAAAGCAAGCTTTTTATGACAAGCAAGTTTCTCTATTCTGTCCTTCATGGTGAGATCATTGTTTTTGTGGGAGGAAGGGTATCTTAAAAGTTATGGGATGCTCTGGGTCTAGAGTCTTCTTGATCTTTTCAGTGCACATCCAGCTTAAGCAACCCATCCAATTCTGAACTCTAAAAACAGATCTGCCAAATAATTAAGCAAAAAATAATTTAAATCTGGCCATCATAGGGTCTGGGCATTAGAAATAGAATCTTTATTGGCAGCTGTAAATTACACAGTATTAACACTGAGTTTAATCTCACCCATTGATTACAAAAGGATATAGAAGTTTAAACATTTTAATTTTGGAATTTTCCCTTAGAGCTTTTTCCCCTCTAAGAATCACATTTTCTTTCACTCAGCTTAAAAGTTTGGGTGACACTGGTTTCATAACACAAAGTATGTCAATTAAATGGAAGCTGGGTTTTTTTTTGTTTCGTTTCCAAAACAAAGTTTCTGACAGCATTAAATGCAACCTTTTCAAGGAAGCATCTGGACTACAGTTATAGATGAACATTTCTCATTTCATTGTCTGAGTACAAAGCCATTTACAGGGCAACTTATCACATAAACACCCCTTGGCATCTTATAATAGAAATCAATAACACAGTAAAAAAGAAGACAGATGCAATTTAACCATATGCTGCATAAAATATACCCTGTGAACTTCTTAAAAACTTTGTGTATGATATTTACCTTGCATTGATGCCTGATATATACATTTAATTTTTATTGGTCTTTAGTAAAGAACAAAATATTTATCTTGGGAAGATAAAAAATACCATGTGTAGATTTATGAAACAATTTCAGATTTCTCACTGTTTGCAAACACATCATCACTGATTAGGAAGAAATGTTTTTGAGACCTGAAAGCAAGTGGAGACAAGTCCATTCATTCATAAGTCCAGGAAGAAGCAGGAAATTATCATCTAGTAAGAGGGGTGGCCCAGGTAAAGAGGTATGTGCACAGGCAGGGGAAACTGATTGTCCTTGAAAGGGATGGTGTGGGTTGGGGCAGAGGCGACCAGGAACTAGAAATATCAATATAGCTGGTGGACCAGAGTGTGATGCTAACACTGAAGAGAGTGGCTCTGACCCAGCCCAGTTAAGGCGATGCCATGTGCCTCCTTAGAGTGGCTCAGTTAGATGGTGGCTAAAGCAAAGATGACAGCACTGACCCTGAAAATCAGTGGTGATCCAAAGAGGCATCCCTCATTTAGAAAAGAGTTGTCTAAATGGGTAGGAAATTGACCTGGTTGGCCTTGAAGGAAGGCATTCAGAGCAGTCAAATTTGGAGAAGGCACACTAAGAGACCGAATATGGCCTTCTTACTTGGGGCAGCTGTGGCACAGGAGAGAACGTGAAGGGAGCTGGGACCCCTGGCTGGATCCAAGGTAGTGGGAATACCACGGAGACTGATGGTTTTCTGCCAAGGATCTCTCTAGGTTAGGGACTGGGAACTATCTGTCACTCAGGGTCTACAAAGAGTTCACAAGTCGATTTTGTCTGGGTGCCTTAAGGACAAAGTCACAATGTCTAGCGGCTATGCTAACCTCTCACAGATGACTTCAAAGTCACTGCCTTTGCAGATGTCCCCAGTTTGGTAAAAGCAAATGCCCGATTTGTGTTGTAATGTTAAGGGCAAGCCCAGTTAAGCATCCTGTCATTTCTTCTAATAATTGACTGATACTCTCTTAGCTTTCATAGCTTTTTCTTTTACCCCAAATATCCATTTCCTCAGTTCCCTCAATTCATTTAATTATTCAGTATCAGAGTCTCACAGGAGGTGAAGTTGTTTTTGTTTTTTTGCTTTATTTTAGTACATTTAGCATTTGTTCTTGTTGCCATTTACTTTTGGGATTTTGTTAAAGCATAAAGAAGAAAATTTTTAAAGTAGGGCTTTATAAAGTAAAAAGCCATATTCTCATTTATTATAATTTTGCATTTCACTTTCAAATGTTTTTTTTTTTTCTTTAGCTCTTTCTTTTGAAAGACATTTCTTTCTGCGTCAAGATTTCTTTTGAAAGAGCTTTCTTTCTGCATCAAGTTTTAAGAAGACAGGACTGGTCTCTTCTCTTTTTTATTATAAGTTTATTGAGATATATTTCATATACCATAAAGGTTTGTTGTTGTTGTTGTTTTGTTTTTTAAGAGTCTCACTCTGTCATTCAGGCTGGAGTGCAGTGGTGCGATCTCGGCTCACTGAAACCTCCGCCTCCTGGGTTCATGTGATTCTCCTGCCTCAGCCTCCTGAGTAGATGTGATTACAGGCGCACGCCACCATGCCTGGCTAATTTTTGTGTCTTTAGTAGAGATGGGTTTTCATCACGTGTGGTGGCTCACACCTGTAATCCCAGCACTTTGGGAGGCCGAGGAGGGCGTATCACTTGAGGTCAGGAGTTCATGACCAGGCTGGCCAACATGAAGTTTACCCTTTAAAATGTACATGTTGTGGCATACCTTAAAGTGTACGTGTTATACTTGGAAAAAATGTATCACAAGGTTCTGTAACTATTATTACTAATTCTAGAATATTTTGATCATCCCCCAAATAAGCCATGATACCCATTAGCAGTCACTCTCTATTCCTCTTACTCTGGCCCGTGGCAACCAGTAACCTATGGGTTCTGTTTTTATGGATTTGGCTATTCTGGACATTAATTTTTGTAGCTAATATTCCATTGTATAGATATACCATATATAGTTTATCCATTTATCAGTTGATAGGTAATTGGGTTGTTTCTATTTTTGGCTATTACAAATAATGCTGTTATGAACATTCATTTAGAACTTTTTGTGTGGACATATGTTTTTATTTATCTTGCATATATACTGTATTAGTTTGTGAAGGCTGCCATAACCAATACCCTAGACTGGGTGGCTTAAACACCACAAATATATTCTCTCTCAATTCTGGAAGCTGGAAGTCCAAGATCAAGGTGTCAGCAGGGTTAGTTTCTCCTGAGGCCTCTCTCCCTGGCTTGTAGATGGCCACCTTCTTGTGGCATCCTCACATGGCCTTTCCTCTGTGCCTGCACATCCCTGGTGTCTGTGTGTCCTGATCTCTTCTTCTACAGATATCAGTCATATTGCATTATGGCCCACCCTAAAGACCTCATTTTAACTTTATTACCTCTTTAGAGATCTTATCTCCAAAAAGGATGACATTCTGAAGATACTAGGGGTTAGCACTTCAACATATGAGTTTCAGAGGATGCACAGTTCAGCCCATGCCATGCAGCTACAAAGGGAAGTGCTTTGTCACATGGTTACTCTATGTTCAGCCTTTTGAGGAACTGACAAAAAGTTTTCAAGTTAGCTGTACCATTTTACCAGCCACGTAGGAGGGTTTCAATTTCCTTATATCCTCACCTGCATTTGTTAATATCTATCTATTTGATTATAGCCATTCACAGGAGGTAAACTCTTGAAGTGTATCTTTTCATGAATTTTCCGTTTTTCCGCATTTCTGTGTTTCCTCTGTCACATTGTCTCTCGACAGTGCTGCCGACATCATGTCCGTGTGTATCCTGTACTCTAAGGGCTTAAATATTTGATCATAAGAGTGGTAATATTAATTCAAATAGGTGGGAGAGGGCTGTGAAACCTGATGAATTGTGTAGTTTATGATAAAAGAAACTGCATAGATACTGTACAAAATATATATAATTACTAAGAACAAAGACAATCTAGATGAGGGATTTAAGTGTTTATTTACGTATTATTCAGCCTAAATTTAAAACACCCCACATTGTTTATATATATAAAGCCAGTAAAGCACTTAACTCTTTGTCCTTTCAATAACTTCTTTGCTTATTTAAAAGCACTGCAGGCTGGGTGCAGTGGCTCATGCCTGTAATCCCAACACTTTGGGAGGCCGAAGTGGGTGGATCACTTGAGCTGAGGAGTTCGAGACCAGCCTGGGTGACATGGCGAAACCCTGTCTCTACAAAAAAACTAAAAAAATTAGCTGAGCTGAACTCCTAGCTACCTGGGAGGCTGAGGTGGGAGGATTGCTTGAGGCTGGGAGGCAGAGGTTGCACTGAGCCCAGATCACGCCACTGTACTCCAGCTTTGATGATAGAGGGAGAATATGCCTTAAAAAAAAAAAAAAGCAAAAAGAAAAGCACTACAATCAGTATGAAGCTGTGGCCCTAACCAAAATGCATTTGGGGAAGTGTGAGCTCCATTGCAATCTTTCCTCTTGCAAAATGGAACTTATTAGAGTGTGAAATGTTTACGTGAGTTGGAAGTTCCCTATGTACACCTATTTTCATTCCAATGGAGAATTTCTGAATTTTGTTTTTAAGTTAATTTATTATTTTTCTGGAAGAGCATAATTCCTGCATATAATCGCATTAAAGAATATTCATCTTTTTCAATAGTCAACAAAGAAACCGTTAAAACTCAAAGTTATCCTATGAAGAGCTGTAAGTGGAAATGATCCTTCTTTTAGCCAGGTGTCTAGGAAAGTATCTTACATTTTGCCTGAGGCCAATACTTTTCTAATGTCTTCTTAGTATCTTTGAAACTTAAATCAATGCAAAACAAATAAACCAATAATATTCTAAACTCTGAGGCCTCATTTCTAGCTAGGCTGTGTTTTTTGTTTTTTTCCTGGCAAATTCAGTGAGTCTGAGCTTCTTCCCTGGGTTTATCTTTTTGTGTTGATCACCTCCAAAAATTCAGCCCATCCTCCGAGAAACTTTGGTGGCTGTCCTAAGTGGAATCCTCTCTCTCTCTCTCTCTCTCTTTTCTCTGTGCTCCTCTTGCAGTTAGTTGTAGCATCATTACTGTCAGTTATAGTAATTCTGCATGTTTTTATCTCTTCATCCAGGTCAGTGGTTGTCAAAGGCGACAATGCATCGGTATTGTCTGAAGAAATTTTCAAATACCTGCTCCTTTCTAGGATCCAGACACAGGATAAGGTAAGATGTGTCCCAAACTGAACAGACTCTTTCCAATTCCTACATATTGGCAGGCTCAGTCCCTGGGCAGTTTATCAGAATCTGGAAAAGGTCAGACAGCCATTCCCCACCGTGGTTTTAACACAGAGAGTCCTTTCCTCTTTCTTCTCATCCCATTTGCTTGTCTGTGGTTTGACTCTGCCCACTGAAAATATCAGATATTTGTAAATGAAGAACTTACCAGTTATACATGTCATAGACACATCTGAATAGGTAGGTCTTAGATGGCCTTTCAAAGAAAGAAGTCTTGGCTGAAAAGACATCTTATAAGAAAACTGAATAAAGAATAGAGAGATTTTGATTGAATAGATGTGTTACATGCTAGACATCTTGTTAAGCATTTTATCACAATTTAATTCTCCCCACAACTCCATGAAGCATGTATTGTTATCCTCACTTGACAGATGAAAAAATAATCTCAGAAAAATTGAACAAATTGCTGGAGATCAAACACTACAAAGTGATGGAACTGGAATGAGTCCAAAGTTTGTTCACCTCTCACAGAGCCTCTGGGTTAAAGATGGTTATGTTTGTATCAATTTAGGTAAAAACTTTAATACCTATTCTAACCCAGAATGACAATATCTAAATGAACTTGTGAAATTTTGCTGTCTTTATTGAGTACCCAGGCCAAATCTGAGTCTGCTGGTTGTGGCATTGTAGATTGCTTTTCAAACAAAAGACATTTGCCACAGTCTGAACATGGTTGTCTGTGTATGTCTCTCTGCATGCTTTTCTGCATGGTGTGCCTGTGTGTGCGTGTGTGTGTGTGTGCGCGCGCGCGCACGCGCGCACTGGGTGTGATGTTCATGATCGAGATGGCTGGCTGTTCTTTGATGCAAGGGCGTGCGCGTGTGTGTATGTGTGTCTGTGTGTGTGCACACTGGATGTGATGTTTATGATCAAGGTGGCTGGCTGTTCTTTGATGCAAGGGCGTGTGTGTGTGTGTGTGTGTGTGTGTGTGTGCGCGCGCGCGTGCACTGGATGTGACGTTCATGATCAAGGTGGCTGGCTGTTCTTTGATGCAAGGGCGTGTGTGTGTGTGTGTGTGTGCACGCGCGCGCGCACTGGATGTGACGTTCATGATCAAGGTGGCTGGCTGTTCTTTGATGCAAGTCATGGTCCTCACTCAGAGTCTGATCTGAGTAGGAGACTCCCAGGTGTCCTCCAGAGATTAATCTAAGTTATTTTCTCAGATTAACCCCCTCAGTTTCAAGCACTGATACTGCAACTGTGATATGTTTACAGTTTGGGGGTGCTAGTGGGTGTGCCTGGGAGGGGAGAAGCTTTTACTTAGACATGACATATTTATCAGAGCTTTGTGTAAACAAGCATAGCTAAATTATGAATGGTTGGGGTGAGACTGGGAGTGGGGACAGTAGGTTTACATTTGTTATATACATTCACAGAGTGTTGTCTAAGAATTGTATGGAGTTAGAAGATCCTTGTGCATAAGTAAGCATCATCTAACGCATTGTATCAAGTGTCTTTGTTCCTATAACATCTACTTATGACATAGATTTACGTTTATGGGTGTTAATTCCTTAGCGTAGTTTCTCAGCAGAACACAGACTCTGTGAGGCCAGGAAGCTTGGGGCAATATGTAAGATGAAAGATCCCTGAAAAGAGGGTGAGAACATGCCCTAGATGAATGTTTTAAACTATCTTTGGTGAAGACCAGTTATTTTTCTCCAACTTGCTGTAGATCAACACTGGTATCAGTTCACACCAAAAGTTACTCATCATTTGTGCTGGGCAACATCAAGGTGGTTACTAACACTGTTCGGTGAGATATGTCCACTGAGCATACACTAGAATATCAGGCAATATGGAATTGCTGTAAAAATATCTAAATTCTCACCTCCAATTTCTGTACTTACCACATTAAGAGATAGATAACAGGAGACTGGTGCTGGTCTATGGACCACATTTTAGGCAGCATTTCTGGAGACAAACTTTACCTACTGGACAGTTCCACCCAAGGCCAACACTGCTAGTAGAGGAGGAGGTAGACACTCTTGATGCAATGCCTTAGGTAATGCTTATCTATGTACAAGAATATTCTAACTCTAAGATTGACCTTATAAAACACTATAAGGTTTGAGTAGTAATGATCTCTTAACCATTTTCTTTTTATCAATGGACTTAACAAGGGAACAACCTTTCTGACCTGACGTAAGAATCCCTTGTATAGAAATGCCACAAGAGCAAATATTGTAGCTGCAGAAGGAATTGAGAGCATTGACTGTATGTGTATAGTACCGTCAGTAAAGCACAAAAAAATAAGCAACTTGCAAAAATGAGGAGAAATGTTGGGTTGCTCCTGGGGAGAAAAACCATGGTTAGAAAGAAAGAACAGAGATGCTGCTGCTGAGGCAGATCATTTGGAGAAAAAATAGACATGTTTAAAAGGATTCCATAAAATTTTGCTTTCTCTCCATTTTCCTAATAAATCATGTTATTTATCTTTAAGATTTTTTGGAGTTTGACTTATTTGTAAAAATTTTCAATTGCCCTGTCCTGGAGAGACTTACTTTAAAGTGAGAGGTGAGAGGTGTTGACCAAGAACAAAGGCCATTCAAATGGAGGGATAAAGTGAAGAGTGTATTGACTTGATTTGAGCATTTAATTTCATCAGTATAAAAATCGGCATCAATAATCATCTCCTTATTTGGATGACTGCATTATTTGGCTTTCATTTACGTAAAAATCAACCCTCCAGTGTTTTGACGCTTTGATCATTATGAGAAAAGGGGTTTCTAGTTCCTTTGAGTTCCCTCTTCTGTTATTTTTGTTTGTGGAATGTGTATTTTAGAGGTGGTTGGGCTTTTTCTTTTCAGTGTTTTATGTCAGAAGTAAATGTCTGTGGGGTAATTAAGATGAGTGGATTGAGTGGGGATTAAGTGTGGGTGCAGAAAATATTCAGGTTGAGGCTGCAAGTCTAGTTATTGAGGTAAACATTTGATCTCTAGTGTCATGCCATGATAGCTACAAAGCTTATTCTATAGCCAAGCATTTGATTGCTAAGTGAACTGTCTCCCTTGATCCCCAGGCAGGGTGCAGGGTGCACATGTAGTATGTAGGATTTTTCACCTCTTTCTTCTCCCAGTCCAGTAATTTTAACATCTGTGTATACTTTGTAAGACAAACCTGGAAACCAGATAAGGAGAAATTAGAAATGGTAACACCGTTTCTTTCAGGAAATAGTCACAGTTCTTGGCAACCAGTGGCCACGAATTGCAATTTTTTTGTTGATGATGTGAAACTACATGAAAGATGAAAATCCCCACCCTCCAAGTAATTATAGTTTGATTAATTATGGATTCTAGGGCTAGGGGAAGTGGAAGAGGAAATATAGAATTCTCTAAAATGTGAATTTTCAAAATTTAGACCATCAGCTGAAAATTAACCTTTTCTTTTTTGGCCACTTGAAAATATTCCATTTTTATTTGAGGCACCTGGAGAATCATAGTGGTTGAACAGAGATGACAGTTTTACATTTGCAGGTCAGTGTCTGGCATGCTTAAGCACAAATAGGTATAGCAAGTGTCCTGGAAAGCAGGTGATAACATGAGGGTGAATAGATACTGAATGCATGTAACTGGGAGTCACTGTAGACATTCCATCACGGGCCAGCGGGAAATGTGAGAGAGCCTAACTGGAGAGCAGGAAGAGGAAGCATTTGTGGAGAATTCCACATGTTGAATTTGAGGCATTGTGGTGAATCCACTGCCGAATACTGCTCCACAACACTCTTCAGTCTCCAAGAGTATTAGTCTTAAAATGTTTCAGTAGCTTTTTAAAAAATTGAAATTACTGTATTTTATTGAATCTGGACTGCCATCAATTATAAGAGAGAGTTCATTCCCACTAAGAATAAAAAAAAGACCTTTCAATTAAACTATGACACAATAATGCCTTCTCATTGAGACTTTTTATTCTATATTTTTTGTAAATACTTTTTAGTACTTGATTAATTGGCCATACCAGTCTCTTATTATTTTAAAATATCATTTTATCCTTTCTAGGGATGTAGCCTTGTCCTTTTGTACATATCTTGATAATAAAATTTTAACAAACTATCTTTTGTGGATTCAATCCTTCCTTAGATTCCGTAAAACTCTTTTTTTGTGAGAAAGTATAGAATGTGATCATTCCTTAGATCAGTTTTATTACTACTGAATGTATGAACCACAGTTCTATTTCCATACCTTTCTGCATAAACAGTACCTTTTTGATGCAATGTTGAATCATAAAGTAATATTTTAGAATACATTTTATTTTAAGTAAGTGTAAAACTAACTCTGTTATTACCCAAAATGAACACTACTCAAATTGACAATTGAACCACTATGGTCAAGTCCAAGCATTCAAAGACAATGCCAACTACACAACAACTGTTTCATGGCCAACAGCAACTGGGAGAAATTGGGAGATATGTCAGATATCAGAGAGGATAAATATTCTCTTTTGGGATCGAAAATAATTGAGTGAGGTCAGTGTGAGCTTAATATATCTGATCTTTAGCCATGCTAAGTTTGAAAACAATTTTTGAGTTATTGTATTTTTACAATAAGATATATATTTATATAAAGATTAGAAATGTAGCAAAGCACACAAAATATAATAGAAATAAAAAGTAACTTGAATGCTGCCACTCACTGATAAAGGTAGCCTCTCCCACCAATGATAAAGGGGATTCAGAACATATTTTGCAGAAGACACTTGTTTTCTGTACATGAGTTTTCCAAGGAATGAAATCTTATTCATGTTCCCAGTACAAGTTTTGGAGGGAAGAGAGTTACCCAAATAAGTACAACACAATCAGAAGCACAGGAATAACTTTTGGCTCCTGAGTGTATAAACTTAGCCTATTGCTCCAGCGAATGAACCTTTGTTCATATTTGTATTTTATCCTTTACCTCTTGACTCCTGTCTCATATTGGAAAGGTAGCAAAGCTTAACATGTTTTGGCAAACCCAAGCCTTACCTTGAAAGATGAAATAAGAAGGTTATATTTCTAAAAATCCATACAGTGCTGAATTCTACGTAATTGAAAAAAGGACTTTTGTGTGATGAATGCAGTCATTAGTTTAATATCTAGCTCGACTAAAATATTTAACAATGAGCTCTTGAGTACAAGGCATCAAGGTAAAGCCTTAACACATTTCCTAACTAACGGGAATGTACTATGCATTATAGATTTTTACTTCTTACCCTCTAAATTCTACACCAGAGTGCAGAAGGTGATGTGAGAGATTCTTTACAGGATTTCAGGTCTCCAGATTAATGATGTTGGTATACTCTTATACATCAAGTTTTAATGTCAACCGTTGATAGATGTTGACCTTATTAAACAATATTTATTATTTATCTTAATTCTGAGAGCTCTACACCAGGAACATACAAGTCATTTTCTTTTTTTTTTTTTTCCCCAATTTTCATTTTAGGTTCAGAGGCTATGTGTGCAGGTTTGTAACATGGGTAAATTATGTGTCGCTGAGGTTTGGTGTACAAATGATTCTGTCACCCAGATACTGAGCATAGTCCCTGATAGGTACTTTTTCAACCCTCAAACCCCGCTCACCCTCTCACTCTCCCCCCGTCTTAGTCCCCAGTGCCCAGTGTTGATTATTTCCATCTTTATGTCCATGGATGCTCAATGTTCAGCACTGATTTATAAGTGAAAATGTGATATTTGAATTTCTGTTCCTGGGTTAATTCACTTAGGATTATGGCCTCCAGCTTTATCCATGTTGTTGCAAGGGATATAATTTCATTCTTTCTTATGGCTATGTAGTATTCAGTGGTGTATACGTACTGCATTTTCTTTATCTAGTCTACTATTGATGGGCACTTAGGTTGATTCCATGTCTTTGCTGTTATGATGAATATACACAGGCATGAGTCTTTATTGAAGAACGATTTATATTCCTTTTAGTATATATTCAATAATGAGATTGCAGGGCCAAACTGTAGTTCTATTTTAACTTCTTTGAGAAATCTCCAAACTGCTTTCCACAGTGGCTGAACTAATTTACATTCAAAACAACAGTGTATAAACTCTTCTCCACAGCCTCATTAGTACGTGTTTTATTTTTTCTTCTATTTTTAGTAATAGCCATTCTGACTGGTGTGGGTATCTCACTCTGATTAGTGATCATGAGCACATGTCCATGTTTGTTGGCTACTCCTATGTCTTCTTTTGAAAAATGTCTCTTCATCTCCTTTGTCCATTTTTAAATGAGGTTATTTGTTTTTTGCTGTTGATTTAAGTTCCTTATAGATTCTGGATATTAAATCTTTTTTCAGATGCATTGTTTGTGAATTGATATGGTTGAATCTGTGTCCCTTCCCAAATTTCATGTCAAATTGTAATCCCCAATACTGGAGGAGGGGGTCTGGTGGGAACTAATTTGATCATGGGGGCGGTTTCTCATGAACGGTTTAGTACTATCCCTTGGTGGTGTTCTTGTGTTAGTAAATGAGTTCTTACCAGATCTGGTTGTTTAAAAGTATATAGCACCTCTCCTCTCCTCTCTCTTGCACGTGCTGTGTGAGATGCCTGCTCCCCCTTTGCCTTCTGCTGTGATTGGAGGCTTCCTAAGGCCTCCCCAGAAGCAGATGATGCCATGCTTCCTGTACAGCCTGCAGAACCATGAACCAATTAAAGCCCTTTTCTTATTACTCAGTCTCAGGTATTTCTTCATAGCAATACGAGAACAGACTAATACACGAATATTTTCTCTCATTCTGTAGGTTGTCTGTTTACTCTTGATAGTTTCTTTTGCTGTGCAGAAGCTCTTTAGCTTAATGAGGTCCCACTTGTCAATTTTTGTTTTTGTTGCAATTTCTTGTGGGGACTTAGCCAAAAGTTTTCTGCTGATATCAAGAAGGTTATTTCCTACGATTTCCTAGGATTTCTAGGATTTTTATAGTCTTAGATTCTTACAGATCTTACATTTAAATTATAACCCATCTTGAGTTAATTTTTGTGTATGGTGAAAGGTAGGGGTACAGTTTCAATCTTCTGCATATGCCTAGCCAGTTATCCAGCACTGTTTATTGACTAGGGAGTCCTTTCCCCATTGCTTGTTATTGTTGCCTTCGTCAAAGATCAGATAATTGTAGGTGTGGCTTTATTTCTTACATGGTGGCAGGAGAGAGCGAGAGAGTGAAGGGGAAATTGCCAGACACTTTTAACCATCAGATCTCGTGAGAACTTACTGTTGTGAGAACAGCATGGGAAAAATGCCTCCATGATTTGGTTACCTCCTACTGGGTCCTTCATCTGACACATGGGGATTACAATTAGAGATAAGATTTGGGTGGGGACTATAGAGTCAAACCATACCATTCCACCCTGGCCCCTCCCAAATCTCATGTCCTTCTCACCTTTTGAAACCAAACATGCCTTCCCAATAGTCCCCCAAAGTCTTAACTCATTCTAGCATTAACTCAAAAGTCCAAGTCAAAAGTCTCATCTGAGACAAAACAAGTCCGTTCTGCCTATGAACCTGTAAAATCAAAAACTAGTTAGTTACTTCCAAGATACAAGGTGTGTACAGGCATTGGGTAAACACTTACATTCCAAAAGGGAGAAACTGGCCAAAACCAAAGAGGCACAGGCTCCATGCAAATCTGAAACCCAGCAGGGCAGCATTAAATCTTAAAGCTTCAAAATAACCTACTCTGACTCCATGTCTCACATCTAGGACATGCTGATGCAAGGGGTGGCTCCCATGACCTTGGGCAACTCTACCTCTGTGGCTCTGCAGGATACAGCTCCCATGGCTGCTTTCATGAGCTGGCATTGAGCGCCTGTGGCTTTTCAAGTTGTGTGGTGCAAGCTGTTGGTGGATCTACCGTTCTGGGATCTGAAGGATGGTGGCCCTCTTCTCACAGTTCCACTCGGCAGTGCCCCAGTGGGGACTCTGTGTGGGGGCTCCAACCCTATATTTCTCCTTTGCACTTCCCTTGTAGAGGTTCTCCATGAGGGCTCTGCATCTGCAGCAGGATTCTGCTTGGACATCCAGGCATTTTCATACACCTTCTGAAATCTAGGTGGAGGCTCCCAAAGCAGAACTCTTGTCTTCTGTACACCTGCAGGCCTAATAATATGTGGAAGCTGCCAAGGCTTGGAGCTTGCACCCTCTAAGGCAATGGCCTGAGCTGTACCTTGGCCCCTTTTAGCCATGCCTGGAGCTGGAGTAGCTGAGATGGAGGGCACCATGTCCCAAGACTACAGAGTAATGGGGCCCTGGGCCTGGTCCACAAAACCATTTTCCCTCCTATCCCTCTGGGCCTGTGATGGGAGGGGCTGACAAGATCTCTGAGATGCCCTGGAGTCATTTTTCCCATTGTCTTGGCTATTAACATTTGGCTTCTCTTTGCTTGTGCAAATTTCTGCAGCTGGCTTGAATTTCTTCCGAGAAAATGGTCAGGCTGTACCACATGATCAGGCTGTAAATTTTCTAATCTTTTATACTCTGCTTCCCTTTTAGACATGTCTTCCAATTTCAGACCATCTCTTTGTGAATGCATATGACTATATGGTTTTAGAATATACCAGATCACCTCTTGAATGCTTTGCTGCTTTGAAATTTCTTCTGCCAGTTAAAATCATTTATCTCAAGTTCAAAGTTCCACAGATCTCTAGGGCAGGGGTAAAATGCTGCCAGTCTCTTTGCTAAAGCATAGCAAGAGTGAGTGACCTTTACACTAGTTCCCAAAAAGTTCCTCATCTCCATCTGAGACTACCTTAGCCTGGACTTCATTGTCCATATCACTATCAGCATTTCTGGTCAAATAGATTCAACAAGTTTCTAGGAAGTTTCAAACTTGCCCATATCTTGTCTTCTTCTGAATCCTCCAAACTGTTCCAGCCTCTGCCTGTTACCCACTTCCAAAGTTGCTTCCACATTTTCCAGTATCTTTATAGCAGTGCCCCACTCTCTCAGTACCAATTTTCTGTATTAGTCCATTTTGTGCTGATATAAAGAACCACCTGAGACTGGGTAACTTATAAAGAAGTTTAATTGACTCACAGCTCAGCATGGCTGGGAAGGCCTCAGGAAACTTACAGTCATGGTGGAAGACAAAGGGGAAGTGAGGCACATCTTACATGGTGGCAGGAGAAAGTGAGAGAATAAAGGGGAAACTCACACACTTTTAAACCATCAGATCTTGTGATAACTTACTATTATGAGAACAGCATGGGAAAAAAAACCATGATCTAATCACCTCTCATCAGGCCCCTCCTCCAACACATGGGATTACAGTTGGAGATGAGATTTGGGTAGGGACACAGAGCCAAACCATATCATTTATTTTGTATCCTGAAACCTTACTGAAGTCATTTATCAGCCCTGGAAGCCTTTTGATTGAGTCTTTAGGTCTTTCGAGGTATACATTCATATCATCAACTAAAAGAAATAATTTGACTTTTCTTTTCCAAGTGGATGCTTTTATAAGAGTGGGCATCCTTGTCTTTTCCAGTTCTTAGGGAGAATGCTTGCAGCTTTGTCTGTTTAGTGTAATGTTGTTTGTGGGTGTATCTTAGATAGCTCTTATTATTTTGAGTTTTGTTCCTTCTATGCCTAGTTCATTGAGAGTTTTTATCATGAAGGGATGCTGGATTTTATCAAAGGCTTTTTCTGCATCTATTGAGATAATCATGTTTTTTGTTTTTAACTCTATGTGGTGAATCACATTTATTGATCTGTGTATGTGGAACCAGACCTGTATCCTAGGAATAAAGCCTACTTGATTGTGGTGAATTGACTTTTTGATGTGCTGCTGGATTTAGTTTACTAGTATTTTGTTGAGGATTTTTGTGTCTATGTTCATCAAAGATATTGGCCTGTAGTTTTCTTTTTGTTGTTGTTGTGTCTTTGCCAGAGTTTGGTATCAGAGTGATTCTGGCTTCATAGAATGAATATGGGAGAAATCTGTATTTTCTGGAATGGTTTCAGCAGTATTGGTACCAGATCTTCTTTGTATGTGTGGTACAGTTCAGGTGTAAATGGATCTGGTCAAGAGCTCTTTTTTGTTGATGGGTTTTATATTACTGATTCAATTTCAGAACTTGATATTGGTCTGTTCAGAGTTTTGATTTCTTCCTGATTCAGTCTTCTGACATGTGTTTCCAGGAATTTGTCCATTTCCTCTGCATTTTCTAGTTTGTATGCATAGTTGTGTTCATAATAGTCTCTGAGGATCTTTTGTATTTTTGTGGGATTGGTTGTAGTGTTAGCTTTGTCATTTCTTGGATCTTCTCCCTTTTTTTGAATTTAGCTAGCTAGCTATTGATCTTGTTGATTCTTTCAAGGTACAAGCTTTTGGTTTTGTTAAACTTTTCATGGATTTTTATGTCTCAGTTGTGTTCAGTTCTACTCTGATTTTAGTTATTTTTTTCTGATGCTAGCTTTGGGGTTTTTTTTCTCATTTTTCTAATTTACATGAGATTGTTTATTTGAGAACTTTCCAAATTCTTGATGTAGGCATTAGTACTATAAACTTTCCTCTTTATACTGCTTCAGCTGTATCCCAGAAATTTTGGTATGTTGTGTCTGTTTCATTTATTTCAAAAAATGTTTTTTTTTTCTGCCTTAATTCCATTGTTTACCCAAAGATCATTCAAAATCAAGTTATTTAATTTCCACATCGTGTGGTTTTGAGGGATCTTCTTGGTATTGATTTGCATATTTATTCCACTGTGTTCCAAAAACATGGTTGGCATGATTTTACTTTTTGTGAATTTGAGACCTGCTTTACGGCCAAGCATATAGTTAATCTTAGAGTATATTCTGTGATATACACGAAAAGAATGTGTATTTTGTGGTTGATGGGTGCAGATGACTATTATGTCCAATAGGTCAAGTGTCAAATTTAAGTCCAGGAATTCTTTGTTAATTTTCTGCCTCAGTGATCTATCATTGTCAAGAGGGTGTTGAAGTTTCCCGCTGTTATCGTGTTGCTCTCTAGTCTTTTTGAAGGTCTAGAAGTACTTGTTTCATAAATCTGGGTGCTTCAATATTGGGTACATATGTCTTTAGGACACTTAAGTCACCTTGTTTCATTGATCCCTTTATCATTATATAGTGCCCTTCCTTGTCCTTTTTGACTGTTGTTGGTTTATAATCTATTTTATCTAAGAATAGTGACCCCTGTTCTTTTTTGTCTAGCATTTGTGTTATAGATATTTCTCCAACCATTTACCTTGAATCTATGGGGCTTGTTACATGTGAGATAGGTCTCTTAAGAGAGCCTTTTTTTTTTTTTTTTTTTTTTTTTTGGAGATGGAGTCTTGCTCTGTCACCCAGGCTGGAGTGCAGTGGCACCATCTCGGCTCACTGTAAGCTCTGCCTCCCGGGTTCACGCCATTCTCCTGCCTCAGCTTCCCATGTAGCCGGGACTACAGGTGCCCGCCACCAAGTCTGGCTAACTTTTTGTATTTTTAGTAGAGACGGGGTTTCACCATGTTAGCCAGGATGGTCTTGATCTGCTGACCTTGTGATCCACCCACCTCGGCTTCCAAAGTGCTGGGATTACAGGCGTGAGCCACTGTGTCTGGCTGGGTCTTGCTTTTTTAAAACAAACAAACAAAAACAACAAAAAGAAAACTAACTTGCAATTCTGTGCCTTTTAAATGGGGTGTTAAGACCATTGATATTCAAGGTTAATACTGAAATCTGAGGTTTGATCCTATCTCAAAGTTATTAACTGATTGTTTTATGGTTCCTATTGTGTAGTCTCTTTAGAGTTCTGTGGGCTGTGTACTTAGGTATGGTTTTGTGGAAGCCAATATTCTTTTGCCTCTGTGTTTAGAACTCCTTTAAAAATCTTTTATAAGATTGGTCTAGTGGTAATGCATTCCTTTAGCAATTTCTTGTCTGCAAGATATTTTATTTCACCTTTGCTTATGAAGCTTAGTTTGGCAGGGTACAAAATTCGTGGTTGGTGTTTCTTTTTTTTGATAATGCTAAAAACAGGCCCTCAGTCTCTTTTGGGTTGTAGGATTTCTGCTGAGAAGTCCACTGTTAGCCTGATGTTGTTTCTTTTGTATGTAATCTGACCTTTTTCTCAGCTCCCTTTAAGGTTTTTTCTTTAGCATTGACCTTAGACAGTCTGGTGAGTATATGCCTTGATGACGCTTGTTTTGTATAGTATCTAGCAGGTATTCACTGGATTTCTTGTATCTGGATGTCTACCTCTTCAGCAAGATTCAAGAAATTTTCTTGAATTATTCCCTCAAATATGTTTTCCAAATTGTTTACTTTTGCTCTTTCTCTCTAAGGAATGCCAGTAATTTGTAGGTTTGGTCACTTTACATAATCCTGTGTTTCTCAAAGACTTTTTAAAATTGTTTTTATTGGTCTGATTGGGTTTCCTTGAAAGATTGATCATTAGTCCCAGGAACTCTTCCTTCTGCTTGGTCCACTCTATTGATAAAGCTCTCAATTGTATTTTGAAATCTCTTAAGTTTTTCAGTTTTAATAGCTCTGATTGATCTTTTTAAAGATGTTTACCTCTTCTTTTGTTTCCTGGATTGCTTTACAGATTTCTTTTTGTTGATTTCAACCTTGGATCTCATTGAGTTTGCCTGCAACCCATGCTTTGATTTCTCCATCTACCATCTTTGTGCCTCCATTTTGAGACCATTGCTGGAGAGCTAGAGTGAGCCTTTGTTGTTGTTACAACATTCAGATTTTTTATGGTGGCAGAATTCTTACACTGGTTCCTTCTCATATGGAGAGGGTTGTGTTGGATAGGGTCTTTTGACTTGCTTCTACAGTCCTATGCTCTTCTGTCAGCAGATTTTGTATTGGGTTTTGGGGTTTGACCTACAGGCCAATGGATGGCAGTTGCAGGTAAAAATCTAGCTGCCACACAAAAACAGGTAGTTATGAACTTGATTTTTGTTTACTGTGAGGTGCTCTTTGTTGTTTCAGGTGAAGAACTGGACAGTGGGGTGCCTGGTGTTCTGAGCTTCCTGTTCTACCAGGGTGGTGGGACACAGCTGGGCATAGGTGGAAACTCTGGCTTGCTCATGAATATCCCAATGGCAAGCACAGGCTCCAGTCCTGGTAAGGGTGGTTGGGAGGAGTTCCTGGTGAAGTACACTGGGGTTTCTGTGTGGTGGGGGGGTGAGAGGCTGCACTGGTTCTCCATCCTAGATAGGCAAGAACGTACTCTGTTTCTCTGTCACACCCATGTTCCAGGGCTTATGACTCCTAGTTGAGATACACACTGTAGTGTATCTCTAGATTGAAATGTGGTTGAGACCTATGAGGAATGCCTGTTTTGTAACTCTCTGTGGGACTGATTTCAGGGCATAACTTCATCACTTGACCTGATACAGATAACTTTAAGGCTTGCCTGTTCTGATGTGACAGTGCTGCTACTTCTTGCAAAGGAGCTGGCTCCACCTTTGGGCTCATGTGAGTTGGTGTTGGTCATGTTGGTGTCAGCCAGTTGGGTTGGTCTGACCTCAGGCCCTGAGGGAAGTGGTCAGGTGCCAGCAGAGTTGGGATGGGGTAGTTCCCCAGTTCCTAAGCTCCTAGATGGCCTGCTGGACAGCATGTGTGAGTCCTGAAAGGGCTCGACTGGAGTTGGGCTGGCCCAGAGTTCAGGTGCTGGTCCCTGGGTCACCAAACTCTCTGGCAGGAGCAGGTAGAACGCTTAGGTGGTGGGAGTTGGAGAGAATAGCACAGGACTGTGGGGGTTGGGTTTTCAGAAGGGCCCTAGGCCACAGGTAAAATGTTCGGGTGTGGGCAGGGCAGCTGTGCTGTGGGCCTTTCATTGGAGAGGGTGGGGCCCTCAGCTGGGGCAATGGAGACTGGTGGCTGTGGGGCATGTGGCACCCTTGCACTTCCTTCCCATTCAAACAATGCTGAACTTCACTGTTGGGGGCACATGAAGGTGCCAAGCATTGTCTATTACCATTGGGAGTCTTGTCCCAGAGGAATGTAGAGCTGTGACCCACTGCAGTGTTCAGGCTGGGGCAGGGACTCTGTGCTAGAAGCCTGAGCAGAGCCTTGCCTGGCTTGAAGCAGCTGAGGTGGAGGTCTATGGTCTGCCGGCCAGGCATTTTCCAGGGAAACACAGAACTGTGCCAGCCCGCAGAGTTCAGGTGGGAGTGGGCTCGCTGCACTGGAAGCCAGAATAGCTGGCTTTGCCTGGCTTGGAGCAGTAGAGCATGGTCTGCTCTATAGGTAGTCAGGGGAACACAGGGTTGTGCCCACCCATGGAATTCAGGCAGGGGTGGGGCTGTTGTGCTGGATGCCAGAGCTGAGCCTTGCCTGGCATAGAGGAGCAGGGGCAGTCTGACTGCTCTTCCTCACCCCTGCTGCAGCTGCTATCAGGGCTATGGCAGCTGGCGCAGGGCTGCTCTGGGATTTGAGCCTGTAGAGCTCCACGTGTGCATCAGCCCTGCCTCTGCAAAAACTCCAGGAGGTTCTCTGTGTCCATCTGGATGCCCAGGGGATGGTAGGGGGAGGTTAGGGGCTTCTCCCATTCCCAGGATTGCAAAGATCTGTGTGTGAGGTGTGGATCCCCTGGGAATCTGCATTCACTCACCCTTTGCCTGTGCCAGGGAGCTTCTCCTAGCTCCACTTCAGACCCCAATGCACCATTGCCCAGTTTGGCTCCTCTCTGTTCTCTGTGGGTCCTCTCACTTCCTCTGCGAATCCTGACTGGTCCCTTAGATGATTCCTTTTGAATAGCTGCTATTTACTCACCACTTTGTTTCCTCTCTGTGAGAGTGGTGTACCCTAGCTGCCTCTAGTCAGCCATCTTGCATCTCCATCAGTCACTTTCTTTATAGTATTAATTTGGCCTAGGAAATTGAATCCCTTGTATTTTGCAATATAATTATAGAGTCAAACTGGAATGGAAAGGTTGACTCGGCAATTTCTCCAATTAAGATTATATCAAAGGCTTGCACCACTGACACATTCGTTTCGCTCATCCACATCCTGGATACAAAACCTCAGTTTAACAATACATGTCTGGATTCCCACTACAAGAGTTTCGAATATATACTAGTTTTATTCAAAAAATAAACTAGAATATAGCCTTGAGAGAACTCAAATTCACATGATAAACTATATTTTAATTTTTCAACCAATACTATTGGCAATGTTTAAAAGGGAGCCTTAAATTAAGATATCCCCCAAAATTAAGTACATTGAAAGCTTATTCTAATAATCCTTGACATGTCAATAGGTCAGTAAAAAAGATGTTTCCAAAATCACATTCACAATATATTTAATATTAATGTATTTCCATAGTATCCAGAGTCTTGTTCTGAGGGTGTTTCACATTCAGTATGAACCTAAGGGATAGCATCACTCATTCATCAAACATTCATAGGACCCTACAAATAAAACACTATTTTAGTTACTAGGGATTCAAAGAAGGCAATGTTACTCATACTTTGAAGGAGGCGTATGTGTAAATTAATGATAGTGATACAATGTAACACACAAATTTTTACTAAGCTGGGTCTGGTGTGTTGGAATAGACATAAGGTTGTACTTGATTTACCTTCCAAGAACTAGTAGACTATTTTCAATAAGAAAATGTGGAAGAATATTCTAGCCAGAGGGAACAGCACAAGTGATAGTTCAAAAGCATAGCAGTGTGTGGACAATTTGGGGCCTAGCACAGATCATACTTGGTTGGAGAAAGAACTATTCATACAAGGGGCAAATAGTATAGCTAAAGGTAGGTTTGAGCAGGATATTCATCCAAGTAACGGATATTTTGGAATTCTAGAGCTGATGGAAATGAAAATAGACTCTAATAGGCAGACTGATTCAACCAGCAATGATTTCCCAGGAAATGCAAATATGAAAGTCGTGTTGAGCACGTATAATTGCATCGTTCCAGTTCTGCCACTGATAATTTGGGTGATCTCTGCCAATTCATCCAGTCTCCACACACTAATCAGGTGAAGTAGCTGAATCAGAGGATCTGTAAGCCTAGTTATAGCTTTAAAAGAAGCAGGAGTTCTGAGATGACCAGTTTCGTTGTTACTGGGTACTAGAATATATGCATATATTTCATCATGTATATGTGTTGAGGAAAAAGCTCTCTCAATCTGTGTTTTTCCTCTGCCCTCACACCACCATAGCAATCATCAACACACAAGTGGACTTCTCTGACCAAAGGTGTGGGTTTTTTTCCCCCACACACCAAGCAGTGGGCACCACCAGCTGGGTGTCCTCCAATTTAATTTTGGCACTATCTGCCTGGTGATAGTGTCAGATCCCACAGGTTGATAGCATTGTTTCCAAGACTGTTCCCCCTACCTTCAGACACCAGTAGCAAATATGGGCCTGTAGAACTTCTGACTAATGAGCTTCAAGTTGTAGTCCCCATGACCCCTTCTTTGGGTTCAGTTAATTTGCTGGGGTGGCTCACAGAACTCAGGGAAACATGTTTACTGGTTTATTATAAAGGATGTCACAAAGGATACAGGTGAAGAGATGCATAAGGTGAGGTATGGGGGAAGGAGAGCAGAGCTTGCATGCCCTCCTTGGGTGCACCACCCTCCAGGTAGGTCCACATGCTCAGCTATCTGGAAGCTCTCTGACGCTGTCCTCTTGGGGTTTTCACAGAGGCTTCATTACATAGGCTCGATTGATGACCATGTGAAAGTGTGATTAGGCAAAAATCACATGATCTAAACCCAGCAAGGCCCATCTGTTCAGGTTTTTCTTGTCCTGTCTGTGAAGCATTCCTTCCTCTAGGGTGTGGGGCAAAACTCTCTCTGGAATGAAGGTCTGTTGACCCACAATCAGATTAAAGAAGGTGGGCAGGTGAAAGAGGGACAGGAGGGAGAGAGAGGGAGAGATTCTGGTTCCTGAGGCCTGTTCCTGAGGCCTAAAGCACCCCTTGTACCAAGGGTTGTGGGAGTTATAAGCCAGGAACCATGGAATGAAAACCTCTCTCTCTCTCTTTCTCTCTCTATCTACCCACCCACACACATATATGTACACACACACACACACACACACAATCATAATATAACAATATGCATACTGTTCTCTCAGAGAAACCAATTAGTGATGGTAAGCACAGACATGTGATACACTCTTTGATATTTTTTTATTAGTATTTAAAGACCTTGAGTTATCTAAAGTCTCCTACTGTAGTGGACATTTAGTATATAGTTTTAGATACCTAGCATCTCTTGAATGTTTCTCATATGTGAGAATTTTCCATCTTAAGAGTCCCACGTCCTCAAGATATAAGCTGGGAACTCACTTTCCCACTTCCTTTTCAGCTGGAGCTTAGCATATGACCTCAGCTTCATCATCCACATGTATCTGACCAAAATTTCATTTTGCAAGAGAGCTGCAAAAGTAGAAATCCATGTGGCAGAGATACTCTCTTTTCTTGTTGGCCATTGGAGCAGTCCTCACAGAGGATTCCCACCCAGCATCAATAATGCAAGCTCAAGTGTCCCTGCCACTGATGGCAGCAACCAGATTTTACTGCAGCCACCTGCCAGTGGGACTTGGGCATGTAACCTAGCTGTACAGTGTCCAAGGGTAGTTCTTGATCCTCCTGAAAGGTCTGTGTGCTACCTATATTGCTTAATAAATTTCTGTCTACTAGCGAAACTAGTGAGAAACTTATTTACAACTAAGAGTCCTTTCTGATCTGGAATCTGACCTCCTTTTCCCTGAACCCTCTGTTTTGCCGAACTCCTTGGAACTGCTGGACAGGTATAGCTTTCCAGAATGAGTCAGTGCCAGCAGGCTTTTCCCCTTGTAATAAATTAAAATGTGTTTCTTTTTGTGTGACCTTTCAATGATGACAAAAGTGGCCAGTGTTCAAGTAAACCATTTCAACATTCAGCTATGAGTCAATCTCATGTTATTAGGTTTCTCTGCTGTCTGCCTTCTCACGCCAAAAACTGATGTAGAAAATTGATATAAGGAAATAGCTGCTAAGCCTTAAAATCTCTCGATAGAGTGATAGAAATGGTAATGAACAGAGGAATTAGAATGAATCCAGAGAAATTGGACCTTTGATGAGAACAACTACAAAAACAAAACAATTGGAAGGGAAGAAAGTAAATGAAAGTATAATGAGGGTTGGTAATTGTCAGCCTGGAGCTCTCAAATTGGAAAGAATTCTGTCCATTTAAATTTGTCTCAGGAGCCACCATGCCTTAAATTGTACCACTCAAGTGTACTTTATTTTGATTAATTACTGTTCTCTCCAGTTACCTTTCTGACAATGACTATGTCAAGCACAGATAACCCACCAAGTCATTAACAACTCCTTGGGACCTTGAGCCGGGGAGTGTCTTAAGATTCTCATTGGCTGGTTTAGCATCCTTCCCTCATAACCCCCACCTTTTTAATTGTACCCTACTTTCTTTCCTGGCCCTATCACTCTCTTTTTCCTGGAAGAGTGCTCTACCTAGAATCTCCCATCCCGTTTTCATAGGCATTCATGGGTGTTTCTAAAGATTCACATTCCCTGTGTAATAAGAGTTTTGCTTCCCCAAAGATGTGAAACCTCTAGATAGGGCAGATTGGTGTCTTTTACTTTTCCCATCTTTCATATCTGCCCCAAATCTGCAAGTCCTATGGAGAGACACCTTTAGTTTTGCTTTAACCAAATTTTCTTATAGCACATGGCATCAAAGGGTACCATGAGGCTCTAGTAAAGGCTTACACTAATAGGCTCATGTGCTGTCTCTGTTCATGCCTTTTAGGCTATTGAGCCTGACTTTGAATCACCTTAAGGTCCTTTGCATTTTATTCTTTCCACATTTCTGTCTTCTTAGACACCTTACTTCTGTCTTCCCATAGCCCTTTTCCCACCCAGAATTGACATATGAAATGCATTTTGGAGGATTATGTGGACATGCATATGGTTACCTAGGTTCAGCATATGTTTGTGTAGTGGCTTCTATAGCCCGTAAACATATATAGAGTTCTACGTGAATTCAACTCTCTGGGGTTATATATCAGGATAAGCAAGCAGTTCATGAGGGCCCTGGGCAGAGTATATGTTGTGCAAAGTAGCAGTTCTCAACGTTTTTCTCCATGGAGTGCCCATGACAGATGCACTTTTGAGGAACAGTCCCCTATTGGCAATTCTCAGTGGGTCCATTTTTCCCTCTTCGAGACAGGGCAACCAAATGTGCTGTCCATTAAAGAGATTTTAGGTATTCACTGAAGTCTGCTTTCAATTTAAATGTCAGTCATTCACAAATTTTAACTAGTGTTGGTAACAGACACTTATGATAGCCCGCACTATTGACTAGAACACACTGGCAAGAGGTGGCACTTCAGCCTCAGGTTCTGTGACTTGATTTCTTGCCTATCTGTCTACTGTCTCCCATCTTTCCTGTACTCACTATGCCTTGGTTACCCTGTGGGTCTTCTAGTCTCACCCTTCTGTCATTGCTTCCTCTTTTGGCATGTATTTCACATATAAAATGTAATATAAAAGCTGCTCTCTCTTAGGTAATTTTAGAACTGACTGCACAGAATTTTCAGAATTATATAATACAGTCAGCTCTTTTCTTCTCTGCTAGGAAGGAATGAGCTATTCTGGTTTGATTCATCCATCCATACCTAGACTCACTCACAGCCTTACCTTACCCAATGAGTTATTTGCGAAATAGATGAATAAGACACTGGCCAACTCTTGACTTTCAACAAGGCTGGGCTTATGTTCTAGAGTAGCAGCAAATGCTGACCTTCACAGCAGGTAGCAGACAACTCTACTTTGTAAGGGTCCAGAAGGGACGCAGCTAAGCATGTTTCACTACAGTGCACAGGTGAGATGGAGCAAGTCTGTATAACTTCATTTTCTGCCTCTCTGCTGTGATTTTCCTGGGCCACACGCCTGCAGGGCTGCTGAAAATAATTAGATACGGGGTAGGGTGAGTTCTCTCCTTTATCTCTTCACCAATTCAGTGAAAGTCAAACCATATTTGTGAGGAAGACTCACAAGCATTGTAGTTTTAAAACATTATGAATTCACACTGAATTTCAGTTTATATGTAAAACATATTTAATGAGATTTACACATTTATATTCGGGCTAAGCGGAAGTGAACTCAAGGTGAATATGTTCTGATTTTTGTTTCAATTATATTTTGTAATTTAAAGAAAAGTGTTATTTTAACTGAAGACATTCTTTTATCCAAATGAAGTCTTCTAGGATCCTATCAAAATGGTACAATATACATACAGCTTTATGTATATTTCAGTTTGCTATAGATATATATCTATGTAGAAATTTACCTTGTGACAGTTTTAATTTTTAAAAATGAGAAACTGAAATATACTTGTTATAACTGGTTGTTACATTACCTTCTTTAGAAAATATTTTTTAAATATTGATTTTTCCATTTATTTTGAAAATATTTCCAGGGACGTTAGCTTCAAATGCAACTTATTTACTTGTGTATACAACTCCAATATTGTGCAGTTTTTCTTTCTGAAATTGTCATAAATAAGGATGCGCTTTGGTTTTAGCTGTTATGTGACTGAAAAGGTTATTTGTTGCAGAGTCTAAGTGAAGAGATGTTAAATTGACCCTCAGCAGAAAGGCCTATTTATTATGTCTGTGTCTAATTAAATATAATCCACTTTAAGAGACTTTGCTCCTGTGATGTGTAATGGCTTTTTCACACTCTCCTTGAACACTGCACCCTTATCGCCCATATTTATGCACAATGGAACACAAAAGCTGTGCAGTCAGTTCTATTGACTTTGTTAAGCTTCTTTCTGGGGAGCTGGCGATGAGCATTTGTGAGCTCATGGGGATAAGAACAGACCATGAACATGCTTCTTTATGTGGCCCGAATTGTTCCCATCTCACTAAGCTGTCTGCACTAAGATGCTGGTGTCATGATTCGGGTTCCTTTTTACAAAGTATTAGTCTTTGCTCATGAATTTTTCTGTAGTACAGTTTGAGTTTCAGGAGACTTTAGCAATTGATTTCCACTCAAGGCTTTGGCTTCCTTCCCTGGTACTCAGAAAAAATCAGGCCAAGGCTGTGGGTTGCTGCCATTCCCTAACTCAAGCGTATGCTCCTTCTGCCTCCTCTTCTCTGGGACCAGCACTCCCACGTACATGTTCATGTTGAGGAAAACACAATTTTTACAGCCTGACAATACTTACTAGATAACCTCACTGCCATCACCAAGATAACACTCCCATAGAAGTTACTGGTGACCACTTTGTGCCCAATAATGTGAGCCAATAACACACGTGTGTATATATGTGTAACTACACACACACACATAGATACATGTATATATGCATATTACACTGCATAATACAGAATACAAAGGATTCTGTTTTCCATGATTGCTGAAATTTCAAATGTGTACATATAAAGTAACATTATAAATAAGAAACTGATGTTTTCACATAATAGTATCCCAAAGGCTATGTCTCTATAGTGGCAGAGAAAAGATAAAAACTATCAACCCACCAAACAAAACCAATAAATAAATGTGTGCATGCACCTGTATGTGTATGTGTCGGGGGTTGGTTTAAGATGTGAATGTAGGAGTAGAAGTTGCTCCTTAAAGAAACAGGTCTTTTGCTCTAATGAAAAGATGTTTTTCCGTGAAAGACAAAGAAAAACCAAGCAAGCCTTTTTTCTTCTTTGGCTTCTACCCCTAGGTTTACCAAATGATCCTCTTGCCAGGAAACACAGAGGTACAAGTGAGGAAATGTGGTGCCTGAATTCTGTCATTCACTAGACAAATTCCTTAACTATTTGAAGTTTCAATAAGCCTATATATCAAGCAGGGTTGCCTGATGGCCTGGGGGATATTGGCAGGGCCCAGTTGCCACTGCTGAAGCTGAAAAGATATTTATGTTTCCCAGACTGCTTGTAACAGTGCAATAAGCATGTCAGATTTCAGATTTCCGTGTGTGTGTGTGTGTGTGTGTGTGTGTGTGTGTGTGTGTGTGCGCTTAGTATGGAGAGACAGAGAAAGATACAAAATTGCATGATGGTCAATGGAGACTTTATCCTGGCAGTGATTACTGAGCAACGTTCAGTGTCCAGTCACGTGTGTTCTCAGTAGACAAGACTTCCAGAATTTCTGCTAGTTTTTCAAATCTGGTTCTTCATTGTTAACACTGATTCTAGGAGCTTCTCATTATGTTTTTATTAACCTTACAAATAACTTAAAGCATTTATATATGCTAAAGAATATCTAGAAACATAATTTAATGAAGGGTAAGCAGTCACACACATCCCTAAGTAACCACTATTATCTTCAGAAGTAAGACATTAAGCAAGATATGGTGTATTATAAAATAGAAGAGAAGCTTTTGAATATCCTTACCACAAAGAAATGATAAATGCATGAGATGATGGTCATGCTAAATGCTGTGATTTTATCATTTTATAACACATGTGTATTCAAACACTAAATTGTACCCCATAAATATGTACAATTACAATGTGTCAAATTTTTAAAATATCACTACTTTCATGACAAAAAAGGAATTCATTTAAAATGCATTTAAAATTTAAAATGCTTTTAAAATGCATTTCTTTGTATATTCTTTCCTACTTACATCATCTTCCTTCTCACCAGATACAAGCACTCTTTGATATTTATATTATTATTTAGCATTTTTTATAGTTTTATTACATATGTACATAGCTGTAAACAATACATCGTGAAGTTCTTTTCCATTTCTTTTGATTAACACAAATGAGATCTTTGTATTTTTCAGAAATTTTCTTTTCTCAATTGTTTTTTTTTTGAGACTCATTCATGATTGTGTGTGTAGTTTTATTTCATTTACAATGTTGTATAACAGTGGTTAATCAACATCAATGTACATTTGAATCAACTGGGAAGATTTTCAAAACTATTAATGCCTGGTTCTACCAAATAGCAATGAAATTCTTATCTCTTGTTGTAGGGCCTAGTCATGGGTATTTTTAAAAGCCTCCTACCCACTTCCAATGTGTAGCTCCAGTTAATACCCCCTGCAATTTGGCATTCTGTTGTGAAACTACAGCACATTTGCTTTTCTCCTCTTTTGTTGTTTGTAGTTTCTTACTATTACAGATGATGCTGATATCAATATTCTTATATATCCTTAAGGCCCTATGCCAGATTTCCCGTAGGTAATATATGTAGGAGTAAAATTTTCTGGATCATAGAAGTTGTGTGTATGTTCAAATTTACTAAGTTATAATCACTTTTAAATGAGAGTTCCCATTTTCCATGTATTAGTCTGTTCTTATGCTGCTCATAAAGACATACCCGAGACTGGGTAATTTATAAAGAAGAAGCTTTAATAGACTCACAGTTCCACATGGCTGGGGAGGCCTCACAATCATGGTGGAAGGCAAAGGAGGAGCAAAGGCACACCTTGCATGGCAGTAGGAAGACAGCATGTGCAGGGGAACTCCCATTTATAAAACCATCAGATCTCATGAGATTTACTCACTACCATGAGTAGGGCATGGGAAAAACTCGCTCCTATGATTCAGTTACCTCCCACTGGGTCCCTCCCATCACATGTGGGGATTATGGGAGCTACAATTCAAGATGAGATTGGGTGGGGGCACAGCCAAACCATATCAGTCCACATCTTGCCAACATTTGATATTTCCCTGATTGCTTCTGAAGTGTGAATCATATTATGTGACTTTTAGACATTTGAGGTAGTGTTTTTTCTGTGAAACGCCTATTCATGCCTTTTCCCATTTTTCTATTGGGAGGGAGGTTTGCTCTTGATGTATTTGGACTGGTTCTTCATATATTCTGGAAACCAGTCATTTGCCTTCGTATGTGAAGATTTTTCCATTTGAAAGTTATCCTTCTCTACATGGTGTTTTAGGTTAAACAGAAATCTTCATTTTAATGTAGTCATAATTATAATCTTTTTCTTTGATAAGTTAACTTTTAAACATGTTTTGTTGAAGAAATCTTTCCTTACCCTAAAGTCATGGGCTTATTTACCTATGTTTTTCTTACATATTTAAGACCACAATGCATCTGAAATCTGTGTGTGTGTGTGTGTGTGTGTGTGTGTGTGTGTGTGTGTGTGTGTGTGTGTGTAGCATAACCTAGAGGTTTCCTTTCATTTTTATTCCCTATAGATAAGCACTTGTCCCAGTTCTGAGTTTATTTTGTTCCATTGATCTGTTTATCTTTTGCTGTGCCAACATTATATTGTTTTACTAACAATAGATTATTTTAACAATTCTTAATATCAGTGGAGGTCACTTTTGTGTCATGACCGTTATTGGGCCTTTGCTTTCCTAAATAGATTGACAATTAGCTCACCAAGTTCCATGGAAAATCCCTTTGTGGTTATGATTGGGACTATATTGAGTTTATAAATAATTTAGGGAAAATTTATAATTCGGATCATCCCATCTATGAATGTGATAAGCATTTCATCTTCCTTATTGTCTTTCAATAAAGTCTTAACATTTCTATAAAATACTTATGTATATATACTTTTAATTCCAGATATTTATTTTTTTTCTTTTTGGTTAGTAAAATGGATGTTTCAATTTAGTGTTGGAATAGTTCTTTAATGGTATAGAATATAATTTTTATTGTAAAATATACATAATAGAGTATTTAATATTTTAACTATTTGTAAGTATATATAATTCAGTGACATTAAGTACATTCATGATGTTGCATTAACCATTGCCACCATCTATCTGCAAAACTTTTTCATTATCCGCAATATAAACTCTGTAGTCATTAAACATAAATCCCCGTTCCTCCCTCTTCACTGCCCTTCATAATTCTGTTCTACTTCCTGTCTCTAGGAATTTGCCTATTCTAGGTACCTCATATAAGTGGGATCGTGTAATATATGTCCTTCTGTATCTGGCTACGTTCACTTAGCATAATATTTCAAAGTATATCCATGTTGTTGCCTGTGTCAAAATTTCATTTTTTTCTTTTCAACTTTTAGATGCATAGGGAACTTGTGCAGGTTTGTTGTACGGGTATATGGCACACAAGTAGTGAACCTAGTACCCAATCGGTAGTTTTTTGACCTATGCCTCTCTACTCCCTCCGTCCCATCTCTAATAGTTCACAGTGTCTATTGTCCCCATGTTTTTTTCCATGGGTGCTCAATGTTTCATTCCCACTTATAAGTGAGAACTTGGGGTATTTGGTTTTCTGTTCCTGTGTTAGTTTTCTTAGGATTATGGCCTCCAGGTCCATCCCTGTTGCTGCAAAGGACATGATTTCATTCTTTTTTGTGGCTGTGTAATATTCAATGGTATATATGTACCACATAATTTTTATCTAGTCTACCACTGATGGGTACCTAGGTTGATACCATATCTTTGCTATTGTGAATAGCACAGTGATGAACATATGTGTGCATGTGCCTTTTTGATATAGTGATCTATTTTCCTTTGGATATATATCCAGTCTCTTTTCACTTTTCACAGTGACTGAACCAATTGACATCCCCACCAACAGTGTGTAAGCATTTTCTTTTCTCTGTAGCCTCACCAGCATCTTTTTTTTTTTTTTTTGAATAATAGGCATTCTGAGTGGTGCAAGATGGTATCTCGCTCTGATAATTAGTGATGAATAGTTGTTCATGTTTGTTGGCTGCTTCTATGTTGTCTTTTGAGAGGCGTACATTCATATTCTTTGCTCATTTTTAATAAGGTTATTTGTTTTTTGCTTGTTGATTTACACTTCTTAAAGATTTTGGATATTAGACCTTTGTCAGATGCATAGTTTGTGAATATTTTCTCCTATTCTGTAAGCTGTCTGTTTACTCTGTTTCTTTTGCAGTGCAGAGGCACTGCAGTTTCATTAGATCCCATTTATCAATTTTTTTTTCTGGCAATTGCTTTTGGGGACTTAGTCAAAAATTCTTTGCTAAGGCTGATGTCAAAAAGAGTATTTCCTATATTTTATTCTAGGATTTTACAGTTTTAGATCTTACATTTAAGTCTTTAATCAATCTTGAGTTAATTTTTTGTGTATAGTGAAAGATAAAGGTTCAGTTTAATTCTTCTGCATATGGCTAGTTATCCCAGCACCATATATTGAACAGACGGTCATTTCCCCATTGCTTGTTTTTGCTGTCCTTGTCTAAGATCAGATAGTTGTAAGTGTGTGACTTTATCTCTGAGTTTTCTATTCTGTTCCATTGGTCTGTGTGTCTGTTTTTGTACCAGTACCAAGCTGTTTTGGTTACTACAGCCTTATAATTTGAAGCCAGGTATTGTGATACTTCTGGATTTGTTCTTTTAACTTAGGATTGCTTTGGATTTGAGGGTTCGTTTTTGATTCCATATGAATTTTTGAATGGTTTTAAACAATTCTGTTAAGAACAACATTGGTAGTTTGCTGAGAATAGGGTCGAATCTATATATTGCTTTGGGCATTATAGCCATTTTAACAATATTGATACTTCCAATCCATGAGCATGGGATGTTTTTCCATTCATTTATGTCATCTCTGATGTCTTTCAGTAGTGTTTTATAGTTCTCCTTGTAGAGATCTTTCACCTTCTTGGTTAGCTGTATTCCTAGGTATTTCATTTTATTTGTGGCTATTGTAAATGGGATTGTGTTCTTGATTTGACTCTCAGCCTTATTGGTATATAGAAATGCTACTGATTTTGTACATTGAGTTTGTATTCAGAAACATCACTAAAATTGTTTATTTGTTCCAGAGTCTTTTTTTGTGGAGTTTTTAGGGTTTTCTAGGTATAGGATCATATCACTAGTGAAGAGAGATAGTTTGATTTTTTTTTTTCCTATTTGGATCCCTTTTGTTTCTCTTGCCTGATTGCTCTGGCTATCACTTCCTTGTTTCTTATTATGGATGAACAATATTCTATTGAATGTACATACTTTTGTTTGTCTATTCATGTATTAGTGAACACTTAGATTGTATACACCTTTTGGCTCTTGTGAATAATGCTGCCATATATTCCATATGGAGTTGCTGGGTCATATTATAGGTTTATGCTGAACTTGTTGAGAAACCACCAAACTGTTCTCCATAGAGGCTTATACCATTTTATACTCCTTCTAGCAATGCATAAGGGTTTCTATTTATGTACATTATTACCATTTTTAAAGAAGTTATAGCCATACTAATATGTGTAAAGTGGTATCTCATTGTGGTTTTGATTTTCATTTCCCTAATGACTAATGATATTGAGCATCTTTTCATATGTTTATTGGCCATTTATATGTCTTCTTTGGAGAAACGTCTATTTAAATCTTTTGCTTATTTAAAAACATTTTGCTGTTGAGTGGTAGGAGTTTGTTTATGTATTAGGGATATTAACTGTTTAACAGATAAATGATTTGTAAGTATCATCTCCAATTCCATGGGTTGCCTTTACACTTTGTTGATTGTGTCCTTTGATGCGCACGTTTCATTTCTGTGTAGTGCAATTCATTTATTTTTTGTTTTGTTGCCTGTGCTTTCGGTGTTACATCATAAAATCATTGCAAATCTAATGCGATGAAGATTTACGCTAATGTTTTCTTCTAAGAGTTTTAAAATTTTTGCTGTTCAATTTATGTCTTTTGAACCATTTTTAGTTGATTTTTGTATATTGTCTTAGGTAAAGGTGTAACTTCATTCTTTTCCATGTGGATATCCAGTTTTCTCAGCACCATTTGTTGAAAAGATAGAATGTCACTTTTCAAATCTTTATTAAAACATTTTTCATTCTAATAATTTTTCAATACATAGATTAATTTGAGTTTTCTGTGAAGGCATTTATATCAGCTGCCAATAAATGTTATGTTTCTTTTTTAAACCTTATACCTTTCTTCTTTCTCTTACCTTTCTTCTTTTCTTCCTTTCTTTTATACCTCTAAAATGTCTCCCCACTTCTTTCCTGGTTTACATGTCTTTGCAGAATTCTCTTCACTTCAGTGTGTGTTGGATTTACTGACTTCAAAGACTGTGGCTTTTTTCTTAGGCACCCCTCATACTTCTTACGAGTTCACTGTCCCCTGCTCTCGTGTTTGTGTGTTGTGAGCAGTGTTGAATGAAATGGTGATAGTTGGCACCCTTGTCCTGTTTTGGATTTAAAGAAATGCTTTAATTGTTTATAAATAATTGAAATGTTTGTCATAGTTTATTTTCTTTTGTTTTTCACATAGTCTGTAACAAGTTGAGGAGGTTTCTACAAGGATGATTTCATGTCATCTGCAAACAAAAACTTTTATTTCTTCCTTCCCTTAAAGATCAAGATAACAATGTAATGTCTTTACTGACTCCAGGGCCATAAAATGGGTCTTTTTTTTTTCTTTTAGTTTCTTCTAGTTTTCAGGGTTCTTTTTTTTTTCTGTGTGTGTATGTTTACACGAACTTTATTATTTTTTTTTTTTAGAGCAGTTTTAGATTCACAGCAAATTTGAGGAGAAGGTACAGTGATTTCCTATACCCCCGTCTCATCCTCTTCCTCTTCCTCATTATCAATGTCACCATAGTGGCACATTTGCTACAGGTGATGAACTTATGTTGACACACCATTATCACCCAAATCCATAGTTTACATTAGGGTTCACTCGTGGTGTTGTATATTCTTTAGGTTTGGATCAATCTATTGTGACATGTATCTTCAATTAATGTATGTACAAATAATTATGTACAATTAATGTTAATTATTTACATAATTATATTCATAATCATGCTCATAATTTTGTACATAATTATGTTCAATTAATCTATGTACAAATAATGTATGTACAGAATAATTTTACTGCCCTAAAAATCCTCTGTGCTTCATTTGTTCACCCATCTCTACCCTAAACCGCTAGGAACCACTGATCTTTTCACTTTCTCCATCATTTTGCCTTTTTCAGAATGTCATAGAGTTGGAATCATACAGTATGCAGCCTTTTCAGATTGTCTTCTTTCAGTTAGTAATATGTAATTAAGTCTCCTCCATATCTTTCATGACTTGATACCTCATTTCGTTTCAGTGCTGAATATATTCCTTCATCTGTATGTACCACAATTTATTTATCCCTTCGCTTACGAGACATCTTACTTCAAGTTTTGGCAATTTTGAATAAAACTTCTCTAAACATCTGTGTACAGGTTTTGTGTGGATATAAGTTTTCAATTTCTTTCGGTAAAAGCCAAGGAATGTGAGAGCTGGAACATATGATAACAGTATGTTTAGTTTTGTAAGGAACTTGCAAACTATTTTCTAAAGTGGCTGTACTGTTTTGCATTCATACCAGTAAGAAATGAGAATTTCTATTGCTCCATATGCTTGCCAGCATTTGGTGTTGTCAGTGTCCTGGATTTTGGCAATTCTAATAGGTGTGTAGTGGTTATCTCTTTGTTAGTTTGCTTTTCCCTGATATATGATGTGGAACATCTTTTCATATGTTTGTCATCTGTATATCTTTGATGAGGTATCTGTTAATGTATTTTACCCATTTTTTAAATGAGAATGTTTGTTTTCTTATTGCTGAGTTTTCAGAGTTGTCTATTTTGGATAGCAGTCCTTTATCAGATATGTCTTTTGCAAACATCTTCTCCCAGTTTGTGGCTTATCTACCTATTCTCTTGACATTATCTTTTGCAGAGCATAAATTTTTAATTTTGATGAAGTTCAACTTCTTTCTTTCCTTCCTGAATCATCCAGTGATGTTGTACCTAAACAGTTATTGCCAAGCCCAATGCCATGTAGATTTTCTATGTTATCTTCTAAAAGGTTTTATATTTAGGTCTATGATCTGTTTTGAATTAATTTTTAAGAAGGTGTTTAAGTCTAGATTCATTTCTTTGCATTTGGATTTCTATTTCTTCCAGCACCATTTGTTGAAAAGACAACTTTTAAAAAATTACATTGCCTTTGTTTCTTTGTCAAAGATAATTTGATTATATTTATGTGAGTCTATTTCTGGGCCCTTTATCTTATTCCACTGAGCAATTTGTTTATTCTTTTGCCACTACTGTGCTGTCTTAATTGCTGTACTTTTCTATTAAATCTTAAAGTAGTGTTACTTCTCCAACTTTGTTCTTCTTTAATATTGTGTTGGCTATTCTGGGTTTTTTTTCTTTTCTATATACACTTTAGAAGCAGTTTGTTGATATCTATAGTATAACTTGCTGGGGTATTGATTGGGATTGCATTAAATCTGTAGGTCAAGTTGGGAAGAATGAACATCATTACAATATTGAGTCATCTATGAACGTGAAATACCTCTCTGTTTTGTTCTTTGATTTCTGTCATCAGAGTTTTGTAGTTTTCCATATTTATACCTAAGTATTTCATTTTTTTGCAGTGCTGATTGAAATGATACTGTGTTTTAAATTTCAAATTGAACTTGTTCAATACTGATATACAGAAAAATAATTGACTTTTGTATATTAACTTTGTGTCTGCAACCTTGCTATAATTGCTTATTAATTCCAGGGATTTTTTTGTTGTTATTGATCTTGGAGGATTTTCTACAAAGATGATTATGTCATCTGCAAACAAAGACAGTTTTATTTCTTTTTTCCCTTAAAGATGAAGAGAATAATATCTTTGCTGGTTCTAAGGCCATAAAATGTTTTTTTTCCATAAAAACAATTACCACTTCTGGTCTTATTGCATTAGCTAGGGCTTCCAGTATGATGTTGAAAGGGAGTGGGGAGAGTGACATTCTTGTCTTTATATCCTGAGAAAGCTTTGAGTTTCTTGACATTAAGTCAAGTTGTAGTTTTTTTTTTCTAGTTATTTATCATGTTGACAAAGTTCTCCTTTATTCCTGGTTTGTATCGTGAATCAGCGTTAGATTTTGTCAAATGCTTTTTCTGTATCTATTAAGGTGATTATATGGTTTTTCTTCTATAACCTCTTGATGCGATGTGTTATGCAAATTGATTTTCAAAAGTCAAACCAGTCTTGCATATCTGATGTCAATCCCATTTGGTCATAGTGTACATTTTTTATACAATGTTGGACTAATTTTGCTAATATTTTGTTGCGGATTTTTGCATATATGTTCATGAGATATATTCGTGTGTAGCTTCTTGTAATGTCTTCATCTGGTTTTGATGCTCTGATAGTTGGCCTCATAGAATGTTAAGAACTATTCCCTTATCTTCTATCTTCTGAAAGAGATTGTAGAGAATTAGTACAATTCATTCCTTAAATGTTTGCTAGAATTAGTGAACCCATCTGGGTCTGGTGCTATCAATTCAATTTATTTCATTGTTATGTGCCTATTCAGATTGTCTATTTGTCCTTTTGCGAGTTTTAGTGGATTTTGTCTTGCAAGGAATTGGTTCATTTCATCTAAATTATCAAATTTGGGCATAGAGTTGTTTATAGCATTGATTTATTACCATTTTAATGCATATGAGGTCTGTAGTGACGCCCTTTCATTTCTGATATTAGAAATTTTATCTATTTAAGTTAGCCTGGTGAGAACCTGTTTTTGTATTTTCTTATGTTAAAAACTAATATTTTTTCTTGCACATTTTGAGGGAATTATAAAAATATGAATTATAAAAGTGAACCAATTTTGCATTTTTGGATTAAATCTGTCTTAGTCATGATATGTTTATTATCCTTTTGATTCATTGCTACATTCAGTTGCCTAATATTTCACCTTGAGGTTTAGCATCAATATTCTTAAACTTGCTATATTTTTAAAAATATTTTCATTGTTATAAGGTTTCTAGCATGCTAACCTTATAAAATGAGTTTAGAAATATTTCCTCTTTTTCTGTTTTTTCAATTATATTTACCTTGCATATATGGTAGATCCTAACTATTGAAACTTCTGTAACTAATGTTTTCTTTTAGAAAGTTTTTAAATATCGACATAATTTAGTATCTTTACTGGTTCTAGAGTTATGAATGTTTTCCTAATTCTTGAGCACTTTTAAGCAATTCTTTTTCTAGAAATTTGTCAATTAAAAAAATCGAATTTCATAGTGATGTCAATTGTAATATTCCTTATAATCTTTGCTACAACTCCATTTAGTCCCTGCGATGGTTAACTTTAAGTGTCAAGCGGACAGGGTTAAAGGATACCCAGACAGCTGGCCACACTTTATTTCTGGATATGTTTGTTAGGGAGTTTTCAGAAGATATTGGCATTTGAATCAGTGGACCGAGTAAGGAAATCTGCCCTCACCCAATGTAGGTGGACACCATCTAATCCATTGAGGACAGAAAGGCAGAGGAAAGTGAGTTATCTCTCTTCTGGAGTTGAGACATTCATGTTTTCCTGCCTTTGGACATGGGAACTCCAGGTCCTTGAGTCTTCACACTCTGGGACTTAACAGCAGCTGATCCCCTGATTCCCAGCCCTTTAGACTCACACTGAATTACACCACCAAGTCCTGTGGTTTTCCAGCTTGCAGATGGCAAGTCATGGGACTTCTCACCCTCAATAATCATTTGAGCATCATTTGAGCCAATTCCCATAATCCGTCCCCTCTTATACAGCTGTATATTTATATCTATACCTATCTATATGTCCTATTGGTGCTCCTTTTGTAGAGAATCCTAATACCATTTTCTTTCTCATTTCTAAAGTTTGTTTGTGATTTCTCACCTTTTCTTTCTTTATAAATATTACAAGAAATTTATTAATTTATTATTTGACAGAATTTTCTTTTAATTTTGCTGTTATTGTCTTTTAGATTATACTTTTAATTTCATTACTTTATGATTTACTTTGATCATTTTGTTTGGTTTATCCCATTGTCCATTCTCTAATTTCTTAAAATTTTATTCTTTGCTCATTTATATTTTGCTTTTCTTCTTTTAGAAATATGCATTAAAGGTATTAATTTTCTTCTAAGCCCTGTTCTACCAGTATCCACTAAATTTCATATGTAATAGTTTTGTATTGTTCATGTCTTTTCAATATTATGTTTTTTGTAGAAGACTTCTATATTTTTCTGTATTTTACAAATATTTTTCTTCTTGATTTATTGACACTGTATGTTTAAAATGTCCCAATGTAATGTACTAGTCAGTTTCTCCTTGAAGTCTTTTCAAGTTTTTTTTTTTTTTTTTTAAATTCAAAGCTATATTATAGAGTAAACTTCTGGTGCATTGAACCTTTTATTGATAAGCCGTGATCTTATTTCTAGTAATATGCTATTTGTTTCAGGTCTAGATTGTCTTACAGACCTGTTATCTTTGATCTTCTCTTATCCCACATTTAAATAAAAATTTCTGAGTGTTCTTGTTTTATTTTGTTTTTATGCCACATGTGTAATTTAAATTTGAGCCCTGTTTGGTTGATCAGAGACTAGGGTTTAGGATTCTCATGGAAGATTTTTCTTCATCTCTCATCTTCACTAGCCAAGGCAACAATTTTGCCTACATTTGTAAAATGGGTTTGTTTTCCAACAACAACAACAACAAAAATACATTTCAGAGCATGTAGCATCCCTTCAATACATGACTCTTTAGTGGTTCTGGGATTTTGCAAGTGAAAAGCCATTTATTCAATCTCTTACCTTGCTTGGACTCTAGTCTTTGTTGCCTGTTCTTTGTGTCCCTTCTCAAGCAATCTTTTTGTTATTGGGGATAACCATAAGTTCTGCCATGAACATTGACTTCTGCTGATCAATTATCTACTGATTTGTTCTTTATTGTTGCTTCCAATCAGCTAAACAATATAAGCATGTTTTTAATGGTTTTACTCAGTAATTTAGGCATGTTCTTCTTAGAGTGTTTTCTGTGGACACTGCATTCACACTTACAGCAATCATTTCTGACTTCTCTTGCTTGCAACCAAGAACCTTAAGAAAACCTGTCGCAGGGTTGTGGGGAGGATCTGATGACACAGCTATATTGCTAGCGTAGTACTAGTTAACCAGTACATTTTAATTGTTATTATTTATTTATTGTCATTATCATAAAATCATAAGACAAATGATAAGAATCTCAGGAATGCTTGAATTTTACCGAAGGAAAATTCCTAAAAGACAATACTGAATTCAAAGACATACATTTCTTTTGGGCAAATATTAGACATGGAGAAATAAGGGGTTTTGAGGAGGAAATGAGACAGGTACGATAGGTACTATCACTTCATACATTATGTATATGATAACAGTAGAAATAAGTTTCTTAAAAAATGCCATCTACTCATCTGTAACTTTCACTTTAATATGGAAAATATTCCAGTATAAATCATTGCAATATTTCCTGTATTTGTTTCAAATCGTAGAACAAGATCTGAATAAGAGATCAAGGTTACTAATTTTACTTTTGGAGTATTAGTAAGTGTCAGACTACTAACAAAAATTCATTAGCCAGATTGTATTCCTTCAGGGCGGAAGTTGGTAAATATTCAAGGGTATGTTTAATTTTGAATTCTTCTAAGTTTCTCTTTAAACTATGAAGTTTTTCTGAAAACACTTTATGCATACGCACAGAGAGTGATGAGTAGAGCCATATTTGAATTTCATGTGCTTCTGACTTGAATTAGACTTCTAATCCTTGGTATTTTAATATAATTTGCAATTTCTTTTTTATTTTCAAAATTAAAGTTTTCCAATAAGTTAGGTTTTAAAATGTTATGTGCCTTATGTTTTCTTCTAGAAATGTCAGCCTTTGCCAATAGGTTTTATGCCACAATATGTGTGATAGTTCAGGTAAACCGTAGTAATTTTAATGCACATTAAATGTTCTTCTAATGTGTTGGCAGAGGCTCCCTCAAACTGTACTTTATTGTCTATCTACCTGAAACCAAACATCCATGAAAGGATTTTACAATTTTTTTCTTGAAAGAAGGCAGAAATAAGCTTTGGCAAGCTATTGTTCTCAAGTCACAAAATATCTTCTTGTCACTTTCTTAAGAAAAATAAATTTTGCTTTAGCCTAATGAATTTGTGAAGTTCCTTTGAGGAAACATTTTCAAAATACTGTGATGTCTTCCTACTTAATATTGCTATTGAGAGTGATCAGCCTGTTGAATCCATCAGTGAGGAAATGAAATTACAACTTGGCTTCATCTCTGCCAATCATTTCCATCTAGAGACCTCCCTAAAAGGAGCTAGACCCTCCCTGCACTGTTTTTTGAAATCATTTGCTCATTGTAAATAAAACACTTCGTGCTTGCTTCTCCCTAGAACTGGACTATCAAAACTACCTAAAATTTCAAAGAATTATTCATAAGAGACATGGTAGGCAGAATATTGCCCCCCCTCAATGATGTTCATGTCCTAATCCTCAGAACCTATAAATAAGTTATGTGGAAAGTGAGGAATTAAAGTTGCAGATAGAATTAAGATTGCTAACCAGCTGATGTCAAAATAGAGTGATTATCTAGCATTATTTGAGTGGGTCCAAATATAAACACAAAGTCCTTAAAAGGGGAAGAAAGAACTACAGACAGTATTTTGAGAAGAATTTGGCCCTATGTTGCTGGCTTTGAAGATAAAGGAAGGGGCTGTGGGCCAGGGAATGAGGGCAGCCCTTAGGAGATGGAAAAGGCAAGGACACAGATTTTTCCCTGGGCTTCCAGAAAGGAATGCACCTGCCAACATCTTGATTATAGCCTAGTGAAAACCATTTCAGACATTTGACTACCAGAACTGTAAGATCTACATTTGTGTTGTTACAAACCAGAAAAGACTGTGATAATTTGTTCAGTAGCAATGGGAATCTTATACAAAGGGTAAAACCAATGTAATCATATATTAACTTGCATATACTGTTTTTAGTAGAGAATGAAAAAATGCAAGATATCATTTCAACTGGCCTCTAGATTTTTAAGACTAAAGTTTCCACCTTGTTTATCTACCCTAGCCTGGAGACATTGACAAGTGTCTCATATAGCTCAGCATAGAATGAGCTGGTATCGTGCGGTGGTCCAGGTGAGAATATTAAAGGGAAGCAATAGAGGTGTAGTTAACTGTAAGCCAAGCAAGATTTCAGACTATTGGGGGTGTCATGTTCAGGTTGGGTCAGACTGAAAGGACAGTTATCAGTGTTACAGTTTTTTCACAGAAGGGCAAGGAAGCTCACCCATCATTTATTTAATTCTTTGAAAACACTGAATAGAAAGTGTCAGCTAGGACCTAATCATTAGACTTTAGAGTACCTTTTTTATTTGAAGAAAAGCATAGACCTGAGATCTCTGCAAAGAGGTACAGAATAATTGATGTGCAGCTAACCACAGAAAAGGTAAAGAGTAAAATCCCCACCCTGGCAGTCGATGGATAATCCTTAAACTAAGTTCCTTCAGATATTGAGTGAAAGTGAGCCTGGAAAAAAAGGGTCACCATAAAGCAAAGTTTATAGGAGTAATGTGCTAATATTTCCTGGGTTCAAAGTTATTCTTTTTGCTGTCTAAAGCCAATAAGAAAAACATAGTAGACATATTTTTCCTAGTGTTTTTGTAGTAGGCTATGTTGACAATAAATTCACAGCTTGAGTATGGTAGAGAGAGACCCACTCCCATCCCCCAATTCCAGTGCTTCCATGACATATGAAAGAGAAAGTAGAGAACTATTTAGAAGCAGCAAATTCAGTCTGATGAAATATGTATGTATAAGTCCAGGGGCAACAGATTCTGTGCAGTAGTGTGCAATTTCTGATTTGTGAAGTGACTAATTCTGCATGTAGTAGGTGACTCATGGGGTTTTAGTGTAGGTTGCAATAATGAATCAGAATAATGCAGAAACCAACCAAAAAACAGACTATACCCACTCCTCTGATGAATGAGAACTTTCTAATAAAGTAATTATCAGGAATTGATTAACAGCAAAACCACTCCACGCTGTAATGTGTAGCTATAGTTCCTGTGACAGTGTGTATTGTATGTACTTGCGTGTATCTGCATCTCTCTGTGCTTAATTATGTTGGATGATTAGATCATCAAGATATTGAATTATATAAAATGGTTTCATTTTCTACTAATACTTTCTTGTCTTTATAAGCTCTACAATAGGGGAATTTCCCTTTGTCCTATTTATCAGAAGATCTGAACTGGGTAAAATCTTTGGCTTTTGAACCAGTAAATTGAAACAAACGGTAAACAAAATCTCATATAAAATGGTGCCTAAACAAGACCTAATCCTCTGAGTATATGACCTTTCACATAAATATTAGTAAGAGGAGGTATAATAAAGTAATTATACAACAGTAGCATTGAACACTTATTGCACACTTATTAGAAGTAAATTGTCTTCATTCTCTCAAATAATACCATGAAGCATGGACTATTATCATCCCTGTCTTACAGATAAATTGGGGCGGAGAGGTTCTGGTAACTTATCCCAAATCAGCTAATAACAGAGTAACAGAATGAGGATTTGCATACAGGACTGCCTAACCCCAAAGGGTGGGGGCTTAATGAGTATATTATGATAGAGCCACACATTCCTGAAGAAAATAAAGGTTACACTGACCAGAAACCTTTAGGGTATCTGCAGTTTTTATTTTGAGACTGTTCTGTTTCTCTGAATGCTGAATTTTTCCAGCATTAGACTGATGTGACCTCAATTCAGTATCTCTATATCTCTAATTTTGTAGACAGAGAAGTTGCAGAGCAAAGCAAAACAATGTGTATGTTGTCATCAGCTGTGCCTTGTATTCTTATCTCAGGTTTTGACTGAGTCTCATCACTTTCCTGGGTTTCAGCTTCCTCACTTTCCCTATATAAGTCACTGTTGTTTCAAGGCTTAAGTGGAGAAGTTTGCCTGAAATAGAGGAAATGTGTCTTCTCAGCCTTGGTCATACCAATAAATATACTGACCTTGGGCAACAAGGAGCCTGTTTAAGAGTTGGATACAAAGTTGTGTATTTCCAAATTACCAAGAAATATGGTGAAACATCTCAAACCTGGCAAAATGCCTGGGACCCCACATAATAATTTATTCAAGGGCATTCAAAATATAATATTCACATTGTCAATGTTTTAAAGTGATAGCAAGGATAAAGCACAATACAAGATGGCTGAGAAGGATTGACAGTTTTTTTAGTGAGCCAGCAGATGGCAAATGTAGTTCAGTAGCAGAATGCAAAATGAAGTGACTGCAAATGTGTGCTCATCATACGACACATGGATTGGAAAACAGATTTTCTGTGGCTATTATATAAAAATTATGGAAAGCATTAGTTTAATCCATAACTATCAAGTGCCATTTTTAATATCCACTATAATATATGCATGCATATATTTAAATAAATAAGGTATTATGAATATATTTGAAACAGTCTGAGAATTCTTGTGCTGGGTCATGTTCAGCAAGGGGTTGTTGGATGCCTCTAAACATAACAGACCTAAAATTTCTGTGGGGAGGTTTTTACTATTCAGGCATATTCAAGTTGCAGTACAAGAAGCTCCAGTAATATGAAGTGGACTTCTTGGGAAAGATCAATAAGACAGTATATTAGAATAGAAAGCTGATTTTTTTTTTTCAGGTAAAAAAATCTCCCAAATGAAACTATTACTCTGTCAAATTGAATCTGTATTCCTGCCTATATTAGTTTTCTGGGGCAGCCATGACGAAGTACCATGAACTGGGTGGCTTAAAGAACAAACATTTGCTTCCTCATATTTCTGGAGGGTAAAAGTCCCAGATCAAGGTGTTGGTAGGCATGGTTTCTTCTGAGGCTTCCCTTCTTGGCTTGGAGATGACTACCTTCTCCCCGTGTCCTCACATGGTCTTCCCTCTGTGCTGGTCTGTGTCCTAATACCTGTCTATCTATCATCGATCTATCTATCTATCTATCTATCTATCTATCTATCTATCTATCTAATCTATATCTATCTATATCTATCTATATCTATCTATCTATCTATCTATCTATCTATCTATCTATCTATCTGTCTGTTTTGGAGACAGAGTCTTGCTCTGTAGCCCAGGCTGGAGGCAGTGGCACGATCTTGGCTCACAGAAACCTCTGCCTCCCAGGTTTAAGCAATTCTCCTGCCTCAGCCTGAGTAGCTGGGATTACAGGGGTGCACCACCACACCCAGCTAATTTTTGTATTTTTAGTAGGGATGGGATTTCACCATGTTGGCCAGGCTGGTCTCAAACTCCTCACCTGAAGTGATCTACCCGTCTCGGCCTCCCAAAGTGCTGGGATTGCAGGTGTGAGCCACCATGCTCAGGCCATACCCTCTTCTTATAAGGACAACAGATATATTAGATAAGAGCCAGTCTAAAGGCCTCATTTTAACTTAGTCACCTCTTTAAAGGCCTTATCTCCAAATACAGTGACATTCTGAAGTACTGGGAATTAAGACTTCAACATATAAATTTTGAGGAAAGAAAATTCAGGCCATAACACTATCTTGTAAGTATAATGTTAGAAATAAAACTTTTTCATTACAATTCACTGTTCTTTTACTATGGAATAAACATTAATTGAAGTATCTTGTATAATAGATACAGTTGTGTCAAAGTTTGTAGTTTAATTGCCCAGAGTATGGAGTCTAACTAGATCATAAAATAATATTCCCATTTTATATAATCACAGATTAGTTTCTAGGCACTTCATTCATTTTTCTATCCAGAGGTAAAACTTATTGCTTCATTCAGGCTCAAATCTACTTTACAGATGCATTAATTTTTTATTCACCAAATACTTATTGGAGTGTTCACACATTCTACAGTTTATCATTGCATCACTGGCTGCCTCAACACTGATTATGGTTGGATTGGACTATAAGCTAGTAATTGTGCCAATAAAAATAATAAAAAACCTCAGTTGTTTGTTTTTGGCACTGTAATACAATTAACTATGTTATTTAATCTTCACAATAATCCTATGAGGCACAGGCAGTTTTAATCCACATTGTACAGACGATGAAAATGGGACACAGAGAGGTTGTGTCAGAGCGCTCATTTTCTACTGCTGCGTAAAAAATTGCCACAAATGTAGTAGCTTAAAACAACTTCCTTTTAGCAACTAAAAGTTCTCCAGGTCAGAAGTCTATCAAGGTATGGCTGGATTTTCTGCTTAGGATATCACAAGGCTGAAATCCTTGTGGCTCAGCTGAGTCGTCATCACAATGCTCTGGGGAAAACTCTGCTTCTAAGTTCATTCAGGTGTTGGCAGAATTCAATCCCTTGTGGTTGTAAGATGGAGATTCTGTTTCCTTGCTCTTTGTCACCTTTGGGACCCTTCTCAGCTTCTAGAGGCCACCTACAATTTTTGCCATCTGGTTCCCTCCATCTCCAAGCCAGTAATAGCCCATGACATCCTTCTCATGCTGCAAATTTGACTTCTCCCATTTCTTGACCTCTAGATGCAGAATTAAAGGACTCTTATGATTAGTCTAGTGACACTCAGATAATTTCCCTTTCTTAGAGTTAACTGTGCCACATAAGATAACCTAATTGTAGAAGTAAAATTCATCATACTCACAGACTTGGATTTTATAGGTCATATATACCAGGGAATGGGAAATATTGAGTGCCATCTTAAAATTCTACCTAGTACAATCAGTTAACTCTGGCTTCAGTGATGCTTATCACATCACCACAAACCCTCAGCAGCATGCAACCCTCTGCATTTATTTGCTTCACACATCTGTGGGTTGGTTGGTCGGGGGAGGAGGTCTGTTGGTCTGGTCTAGGCTCATTTTGGGTTCCTTCACTGGGGCAGTTTTCTGACATGCATCTCTTGTCCTCTGTCCTAGGCTGATGGGCTAGTTAGGCCTGATGTTGCTCAAGCAAAGATGCAGAGGCAAGCAGAACGTTGCAGGGCTCTTATGGCCTAGGCTTAGATTTAATACTTCTGATATTGGTCGCTTGCTCTTCATTTTATTGGCATAGGCGAGAAAAAAGATGAACAAAGTGAAAAAGATGAACAAAGTCAAAGAAATACTATTTTTTTTGCTCCTTTAGTGAGAAGAACTGCAAAGTCAGAAGACAAGGTAAATACAGGGGTGAGTGCAGAACTGGGGGCAAAGCTCCATCTATCAGAGCTAGGCTTTGCCACAGTGAACTTCCCCCCAGCTTCTCCTGGGGGTCCCATCTAGCAGCTGTGCAGCCTAAATGGGTGTTTAGTTCTAATCACTACTTGTATGAATCATTCTTCCATGTTGGGTTGACCAATGTTTTCTGTAAAGAACCAGACAGTCACTATTTTAAACTTTGTGGACTATATTATCTTTGCCACAATTGGTCTGTTCTGCAATTGGTGCATGGAAGCAGCCAGAGACAATACCTAAATAAAACTTTATTTTAAAAAACTATCCACAGGCTGGATTTGGCACGTAGGTTGTAGTTTGCTGACCTTTGATCTATGCTGTGGTTTGGCCCCACCAAAGCTCATGTTGACATTTGGTCTCTGATGTGGTGGTAAGAGGTGGGGCTTAATGGGAAGCTTTTGAGTCATAAGGGCTCCGAGCTTTCTGGAGACTGGATTAGTTCTCCAGGTAATGTTACTGAGAGAGTAGGGTGTTTTAAGCCAGAAAGAAGGCCTCCAAGTTTGTCTCTTTGAACTTGTCTGCTTTTCCTCTGACCTTCTCTGCCATGTTGTTATACAGCACTAAAGCCCTTACCAGAAGCCAGGACCATGCCCTTGGACTTCCCTACCTGCAGAACCATTAACTAAATAAATTTCCCTATAAACTTATTTTCTTTATAAACTACACAAATGTTCAGTGGATTCCCAAAACAAACATTGCTTATGCTCAAAGCTCTGCAGAGAAACTACAGTTTGGCTCATCTGTGATGGCCAGACTAAACAGCTCTGCTTCAGGCTGTGGGTTGGCTGGTCTCAGCTCCAGGCAGCACATTGAGTTAGGTCTGCTACATAGTTGTTTTTTCTTGGGCCTAGAAGTAATTATCTGGTACACACTCTGCTTGTGGTTGTTCAAAAAATGGAAGATCCAAGAATGAGCTACAAGTTTTTATGTCTACTAGCATTCAATTGGCTAAAATTCACATAGCCAAGCTGAACATGAATAGCATGATAAAGTATACTCTGTGGTGTGAAAGGGAGGGGAGTGAATATTTGGAGAAAAATTACCCAAATTATTACACTTGGTTGAATTATAAAATATAACAATTTTCTCTAATTATCGTCAATGTTTTTGTTGTGATTACAAACATTTTGCACAAATTAACTCATTTATTAAATGTGAAACATTTTTCCATAGACAGGAGGCTCTCCTCTCTAAATATGTATATAGAATAAATGGTGGAACATTTTTACATAGACAGGAGGCTGTCTGCTCTAAATACGTACGTAGAAGAGAAATGTTTAGATTATCATTTATGGATTCTCCCCACCCTATTCACTTGGGATACCGACCCAGCTAGGAAACGTCAGGAAGAAAACTGACTAGATGAGGTCAATCAATGCCCACAGAAATTATGACAACTGCCAATCAAATTGTCAGCATGTAAATTTGCAGAAGCACTGCAAGGAAGTTTGTAGAATCTACCCTATTGCTGATCAATTCAATTTCATGTATTTCTTGGTGCATTTAGGTAAAATTTGACCACATAAACCAAGACGGAAGTCCAGATATAAAGCTGACTCCAAGAGTTGAGAATTGTGTCTTGGATCCAGTTTATGTAAACATGTGGTTCTCAAATTTGGCAGGATATTAGTGTCACCCAAGCAAATAATAATAATAAATCCCACTTAAAGTTTCGGGCAAAATAGTTGTAGTGGTAGCATATTTTTCCCAAATCTTCATAAAACCAGCTAGAATAATTCAGTAGCAAATCCAAAAACCCTTGGCCTATATTTATAGTAAAGCTAGGTGACAAGAATTTTGGGTTATTTATTGCTGCATAACAAATCACACCCAAATTTAGTGGCTTAAGATAACATTATATTATCACTATGATATCTGTGGGATAGAAAATTTAAAAAATGGCTTAGGTGGGTGGTCCCAGCTCTAGATTTTTCCTAATGCTGCAGTCAGACTGTGGCTGGAACAGGAACAGAAGATGCTGAAGGAGCTCAGGGTTGGCCAGGTAACTTCCTCTCTTAATGTGTTATCAGGATCTCTCCATATGGAATCTCCAGATCATGTCTCATGGGCTTCCTCAGAACCTAATGTCCTCTAGAAAGTCAGAGTGCCTATAGTATGTCTGAAGACTTCAAGAGTATTCCATCAAGAAAGGCAGAAGCTTCACCACCTCAGATCCAGCCACAGCAGTCACCAGGGGCATTTCTGTCATACTCTACAGATTCAGTCCAAAAAGCCAGTCAAGTTTCAAGGAGAGAAGACACAGATTCCATCTGTTAGTGGCATGGTGTCAAAACCACATTGTAAAGTGACCATGTGGAATGACAGTTATGGTTGCAGCCATCTTTAAAAAGTATTGTCCTCTGCACAGCACATCTCCATAAACATATAGGTGACTGGGGGACATTCCCTATAGCTCCAAGACCTGCTTGGAGTTGGCAAACTGTGGGAGGAAGAAGCAGCAGCAGGCAGCATGTGATGGACTTGGGAACAGAAAAATCACAAAACAGCCAATAGGTATTCACTGGAAGCACTGCAGTTGATTTTCAGAAGAGCAGCTGCAATGTTGCCTTTTCCAATAATGGGGGAATGCAAGGGTTTGGCTGGAGAGGTCTAGCCCTTATGTATACTCCAGACAGATCTTCTAGCAGGTCCTTACAAAACAGTGTTCACAATAGGGAGAAACTGCTTGAAAATGAATCTTAATAAGTAGGATGGGACATTGGAAATAAGGAAAAGATGCTCACAAATTTTGGAGAAGAGACTCAGGATGACTCAGGAAGTGACTTGTCTTAATTTGGTACTACACATCAAGGACACAAGCCATGGATAAACCTGCTAGATTTCAGAACTTAGCAGTTGGGCCATAACCCTGGTTTTACAAAGCATAGAAGAGAGTCTAAAAGCAGGCAAAGGTCATATAGGTACAGGGTGAAAACCAGGGTATTTCAATCAACCAGAGACTCATAAGGAATAATTTGAAAGGCAGAGAGTGATCACCTAATGTTGACACTTTTTCCTCACAGTTTTATGATTGTAAGATATGACCAGCTGCATAAAGCACTGGCTGAAAATAACCATCATAATTTTCACCAGTTGAACTTCCATTCGTTTACTTATGCATTCATTCCTTCATTCACTCATCAATATTTTATTGAGCCCCTATTGTGGACTGGCACCTAGGAAGAACTGGGAATATACTCTACTTGCTTCTTTGCTCTTCTATCTTCTCCTCACTTTATTCCCAACTGAATCTCATTTGGATCCTAACTCAGTTCAACTCTGATTTCTTTTATCTTGGTGTGGTCTCAAAGCTTGTATTTGTTTTCCTGGAGTTTGACCCACTGTTCTCCCTAATGTGCTCCATATGGGCTAACCTCCTAATCTTTTTCTTCTGCATTGTAGAAGAAGATCTGTCCACCTTAGACTTGAACTCTTGGGCTCTGGAAAAGTTAGTATTGCTCTCTTTCCAATAGGGGTAGGAAGAAGTTTTGGGTAGATCGCATGGGGAGGAAATTTTGACACACAGTGATTGAGGCTTTACTAATATGTTGGGCACAAAGCTGTATTAGAGCCAGAGAAGAAATGTAAGACAATATGTGTCTTATATTTTAATAGGGATATATAATTTAGAAAGTATATAGAAGTGCATAGTTTCTATGTCTCTGTCTTAATATTATACATATCAAGAAAGGCTGTGTTAAATCACAGTTTGAAGACTCATATTTGACTTTTATAAGCACTTGAACTATTGCTATTTCAGGATTTTTTATTAAAGAGACAAGCCACCATATGTTATAGTTTTCAGATGTGGGGGTCCCAGAATTGGCAATTGACTTTGAATATTAATGAGCCTTATTAATATTCTTGCTTAAAAGTAACACATGTTATACAGAAGTGGGTCCAAAGATTACGAGCAAAATAGGACATATATATACACACACACACGTACATATATATATATGTTTTAATCACAAAAGTAATTTTAATATGTTTCTAACATGAGATGGGTACATGTTTCTCTGTCATACTACACTTGAAACATTGATTTTGGTATTAATAATTCAAATGAATATGTTAGCAGTCAAGAGCATTCATGACAAAAATCTTGTCCATCCAAGAACTTCTAGTTTTGAATGGAACTTAGTGCAATTCTCCTGACATTACTGAGTTAATCATATCGAACTGACTCATTGTAGAACCATTTAACACTGCCCTTTAAAAATTTGAAGAATGAAAACATAGTTTAAGTAATTGATGCTCAATTGTTCTTTCTGCCAACATTTAGCTGGAGAGTTTAATTGCTTCTTAAAGCAGCACCTTTTCTTTGGTACTTAAACAGTAACGTTGGTATAGACAGTGCTTGTCTACTTATAAGAAATGCCAGTTAATCACCCAGTCAGCTCATTGCATGTAACATCTGTTATTCAAATGCGGATATGGAAGAAGGGGAGGTAAGCAATAGGGCAGCCCTGCTTTACAGGATTTCAAATGGGGATACTATTTGTCAAAACATTGATCTTATTTTGAGTCTGGTTGAAGAACAGTGTCACTGTACAGGATTTGAAGGCACAAATAGCTTTGAATCTATGCTGAAATTATAAAACTTCTCACAGGCACAATTTTTGATCAATACAAAAAAGTTAGTCTTTTATTTGGTAAGAGGAAGGGAAATATTGCTTGGAATAGTACTTGGATGGTACTTTGTAAAGCCCTGTGGCATAAGGCATCTACTTGATCCTCACAGCAACATGGCAAGGTCATTTTTCCAAGGCTATGGATAGAACTGGAAGCCAGAACTGCTGAACTCAACCCAAATAATCTTTTGATTAAAGCATATTATTTCAGTGTTTGGTGGTCAAATGCTTACTATCTGTTTTCGCAATCCTGTTTTTATGTAAGGTGGTAGTGTAACCCAATGGTGTTAGGGGCTGAGTGGGACCCTCTTTACTGGGAATTGACCACTCAGAAAAAGATACTAACAATTCCATATATTGAGTTCTGAGAACTACAGGTGATGGTGCCAACTTCTTCCCCAAGAGGCTTAGGAATATGCCAGTTGAGAGATCTAGCCTTACCACCATCATCCCATCTTCTAATTCTTCCCCTCCCCTCCCTTGTTAGTCTCTCATTTTTGGAGGTGTACAATGTCTGTGAATAATTATAGCTTCTTTTCCATTGAGCACCTACTATGTGTCAGACAGCATCCTGAGAGCTCAGGATCAGAATTCTCTCTTGCCTTCCACTCACCAAAGAAAGACACCAAAAAATGACTTGTAATATTTGCTTATAACTGAAAAGAGGAAAGAAGCATGCTATTTCCTAATCTTGCATTTGATATCTCTGCCAGATATGACTACTTTGATTGACTGATTGACATGGCCTCTTCTACAAGAGGAGGTGGGCTGGGGAGGTTTCAACTCACGATGAAACTTAAGACCCAATATGATAGTTTGGAAAGCTGAGACTTTTAAGGTGATTGGCTCATGTGGTATCTTCCCTCATGAATGGTTTAATTCATTCGTGGATTCAAAAATTAATGGGTTAATAGATTAATAGGACATCATCCAAGGGGAAGGAGTAGCTTTATAAGAAGAGGAAGGAGGACCTGAGCTAGCATATGAACTAATCACCTCATATATATATGTGTGTGTGTGTGTGTGTGTGTGTGTGTGTATGTGTGTGTGTGTGTGTGTGTGTGTGTGTGTGTGTGTGTGTGTGTGTATGAGGTGATACATGTATACTAAAATCCCCAAATGACATTTCTTTCTCTCTCTCCTGGAGCAACACAGCCTGGGGCAAAAGGGCAAGTGAATCAGAGGAAGTAAAGGGAGGTATCCAGCCAGGGTCCTGGCTAGAGAATATAAGTAAATCTTACATAGGATAAGCAATGCCTAGGCAGTCTGTTTAAATACATATGTGTACACATACTTACTTTCTCTCTCTCTCTCAGATACATATAAAGAAATATTAAGGAATTGTCTCACATGATTGTGGGGGCTGGAAAGTATAAAATCTGTAGAGCAGGCTGTCTGGAAACTCAGGCAGGATATCTATGTGGTAGTATTGAGAATTCCTTCTCCTTCTGGAAATCTCAGTCTTTTTTCTCAAAGCCTTCAGATGATTAGATAAAACCCATCCACATCATGGAGGGTAATATGCTTCAATCAAAGTCTACTGATTTAAATATTAATCACATAATAATATACCTTTGCAGCAACATCTAGGCAGGTGTTTGACAAAAGAACTGGTCACCATAGCCTAACCAAGTGGACAGAAAAAATTAACTATCACAAATGCAACACAGTTTGGAGCAAAAATGGAAAGCGCATCAGAGAATGTAATGGGAGGTTTCCAGCCAGGGTGCTGGCTAGGGAATATGAGTAAGTCTTACACGGGATGAGCAATGTCTAGGCAGTCTGTTTGGATGAGTCTGTCAACAGATGAAGCAGTCTTCCACCTGATACCTAGCTGGCTCGGCAGGTATGACAGAAAGGATTCACCATAGATAGTGAGTTCCCTTGTGCTTTAGGGGCAAATACTATGCCCAGAGTGATGGGAGGTTTATTAGAGAAATTGACTACTTCTCAGAGCCATCAGAATCTCACCTGCTCTGAGGACAGATGGATGGGAGTCTGGGGATATAATGAGGAGAAAGAAATTTAGTACCACAGAAACTGAAGACTTGGGACTGACTGCTGCTTTAACAGCAAATGTTATTGAGACAGTTTGTAAAAATAGCTTGAAATTACATGAGTGGAGCTTGCTTTTAGGATGTGGGAAGGAACTGATGGAGGATAGCTGGAAATTATTAGGAAATATAGAAGTCAGTACATTTTTATACCACAACTAATAAGACTCCCACCAAGCCAGTATTGTAGGATAAGAGTTCCTGCAAAACGTTACTTCATTTAATAACCACAACAATTCCATGGTGTGAGGAAGACTCTCGCCATTGTATGACTGAAGAACCGAGTTAGAAAAATTAAGTAACACTACCAAGATCATACAGATACTGTGAGATGACTTGGGGCTTTTACTCAACACTTAAATTTAAACTATTCTTTTTCTTTCTTTTTTGTTTCTGTCCTGTGTTGCATGTTGAATCTCCCTAAGACATATTTTAATATAGACTTATCAAATTGATGGCTTCCTTATGAAGGTAATTTAAATTGAGTGAGTCCGCAGGATGTCATCTAAAATCAGTTATCACTTAATCCACACATTGTCTCCATACATGTGGCTTATCGTTTCTATAAAGATGGAGAAATAATCTGATTTTGCCACTATGCAATTGAAAGGGTAAATTTTTCCATCTTCTAAGGGAACGTAAGAATTGTTTTGATTCTCAAAAGAGCTGAGAGTACTTGGGTGTTTGTATATACTCCATGTAATCCTTTCATCTTTTGACGGGAATTTCTGCAGGGGAAAGATTTGCTAGACAGAATGTTCCATTCTCATCCAGGTCTTTTGTTAAAGGTCTTTTCGCCTCTTATCTTGTTAAAGATTTTATCTTCTTTCCTCCATCTCTTACATTAGATTATCCTAGATTAACACTGTTCCTCAGGCTTCCTTCTCTATTGTTATATTATATAAAAATAACTTATCACATTCACTTCAGTTCCCCAACTAAGGAGAATTTGTAACCCACCTATGTAATTGCTGTGTCCTGCAGCCAACAATAAACCCTATAAGAAATATTGAGTGTTTTTATTTTTGCTTTTCCTCCAGCAAGGCCTTAATGTTTTTGCTCAGTTGTCAAGTAAACTTTTGTTGCAAGCAAGCTTAATAATGACATTTCTAATTCAATTAGCTTATTTCTTTTTTTTTTTTTTTTTTTTTTTTTGAGACGGAGTCTCGCTGTCGCCCAGGCTGGAGTGCAGTGGTGCGATCTCGGCTCACTGCAAGCTCTGCCTCCTGGGTTCACGCCATTCTCCTGCCTCAGCCTCCCGAGTAGCTGGGACTACAGGCGCCCGCCACCTCGCCCGGCTAATTTTTTGTATTTTTAGTAGAGACGGGGTTTCACCGTGTTAGCCAGGATGGTCTCGATCTCCTGACCTCGTGATCCGCCCGCCTCGGCCTCCCAAAGTGCTGGGATTACAGGCGTGAGCCACCGCGCCCGGCCTAATTAGCTTATTTCTTAATATGATTGTATTTTAATAAATATATGCATTTATAATTTAGTGCATTTTCTTTATCCTTAGCTTCAGTGCCTTTTGGACTTAATTTCCTTGAAATACACTGAAAGGTTATTAATATTTGTGACTTAATAAATATTTCACATGTACTAAACTTCATACATGTGTGTATGTCTAACTAAATAATGTGTGTATAACTACTGGTTTCTATATTTGTTTCTAAATTAAAATGATAAAGATGTTCTTATATTGGAATATGTCTTTCTGGGAAACCGTAATACATTTACTTGACAGAGCAAAAAATGTTTTGGTAATATTAACAATGAAAGATTGTTAATCTTATTGCTCAACCAAAGACATCTAAAATTTAAAAATGAAAACCTGGAATCCAGCCATGTGGATACGTGATGAATTTTGTGGTCAGTGGCTTTCCCAACCACTAGTCCGTCTTGACCCATCGCAAGAATGACCTGCTTCCACTGGATAGCAGTATGGTTCTTGGGGTCTGCCTTTAGCTGCAGCCCTAGCCCTAGCTCCAGGAAGACTCTTAGCATGCTCATCTCTGTGGCTATAATGATTGTATCAAAAGCTGGTCTGAGACTAAAGTGATTTTTTTTTTCTGAGAGTATCAGTACTCAGATACTCATCTCATTGACTCTGACCTTGTTTAAATTCCTTCTTGGCTTGTCGTAGCTTTTTGGAGAAAGTTCAAACACCTTTCTTCTACACATGGGGCCTATGTAAACCAACATCTGATATACTTTTCCAGATCAATTTGTTGATTTCTTCTCTTCCCTACCCTGCTTCCTGCCCACCCACTCCCTGCCCTCCTCTGTCTCTTGGAAAAATCTGTTTTAAGAGCTCGTTTTCCTACAGCTTTCCTAAATAAAATTTGTTCAGGCCTTGATGGCTTTGCACATTGCAGCTCCTTGCTGGGAACCCTGGTGCCTCGGCTGCCTCTTTCCCCACCTGCTCTGTAGGTTTCCTGGTCTTACTAGAGTTGGTCAAATTTCACTTCCTCTGAGACTATTTCCAGAAAAACAGAATTATGGATTTGTGTAATCATCTATACCTTAAGAGTATAAGCCTCACATTCATCTCCAGCATTCATCATACTGCTCTGTAATGGCTGGTTTTGTGATCTGTCCCTAGGGAGCCAGGACTGTGTCTTTGTCACCAGAATAGAGAAATAAAATAGTATGGAGAGGAAAAGTATGTATTTTGGAGTCTGATGAACCTTCAGTTTCAGTCCTGCTTGAATATTTCCAAAATGTACAACAATAGGCAGGTTCCTTTATTTCCTGAGTCTTAGATATATTAGCTTTATTTTAAAGAGATGACTTAATGTTTGCTTCTCAAGGAATTTGTATATATACACGAAATACTGTATATAAACCACTTAATATGGTTCCTGGTGCATATTTCCTGTGATTGTAAAACATTCATTTGCCAAATAAATGAATAACTTCTAATTACTAAAGTCTAAGAATCAAAGTTTGCAGAGAACTTCAATTTTATTTCCATTGAGATGTGGCTTCTGTAATACCATTTTAACATCTATTAAAATAATGTTCTTAAAGTCATCAATGGCTGACTAATGCCTTCTTTCTAAGTTTTCTTCTTGTGAGTTTCATTGTATTTGATTAATTCTGTCATTTTGTTTCATAAGGTTCTTCCTGTGTATAGGGTCTTTGGTACATTGACTCTTTGTATCTAGCTTTGGATTATTGGCAGATTTGAATGGTTTGTCATCTTTATCCCTACTGAAATCATTAATAATTTTTAAGAGTAAAGGATTTAGATTATGCCAGGAAACTGGTGGTAACATAATTTTGTATTTTCTCACAACTCCTCTTGCAAACTAAGCAGAATGACCACAGAATATATACCAAAATTAAAAACTCTGCAAAAACATCTTCAATATAAAGACGTGACAGGACTCAGGTGTGTTCTAATTATTTATAGCTGCTGAAGAAACCACCCCCAAAACTTAGTGGCACAAGGCATTGACTACTTCATTACATGTCATCATTTTGTGAATCACACATTTAGGTAGAAAGTGCCTTTTTTCTTTAATAGGACATGGCATCAGCAAAGCATACTCTGTGATACTCAGTTCACCTATGGGCTGGTCCAGAGGGTCCAAGATAGCTTTCCTCTTGGCAGGCATGGCTGAGGGTTTGGCTTTGCTGGCACATTTGATGGCAGAACTACATGTGCCTGTCCGGCAGGATAGCCTTAGGGCCCCAAGTCAGATATCCTGGCTGGTGGCTCAGGGTTGCGGGAGATTGTACCAGGGAATTGGGTAGAAACTTCAAGGTCTTTTATGACCCAGTTTCAGATGTCATATGGCAACTCTATAGGTTGAAGTACTCACAAGTCCTTTCATATTACAGAGGAGGACCATAGGTCCTACCTTTGCATGGGAGAAGTTTCAATGAATTTTCAATAATGTTTAAAAACCACAACAATCTGTTTGTAGCCATAGTTATTTACATTCCTTCCTAATGCAAAATGCATTCAGTTCTTCCCAAGCTCTCTCCAAAGTCTCATCCTTGTATGGCTTCAGCTCAGACTTGAGGTCAAGGATCTTATATAGATTAGGTTCAGGTGCAGATAAGGTTGGTCAGATTCAGTCCTTCTTAATCTGGAGACCAGTTAACTTTTGAGAGATCAGATATCTAACCGTATTCACCCTTGTGCCCATATACATACCCAATATACAATAATGGAGCAGGTAAAAGTTAATTGCTATAGAAATTCCTGTGAAAATGAGGGAAACCAGCACACAAAGAAGTTACTGTTCCATAACAATTCTGAAATCCAGTTGGACACAGTTACCAGTTACTTGATTTGGGCTCAGTAATACTCCCTGGAAAATATTTTCTGTGTTTGTCTTTGTCTTTTGGCCTCTTGCTTTTACCCTGTAATTCTGTGGCTACTGGTCACATATTCCTTCCATTTCCATGTATGGAATTAGTAGTTTCCTTAGTTGGCTTGCTATCGTAAGAAATTTGCAGACCCAAAGGCCTTGTTTCCATCTTGTACTGTCATGCCAAGTTGGTACAATTACTTTAAACACTTTATAAATTGTTTGAAATATATAAACTTATAATCCATATCATTAGACCAAAGCAATATTAGGAATAGCTGTGATATAAGTCCCCCTCTGTCTTTTTTTTTTTTTTTTTTTTTTTTTTTTTGAGATGGAGTTTCGCTCTGTCACCCAGGCTGGAGTGCAGTGGTGCAATCTCGGCTCACTGCAACCTCCGCCTCCCAGGTTCAAGCAATTCTCCTGTCTCAGCCTCCTTAGTAGCTGGGACTACTGGCACGTGCCACCATGCCTGGCTAATTTTTTTATTTTTGGTAGAGACAGGGTTTCACCATGTTGGCCAGGCTGATCTCGAAATCCTGACTTCATGATCTGCCTGCCTCAGCCTCCCAAAGTGCTAGGATTTACAGGCATGACCTCCTCTGTCTTTAATGGGAATAGCATTGAATCTATAAATTACTTTAGGCAATATGGCCATTTTAATGATATTGATTCCTCCTATCTATGAGCATGGAATGTTTTGAGCTCTTGGTGAAGCCACTGTGGGACAATACCCTTAAGAGTCTTGAAAGCAGCATTGTCTATCCAAGAAGGATAAAGAGACATATGGTTAAAGTTCTTAGGGGCATTTTTGTTTTATTGAGTTGGTATGTGGGACACTGCCTTACATAGTTCTGAGATGTTAACAAAGTACCTTAAAGGCATCCCCCAGATTTCCTGGGGCCATGTATTTCTGGAAGTTGTTAGATTTAAATTTGCTCTATGACAGTGGTCCTTAATGGATGGAGGCAGCATTTGTCAATGTCAAGATACATTTTTAGTTTTCACAAATGGAGAGGTGCTGCTGTTTACTGAAATGCTGTGGGTTAGTTCTAGGTCCCATTGCTCAATGCACAGAAAGCCAATCACTGAGACAGTGCCAAGGAAGAAGGCTTTTTTGGGTGCTGCAGCCAAGGAGAATGAAAGGTCTGGCTCAAGATCATCACCTCAACCAAGTAAAATTAGGCTTTCTTATAGCAGGAAAAAAAATGTAACTATGTGTGGAAAACAGGAATTTGGGAAAGGTAAGAAAGAGGATTTGGTCATCAGACAGCAGGTGGCCAGTTGGTAAATCATGACACGGTGAGGCATCTGGCATCTCATTGTCCACATGTGGTTGTCTGGTAAGATTCAGTTCCTTGAGATTATCTGGGAAAACTGATGGTTAGTTTCCTGAGAAAAGGACTCAGATAAGACAAATGTAAGTTTCTCAAGTTTTAAGACTGAGTGGGTCAATTTCTATGTTGATTCAAAAGAAACCATAAACATCAGTTATATGGAACAATTGGACCAGTTTCATTGTCATCTGGTGGGTAGAAGTCAAAACTTTTGTTTAACATAAACAATGTGTGGGATAACTTCCCTGCACCAACAAATAACTGACCATCCCAAAATGTCACTGATGATGAGGCTGAGAAGTCTTGCTCTGAGGCCATTTATTTTTTTGAAACTATTTTGCTGGTATAATAGACTGTTGATGTCATTTGTCCACTTTTTAATGGAGTTATTTTTTCTAATAAATTTAAGTTCCTTGTAGACTCTGGATATCAGACTTTGTCTGATGGATAGATTGCAAAAATTTTCTCTTATTCTGTCTTTTCACTCTGATGGTAGTTTCTTTTGTTATGCAGAAGCTCTTTAGTTTAATTAGATCCCATTTGTCAATTTTTGCTTTTGTTGCAGTTGCTTTTGGTGTTTTCATCATGAAATCTTTGCCCATGCTTGTGTCCTGAATGGTATTGCCTAGATTTTCTTCTAGGGTTTTTATAGTTTTGGGTTTTACATTTAAGTCTTTAATCCATCTTGAGTTAATTTTTGTATAAGATTTAAAGAAAGGGTCCAGTTTCAATTTTCTGCATGTTAGCTAGCCAGTTTTCCCAGCACCATTTATTAAATAGGAAGTCCTTTCCCCATTGCTTATTTTTATCAGGTTCATCACATATCAGATGATTATAGGTGTGTGGTTTTATTTGAGTCTCTATTCTGTTCCATTGGTCTGTGTTTGTTTCCTTACCAGTACCATGCTGTTTTGGTTACTGTAGCCTTATAGTATAGTTTGAAGTAGGGTAGCATGATGCCTCCAGCTTTGTTCTTTTTGTTAGGGTTGTCTTGGCTATTCAGGCTCTTTTTTGGTTCCATATGAATTTTAAAATAGTCTTTCTAATTCTGTGAAAAATATCAATGGTAGTTTAATGAGAATAGCATTGAATCTATAAATTACTTTTGGCAGTATGGCCATTTTCATGATCTTTATTCTTCCTGTCCATGAGCATGGAATGTTTTCCCATTTGTTTGTGTCCTCTCTAATTTCCTTGAGCAGTGTGAAGACGTTTATGTGGCCCACAAACATGAAAACTCAACATTACTGATCATTAGAGAAATGCAAATCAAAACCACAGTGAGATGCCGTCTCACTTCAGTCAGAATGGTGGTCATTAAAAAGTCAAGAAAAAAGATGCTGGTGAGATTGTAGATAAAAAGGAACATTTTTATACTGTCAGTGGGAGTGTAAATTAGTTCAAACATTGTGGAAGACAGTGTGGTGATTCTTCAAAGATCTAGAAGCAGATATATGATTTAACCCAGCAATCCCATTACTGGGTATGTACCCAAAGGAATATAAATCAATCTATTATAAAGATACATGCACCCATATGATCATTGCAGCACTAATCACAACAGCAAAGGCAGGAGATCAACCCAAATGTCCATCAATTATAGATTGGATAAAGAAAATGTGGTACATGTACACCATGGAATACTATGCAGCCACAAAAAGGAATGAGATTATGTCCTTCACAGGGACATGGGTGGAGTTGGAAGCCATTATCCTTAGCAGAGTAATAGAGTAATGCAGGAACAGAAAACCAAACATCGCATGTTCTCACTTATGACTGGGACTTGAACAATGAGAATATATGGACACATGTTGGGGAGCAACCATGCTGGGGCCTATTGTGGGGTTCAGGAAGGGAGAGGATCAGGAAGAATAGCTAATGGATGTTGGGCTTAATACCTAGGTGATGGGTTGATCTGTGTAGCAAACCACTATGGCACATGTTTACCTATGTAACAAACCTGTACATCCTACGTATGTATCCCGGAACTTAAAAGTTGAATACAGGAAAAAAAAAAAAAACAACACTGAAGACTAGCTTAGAACATCTACGTTTTTTCCAAATGTTAATTCAAAAGTTAAAAGTTTGTTTTTTGGTTAGGTACTTTTTCTCACATTATATAACAGGCAACTAGAAGGCACCAGATGGTGATACCTTCAAGAATCTGTCTGGAAATCTCCTTAACTAGATCATCAGGTTCATTAAATACATTTCCTTCTCTACCCATTACTGTTCCCAAACCAATGACACACATGTGAGAGTTTGTTACAGCAGCTCCCTACTTGCAGGTGCAAAACCATGTTTCAATTATCTATTTCTATGCAATAAACCAAAATTTAGTGACACTAAATAACATTTTCTTATGTCTCATTTTTTAGGTTAAGAATTTGGACAGGGTTCAACTGGGTGACTCTTACTTAATGTAGCATCAACAGAAGTTGCTTGGTGATATAAAGGTGGCATATGGGCTGGTCTGAAGCATTTAAAATGGCTTCATTTATTCATTGGGTTCCTTGCTGGGAATGGAAGCAAACCTGGGGTAAGCTGGACCAGTCAACTGGTTTACCTACTCTTGGCCTTTCCAGCTTCGTAGCGTAGCGTTAGAAGTCATGGCGTTTTCTGACTTAGGGTTAGCAGTCATGCGGCATCACTTCCTCTGCACTCTGTTGGTCAAAGCAGTCAAAGTCCAACCAAATTTAAGGAACTTAGAAACCTACCTCTCAATTGGATGAGAGTTTTGGAATTTTGGGCCATATTTCTAAAATCATCATACATGGGAATGCCAGAACTAGCGTGGGTTCACCCAATAATAATAATCTGCAGTCCATCAGCAACTTTGTGGAAAGAGCAGACAGAATAGGAAAGAAAAAGTGATGCTTTATGTGAGATGAACCTAGAATGTACCCATCCTGTTTGGTACTTGACAACATTTTTGTCAATTGTCACATCTGAGAGAAAATGTGGGCAATGGGAAAATATGAATAATTCGTATATGTGGTTAGTAAGAGTGTCAAACAGTGCCACAACCATTGAGTAATTACTGGTTTGAAAAAAGAAATCTAGGGAATATTCCCTATAAGAAGAACAGAGCCTCACCTTATAGGGAAATGTGAGGAGCAAAATGCAAATTGACCTCTGCAAATGAAAACACCCTATGCAAATGAAAGAGGTTTCAGAGGAATTGAGAAGTAGATTCCCAAAAGCTCATATCAATAAAATGCTACATTCAAGGAATAAGTACTACCTAGAAGTCAATGCTTTGAGGCCTGAAAATCCCAAGTTTGGGGATTAAATGCTTTTGAGTCAATCTTCTCTCTGAAAGGTAGATAAGGTACTATACAGAGAGCATACTTTGAATTCTTCAAAAAAAAAAAAAAAAAAAAACAGATAAGGCTGGGTGTGGTGACACACACCTATAGTCCCAAACACACTGGAGGCTGAGGTGGGAGGGATCACTTGAGGCCAAGAGTTCAACACCAGCCTGGGCAATATGGTAAAACCCTGTCTCTACAAAAAATACAAAAATTAGCTGGGTGTGGTAGCACATGCCTTTAGTCCCAGCTACTTGGGAGGCTGAGATGGGAGGATCATCAGAGCCCAGCGAGATTAGGCTGCAGTGAGTCATGATCATGTCACTGTACTCCAGCCTGAATGACAGAGGAAGACCTATCTCAAAAACAAAACACCCCAAAACAAACAAAAAACAGAACAAATCAAACAAAAAAAAATAGGGGAAGGGAGAATACGTGAGCCTGAAAGCTAAGAAAAGCACTTAGTCCATCATTGTACTGTCTCTAATAATCCAATAAAATCCATCTTATTTACATATACAAAACTAAAGAAAATAAAAAACATATATAACACAACTTCAGTCACAAGTATTATAAGAAAAAATAAGAACAACTAAATAACATAACAAGATGTTATGAACTGCCCCAAAAATATGGTACAAAATAATTATAATCCAATATTTCAAAATCAGATAAAAGATTAAAGTAAAAAAATGAAATAATGATAATGGAAATTGCAAATAGGACAGGTAGTAATTTCATTAGACTACAGAGGAATGTGAAAACTACTCAGGAAAGGAATAGAAAGATAAAAGAAACATTACTAAAATGGAGATTGAAAAGGAATACAAGAATCAAAAGACTATAAAAATCACAGTAATATAAATGTAATAAAGAAATGGAAAAAGTGAAGAAAATGGGAAATGTAACAAAAAAATTAAAAAATGCTAAAGAAACTCGGATAAGAAAGACATGGAGGAGAGGGAAAGAGTAGTGTATCTATGCTTGGAATACTCCAAAGAGAAAATGTAAAATACTGAAATAGGAAAATTATTTAAAACTATAATTCAAGAAAAATTTCCTGAAATAAAATCTAATCTACATATTGACAGAGATATCTAGTAATTTAGAATATTATTTCAGACCGATCAATATGGAGAAATACTGGACATTATAGTTTTTTAAAAAATCTTCAGATTTCCTGTCAAAATCGAGTAACTTATAAGTAAAATATCAAAAGTGCTATGCTAGAACCAAATAGAGCAACCCTTTTGTAAGGTATGTGATATGGTTTGGCTCTGCATCCTCACTCAAATATCCTCTTGAATTGTAATCCCCTTGTGTTAGGGAGGGACTTGATGGAAGGTGTGTGAGTTCTCATGAGATCTGATGGTTTAAAAGCATAGCACTTCCCCCCTGACTTTGTCTCTCTCCTGCCACCATGTAAGATGTGCCTTGCTTCTATTTCCCCTTCTGTCATGACTGTAAGTTTCCTGAGGCTCCCCCAGCCATGTGGAACTCTTAAGTCAATTAAACCTGTTTTCTTTATAAATTACCCAGTCTCAGGTAGCTCTTTGTAGCAGTGTCAGAACAGACTAATACAGTATGCAAAGGGAAAAAATGTGAAGCAAAGATTTTATATCTAGGCAAAATGTAAACTTTGTGTATAAAGATCATAAAGAAACAAACAAGAACTCAATGGATTTCATCTGAGACCATCCCAAGGGCTGTACTTGGAATGAGTTTCAGCCAATCACAAAATGAAAACAGAAACTTTGGTGTACGTTTTGGAGATAAACACTTAGTATATTTAACTGCAGAACTAAATGATGGGATGAAGATGAAAGATTAATATAGGACCTATAGGCAGAGAAAAAGAGAAATAACAAAATTTGAAGAATAAGTGGCAGAGCAAGTAGAAATTATAATAATTTGGTAAATTACATTGTAAGTATTCCTGGGAAGTAAAAATATATCCTTTGTAGCTAATGAATCAAGTAGTTAATCTTTGTAGCTAATTAATCAAAAAGTTAATTTTGATTATGATCACAAACATTAACACTAATGTGGTAGTGGTATAATGATACATTAAAAATAATTTGTTGTGGTAAATTGATAGAAAATATTTTTAAAGAAAGAAAGGAATAAGGGTCATATATTTGGAGAAAATATTCCAACCATTCTAATATCAACATTTTTTTGAAGATAAAAGGGAACACAGACTATAATATGGTAAAACATATTATACCAGAACAGTAGGGTACTTTGTTGTGCCAGAAAGGAAGAATTCCATTAAAGATTAATTGGGGGCAAAAACTCAATTGTTAGAAAATGAAAAAACATCTTTCTACAATTAAATGATACTCAAAAATAAAGAGGAAAACGAAATAAAAGGAAACTAAAAGGCCGGGTGTGGTGGCTCATGCCTGTAATCCCAGCACTTTGGGAGGCTGAGGCAGGCAGATCACAAGGTCAGGAGTTCAAGACCATCCTGGCTAACATTGTGAAATCCCATCTCTACTAAAAATACAAAAAATTAGCCGGGTGTGGTGGTGGGCGCCTGTAGTCCCAGCTACTCTGGAGGCTGAGGCAGGAGAATGGCGTGAACCCAGGAGGCGGAGCTTGCAGTGAGCCGAGATTGCGCCACTGCACTCCAGCCTGGGTGACAGAGTGAGACTCCTTCTCAAAAAAAAAAAAAAAAAAAAAAACCACACAAAGGAAACTAAAATTGTATTGGCTACTATTGGAGGTAATAAGAATACTAAGTCTTTGCTTAAAAATTTGGCAATTATATGAAAAAAAAACTTAAGCATTTGCCTTCACTTTTCTGTAAGAATTGTTTGTCAGAGTGGCAACATAATTTAGTTGATTAGGAAAAGTCTTCTTTACAGAAAAATTTCATCTAATATGGAAGAAATGTTCAAATTAGAAAATCACCATTTTGGCTTTAACCTTGACCATCAACAGATACATCATTGGGTGAAATGTTAATGGGAATTTTACAGTGAGTGAGTCAGGCTTTCCATATTAGAAGCTACTAGTTTATCTTGATTTTCATAGATTAGATGTTAGATTCCACTTGATATGATGCAATATGAAATATACAGTAACTCCTGAGCTGAAATATGGTTACAACAGTATCATCAAGCTTTTAGAACTCACTTTCAATTTATAGGAAATACTGGAACCAAATAGCAATTAAAAATATAAGGAAGCAAACAGGCAAATCTACAATGTAAAATATTCCAGAAAATACCTGACCCAATCTCTTTAACAAGTCAGAAGTATGGATAAAATAGGGCACTGCTTTGTATTAAAAGAGGTTTGAGATACTTAACAACAAAACACGGTACATGGAATTTGTTTGGATCCCAATTCAAATGAACTCACAGAAAAATAAAATGGAAGCATTTGATATAGAGTGTGTATTTGACATCATCAAGTGTGGAAGCAGAATTTTAAGATGACTTCTTGACCCTTGCTCCTTGTGTTACTCCTGTCATTATGTTAGGAAAAGGAGATGATTTGGGTGGGCCTAGCATAATCTCACAAACCACTTAAAAGAAGAGAACTTTTCTCTGGTCCAGAGCAGAGGGAAAAGTCAGAGGGAGTTGAAGTTGAGAGGAATCCAAGAGAGGGATTCATGCCCATGGTGATCACAGTGATGTGAGAGCCCAGGAGAGGGCATCTGAAGAAACCCAGAGCAAGGAACCATGAGTGGCTGAGAAAATGAGAGTCCATACTGGTTGACAGTCAGGAAATGAAACCTGAGTCCTACAAACACAAGGTACTATATTTTGCCAATAACCTGAATGAACTGGGAAGTGGGTTCTTCCTGAAATCCTCAGGTGGGGGCACAGCCAGTCTACACCTTGAGTATGAGAGTCTGAGCAGCCATGACAGATTTTTGCCCTTTAGAAACTGAGACACAAAAAAATTGAGAAATGGGACTTAATTAAACAGTCTCTACACAGCAAAAACTATCAACAGAGTAAACACACAACCTCTAGAATGGGATAAATTTTTTGCAAACTATGTATCTGACAAAGGTCTAATATCTAGAATCGATAAGGAATGTAAATTTATAAGAAAAATACAAACAACCCCATTAAAAAATGAGCAAAGGACATGAACAGACACTTTTCAAAAGAAGATATACATGTGGCCAACAAGCATGTGAAAAAATGCTCAACATCACTAACCATTAGAGAAATGCAAATCAAAACCACAATGAGATACCATCTCATACCAGTCAGAATGGCTATTATTAAAAAATCGAAGAACAACAGATGTTGGCGAGGTTGCAGAGAAAAGGGAACACTTACACACTGCCAGTGGGAATGTAAATTAGTTTAGCCATTGTGGAATGCCGTGTGGCAATTCCTCAAAGAACTTCAAAAAAAAAATTACCATTCAACCCAGCAATCTCATTATTGTGTATATACCCAGAAGAATGTAAATAGTTCTACCATAAAGACACATAAAGAACGTATGTGTTCACTGCAGCACTATTTACAGCAAAGACATGGAATCGACCTAAATACCCATCAATGATAGATTAGATAAAGAAAATATGATACGTACATACTATGAAATACTAAGCAACCATAAAAAAATGAGATCACGTCCTTCATGTCCTTTGCAGCAACATGGATGGAGCTGGAGGCCGTTATCCTAAGCAAACTAATGGAGGAACAGAAAACCAAATATCACATGTTCTCACTTAATAAGTGGTAGCTAAATAAGGAGATCACATAGACACAAAAGGGAACAACAGACACTGGGGCCTACTGGAAGCAGAGGGTGGGAGGAGGGAGAGGATCAGAAAAAATACCTATAGGGTCCTTTTCTTATTACCTGGGCGATGAAATCATCTGTATACCAAATTCTCATGACATGCAGTTTACCTATATAACAAGCACATGTACCCCTGAACATCAAATAAAAGTCAAAAAAGAAAAAAACGTGAAATAAAACAATAAGTATTTTTTAAGCCACTAAATTTGTGGTAATTTGTCAACTGACAATAAATAATACAGCAAGCAATATTAATTTTGTTAGTGCAATAATAGCACTGTCATATAAGAAAATGCCCTTCTATTTAAAGATTCATACTAAATACATAGGGGTGGAATGGCATTATATTGCTTAAAAATACTTCAACATAAGGAAAAGTAACTACTTCAATTAAATGCCATTTATTAAGCTATGTTGGCCTAAAGCAAGCCATGCTTTCCATTGTAAGTGTTCACAAGCTATCCTTTATATTTTCCATTGTATACATTTACCTGATATAAAGATCAAGCCCTTTAGTCATTTTAAATAACTTTCCCGATCTATTGTTGGCCAGTTATTCTAACTTTATATTTCCCTGGCAATCTCATTTACAGAGTCCCTTAGTAAACAAGAATGTAACTCATTTAAGACAAGAGATGTAAACTCATTTAAAGTAGCAACAGTAAGCTCTGTTGTAATTTTCTTAGCTATCCGGGGTTTTAATTTCCTTTTGCAAATACTTGTTTTACTCTCTCAGTTATCATTTTAGGATACTTTCCTTATCAGAGAAGATAAAAACAAAATCGGGACCAAATCATTCCTTTTTTTCCCTCTGTCAATTAACAATCCTGCTTTTCCAGAATGCTTTGTTTTTTAAAATGTCCATTTGGTTGCAGAAGTTACTTTCTGCAACTCTATGCTATTTGCTTCTTACATAGCTATTATAGCACCTATATATTTTTGTCCTGTTATTTACAGCTTTGTTGGTACAAAGTTCCTTTATGTGCTTATTAGAGAATTCAGCTTCTCTGGATACATTAATAATGCCCTCAACGTTAGATATTTATTAAAGAGCTATTGTTTCAGGAACAGCGCTGGGTGCCGGAGACACAGTAATTAAACTAGAGATACAAGCCTGCCCTCAAAGAGGTTATAAAAACTTGTAAACTGAAGGAAACAAGCAATGGGCTTAATAACATGTGAATATTAGGACTTCTGATTTAGATAGAAGGTTCAATGAGGATCTAAGACTTGTAGATCCTTTCAACATGAGCTAGACACTATGAGCTGTTCTATGTACTAAAGACATAGTCGAACATTTTTAAAAAGGAAAAAAGATACCATTAAATACTACTCCTTTGCGTTCATTATGAGATACCTAATATTGCAATTTCAGAATTTTACGATTAATGTATTCCAAACTCTCTTGATCTGTCTTTCCAAGTCAGATTGTGAGATCTGATGGATCACCTCTCTGAAGGCTCTCAAGTTCTGTTTCCTCTGAAGGTCTTAGTATCCACAAGGGAAAGATGAGTGGAAAGTACTGTGAAGAGTGGGTAGTTGGGAACTAAGCTTTCCTTTCTCACCTTGCCTGCTCATTTTGTATTTATTTTATTTAAATTTTTATTTTTTAAAAAATTGATAAATTGATTATAATAGATTTAACCCAATATACTAAACGTATTGTCATTTTAATATATGATCAATATGTAATTGTTTATGAAATATATAACTTTTGGTGCTAAAACTTTGAAACACGCTCTGTTTTACCTTCCCAGCACATCTCAGTTCAGACCAGCCACATTCCATATACTCAGTAGCCACATATGGCCAGTGGCTTCCACATAAAAGTGCAGTTCTGAGGACGCTGACTCCCCTGGCCTCAGGGAGGTCCTTTTCTTCCAGAGGTGAGGGAACAGCTCCTCCCTACCAACATCTCTCCTCAGGCCCCTTGTTGGGAGAGGTAGTGACCCTAGAGAGAGCAGGAGGCTGCAAGCAGGAAGTGTCCACAGGTAGACCACTGCTGCCCACCTGCTACCCATCTTTCTTTTGGAGATAAGACAGTGAACAAATGACAATGCGCTCCAGGAGGATGGAATCCTGTGTTTTCAGATCTGTCCACAGCCTTGACCTCCAACATTTAGATACGAAGGGAATAGATGAAAGACAAACTTATTATTTTGTAATTTGGCCTTGACCTTAATGGTCAAACTGTGGTTGCCTGTTTCCTTCTGTGGTGTGAGGGATTATGTGAATTTAAACACCAGTCACATGCATACATGCCTACATGCATTTCTATATAACTCAACACCATCTAACAAGAGATCCAAGTTTAAGGGGAAAAGAAAATCAGAACCTATAGGGTGCCTACTGTTCGCGGGTAACTAGGAATCAACCTTTCTTTGAATCCTGGCATCCTGTCTGTAGTAGACGTATGTGTGTGTTAGTGCATAACAAACCACCTAAAACATGTTAGTGCATAACAAACCACCTAAAACACATGTTAGCGCATGACAACCCACCTAAAACATATTAGCTCATGATTGAGCTGGTCAGCAATTTAGGCTGGGCTCGGTTGGGCTATTCTTCTGGTGTCAGCTGGGCTCCTTCTGGCATGTGTGGTCAGCTGCTGGTGCACTAGCAGGTTCTCCTAAGGGTGAGCTGGCTGTTAACTAAAGCACGTGGGTTCTTCTTCATGTGGTATCTCCTCCTCTAGTAGGCTAATATGGGCCTGTTCTCATGGAAGATGGCAGGGCTTTCTGCTGAATGCTGCCAACTTGGTTTCCACCACACAGCTGGAGTGGCAGCAGTTGGTGGGCACCAGGCTCTTCACAATGGGTCTCTGCGGCTCGTGCCACAACTTGATGCCCTGGGTGGCTGACAGCAGGAGCTTCTTGTCTGTCCACTACAGCCAGTGCAGTAACAGGCTTCTGCCACTCTCCATGCCATGTGCTGCTTTGTTCCCAGGGCTCTGAGGCAGCACTGGCCACGATGGCCACACAAAGTGCAAGGGCACAGGCCCGGGCATCCTCAGCAGGTTGGGGAACTAAGTTGGGTGTGGGCAATCTACCACCATGCACAGCTTGGGTTCTGGTACCAGCAGGAAAAGGGCGTTGCTGTGGAGTCAGCTGCTGCAGGAGCCTGGCTCACTGCCCACCGGGCCAGTGCCCACTCACCAGTGCACTCTTGTGACCTAGAAGGACATGAGGTGCCAGAGCCGGCCTAAATTTTAAGTATTATTAAATGAAAACATAAACATTTTATCTTTATAAAAACTGGCTGTGTTTTACCATTGTAGAAAGGACGCTAGCATTGTATAAGAATAAATTTTATGGTTCCCAGACCAGTTTTCTAAAAATAACCTTGGCTATCAAAAAAAAAAAAATCTTGAAGATATGTTTTAGGTTGCAGATGTCAAAGGTCACAGGATATTAGTTCTTTGTATGTATATAGGTATGTTTGTATGCGAGTGTTTGTGGTGAGAATATTGACAAGGACATTTGAACAGTAAATGATTTTGATTGCTCAATTCAAGTTATTAAGTAGTGATCATGTGCTAAGTGCTACATAAATGCAGGGAATAAAGTGTTCTGTTCAAAGTGTTTAGCTACTGTAGAGTAATATAAATTACCATATATATTGATATATAAAAATCAGGCAATATTTTATTTTTCAAGTAAGCAAAAATATAAATAAGTATACATTTGCATATGTACATTTCTGTATGTGTGTGTGTGTGTGTGTGTGCGTATTGCTGATTTCAATTCGATTTTTGTTGATTTTGATATCTCCGTTCCTGGAGAAAACTGGCTTGTAGTTTTATGTACCTTTGATATCTTTGCCTGTTTTGGTATCACAGTGATTCTAGCCCCTTAAAATACATTGGGAAATGCTTCCTCCTCTATTTTTCTGACAGATTTTTTTTTTTTTTTTTTTACAAGATCGGTATTACTTCTCCTGTAAATATTTGATAAAATTCATCGGATAATTCATTTGGCCCTAGAGTTTTCCTAAGAATTAAATTTTTTTTGGTAGATATAGGGCTAAGTTATCTATTTCTTCCTGACTGAACCTTGAAGGAATTTGTATCTTTCAAAGAATTAGTTCATTTCGTCTAAGTCATAGAATTATCATAAAGTTGTTTATAATATTTATCATTCAGCTTTATTTCATTGTTTTTATCATTTTTCATATTCTATTTTCTTTATTTCTCTGTTTATGCAACTTTGTAGACATAAATATATAAATATATATAAAATACATAATACATGTAATATATTTATATATTATATATAAAATACATAGTATATTACCTGTATATAATATATACAATATAATGTATAAAATATATATAATACATAATATATATTACATATATATTACGTGTATAATATATATTACATATATATTACGTGTATAATATATATTACATGTATATTACGTGTATAATATATATTACATGTATATTACGTGTATAATATATATTACATGTATATTACGTGTATAATATATATTACATGTATATTACGTGTATAATATATATTACATGTATATTACGTGTATAATATATATTACATGTATATTACGTGTATAATATATATTACATGTATATTACGTGTATAATATATATTACATGTATATTACGTGTATAATATATATTACATGTATATTACGTGTATAATATATATTACATGTATATTACGTGTATAATATATATTACATGTATATTACGTGTATAATATATATTACATGTATATTACGTGTATAATATATATTACATGTATATTACGTGTATAATATATATTACATGTATATTATATATTATATGCATTTAATATGCTTTTCATATGTAATATATAAAATATTACATGTTCATATGTAATATATAAAATATTACATATTCATTCATAGGTAATATGTTATATATTATATATCTGTGTACTATATATATACATATTGTATATTATATATTATATACATGAAATATATATTATATATAGAGAGAGAGAGTCTTTATTTTGTACCCACATATTTCCTATTTCTGGTATGTTTTATTTCTTATATATCAGAATGACCATCTGGTGTCATTTTTCTTCATCCTAAAAATCTTCTTCTAGCATTCTTTTCTATAGTGTGGGTCTACTAGAAATATTTTTCCCAGTTTTTATTCATATTAAAAATACTTTCATTTAATCTTCATTTCCACTGGATATTGAATTCTGGGCTGATTTTTTTGTTGTTGTTTAGCACTTTGACTTCTTTATTCCAATATCTTATGGCCTATATTGTTTTGAATTAGAAGACAACAGATTAGGATGTCATTATTTTCCTATAATAAGTTGTTTTTCCTCTTGCTGCTGTCAAGATTTTCTTTTCATATTTAGCTTTTAGCACTTTGATTATGATGTGACTAAGTGTGTTTTTGTGTGTGTGTCTGTTTGGATGCATGTATGTTTATCTTACATGAGGGTAATGGCACTTCTTGCATCAGTCAGCAACATAATGTTTTCCACTTACAAAATTTGCAACAATTATTTCTTCAAAAGATTTTTTCACTTCTTTTTCTATACTGTCCTGATAGGACTGCACTTAGGTGTTTTATTAATGTTTCAATAGTTTCCAACAGGTTTATGAAACATGACCCATTTTTTTAAATCTTCTATCTGTTCATTAAATTGGCTAATTTCTATTGATCTATCTTCATGTTCACTGATGATTCTGTCATCTAAATTTGGTATTTATGAATTTTCCATGTCAGATATTGTACTTTCATCTCTAAAATTTTTCATTTTGTTTATTTTTATAGTTTCAGTTTCTCTGTTAGATTCCTTATTGGTTTGCTCATTAATACAATATTTTCCTTTAGTTCTTTTAACGTATTGATAAAGTCTGTCCTGAAGTCTTTGCTGTATCTAACAGTTGGATACAGTATTAGTCTGTTTTCATAGCTTGTGGTATTTTCCTGAATATGGATAATGCTTTTGTGTTTTTTGAATGTCTAGTCATTTACTAATTTTTGATTGAAAACTGGGCTGTGTAGAAAACACATTGCAGTAATTGAATTCAGTGGTGCTCTTTGGAGGAGTTTTTGATTTTCTAGAAGAAAGCCATCTTATTTTGATGCACGTTGTAAAAGCTCTTCCTCTTCACCCCCTTCCCCTATCTGTAGAAGGGTTGGTCTCTGCTCAGTGTTCTTAGTTTCCTTGTCCTGCTCTGCTAGCCTGCTCCCTGGGGGATCTCTTCTGTGTCTGGATGCTTCAGGGGTGAGCCATAAATTGGTCAGAGTTCATATTTAACATATTGAAGCTTACCTCCTTGTGTGATTTCCTTGCTTCTGGATGACCTCCCCAGAGGCCCAATTGCTTTACCACTCAGTCCTTTTTATCTTAAGCTAGAACCTCTTCATATCTTTGTTGCCTGAGCTGTGTGCTGATTGGAGATCTCAGTGGGTCCAAAACACAAAAACTTGCATATCTAACCAGAAACACGTCTGTCTCTTCAAGGGGTTGACCATCCTGTCTTTTTGCCTTCCTTATTGCTAAGCTCTCTGGGTTTCCTGTGCAAATATATATTTTAACATTCAGCCAGAAAGATCATGATGAGGGGTAGAAGGTTGAGGTGAAAATGGAAGAGTGGGTGGGGTTGTACCCAGATTTTTTACCTCAGCTCTTCTGAGATTTTCTTGCTTCTAGAATATATTCCTTAAACATTTTATTCATCTGCTTTGATGCCACAAACTTTATCATATTCAATATTCAATTGAAGTGATAAGGCTGTAGTTTTCCAGTGTCACAGCTGAGTGAATTGTAGAGTGCTCTTAGGCTAAAAAGATATAAACCCACAATTCTTACTTAACAAAATAAAATGTCTTTTGTTTCTTCCTATTTTGGTCATTTTCTATTGCCTTCAAATTCTATTTTTAATGTGACTGCTCAAGTTTTAAAATTATCATCTGATGGATAAATTGCCAGAACTTTTTATGCCACCATTATTGCAAAAACTGCTGTATTTTTTTATCCTGATCCATGTTTTTTAAATAAAGCAATAATCAAGTGTTTTATGGAGTCTTAGATTTTAATCTGAAGAATGACTGGGTTGCTACTAGATTTCCAGTTTATTCAGGGTTCATATTTGTAGATCTATGGTTAAAATATTTTTCTAACACTGAAAACTTCTCATGTTTTTTTTATTGTATAATAATGACATAAATACTTTTAATGACTAAATTTAAATATATTCTGAAGTGATATATTTTCATAGGGTTAAAATTTTAATTTTCTTGTGTTAGATAAAGACTTTCCAAAAGTTAGCTAAGACAAGTATAAATAACCCTGGAAAATAAAAAAAGTTTAAATTATGTAAAATTATATATCAGATCATCATATATCATCTCATGATCCCTTATCTGAAATCACTGGGACCAAATATTTTTCAAAATTCTGTACATTTTTTACTTTAGAAAGGTAATCTTGTAATTTAGCATGTCAAGAAGTGCTTAGGGCAGCACACCATAATAAAACATTAATATTTCTGTTGTTAAATATTAAATGTTAATTTGCATTAACAAAAAATGATGACTATATATAAGTTCATGTCAGGACTTTTCAGGATTTATCACAAATGGGTTATATTAAAATTTTGTTTTTGATTTTTTTTATTTTAGAATTGCAGATTATTTGCCTGTATATGAAAAGACATAATATGATAATCACCAAAACCACAGGGTTAGGTAGTTTCATCGAGATTTTATCTTTCTTATTATATTTTTAATTATTTTTGAGTGTTTTTATAATAGTAGATTGTGAAAAATGTATTTCTAAAATCTCTTACAAAACGTTTAATATATTGTCTTAGGACTTCTATTAAAAGCATTTTGCATTTAGACCTCATCATTTAAAAAGTTTAAACTGCATACTACTTAGATGAGGGCTCACAATCACATAGTATCTTAATCTGTTTTGTTTTGCTATAACAGAATACCACAGATTGGGTAATTTTTAAATAAAATAAATTTATATCTTAAAGTTCTGGAGGCTGGGAAGGTCAAGGTCAGGGGGCCCACATCTGGCAAGGGCCTTCTTGCTGCATCATCCCATGGTGGAAAGGGCAAGGGAAGGAGAGAAAGCAAGAAGGGGCTGCCTTCATGTTCATAACAAGTCCATTCAAGAAAATGAGCCCACTCCCGTGATAAGGTCATTAATCATTTCATGTGGACAGGGCCCTCATGAGCTAATCACCTCTTATTAGGCCCCACTTCCCAACCATGTTGCGTTAAAGGTGAAATTTCCAACACATAAACTGTAGGGGGCACATTCAAACCATAGCACATGGAAACAGATGATTGCCTTGTTAAGGTCCTGCTTTAATGAGTGAATAATGGTGATTGATTTATGATTTACACATCAAAGCAGCAGGTTAGCAAGGTTGGTCATTGGCATGCTGCACTTACTGGTAAAGAACATCATAGGAAAAGGTAGATGTTATTGATGTGCTTGAAAGAAGTTTGCCTTTTGAATGTCTTCTAATCTTGTTCATTCTACTCATTTGCTAGTTGAATCCATTTTCTTAGGCGTCATGCAAAGGTAAACTTTCTTTTAGTCTTTATTTGCCTATAAATAGCAAATTAATTAAGACTGCTTTAATAAGATTTGACAGTACCTACTGGCACATGTTTAGTCTCTTCCATACACTTGCTAAGAAAAGAAAAGTTTTAATTCTTCTTTCCATGTTTGACTTGTTATTCCAGTAAATTCTTCAGTGCCCTTGGACTTGATTCTCATTCTTCTCTGTCTCCCTGAGTGATTCATCTACATTCCTTTGAAATTGGTAGAGGACTGATACATGAAAGAAATAGGCAGGGTTAGGAAAGGGACAAAAAAAATCAGAGCAAGAATTTTAGGCTAGGAGCTTCTGGTGCAGAAAAGGAGGGGAGGTGAATGTCTTCACAAGAGTTATCTTCAAATGATATTCTATCCAGACAAGTAAAAAGAATACGCTTACATGTACGTGTGGTAATATAATATTTATATTTGATATATGGATAATATAGAAATAAAATGTTTATGAAATTATAGAAAATATATGATTTCTTGCTCTGTTGGCTAAATACCCATTTGTAGAAAAACAGAATAAGACTTTTCCTTTTGGAAGCTTAGTAGCTTTGTGAAGTGCTAAATTTTGTAAAATGTTTTATCTCATAAATCAATGTGGTTTTCCATGATTGTATCTCTTTTGTTGCATTCCTGATAGTAACATTTTGACACCTACACACACATGTGCCTGTGTCTGTTATTTTATGTGAAACAGATTTTTTAACAGTGAGCTATAGAATTGGAAAATTATATGCCTATATTCTTAAATTTGATTTGGGTAGAAAATTACTGGAAGCAGAGTCTATCATTTCCAGCTAGACTAATGGTTATTAATGCATAATATTGAAGAAATGGGGGATTGCTGACATAGGAGCTTTCTGAAGTCAAGCCTTCAGTTAGTCATTTTATTTTGTTAGATAGCTACAATAGTTACTTATATTTTATACCGGTCATATGATTGAAATGAAATGTTTATATGTACTTGTTGCATATCTTGTCGTCACAGAGTTGAATTTCTTTCTGAGACTGTTTACCAATCAAGACAGTGAGGTTTCTTTATAATAACAAAATATCTTTTTTAGCAGATAAAAGACTGTTGATTTGTAAACTTGAGACTAAAATAAATTTGTTATACAAAACTCCATTTTTGTAACAAACTACGTTCATGCAAATTTGTAAACTCTTCCAATCAATTATCTCTTATTCACTAAGTGTAGGTTATAATTACTCATTAATGGCATCATTAATATAGTTTTAATTATCTCAACTAGTTTACAATGCCAATGCATATCATAACATTAAAATGTCACTACAACAGAATAACTTTAAAAACAGTGCAGAATCTCAAATTTGTTTCCCCAGAGCTTAAATACTTAGAGGATTCCAAGTACTGTTTGGCTCACACATTTTCTGACATTGCAGTCATGGTCCTTATTCTGTACTCCTGATAATAATTTGTCTGTTGGATAGAATATTCATGCTTCTAGTTACTCATTTCATATAGAACTCACTGATTGCTCTATTAACAGCTTTAATTTAGGAGAAAGAAACAATTTAGCTACAATCGTTTCCAGAAAAGTATGCATAGCTGAGAGGAATATTTTTAGCGTTCTTATGATATTTCTTCCATAGTAGGGTAATGGGTAGGAGTGTGTGCAGGGAGAAGGTGATCAGCTAGATTCAGAGATCTAATGTGATTTGTTTGACTCACTGGAGTTGCCTAAATTGTAAATAAATTTTGTAGTAATTGTGTTAAGGCATACGTTTCAAAAGCTATAATTTACATTCAAGCATTCAAATTACAATTTGTCACATGATTTTGATTTGCATTCAAGCATATCAAAAGCATGTGTCAAATTGTTATTTAATTTATTAATGAAGAAACCCACAGTATGGGAAAGCTGATTCAGAAGAAAATTGGTAGATTATGTATGGTTACCAGAATAAATAATGGTGGAATAAGGTTGCTAGGAAGACACGAACTTATGAATAGTAATGTCCTGCAGAACAATAAAATTATACCCTTTATTGTTACCTTTTCTATCAGTAAATAATTATTGCATCTTTATCAGCCAAACTCATTTACAACTGATTATTTGAGAAGTCTAACTTTATATAGTCTGGGCTATAGTAAATAGTAAGTCAAAAATTGGTAAAATTCCCCAAAGAATTAGATAATATTTGGTTGGGTCTCTTTCATGTAGCAGTATAATATTACAAACAAATTCATTTTTGTTTTGTTTTCATGTTTTTGATAACATTTTATTAATAATTATGATTTCTGGATAAGCTGTAAACCTCTTTTTGGTCCTTTAAAAATGTTCTAGAAGCAGAAACACATTCTCTTTGAACCTTGAAGTTTCTGTAGTATAGTCATGGTTTGATATTTACAAATGTAAATAGGATCTTTGAAATAACCTTTAAAAAGATTTGCATATTTTTCAACTTTGGACTTACTTATTTTACATTAGCAACAGGTGAAGTTATAGACAATTGCTTAAAATTTAATTTCATACTTTACAATTTGTGCAGTTTTCAGATTCTGGAGTAGGTATGGCATTTTGATGGGGCCTAAATTACAATGAGATGGTATAAAGTTGAAAGAAATTTTTTTCACCTGAGAATGGATCAAATTTTGGAAGTTGCACCAGAAAGATAGATTCCTTAGGTTGAAACAATTATAGATAATGAAAAGTAGTGTTATTCTTCCACAATAGGTATCTGTGTTTTAGCTATCTCTTTAACTTGTAACTTGTAAGGTGTTAAAATCTGGGTGATTTCATAGGCATGCATTAGTATTCAGGAAATTTTAGGATTTTATTAATATGTGCATATATTATAATGACATGTAATATTTTGATAGTTAATTTCACAATAAGGTTACTATGGTTGTAGTTTAAAGTCATCTTCAGTGATCAACCTTTGCCCTTCTTGGTAAATAAAGAGGAGAAGCACTTTATAAATCTATGTCTTTTAGGCAAATATGGAGAGGGGAAAGAGTTTTTCTTGTATATGCTGCTTCTCAATTGCTTTCAGCTTAAAATAATCTTTATGCCAATGTGGCATACTTTGGGATGGCATATTGAGGATTTACTCAAACTTTCATATCTCAAAGTTTGACTAAAGGCTATTGACTTTTATTCATTAATTCATTCAGTTGCTTTCTCACTCAAGAAAAATTTATTGAATTTTGATAATGCACCCAGCCCTCTGGAAGGCATTTAAGATGTGATAAGAAGCCAAGGAAAAGAATGTAATCCTTGTCCTTAAGTAGCTTATAATCTTGTAGAGGAGGGTACAGATATTTGTCAAATACTCATACACATACATATTTTAAAACTATAATAAGTACTGTGAATAAATGACAAAGGGTGCTATTGGGGAGGAGGACCTAGGTGAAGGGGGCTGGTGGATGGTGGAGATAAAGGAAAGATTTTTTTAGAATTTTGACCTTTTAACTGGGAGCTCAAGGGTGTGAATAGTCTGGAAGGAAAAAATAGGATAATAACTTTAGATATTATCACAAATTTTTGAAGTTTTAAAATAATGATTTTTAAGAGAGAAGAATAGGTCATTGGGGCCTTCACTTCATTTGAAAGAACTTCGGACTATCAATTTGTGCATTTTACCAGGCTACAACATTATGAGCCAATTTTTGGAGACTACAGTTATCAGTATTTGCATAATTATGTGGTGACAGCTAGTCAAAGAATCCCTCCTGGAGTTTGGTACAAGGGGCAGAAAATTATTGCTTCGTGTGTAACATGCCGAAAATCATACAGTCAACAAGCGATAGAGCAAGACTTTGGACATCAGTCTTCATGCTTCCAAGGCTTCTGTTCTTCCACGGGTTTAGAAAAGTCATCATTGATAGACATTTTTCATTAGCACAAAGTCAATTTAATACTTTAGCTTGTTAATCATTATTCATTAACATAGTTCTCAATACATACATGATTTGAAATAGGTAAATAGAAAAAGGACTTTTGGTAACATGCTTCAACCAAATTTAATGTGCAAAATTCACATGCATACTTTTGCTTGTATGAAACACAACCACTATACATTTTTCAGAAAAAGTTCAATTCATGTATAGCAACAGACTTTCAATGCTCCACACCCTTATTTAAAACTATAACTGTCATTTGGTAATTACAATAACTATTTTAAAAAGCAGTTGACAAGAAACAAGATGAACAATACAAAAGCACCATGACAAAAGGGCAATGGTAGGTGACAAGTCCTTCCCTTTCTTTGAGGTTCTAAGGCAAAGGCTCATTTTTCAAATATGACAGAATTCCTTAAATAGCTGGCATTTCTTCCTGGGACATTTGGGATGCATTACTTTGAAAAGAGCCAATGAAAAAGCCATTTTATTTTTTCAGGATTTTCAGCAAAAAAGAAAGATGATTTTTAATTGGGTAGATGGAGGAATTTGTTCCTTGCTAAAGACATAAAACCAGTAGTACAGCATTACACAGTATTTTTGTAAGTAAATTGACTACAAAGGCAGTCTTTTGTAGAAAGATGTTGCCAAAGAAACCCATGTCAAGGATAACCCAAAAATGATGCTAAGAACACATATAAGTCTCACTTTTCTTCTGCTAGCTCACTGCAAAGATGAGAATATTTCCAGACACAAAGATGACTATTTAAATAATACTTAGAGTAAATTATTTTTATTAATTTAAAAATCAGCCATAATGCTATCATTTCTCTGTTAATTCAGATTATTATACATTGAATTTTTAAATGAACAAATCATGCATTTACTGCTAGTTTTGAGTTTTTACAATTATTAAACAAAGATACCATTATTTTGTGTACTTTTCATTTTACTGTATTATCTAAAGAAGTTGTAACACCTTAACCCATGCTACTATGACCATACTGTCTTTTATTGATAATAATTAACAGAAAGAGTCAACTTGAGAACTCTAAATTAACTGAAGTTTATGTACTCCTACCTCTGGATTATTGATTCCTAAAATGGAAAAGAAGGAACTTGTATCAAGTTGAATAAAGCAAAAAATGCATCATGAGGCAGATGATAATGTTCTGCAATTATCAATCTAATGTTTAAGAATCTTAGAGCCACTGATTATTGCTTTGTTCCCTTACAAATCATTTGGTTCTTTTTAATTTTACATCCCAGGACATTTTATCCTTCCTATTTTTCGGTTGGAAGAACTTATAAAAAGAATACATGAACAATAGAAAATGAACAAAATATCTGTTTCATGTCTATCCTCTCCTATCCAATGAATGATAAAATGAAACGGTGACTATTGAATAACATATATAGACTATCAATACCATACATAGAGCCACATGGATTAGTTTAAACAGTGTTACAAAGAGGTGGGAAGCAGAATGTCATGGAAAGCCCCAATTCCAATATTCACCCCATCTCATATGGACTTAAGATATCCCAACAACCTTGAGCAAAAAGAACAAAGTACAACCTAATTTCAAAGTATACTACAAAGCTATAGTAATTAAAACAGGTTGGTACTGGCATAAAAAGAGACACATGGACCAACGGAAGAGAATAGAGACCCCAAAATAAATCCATACATTTATAGCTAACTGAATTTGGACAAAGGTATCAACAACATATACTGGGGGAAGGACAGTCCCTTTACTGAATGGTCCTCAGAAAACTAGCTATCCTTAGGCAGAAGAATAAAACTAGATCACCATCTGCCATCATACACAAAAATAAACTCAAAATGAATTAGAGACTTGAATGTAAGACCTGAAACTGTAAAACTGCTAACAGCAAGCATAGAGGAAACACTTCAGGATCTTGATCTAGGCATAGCTTTTATGATTAAGAGCTCAAAAGTGCTAGGATTACCGAGGCGGGCAGATGATGAGGTCAGGAGTTCAAGAACAGCCTGGCCAACATGGTGAAACTCTGTCTCTACTAAAAATACAAAAGTTAGCTGGGTGTGGTGGCATGCACCTGTAATCCTAGCTACTTGGGAGGCTGAGTCAGGAGAATCGTTTGAACGCAGGAGACAGAGGTTGCAGTAAGCTGAGATAGCGCCATTGCACTCCAGCCTGGGCGACAGTGCAAGACTGTGTCTCAAAAAATAAAAAATAAAAAAGCTCAAAAGCACAGGCAACAAAAGCAAAAATTGACAAATGGGATTATATCTAAAAAGATTGTGCATAGCAAAGGAGACAGTCAACAGAGTCAAGAGACAGCTTACAGAATGGGAGAAAATATTTGTAAACTATTCATTCAATAAGAGATTAATATGTAGAACATGCAAGAACTCAAACAACTCAACAGCAATAAAACAAATAATCTAATTCAACAATGTACAAAGCATCTGAATAGACATTTCTCAAAGGAAAACATACAAATGGCCAACAAGCATTTTTTCATATGCTTTTTGGCTACTTGATTCAGGGAAATGCAAATCAATACCACAGTGATATATTATCTCATGTCAGTTGGCATGGCTATTATCAAAAAGACAAAAAGTAGCAAATGCTGGCAGGGATGCAGAGAAGAGAACACATACACTATTGGTGGAAGTATACATTGGTACAATCAGGGAAGACAATGTGGAGGTGCCTCAAAAAGCTAAAAGTAGAACTACCATATGATCTACCAATCTCATGGATGGGTATATATTCCCCTTTCCCTACCAAAAAAGGAAATCGTTTTGCACAGAGATGTGTGCAATTTCATGTTTGTTGTGAGACTATTCACAGTAGCCAGATATGGAAGCAACCTAAGTGTCTCTCAACAGATGAATAAAGAAAGAAAATACTTTACATATACCCAATAGAATATTATTCAGCCATAAAAAGAATGAAATGCTGTTATTCCCAGCAAAACAGATGAGCCTGGGGGACATTATATTAAGTAAAATAAGTCAGACACAGAAAGATAATTACTGCATGTTCTCACTCATATGTGGAAGCTAAAAGAGTTGGTCTGAAATAAGTAGAGAATAGAATAGTGGTTACTGGAGGCAGGGAAGGGTAGGGAAAGAGGGATTGGAAAGAGGCTGGTTAATGGATACAAAATTACAGCTAAATAGGAGGAATAAGTTCTAGAGTTCTATAGCACTGAAGAGTGACTATAATTAACAAATAATTTATTGTGTATTTTCAAATAGCAAGAAGAGAGGAATTTGAATGTTCCCAATACAAAAAACAATAAAGTTTTGAGGCAATGGATATGCTAATTATCCTGATTTGATCATTATACATTGTATGCATGTATTGAAATATCACCGTATATTTCATAAATATGTACAACTATTATATGTCAATTAAAACATATATAAAAAGTAAAAAGTTATCCTGACAATAATGATACATAGGATTTATTTCATAGCAAAAGAGATAAGGGAATGAGTATAGGAGGCCTCAGGGAAGGGAATATATAAGGGTTGTTTAGCAATCAAGTATGAGAAATAACTAAATTTTTATGAATATGTAATTAAGCATAGACCATGCCTTAAATGCTTAAAGTCACTTTGGAGGTAAAAGTAGGCTGGGATGAGGAGATATCAGGGTAAAGGGCTGAATGTCTGAGGACATGGAGCAGGTTATGAATGCCTGCTTCATAATTGCTTCCAAATCACCTTCCCAGGGTGACTTGGAAAGTCCCACTACATTCAATAAGAAAAACTTTCAACATGTTAGACAAGGCTTAGAAATGCTCAGGAGCCCTGACAACATGCTGATTTAAATCAGTATGGAATTGAGATGAGGTCCTGATTGTTTTTTTAAAAAAGTTGGTTTTGTTGGAGATTGATCCTGAGTAAGTATGGGGCTGGTCCTGTGAAGGGAAGATCTAATAATATACATAGCGGAGGTGACTTATAGGTGAGATGATGGGCTCCAGCTGCACCGTATTACCTACCTCAGATTATTACTTTCTTTGGTTTATTACCTATCTCTATTACCTGTCTGGCATGACTATGCCAGGACTGAAATATGAGATGTATTTGTGAGGTTAAAATTCTTTCAGAAAACTTGCTAAAGGAAAGGAAGTATTATAACTGTCTATTGTTATAATATACTGGCATTATGATTTGAAAGTCAAACCTCTCTAGCATAGGCAGCTAAATGATATTTGTCAAATACTGATAATTCACTGAAAAAATACATTTTTATGGTTGTAGAAATGACTGAGGTGCTCAGCCCCTTACATTAGATACTAGCCAGCCTCGGACTGTTGCATTTAAATTTTGGAACTTAGGGTTGGCATTCTGAGATTTTATGACTGCCTTGGAATCTTAAATACTCTCTCTTTGAAAAAGCTGGTTTCAAATTACCTCTTCGAATTGTGGCTACAGTGTTAGTTTTTTTTTCTTCTAAAATTTTTTTTATGTTGTTTAGGCATTCAAATGATGAGTCAGGATATACTTTTCAAAAGTTAAAAATATAAACAACTGCCATTGAAATAGAGAATGTGTATATGTCAAAAACTATTTTATCTGTAAATGAGGGAAACAGCAGGACTGTAAATCCGATTCAAAAAGTATTTGAGGAACTGGATATGTACGGGCATTTAAAACAGAAAAAGAGTGTTAGAATAACATTATTATTCTATAGGCCATTTTATGTTCCTTTCCTTTATAGGTTAATATCCTATAGGACAACAAAACCAGAACCTTGCACGTTTTCTCTTCTGCCAAAGACATTTGCCTCTACTGACAAAAATCTACAATTTAATGGCTAATTGCATACATCTAGGATTTTAATCAATAGTAGATTGAATATCAAAATAACATTCCCATGGAATTTAAATTATCCCTAGGTGAATCTTTAAATATATAATTGCTACGTTTCTTTTGTCTTATTTATTGTGGATTTTTTTTTTAAAAAACATGTTTGATGAAAATAAAATAATTAACCAAGATGCTACTGTGCACATTACTGTTCTGGAATAATTACTGGCCTAGAATATATTAGGGCAAGAGTGTGAGCTCATTACTACTGGCCAAATAATTTCTACTTTGCTTAAGGTTCCTGGGTTGGGAGTATCCAAGATACAATAGAAAATTTCAAATTGACTGCCCCATTTATTTGGAGATAAGACATAATATTAACTTGAATTAAAATGTATAAATAATAGGGTTTATGGAGTTTTAAAAAATAGCTCACAGGCAAATTTATCTTTAATAATAATATATTTTGATGTACTTTTTTCTAAGGATTTTATTATATGTCAACTGACATCAAAGTGGTTAGCATAAATATAATTTTTATAAGTTTATTTAGATGATACATTCTGACATACTGTGTCAAAAATGATTGCATTTTATTCATTCTTTTAACAAATATCTAATTGTCAAGTGCAGAATACTTATGCAGAAGGAACAAACATTAATTGATTCATATAACAAATATTGATTGATTTATTGCTCTGTGCCAAACACTCTTCTAGGAACTAGGTTTAACATAGTGTGGACCAAAAAGAAAAATATCGTTGCCTATGTGAACCGAACTTATATTTTATCTAGAATGAAGAGATGGACAATAAAATAAGAGAGATGTGTAAATAGTGTGGTGGCTGAGGATAAAAGAAAAAGCAAAGTATGGAAAAGTGTATAATAAAGCTCCTGACTTCATTTTTGAGGTTTGATTGCTGACCGCTTTGAGCCCCTCCTCACCCCTCTCCATCCCTGGCCTACATCTGAGAAAGCTGATAAGAAAAGCCAGTCATGCCCTTTTTTGACACTGGCAGAAAGTTAAACCTTGCAAGCCTTTGTCCATGCCTGCATGCATGAATGCTCAATTGAGCCCTACTCCCTAACCACCGTAATAAAACTCCAGGCTGGTCTCCTTTCTCTGCTATCACAAGCTATTTTTTGACCTGCTCAGCAAACCAGCATTGCTCTTTCTGAAAAGCCTCATTATGTGAGTAATAACCCTTCTCATGCCTTTTTCACATGTGTTTGGCATCATTGGTCTCAACACAGGAACCAAATTTTGAATGAGGGAAAATCCTGACTTTATGGAGTATGACTGCAATGTGGGGATAGGAAGTTTTGTTTGGGGGAAAAGGGCTATGGGAGGTCTCATTGAAGAGAAAACATTTTAGTGAAAATCTGAAGGAAGTGGAGTGTGTCATGTGATTATCTTGGGGGAGGATACTAAGGGAAGAGAAATTGATTATGCAAATACCTGGATGCAAGGGTATGCTGTGTGAATTTAAGAAATAGCAAGAGAGCCAAGGAGGCTGGAATGGAAAAACCAAAGGGGGGGAGGGTAGGGATGGATGTGACCAGAGAAGTAATGGTAAGAGGAAGAAATCAGAGATCTCATGGGCCATTGTTAGGAGGAGTTTTTGGCTTTTTCTTTGAGTGAGATGAAAAGATCTTAGAGAAATCTGGAGCAACATAAAATTGCTTAGAATAAGAGTAATCTAACTTTGAACGTAGAACTTTGTTACTGGTTTCAGAACTGCTAAAGCTTGCGGTTACATGTGAGTATGAAACATACTTGCACTCGGATGGCAAGAAATGATTAAAAGTTCAGACCTGGGATGCAGCAGGGTGAGAGGGGGTGAGAGGTGGTCACATTGCTGTCTGAAGGTGAGCCAGCAAGCTTTCCACAGATTGGGTTTGGAGTGTGAATGGGTCTGTGTCCTGCACAAATGGAAGAACGGATTGGGTATTGCTAGATAAAAAAGTCATACTTTGGCAATATCACAGTGGTGAAGAACAGGTGAACTTTAGGGAGAGGGAGCAATGTGACTAAGGAACGAGAGGGAATATTACAGCATATGCACTCTGAAAACAAACATTTGCAGTTTAATTTTTCAGGATGAGGAAGAAGAATATGGAAGAGTCCTCTAGGTCCTCTAGGTTCAAAGAGGGCAACCCTTAGCTTCTCATGAGAATTTCTTTTTTAAAAATTTATTTTTATTTTACTTTAAGTTCTGGGATACATGTGCAGAATGTGCAGGTTTGTTAGATAGGTATACATGTGCCTTGGTGGTTTGCTGCACCTATCAACCCGTCATCTAGATTTTAAGCCCCACATGCATTAGGTATTTGTCCTAATGCTCTCCTTCCCCTTCCCCCACCAACCCCTTACAGGCCCCAGTGTGTGATATTTCCCTCCCTGGGTCAATGTGCTCTCATTGTTCAACTCCCATTTATAAGTGGGCATATGTGGTGTTTGGTTTTCTGTTCCTGTGTTTGCTGAGAATGATGGTTTCCAGCTTCATCCATGTCCCTGCAAAGGACATGGAACTCATTCTTTTTTATGGTTGCATAGTATTCCATGGCATATATGTGCCACATTTTCTTTACCCCGTCTGTCAGTGATGGGCATTTGGGTTGGTTCCAAGTCTTTGCTATTGTAAATAGTGCTGCAATAGGCTGGGCACAGTGGCTCATGCCTGTAATCCCAGCACTTTGTGAGGCAGAGGCAGGTGAATCACTTGAGGTCAGGAGTTCGAGACCAGCCTGGCCAACACAACGAAACACTTTCTGTACTAAAAATACAAAAATTAGCTTGGCGTGGTGGCAGGTGCTAGTCAGGAAGCTGAGGTAGGAGAATCGCTTGAACCTGGGAGGTGGAGGTTGTGGTGAGCTGAGATCACACCATTGTACCCCGGCCTGGGTAACAGAGCAAGACTCCATCTCAAAAAAAAAAAAAAAAAAGTGCTGCAGTAAACATATGTATGCATGTCTCTTTATAGTAGAATGACTTATAATCCTTTGAGTGTATACCCAGTAATGGGATCGCTGAGTCAAATGATATTTCTGGCTCTAGATCCTTGAGGAATCACCACACTGTCGTCCACAATGGTTGAACTAATTTACACTCCCATCAACGGTGTAAAAGTGTTCCTATTTCTCCACAGTTTTTTTTCATGTTTGTTAGCTGCATAAATGTCGTCTTTTGAGAAATGTCTGTTCATACCCTTCACCTACTTTTTGATGGAGTTGTTTTTTTCTTGTAAATTTAAGTTCCTTGTAGATTCTGTAGATTCTGGATATTTCCTTTGTTAGATGGGTAGATTGCAAAAATTTTCTCTCGTTCTGTAGGTTGCCTGTTCACTCTGATGATAGTTTCTTTTGCCGTGCAGAAGCTCTTCAGTTTAATTAGATTCCATTTGTCAATTTTGGCTTTTGTTGCATTTGCTTTTGGTGTTTCAGTCATGAAGTCTTTGACCATGCCTGTGTCCTGAATGCTCTTGCCTAGATTTTCTTCTAGGGTTTTCATAGTTTTGGATTTTACGTTAAAGTCTTTAATCCATCTTGAGTTAATTTTTGTATAAAGTGTAAGGAAAGGGGTACAGTTTCAGTTTTCTGCATATGGCTAGCCAGTTTTCTCAGCACCATTTGTTAAACAGGGAATCCTTTCCCCATTCCTTGTTTTTGTCAGGTTTGTTGAAGATCAGATGGTGGTAGATATGTTGTGTTTATTTCTTAGGTCTCTGTTCTGTTCCATTGGTCTGTATTTCTGTTTTGGTATGGGTACCACGCTGTTTTGGTTACTGTAGCCTTTTAGTATAGTTTGAAGTCGGGTAGCATGATGCCTCCAGCTTTGTTTGTTTGTTTGTTTGTTTGTTTGTTTGTTTTTGGTTAGGATTGTATTGGATATATGGGCCCTTTTTTGATTCCATATGAAATTTAAAGAATTTTTTTTTCAAATTCTTTGAAGAAAGTCAATTGTAGCTTGATGCAAATAGCATTGAATCTATAAATTACTTTGGGGAGTATGGCCATTTTTACAATATTGATTCTTCCTATCCATGAGCATGGAATGTTTTTCCATTTGTTTGTATCCTCTCATATTTCCTTGAGCAGTGGTTTATAGTTCTCCTTGAAGAGGTCTTTCACATCCCTTGTAAGTTGTTTTCCTAGGTATTTTATTCTCTTTGTAGCAATTCTGAATGAGAGTTCACTCATGATTTGGCTATGGCCCAAAAGGCTTTGCCCACTCCCAGGGATTCTCATTTCATTTACTCCTGGACTTAACAGAGGTTTGTTTGCAAAACAACTCATTTATTTCCTTCAATTAAGGTCATCACCTACCCATAATTGAGGAACAGAGATTACTGATGACTTGTCAGGCTTTAATAAACACTTTTCCCAAGTGAGTTATAAGTAAAAAGCATCTCTATACATTAATTTGTGGATTTGAGAAAGGCTTGAAGGATATTTTTAATACCTGAATTATTCCCAGTGAAACATTAGATATATACTCACAATAATATAATACAAAATCTCAATTAATTTTAAAAAGCCACTATTGATATGGAATTTCTGACCTGGAATTTGACTTTTCAACTAGGTGTGCTGGCATCTAGTAGATAGAGTTTGAGTTCAACAGAGAACAAATCAGGGCCTGAGGGAGTTGTCAACATAACCTCTCTCCATTTAACCAAAGGGATATGAGTGGGATTTCTGTTATTTTAAAAGCTCCTTGGTTGATCTAACCATTAGACATACAGAAAATGATATTAAATATCAAGAAGCTATAATTCCCTAGATTTCCTAGGTACCAGGGAGGTTTTTAATCATTTCCTCGTATAGAACATAAATCCCTCTGCCTATTGCATTCAGTTAGTCACTGAATTTATTTAGATTCTAAGTATTAATTTTTCTCTAATATTCATGTTAATTTCCTAATCATTGACATCTGTCTGTGGTGATGAACATTTTCTGGAATTAGACAGTTGCTATGGTTGCTCAACTCTGAATGTATCAAAAAACGACCAGATTTTACAAGCTAAAAGAATGAATTTTCTAACATATGAATTATATCTTTTAAAAAGTTATGATGTGTATTTAAAAAAGAAACATCTTATGCATACAAGCCCGGATATTCTGTTGATAGTCTCTCAAGAAAATGTGCCGGATAGCATGGAGTATGTCTAGGGCATTATCAAATGCTGTGAACATGTGGGAATGCCCAGGACAGTGCTGAATGACAACTCTAACATGTTAACTGTTAATGCTAGCTGATCACTTTTTTCTCTACCCCTAGGGTCAAAAACAGCTAGGTATTCTGTATCATCTTAATAGTAGAGTGATAATATGATTTACTAGTTTTGATCTCCTGATAGAATAATAAGTACTCAATTTAAAGAGCTGTCCAAACATGATATATGTCCATACCATATAGCCCGATAAACATAATACTATTGTGTGATTGAGCTGAAAACTGAAAAAAGAGGGTTTTAATCATTCACTTAAGGTCATATAACAATTTTTTGTCCATGGATCTTTGTATCATATTTTTAATCTTCATTGGTAACCCATTAGCTACTCATTTTATTAAAATATAATGATAAAAATAATCTAGTCAATCACCAGGATATTTTGATGTATTAATAGTTGTTGATAGACTAGGAATTGCAAACTGGTAGCCCCCAGGCCAGCTTTATGTTGTTTCCTTGCTTTTTGGAGTTTCAAGACAATAGACATGAGCAGGTGTTGGATTGGGTTCTTAATTCAAGCTGCTGAGTACCCATTTTCTATCATCCACCAATTTCAATGAGTTTGTTGACTTTCCACTTCTTTTAAGCAAGTGATGGTTAATTTTAGGTGTCAACTTGGTTAGAATAAGGGATGCCCAGATAGCTGGTAAAGCATTATTTCCAGGTTACATCTGTGGGAGTGTTTCCAGATTGATATTTGAATCAGCGGACTGAGTAAGAAAGATCTCCTCTCACCCAATATGGGTGGGAATTACCTAATCTGTTGAGACTTTAACAGAATAAAAAAGCAGAGGAGTGGTGAATTTACTGTCCCTCTCTTCTGGAGCTGGGAAACCCTTTTTTCCTTGCTTTTGGACATCAGAACTCCAGGTTCTCCAGCCTTTGGACACTGAGACTTGCACCAGCCAGCACCCAGGCTCTCAGGCCTTCAGTTTTGAACTGAGAGTTACATCATTTGCTTCCCGGATTCTGAGTTCCTAGTTCTCCAGCTGGAAGATGGTCAGTTGTGGGACTTCTCACCATCTGTAATTGCATGAGCCAACTCCCCTAAAAAATACCCTCTTATTATACTGACTGTCTGTCTGTCTACCTACCTACCTACCTACCTACCCCCACCCACCCACCCACCTACCTACCTATCCCCACCAACCCACCCACCCACCAACCTACCTACCCTGTTAAATCTGTCTCCCTTGGTACCCTGACTAGTACACACAAGCTGGAAGGTTTTAGTTGAGATCCTGCCTTGGTAATCTTAAAGGCATGTTGTCTTCTAGGTTTGTTTATGACATCAACTAAAATGACTACGATAGCCCATTCTAGAGTTTTCCTGCCATACTTTCATTACTTAAAAAATTTCACTGATTGATTTGTTAGGCTAATTTACATTTTCACAGGAGTAGCTTTGCTGTATTCTCAGTTTGGTAAGATTCTGGGGAACTCACTATTTTTTTACCAAATATTCTGATTTCTTCCCTGCAATTCCCTCTCCTTGAGGGACGATTTTATACTATTGCACCCTTTAACTCCAGAGTAGACAGGTGAACTTGCTTTGACTAAAGACATTTGGACAAAAGTGGCTTACATCATTTCTAGGAAGAAACTGCATCAGCCTGAACATGATTTGTCATTTATCTCTATTCTCTCTAGTACAACAAAAGGTAATTTCCAAGACTTCGAGAATGTTTTCTCTCAACTTTGAAACTCTTCCTCTTCTCTCTTACAGTTAGGCCTCTGACTTGGTCTGTTTGAGGTTTACTATTCAATGGAAGCATATCTAAGTCACTTAGCATCAGCTCACTCTACATGCCCTCAACTATTGAAAGGCACCTTCATCTTCACATTTTTCAAGTAGGAGGGAAAGAGGATGTGAACAGCCCTCACAATGAAGAGGCGAAAACTTGTCTGAAAGGTAGAAAGCTGGCATTGCCAACTGGTTAATTGAAGCTTGAATGCCAAGTTTCAAGTTCTTGAAGGTTAAGAAAGCCTTTCTTATTGGTTAATAGGGAGATAAGTGAGGATCATCCTCGAGGCATCTCAAAATCTGTGCTCATCGGCCATGTCCTCCTGAACTTTTGCCTCTGAGGGAACACAAATAGTCTCTCTCTCTCTCTCCCCCTCTTTATATATATATATATATATATATATATATATATATATATATATATATATACACATATACATACACACACACACATATATACACACATATACTCACATACATGTGTGTATAGACATGTATATATACACAAATATGTATATTGTATATATACATATCTATAAAGTAATGAAAGTATGGCAGGGTACACAAATAGTCTATATACACATATGTATGTATATACACATATATGTATATTATATACATATATAGATGTTACATATAGTATACATATATGTGTATATATACACATACATATAATATCTATGTAGATGTTTATGTGGGTATATACACATATATGTGCATATTGCATGAGCCAACTATACACATATGTATGTATATACACGTATGTATATACACGTGTATATACACATGTATATACACACGTATATACACGTGTATATACACGTGTATATACACGTATATAGACATTTATATGTATGTGTATAGAGATATATGTGTATATGTGTGTGTGTGTGTATATATATATATATATAGAGAGAGAGAGAGAGACTATTTGTGTACCCTCAGAGGCAAAAGTTCAGGAGGACATGGCAGATGAGCACAGATTTTGAGATGCCTTGAGGATTATCCTCACTTGCTCCCCATTAACCAATAAGAAAGGCTTTCTTAGCCTTCAAGAACTTGAAACTTGGCATTCAAGCTTCAATTAACCAGTTGGTACTGCCAACTTTCTACCTTTCAGACAAGTTTTCGCCTCTTCATTGTGAGGGCTGTTCACATCCTCTTTCCCTCCTACTTGAAAAATGTGAAGATGAAGGTGCATTTCAGTAGTTGAGGGCATGTAGAGTGAGCTGATGCTAGGTAACTTAGGCATGCTTCAATTGAATAGTAAACCTCAAACAGACCAAGTCAGAGGCCTAACTGTAAGAGAGAAGAGGAAGAGTTTCAAAGTTGAGAGAAAACATTCTCGAAGTCTTGGAAATTACCTTTTGTTGTACTAGAGAGAATAGAGATAAATGACAAATCATGTTCAGGCTGATGCAGTTTCTTCCTAGAAATGATGTAAGCCACTTTTGTCCAAATGTCTTTAGTCAAAGCAAGTTCACCTGTCTACTCTGGAGTTGACATGAATAGATATCTATCCCCAAAATGGTAGATAATATCTCTCTCTATATATGTAGAGAGAGAGATAGATATGTGTGTGTGTGTTTATGTATACACACACATATACACACACGTGTATATATATAGACACATATATATGCACACATGTATATATGTATATATAAAAATACATATATGTGGGTATTTATAATATACATATATGCATATATAATACATATATAAAATAACATAATATGCATATATATCTCTCCACCTTGTTGCTATTGTTCCCTATGGGCTCATATTTTTCACTCTCATTAAAGTAGCCATTTTGCCAGGCTGTTGGGAATGAGTGATGGAGATAACACCTCTTCCACCCTACCCAGCTTGTTTTTCTATGCACAGCCAGAATAGGGTGTCAGCCTTTCCTCTTTCTTTTTCTCACTCCCTTATAAAACTACTGCACAGGGAAACTGCTTTTCCAGATGCTAGTCCAGACACAGCCTTTTACTTCTTTTGCGCTATGTAATGTTTATTTTTATTCAGCCTCATATAGAAGAGTTAATTCCCTTCCCTTCTGCAGCATCCTTAACAATTATGGTTGACAGTAAGTGGTTTCTGCAAATCTGCTGCTGGAGGCTGAAGTCTACACAACAGGCAGTGAGGAAGGGAACTGAGGGTGAGGCAGGAGAGAACAACAGCTGATACCCAAAGCAGAAGCTGGAGCCTGCCAGTTCTTCCGTGTCAGTTCTTCTGGCCTCTGACCTAGGTGCAATGGGTATCCTATAGAAGCCAGGGCTCTTTGTCATAAAGCTAAACACACACACACATGGTCTCAAAGTTGGAGAAGCCAAAGTAGAATCCAGGGAAAGAAGAAGCAGTGGCAGCCTTGGTTGTTTTTCATACCAGTGATGTGAAACAACAGATCGGCAACATTCTGTGTGAGCCAAAAAGTCTGGTGCTTCGTGTCCACCCTCCAAATCTTGCATAGAAATATCTTTTGTGGCTCACTTTAACAGAAACATATGGTATCCATCAGAGGACAATCAAATATAGTCAATGTCAAAACTTTTGCCTCAGATCATCCCGAGGCTTTGAGTCTGGTTAATGGAAAATGGTAGACATTACTCAAAAATAGGGATGACAAGAGAAAGACTGTGGTTTTAAGAGTGGTAGAAGCTGGCTAGATCAAGTGCCATTAGCCTTGGGTAGCTCTCCTGTGAAAATAGAGCTTGCTGAGCATTCATGATACTTTCAGAAAGTACCTAAAATATACCTTTTAAATAACTTCTGGACAGATCTACTCAGAAACCCATGAGACCTACTTCTATGCAACACAGCCTCACACACCTGCTCTATGTGGTTGGAACTGTCACCTGACTGGTTGTAATAGAAACCAAACAACTTTATTTTTCACAAACTTTTCTATCAGGTCTTAGAGTCAAAGAATGACAAAGATAAAGAGGAGATGAATACTTTGTGAGGAAGCACAGCAGTATTGCTGGAAATTCAATCCTCATTGTTCATTAAGAATTTTTTTTCTAAGATGTTCACTAACACAGGATTTTGCTAAAAAGAAAAGAAAAATGTTGACAGCATAACAAAAAATGTGAGGCAAACAGTATAAGAACAGGGTAAAAACTATGCTTAAAAGTTTCCTCTTTAACAAAATAAGCAAATATTCCTTTTTAAATAAGTATCAAATATCATTTTGTGAATACTGTCTATTTTATTGGAAGACACTGTTTTAATTTAAGCTTCTGGTTCTGTACTTTCTATTTCTGAGCAACAAATTGCTACAAACTTAGCATCTTAAAAAGGCAGAAGTTTATTATCTCAAGTTCTGTATATCAGAAGTCCAGCTTTCATCAGATGGGTTCTTGTTTAGGGTCTCACAAGGGTAGCATTAAGAAGTTAGCTGTGCTGAACTCTTATTTGGAAGCTCTGGGAGGTCGGGGGGAACCTGCTTCCACGCTCATTAAGATTGTTGGCAGCATTTATTACCTTGCAGATAGAGGGTTGCGATCTCTGTTTCCATGCTGGTAATCAGGTCAGAAGTTGCTCTCAGCTTCTAGAGATTACTAACTGGTCCTTGCACATGGATTCCCTCCACCTTTAAGGCTAGAAACAATGTCTAGAATTATTCTTGTGCTTCCAGTCTCTACAAATTCCTCTTCTTCCCTCAGGCAGAGAAATCTCTGCTTTTAAAGGGCTCATATGGTTAAAAAAAGGTTCACTAAGGTAATCTCCCTCTTTTTGTCATATAAGGTAATACAGTCATAATCATAGGAGTAGCAGTAGGGGCTGAAGGTCAAGGGATCATCTTAAAATTCTACCTACCACAGGTTTCAAAATCTATGACCAGATAGACTCAAGCTAAGTAGGTTTGGACAAACTTAGACGTGTACTAACCTCAATTAATTAAATGAAATATAGCAATGAGTAATATTGCACTTAATGTGACCATTAAATGAAAATTTATCAACTCTCCCTAAGAGGCTTGTCAGAATATGTGACCTACTTTTTGGAATTTGGTCAGGCACAAAAATGAGTCATTCGTAATTCAGAAGGTTGAAAATCTCTCAATGTGATCTTTGCTAAAATTTAATGGACTATACATCTATAAAACTTTTGCTTGGTGTCTCACTGTGGTTTGCCTCTCATAGTGGCTTTCCTAATTTTCTTGACATGCATGAACTTGAGATAGTACAAGTCTCCTTAAATCCTATAAACAGAAAATATTGCTGGAAATCTATGATTGAAAGATGGTGAACACAGAATATATATATATTTCTTTCTTAATTTTATGTTGAAAATTTAATCTTATATGAAGATGATGGGAGCTCATAGGTGTATCTAAAGCTCCAGGAAGTTAGAATACAGAGGAAGAGCTTACAGATGAAGCTTCACTATAATGAGACACCAGTTGTGGATAATATTAATAAAATAATGTCCCCTTTTCTTTAGGCACAATTTCCTCATCTTTGCATCTGTTTCCATGATAGTTCCCATGATTTTGAAAGTGACAAAACCAAGGACACTGGCCATTTCATAGAGGATAGGATTCGTAAAATATTTCACTGAAAAGTAAGATTCTGTCAGAGGTGTGTGAAACCAGAGCAACTCCATCTTGAACAGGAGTTGGGTAAAATGAGGCTGAGATCTACTGGGCTGCATTCCCAGATGGTTAAGGCATTCTAAGTCACAGGATGAGATAAGAAGTGGCACAAGATGCAGGTCATAAAGACCTTGCTGATAAAACAGGTTGAGGTGAAGAAGCTGGCCAAAACCTGCCAAAACCCACCAAAACCAAGATGGCCACGAGAGTGACCTCTGGTCGTCCTCACTGCTACACTCCCACCAGCACCATGACAGTTTATAAGTGCCATGGCAATGTCAGGAAGTTACTCTATATGGTCTAAAAAGGGGAGGCATGAATAATCCGCCCCTTGATTACCATATCATCAAAAAATAACTATAAAAGTGGGCAACCAGCAGCCCTTGGGGCTGCCCTATGGAGTAGCCATTCTTTATTCCTTTACTTTAATAAACTTGCTTTAACTTTATAGAGTCACCCTGAATTTTTCTTGTGCAAGATCCAAGAACCCTCTCTTGGGGCCTGGATCGGGACCCCCATCCTGTAACATCTTTCTGTTGACCATGGAAGGGACTATAGTGAGGAAAGCCCTGACCCAAAGGCTAACTTTGGGCAAGTGGTGGCGTCGTGTAATTCCATTCTGTTGAAATAGCTAAACCAACTTAAGAAACCTTCCTGACATCACATTTCTCCTTTTGATCTAGATTCTCATCCTAGTACTTAATTGGCTACTTGCTCTCCCATAGCTAATGTGAGAAATCTGTGACCATACATATGTACATAAGCAGCAAGCCTTTCACTTGACGTGTGCTTAACTACCTGAAGATTTCTCTCTAGAGCTTTTGAAGTTCAGTTACCCCAGGAGGGTGTAGCCAGTCGGTGATTGTCTCAAATTTATACTGGACTCTGCTAAACTAAACCTGACTTAGTTTTATTCTATCTTAATCTCTTTCTTATTCTGTCACATCCTCTCTGTATTTATCTTCCTTCAAACACCTCACATCTTCCCTTCAAATGATACTGGTTTCCATGTCTTCAATGTGTACCTTCATTCAGTCTACAATAGTTCACTGATCAAATTATGTAATGCTTTATCTTGCTAGATCATCAAGATTCCTTGTTATATTTAGAGTCACATGTGGTCTGCAAATACAGAACAAAATAGAATACATTAGGAAAAAAGATACATAATTCATTGCATAGGCAACGCTGCAGATAATTTTTTTTTGGCCAAATGGAAATATTTGGCCAAACGGAAAAAATTTTTCCTGAATCAAGATTCTAATATTGAAAGCTGTCCTTATCACACATACTCATTGATCTAGATATGGGATTTTTAAAAAATAACTTTTTTGTGTGTTTTGTTAGAGCTTTCTATGTCTCATTTAACATCCTCAACAATGTGATGAGGTAATGTTTAGAGGATATGATACAGAAGCTTTGAAAAAGACAGCCCCTTAATGTCCCTTCAGCTTGACTAGTCTTTAGACAGCTTTATACCTGACTACTGGCTCTGCCTTTCCTTTTCTTAGAGCACTTGCTTTTGAAAACTTGCAGTTGTAAATTCTTTCTCTGCTCTTTTGAGATGTAAATCTTTTCCCAGCCTCTTGTCAGTTTTACAACTCAGAAAATGTTTTTCTGAAGGATCTGGGAGCTATTCCTTTAAAATATGACCATCAGAAAGATAGGGTGGGCCGAGCATGGTGGCTCATGCCTGTAATCCCAGCACTTTGGAAGGCTGAGGCTGGTGGATCACCTGAGGTCAGGAGTTCAAGACCAGCCTGGCCAACAGTCTCTACTAAAAATAACAAAAATTAGCCAGGCATGGTGGTAGGTACCTGTAATCCTAGCTACACTAGGGAGGCTGAGTCAGGAGAATCACTTGAATCTGGGAGGCAGAGGTTGCAGTGAGCTGAGATCACGCCACTGTACTCTAGCCTGGGTGACAGTGAGACTCCATCTTAAAAAAAAAAAAAAAAAAAAAGCTAGGTTCCCTGTTTTCTCATCTCTGAGGGATAGTAGGAACCTAACTTTAATAAGTGCCAATTAGCAAACACAGCTGGCTTAATCCCATTGACCAACTTCTCCACTAACATCCTTCACTACTTTCCCACTTGCTCACCTCAGACCTTAAGAACTCTCCCACCTTTTTAATCTTAGCAGGATTGAGTTCATCTCTCTCTGCACCACAATCTTGACCCTCATTGCAATAGTCATGCCTGTTTAACTTGTCTGGTGCAATTTTTCTCTGACATTTCAAAGAGGTGAAATATGCTTCCCAAGTTCACATGACTGCCAGTGGGAGGAAGCTGATGTTCAAAGCCACACCCTCTAAATCTGTAGCCTAATCTTTCAACACTGTACTCTCTGGCTGCACAAATATTTTCTTTAGGAAGGAACAAAGAGGGAATGCATGTGGAAAATAGCACAGAGGAGAGACAGGGACAAATAGGAACCTCACTCCTCACAAGGAAAGGGAAAGAGAGCTGATTTTTAGGCCAGATCAGGCTGGAAACAGAGGAAAAATAATTTCAGTAAGTTGCTGAGAACAACTTATTGAAAGTGAGGTCTTATTGGTCCTTGGTAACTAAAGCTTCTGAAAAGTGTGAGGGATAAGGAAAGAACCCATTAGAAAAATGCAAGGGTCTGACATAAGAGTGAAGAAAGAGTTTCTCCTACCTCCTTAAGACTTCCCTGTTGATAACTATTAAAGACCGCAAACAGTCAGCTTTTGCTCGACTTGCAAGCTAGAAAGTTAGCCTGCCACAGTTTCAGGGATGCTGCTAGCAGAAGACATGAGATTACCGGGTCAAAGACAAAACACAATTTGTTGCTCAAAGCAATAGAAGCATGAAGAGTATAGCATTTGGATAGGTTCCCTGGGCCTCAATTCCCAGATAATATGACAAGGCCACATAAATTGCATTACAAGAGAGGAGCCCTGAGTTAAAAAACCCAAATTTTGTATAAGAGGAAGTAAGCCTCCTGAATTTGGCCCCTGAGGAAGACATTGTTTTTATTGTATGTGTGTGTGGAGGGGTAAACGTACCTCTTTTTGTTGTTGTTCCTGAGGGGCACATCATGTCTATCTTCCAAGACTATTTGTTATATAAGAACTTTTGAAAAGATACTCCAGAATGGATGAACTTAATACCCATAAGATGTACTGAAATATGAGAGACCCATGGAGAATTGTTCGCCCAAAATATATTGTTGACATGAGACAGATATGAACAAAAGCCTAAGGCCATTTATGCAAAAATATTGATGCAAAGATTCAGACCAGTCTTGGTGTTAACATGGATTCTCATCTCTTCTTCACTTGTCACCTGCTACCATCAAATCTATCAAGAAATCTTATTGATTCTATCTTCAAATACCTGTTAGGCCCAGTTGTTTCTCTCCATCCACTGCCTGATTCATGTCATCATTTCTCCTCCGTACTTCTTCTTTGTTCCTTGCCTGCCTCTTTATAATCTTTCTTCACAGAGAAGTCAGAGTGATCATAGTAACAATTTGCAACCTTAAATCAGACCATGAAACTCCATCACTGAAGCCCTTCAATAGTTTCTCATTGTACTTAGCAAGAAACCCAAGCCCCTTTGCACATGAGGACAGCATCACCAAGCTTCCCCCATGCCCTGACTCCCGACCCTCAGAAGACCTTGGCCCTGTTTTTAATTCACCTAGGCTGCTCTTCTCTTAGGTTTTTGCATGTCTGGCTCCTGTTTATTTAGATTTCAGCTCAAATATCTTATCCTCTTCTTGTCTCCCACTTTCTCCACCATTGAGACCATTATCCGTCTAATATTACCATTCACTGGTTCATATCATGTATCAACGTATACCATCATATCATTTTGTATTTTTTATTTTAAATTTCCTCCTCTTCTCTATCTTGGCCTTAATTGTAGCTTCTTCAGATCAGGGACTTTGACTCTTTCAATCAGTTGTATTCCTAGCACTTAGAGCAGTACCTAGCATTGATTAGAAAATATTTGATAAAACCATGTAGGAGAATAAGGCTCTTAATTTAGCCAAGGATGGAGAGTTTCTAGGAGTTCCCTGCATTTCTCTTCTATGACCACCTAAGACAGGTGAAGCTTCCTGTGCTGTGAAGGGTTGCTCCTGGCAACCTTAGAAGTAGCAGAAATATATGAATTTTGTGAGAGACATAAAGATTCTGCACAGCTTCTGGGCAGTCATCCAAGGAGCATTACTTTAGCAACCTGCAAGTATGGTACCCATCAGGAACTGGAGAAAAATGGAAGTTTCTAGGAAACCTAGGAACCTCTCCTTGCAATGTGGCAACCCCACCTCCCCTCACCCAACACACATTTTATTTGTTTATTTTTAGTAAGTTTTATTTTGTAAAGCAATTTTAGATTAATAGTAATATTGAGCAGAAAATACAGATTTTCCATATATCTTCTGCCCTCCTCACTTTGGCATGCATAGGCTCCGAAATTATCAACATCCTCCATGAAGGTGGTACACTTATTACAGTTGATAAACCTACATTAAGAATTCATCATTGGCTGGTTGTGATGGGTCACACCTGTAATCCCAGCACTTGGGGTGACTGGGACAGGTGGATCACCTGAGGTCAAGAGTTTGAGACCAGTGTGGCCAACATGGTGAAACCCCGTCTCTACTAAAAATACAAAAATTAGCCAGGCACAGTGGTGTGTGCCTGTAATCCCAGCTGCTTGGGAGGCTGAGGCAGGACAATTGCTTGAACCTGGAGGCGGAGGTTGCAGGGAGTGGAGATTGCACCACTGCACTCCAGCCTGTGCGACAGAATCAGACCCAGTCTCAAAGAAAAAAAAAAATTCATTATCTGCTGGTTGCGGTGTTTCACGCCTGTAATCCCAGTACTTGGGGAGCCTGAGGTAGGCAGATTGCTTGAGGCCAAGAGTTCAAGACCAGCCTGGGAAACATGGTGAAACCCTATCTCTACAAAAAATACAAAAAATAGCTGGGTGTGGTGGTGTGTGCCTGTAGCCCCAGCTATTTGGGAAGCTGAGGCATGAGAATTGCTTGAACTCATTAAGTGGAGGTTGCAGGGAGCCGAGATCTGGTCTTTACACTCCAGCCTGGGCGACAGAGCGAGACTGTGTCTCAAAATAATAATGATAATAATAATTCATTATCACCCAAAGTCTATAGTTTACTTAGGGTCCACTCTTGATGTCGTACATTCTTTGGATTTGGACAAATGTATAATGACATGTATCTACAATTACAGTATCATAAAGAGTATTTTCATTGTCCTGAAGGTCCTCTGTGCTCTGCCTAATTATTCCTGTCCTCCCACCTCTATCCTCTGCCAATCACTGATCTTTTTATTGTCTCCACAGTTTTGCCTTTTCCAGAATGCCATGAATAGACATGAGTTGCAAAACAGCATTTTGGTCAATGATGAACTACATATATATATGAGAGTGGTCCTATAATATAGTCGTACTGTATTTTTACTGTAACTTTTCTATGTTTAGATAATGGGTATGCTTACCATTTATTACAATTGCCTACAGTGCAGTAGCATGCTATGTAGGTTTGTAGCCTGGAAGCAATAGGCTGTACAATATAGCCTAGGTGTGTAGTATGCTATATCATATGTAGTAGGCTGCATCATGTTTGCACGATGAGGAAATTGCCAAATAACACATTGCTTAGAACATACGTGATATAGTTTGGCCATGTGCCCACCCAAATCTCATCTTGAATTGTAATTCCCATAATCCGCATGTGTGGTGGGAGGGACCTGGTAGGAGGTAATTGAATCATGGGGGCAGTTACCTGCATGCTGTTGTCACGATAGTGAGTTCCCACGAGATCTGATGGTTTAATAAGTGGCTTTTCCTCTTTGACTCATTTTACTTATTGCTGCTGCCACATGAAGAAGGATGTGTTTCCTTCTACTTCTGCCATGACTGTAAGTTTACTGAGGCCTCCCCAGCCATGCTAAACTGTGAACTGTGCTGAACTGTGAGAAAAAGGAAAACTCTTTCCTTTATAAATTATCCAGTCTCAGGTATGTCTTTATTAGCAGCACAAGAATGGACTAATAAAATATGCCCATCATTAAGTGATGCATGACTGTAGTTGAAATCATACAGAAAGTAGATGTTTTCAGATTGATTATTTTCACTTATATCCATTTAAGTTCTTCATGTATTTTCATGGCTTGTTAGCTCATTTCTTTTTAGGGTGGAATAATATCCCATTGTCTGAATATATCATGGCTTACTTATCTATTTACCTACTGAAGGGTTTCTTGGTTGCTTCAAGTTTTGGCAATTATGAACAAAGCTGCCATAAACATTTATTTTCAGGTTTTTGTGTGGACATATAAATTTTCAACTCCCTTAGGTAAATAACAAGGGTGGCTATTGCTGAATCATATCACAAAAGTTTATTTTGTTTTATTAATATAAGAGCACACCAAACTGTCTTCCAAAGTGTGTTCACTGTTTTTTATTCTCACCAACAATGAATGAGAGTTCCTATTGTTTTGTATTATCAGGATTTGGTGGTGTTAGTGTTCTGAATTTTTGTTATTATAATCTTTATTCTTTTTTCCCTTTTCCCTTTTTTTCTCGTACAGAGAACAAACTTTGGAAGGTCTGAGGTACAGAATACCTATTATTATTACTTGACAACCATAGGTTGGTGGCCTGAAAATAGCTGTTTAAATCTTTACCCACATTTGGATTTGTGCAGCCTCAGGACCCTGGTGTTAGCCTGCACTGGATCCTGACTGCTCTGGTGCCAAATAGTGAAGAAAGAGGAAAGCAAGCAAGAGGATAATTGAAAAAAGAGTTGATTCAATATCAACTTTTAGTAATACATTAGCAGTATTCAGTTTTATCTTTCAATAATAATTTTATCATAACTATCCTTTCTAATAATCTTACAGTTTAAAAAACAGTCCTTGTAAGGAGTGATTTTTAATTGTTTCCAACAGGCAGGTATTCAATTAACTTAATGTGCAGTGATGAAAGATGTCATAACATGACAACATGATGCTGGTATGTAAAATATAATCCTAATTTTTTAAACTGTTGCTTTTAATTTTAATTTTTAAACATTTTTGTGGATACATAGTGGTTGGATGTATTTATGGAGTACATGAGATATTTTGATACAGGCATGCAATGTGAAAAAAGCACATCATGGAAAATGGGGTGTCTACCCCCTCAAACATTTGTCCTTTGAGTTACAATCAAATTACACTCTTTAAGTTATTTTAATATGTACAATTATGCTATTATTAACCTATTGTGCTATCAAATAGTAGGTCTTATTCATTCTTTCTCACTATTGTTTTTGTATGCATTAACTATCCCCACCTCCCTACCAGCCCTGCACTACCTTTCCCAGCCTCCAGTAAGCATCTTTCTACTCTCATGTCCATGAGGTCAATTGTTTTGATTTTTAGACCCTACAAATAAATGAGAACATGTGATGTTTGTCTTCCTTGGCCTGGCTTATTTTACTTAACGATCTCCAGTTCAATCCATGTTGTTGCAAATGACGGGATCTCATTCTATGTTTTTTTTTTCTTTTTCTTTTTTCTTTTTTTTTTTTTTTTTTTTGAGATGGAGTCTCACTTTGTCGCCCAGGATCTCATTCTGTTTTACGGCTGAATAGCCCTCCATTGTGTATATGTACCGCATTTTCTTTATACGTTCATCTGTTGATTAATACTTGGTTTGTTTCCAAATTTTAGCTATTATAAACAGTGTTGCAACAAACATAGGAGTGCAGATATCACTTCAATATACTGATTTCCTTTCTTTGGGGTATATATGCAGCAGTGGGATTGATGGATCACATGGTAGCTCAGTTTTTAGTTTTTTGAGGAATCGCCTAACTGTTCTTCATAGTGGTTATACTAATTTCCATTCCCATCAACAGTGTGCAAGGGCCACCTTTTCTCCACATTCTCACCAGCATTTGTTATTGCCTATATTTTTGTTATAAGGCAGTTTTACCAGGATGAGATGACATCTCATTGTAGTTTTTACAAACTAATCAATTTATTTATTTCTATAGATTTTGGGGAACAAGTGGTGTTTGGTTACATGAATAAGTTCTTCAGTGGTCATTTCTGAGATTTTGGTGCACCCATCAACTGAGCAGTGTACACTGTACCCAATGTGTAGTCTTTTATCCTAACTCCCCTCCCAACCTTTCCCAGAACTTTCCCAAGTCCATTGTATCATTCTTATGCCTCTGCATCCTCATAGCTTATCTCCCACTTATGAATGAGAACATTTGATGTTTGGTTTTCTATTCCTGAGTTACTTCTTTTAGAATAATGGTCTCCAGTTCCATCCAGGTTGATTTCATATATACACACACACAATTTTCTTTATCTACTTGTTGATTGATGGGCATTTGGGCTGGTTCCATATTCTTTCAATTGTGAATTTTGCTGCTGTAAACATGCGTGTGCATGTATCTTTTTCATGTAATGACTTCTTTTCCTCTGGGTAGATACCCAGGAGTGGGATTGCTGGGTCAAATGGTAGATTAACATTTAGTTCTTTAAGGAATCTCCACACTGTTATCCATAGCGGTTGTACTAGTTTACATTCCCACCACCAGTGTAAAAGTGTTCCGTTTTCACTACATCCCTGCCAACATCTATTATTTTTTGATTTTTTGATTATTACCATTCTTGCAGGTGTATGATGGTTTTGCACTGTGGTTTTGATTTCATTTTTTTCCCTGATCATTAGTGATACTGAGCACTTTCTCATATGTTTGTTGGCCATTTATATACCTTCTTTTGAGAATTGTCTATTCATTCCTTAGCCCACTTTTTGATGGGATTTTTGTTTTTTTTCTTGCTGGTCTGTTTGAGTTCCTTGTAGATTCTAAATATTAGCTCTTTGTCAGAAGTAGATTTTGAAGATTTCTTACCACTCTGTGGGTTGTCTGTTTTCTCTGCTATTATTTCTTTTCTGTGCGAAAGCTTTTTATTTTAATTAAGTCCCATCTATTTATCTTTGTTTTTGTTGCATTTGCTTTTGGGTTCTTGGTCATGAAGTTTTTGCCTAAGCCAGTGTCTAGAAGGGTTTTTCCAATGTTATCTTCTAGAATTTTTATGGTTTCAGGTCTTAGATTTAAGTCTTTTATTCATGTGAGTTGATTTTTCTATAAGGTGAGAGATGAGGATCCAGTTTCATTCTTCTACATGTGGCTAGCCAATTATCCCATCCCTATTTGTTGAACAAGGTGTCCTTTCCCCACTTGTTTTTGTTTGCTTTTTCAAAGATCAGTTGGCTGTATTTGGTCTTATTTCTGGTTTCTCTATTCTGTTCCATTCGTCTATAGGCCTATTTTTATACTTGTACAATGCTGTTTTGGTGACAGTGGCCATATAGTATAGTTTGAAGTTGGGTAAACTGATGCCTCCAGATTTGTTCTTTTTGCTTAGTCTTGCTTTGGCTGTATGAGCTTTTTTTTTCGTTTTTTTTTCGGTTCCTTATCAATTTTGAGATTGTTTTTTCCTAACGATGTGAAGAATGATGGTAGAATTTTGATGGGAATTTCACTGAATCCATAGATTGCTATTGGCAACATGGTCATTTTCACAATATTGATTCTACCCATCCATGAGCATGGGATTTATTTTCATTTGTTTATGTCATCTATGATATTTTTCAGTAGTGTTGCATAGTTTTCCTTGAGAGGTCTTTCACTACCTTGGTTAGGCATATTCCTAAGTATTTTATTTTCCTTGCAGCTATTGTAGAAAGGGTTGAGTTATTGATTTGATTCTCAGATTGGTCACTGTTGTTGTATAGCAGGGCTATTGATTTCTTTTTTTCTTCTTTTTTTTTTTTTTTTTTTTTTTTGAGGCAGAGTCTCCCTCTGTCCCCCAGGCTGGAGTGCAGTGGCACAGTCTCCACTCTCTGCAAGCTCCACCTCCCGGGTTCATGCCGTCCTCCTGCCTCAGCCTCCCGAGTAGCTAGGACTACAGGCGCCCACCACCACGCCCGGCTATTTTTTTGTATTTTTTAGTAGAGATGGGGGCTACTGATTTCTGTACATTAATTTTGTATCCTGTAACTTTGCTGAATTCATTTATCAGTTCTAGGAGCTTTTTGGATAAATCTTTTGAGTTTTCTAGGTATATGATCATATCACCAGCAAACGGCAACACTTTGATTTCCTCTTTACTGATTTGGATGCCCTCTATTTCTTTCTCTTGTCTGATTGTTCTGGCTAGGACTTCTAGTACTATGTTGAATAGAAGTGGTGAAATTGGGCATCCTTGTCTTGTTCCAGTTCTCAGGGAGAATACTTTCAGTTTTTCCTCATTCAGTGTAATGTTGGCTGTGGGTTTGTCATAGATGGATTTTATTGCCTTAAGATATGTTCCTTCTATGCCAATTTTGCTGAGGGCTTTAGTCATAAAAGAATACTAGATTTTGTCAAATAATTTTTCTGTATCTATCAAGATGATCATGTAATTTTTGTTTTTAATATTGTTTATATGTGTATCACATTTATTGACTTACATATGTTAAACCATTCCTGCATCCCTGCTATGAAACCCACTTGAGCATGGTGGATTATCTTTTTGATATGCTGTTGGATTTTCTTAGCTGGTATTTTGTTGAGTATTTTTGCATCTGTGTTCATCAGGGATATTGGTCTTTAGTTTTCTTTTTTTGTTATGTCCTTTCCTGGTTTTGGTATGAGGGTGATACTGGCTTCATAGAATGTATAATTCTACTTCTAATTAAGTAGCATTTGTTTCAAACCTGAAAAAATTGGAATTTGAGAAGCAACACAGAGAAATTGACTTCATTGAAATGTGAAGTTATTTTACATTCCTGGTGGAAAAGAGTGAGGCCTTCAGGATATTTCAAATCATTAATTAACTTTGCAGTGGAGAGATATCCTGCGGTGATAAAATTCCTCCTTATAAGTTTTGACATAGGAGATCTGGTTGCACTTTTATTACATGACTGAAATTTTCCCATTGTGCTCTCATGATATTTATTTTATTGTAACTTAAGAGCAAGCCTTGTATCCTAGGCAACATATTGAGACCCTGTCTCTACAAAAAAAATTTTTTTTTAAATTAGCCAAGCATGGTGGTGTGCCCCTGTAGTCTCAGCTAGAAAGGAGTCTGAAGTGGGAGAATTGCTTGGGCCTAGGAGGTCAAGGCTGCAGTAAGCGCTGATTGTGTCACTGTAATCCAGCCTGGGCTAGAGAGTGAGACTCTATCTCTAAAAAGCAAAACAAAAACCCAGGCCTTGTGTACTCTTTTATCTCTCAGCAACCCAGAATTTGTGTTGTTGTTAGGAAATTGCCACTATAGCTAGATGATTTGTTAGTTTCTTAGCACTGCCATACATAGTTATTACAAACTGGGTGTCTTAAAACAACATAAATGTATTTTCTCACAGTTCTGGAGGGCAGAAGTTTGAAATGAAAGGGTCAATAGGGTTGATTTTTGTAGGGAAGGTCTAAGGGAAAATCCACTTTATGTCTCTTTCCTAGCTTTTAGGGACTTCGGTAGTTCTTGGCAATGCTTAGGTTGAAGCTACATCACTTCAAACTCTGCTTCCATCTTTTTATGGCCTTCTTTTTCTGTATTTCTGTATATTCACTTCTTTCCCAAATAAAAATACTCATCTTTGAATTTCGAATCCAGATAAGATAAGCCAGGATGATTTTATCTCAGAATCTTTATTTACATCTCCAAAGACCCTTATTCCTAATTCCTAGATGTCACATTCTTAATTTCACAGAGGACAGGAATTTAGGGGGAGGACACTATTCAACTCACTACAGATGAAAATACACTGTTGTAAAATGTCCCGAACAACTGATAGTGCTGCAGGAAAATTTTCTACCTATGTGACATTGAGAATTTAAAAAAATACTTTAATAGCATAAAGAATATAAGACACAATGATAAATTTAAAAATATGAGTAAGATATCTCGAGGAAAAAATTCAACTCAAAATGCATTACAGAATATATATCATAAGATAAAAAAAAACTTCTCAAAGAAAACCCAGGGGAAATTTATAGTAATCTTGGGTTAGGCAGAAGTTTTCTAAATACAGTGTAAGAAACATGAACTAGAAAATAATTAACAATTTAAAACTTTTTTCTCCTCGAAAATTACTGTTTATTACCAAGATTGGGAAGGGTGTTTTTATGGAGACATAGCATAAAGAGTTAATTTTTGGAGGTGAGACAGTTCTATATCTTGATAAATCTACATGTGATAAAATTGCATAGAACAGTACACACATAGACAAACATAAATTAGTTTATATAAACACGTAGAAAATCTGAAGAAAATATCTAGTAAATAATATTGTACCACTACACCGTGATAAAAATGGGTAATTAAAAAGTTTACCAAGGAAGATATTCAATGGAAAATAAGCACTTAGAAAGACATTCATCATTATTAGTCATTATATAAATGAAAATTGAAACCGTAATGATATACTGCAACATACCTATACACCTTTAGATGGCTAAAATTACAAAGACTGACAAAGCCACATGGTGTGGATATGGAATAACTAGAATTCTCATAAATTGCATATGGGAATGCTTGAAAAATAATTTTGTTCTTTTTAACGAAATTAGACACTTAACATACAACCTAGCAATTCTAAATATTTATCCTAGATCAATAGCAATATATGTTCATACAAAGATTTGTGTTTGAATTTTAATTCCAGCTTTATTAGTAACAGCTAGAAACTGGAAACATGACAAAAGTCCTTCTAACTGGTAAATGGATAAACGAACTGCAGCATATTTATTCAATTGCATACTAATCAATAATGAACAAACTGCTGATACATACAACATGGAAAATGAAAGAAGCCAGATACAAGAGAGTATGTACTATATACTGCATGATTTAATTTACATGGGATTCTCTAATAATAAACATATATGGATAAAAAGCAGATCAGTAATTGTCTTGGGTAGGGACAGGTAGGGTAGGGAGTAGATAGATTGATTGAAAAGGATGAGAGGGAACTTTTGATGTTGTGAGAATGTTCTATATCATTACATAATTAACTACATATATTTGCCAAAATTCATCTAATTTTACATAAAATTAATAAATTTTAGCTTATGTAAAGGATAATTCAATAAAGTTGATTTAAAATTTTTAAAAGGCAGGAGAGGATCACTAAATCAAAATGCTGAAAATTTAAATGACTATTTAGTATTTAGATTGGAAGAAATCTCAATTTTTTAGAAAGTAATCCATGAAAATGACAATAAATAATAATCTATGTGATTGTTAGACTGAGGCTTAAGTCTATATTGTGGTTTCTGTCTACAAAGAACTAATGCATCCAGTTTTACCTCATAACAATGGTTGGTTGTCTTTAGTGGGTTTTTCCCCAGCACATAAGTGTGCTCCAGGCTTTTCTATCTTATAAACAAACAAACAAACAAAAAATCTCACCTTAATATCCTGCTTCAATTATTAATTTATATTCCTCTTTCTCCTTACATGCAAGCTTCTCAAAAAAAAATAGATCTCTTCTTATTTTCACTAGTCATTGTATACACTCCTCAACCTACAGAAATTAGGCCATTACCCACCTCCATTACTCCAGTGAAGTCACTCCCTGGACATCTCCTAATTCAACAATCATACCAGTTTTGTCCTTACTTCACTTCTCTATGGTCACATTATCATGGACTTTCTTGATATCCTATTTCTTCATATTCTCTCTTTCTTGCTAACAGCTCCCTTTCAAGTTTATCTTTCTGTTTCCTTCATAACTGTTGGTGTTTCCTGGGAATGCTACAAACCCTTCTCTTATTTTACGCACTCTTTCCAAGCAATTTTTTCTGTACTCATGGCTTTTATTGACTGCTTGTATGTCAGTAATTCCCAGGTCCAGATTTCTTTTTAGAATTTTTTGTCTGTTTATGACAATGTCTACTAAATGGCATTTAACATGCATTAAAAGATGTCAGTTACATAGTCAGAAAATATCACCTAACAATGAAAACAAATAATATATAGCTAAATTCAATTACATGAATGAATTTCACAAATATACTATTGAAGCAAGTTTAGAAGCAAGTTGCTGAAGAACAAGCATTATACTTACATTCATATAAAATGCAAAAATGCACTACTGGGCATTATAATTTAGAGATTAATAACCATGGGATTTTTTAAAGGAAATGATTAATACAAAATTTAGGCCAGTGATAGTATCTCATAGGGGCTTCTGTTGTGTGTTGACCTGTGTTGTAGATGTATGATTATATTTATTTAATAAATAGCGAGTATGTGTGAATCCATGCTTTAGGCATTTTTAGCATATATTTGAGCTGTTATAACAAAGTATCTTAGAGTCGGTAATTTATAAAGAGCAAAAATACAATCAACTAGTCTTTGGCAAAGCATACAACATACATTGGGGAAAGGACACCCTATTTAATAAATGGAGCTGGGAAAATTGGCTAGTCACATGCAGAAGATTAAAACTGGATCCGTATCTCTCACCTTATAGAAAACTCAATTCAAAATAAATCAAAGACTTAAATCTGAGACCTGAAACTGTAAAAATTCTTGAAAATAACCTAGTAGAAACTCTTCTGGCCATTGGTCTAGGCAAAGAAACCATGACCAAGACCCCCAAAAACAAAAATTAATAAAAGGTACCTAATTAAAACTTCGTTACAGCAAAAGAAATAATAACCAGAAGCTTTTTAGTTTAACTAGATCCCATTTGTCAGTTTTTGCTTTTGTGGGAATTGCTTTTGGCATCTTCATCATGAAATCTTTGCCCGTGCCTATGTCCTGAATGGTGTTGCCTAGGTTGTCTTCCAGGGTTTTTATAGTTTTGAGTTTTCCATTTAAGTGTTTAATCCATCTTGAGTTGCTTTTTGCATATGGTGTAAGGAAGGGGTCCAGTTTTAATCTTCTGCATGTGGCTAGCCCGTTATCCCAGAAACATTTATTAAATAAGCAATCCTTTCCCTCATTGCTTGTTTTTGTCAGCTTTGTGGAAGATCAAAGTTGTAGGTGTTTAGTCTTATTTCTGAGTTCTATGTTCTCTTCCATTGGTCTATGTGTCTGTTTTGGGGGCATTTAATGGAGCTAGAGGCCATTACCCTTATCAAAGTAACACAGGAACAGAAAAACAAATACATATGTCCTCACTTATAAGTAGGAGCTAAATGATGAGAACACATGAACATACTGAGGGGAGCAACACACACTCACTGGTCCCCTTCAGAGGGTGGAGGGTGAGAGAAGAAAGAGGATCAGGAAAAATAACTAATGGGTACTAGGTTTAATATCTGAGTGATGAAATAATCTATTCAACAAACCCCCATGAAGAAAGTTTATGTATGTAACAAAGCTGCACTTGTACCCCTGAACTTAAAATAAAAGTGAAAAAAAGAAATAATCATCAGGGCAAACAGACAGCCCACAGAATGGGAGAAAATAATTGCAAATTATACATCCAAAAAAGGACTAATATCTAGAATCTACAAGCAACTCAATAAGAAAAAAACAATCCCATCAAAAAGTGGACAGGTAACATGAACAGATATTTCTCAAAAGAAGATAAAAAAATGGCCGACAGACATATGAAAAAATTCTCAACATCACTAATCATCAGAGAAATACAAATTAAAATCACAATAAAATACCTACTTACTACTGCAAGAATAGCCACTATTAAAAACTCAAAAAACAACAGATGTTGGCATGGATGTGGTGAAAAGAAAACGCTTATACACTGCTGGTGGGAACGCAGATTAGTACAAACTCTATGGAAAACAGTATGGAGTTTTCTTAAAGAACTGAAAGTAGCTCTACCATTTGATACAGTAACCCAATTACTGGGTATAAACCCAAAGGAAAATAAGTCATTATATAAAAAATACACCTGCATGCATATACTTATTGCAGCACAATTTACAATTACAAATATATGGAACCAACCTAAGTGTGCATTGATCAATGAATGGATAAAAACAGTTGTCTGTCTGTCTGTCTATCTATCTATCTATCTCTCCTTTGATTTAAGAAATTAGAAAATATTCATAACTGTTAATCTGGTTATGTAAGAAAAAACAAACAATTTCTAGGTAATCTTAAAAACCATTTGTTTCTTTTTGGTCGGGTAATTATGGATGGCTCTACTTTAATAAAAAGTATTCATTAAATGCATATGTAAGGTGAAAAATCTAAGTTGAAATGACAACATACTGTATGATTTTCACTAAATGTTGAAAAGGGAAAATTACGGAGACTGTAAAAAAGAGCAGTGGTTTCCAAGGGGTTGGAGGCAGGGGTGAGAAAGTGATGAATATGTGGAGTGCTGGGAATTTTCAGAACAGCTAAACTATTCTGTAAGAAATAGCAGATACATGCCATACATTTGTCATACGTCATACATTCACGCATACAATATGCAACACAAATCCTGAACCCTATTGTAAACTATGGAATTCAGTTAATTTTAAGGTATAAATATTACCTTATCAATTGTATCAAATGTACCACACTAACACAAGATATTAGTAATAGGGAAAACCAAGTAGTGAGAGGGTTTCTAGCAACTCTACTTTCTGCTCAATTTTTCTGTAGACCTAAAACTGCTTCAAAAACTAAAGTTTATTAGTGTCTGTTTATGTCCTTTGCCTGCTTTTGCATGTGGCTAACAAACATGAAAAAAAGCTCAACATCACTGATCATTAGAGAAATGCAAATCAAAACCACAATGATGTATTTTGTGATACCATCTCACACCAGTCAGAATGGCTATTATTAAAAAGTCAAAATAAAACAGATGCTGGCAAGATTGTGGAGAAAAAGGAATGCTTTTTCACTGTTGGTGGGAGTGTGAATTAGTTCAACCATTGTGGAAGACAATGTGGCAATTCCTCAAAGACCTAGATGTAGAAATACTATTTAATCCAGCAATTCCATTACTGGGTATATACCCAAGGGAATACAAATTATTCTATTATAAAGATACGTGCACCCATATGTTCATTGCAGCACTTTTCACAATAGCAAAGATATGGAACCAACCTAAAAGCCCAGCAATGAGACTGCTTAAAGAAAATGTGGTACATATACACCATGAAATACTATGCAGCTATAAAAAGGAATGAGATCATGTCCTTTGCAGAGGCATGGATGGAGCTGGGGGCCGTTAGCCTCAGCAAACAAATGCAGGAAGGGAAAACCAAATACTGCATGTTCTAACTTATAAGTGGGAGCTGAATGATGAGAACACATGGGCACATCGAGGGGAACAACACACACTGGAACCTGTTGGAGAGTGAGGGATGGGAGAAAAAGAGTAGGGAGAACATCAGGAAGAATAGCTAATGCATGCTGAGCTTAATATCTAGGTGATGGGATAATCTGTGCAGCAAACCGCCATGTCACACGTTTACCTATGTAACAAACCTGTACATCCTGCACACATACCCCTAAACTTAAAGTTGGTAAAAAAAAAAAAAAAAAAAAAAAAAAAAAGAAAGAAACAAAAAATAAAAATTACAAGTTTTTAAATTAAAATTAACTTTATATATTCATAAAGATAAGCTAGCTGATGCTGATGAAACATCAGCCTACACATTTCATTAGCTTAAAAGAAAAAAATATGTATTTTTCCATTCCAGCTAGATTTACAGGATAGTCAGCTTGGTCCCTCTCCACTTGGGTCTACTTTGGGCACCAGATGAGGGAGCAGCTGCCATCTGTAACATTATTATCATAGGGAAGAATAGAGTACAAGAAATCCCCACTGGCTCTTAGAGTTTCCACCTATAAATAGTATCTGGTACATCTGCTCACACATTATTGGGACATTGCTAGTCTTCTGGGCACATCTGACACCAAAATAACTGTGACATGCCATTCTATCTTTTTTCCCAGAATGAAAGGTGGAAATATTTGGTGAATGGAACAGTTTCATTTGGTGAATGGAATAATGGCAGGCTACCTTCTGTTGTCCATGTTGTTTACTCTCCTTTCCATTCACAGAGATACACTCATTCCCACTTCAATGAAGACAATCCAAAATTTTGATCGGGTCATGCTAGCAATCTCAAAGTACAGGATCTTTGGACAATGTGCAGAGGTCTCTTTATTACAGAGTAATCTGCAAATGTCTCACATCAGATAAGCATGTGGCCCTTCTTAATCTAGTGACTTATGGTCTCAAAAGGAAAGTTAGTTGAATTAAACCATGAGGGAATAAGTGTAAGATTGCACTCATATTCAGAGAAGGAAAAAGTGTGACCCCCACAGAAGTCACAGGCCCATAGAAATTCAGAAATCCCCTTCACAGATGTGATGAGTATTCCCTACTATGACAATGGGAGGTTCCCCTTGAATGGGCCCTGGTTCTATTTTCACTGAGAGCAGCTCCCCATTTGCTTGTTCTCCATGGTTCCAGGAAGTCCTCTCTTCCTCCAGATTTCCCCTGGACTCATGTGATAAGGCATAAGTGAAAATGTCTCCAAGGAATCTGAGAATCTTTTTCAGCTTACTTCTTGTCTATAAGCCATGAGGACCCAAGATTCATTTTATGTCTTGAAAGTTACGGTATATTTTGGTCTAAGCTGGTGATACTTTGGAGGATATGATTCTCAAACCTTAACTGCCTACTACTTATCAATTTCATTATCATCATATCAATATGCCTGAAGCTCTTTTATGAATTTTCCAAACCTACCACTTAAAATTACGTGGGGTTTTTATTTATTTATTTATTTATTTTGCTTTCTGGCCTTCATGCCATGGTGCTCTTCTCTCTCTCACTCTTGCTCTCTCTCTCACTCTTGCTGTCTCTCTCTCACTCTTGCTCTCTCTCTCACTCTTGCTTTCTTGATCTCAGTCTTGCTCTTGTTCTCATTCTCTTTTTTTCATATAAAAGAGACACAATGAACTCGAACTATAAAACAAAAAAAATGCCCTTATTGAGTTATTAGCAAACAGTCAAAAAGTCAAAAAGAGGATCTTGAAAGCATCAAGAGAAGAGCAACTCATCAACTACAAGGGAGTTCCTCTAATATTATCAATGGATTTCTCAATGGAAATCTTAGAGGCCAGAAGACAATGAGGCAATATATTCTAAAGGCTAAAAGGACAAAAATAAAAGAACTCAAAAAACAAAATTTAAACAACTCTGTGTATTAGTCTGTTCTCATGCTGCTAATAAAGACATACCTAAGACTGGATAATTTATAAAGGAAAGAGGTTTAATTGACTCACAGATCAACATAGCTAGGGAGGCCTCACAGTCATTGCGGAAGGCAAATGAGGAGCAAAGTCAAGCCTTACATGACAACAGTCAAGAGAGCTTGTGTAGGGGAACTCCCCTTTGTAAAACCATCAGATCTCATGAGACTTATTCACTATTACAAGAACAGCATGGGAAAGACCCCCCCCACCACCCCCATGATTCGATTACTTCCCACCAGGTCCTTCCCATGACACGTGGTAATTATGGGAGGTACAATTCAAGATGAGATTTGGGTGGAGACAAAGTCAAAGCATATCATCCTGCCAACCAAGAAGACTACATCCATCAAAACTGTCATTTAAAAATGGAGAAGAAATACAGATTTTCCCAAAAAACAAATGCCAAGAAAATTCATTTGCTCTAGACACATCTTACAAGAAATCCTAAAGGGAGTTCTTTACATTGAAATGGAAGAACACCAGGTAGCAACTAAAAGCATATAAAAACAGAAAGCTGTCTGGTAAAGGTAAATATATAGACAAATCAAAAACCCTGTGATACTGTAATGATGGTAGACAAATCACTTTTAATCCTAGGATAGAATGTAAATATAAAAGCATAAAAATAAGTATTACAATAAAACTATGTTAATTAGTACACAATATAAATAGATGTAACTTGTGATATTAATAACTAAGTGGAGCAGGGGGATAAATAGAGAGCTTTTGTATGCTATTTAAGTTGTTTTTAGCTTAACATATGGTGTTATAATGGTAAGATCTTTTATGTAATTCCCATGGTAATTAAACATAGTACTTGAATAACCAAAGCAATCAGGCAAGAAAAAATAAATCAAATTCATCCAAATTGGAAAGGATATAGTAAAATTATCTCTTAACAGATGACATAATTTTATATGTTGAAAATCCTAAAGATTAAAAAAAGTTAGAACCAGAAAATAACTTTAGCAAATTTGCAGGATGTTAAATCAACACATAAAAGTCAGTTGCATTTATATACACACACAATGAACAATCTGGAAATTAAGAAAACACATTATAATGGCACCAAAAAGAATACAATACTGAGAAATAAACTTAACCAATGAGGTGAAGGAGTCATACACTTAAAACTACAAAATATTGCTAAAAGTAATTAAAGAAGTCACAAATAAATGGAAAGACATCCCATGGTTATATATTGGAAGACTTACTATTGTTAAAATGGCCATACTACTTAATAACATCTACAGATTCAATGCAGTGTCTAACAAAATCCCAATGCTATGTTTTACAGAAATATAAAAAAATCCTAAAACTCACATGGAATCTCAAAGGCCACTGAATATGAAAGCAATCTCAAGAATGAAAAACAAAATTGAAAGCCTCACATGTCCTAATTATAAAACATATTATAAAACTACAGTAAGTCAAAGCAGCCTCATAGTGGCATAAAGAAAGACATACTGACCAATGGAACCAAAGACAGTGTCCAGAAATAAGCCCTCCAGTATATTACCTTATATAAGGGTGCCAAGAATACCAAGCAGCGAACTAATAGTCTTTTCAAACAAATGGGGTTCAGAAAACTCGATATCCACATGCAAAAGAATAAAATTGGACCCCTACCTACCACTATATACAAATATTAAATCAAAATGTATTAAAGATCTTTATGTAAAACATCAAGATATAAAAACAATTCTTAAAAAATGTAGAGAAAACCTTCATGACACTGGATTTGTAAAAAACATTTCTTGTAAATAACACCAAAAGCACAGGTAACAAAAGCAAATAGATATATGGGACTGTATCAAACTAAAAACATTAAACTTCCATGCAGCAAAATAAAGAGCACAGTGAAAGGGTAACCTACAGAATAGAAAAAAAAAATACAAACCACATGTCTGATAATGGTTAATATTCAGAAATATTAAAAACTAGAATGTAAAAACTACTACAAATAAATTTATTAAAAAATGGGCAAGGGAAGAAAACTAGCCTGACAGCCTGATGCTGCCACCACTCATGACTCCATTGCCTTTGTAGTAGAACCACCATGCACCCTCATACACCAACCACACAGGGACCCGGAAACTAGTTTCCCCAGCATCATCGCCTCCAGCACAGCCACACCACAGCTTCCACAAACAAGAACTAACTGCCTATACCACTGGGTTATTTGCAGAGACTGCTAATGTTGAAAAAGCTGAAAAACTTATATAGACGTTACACTACTGTTCCTAGCCAGAACCAAAGTTAAAGCACTTTACCCCACCAACACTATAGGACAGACAATCTATATGGGGAAAAAGTCTTTCCCTCTGAAAGCTACTCCATAAAACTGGGTTAAATGACTGTTCCATTAGATGTACAGATGTTAACATAGGCACATAAGAAACATGAAAAAGCAAGGAAACATGACTTCTTCATGACAAGCCCCACAGTAAACATCATACTGAATAGGGAAAAGATGAAAGTATTCCCTCTAAGAACTGGAAAAAGATAAGAAAGCCCACTTTCACCACTCTTATTCAGCACAGTACTGGAAGTCCTAACCAGAGTAATTAGGCAGTATGAATAAATAAAGGACATCCAAATTAACAATTGGAAGGTCATATAGTCTTTCGTTACAGCTGACATTTTCTTATATATAGAAAAACCTAGAGACTCCACCAAGTCTTTTGGAACCGATAAATTCAGTAAAGTTGCAAGATAAAAACGAACATACAAAAATCAGTAGCATTTCTATATACCAATAACAAATTAGCTGAAGGGACATTAAGAAAGCAGGATATTTACAATAGCTATAAAAATTAAAATACCTGGTACTTAATTTAACCAAGGATGTAAAAGACTTCTATAATTAAAACCACAAAACACTGATGAAAGAAATTGAAGACTCAAAAAACTGAAGTTCAAGAATTAGAATAATTAATATTGTCAAAGTGACCATAATAGTCAAAGTGATCTGCAGACCAATGCAACCCCTATCAAAATACCAGTGGTATCCTTCACAGAAATAGAAAAAAAAATGCCTAAAATTTGTATGGTACCACAAAAGACTCCAAATATCTAAGGCAATCCTAAGCCAACAGTAAAAAGTTACTACTTCAAAATTTACTACTAAGCTAAAGTAACCAGAACACCATGGTATTTGTATATACAAATGGAACAGAAGCAAGAACCCAGAAATAAATTCATGTATTGACAGTCAACTATGATTATTTTGATTTGTCAATAATTTTGAAGCACAATCTTTTATCTCTTTTCTACTGCTGTTCTATCTTTTTCTCTTCCTCAATTAAAAAAAAATAACTGACTAAACCATAGAACCTAGTATATGATTATTTACAGGCCATGTGGATGTACATATGGCTTTTGGGGGAAAAAAAAGATGAGATTCACAACAATATACACAGACTCAGGCTCCTCACACTGAGTTAGCCCTTGCTTTGGGTGTAATTACCATTGCATGGAAGGCCACATAATAGATTTTGCCTGTTTGCATAAAATTGTTCTTATAATATTTTTCCAGCTTAATTTTAGATACTATTTAAAATTGCAAAGCCAATACATTTGACTTCAATTTAATAATGCTACAATATGCTTATGAGAATTAATGTTGTCCTAACAATTGTAGTGGTAATATAAAAAATTAGAGGATGTTCTATCATAGATAATGTTCTATCAAATGGGCTATCCTCTTGGCTATTTTAATGGCATTCTTTTGCAACAATTGTTTTTAATATTCATGAATCACTTGTGACACAAATTGCATATCTCTACCAACTTTGTGAATTTGAAGTTGGTATAAATAGAAAAGTAAATAACTAAAATAAATATTAGCAAGCTAAGAGATCATCTGTAGAGATTAAGTTCTGTGACTTCAGAAGACATTGAAACAAATCTTTAAGGAAAAAAACTGCAATAACAAATTATAGACAATATTTTAAGTATTACACCAGCTAATTACATTATTATACTTTAGAATTTGCTTTAAACATGTCTTTTATCATTTTAATAAACAGCGTATTTTAATAGATGTATTTAAAATGCTATCCAAGGTCAGATTCATTTTCTATTCTATCCCCTTTGGAAGAAATATCAAGATCACAATTTGGCCAAATATTTCTTTATTTGCATCAATTTTTTTTTTTTTTTTGAGATGGAGTCTTGCTGTGTCTCCCAGGCTAGAGTGCAGTGGCACGATCTTGGCTCACTGCAACCTCTGCCTCCCAGGTTCGAGCAACCTCTCGAGTAGCTGGGATTACAGGCATGCATCACCGCGCTCAGCTTATTTTGTATTTTTTTTTTTTTTTTTTTTTTTTTTTTTTAGTAGAGACGGGGTTTCCCCATGTTGGCCAGGCTGGTCTCGAACTCCTGACCTCAGGTGATCCACCTGCCTCGGCCTCCCAAAGTGCTGGGATTACAGGCGTGAGCCACGGCACCTAGCCAATTTGCCTCAAAAATTGAAGAGAATAGCCCTGAAACATCTTTCTTTTTCTGTTTAAAATTATATTTATCTATAAGTCATACATTTATTTCAACATTTCTAGAACATGTTTATATTTTCAGCCCATACTACCACAAAAAATAATAAATGTAATAAATCAATAATTTTATCAATAGCATTTCCTTTTGCTTGTTCTACTTTCTTAAAACACTAAAGTTGCTTTCAAGTTAAATTTTTCCACCTGCCTTTTTTAGTACAGTTTTTAATGCTTAATTGTATCCTTCTCAGTTTTCATATTGCTAGATAAAATATATTATTATAAAAGAGAACACTAACAATCTTGACACTTTCAACCTCATGGAAAAGCTAAGATATTATTATCTCCAGTTATTTATAGTCAATTTATTATTCTGTGCCATATACTAAGAATATAAAACCATGTAAATTATGCATAATGTCAGCTATTCAATCCACTCAAAGGATATTCCTATGCCCTGTAGATGTGATTTTTAGACTTTTACCTACTTGCTTCTTAAAAATCACACAATTCCTTCCAAGACTCGAGTGACTGTCAAAAAGAAAATAAAAATATTTGTTGACTATAGTTGGTGATCTCAGCATAGTTCCTTTATGTAGTCTGCCCTAGGCATAGTTAGAGACCATAAAATGGAAATATCTATGGATAATTTTCTAATTGACCTGAGCACCATTATGTTTTTTATTGTTTTAAACACTTGATGAAAATCACTTTTACTATAATGGCTTAATCTGACCTGGGTAATGTGGCAGGCAAGTGACAAAAATCCCAGAAGTCCTCTATTGATATGTAGTCATTAGAGACTCAGTTTAGACAAATACACAGAATAGAAACGTAACCATTTGCATTGTCTTGAATGTATTTCGGTTAGGGATTTTTGCCGAATAATTTCTATCTTTCCCCCACCCAATGACACACCCACCTAGACATTTTTGTCCCGTGGACTGGGGACTAGGGATGAAGTCCGGTTGCAGTATACTCTATCTCTACTTTATAACTAGTAACATTTTTCTTTGGAAGTACCATGAAGTAGTTTTTTAGATTCCAGATCAATTGTCAAAGCCTGATCTATGTGTTAGTGCCCGCTCTTTTTTTTTTTTTTTAGTAGAATGCTGATTCATTTTGAAGTCAATCAGACCACAAATTGAGTATCAGATGCAATATTTACCACTCTTATGGTCTTGGGCAATGCATTGTAATTTTATTGCATATTATTTTCTCTAGTAATAAAATGTGGGTATATATAATGTACAGGGCAGTGTAATAATTTTATGATATAAAGTATGTAAAAAGGTGCCTACTATAATATCTGCTTGTAATGTTTAATGACTATCCATTTTTTCTCCTCTTTCTTGTTAAACCGTGGTTGAGAGGCAGCAATAATGATTGAGGGAAGTCCATGAATTAGTCATTTTAATTTTGATGGAGAACAGAGATTTAAAGAGAAGACAAAATGCAGAGGAAAAAAGACCAGAAGAAGAGTCATAGGTTGGTGATCTAGGTCTGCCTTTGCTAATACTTAGGAATTTAGCCATCATTATCCTGAGTATCCCTGTCTGTATAATGATGTTGCTTGGATTAATATTCACAAAGTTATCATCCAACCTGAGTAGCTTTTCTTTCTCCCTAAGGTGCTTGCAAAATAAACGCACATTTATTTTGATCTGTGTTTTTTATTTCTAGTTCATCAATAGATCACTCAGTTATTAATTGGTTCACTAATGAACCCTTTGATGAATTTTTTAAATTTATAAATAAGCAATTTGGTGAATGGAAATTTTTGATTTATTTGTGAATTCTACTCATTTCACAGCATGGAGAATTGATATGTGTTATGTGAACGTGTTAGCATCCTCTCCTAAAGAGTTTGCCTTTACCAAATACTATTTCACTTCATCACATTTTGTTAATGTTGCTACACCTGAAATTATCTTCCTTCCTTTGGCCACAGTACCTTATTGACTTTGTGGATAAAAAGTTTATGTTATACCATTCCTCTTTTTTATCCTATTAAAATTGATTTTAAAAAACCCTTGGACTAATGCAGAATAATGGTAGAGTGATGAAAGATAAAGAAGGAGAGGGGTAAAAACATTTTATTTGAAGTGCTGAAGTATAAATTTGTAGCCTGGGAGATATCTAATATTGAAGATCAATGTATATTCCCTTTTGCTTTCTCTGTCCTACTCTAAAGAGAACCAATATTTCATGTTATCACTTATTTCTAAGTATTAGAGAGATGTCTTGATGTTCAATATTGCTCAGTAATTTAGAGATGGGAAATTCTGGGTAAATAGAGCATTTAATATGGACATTAAATTAGTAGGTTTGTTAAAGCATAAGAAAGAGGATCCTGTGTTTTCAACGCTTAATTTAAGAACATCGCATACTTCTATAATTGAGTAACTATACACTTGTCCTCTCAAGTATTTTACACTGATAGCCTTTCATGGAAGAAACTTGTTATGATTAAAACTAAATAGTTTAAACAAAGTGCAGGAATTAGTTCTTACTTGATAGAATTATTAACTGCTCCTGTGAAGACTAAAATTATCTGCCCAACAAATATAGGAACATTAATTATAATACTTTTGTAACTAATATTTTCATTCAATGCTCTGTGTGAAATAATATGTAAAATAAGTTAAATTTATTTGCTACCAGAGAAGCATTCTAAGAACCTTTTGAAGCCAGGAAACCTATCTGCACTTCATAGATACGCAGTAATTTATTCCGGGAATTTGTTCATGAAAATAATGGCAAGTATCTCTCTCACAGTGCATTTTAACCTGGAAACAAATGAAATAAAACACTTTGGCTTATCATGAGCCATAGAATCTGCTGGCTTTAGCAATGTACATTTTGTCAGATAATGGGAATGTCTTTTAAATACTATGATAATTTTTATAACACATAAATAGGGAGCAAAAGGTGGACTTGTAGAGCTGTTGCAGAATATAAGGAATCCTGAAGGAATAATTATAGGAGAGTGTAAACCAGGCTTGTCTTCCCTTCCAATGAGCTTAATTTCTGAAGCCAATGCTAATTAGGATTAATCATATTATCTCCAGAACAGCCCAAACCCCTCCAAAGAAAACAAACAATGGTCAGAGAAGAGATTCCAAAGGGATACAGTCTGTTTTGGTAAGAGTGAGGTCATGGAGACACCATACTTTGCCAGGGTACTTGGCTTTGTTTTCTGACTGCCATGCATGACAACCCAGCTCTTTCCATCTGCCAAGACTCTCCACGTCGCACCTTAGCTCTGCAGTTGTTGAATGTGCACTTCAAAGAGGTAAATAGGAACAATGAACTGAAAATCATACCTACCCTAAACCAAGGTGTACAACTGCCTGCCTTGAGTTAAGCTACTCAAGTAGTTCAGACCTACTGTTAGTAGTTAATAAAGACATGCTTAAGAGTGTTGTATATACCATGCAGCAAGTATTATGAGCAGTGCTATTCCATCACTTATAAATAAAAGAAGTACCTATTTATTTTGCACAGCCAGTTTTGTGCAGTCCTCCACCAATTCAATTACCCAGCTAATCTTAAAGGTCAAAGGATGTAAATGTCTCAAATTCTGCCAAAGTTAGTCCCAAATTCCACCTAGAGCATTTAGAAGGGGGGAATTAATTTAAGATAGAATAACAGATTAAGAAAAAGAAACAACAATGAAAAAAGTAGTTTTCTTATTTCCATTGAGAAAATTAAATCCTCTCCAGGGTGACGTAAAGGTGCCTTTTCCTGGCAGTCCCTGTCAAAGTCAAGATGGCTTCACCCAATTGGAGAGAATAGCTCGTTCAAATCTTGCCTATTCTGTCTACTGCCCCTAGTGGTCCATAAGAGCCATTTCTTTAGTTCAAATTTCCTATAGAAATACATTCACTCACACTAAATGTTTACATTTTAAGATACTAGAGCAAATGAATAGTTTTAGTGGAGTAGAGTGGAAATGAGGCCAAATTGAAATGAGAATAAAGGAGAGAAGCTCCTGATGAAAAAAGGGGAGAATGTGCAAAAATATAGATTGTTGGTGCTTTAAGTGACAGCCAGAGTCTTCTGTGTCTCTGTGAAATATGCGTTCTAGCCAGACCATTGCACTCTCTAGTTCAGTGCTTCTCGGGGAGTGGCAGCTGTCCACTGATAAGATAAATAGATGCTTTAAGAGTAAGACTTCAGAAACTTAAGGGAATTTGATATTACTAATATATCCAAACATATGTTCAATGTATTTTTTTCCTTGAACAGATAGATCTAGATGGGTTCAGGTGGGTCGAACTTTTCTTATATGGTACTTATGGCATAAACTGTAGTTGTCACACGCAGTAGGAGCTCGTTACTGTGTGTGGTATCTTCAAGTGAATTTGACATATGAAACCCAGAATTGGTTTGTTTTCATCAAAAGATTATTTAAATTGAAAACAAATCTTATAGACTAATTTATTGAAATTTATACCAAGAAATTGCTTTAAAATCTTTTCTCATCAATATGCCTCTATGTAACCAAATTCTCTATGAATAATGTTTTTATTTGTTTTTAAAAGAAAGCCGTTAAAAGAGTTGATATACATTATCCCAGAAATAGCCTTGTGATCAATTTAATTTAGAATATATAGATAAAGAAGCAAGCTTTTTTATTATGTTGAAAACTGTAAACATTGATATGCCTGGTATTCCTTCAAAGGGTATGTCCAGGCATTTGATACAGGTAATTAGTACATCACTTATAACTTCCGGGTATGTGTAACAGCAATTTTTTTGTAACAGAAATTTGTGTGTAACAACAGTTCTATTAATTGCCCATGTGCACATCTTAAGTAAACAAGGTTATGGTTTTTAAGTTGTTTTCTTTTGTTGAAATATTTGAACAAAGTATTTCAACAAAATATTCAAATATTCAACTGAAAAATTTGTTGAAATATGTCCATTGAAACTATTTAAAAATTTGAGCTTATTTATATGTTTTGTTTTGATTTATTTATTTATTTTGATGAAGTTTTGCTCTTTGTTGCCCAGGCTGGAGTGCAATGGCACGATCTCAGCTCACTACAACCTCTGCCTCCCGGGTTTAAGTGATTCTCCTGCCTTAGCCTCTCAAGTAGCTGGGATTACAGACATGCGCCACCACGTCCGGCTACTTTTGTATTTTTAGTAGAGATGGGGTTTCTCCCTGTTGGCCAGGCTGGTCTCAAACTCCTGGCCTCAGATGATCCGCCCACCTCGGCCTCCCAAAGTGCTGGGATTACAGGCGTGAGCCACCGCACTCGGCCTGTTTTTTTATTTTAATAGTAATTCATTTTTATTATATTTTGTATTTTATGAAACTATTGGTTCACAATGGAAATTAAGAACAAAACAAAACAAACATGCAGGAAAGATCCTTACACAAACACTGTTCAAGTAGAACATACCAGACAGAATTTATTTGTGGCAGTATGCTGCATAACCAAGACAGCCATCAGTAAACCTCTCTAAAGTCTCTAAGTCCATTATTTATTTGCATGACCTCAATCATCACACATTTCAGCAAAACAGAACTTTTCCAGCATCTCCTTAACTCCTTCTGTATCTGCTTAATCAATGTGTACCTTGATAGAATTAATTATCTTGTTTCAGTGACATTTTGTTGTGTTGAAAATAATTTGAAATTTGTGAGCCATTGGCCTAGTGGGATTTGGAAAGCTTTTGTACACTATAGAGATTAGGTGCTTGTTGTAACAGGATTGTGCCTGTGGGAAATTAAATGATTCAGAGGCAGGTTAACCCTTTTGGTTATTTAATGCTCCACTGAGTGCACAAGAACCAACAGATTTCTCTGTGCAAAGGCAGAGGATGACTGCTTGAGCCCTGTGAATTTACTCACACATCTATCTACCACCAGGCCGACATTCCAGCTACTTGTATCATCCATCTAGGTCATGTAATTTGCTTCCAGTTGACTGTGTTTACTGGATATATTATCTGGAGGGGGTAAACATTCAAAAGGGCCTATACATCAGAGTAGTTGAAATGCTATTCAAAAGAGAAGAAGCGAGTCTAGAGGCAATACCATAAAGAAAGGAGTATTTTAAAGAGAGGATGTTATGACAAAGCGTGGAGCATGGGTTATTGCATGAGGAGGATGAACTTATATATGTGTAAATTATGAGGAAGGAATCAGGAGGCTCCTGTCCATAGTAGAAAGTGAAAAACCATGGACTTTACATGTTTACCTGTTTTATCTTTATCCGAGTCCTGTTACCTAATTTTACTAGGCTTCCATTGCCTCAATTGTAGAACCAGGGAAATTATATATGTTAGAGGGATGTGAGAATTAAATGCTAGGATTTATATTAATCATGTTGTAAGTATTTGAAAATATCTTATGTTACTATTATTGTATACTTTACCACAGGTTGGCTCAGGGTAGATGAGGGGCTTGTTAATCTGTTCATCTCTTCATATAGTGCACATAATTTAGAAGTGCTTTCATTTGCAAGTAACAGGAAACCCAAATTAACATATCTTAACAAAGTAAGCATTTGTTTTACTCACAGAACATTGAATCCAAAGGCAGGCAGTTTCTGAAATTAATCATTAGTTCAGATGTTTAGCATCACAAGTAGGTGCCAAAACTCTTCTATCTTTCTCTTCTATCCTTAGCGTGCTGACTTTTGCCAACATGCTTGTTGCTTCATGGTCCCCAATTGGTATTTGTATCTAAAAGCATTATGTATAATTTGCAGACAGAAAGGAAAAAATGTTAAAATATCTTCATTTTGGAAGGCTTTATCTTTTTAGGCAGAATTGGAAGCTGTTGGGAGAAAAATTCTCCATGACTATTTTGGGTTTGCATTATTGGATCTTCTGAGCAAAGGCGTGTTTGAAGAACAAAGGTCTTGAAAGCTAGAACCTCTCAGATGTCATCCTCCTTCTCTCCATCATCTGGACACATTTGCTTATATTCTGAGCTATTAACCTAAAGGTGTCACCCTCCCCTCTCCAGAGAAGAAGTATTTACATTCCAGAATAAAGATAAGGTCTCTTTTTCTCTCTCCTGATTGGAGGATGGGCAGATTGCCAATTGTCCTATATAAGCTCCGGGTTTCAGAATTTTGGGGTTCCTCTTCTGTGGTACAGCCAATTTCATATGCATGTAAATATCTGATCCTCATTACATTGGCCTGTGAGAAATGGAATATGGGGCACTGGTGCAAGGTACTTCTCAGGCTGCAGCTGCATTTTCACATGAGCATTAAATGGTATGTTTCCCTGACCCAGTAGTCTTGTGTTTTTCTGTCAAAAAATATACACAAAAATGTGGAAGGATAACTTAACTTGAAAGTAGACAAAGTCTAAGACTCTTCATACTTTCTGAATTAACAGGAACAAGTTTCTTCAGCAGATTTTTCTCTTTTATCAGTCAGAACAGTAACACATGCTTAATTTTAGATTAATCAATGACAACCAAAAATGAGATTGCACAGCGAATTTAGATCAATCAATTTATCACCTGGTCTTTGGACCAGGACGCACTCTTTCTTATCATGGTAGCTCTACCCATTCTGAAATTATATTTTTTAAAAAGTATTTTTGTGTGGCTGCCCGGTGGCTGGCCAATGCATGGTGTTTTTGTCAAATGTAGTGAATCTAAAAGTTCATTAATAGTGTATGTGTTTGCCAATATTGGGCACTAAATTTTTTCAAGTCAAGGAACTGTGTCTAATTTATATTTGAGAATGCTTAAGAGATTAGTATAGAGTTTTACATATAGATGCTTAACACAGGTTAGTGAACGAATGTGTTAGCCAATACATCTTACTTATGGAAAAAAAAAAAACTGTGCTCAATTAATTGAAATGCCCACACCATGTAACAGAAAGGAAGGGAAGAATATATATCTAAGTCATTGAGTGATAACAAGTACTGGTTCCTGACTGATTGATTCTGGAAGTTTCCCATGTTGGAAAAAAATCCACTAAATTATGATAATGCCATTTCATATAATTGTAACTTTCTGTAGTTTCAAGGTTGGTTTGAATGTTCCATTTCTGTATGCTACACAGGCACTTTAATATTATAGCTCTATCAAATTCCTATGTGATTTATAAACTGGTAGCTAAAATGTCAAGGATGTTGTCAAGGGAAATGTTCTATATTCCTTAAAATGTATTTATAGTCAGAACAGAAGAACAGAATAAATATGGGGGCATGTATTTATTCTTAGTGACTTTCTTGTCAAATTTATTGGGTTTACTTGTCAGGTGAGCAGCAATCAAATCGTATTGTCTGTGCTATAAAATCAAGCTGGTGTTAGAAAATCAAGCTGTGCTTTTTTTCTTTTCTTTTTCTTGAGATGGGGTCTCACTATGTTGGCCAGGCTGATCTTGAACTCCTGGGCTAATCTTCCCACCTCAACTTCCCAAAGTGTGGGGATTATAGGCATGAGCCACTGGGCCCAGATCAAGTTATGTTTTTCTATTACTTATGTGACTATTAGTACATGTGTGCAATTTTAAAATGGAAAATTATTAGGCAATATTATTAATGAAGTAAATAATGCAACATAAAACAACTCAATTACACTACTTCTGCATGATTGAATTGCTGCTTAGGATATAAAATATATTAACATTTAGTCTGCTACAATAATAGAAACAAGGAAATAAGCAAAATCAGAATTATATCTTTCTTTTTAATAGCAAGTATTCAGATAGCATAGATGGAAAGATTCTGAATATTATTTATTGAATCAGATATGTTAGTCACAAATAGCTTAAATGGCCCATTGAAGCCATGCAATAGGCTACCATTATGTATGGTACCATGATACCAACATGGTAATAACAGGATGCCCGCTATTGTAAGGTAGTTGTTCCTCACCGTGCATAGAAAATTAACCAACAATTACTTGAATTGTTTCCTCTGATGTACTTGATTGCTGACAAAATGACCAATTTAGCACATGCAAATAATGTATAATTTAAGGGCTTGTCATAAGCTTTTCATTCCTAAGAAAATGATCTTGGCTAACTCAACAAACTACTTCTTAGTGCCTAACTGGGCTTTATTCAACTTTTCTTTTTTGTGACCTCGAATGAGAAAATGTTCTCCTTCAACTGATAAAATCTTTTCTGGACAGGTCTGCATTCCTCCTGAAGAGGGAAGTCTAAGACTCACTGATAAAACACCTTCCACATTTAAATAGATGAATACATGAGCAAGCTGCAGAAACACATTTTCTTATTTCTATATTGGAAGAAAAGAAATGAATATTTACTGAGTGTTTTTAATGAACCATACCTTTTAAGAAATAAATTTCATTGTGTATATTTGAGGTTTTCAACATGATGTTATGGGATATCTATAGTAACATATAGACTGTAAAATGGTTACTATACTGAAGCAAGTTAATGCATTCATTATCTGACATAGTTATTTGTGTGTGTGTGCGTGTATGTGACAAGAGTAGCTGAGACGTATCTTTTCAAAAACATTTTCTAAATACTATTTTATTGGATTCTTACAATGACCCTTTAAGATGAATATTTTCATGACCATTTGACAAAGAAAACTAAGACTTAGAAAAGTTAGGGTAATTTGCATACGTTTCTACATGTATTAGATGGTAAATACTGAGTAGAAATTCAAATCCAGTCCTGTCTGTCTTTAATGTCCTTTCTATGACATAATGACCACCTCTTAGCATTAATATTTTTCCTACTGGAGAAAGCTCTATTTGACATATTGTAATCAAGTGTATTATCTAAGATCAATATCACAGGAATACCAAAATTATACAAATTCTCCTGTTTTATGAGAATATATAACAAGAGAAACAGGCAACCACTATTCCTTAAAAAATTAGGTGGGGAGAATTAAATAATGCCTGATACTGGAGAGCATGGAGGGTAGAATAAATTTTACCTAAGAATCTTGAAATAATTAACAACTGCAGAAATATGTTTGGTCAATTTCACTATGGGTGTTAAAGATCAAACGTGTAAGGCAGAATGTACAAACATTTGGTAACAATGTCTTTGTTAAGTGGACAAACTTCACTGTCTACTTGCTGGATTATGCACACTTGAGACCTTTTACTGAGTGCCACTCTGGTCATTCAGTAACAGGTGTCCTTGTCAGGTGGGGGACTTGTATGAAATTTGCCTCACCCTCATTGTGGCTGGCAGCCTATAATGATGAAATGATGGCTGTTCTTCCAGGTCAATTACATTGTGGCTTCTGTGCTGAGGCTGCCATTTGTATAGATGTTTTTCTGACATAAACCCTCTATCCAGCAGAAACCAGAAAAAGAACACATAAATACCTCACACCTTTGATCACTGCTTGCCTGGTAGATATGAGACTTGGTGACCTGGAGCTAAGAGGCTTGGTTTCCCCTTACCAATTATTCCCCTGAGCCACTCACTATCCTGTATACCCATGATTGTCAGCTTTTCTTAACTCTCGTGGGGCCTGACTCCAAAGGAAGTTTAAATAGTTTGTTTTCTGACCATACCCTGGAAGCAGAATATCACTCTATAAAACATTTCATCCATGAAGGGCAATCACAGTTCTGCTCATTGGAAAAAACCAGAGCATCAGAACCTCGTCACATAAAGAACGCATGTTGCATTTCAAAAGAAGAGTTACATTCACCCTCTGGGGTTAGAGATCTCAACATGTAACTGCAAACAGCATTTATACACTATTGAGTCTGGCTGTTAATTGACTGGACAGTCAAAATTGCATGCAGCTAGGAAAAGTGTCAACTTTAATCTTCTCAGAACTGCTTCAGAAGAGAATTAAGTGGAAAGCAATTTTTATCAGAATTAAACCAATAGTGTAGGTTTAAAATGGAAAAAGTTGAGGTGACAGGAGAAGTGGAGAGATATTTAAAGAAACTTTTAAAATGCCTACTACATGCTAGGCACTATTATCATCCCTCTTACCAAAGTATTTTATTGAATTGTTATAACAAATCTGTGAGATAGCTTTGTTTTCTTGTGACTTGAAGGATTTTTTTTCATCTTGTAAATGAGGAAACTAAATATCAGAAAGTGAAAAAACTTGTTTCAGCTCCAACAATTAGAATAAGCCTAGGTCCCTTTGACACTAAACTCTATGAGTTTTTATTCTTTGAATGCATTGAGGTTATTTATCCTCTTTCATATATTATAGATTCTCCAGGATGCCCAGATAATGACAGAGAAATATGACTTCATACAACTCTTCACCTAGATCCATCTCTTTTTGAAAGGAGAGAACCACTACCATCAGATAGTGTCCTAGTCCATTTTTTGCTGCTATGACAAAATAGCACTGGGTAATTTATAAACAGTAGATGTCTACTTGGCTCACAGTTCTGGAGGCTGAAAAGTCAAAGACCATGGTGCTGGCATCTAGTGAGGGTTATCCCATGACAGAAGGAAGAAGCAACCATTCGAGGCATAGAGAAATGGGGCTGAACTTATGTTTTTACTAGGAACCTACTTCCAAGATAACTAACGCACTCCTGTGGTAATAGCATTAATCTATTCGTGAAGGCTCATCCACATGACCTAATCATCCTTTAAAGGCCATCTCTTAATACTGTTACAATGGCAATTAAATTTCAACAAGTTTTGGAGGGAACATTCACCCCATAGCAGATAGCTTTTTTCAGAACTTGTGTCTGGCTGTAACATTGGGAGTCATGGTCCACTTGGATCAGAAACTTCTCAGGAGTAATCAAAGGTGCAAATTACTTAGTTGCACACTTCTGAATCAGTTTTTCTAGAAGCTGTGGCCTTGACACTGCATATTAACAAAGTTCACAGGTAACACTTAAGAATATAAGTTTAAGAACCATTTTTCTATGGAATACAAAAATGTCATTGAGTGAATGAGGTAGACTGTCCTTGCTTCCAGAATAAATATCACTAACACTAGTACAAATACCAATGCTCATATAACACTCTGTATGTGGTTGGTGTGGTCTCTCAGAGGGACAGGTGAACATTCATAAGTGTTATTTAAAAGATCACAAAATATCTGTAAAATATACATACATATATTTAAAAATGCCAAAATATTTTTCTCTCTGGCCAGCAATGTAGTAAAATCCCCACATTAGAGAGTTATTAATATTATTATAGTTATTGTTGTTTGGATTGAAGGTCTTATTCCAAACCTGTGTGCTCTTTCATCAGATTTGCTTGTGGAGCATCTAAAAGCACAGAACTCTGTGATTCTGTATTTTAAAAAAATACTGCAAAATAAGTGGTAGATCCAAATCAAGGCTGGACAGCATGCTACTTAAAAGTCAGAGTGGGGAAGAGAAAAGGGAATGCTTCACAGGGATAAGGAACAATCTTTGGCAATGGGCCACATCAAAGCCAAGTTTTCTGTTCTGGTTGGTATCATCTTGGGGAGGCCCTTGCTCAGACTCAGCTACCCGCAAGAGACCTACTCACATCTACTGTCTGACATAGGTGATAAATTCTCCTTCTGCTTCTCAGAAAACACATACACATCTTGTGGGACATTTTTTCTGTTAAGAAATTCTACAAGAAATTCATAGCTTCCGCTATACAAAGGAAGAGCAATTTAAACAGAGGGCGTTAAAATGGGCTCTTGTTTTACCACCAGCTCGTCACAGAAACCTAAATGATTTCAAGAAGAATTATGGCTTTTAAATTCTTCTCAATAACAATGACAACGACAATGTATATTCTATGTAATATTAATATATAAATACAGATATATCCTGTATATAATATGTAATATACAGTATGATTATACTTTTTATAAAATCAATTACATATATTTTATAAAATCAATTACGTAATATATATACTTATATAATTTATATAACTGTACAATAGGTGCTTCTGAACTCATGCAGCTAGTAATATTTGTTTGTATATTATGTATGTTGTCTCAATGACTTAGGAATTTTTAACATTTCTCATTGAGATCCACACCAAGATATATATTTTTTTCCTATCATAATGCTCTTTACTATAACTGAGATAAGGAAAAATATTATAAAATATTTAAGTAAAAGTTACTGTATAGTTTCAGAATAATTTAGTAGGCTATTTTTTTTCCTTCTGGATGACTTAGTATCACTAAAAAAATTACAAATTATGCAAAGATTAAGCACCATTGCCTCATGAATGGAATTACAAAGTTTATTGGGTTTGACATACATTTTTCAAGCTAGTATACATTGGACAGATTTTACCCCACACTAAATATAGGTTATGGTGTTTCTCCATATGAAATATGTTTGACAAAGAGAAAATTTTATATTTGAGAATATGGGAAAAAAGAATTTTGATAACCAAGGATATATCCTGGGTATTAACATAGAAGCAGAAAGTAATGAAAAGTATTAGGGCATCTCTAGCCCATTTTATAAACATACTTTTGTATTGATGAGATAATAGATGTATTTTTATTTGTGCTCTAAGAGAGATATCCACATAGTTTATAAAATTAGTATTTTTCATCATTCATAGCATCTGTGTTGATTAGGCTGGGCTAAAATGTGCTGTGATAGCATACAGCCCTCAAATCTCAGTGGCCTAAAAGAATCACATTTTACTTCTCATTCCCTCCGTGTGTCCGTTGTGGGTCAGCAGATAGCTGTGCTCCACACTGTCACTTAGGGCCCTGCGTGATGGACACTTTACCACCTGGTCTTTTGCCAGATTCTGCAGCACGGAAAAATTCAGGCTTGGAGGTTATGCATCAAGCAACAAAATGCTTAGCCCAAAAGTTATATAATTTTTTTTTTCATCCCTCACAACTTCTTAGCCAGAACTGGTTATGTAGCCCTGCCCATTAAAAAATGAGCCAGGGCTGGAAATGCTCCGATGTACCTGGTCAGGGAGAGATGACATATTTTGCAACACCAGTGACTACCAAACCATGTAACCCATTTTTACTGCTAAGAACTGAGGGCCATTGAATCATGATGAAACCATTAGGTGAGGGAGGTATTACAGATCAAACTTTTTATAAAATCAAATTTGCAGAGTGTCAGCTTTCAAATTCTATTTCCATGCTAAACCCATTTGGGGGAATACATAAATAAAACAAATTTATCATGCTGGAGGGGAAGATAACAAATACCTAAAGGAAAATGGAGGATCTTGAGAACCCTTGAAATAAAGCACTGAAGAACTGTATGGAGAATAAACTGATATGGTTTGATTTGGAGTTCCTACTCAAATCTCATCTCAAATTGTAATTCCCAGGTGTTGAAGGAGAGACCTGGTAGGAGGTGATTGGATCATGGGGGCGGTTTCCTCCATGCCATTCTTGTGATAGTGACTGAATTCTCAAGCGATCTGATGGTTTTATAAGGGGCTCTTCCCCCTTCACTTCTGACACACGCTGTCTCTTGCCTGCCACCATGTAAGGTGTGCCTTCTTCTCCTTCTGACATGATTGTAAGTTCCCTGAGGCTTCTCCAGCCATGCAGAACTGTGAGTCAATTAAACGTATTTTATTTATCAATTATCCAGTCTCAGGTATTTCTTTATAGCAGTGTGAAAACAGACAAATACAGTTAATTGGTATAAGGAGTGTGGTTGGAGCCCTCACACAGAGTTCCCACTGGGGCACTGCCTAGTGGAGCTGTGAGAAGAGGACCACCTTCCTCTAGATGCCAGAATGGTAGATCCACTGACAGCTTGAACCATGTTCCTGGAAGAGCCACAGACACTCAAAACCAGCCTGGGGAAGCAGCTGGGAGGGGGACTGTACCCTGCAAAGCCACAGGGGCAGAGCTGCCCAAGACCATGGAAGCCCCCATCTTGCGTCAGCATGACCTGGATGTGAAACATGGAGATAAAGGAGATCATTTCAGAGCTTTAAGATTTAGTGACGGTCCTGGAAGATTTCAGACTTGCATGGGGCCTGTAGCCCCTTTGTTTTGGCCTATTTCTCCAGTTTGGGTTGGGAGTATTTACCCAATGCCTGTACCCCCATTGTATTTAGGAAGTAACTAACTTGCTTTTGATTTTACAGGCTCGTAGGCAAAAGAGACTTGCCTTGTCTCAGATGAGACTTTGGACTATTGACTTTCAAATTAATGCTGAAATGAGTTAAGAATTTGGGGGATAGTTGGGAATGCATGATTGATCGTAAAATGTCAGGATATGAGATTTGGGAGGGGCCAGGGGCAGAATGGTATGGTTTGGCTGTGTGTTCTCACCCAAATCTCATCTCAAATTGTAATCCCCAGGCCTTGAGGGAGGGATCTGGTGGGAGATGAGTGGATCATGAAGGCAGTTTCCTCCATGCTGTTCTCTTAATAGTGAGTGAGTTATGAGATCTGATAAGGGATCTTCCCCCTTTTCTTCCTACACACTCTCTCTCTTGCATGCCACCATGTAAGACATGCCTGCCTCCCCTTACACCATGATTGTAAGTTTCCTAAGGCCGCCTCAGCCACGTGGAACTGTGAGTCAATTAAAGATTTTTTCTTTATAAATTACCCAGTCACAGGTATGACCTTATAGCAGTGTGAAAACCAACTAATAAACATACACAGATGTGTACATGCACATGGTGGATGATGTGCCTCTATTTTCAAAAGAGAGGAAAGCCACATAGCCTGGTCTTCATTGCCAAAGTGTTATTGCTTTTAAAATTTTTAAGTGGGAGTTGTGGTTATGTCTACTATAGGGGCTTTAGGAATTTTGTTATGGTTATTTATTCTCCACAATTAATCACACTCTCTCTATATATGTGAGTGTTGTACATATATGTGGGTGCATATACAAATATACACACAAATATAAATATATTTACATGTATTATATATCTGTAATATAAATATATTTACATGTATTATATATCTGTATGCATACATATATGTATAGAATACATATAAATATGTACAGCTATATAGGTATATGTATGTATATATAAAATATACACATATTTTTATATGTATAAACCTGTATAGGTATACATATTTACATGTATTCCATATATGTATAGATATACATATATCTTGTATATGTGTACATATTTATATACCTATATATACCCATGTGTATATAGCTATACAAATGTGTATATATATACATGCCTATATATAGGTATACAAATATGTATATATGTATGTATACATACATATATAGGTATATAAATATGTATATATGTGTGTATACATACATATATAGGTATATAAATATGTATATATGTGTGTATACATACATATATAGGTATATAAATATGTATACCTATGTATACATGTGTATATATAGGTATGTATGTATATATACACATGTATATAGGTATGTAAATATGTACACATATTCATATATGTATATATGTGTACATATACACATATATTTTTGTATACATATAAATATATGAATACCAATATAGGTATACATATTACACAGTAATATACATATAAATACATAATAATATACATATAAATACATATTATAAATTTATATGTATACATAAATAAAATATATGATATATTGATATGTATTTGCATAATATATAATATGTATACCTATATTGGTATACATATATTCATACATATACAAATATATGTGTATATACACATATGAATATGTGTATATGCATATATAAATATACTTACACAAATATATGTAAATATTTATATATGTAAATATATGCATATATCAGGTTGGTGTAAAAATAATTGTTTTTGCCATTAAAGATGCCAGCAAAAACCACCATCATTTTTTTCACCAATACATGTATATTTACATTCATATATGTATGTATGCATATACATATATAAATATACATATATGTAAATGTATAAATACACACGTATACTTATATATGAATGTAAGTGTGTGTGTGTGTGTGTGTGTGTGTATATATATGTATATATATATATACTTAGATGTAAATTTACTGACCTTTAGTTTTTGGTTACCTTCTCAGTTCGATTTTAAAAATGACTTGTTCTTTGAATTATATTCTGCATTTTCTGCATCAGTTCTAAGTTAGCACACAACTAGTACTAAAATACTGTGTCCCAATTGAAAGTGAAATCCTACATCTGTATGACAGAAAACCTATCTGGAGCCTGATTCAAATAATATATAAGTATATGTATATATGCATAACATAAATACATATATTTTATACGTGTGTGTGTGTGTGTGTGTGTGTGTGTGTGTGTATTTAGAGAGGACTCTTGCTCTGTAGCTCAGGTTGGAGTTCAGTGGTGTTATCATAGCTTGCTGCAGCCTCAAACTCCTGGGCTTAAGTGATCCCCCTGCCTCAACCTCTTTATAGTAGCCATGATTACAGATGCCTGCTACTATACCTGGTTAATTTTTTTTTAATTTTGTAGAATTAGAGCCTCATTTCTATTTTGTTGAATTAGGGTCTTGCTTTGTTGCCCAGGCTGGTCTTTTTATTATTATTATTTTATTGAGACAAGGTCTTGGTTTGTTGCCCAGGCTGGAGTGCAGTGGCATGATCTCGGCTCACTCCAACCTCCATTTCCAGAGTTTGAGAGATCCTCCTGTCTCAGCCTCCCTAGTAGCTGGGACTACAGGCCTGCACCACCGTGCCTGGCTAATTTTTGTATTTTTAGTAGAAACAGGGTTTCACCACGTTAGCCAGTTTCGAACTCCTGACCTCAGGTGATTATAGGCGTGAGCCACTGAGCCTGGCCTGCTCAGGCTGGTCTTGAACTCCTGGCTTCAAGTGATCCCCTTGCCTTGGCCTCCCAAAATGCTGGAATTATACATATGAGCCACTGTGTCCAACCTGTGTATATCTTATGTAACAAATACTGTGTTTTTGTATTCAAGTTCAGAAGTATAGTATGAAAATGCAACTTTTAGTGGTATGACACTGTAAAAATTCCTTTCATGGAACTTAACTAGTACCTAAAGTATATTTTTACTTTTATACAACTTTATTCATTTTAATTGAATAAAGTGCATACACTCATACAGAACACACACAGACATCTATATCTTTAATTTTATTGCTATCTCTATATCCATTTATCTGTATATGCAGAAAGAGTAAGGGATGGTCAGAGGAGAAAAAGGAAGAGAGGATAAGACAGACCAAATAATGACTGCAATATTCATGGAGTAGGTATAGTATTCTATAATTCCTCACTAGTGTGCTTATGACCTTGCACAACTCATGTTTTAAACATCTGTGTTCTTCTTTGTAAAATAGGTAATTTTGAGACTCAAGTACAATGTGGTACATGGAAGTACTGTTAATAGTAAATCACTAGGCAAAAATTAGCTTGTCATCATTGTGTAATGCTCTAGGAATTAATAAAAAAGCCCAAACTGAGTGACTGGGCAAGGATGGACTAGCCACATTTGCCTTTGATACATAACAGGAATGTGAAAAGAAGTATGTAAGATGTCAAAAGTTATATCCAATTAACAAAATGACTTATCTGCTGACTCTGCAGTGGCACCTTGGCATTCTTCGCAGATTCTCTAGTTTGTCTTGACTTATTTTCTGAATGGGAAGTGAAAAGACTGCTGAAGAATCGGGTTTATTAACCATTCGTTTTTGTTTTCCTACCTTAGCATATATGACACATAGATCAACTTAGTAAATTGGTCTTTTAAAGAAATCACAATTCTGTTGTGCAAGTAGTGGACTCAAACAACTGACTGTCATTTTTCACTCATCTTCTCAAGTTTATTTTTAAAATGGCTTGTTCTTAAATTACATTCTGAATTTTCTGCATCTATTCCAAATTAGCACACAACTAGTACTAAAATACTGTGTCCAAATTGAAAATGAAACCCTACATTGACATGACAGATAGCTTATCTAGAGCCTGATTCAAAGTTATAATTAAATCGATAAGAGATTTCTTCCTAGAAAATGTGGTATCAACCTAAATGCCTGTCAATGATAGACTGGATAAAGAAAATGTGGTAAATAAACATCATGGAATACTATGCAGCCATAAAAAGGAATGAGATCATGTCCTTTGCAGGGACATAGATGGAGCTGGAGGCCATTATCCTTAGCAAACTAATACAAGAAGGGAAAACCAAATACTGCATGTTCTCACTTATAAGTGGGAGCTAAAGGGATGAGAACATAGGGGCACATGAGGTGGAACAACAGACACTGGGGCCTGTCAGAGGGCAGAGGGTAGGAGGAGAGAGGAGATCAGGAAGAATAGCTAATGAATACTGAGCTTCATACCTGGGTGATGGGATTACCTGTGCAGCAAACCACCATGGCACACGTTGACTTATGTAACAGACCTGCACATCCTGCACACCTACCCCTGAACTTAAAAGTTGAAAAAAAGTGAGAAAAAGAAAACAACATGAAAAACATATTTACCTTTAAAAGATATAACAGGAGAAGTAGCTTTGAAGTTAAAAAATTACAAATATAAGTGGCATATCCATTCTGAAGAGATAAGAGAAATTAGAAAATTTCTTTCTATCCTCCTGATTGGTAAGATTTCATTTCACATGTTGCCTTTAGAGATTGACACCTAATTCTTTTATGCTCACTCTTTCTTGGGACTTTGGAAGCTATAGTTCAATTTATAAGCATGTATCAACATAGAAAATCATAATACTTAAATCTGTTCCTTATGAAATAAACATTTCTGTGGTTCGTCTGTACAGTGTAGTGGGCTAAGCCAAATATCATACAGCCAGTAACTGGTGGAGCCGAGATGTGAATTGAGGTCCATTTGATGCCCAAGCATGAACTTTTGCTCCCCAAGCTATGCCACCAGTGTTGCTTCATCACAATGCTGAAGGATCAGAGAAACCTGGGGTTCATGTAGACCCTATCATGTCCTAGCCTTGGATCCTTAGATAACTTTACGTTACTATGATTTACATTCCTCATCTGTAAAATGGTGATAATCATAGTACCTACCTCACAGTGTTACTGCTCAAATAAATTAAGATAATTCATAGTCAGCATTGTGACTGCACTTAGAAAGGACTCCATAAATTCCCTCTCGTTAGGCATTTTAATATGTGAAAATCCAAGTGGGGAGTAGCAGAAAACTTGTTTAATATTTCTTCATTTGGAAATGATTGCTTCTCCCCTTTCTTTGATATGATTTTAATGAGGCATCACCTCACAGCTGGCCACCTATCATCAGTGCACAGGGAAGGGAATATGAACCCATCCTCGTTAGTTATAGGATCTCATATTTGTGGAAACAGTGATCAAACAAATAGTGGTTAAATGACTCAGGTCAGGTGAATTAAGTCCTTCTTTGTTAAGAAAATAAGGAGATAATCTACCTTTCTCTACCTAGGACTGCTAAGATAGGAGAATGTGAATAAAGGGTTATATAAAGCATGTGTATTACTCCTGGAAGAGAGTACAGATTTAGAATTAACTTAAAAAGCAATAAAAAACAGAAGGAGAGTCTCAGTGGTGTCGAACTCAGCCTCCAGTTCCTAATGCCAAGTTTTCATTAGTTCTTTGAAGTGTTCATCACAAATAGATGAACTAATAAAGTTCCCTTTTAGCTTAAGATATTTTAGGTTCCTATGAAGTATTTGCAAATGAAATAGTTTTAATTCAAATATGGATACTGGTAGTAATCTGTTATAAGTGATGTATGCTAAAATGCAGAGCCCAATGTATACACTGTATATTACTCCAGTGATGAATACAGTGAACGTCTTGACTTCATTATACAATATATCAGTGTAAAAAAATTACACTTGTACTCCATAAATTTAAATTAAAAATATATAAATAGTGGTGTCATGGGGTGGTTGGGGTTATTGGAAATGTTTATTAAATGGTAACAGAGTTAAACTGTTACTTAATTCTTGCAACTTGGAAAATACAACCTTCAAATTTGAAGCTTTAGTGATTTGGCTACAAATCAGGATGCTAGAGTGTTATCATCGTACTTATCTTTATCAAGAACTTGAAGAAAGGGACTTGCATTTGGAAGCATACAAGAAATGACATGAAACTCTGACATGAAAGGACCTTTCAGGTCTGCAGGCTACCATCCAAAATGGTTGGGTGTCAGATTATTCATGGGAATTCCATAATCTTAAGGTTTCAATGCTCATTTCTCAGTGAAAGTTAGTGGAACTCAAGTCAGGGAAATGGGAAACACAATAGAATAAGAAGCCAGAGAAATTGGGTGAAATGTGATCCTACAGACCCTTCACAAACACCGTCTGCTTTGCATAACTTTCCTGACCATTCCCAAGATGCATGCTGTCCACTGTGAGACAACCTGGAATAAGTGGTTTTGTTCTCTTGGGAGATTTCTATTTCTAGAAATAGAAATCTAAAATGTGTATTTTTTTTCTTCCCAATATCTTTTACTTTGTGGAACCTTATGACTCTGGTGGATCTACCATTTCCAAGACTGAACTTCATCACATTACACAAAAGCATCTAGCACAAGGCAAACTCAACTCCCTGGCAATAGCTGTGGGTCCAATGGTAGCAGACACATCCTGAAATCAAGATGTTATTTCTTCAGCTGGACTTCTGAATGTAGAGATTCGAAATGTCATATAACTGACACTTCCTTTCCTTCCCATACATAGAGTGTTCATCTGTAGCATTAAGTCAAATGGTTGAAGGTCTGATCTCTTCTCAAGAGAGAGAGGTCACTTGGTGGCAGAAGGTCTCTATAATGTGATTCCTGAAGACCATTCTTTGATCATGTGAACTACATGAATCTTTTCTTTTCTAGAATTTTTTTTTCCTATTTTATTATAAATATATAAATATAAATAATCTTCAATGAGTTGCTTTCACTTGCTCCCTTAATGCCCCAGCTAATATAAACGACAAAGCTTCCACATGTGAACAATTAACCTACATCATAAGTAGTATATAAAAATAAGTTAATGCGCAACATGGTCTTACAGACTTCCAGAGGTAGGAGAGAACCTTGTGGATGGAGATGACGCAGGAAGCCTCAGGGAGGATGAGAAACTTGAGCACAGCTTGGGGAAATTTAGATAAAGAGATAAGCCTATGGGGACACCCTAGGTTAATGGTACAAAGTGAGAAAAACTGAGGCTCTCTGTGTTCAAGGAGCTGTCAATAAGATCTTACTTCTGCTTATCCTTTCCCCAGTGAAGAGTTAATTATTTTCAGATTTTAGTTTCCGAGAGAGAGAGACTATTAATCACTTCAACCAGTTAACCTCAAATGATGCCACTGTTTGTATCCACAAATGGAAGGACTGTTTTCACCAGTTAACACTCTTATTAGTGTCCCTAACTCACTCTCGGTTAGAAGATGAGTGTTTTTGAGAAATTAATAACACATTTACATACCCTTCATTCTTACATGATCTGGTGAAAAGTTGAATTTCCTTTAATGAATGAATGAGTCACAAGAACACCTACCCAACCAGAGTGACACCAAAAAACGTAGGCAGAACATACCATGGAATAGGTCAATGTCATCAACTTCATCGGAGTAGACTAACCTCATTGAAGATAGTGGTGTCTGACATTTCATCAGTCTAATGGTTCATAAAGCATTTTTCACATTTCATTTCTTAGCATCTCCATCTTCACAACCACACAATTAGATATCTTTGGATTTGTTATGAACTTCATACACCTTGTTATTAATTAAAATCCCTAAATATAAATTTGTTGATGAATTTGGAACCTTGAAAAGCTTGTCAGGAGTATGCACAAAAGAAAAAAGAATGAAAACTGAGCATGTTAGCCCTTCATGGGAGACTGGCATAGATTGCCCTCTTTTACAGCCTGACTGTCCCTATGTGATCTGTATAAAAGGACACTCTAGAAGAAGGTGGGAAAGCAAAAGGATTTGATGCATTAAAGATGATATTTCCCGAGTGTTCAATTTGGCAGAAGACAAGCTCTATCGTCATGATTCAAGTGTGCTACTGCACATATATTTAAATTTGGCTGTTTCCTTGCCTCAGTTAAAATGAGTCATGTATCACTTTCAAGAAGACAGTGGAGAGTGCAGGAGTATTCTACAGTAAACCCAATTATGCTCAAACATTATATGGTTTGAGTGTACCTAACTGCTGACCATGGTTTCCTATGGGAAACCGGGAGGAAAAGGAAAAGGATAGAGCTATTGCACTGCAGATCAACCTTATGTTATTTCCCAACAGGGAGAAATTCTTAAAGTACACCATATAATTGTGCTTGCCATTTATTAAACAATTGTGTGCACCACACTGTGTGTGCTATAACAACCCTATGAAGTAGATGTTGTTAACATCCATTTTAGATAAGAGATAATTAAGTCATAATGGTTAATGGAATTACCCAAGTCTACACAACTGATAAACACAGACCTGGAGTCAAGCCCTTTCCCCTTTGGCATCAGGCGAGTTTGTTGTTGTTGTTGTTGTTTGTTTTTTGTTTGTTTGAGACAGTCTCTCCCTCTGTCACCTAGGCTGGAATGCAGTGGTGTGATCTTGGCTCACTGCAAACTCTACCTCCCGGATTCAAGCAATTCCCTGCCTCAGCCTCCTGAGTAGCTGGGATTACAAGGCGTCCGCCACCATGCCTGGCTATTTTTTTTTTTTTTTTTTTAGTAGAGATGGGGTTTCACCACCTTGGCCAGGCTGATCTTGAATTCCTGACCTCGTGATCCACCCACCTCAGCCTGCCAAAGTGCTGGGATTACAGGCATGAGCCACCGTGCCCAGCCCAGGTGAGATTTAAAATATATTTCTCTCAAGTGGGTCTGAGAGGATTGGCAATGAACTTTATTGAGATGGAAAAAATGAGAAAGGTAAAAGATGATGAGAAGATTATTTGGGTGGAGCAGCTGAGAACTGTAGTTACTATTTCTTGAGTTGGAGAAAAATGGAGAAGGTGCAGCTTAAAAAGGAATAAAAAGTACATATCACATATTACATTTCAGGTGCTATTACATATGGAATGAAGATGTTACATAGGAATTTGGTTAAAGGACTTGTGAATTTGAGGGATTGTTTAGGCTGAGGATATAAATGTGTGTGTTATCAACTTAAAAATATAACTTCTATCCAGCAGACTTTGGGAAGTGACAGAGGGAATAAATGCTAATAAAAAAGGGGCTAGAGAACTGAGCCTGTGGCACTCTGTCTTGTAGAGGTTATGAAGTGCAATGGCCTAAATTGTGCCCTCCCCCAAGTTCATATGTTGCAGCCCTAACCTCTAGTGTGACTGTGTTTGGAGAAACAACCTTTAAAGACCTCATTAAAAGAGGTCATTAGGCTAAATGAAGCCATAGGATGAAGCTCCAATCTAGTAGCACTGGTGTCCTTATAAGAAGAGGTGAAGCCGGGCATGGTGGCTCACGCTGAAATCCCAGCCCTTTGGGAGGTTGAGGCGGGTGGATCACCTGAGGTCAGGAGTTCTAGGCCAGCCTAGCCAACATAGTGAAACCTAGTCTCTACTAAAAATAAAAAAGTTAGCCAGGCCTGGTGGCAGGGAACTGTAATCCTAGCTACTCGGGAGGCTGAGGCAGGAGAATCTCTTGAAGTGGGTAGGCAGAGGTTGCAGTCAGCCAAGATTGTGCCATTGCACTCCAGCCTGGGTGACAAGAAGCAAAACTCCCTCTAAACAAAAAAAAAAAAAAAAAAAAAGAAGAAGAAGAGGTGGAGACATCAGGAATGAGCACTCAAACAGCAGACAGACCATGCAAGGACACAGCAAGAAGACAGCCACCTGCACTACAAAGAGAGAGGCTTCAGGAGAAATCAGCTCTGCCGGCACCTTGATCTTGGACTTCCTACCTCCTGAACTGTGAGGAATCAGTGTCTGTTGTTAAAGCTACTCAGTCTGTGGTGTTTTGTTATGACAGCCCTCAAAAACGGATACCAGAAGAGAGCCCTCAATCTAGTAAGAGTGGCCCAGAGTCAGCCACTAATGAGGCGGAGAAAACTGGCCATGGGCCGTGTCCCTTAAGCTAAGTAAAGGCAATGTTTTGGGGAGAGAATGATCAATTGTGTCAAATGCTGCTGAGAGGACTGACCAAGAGGGCCTTGAAGTGCCATCCAGCTGGACTAAAGCTAAGACAGACTTCTTCCTAATTCAAGACCCCTGAACTCCACAGACCATTTCCTTTAGAATATGTGTAATTATAAATTCTTTGTTCCCTTGGGATATAAATATTTTTTAAAGCTTTCTACCAGTTTTATAGCCTAGAAATGTCTCGTACAAAGACTTAGGAGCCATCTCTTTGAGAGGTAATCATCAAGGAAGGTAGAGCTCCTATTCCTCAGTTTATTTGAGAGGGTGGGATCCTAACTTTGAGGAATGCCAAATAGAAGATGCAGATGGTCTAATCACAAGAAAACAAAACAAAACAAAAAACACGTGAAAACTTAGGAATAACTCAATGTGTTCAACCCATCCTATTAATCATCCTTACCCCAAAAGTTCTCCAGTACTTTGCCACTATCTCACTCCACAATTAAAAATTCCCCTGCATTTTGTTTCAGCATAGTTGAGTTTAGATTTTAATTTTGGCATCTCTTCCCTATTGCAGTATTCTTGAATAAAGTCTTCCTTGTTTGATTAACTTTTCCTAGTGCAATTTTTGCTTTAGACAGGACCAATAAGGTGAGGACTAAGCAGTGATCATTGGGCTTCCCAGCATGGGTTCCACTGGTGTTCTATGGCTGTAGGATTATAAAACTAGTGGATAAAATATTTTCAGAATCCCAGTAGATAATTGATATGAAGAAACCAATTCACTGGTTTCCATACCAATATCTCTTTTGGTTTGGGATTAATGATTTCTACTACACATAGTCACTTTTTGATCCTCTTACATCCTTCAGCTATTTAAAATACTATAACTGGTAACATCAGCCATTTAAATATTTAAATATACAGTTAGCTGTGGTTTGAATGCTTTTGTCAACTCTAAAATTCATGTTAAAATTTAATCCCCCATGCAACAGTTTTTGGATGTGTGGACATTGATAGGTGATTCAGTTATGACAGCTTCACTCATGAATGGGATTAGGTGCCCTTATAAAAGGGCTTGATAGAAGGAGTTTACTCTTTTTTGCCCTTCTGACTTCTGTCATATAAGGACACTACATTCCTCCCCTTTTGAGGATGCAACACTCAAGGCACCATCTTGAAAGCAGAGAGCTGCCCTCATCAAACACTGAGCCTGCTGGTGCCTTAATCTTGACTTCTCAGTCTGCAGAACTGTGAGAAATAAATTTCTGTTCTTTACAAATTACCCAGTCTGGTATTCCATTATAGCAGCACAAAACAAACTATGACACAGTTGGTTATTTAGACATTAAGGACTAAATTTTATTTTGTAACTTAAAGGCAGAAACCTATTTGAGGTGAAAGGAAAGATTCTAGACTGAAATCTTATACACTGTTGCATGTATAGAACTACCTTTAAGACATTTGACAAGCATCCCCTGAAGTGTCTTTGTTTTTAACATGTGAGAAAAATTACATTTTTTTCTGATAGTGCATTTTTTCTAGTAGGATTCTTTTATGCAAATATGTCTGGTTGAGATTTTGATCAACAATTTAAGCCAAACCTACACACTGGTATCAAAGAAGTAAATATTTTCAAACCTCAGTATTTAGCTTGGGGATTGCAAGCAAATTATCAAGCAGTACCTAAAGTTAGGTGTGCTGTTTGGAAAATGGCTGTTAACTTGTACTGTGCTCAGAAGTGAGAATTGTTGATTATATGGAAATATTTAAACTTCATGAAGTAAGAAAATGTAGTTGACTACCTTCTCTTAATATCCTTTTGTTCCCACTTCTGGCGTGATGTTCTTATCTACTTGAGAATTTTTTCTGTTTTTTCTAGACAGAAATAGTCCAATAAATATTAGAAAACCCATCAAATGTCTATAAATTAAACATTTACAAATTATCCTTCCCTTTTGTTGAGATCTTAAATCCATCCTTTTCTCTTGTCAAAAGAAATATGCAGTCATTGAAGGAAAGTCAGAAAATATATAAAAGCAAAAAGAAGGAAGCAACAACATTGGAAATGGCCTGAAGCCACAGGTAAGGCGAGAATGTGTTGAGAATATCCTGCTGCATTCAAGCCAAGATGGCAACGGAACTTCATATTTTGAATCTTCCTGCTCCAAATGCATAATGACGATGGCTGTTATTTAAAGGAGAACATTAAGGAACACGTATATACTACAAAATTAATACAGCCATCTTTGTATAACAAAAAATGAAACACATTGTGCAAAACGGACCCTCTGAGGCTTCAGGGATTAGAATGACAGCAGCAAATGAGCAGCGGCACCCATAGCCTTCTTGGGAAAATGGGAATAACAGTTCCCCATAAGAAGTAGTGGAATAGAGTTATTTGCTCCGCAAAAAGAATTGTTCTAAGGTTACAACTTATAGTCTATGGCATGAGGGAGAAAGAAAGTATCAAAATAGCATAAGTGTAAGTGAGGTTACTCTCTGATGTAGTGACAATGACTGTATGTTCAATAACCCTACATCACCAAAGACCTCAGTTATCTGAAATAGTTATGGTTCTGAACTGGGGCCACAGAGGAGTAGAGAAAGGTGGGGGCGAGGGGAGGAAAGGAGAATGAGAGAGAGAAATCTCAACCCAACATTCATAAAAAAATTAATAATATATAAGGCAAAATAAAGCAGAGACAAACAAGATAGGTGAATATAAAAATGATCAATAAAGAATATTGAAATAGGAAAATATATCCAAGTAAAATTTAATAGATAAACTCTAAACTGGATAAAATCAAAGATAAATGTATAAGATTATGCTTCCTGAAGATATTGTCACCTTAGCCCATGCGAAACCTGGTTGACTCTGCCATCAAAATATTGTTTCAGTCCGGGTGCGGTGGTTCACGCCTGTAATCCAGCACTTTGGGAAGCCGAGGCAGGTGGATCACCTGAGGTTTGGAGTTTGAGACCAGCCTGGCCAACATGGTGAAACCCCATCTCTACTAAAAATTCAAAACTAGTTAGGTGTGGTGGCACGCGCCTGTAATCCCAGCTACTCGGGAAGCTGAGGCAGGAGAATTGCTTGAACCCAGGAGGCGGAGTTTGCTGTGAGCCATGAGCTGAGATCGTGCTATTGCACTCCAGCCTGGGTGACAGAGTGAGACTCCATCTCAACCAAAAACAACAACAAAAACAAAACATTGTTTCACCTCAGAATGAATCTCTCAGATTGTAGATGTTCACCACATCTATGAAATACCTTCACAGTAACATCTAGTCTAGTGTTTGACCAAACAACTGGGCATCACACTTTAGTGAAGTTGACATAAAAATTAACCGTCACACAGGCCTTTGTAAAGTCAAGAGAACTCACTCAGAAGGAATTATGGGGAGTGGGAGCTCCAAATCTGCCCCTCAAGAACATAGGCAGGTCCAACAGGAAGCAAGGAATAGGCCATGTATCATTAGGGTCACTTAACTAGAGGTACTACACAATTTTCTATGAAAACTGAGACACTTTTTAAACTGAAAGGGTGCACTATTAATAATTATGTCAGGATACAGATTGAAATCTGGATGCTCTCAATTAAACTGTGGTATTTGCTTACTTAGCTTATAGCTCACACATCAGGCTTTCCTTAACTCCACTCATCAGGTTAGTCACTTGACCACGTATCTGCAGGTGTAAAGAAAGGGGGCAAAAAGAGGGACAGAAGCTTCCATCTCAACATACCCCACATAGGATGGAATTATTGGTAGAAATTTCCCTCTCTGTGGTTTGAGGGGGATTGTGGAGAAGGGGAGCAAAATGTTTCACTAACATGTAGAGAAATATCAACAGTGAATGGTTTGGTGAACAGATGATTGGCATAACTTATATTTAAAGGGCTCCAAAAAGATGATTTTTCCTTACATGTCTGAAGGTTTTCATGATTCCAAGTAGAACAGGGAGGTACTAAAGGAAATGCCATGGCATTGGCAATTCTCAGACTGCAGATGCCCTGAAAATCATATCTCATGCTGTCACTGGCAATCTCTAGCTTATTAGTAGCAATCCTATTTAAATCTTGGAAATCTAGTTTAATTATGCTCAACCAATTAGGTACATGTATATTAATAGCAAAATAAATTTGAATGAAATGAGCAAGATTTAGTGTACCTGGTACAGATACTTTACTTTTTTTTTTTTTTTTTTTAACACAACCTTTATGGAAGTCCTACTGCTTGCTAAATTATTCCCCTCTTTCCTTCTCCAGATACATGTGGGGAATGACCTTTCCGTGCCTGTGCGGTTTATTGGGATTATGTAAGTAATTTTGGTGACACATATCCTTCCAGAACTAGAATTTAATCTCTAATGCATGGTCATTCAGAAAAAAAAAAAAATCATTGTTACAGGGCGACAAATTATATGGTGAAACTGTTGCTTGAATAAACTTGGAAGTCACATAATATGCGTAATAAACATGTTGCTTCAGCGGTAGAGTTTGGGAAGCAGAATGCCATTAGTTGTTTTTGCCACTCCATTTGAGAAAGTACTAAAAGCAAGATAACAGAATTGACTGGTTTGAAATCAGGACTAAAGAAAATAGAGGGTACAGATATTCAGATACTTGTAGGTTTGGAAGAAGTAACTGTTTTTCTTTGTTGTTGTTGTTGTTGTTTTATCCGAAATAGAAAAAGACAAATAAATTATGTGAGTACCAAAATCAGATTAAACCTCTGCCTAGAGGCAAGAATCAAAAGTATGGCTTTCACATCCGTTGTTCATCTTTTTAATGGCTTAAGTGCAGATCTATTAATCCTTTTAGTTGGACAAAATAACTTAAAGGAGGAAATACACCAGAGTATGGCCTCTCATGGATATCTGATAAGCTCCAGGTACCAGCAATTATGTCCAGAGAAGGAGAGTTTAAAGTCTTGGAAAGATCTATGTGTATAGCTATTGGAATGTGCTGTTGATTAGAATAACATAGATAAGACTAAGTTTTTGAGAAAGCTATGCTGGCAAAGAGGAAGTTAATTTAAGTCGTACTGCTTTGGACATTATGCAATCTTGAACCCTCATGTTTATATTGGAAGAGGACAATCTCAGGAAGCTTTTCAGTCCCAAAACAGATGTGGCGGCCATGAGGAAGTGCAACTCAGATCGCCACCTGCAGAAGCCTATGACCAAGCGCTTAGTCGCTGCCCTCTGAAATCGTGGCTGTGTATGTGCTGATGCCACCATCCCACAGGCTGCTCCCAGTTGTGCCTGAATATGCCAGGGATCCTAAGCCAGGCTCATTCCTGGGACAAGAGACCCCTTTTCTGGGTGACTTAACCCCCAAAACTCACAGATGTTTGTGCCAAAATTGTCTTAGCCTTGCTTTGCATTTTAAGAAACTTCAGCCCTCCCTTCCTTCCTTCCCTCTTTCCTTGCTTCCTTTTCTCTCTCCTCCTCTTGGGGTCAGACCTGCGTCATGATCTGAAGGTTCCCCAGCCTCCCTGAGTGCCTTTTCCATTTTTTTTTTCTCACAGGCATTACTTTCTAAGAAATTTATTTCATGTTTAATACTCTCCTAGCATCTGCTTATCAGAGGACTCAATCCAGAGGGAATGCTCCCCAGTGCTCTCCAATGCTCTCTTCAGAGATGACCTAAAAGGATGATGGAAAGTATAGGACTTCCAGAGGTTACAAACAATCGACTGAAGGTTTCCTCCTAAGGAGAAAGATTAGAGTATAATAATGAATATTCCTTTTCCCTTAGAAACTTCTGTCCAGACCCAGAAAGTTAACTGCTTAATATTTCATATTCTTTCTATTTTCTAAATAGAAACATGTATTGAAGATAGCCTGTTTCAAACCCACGCTTTTTTACAGGGTGGATTGAGGACAAATACCTTGTCTTCAAGTGTACAATTAGCTCCTCTGCATCAAGAGGAACTAATTCCAAACTGGAAGTATAGACTAATTCAGTCGGGGTCTAGTCAGAAGAAAAAAAAAATAATCGCAAAACACCCCAGTTATTTTAACTGAGAATTTAATATAAAACATCATTTAGTAGTATTAGGGAAATGAAAAGGCAATAAAACACAGAAACATCACATAGAGAGTATGTGATGCTTTCTTTTCTAAAGAAAGTTAATACCACTCCTAGAGTTTGGAAACTGTAGGAAAAGTTAGAATTATCTCAGAGCTGGGATTCAGCCTGGTAAATTTCAGACTGATACATTTCAGACTGGTGGATTTCAGACTGGTACATTCGGAGGAAGAGCTCTCTGGAGATGGAGTTGTGGGGTATGTAGGAAACTGATGCTCCTGTTTGTGAAGGGGCAAAATGAGACTCTTTTGGGAGTGTTGAAAAACTACAGGTTGTAAGTTGCTCTTACTCAAATAGCTGCCCCTAGTGGACTGAAGAGTTATTACTGGAGTGAGTTTGGATCAAAGAGCAAGCATTGTGCATTTTATTTTTCTTCTTCCAGTCTCCTTATAGAACCCCCTAATAGCAAAATCTAGCAGGGAGTCAGCTGTTAAAACATAGTTTGCAGAATGTTGGTGTCATAAAAGGAAGTATGGCTGCTGGTTTTCTCTTTTGCTCAGGCCTTTGGCAATGGCAGGATGAACAAATGTTGTGGACTTTGTACTTTGTACCAAGAATCTCCCTGTTCACTGACAGGAACATAAGTGGAATGACAAACAGTACAAGAAAGCCCATTTAGGCACAGCCTGAAGGCCAACGCTTTTGGAAATGTTTCCCATACAAAGAGAACTGTGTTGGAAAAATAGGAGTTGAAGCCGAATGGCCAAATTCTAATATCAGGAAGTGTACTATAGTTCAGCTGATTGAGAATGGCAAGAAAATCATAGTCTTTGTACCCAACGATGGTTGCTTGAACTTTATTGAGGAAAAGATGAATTTCTGGTTGCTGAATTTGTCAAAAAGGTCATACTGTTGTTGACATTCCTGTAGTCCGCTTTAATGTTGTCAGAGTAGCCAATGTCTCTTGGTCCTATACAAAAGCAAGAAGGAAAGACCAAGATCATAATTTTTTGTGGTAAAACCACAGTAGTAATACATTTTTATATGCCAAAAATTAAAATAAATTGGAATATAGAATGATGGGAATCAAGCTGAGAGATCATAGTTTAATAATGAGTGTACTCCCTGATATAGACACCACCATGAATCACTCACAGATCTAAGCCTTTGCCCTCCATGACATGACTGGATGAACAATTATGTTGTCTCACTCAGGAAGTCTGTAAATGTATTTTGCTGGTGAATTGAAGAGTGAAACAAATATGTGTTGATCAGATAGGTAGACTATGCTGGTCTTTACGGTTATTTAAATGCACAGTTTTTTCTCTCACAGTTGTTGACTACAGGATTGGCCCAGTTTCTGACTTCTTGTGATTCATAAAGTAACAAATCCATTTCTGACCAATGAGTTGAGACTGGAGATGCTGTGCATGATGTCTGGCCTGCACATTTAATTTTGATCCAAGTTTCCAGGAGCACTCTCTCCATTATATAAAACTCTAGGAGTAATTCTGCAGAGATCTAAAAAATGATGGCGCTTCATTAGCTGGTATGCTGAGGGACTGACCTGAGCAGTTATCAATGACTCACAAGAGCCATGAAGTACAAGAAAATAAGAATCCTTTGTTATGCTTAAGCCACTGAAATTTTGGGTTGTTTATTAATGCAGCATGCCTAGCCTATTCTGACTGATAATATCTCATGTTTATTTCAAAACTATATCTTACTGTTGTACTCTTCTTGTAGTCATGCAGCAGATTTACTATATCTTTTAATGTTTATTTTGAAAATTGTTTATGTCAGTGCTACTTCTTGTACAAAGAAGATTTGAGTTAGCTGATGAGGATGCAATGTACAAAGATTCTAGATGATGCTTTTGTACATGGACAAAATTGATTTGAGTTGCAGAGCTGTATGAATGTCAGAGGCATTCCACTCGCTTTGAATTCATAAGAAAATTATTATTTTTTATTTGGCCAGAAAGACACACTTTAAATAAAAGCTTAAAGAAATAGAAATGTGTACAATATTTATATTCAGAGTACAAATGCAATGGAACTGTTAGTGGTTGATTATTAATATGGTCTTAAAACCTTGTCAAAATCCAGAAGATTTAATACTATTAAGCATAAGCAACTGAATAATTCATCATTGAAAGTGAACTAATTTTCTTTTTAAAATTTAAAGTACATACATTTAAAAGAAATGACTACGGTGATAGCTTCAAATCTGCATCCTAAAAACAGTACAGAGAGTAGAATAAAACCTTAATTTTAAGTGATCCCACAAAGTACCAAGTGGTCCTCTGAGTCTCTGTTTTCATAATGTTATGCTGGGTATTTTCACAGCAAATATCATTGTAACCTTTAAAAAAGTCAGACTTTTAATTATTAGGATAAAATGGTAGACCTTACTTCATTATGTTACTTTGTATTTCTCAAGTCTCATAATCCATTTAAATAATTGTAGAGACAGCCTCTGGGAATATATGTGAGGAAGAGAAGGCAGTGACTTTCAGGTAACAATGAAAATAATATTTGTTTTTAATTTGTGTTTAAATTGCCATCTCTAAGTACCCACAGTCAGCATTGGCAAAATTAAATAATTACTTAAATACCTTTATTCCACTCCTCCCCGCTCCAGCTCCCCTGAAGTTCAGCCAGATTGGACTCCCAGGTGTGAAAGTTTGAACATGATTCTATTTAAATGTCACAGTTTCCAGAACACACCTCGCATGCCAAGCACATTTTCTTTAATCTAGTCTTAAGTTCTCTAAGGCAACTTGGATCATATCCAGGAAAAACTGAGAAACAAACCTGGATTGGTTAGAGGCAAGGATCTGACTGACTCTGCTTTTCTGCATTTCACAATAAGGTACAATAATTATTTTGCCCAAGACCAGATTAGATAAAGGGACCATTCTAGGGAATTAAATGTGAGGTCACATCTCCCTAAAGTCGTGGTATTGTGCAGGTCTGAATAGGGGACCTCTTTCAGGGAAGTCTTCAGCAGAACGGTGAAGGCAAAATTTGCTTTCTGGTGCTTTATTTCCGTAGCTCTGAGAGTTAGAACTAAAGTTGCATGGTTACAGTTTGAAAAATATTGAGCTGGATTAATTTAAAATTAATGATTGATGACAATTAAGTAGAGAGCAGTATGTGGCAAAAGCCACTCTGTTAAAGGTGAGGATTAATTTACAAATGATGATTCCACTTGTGGAGGACTGTTAGAATTTTAGAAGCATTTTGAATAGATCTTTCCTTTGCAGAACACAGGAAGGATCTAATTATAACAATTTCATGACACAAGCTACTGAAACTCACAAAATTGTAAGTGGAAGCCTAGAAAAAAATAAAAAACCTGTCTTCTAACCTACAGACCACTGCCTGTCCCACTACACTATGCTCATGAGCTTCTAAATAACTGCCCCTTTATTAGGTCCATTGTATACTGTAGGCATGGAGATGAAATATGTTAGACCAAGAGTATTGCTATCAGTCACACATACACCAAGTACTCAGGGTACAAAATGTTTCTGTATTTGTTTCTACCAGAGTTATTTTCTATAGTGATACCTTTTTTTTGTCAGTGTTTTATCTCCTCATGTTGGATTTGCTAGATAACTTTCTCCCACTTTGCTTTACCCTCTGCCCTCAGCTCCTGGCTTAAGAAAGCATGCAGGTCTGGGCTCTCCACAATTCCTTCAGAGAGGCAGAAACTAGAGAAAAATATTCCTCCTTAAAGCTTAAATCTTTTGGTTAATCATATATATATTTTTTACTGTGGAGCATAGGCAATGATAATGATGGCCCTTCCAGTAGCATAAAGATAATATGATATTAAATTAGCAATAACTCTTTTTTTTTTTTAAGACACAGTCTTGCTCCAGCCAAGGCTGGAGTAGAGTGGCACAATCACAGCTCACTGCAGCCTTGGTCTCCCAGGCTCAAGTGATTCTCCCACCTCAGCCTCCCAAGTAGCTGGGAACGTAATAGCACATGCTATTACACCTGGCTATTTTTTTTTAAATTTTTTACATAAATGTTGCCCAGGCTGGTTTCAAAATTCTGAGCTGAAGCAGTCCTCCTGCCTTGGCCTCCCCAAGTGCTGGGATTACAGGCATGAGCCACCAAGCCTAGCCAACTCTCCTTTTTTTCTGTCTCAACAGTACCTTTTCTTATAAAGAAAGAAAGAGAAAATCGTGCCCTCCTATAACCACACTTCTGTTTGTCTTACATCCTATTTCTGCCCATCTTTCCTCCCCCTCAAAAAGATTTACAATAGATTTGGTATTACTGTGTATGAAGCCAATAAAAGTAGTGTTGAATATTGTGACTTCATTCTAACATGTGCACTTGATGGTGAGAGGAAGATAGAGAGGAGATGAGTGCACTGCAAAACAAACAAACCAAATCTCTGCCACGTATCTAAAAGTCCCAGAGGTTAAGGGTTGGCATTGTCATCTCCACAGAGAAGTAGAATACATTATAATCTCTAGTCTTACTGTCAGTATGTTTAAGCAGGAAAATGCATTATGGGTAATCACCTTGTGGCTGTGTAATACACATCAATGAGTAAAATAACCCTAAAGGAAATTGAGCGGTTATAAAATCAGAATAAACGCCCAGTACTTTGTCCAGTGATCTGAACATCAGGTCTGTGAACACGGAGAATGGCAGCGTGCATAGTCTAAAGAGAATTGGAATAAAATTTGAACACTAACAGTATTAGTATTTTAGTCACAAATGATATGCAGAAAAGACTGGTTTCAAAAGGTACACTTACGGGCTTTAGAGAGCTCCTACTGTGAGCCCCATTGGTAAGGTCTTCCTTTCAAATGCCATCCTAGCCTTTGATTGTCAACTTCGCTTTGACTCCGAGCCACATCAGGCTGTAAAAGCATAAAGGTTAGCTTTCCATTGCAGGAGTGTGCAAAGAAGTACAAGAGCAAAGTCGCAATCGTAAAAGGAAAGAACGCCAATATGTCATGGGATTGCAGAAACTTGAAGGCATGAAATTAATCAGAGAGCCCTTTTCTCCCTCTCATCCTTAAAGACTGCAACAAATAAGAGACAAAGGCAGGACTGCCCTTGCTTTCCCTTACTGCTTGCCCTGTGTGATCACTGCAGTCAGAATTCCTCAAATGCCACAGAGAAAAGGTTAAGGAGGCCTCTAAAAATGCAAAATAGCTCTCACCCTGGAGGTATTCTATGGTGAAATGCTGGAAATCAAAGCATGAAGAAGTTAATATTAAAAAATATTTTCAGGAGAAGGCAAGAGAAAAATTGTTAGATATTTTCTCTTTTTAATCAAGAGTACTATAATTCAGTTATAGAATTCTAAATTGCACAGTTTTGGGGATTTAGGGCTTGTTCTCTGAGGAATCAGTAGTACTGTGTCCGGAATTGGTGGGTTCTTGGTCTCACTGACTTCAAGAATGAAGCCGCGGACCCTCGCAGTGAGTGTGACAGTTCTTAAAGGCAGTATGTCCAGAGTTTGTTCCTTCTGATGTTTGGATGTGTTCCAAGTTTCTTCCTTCTGGTGGGTTCGTGGTCTTGCTGGCTTCACGAGTGAAGCTGCAGACCTTAGCAGTGAGTGTTACAGCTCTTAAGGTGGCACATCTGGAGTTGTTCGTTCCTCCCGTCTGGAGTTGTTCATTCCTCCCAGTGGGTTCGTGGTCTCGCTGGCCTCAGGAGTGAAGCTGCAGACCTTCACAGTGACTGTTACAGCTCATAAAGGCAGTGGGGACCCAAAGAGTGAGCAGCAGCAAGATTTATTGCAAAGAGTGAAACAACAAAGCTTCCACACTGTGGAAGGGGACCCGAGCAGGTTGCCACTGCTGGCTCAGGCAGCCTGCTTTTGTTCCCTTATCTGGCCCCACCCACATCCTGCTGATTGGTCTATTTTACAGAGAGCTGATTGGTCTGTTTTACAGAGAGCTGTTTGGTCTATTTTGACAGGGTGCTGGTTGGCGCATTTACAATCCCTGAGCTAGACACAAAAGTTCTCCAAGTCCGCACAGAGCACTGATTGGTGCATTTACAAACCTTGAGCTAGACACAGAGTTTTGATTGGTGTATTTACAATCCCTTAGCTAGACATAAAGGTTTTCCAAGTCCCCACCAGATTAGCTAGGTACAGAGTGCTGATTGGTGCATTTACAAACCTTGAGCCAGAGACAGAGTGCTGATTGGTGTATTTACAATCCCTGAGCTAGACACAAAAGTTCTCCAAGTCCACACAGAGCACTGATTGGTGCATTTACAAACCTTGAGCTAGACACACAGTGCTGATTGGTGTATTTACAATCCCTTAGCTAGGCATAAAGGTTCTCCAAGTCCCCATCAGATTAGCTAGATACAGTGTGCTGATTGGTGCATTTACAAACCTTGAGCCAGACGCAGAGTGCTGATTGGTGTATTTGCAATCCCTTAGCTAGACATAAAGGTTCTCCAAGTTGCCACTAGATTAGCTAGACACAGAGCACTGATTGGTGCATTTACAAACCTTGAGCTAGACACAGAGTGCTGATTGGTGTATTTACAATCCCTTAGCTAGACATAAAGGTTCTCCAAGTCCCCACTAGACTCCGGAGCCCAGCTCACTTCACCTAGTGGATCCCACGCTGGGGCTGCAGGCGGAGCTGCCTGCCAGTCCTGTGCCGTGCGCCCGCACTCCTCAGCCCTTGGGCGGTTGATGGGACCAGGCGCCTCAGAGCAGAGGGTGGCGCTTGTCGGGGAGGCTTGGGCTGTGCAGGAGCCCATGGCTGGGGGAGGCTTGGGCATGGCGGGCTGCAGGTCCTAAGCCCTGCCCCACAGGGAGGTAGCTGAGGCCCTGTGAGAATTTGAGCGCAGCGGTGGCAGGCCGGCACTGCTGGGGGACCAGGCACACCCTCCGCAGCTGCTGGTCTGGGTGCTAAGTCCCTCACTGCCTGGGGCTGGTGGCGCCAGCCGGCCGCTCCAGGTGCGCGGCCCACTGAGCCCAGCCCACTCGGAACTCATGCTGGCCCAGCCCCGCTTCCTGCCCGTGCCTCTCCCTCCACATCTCCCTGCAAGCAGAGGGAGCTGACTCCGGCCTCGGCCAGCCCGGAGAGGGGCTCCCACAGTGCAGTGGTGGGCTGAAGGGCTCCTCAAGCGCAGCCAGAGTGGGTGCCTAGGCCGAGGAGGTGCCGAGGGCTGGGAGGGCTGCCAGCACACTGTCGCCTCTAAGTATGAGGTGGGATCTGGCAATGGCAGCTTGCTGCCTCACCTCTCATGCAGGCAAAGGATCAATGATAAAGAATGACAATAGTAATAAAGCCTATGATTTTACAATACAGTCTTAAATAAATTTACCCTATATTAATACAGATGCTCTTTGACTTATGATGGGGTTAAGTCCTGATAAACCTATCATAAATTTTATAAGTTAAAAAATGTGCTTAATACACCTAACCTACTGAACTTCATAGCTTAGCCTAGCTTACCTTTATGTTCAGAACACTTAAATCAGCCTGTCATTGGGCAAAAACATGTTACACAGAGCCTGCTTTATAATAAAATATTGAATATCTTATGTAATTTATTGAATACTATATTGAAAGTGAAAAGGGTTGAATGTATAAGGTTTCTACTGAATCTGAATTATGTACGCACCATTGTAAAGTTGACAGAACATCAGTTGAATCACCTTAATTTAGGTACGTCTGTACTGCATTTTTTAACTGAGTCATCTTAAATTAAGCCAGATGACAAGTCAGCTTGATTTAAAAAAATACATCAAAATAGACCTCTGATTAATAATGAATAGAGTTTGTAATTGTAAAATAATTAAAGTAGCTTGTATTTATTTTGTGTTTACTATGTCAAAACGCTCCAGGTTTTGTTTGTCTGAATTCTTTTTATATAGCCCTTCAAACTAATCAGGTTAGTCACTTTACTATCCTTATTTATAGAGATTATATTAACGTAGAGAAATTAAGTAACTTTCCCAAGTCACACAGATAGTGGAAAGACAGGATATGAATTCAGGCTAATGACTTCAGAGCCCAGCCTCCTGACCACTGTACTCAGGCAGCTTGTATATGAGATAATGTTTTTGAAATGACCCCCTGTGGACCAGATGCCCAGTGGATATAAAGTTCCTTTCACTTCAGAAGAACTTCGTGAAGTAAGCATTCTCATTAAATCTGTCAATTTGTAGATTTCCCCCACCAACATCTCTGAAAGTAAATACGAAGCTGAAAAATAAGTTGTAGGCAAATGTATGCAAAGTTAAATACAGATATAATTATTTATATTTTAGTAGGTTCTGTTGTTCATAAATATTAAATTTAGTGTGTTTTGAAAAATAAGGGAGCAGAGGCCCTTTTTTGTCTCAGATGTTTTGATGTAGTTACTGAGACCTAGCCTTTGTGGCCAGTTACAGTTTCAAGTATGTAGTGGCCTGGAGAAAAAGACAACCTTCACTAGCACAGATACTGCTGATGAATCAAATAGGATAGAACTAAAGAATCATCAGAATCACCTAGGATACTCACTAAACTTCAAATTTCCTGGCTTCTACTCTCAGGCTCTGAGAGAAGAATATGTGGAAATTTTATTACTAATTATTATTTGAGGCAGGGTCTGGCTCTGTCACGTAGGCTGGAGTGCAGTGGTACAATCATGGCTCACTGTAGCCTCCACCTCTCAGACTCAAGCCATCCTCCCACCTCACCTTGCTGAGTAGTGGGGAACACAGGTGCATGTCAACACACTTGGCTAATTTTTTGTATTTTTTGTAGAGATGGCTTTTCGCCATGTTGCCCAGGCTGGTATCAAACTCCTGAGCTCCAGCAATCTACCCACCTTGGCTTCCAAAAGTGCAAGAATGAAAGATGTGAGCCACTGTGCCCAGTTTCAAACATTAATTTTTCACAAAAATATTCAAATAATACAAACATATCTATTAATACATTTAAATAATACAAAATAAAATACATGTTTTAGCAGATGCACTGTGATAATAATGTTTGAGATTAATAATGAATAGAAAAAAATGTAGTAATTCTCTGTCTCTGATTCAGACTCTCTAGTCCACTCCAGGACTTTCCCCCTTTGAAATGCTGACATGGATCTGAGTCTCATGGAAACTTCCACCCTGCAGGGGCTCTGTCGGGAACATGGCCACTGCTGGAAACTGGGCCAAGAGCAGGACAGAACTTTGCCCACGTTTATGTGTCCAGGCAATAGAAGAGCTGCAGCTAGGAACAGTGATAAAAAATAAAACAAGTTATGTGGCGGTGTTATAAAAATTGTAAATCAACGAGGGAATGTAAATGCTATTAACATTATGGCTGTTATTGTTATAGTAAGTAACAATTTAGTAGAGGGAGGACATTTCCTCACAGTGTAAAGTCACATCAGATATTTATAATTTCTCTTTGTATGGCTCATTTCATGCAGCAATTTTTGAGTCATAAAAAGGGAAAAGCAGTCTTCATGATGATAATAGTAATAATGAGAAAACCATCTGTATTACAACCAGAGATGTTATCAGAAGTCTTGCCACATCTGACTGCTGTTTAACTTACAATGCCACTTACCATCCTGCTCCGGAAAGCTCCAAAGGTTATTCTCTGCTTAGTCAAGCTTACTTAGTAGGGCTGGGGTAAGGGAGAGGGGAGTTTAGACTTAGGGAAAGTGCATTCTATGGTATATCTTGGCATGGAGAGAGGAACAGAGTAATCATGGATCTAAATAGGAAGCAAAGAGTCGGAGAGTGGATTGGGCATTTAACAACCTGAGCACCAAACTTAAAGTCCTTATATTGGTACCTAGTATATAGCCCTGTTCTTCCTGAGGCTCATGCTCAATTTTCTGTCTCTTTAATGTAAATTCTAACTTCTTAATGTTCCTTGTGTCAGTCTCTGTTCTTTGCAAATGAGAAGGAACTACAGTTACAATCATGTAAAACGGAAATGCTTATTTTGAAGATAAGAGTTTTGGGTGGTGGGAAAAGACGCAGAGATAGAGGATGAGGTTGAAAGAAGGCATGCACGGTGGACTGAGTGCGTGAAGAACCCCAATATTTTTGCCTCTATGTTGTCCCTTCCATTGCCATGTAACTTTGCTTTTCTTCTCCCTAAGGGGTAGAGAAATTTCCCATCTCTTGAATCTGGGTTGGCCCTGTAAAGTTTTTGCTGAGCAGCATATGGTTGAGGACACAGCAGGTTTCCAAGTGAAGGCCTCATGAGCCATCTTGTGCTTCCATTGCCATGAGAACATGCCAGAGCTAGCCTGCTAGAGGAGAGACCATGTGGAGCATAGCTGAGTTACCCAGCATCCAGCCAGACAGCATGTGTGCAAATCCAACCAAGATCAGCAGAACCACTTGGTGTAGTCACAGCTGCCTCCGTACACATGAGCAATAAGCAGTTATTGTTTAAGCCAGAGTTGTTTTATTTTATCGATTATGTATTATTATTGTGGCAATAGATAAGTGATGCAGGATGTGATAGATGGGGATTACAAAGAGGGTAGTAGTGAAAATATTTGCCTGCTTGGGGTGCAGTAGAGGAAGGTATAGATTTATTCTTGAAAAATTAATTGGATCACTCTTCTGGTATTAATATACACAATTAGTAGTTCAACAACATCAGTAAAAGCAGATTATATCTAACTTTGATTTAGTATTCCTGGAGTTTCCATCTTAAAACCTTTCTTGCAGGAGATTACATATTATCAGCTAATTATATCCATTGGGATTTATCACTTGCCCAGATTCTCACTTCATTATCAACAAAACATTTTCATTAGAAATTTTTATTCATTTTCTTAGTTACTTAGAAATAATCTCTTGGTTTTCATTTTTATTAAATGCCTCCACCCCAATTTTTAAAAATATATCAGTCAAGATCCCAACAGGAAAATGATTGAACATGAAAAATAGGATATTTTGAAGATGGCTTTAATAAGTGGATCAATTACATAGATTTGGATGAGGTAAACCACAAGGGATTTATAGTAAGTCTTATATTAAGGAGTTAAAATGTCATACATTGCAAGTGAGAGTACAGTCAATCTTGTGGTAGTAGCCCAGGAGCTAGAGTGGCCCTTAAGTAGACTTAATAACATAACTTAATATTAGAAATTATTAATATTAGAAATTCTGGGACTGTTGTCATTCTACACTGAAGGATCAAAATGGCTGGTTCCTGCAACCTGAAAGGAGAAAGCCCTTTGCGGAGTCCCACAGTTAGAGAAGTATGAGAATCAATATGCCAAGCTCATCCTCCTTTCTCCAAATTCCTTTATTGGCACCCAAACAGCCAAAGGCAATACATGGGAAAGGAACCATTGAGGTAGTTGATATAGACAATCTTCAGGAACCAAGGTGAAGAAAGATGGGGAGTTAATCTGCACCACATCTGCCCGATGTAAGCATTACAGCACACATACCGTATGTGTTTTTACTAATTAACCTCTTTTCTAAGGGGCAAAACAGTGTTCCTGGAAGCCCTGAATACTCTTCTGCAGCATATTGACTCATTTGGTTATAAATCATCACTGCCTAGATGTAAGATTATTAACATTACACATTGAGAAGCTCATATTATACATTTTGTTGTCAAAACCTTTCTTAGGTCCCTGAGAACCTCAGGAGCAACTGCTGCTGAGTAACCTGTCTAACATGGCAGCAACAGACATGCTGAAACCCTGGTATTGCACTGGCACTGAAGGAGACCAAGCAGCCACTTGGTGGTAGATTTGTTACATCAGGCTTCGTTCATCCCAGAAGCAGCAGCCATTAATCTTTACTAGAATCAACATATATCCAGCTACCATTTTGCCTTTTCTATCTGCAGGGCTTCGGCTAGCACCACTGTCCATGGGTTCACAAGCTGATATTTTCACAGTATTGTTTAATATTGTCTCATAGCGAGAGAACCGCTAAACTTTGAAGGAGGTATGGCAATGGGCACAGGCCTCCAGGATCTACTGGCCTTACTACTAGGTCTGAGAGCTACTGGAAATATACCATTTTGAAGGCATTGCTGAGGTGAAAGACTGGAGGGGTTACTCTGCAAGGATGGGGCGCTATCCTCCAAGATGAAGTATGCATCCTATAACAAAAGCTATTATCTCAAGCTGTGTCCATTAAAGGTGAAATTTATCAGTTTGAACATCAAAGTATAGAATTAGGACTTTCACAACTTGTCTCTCCCAGCCATCCACTTGGGGAATTTCTGCTTTCTGTTACCAAAATCTAGGCTCTGTGATCCAGGGGAGGAATGCTCAACCAGAAGACTTGGGGAGAACACAATTGAACTCTAAGGTGTGGCTGCCACTGTGACATTTCCAAGGCCACATGGCAGGATAGTTGGTATTGATTATCAGGATGTGCAAGAACTGCTATTATGCACTGGGTACAGGAGAGAACAAATCCTCTAGGCACAAGATGGTAATTTTTTTCTAGAAAGAGCTATGTAATATATATAGGCCATGCATTGTGGGTCACAGCTATAGCTGTAGAAGATTCATGATTATGTTCTAATATAACTTTATTTACAAAGTCACAGGATTTGCCTGTGGAACCCAGTGTAATTACCTCTGCTCTAGGACATTTCTTCAAGCTTCAATTTCTTGATAAATAAACAAATGCAGCCACCCAAGCCTTGAGAAAGAGGCTTATAACCCTCAGGAATGAGGGCTGGGTTACCCCAATACATAATTCTCACAGACCAAGCATGGTGCTAGCTAAGATTATGGGGAACCCTGAGTGGGATATTTGACTGGGTGAGAAGATAATCACTAGTGGACTCCCGGCTGGTTACAGTGATAGAGACTATAGTGTGTACTATTAAATTTTTTTCTCTTTTGTTTCTCCAAGAAACAAGGAAAACTAGAATGCTGTAGGTTTTTTTTTTCCCAGATGAGTTGGGTTTGCTACATGATGTGACAGAAGAAATGGACTATAGCAGACGCCTCTTCTGGACAGAGACTCTCATTCCCCCAGCACCCAAGATGGTTGGCTGCTGGTGACCTGCTGCTGAATTATTTGGGAATAGCCCTTGGCCAAAGAGAGCTCCTTTATACAAGATTACACATCCTCTTCAATAACAGGGTAATGTGCTTGAGGGGAAGAGTTCAAAGACCAATACCCTTGTTACATTTTGGCGTAACTCTGAAGGGCCTCTCTATCTCCAGAGCTACTATAGGATTGACTGAGTTCTCATGTGCAATTTATGATATTTTAATGGCTTCTGACCAATTCTTCTTTCTGTGCTCCCGAGAGTCTTTCACAGTACAGCTCATACAAGCCTGTCTGCTCAGAACCTCATACTTAAGGGAGCAGAATTAAGACAGGAATGAAAGTTGAAATTGTATTTTAGAGGAGATGGCAATACTCCTAGATTTTGAAACTGAATCACTGAGACTTTTATAATGTCCCCACACATGGACATAGGAAGCTCAGTAAGAAGTTCGTATTTCGAAATGATGAATTTGTTTTTCTAACCAGCCATTCAGCAGTTTATATTCAGTGGGCATTTTAAAGCTGGAATTGTTAATATGGAAGACTACTTGAGATTGATTCCACCTTTGGTGTTTCATCAAAACCTTAACAGCCCATGGTGGTATTTTTTTCAGAACAGAGTTTCCACAATGGGGGTCCATAATGGCAGGGACTTTGGATATGGTTTTTTCATGCAATTTAGCATTTTATTTAACATTTACTCACTATTACTGCACACCTCCTATACGGCTGGCACTGTTGTAGGCTCTTGAGTTAAAAATTGAGTGAAGCAGAAAATAATTATTTCTATCTTGGAACTTAGATTCTAGTGGAGGAATGGACATTAAACATGATAAATGTAATATATTTTACATTAGATGTGATAAATACCACAGCAGAAAAGTGAAGTATAGAGAATAAGAGCCAGGGCATGTGCGTAAAGCTTTATAGTGTAGCCATGAAAAGACTTTCGGAATGAATTTATGTAGCTCTCTAGGGAAAGAACATTCCAGATATATGGAATTGTAAGTGCAGAGTTTCTGAGGTAGATGGGTGCCAGTCACATGTGAGAAATAGCCGGGAGGTCAGTGTGCATCTCTGATGATCAGTGGGTGTCGTCAGCTGAATAATGGTCCCGAGAGATCTCCTCATCCTAATCCCTGGAACCTGTGAATATGTTGCCTTACATGGTTAAAGAGATCTCACAGATGTGGTTAGGTTGGGGATCTTGAGGAGGGGAGGTTATCCTTCAGTATCCTTTGTGAGTCTGTTGTGTTCAGGAGGGTTTTTATAAGGGAATGCAGGACGACTCGGGAAAGAAGATGATGTGATAATGGAAGCGGGTGTTGTAGTGGGACACTTTGAAGATGAAAGAAGAAATAAGAAAAAAGGCATACATGTGGCCATAAAAAAACTCAAAAGGCAAGGAAACTGCTTCTCTCTGTAAGGTTTTCAGAAAGAGCTATTTCTGCTGACACCTTGGCTTTAGCCAAGTGAAACTGATTTCAGACTTTGATCTCCAGACCTGTAGGAAAATATTTTTTAAGCCACTAAGTTTGTGGTGATTTGTTACAGTGTCAAGAAGAAATTGATACATTGCCTAAAATGAAAAATGATGAGGACCAAAGTATGACAAGTAGTTTGAGAGACATGTCACAAGATTATGGATGGTTTTATAAGACATTGTGAGGATTAAGAAATTTTGCTTTTTCTCTAAAGGAGATGGAAAGTTCTGGCAATATTTGAGAAGAGGTACAATGTGATCTGTCTTGTGCTTTGAAATAAAACACTGCTTGTTTTTATGGAAATAGCCTGAACAGAGTAGTCTAAATAGTAGATTGATTGGTGAGGAGTACATATATAGTCCAACTGGAAAACCGATGTCTTGGACTGCAGTGGCAATATGTAATAGCAAAAGTGGTAAGAGGTGGCCAAATTCTGAATATATCTTGGAGGTTGGTCTTACAGGATTTGCTGACAGATTACCTGTGAGGCATGAGAAAAAGATAAAGTCAAATATAACCTATGTTCTTGGTCTGAGCAATTAGAAAAACGAAATTGCCATTCAGGTGGGGGAAATCAAGTGCTTAAATTTGAGCAATGTGTGTTTGAGATGTCTATTAGAAATCCAAAGGGAGATATTAAGAACTTTATTGGATATATAAGCCTAGAAATCAGGAGATATAATAGAGCTGGAGATAAATATTTGTGAGTCAATCACATATAATACTTAGGAAAGGCATGAGGCATTGTTAAGTCACCAAGAGAGTTAGAGTTGATAAAAATGAGATCTAAGAACAGAATCCTGGAGTGATTCAGATATAAAAGTCAAGGAAATGAGATACCATCAAAGGGTGGTCACAGTCAACAGAAGAGACTGTGGAGACGGAGGTATTCTGGAAGCTAAGTGAAGAACATATTTCAAAGAGGAGAGGCACTTTAATTAAATCACCTGCAGTTGAGGGTAATCGAAGATAAGGATTGATAATTGATCATTGGATTTAGAAATGTGGGGATCATAGGAGACTTTGGTGGATACATTTAATTGATCAATGGAAAAGAGAACTTATTGGAATGGGTTTAAAAGATATTGGGGGAAAAAGACATTAGAAACAAAATAGTTCTTTCAAAATGTTTTATAGACAATGTAAAAAATTAATGCAAAAGAGAATGAGGGTTCCTGAAGCAAAGGTTTTGAGTAGATAAGCGTGGATGGAAACTAAATTCAATCCTGCTAGGATTGGGCATGGAGTCCTATCACAGGAGTTCAAGTGGGATCTTAGGTCACAATGATTTCTAAATCCATAATGCTTTACACAGTGCCTTCTGTATGGTAGATCTTTAATAATTTCGTTTGAATAGAATGATTTAATAAATCTAGAGCCACTCAATACTTAAATCATTGTATTTACTGTTCAATTTTATCATGACTTTATAAATATCACAGTTTTTAAAGATTGTTATTTTGATCTTGGATTTGCTCCTACTGCATCCTTTGGTCAGTGAAGGGAGTGTATGTTACCTAGTCACTGTTCTGGTTATCAGCGCATTGCTACTCAACTCAAAATCTGCCCTTCTTTATATTACTTTGTGATAGTAGACCCAGACCCTATAAACATTTCTTCTTTTCTGACTGGTATAGGACAGTAGAAGACACTGCCAGAGGAAGGAGTTTAAGGAGCTTCTATTCTCTGTTGCACTGTGCTTTTTCTCTCTTGTTCCTGTAGCATGCTGCTGCTGGTGACATGTGAGACATCCAGGGGTGACCTTCAACAACTTTCCCTGCACCCCAGTGAGTGACTTCCTAGTGAGCTTCAGCAGCCCCTGAGGGTGGCTTCCCAGCAGGTCTTACCCATATCCCAGTGTTCAGGTATTTCACTGGTACCTTAGTCAGCTTCCCAGGAATTTCACTGGTGCCTCAGTAGGTGGATTTCTGCTTGCCACCCTTGCCTGTGGCACCATGCTGACTCCATCATGAAGTGGGCCACAGATACACCCTCTCCAACAAGGCCTGAGCCTTACCTAGGTGTATCCTCTCACACCTTTGTTTCTCTTGTGCTTTCTTTGGGTCAGCCCTGACCTGGTGTAGTGGCTGCTCCCTGTATGTATGGTTTGCCTGCTCTTTAGCATTGCCTGTACCCTGTATTAGTTAATCCCCTATTATGAGCTAATAGTTCTTTATATTACATTTTTCTGTGTTTGTTATAGGTGTGTTTTTTTCCCTTCTAACTTAATTTTACCTCATACCGTCATTTAATAATAAGAAGGTATGAATTCCAGTAGAGCTTTTTAAGAACCTGCTAGACACTTTTATTAAACAACATGATAAGAACTGAATAGCTTGATGCTGGATGAAGAAGTAGGGAAAAACTCATAGTGTTTTATAAAGTTCAGTCTCTTTTTATGCTTTTTAAATTTTCAAGCAGGATGCGTCAGAAAAATAACTAATTTGGGAATCATATCTGCAAGTAGGTGCCAGTTTTTATATGAATGCAGTTGATAATCCCAGGCACCTCTAATTTTTGAGACTTCACTTCTGCAGCTATAAGTGAAGGGGAGTTGGATTAGGTAATTTTTAATTTCCTTAAATATTTTTATGAAAGGGCATCCATTGGAGTTAAAGATGGCTTTGCCCATGTGTTGAGGTAAATTGCTAGATCTCTCTAATCCTCCACTTCCCATTTGAAATGGAAAAGAAAAATACATAGAAATACATACTAAAAAGCATTGCTGAAAGTTTTAAAATATGTAAATAGGTGGAGTCATATGCCATATTTCTGGATTAGAAGACACAATATGGTTAAGCTTCCAGTTCTCCCCACAATGATTTATAGTTAATGTAATCACGAATGAAAATTCCAGCAGGCCTTTTCTTTTTTTTTTTTTTTTTTTTGGTAAAATATCTGTATTTTTTTTTCTGGAAATTAGAAGGCTCTTGAAGATCCAAAACAATCATGAAAAGCATAATAAAATGGGAGGATTTACACTACCTAATTTTAAGAGGTTGTACAAAGGTACAGTGGTCAAGACAATGTGACATAGACAGTTGTTGCAAGACAGATATTCACATAAAATAGATGAATAGCTTAGTAGAGGAGACAGAGCCCAAATATAGACCCACATATAGTCAGTTGATATGTAACAAACTGACCATGGTAATTCCATGCAGAAAGAAAATCATATCAACAATTAAGACAGAAATAACTAATAATTTCTATTGAAAAATAAAGGAAAAATGATACTCCATGGAGAAACAAAACTTAATCTTAATCTTAAACAAAACAAAACTCAACAAATATTAGTCAACCACTGACCTAAAAGTAAGAGTTAATAAATGAAAGCTGAAAAAATATCTTCATGATCTTGAGGTAGGGAAAGATTTCTTAGATACCATTCAAAAATAAGTCAACATAGAAAATGAAAAAAAAAATTATTTGGGCTTCATAAAAATTAAAAATTTTTACTTCTAAAGAGACACAAGAAAGTGAAAAGTCAAGCCAAAGAATAAGAGAAAATATTTGACATAAATGTCTGAAAAATAACATATTCAGAGTATGTGAAGAACATCTACAAGTCAAAACTAAAAAGACAACCCAATTAGTAAATGGACAAAACATTTGAACGAGTAACAAAAGAAGTCACAGGAATGGTCATGAACATATGAAGAATTGATCATCCTTATTAGCCACCACAATGGACTCCATAAATCCACTGAGGATGATGGAGCCTTAAAACTGAAGCATGTAATTTTCAGAGACAAGGAATCTGTGGTTACTCTAATAACTAGATGTTACCCAGAGAGATCCTTGGTACTGTTTTATTCATGCTGCCTCTTCCGAGATTCTCCAAGATTCTACAGAATTACTTGAATTTAATTCTATACTGACTCTAGTGTCTGAAAAGTCTATTGTCCAGCCAGCCAGTTGGGTTAGGGGTATATGAAGGCCAGGTAACAAATGGACTTTGGTCTGAGATTCACTTTACATCGGAATCATTTGGTCCTCAAACACATCCAATGGTTATTTTCTCAGTTTCTGAAACCATAGTATACAATAAACACACTCAGCAAGGAGCAGTATTTTTCATATTGATTATCTGACTAGTGAGATAAGATCCATTACAGTAGAACCAGCTAAATTGAAAGCACTAGATCTACCTACACCTACAAAACTAGATAACCCAAAGCAGTATGTATTCCTGAATGGTCCAGAGAAATCAGTGCTACCTTCGAGGAATTGAAGAATGCAGGGGTAGTGATTTCTACCATATCCTATTCTAATTACCCCCCTCATCTATGCAAAAAGGAGATAGACTATGGAGATTGACAATGGATTATCACCTGTATCATGTAGCAACTCCAATTGCTAATGTAGCATTCATTGGGTTTTCTTGACTAGAGCAAGTCAACATAGTATTTGCTACCCAGTGTGCAATTATTGATCTGGAGAACTGTTTTTTCCCCTGTGTACCCTTTAGTAAATACCACCACCAACAGCAGGCTTCCAATTTCCATAGCCATTTACTGACCTATCTCATAGCTATTCCAACTCTGTGACCTTCTGTCACTATCTGGCCTGAAAGGGCCTTGGTTGCATTCCCATTCTCTAAATTATTCTAGTTCATTATATTAGTATGTGATTGGACCTATTGATCAGGAAGTAGGTCTGCCTCATGATATAGTTATTTGTGTATACACATTTTAATACTTTTCTATGACACATATGGACCAGGGGGAAGAATGTAAATCCTTTTACCTTATCCATCTTTACACAGAAAGTAGACACCTGTCTAGCAAGAATCCACCATTTTCCTCCTGCCCCTAGCACCAAACTTGGATATGTAGCATCCTTGTAAGCCAGCGTTTAGGAAAGTTGTTTTTTGATGTTTCCACACTACAGGATCTATGTATCACTATTCAAGTACTGAATTCATTATAAACTGAAAGATAAGAAGCATATGTACTTATTTGTTAAGAATTATGCATATATTATTCAAACAAAAATATTTGATAGTGTCAGGTTGAGACTTTTTAGCTGTTACCTCAATGTTTGTTGCACAGAAAACAATGTTATCCTATTTGAGACCCTCACATATGTATACAGAAAATATGTGAGTACCTTAAAATGGTTCTTTCCAAAATCTATTCCACTATCTTCATCTAGAAGTAAATTCTCTTTATAATATTTTGGGTATCTTTTCAAATATTTTAGTAAATTTTTATTTAAATAATAATTCATATTTAAATTATCTATGTTATTCAATGCAGGGAAAAGTATATACTGTGATTTTATTTACTTGTTCAACTTTTTCTTTTGACAGTAAAATTTATTTTTTGAACTTACATAATTTTCTATGTACCTAGCTTTATTTATTTAATGTAGAATCTGTCATGTACCTTTGGATGGTTAATTTTAGATTTCAACTTGACTGAATTAAGATATTCAGATGGCTGGTAAGGCACTATGTCTGGGTGTGTCTGTGAGGGCGTTTCTGCAAGACTGCTGCGTGACTTGGTGGAATGTGTAAGGGAGATCTGCCCTCACCAAATCTGGATGGGCACTGTTTAGTGGGCTGAGGTCAAGACAGAACTAAAAGATAAAGACAGTCCTCTCTTTCTATCTGTCTTGCATGCCTTCGTGCATGCTTCTGGACTCAGCCACTGTTTTCCTGCTCTTGAACGTCGGAACTCCAGGTTTTTCAGTTTTGGACTCCAAGTTTGCAACAGCAGTACCCCAGGTTCTTGGGCCCTCTGCCTCGGACTGGGCTGAGAAGGGATGTGAGTTATACCATTAGCTTCCCTGATTGTGAGGCATTTGAATGTAGACCGAGTCACACTACAAGCTTTCCTGTTTCTCCAACTTGCGGAAGTCCTCTCATGAGATTTCTGTCCCTCCATAACTGTGTTAGCCAGTTCTATTAATCTCTATGTGTCCTGTTGGTTGTGTTGCTCTGGAGAACCCTAATACATGCCTACTTATGCTTTCCCCAGGCCATACACTCAAACATAGCAGATAAGCTAGCAAAGCCATTTTTTCCCCTTGGTGATCTTCTCCTTGGAACAATCTACTTTCCTAGTCACATGCAGACTGATTTCACCTTTGGAATGCTCTAAGGTTGTTTTTCTGGATCTCTTCTTTGCTAAATCCCTTGTTTGCTTAGATTATCAATTTTCAATTTTTCTTGGTTTGCCTCTATTCAATTGATTTGTAAAATGGCATGCATGGAAAATACATTTTCTTTGCATTCTTAAATGACCTAATCTCTATTATTTTTTTTTCAAATTTGGAGCACAAATTTCTAGAAGGGACCCAAGGAGTCTAATATCTCTATATGAAAATTTTCTATCAATTTCCTTATTTTCAGTCTCCAAGGTCATTCATGCTTGCCTTGGATCTGAATATTTCCAAAAGCCTTATCAGCTTACATTTCATTAAGTGCTGGCCTCTGAAGGCATTTCAGGTTTTTGTCTCTGAAAACTTTACTAATTTATCAGCTGCCATCTTCCAAATATTTGCTGAAGTCCTTTGTTCACTGATATTTTTGATACTACTTTTGTTTTTGACAATTCATGTTTTGTAATTTTTTTTTTTTTGAGACAGGGTCTTGCTCTATCATCCAGGCTGGAGTGCAGTGGCATGATCACAGCTCACTGCAACCTCGACTTCTCAGCTCCAGTGATCCTCTTGCCTGAGCCACCTGAGTAGCTGGGACCACAGACATGCACCACAATGCCTGGCTGATTTTCGTGTTTTTTGTAGAGACAGGGTTTTGCCATATTGCCCAGGCAGATCTCAAACTCCTGAGCTCAAGCAATCCACCTGCCTCAGCCTCCCAAAGTGCTGGGATTACAGGCATGAGCCACGACACCTGGCCCTGTAATTTTTTGCTATTATTCTAGAAGGGTTTTTAGAGTAAGATGATATGTATGTATAGCCAATTGGCTGTGTTGAAATAGAAATTTTTCTTTAATTTCTGTAGATTCTCAGCTAATCTCCATACAATTATTAGGGTACACATTTTTTCATTGCTGTACTTGTTCTTCCTATTCTTCATGCTTTCTCCTATGATCAAACATTTTTGAGGACCAGGTATTGTGCTATAGGCTGAAGGTACAACATTTGGATCTGCCTAAAGTGTTCAAAGTCTGTCGGACAGTCAGTGGTGAAGAGGAACATTTAAAATTTCTAAAAGCATATTACATAATTTTATATTTAGAACGCTTAAAATATTATTTATAATACATACATATAATACATACAAAAAAGGAAGTAAAGCTTGACAGAATATTGTCTGATTTGGAGACACAAATGAGAATTTCCGTTATAAGAATATCTAGACATTGTTACAGGAGGGCTAACATGTTTAATTTATCACACAGAAGGTAGATAAAATATTGAGGAACAATGCTATATATAATGTACAGGTTTTACAAATTCACTTTCTTGTTCTTCTCTCTAAATAGCTTGTAATGATGCTTAATCATCTTGGCTAGGCAGAATTCTTGGTCTGAAACTGTCTTATCTCAAGATTTCTATTTTGTGATGTCTGGTTCTTGCAACAGGACTCTTATTACTAATCACAGACTGTTTTCACTTCTCGTTAACTCCTGAACAACTATCTGACACAGTCACTTTTTGTTTTAGTAACATTGGTGAACTACATTTTTATTCTTTTTGGGAGCTGTGTCCCTCCACAGAATCAGTGTTCTTTGTGGATTTTGGCAATGGAAAATATATTTTTAAATGCCTTCACAAGTAAAGCCCCTGTTTTCTAGAGTACACACTTGATTGAGCCCTTCTAGCAAAGTGCTGTGCCCCTCTTTCCTCAATACAATGTAATATTCCATGGCGAAAAGTCTCTCAGGCTATCAGTATCTAGTTATTTTACATTCACTATCATGAGAAATGTATTGAGCAAGAGTTTTCTAATAAACATAGCTTACAGAATGTGTTCATTGTTAAAAAGTAAGCTACGAAAGTAGTGCGAGATAAAGGCAACTTTTATTATGACTGAGCAGAGATTAAGCATTTTCTGTCATTTATTATTTTTATTGCAATATAAGTAGAAAAATATATTCTAGTCTTTATTGGACTGATTTTTGCTTTTGCTTGTTACTTCTCTAGTTCAAAAATGTAGATAGTTTTGTTTTAATAAAGCAAATTATATATACATACATATTTATATATTTATATGCATATATATGCATATATATTGTATATACACAATTTGCTTTGAAAGCTTAAATATTGACTTTTTATATGCGGTAACTTTTCCTTGAAATTTCAATTCCATTATAGTTTTAATAAACAACTGGATTAAGGAAGATCCTAACATCTGTCTATTATATACTTTTATTAGGATATACTGCAGTCACCCGTTTTCTGAGGAAGTTTATTGGTAAGCTAAGCATATTTATAAATTGGGTAGAACTCTGCCATCTTAGAAAGAAAATAAGAAATTATTTAGCATTAACCATACACTTCCATTTTAATGACTTCTGGAACATCCCGTGTGTTTTATAATTTCTGTTATATAGATTTTTTTTCCTATTTATGAAGTCATATGAGGTATGTTTAGAACTTGTCTAATCATTAAGATTTATGTTCATAATCTATTATGGTTTGAGGAGGTCAATTTAAAAATTAATGATACCTGAGAAATTAAAAATGGATGTCTTAGCAATAATATGTATTTTCAATTATAATGAAAAAAGTTCTAAAACATAATATACACGTGATTGAGAAATATACAATATATGTGAATTTTTATCTTTCAATGTGATGCTGTTTTATTCAATGAAAAGCCACTATTGAATAGTTTCAAAATCATCCTTTGATTAACTTGGTTTTTTTCAGAGTCTATGCTTTAAGCATTAGAAAATAATGAAGTTAACTTTGAAATTTAAAATAATGATGCAATAACATCCTCCATGCTCTTCCAAAGTCAGAATGCCTGAATCTTGGGAGTCCAAGAGAGTGAAGTGATATTTATGCAAGCATTTTGTAATATCTCAGAGCCTGCCAGAATTACCACCAGTGGAATAGCTGCTGACAGCATCTTGGTGGGTCTGGTACGTGGGGACTAGTTAATAGACATGTCAGGGTGATTAATGTACTTCTCATTGCTTCAGTAGAGATCAGTTTTTTGGTCAGTATAACTGTCAGATGATGAAAGTGGTGCTTTTAAGGATTTTTTATATGACTGAATAATGCCCATGAATCTTGAGTGATATTTGGCATGCTAACATTATCACAAACTTTTGAAAACCATATTATATTTTGAAAAATTGAAAGGATCAATGTAATCTTTATGAATTAAAAAATTCTTTAAAATTTATGAAAACAACGGATCATTACCTTTGTCCAATTCCATCCTACTGATCTTACAGTTGATTTAAAAACAAAGTAAATATGAAGCGTTGAGAAAACGTATCAACTTAATTCAGAGAGAGTTTTCATGTGTCCATAAAAAAAGTGATATTTTGGCCTTGGAGACATTTAGTGTCTTTTGACTATCAGCAGGTTGCTTGTTACTCATTGACTTCTCTCAGTTGTAGGGAAAAATATGAAAACTCCATGATCATGACGGCCTTGCCAGAAGTGTCTGCCAGTCTGCAGCAATAGCAGAAAAGGGCAGAAGGAGCAGGAGGACACTTAATCTGGCTTCAGGCTGTGCCACCTGCAGTTCCACCAGCACTGCCTTTAGTAGCAAAAGTAGCAAAAACGTCTGCTGTAGCTTCTAGGCTGAAAGATACAGCCTGTTTTAAAAAGCATTGTGTTCAAATATTTTTAAAAGTGGCTGGATATATCACACTTGGTAGGAATTGAGGTTTGTCTCTGTCAGGGGGCATCTTTTCAAACAGAAGTTCTTAAAAATAATAAGCAAACGTCAAAACCCACAAGAAGACCTATTTCTTTTTAGTTCGTGTATTTCTTGTGAAGATGGGGAAAGTTGTTTAAAATAAAGTATGTGTTGTCAGTGGAATATATTCTGCAATATTAAACTATCTTTATTCCTTCTATGGAAATGTAGCCTAGCATTTCTCTATTTAGCTCTGTTTTTCTGCTTTGAATGGCAAAATTACAGGAAGTTTACACATATGCATAAGAAGGAATTCCCTGAGATTAGCAGAAATCCATTTTTTTTCATACCATAACATATGTAGAATTTAGAACGCCTTAGATCTGCTGTTCCCCCAAAACATTACAAGTTGTCGACTGAGAATTGTTTTTTTATTTTTATTTTTTTCTGAGACGGAGTCTTGCTCTGTCACCCAGGCTGCAGTGCAGTGGCGCGATCTCGGCTCACTGCGACCTCTGCCTCCCAGGTTCAAGCAATTCTCCTGCCTCAGCCTCCTGAGTAGCTGGGATTACAGGTGCCCACCATCACACCGGGCTAATTTTTGTATTTTCAGTAGAGATGGAGTTTCACTATGTTGGCCAGGCTGGTCTCCAACTCCTGAGCTTGTGATCTGCCCACCTTGGCCTCCCAAAGTGCTGAGATTATAGGTGTAAGCCACCACGCCCAGCCATTTTTTAAATTTTTAATTCATAATTTTTGTGGGTATGTTGTACGTGTATATATTTATGGAATACATAAGATACGTTGGTACAGGCATGCAATGCATAATAATCACATCATGAAAAATGAGGTATGCATTCTCTCAACCATTCACCTTTTGTGTTACAAACAATCCAATTATATTGTTTTAGTTATTTTAAAATGTACAAATAAATTATTGACTATAGTCACTCTGTTGTGCTATAAAGTACTAGGTCTTATTCATTTTTTCTAACTATTATTTTGTATACATAAACCAGCCCTGCTTGCCTCCAGCCACTCACTATTACTCTTCTCAGCTTCTGGTAACTAACCCTCTATTCTATCTCTGTGAGTTTAATTATTTTGAATTTTAGTTCCCATAAATAAGTGAGAACATGGGATGTTTGTGTTTTTGTGCTTGACTTATTTCACTTAACATAATGACCTTCAGTTACATCTATGTAGTTGCAAATGATAGGATCTCATTTTTGTATGGCTCAATACTACTCCATTGTATATAAGTACCACATTTTCATTAACCATTCATCTATTGATGAACACTTAGGCTGCTTCCAAAACTTGGCTATTGGTAACAGTGCTGTAAAAAACATGGGAGTGCTGATAGCATTTTGATAAACTGATTTATTTTCTTTTGGGTACCCAGCAGTGGGATTGCTGGATTCTATGGTAGCTCTATTTATAGTTTTTTGAGGAACCTCCAAATATTCTACATAGTGGTTGTGTTAATTTCCATTCCCACCAACTGTACAAGGTCTCCCTTTTCTCCACATCCTCACCAACGTTTGTTATTGCTTGTCTTTTGCATAAAGCCATTTTAACAGGGGTGCATTCCTCTGATGATCAGTGGTGTTGAGCACATTTCAAATGCCTGTTTACCATTTGTATGTGTTCCTTTGAAAAATGTCTATTCAAATCTTTTGCCGTTTTTAGTTGGATTAGATTAATCAGATTAGATTAGATTAAATTAATTAGATTTTTTTTCCTATAGAGTTCTTTGAACCTCATATATATTCTGGTTATTAATCCCTTGTCAGATGGGTAGTTTGCAAATATTTTCTCCCATTCTGTGGGTTGTCTCTTCACCTTTGTCATTGTATCCTTTGGTGTGCAGAAGCTTTTTAACTTGATGTGATCCCATCTGTCCATTTTTGCTTTGGTTGCCTGTGCTTGTGGGGTATTACTCAATAAATGTTTGCCCAGAAAAATGTGCTGGAGAGTTTACTCAATGTTTTCTTGTAGTAATTTCATAGTTTCAGGTCTTAAATTTAAGACTTTAATTCATTTTGATTTAATTTTTGTATATGACAAGATATGGTGATCTAGTTACCTTCTTCATATGGCTATTCAGTTTTCCCAGAAGCATTTATTGAAGAGATAGTCTTTTTCCCAGTGTATGTTCTTGAAAACTTTGTTGAAAATGAGTTCAATGTAGATGTGTGAATTTGTTTCTAGAATCTCTATTCTGTTCCATTGGTCTATATGTCTGTTTTTATACAAGTATCATGCTGTTTTGCTTACTATAGCTCTATAGTATAATTTGAAGTCAGATAATGTGATTCCTCTAGTGTTTATTTTGCTCAGGATAGCTTTGGCTATTCTGGGTCTTTTGTGTTTTCATATAAATTTTAGAATTGTTTTCTCTATTTCTGTGAAGCATGTCCTTGAAATTTTGATAGGGATTGCATTGAACCTGTAGTTTGCTTTTCGTAGTATGGACATTTTAACAATATTGATTCTCCCAATCCATGAACATGGGCTATCGTTGCATTTTTGGTGTACTCTTCAATTTCTTTCATCAATGTTTTTGTAGTCTTTATGTAGAGATCTTTCACTTCTTTGGTTAAGTTAATTCCTGTCTATTTAATTTTTATGTGAGGTTATTGTAAACGGGGTCAATTTTTTTTTCAGATTGTTCACTGTTGTCATATAGAAATGCTGTGGATTTTTGTACGTTGTTTTTGTATCCTGCAACTTTAGTGAATTTGTTTATCAGTTATAGTAGAATTTGATGGAGTCTTTAGGTTTTTCCAAATATAAGATCATATCATCTGCAAAACAAAATAATTTGACTTGTTTCTTTTCAACTCGGATGATCTTTATTTCTTTGTCTAGTTTCATGGCTGTAGCTAAGACTCCTAGTGTTATGTTGAATAACAGTGGTAAAGATGCCCATCCTTGTCATGTTCCAGATTTTAGAGGAAACGTTTTCAGTTTTTCCCCATGCAGTATGATGCTAGCCATGGGTCTGTCATATATGGCTTTTATTATGTTGAGCTATGTTCATTCTTTACCCAGTTGTTTGAGGATTTTTATCATGAAGCTATGTTGAATTCTATCAAATTCTTTTTCAGCATCAATTGAAATCAGCATATGATTTTTGTTCTTCATTCTGTTGATATTATATATCCCATTGATTGGTTTGTATATGTTGAAACATCCTTGCTTTTCTGGGATAAATCCCATTTGGTCATGATGAAAGACCTTTTTGGGGCTTTTTGCATCTATATTCATCAGAGATATTCCCTGTAGTTTTCTTTTCTTGAGTGTCTTTGTTTGGTTTTGGTATCAGGACAATACTGGCTTCACAGAATGAGTTTACAAGTATTCCCTCCTTCTCTATTTTTTAGAATAGTTTGAGTAGGATTGGTATTCATTCTTCTTTAAATGCTTAGTAGAATTCAGCAGTGAAGTTATTGGGTCCCTGGCTTTTCTTTACTGAAAGACTTTTTATTACAGCTTTAATATTTTACTTACTATTGGTCTGTTTAGGTTTTGGATTTCTTCAATGTTCAATCTTGGTTGGTTGTATATGTCTAAGAATTTATCTACTTTCTCTGTATTTTCCAGTGTATTGGCATATAGTTGTCCATAGTAGCCAGTAATGATCATTTGAATTTCTGTGGTATTAGTTCCAATGTCTGGTTTTATATCTCTGATTTTACTTATTTTATTTATTTATTCATCTCTGATTTTATCTTCTCCCTTTATTTCTTCATTAGTCTGGCTAAAGATTTGTCAATTTTGTTTATCTTTTCAAAAAAACAACTTTTTTGTTTTACTGATTTTTAATATTGGTTTCTTCACTTTAATTTCATTTATTTCTGCTTTGATGTTTATTATTTCTTCTAATTCTGGTTTCAATTGTCTCTTTTCTAGTTTTTTAAGATATATCATTAGATTATTTAAAGTTTTTCTTATTTGATGTAGGCACTTATAGCTGTAAATCTCCATTTTAGTGCTACTTTTGCTGTAACCTATAGCTTTTGATATGTTGCGTTTCCATCATCATTTATTTGAATATTTATTTTTTTATTTTCTTAATTACTTCATTGACCAGCTGGTCATTTAAGAGCATATTGCTTAATTTCTATGTGTTTGTATAGTTTTCAAAATTATTATTATTATTGATCTGTGATAGTACTTCATTTTTTTAATGTTTTGAGAATTGTTTTGTGAACTGACATAAAATCTATCCTCAAGAATGATTCATGTCCTGAAAAGAAAAATGAGTATTCTGCAGCCATTGGATGAAGGGTTCTATAAATATCTATTAGATACATTTTGTCTGTAGTGCAGACCCTCTTCAATGCCTCTCTCAGTGGTATGAAGTTAAAACCAGGTACTGTGATTGTTCATCTGATTTTTGGTTCTTCTGAGGCTGCTTTTCTATGTACCCATAGTTGTTAAAGTTCATGTTCTGTGGGAGGACGAACAGTATAGGCCTCTATTCTGTCAACTTTCCCCACCTTCTGATTGAGGAATTTTGAAATGAAAGTTCCTAAAACATTTTAATTACACAGAGCAAGTTGAAATACCAAATTACTGAAGACTGGCAATCTTTAGAACTTTTTAAAACTGAAAGCAACATGAGTAAAAAAAATTTTTAAAAAAGCTAAAATCTGTATTAGTTTTCTATTGTTGCTCTAACAAATCTCCACAAACTTCAGAGATTAAAATAACACATGTTGTCTTACAGTTCTAGAGGGCAGAAGTCCAAAATCAATTCCACTGGGCTAAAATGCAAGTGCAGACAGACCTGTGTTTCTTCTGTCTGCTCTGGGGCGGGAAGGGAGTTTCTGGCCTTTTCCAGCTTCTAGAGGCCTCCTTCATTACATGGCTTGTGGCCTCTTTCCTCCAACTTCAAAGCGAGCAGCATGGCATTTTCTCTCCTCTCTAACTGCTGCTTCCTCATTGCAGCATCCTTCATCACATCTGCAAAGTATTTTTTGCAGGTAAAGTAACATATTAATATTTACAGGTGCAGGGGTTAGGACATGAAAATATTTTCTTTTAGGTTTTCCCTAAAATACAATACATTGAACAAAAGTTATTCCAATTGATAAAAACGTTAATGATATTAAATGTCCAGGTCCCAGATAGTGTCAGTATTTTTTGCTTTTATTTAAAATTTTTCTTTATTTTTATTATTGTTGATTTTTTAAAGCCACGGAATGGCTTTTTATTGCATTGTATAAACTTTCAGCTTGACAGTGAGTTGGAAGAGCATTCATGTTCGCATGAACATAACTTGTTTTGCTTACTATTGCTACTAATAATAAACAGTGAATAGTTGGACTAATTCCTTCACTCTTTGTGGAAAACGTTAACTTCTCTGCCAGTTCTGTGCCCTGTTAAGTACTGTGGGGCCATGTGACTAGCTAAAATAATGTCAAACCTGACACCCCCAGAGCACCCCTCATATAAGAGGATGTCTAGATTTATGTTTCTGCTTTCCTTACTAGAAATCTGGGATTTGGATATTTGAAACTTACACATGATGACCTTAGGAGTGCTCAATTTCCAGCAAATGTCTTATTTTTTTTATGTTATAAATCAAACATTGGTTATTATATGTGCTTCTTTATAAGATTTGTGTATATCATGGTCCAGATCATATAACAATGCGTGTTCACCCAGTTCTTTAATACTTAGAGAAATTTTAATCTGTGGGTTCACACAGTTGTAACCCAAGAAATTTATCTGGAGTTACCATTCTAGATTATAAGCAGAATTCTTAACCAAAGAGCACCCTTTTAATTCCAGCTTTATATGCTGTTTTAGAGGAACTTAAGTTATGCTATAGTAACAAGTATCACAAAATCAATATAGTTTAACAGAGAAGAAATATATTCCTTGTTCATACAAGCCTTGTATTGGTCTGGAAGGGAAGATGTCTGCTGCTCTGATTTAGTGGCACCTTCATTTTACCATTTGAATTTTAATGTTATGAACTGAATATGTTCCCCCCAAATTCATTTGTTGAAGCACTAACTCTAAAAGTGAAGGTATTTGGAGGTGGAGACTTTGGGAATAAATTAAGTTTAGATGAGGTCATGAGTGAGAGGCCCCATGATGAGATTAGTGTGTCAAGAAGAGGAAGAGACATCAGAGCTCTCTCTCTGTGTTATGTTGCCACACAATGCTACATGATGGCCATCTGTAATCAGGAAGAGAGCCTTCTCCAAGGGCCCCCTCCAAGAACCAGACTATGCTAGCACCCTGTTCTCAGACTTCAGACCTCTGAGAAGTTAATATCTACTGTTTAAGCTATGCAGTCTATGGTATTTTGTTATAGCAGTCCAAGCAGACTAAGGCACTTTTGGTCATCTGGAGCAATGAAAAGAACAAAACAAAACATAAAGAATCACACATTGGTGTCCCCCATCTGTTTCTGTTTAATTGACCAGACCTAACCAAAGGGCCATGCTTTGCTTAATGCCGGTAGGGAAGTAAAATACTCTATGTGCTGACAATCCAAGGAAAACAGACATTGGGAAGCCTGGTCATGTCACCATATTTGCTCAAACTGAAAAGGTCAAAGCTAGCATCGGAGTCACAAACTTTGATAGAGTTTCGAGTGATATCAAAACAGAAAACCCTGTCAAAAGGTTGCTTGTAAGACTGAAAATAGCTTTTATAGAAAAGATAATACCTGTATTAGTTTCCTGTGACTGCCATAACAAATGATCACAAACTGGGTCAGAGGAGAAATGTATTATTTCACAGTTCTGGAGGCCACAATTCTGAAAGGAAGGTATTGATAGGGCCACATTTCCTCCACGGGCTCTAGGGGAGAATTATTACTGTGACTTCTAGGTATCTTCTCTTCTGTGTCTGGGACATTTTATTGGAATTAAGACTTACTCAGATAATCCAAAATTATCTCACTGGAAGATCCCTAACTTAATTACATCTTCAGGGACCCTTGTCTTAGTTTGTTCTGATTGTTATAACAAAATACCTTAGACCGGGTAATTTATAAATGATTAAAGGAAAACTTCAGCCGATTTAAATGTAAAAGAGTTTAACTAAGCAATGAATGATTCACGAATCGTGCAGCCACCAGAACCACAGCAGATTCACAGAGGCTCCAGGGGTGCCTCGTGGTCAGAACAAATTCATAGATCAAAAAGGTAAAGTGAAGTACAGGAATCGGATGTGACGTATGAAATAGTGAGATTGGTTTCAGCTCAGAGTTTGCCTTATTTGAACACAGTCTGAACATTCAGCAGCGTATTAGTGGTTGAAGTATGGCCGCTGGGATTGGCCAACACTCAGCCATTGTTACAGGTGCATACTATTAAGTTAGGTTTTCAATTTTGTCTGAATATTAAGCTAGGTTACAGTTCATCCACAATAACTCAAATATAGAAATACAGAGTGCTTCTCAGGCCATATTTAGTTTGTTTTAACATAAACAATAGAAATTTATTTCTCCTGGTTCTGGAGACTGCAAAGTCCATGATGAAAGCATGGGGAGATCTTATGTCTGTGAACCTGTTCCTCATAGGTGGCACCTTCTCAGTGCTCTCACATGGTGGAAGAAGCTGAGGGCTACTTCAAGAATCTTTTCTGAGTGCACTAATTCTGTAAGAGCTCCATCCTCATGACTCAAATCACTTCTGAAAGGCCTTATGTCTTCATACTGTCACACTGCAGATTAGGTTCAAACATACATATTTTAGGAAAATGTATTCAGACCATAGCATTCCACCTCTGGTTCCCCAAAATTCAAGTCCTTCTCACATGAAAAATGTATTCATTCCGTCTCAGTGGCCCCAAAAGTCTTAACTTGTTCCAGCACAGATTCAAAAGTCTAAATTCTGAAGTCTCAACTAAATGTCATCTAAACCAGATGTAGGTGAGACTCAAGGTATGTTTATTCTGAGAGAAATTGCTCTCCATCTGTGATTCTGTGAATCAAATAGGTAAAGAGCTTCCAAAATGCAATGGTGGGACAGACATAGAATCGACATTCCCATTCCAAAAGGGAGAAGTAGGAAGGAATACTACAACAACAACAACAAAGTAAACGATAAATCTTAAGGCTCCAGAATAATCTCCTTTTGATGCCCCATCTTCCAATCTTCCAGGCACACTTGGGCAGGCGTTGGGCCCCCAAGGCTCTGGGTGTCCCAGTCCCAGCCCACATGACAGCACTTACATATTAGAGCCACATGCCAGGCTGGAAATGCCCTCTAGTGGCTCTACTGGTCTATGGTCAGAGGGTAGGCCTGCTCCTATGACTCTGCCAAGCACAGCCTTAGTGGAGGCTTTTTGTGGTGGCCCCACCCCTATGTCAATTCTTTGCCTGAGCCTCAAGACTTTCCAGGGCATCCTTTGAAATCTGTGTGGAGTCAGCTTTCCCTCTATGGTATTGCACTGTGTGTCCTGGTGGAGATGATACCTAGAGAACATTACCAACGTTTATCATCTGTGCCCTCCAGAAAGGTGGCCACTGGAGCCCACACCACACTTGGACCCTCTGGAGCCATGCCTGGAATGACTGAGCAGTGCTGTGTCAGAAAGCAGGGAGCAGAGATGAGGTAGCATAGGGCAGGAAGTGCTGAGCTCCAGTGGGCATCCTGGGCCCCTCTTTTGACCTTGTTCTGTCCCCTAGGCCTTGGCACGCTGGGCCTGTGATGGGAGCAGCAGCCGTCATGATGTCTGAAATGCTTTTAGTGGGGGTCATTCCTCCATTGCCTTGATGAAAAGCACCTGGCTTCTGCAGTTCCATGTTAATCTGATCAAATGGTTGCTGGGCCACATCCTTGGTATTCTCTCCCAAACATACCTTTTCATTCTTTACAACATGGCCAAGCTGAGAATTTTCTAAATCTTTTAAGTCCTGCTTGTATTTTGACTATAAATTTTTATCTTCAACTTGTTTCCCTCTTCTCACATTTTACTGTATAAGTCAAGAGAAGCTGTAGTCCACACTTAACACTTTGCTTAGAGATTTCTTCCACCAGATATCCTATTTCATCATTCATAAGTGTCTCTTTTCAAAAACCACTGAACACTAAACACAGGCAGTTTCTTTACTACTTCATAAGAACTTTTGCCTTTACTCCAGTTTCCAATAACACGTTCTACATTTTTGTGACCTCATCACAATGGCCTTTATTGTCTGTATTTCTGTAAGCATTCTGCTTTTGACCACTTAGGTAATCTCTAAGAAATTTGAGGCTTTCTCTAAAGCTTTCCTTTTCTTCCGAGCCCTCATTAGAATCACCCTTTATAGTCCACTTATGACAATAAACTTCAATACCCTTTCAGCCTCTGTGCTCATTACCCAGTTCCAAAGTCACTTCCACATTTTTAGGTATCTGTCACAGCAGCACCCCATTTCTCAGTACCAATTTCTGTCTTATTCTGTTCAGACTGCTATATCAAAATACCTTAGACTGGGTCATCTATAAACAACAGAAATTTATTCTATCTGGAGGCTGGGAAGTCCGAGATCAAGTGTCTAGCAGATTCATTGTCTGGTAAGGGCCTGTTTCTCATAGATGGCATCTTCTTGCCGTGTTCTTCCTTGGTGTAAGGGATAGGGGAGCTCCCTTGAGCTTTTTTTTTTTTTATAAGGATATCAGCACGTACAGACTTAATCAATTTCTGAAGGTCCCACTGCTTACTATTACCACACTAAGGAATAGACTCAAACATAAAAGTGTAGAGGCGATACCAACATTCAGATCATAGCAACCCTCTGTTCCCCAATAATGTCACATTCACAAATTCTGAGTGGAATATATATAAATATATATATAAATATATATAAAAATATATATACACACACATATACATATACATAAACACATACATATATACACACATATACATACACATACACACATACACATATATACACACATACATATATACACACACGTATATTATGTATATAAAATATGTAAGTGTGGTGTTTGTGTGTGGGTGTGTAGTATGTATACATGAGGGGACACCGTCTAGCTCACTACAGTCTACAGTCGCAAAAACCAAGGGCTTTTTAAACAATCTTGCCTAGGACAAGCTGTGGTCATGCCACTTGCTAGCTTGCTAATCCCTGTTTTATATTAGAATTACATAGCAAATCTTCTCTTCTTTAATTATACTTGTAGAGACTGCTGGACTGCCTGGAGCTCAAGTATCACTGTCAGTCATCCGTTTTACAGACACAAACCTATGAGAGTCCAAATTGAGAAAGAGGTTGAGAGTATTAATAACATTATTTTAATAAACCATTTTTGAGCTCTTATTCAAAAGGCACTAGCCTAAGCATTCAGGACATAGATAAAAATGAGAATTTATTCTCATTTTAAACTCATCCATTTAAAAGCATTGTTAAATATATTCCCTTGTCATGTAACTATATTTTATTAAAATAGTGAAGTTCAGAGTAAAACACAGTCTATCATTTATTTTCCATTTCTGAAAAATGGTGAAGTGTAATTGTCCTGAGAGGACTTAAAGAGATTTGGGGAAGTGAATAGAATATTTACTCCATCCCAGCTACACAAAGAAGTTTTAGTAATAACAGCAAAGTTACTAAAGAGTTTGTACTTGTTACTCTTAATGATTAAATTCACAATTTTGGAAAATAAAAGTAACATGTAGTTACTATTCTAGGTTTCTATTCCAAACTAGCCTTACAAGTTAAGCAAATTTGAAATAAAGATATTTTATGTCACAATGTGATTTCATCAATGAATTTACAGGAAATAGAATGCATAGCACTGTTTCAGATATTGCTCATAACAATTCTGTCTTAATTATTGTTTGTATCTATACATTTCCATTTATGAAAAGGTAAAGGTAAATGCTAAGATATGCACAAGTCACAAGATTATGTAATGATTCATGAAAGTCTGGAGATCATACTAGCCAGCACTGGTGTCTTCAGTTTACAGGAACTGTCCAGCATTTTATTTGGGCATGAGGTTCTTCAGGTTCTGGGCTTGAAGACATTCAGTCTGTTCCCACTGAACTCATAGAGCAGATAATGACTTTATCTGTATCCCCTCACCCTTATGACTGTGCCTGCTACCTGATTTCCAGCTTTTGCACCTGCTTCTTTTTGTCTGAAGACTTTCTGTGGCTGTAGAAAACACTTTGGCTTGTGTGCAGCTGGCTGGATGTGTCTTAGGTAGAATCCTCAAAAAATGGCTAACAGGAGATGGTCTATAACGACCCCAGCTCTTTCATCGTCCAGATGGGATATCTCTGGCCCTCTGTGTCTCCCCAGTGGGGTTAATCTCTAGTAATTCACAGTGAGCTCTTTCACCTTACTTGTCTGATTTCCCTTCTCCTATACTGGTATCTACTTTACTCTCCAGATAAACACCATGTGCTCAAAACCTTATCTCAGGTTCTGCTTCTGGGTAAACACAGCTGTGAGAGTTCCCCAAATCTGCCTGAGAAGAATGGTCCCATTTTTGGTAGAACTTTTAATTCATGGGGTTGTCAGGTGATTCATGTTGAAATGCTGACATACTTTGAAATTAAATGTAGAATTTTCTCTGGAGTTTAAAAATTGGTCTGAGAATCAGACACTCTGAATTTTAGAGCTAGGAAGTGGTATAGAACTTATAATTCTCTATTGAAATCCCTTTACTTTATCCTTGAGGAAATTATCCAGGGAGGACAGGGTGATAAAGTAGTTAGCAGCCAACTAAAGTAAGAACTGAGGACAATTAAATTAAAACATAGATAAGTTGGTATAAATAGTAGCACTCCTAGTAGATATTATTCATAGAGCTTTGTCCTCAGTCTTTTCCAACACTTTCAAGATGGTGTGGTGATTGTATATGTGTGTGTGTGTGTGTGTGTGTTTTCTCAATATTTTAAGATTAAACTTTACAGCTACAAAGACTTGAATTTTCTCACCCATTTATTCCCTGAGCACCAGATACCCATGTCTAATGACTATATGTAAAATGTCACCAGACATCTCCATTTCACACGTTTAACAGGCTGGACAATCATCTAATCCAGTCCCACCTTCTCTAGTGCTTCCTGTTTTGCTGAATAGAAAATTTCAGTACATATTTGTTGAGCATCTTCTAGATGGTGAGTGTAGATTATGATCCACAAAGTTTCCCAAACTGAAGGCTGCACTTCACACTTGACTCCCTGCACCCCCAACCCTTAAGAGCCAATTAGAAGAAATTTCAGAATTCGTGTTTTCCTTAGCCAGGGCTTAGAAAGTCTGGATGGATGGAAGAGAATGGTTAATAAACTTTTTAAAGCATGTATTTGTGAAGCAGGTGCAACACTTTCACTTGAATATGTTTAGCTGGGGTGGCTCGGAAGCAGGTTGCTTGGGATCATGGGAAGTTTTACCCTCCACCTCCATGTTTACTGAGTCCCTGCTTGGAGCTGCTCTCATGGCATTGATTTGATGAAGTTCTGTCCGTTGTCACTGCTTACTCTCTCTCTCCAGCTGTCTAATCTCTGTTTCCACTGCCACTGTCTAGATAAGACTTCTAGCAAGCCTCCTGATAAGTATGCTTACTTACTGTCTCACCTCCTGCAATCAATTTTGCACACAAAAGCCAGGATGCTATTTTCAGGAGGTTAAACCTCATGGTATTTAGTTGCTTGATACCCTTCACTGGTTGTGCACCAGCCTCAAGATAAGACACCACACTTCTTAGCACAGGTGTCAAGAGAAGTTTGTTTCTTGTTTTTCTTTACTGATAGGAACTATAAAGTACATGTAATGGATTAAGTGATTGTAAAGAGAGGGACAAATAGATAAAACAGAAGGATAAGGGCTAACTGCAAAAGAGAAGTCCTTGAGAAGGCTAGAAAGAAAAGGACACAGAGAATGCCAAGGGTCCAACCCAGGAGAAATGGTGTATTTTTAACAGGAGTGAAGATAGTGTGGATAAAGATTTCTGGGCAACAAAACCATAGTATGATGAGTCTTGGAATATAACAATTCTTACTCACCTTTGGAATTTTGCACCTACTCTTCCAAATGCTTGAGAAAAGATCCTCCTTCGCTTCACTCAGATAATTCCAATTCATTTTTTTCTTATCTCAGTGTTGAATGTACTTCTCCCAGGCAACATTTTTCTGACCCTCAAAACATGTATGCTCTGATCCTTGAGTTCCTCATTACATATGTGATTCTACCAAATGTATGAAATTGTAATCTTATGCTGACTTCTCTGTGCCTTCTCTTTTGTGAGCTTTCCGTCCTGTCTGTAAGGACCATGCCCTTCTCAACCTTGTATCCCTAGTGTATAACACTTGATAGATGCAGAATATGTTTAGTTGTTCATTGAATTAACACATCAGATAATAAAAGGGATGTGTGCATTTGCTGGAAATAAGAGTAGTAATGAGTGAGCACTTCTAATGAATTTTACTTATAAGAGAAAGATTGGCAATAAATAATAGAAATGGAGAGGAAAGACCACAGATAAAAAGGAAAATAACAACAGCTATTCCGATGTATCTTCCTTTCCAATATGGCTTCCAGGTCATATTGCTGATATTGTTGATATTCTGTCTCTGTTCCAAGAAAATCCCATTATAAGAATTTTGACGGGAGCAGAGCAGGCCTTAGGGAGAGGGGAAATTCTTCTTCAAATTACACTTTTTAAAGCTTAATTATGAAAGTAATTTTCCTCAGGAAATGCAGCTGAGCTAGTTCAGCTGTCCTAACATGGTCTTTTGACCTCGCACTCTGTGCAACTGTTTGGAACGTGTTGGTTTTTAATTATTAGGCATAGAAACATGTATTAGATGTCAATGAGTTTTGCCAAGAATTGCTGCAGACAACAGAAACCCAGCTCATCCCCAGTGGTCAGTGCAAAGCAGCTGGGCTCAATTTTCTGTTTCAAGTGAGTAATGCCTGTAATCGCTCCATGAGTCTAAGTGTGCTTCTTCTTCCCTGTCAGAATCTCCATTTACTCTCATTGGCACTCTCAAGTTAGTAAATTCGTAAGGATTCTTTTGTGGTTTGTTTTGAAATGGCAGGAATTTTGAGAGCAATTCATACTCCTTTTCTGGTTATTTTTATTTCCTAATCTTCAGTCTTTCTAAATTGCACACGATTTAACATGATTGTTCAAGTCAAAGAACCTCTGTCATGCTTGAAAATTCTTAAAATGCATGGTACCTATTATCAGAATCTCATAACCTTCCTATTTTACTACATGTATATCTAGTTGCCAACTATTGCCTTTATTTATACCAAAATGGCTGCATGTGTACCTGGTGGTAAGCTGGCCAGTTATCCTGAGAAAGGAAACATGACCGCTGCCCATTGTGTTACCATAAAGGCGGAGATGGGAATGACCTTTCAGGTCTCTCTCTGTAACCCCTTGTCAAGAGACAATACAGTCCCCAGAGAAATAATGCACTAAATGTGTCATATTTTCTTGTATGGTGATGAGTTAGCATGTTCCAAACATTAGACTACAGAAACTTCCCAAAGGACTCTAACAGATGGACTACATTTTATACCTAGTAGGTTATAACACGTACGTTGCAAAGATAAAGGAAGCAAAGCGTAAAAAAAAATGTGTTTGAGGAAATTTTAATAACGCATCTATAGTGTGGTATTAGCTTTTTAAACCAAGCTTTTTATTCAATGCAATAAAATCCCTTAGTCTTTTGCTTAAATATTTTTTCATAAAATATATTTAGAATGCACTCGTGACAGAAATCTCTATGTCTTAGTTCTTTGAAAAATAATTCTAACAATGCCACAAAAGAACTATCATGTGATTCTTCCCTCAGGATATTTTCACTATAACTATTACAGATTCATCTACTTTTCTCTTTTTGCTATCGTTGTTGTCTGTTTTTTAGTACCTTCTGGTTGGAAAACATAAACCAAATAAATAATAATTATATTTGTAACAGAAATAAAATACTGATGGTATCATGAGGTCTTCTTAAGGTAAAATAAGCAGTATGAAATGAGGTTAATTCTTATAGATGAAGAACTAAGGATTGGGGTAAGACAGGACACCTTTCCATTAGTAAGACAAGCAAGTAATGTATGCTATTTTCAGGCATTTTATACAACAATACCACTTCTGATTCAGTCATCTAAATATTTTAGTAAAATGTATGTTCACTAAAAGAATACACCACATGATTTGAGTAATTAAAATTGTGCTCTACTTCACCATACTAGTGTAGACTTGATTTTGGTCCAGTAGTTCAGCCTGCAGAAAAATTGACTCTTTTTTTGTATGATTTATTATATAAATCATATATCATAAGTTGCTCATGGATGAGGATGGCTGTGGTGGTGGTGAAAAGGGCACTATCTGAGTGGAATTTAAAAGGAAAGGAGAAAATGAAGAGACTAATTATAGCTCTCTGAATCTCTAGTTCTGACAGATCTGAGATATTTGGCCTACTCAGAAAGTTCAAGAATAAAATCCTAAAGAATAGCATATTATAGTCTTTATTTTTTTTAATTGAGAGGATTTATATTATGCTGACTTAAAATAACTTTGGATAATCTGGAATCTGAAAGATTTATAGAACAGAAAAGTAAAGGCCTCTAATTATCAGAGGGATTAGTTTAAAATAGACATTTACAAATGAATATTTTATAATTTTAAGTTAAAATGGCATTTTTAATTGCACTCAGATGAGAGTTGAGACATGTTTTAGAAATGTGCTGAGTAATGACATTTTACATTCATTTTATTTTATTAAGTCTTCATTTGGAATTGTAAAATTAAGAAGGTAAAAGTGAAAAGTTTCCTTTTCCTTCTGCTCCAACACACTAATTTATTGCATATTTTTTTAAACTTCTGGCATATTAAAAATATTTAATAGCATTACTGTAATGGATTATGTTATCCATATTGCTTTTCATCGTGTGCGTGTGTGTGTTAGTATAAGGTAATTTGTTTGGGGAGTGACAGAAAACTACAAATACACTGATTTTAGATAATCTAAAATAATGTAAAATTGTATGAGATTTAGATAATGTACTAATAATAAAAAGGAGTAAAGTCAAAATTTCCAGGGTTTATAAGGATTACACTTTACTTTGTTTTTCTTTTCTAGAAAAGCCATGGTCTCTCAATATAAAATGAATTTTCTTTTTTTTTTCTTTATTTTATTTTATTTTATTTTATTTATTTTTTTATTATACTCTAAGTTTTAGGGTACATGTGCACATTGTGCAGGTTAGTTACATATGTATACATGTGCCATGCTGGTGCGCTGCACCCACTAACTCGTCATCTAGCATTAGGTATATCTCCCAATGCTATCCCTCCCCACTCCCCCCACCCCACCACAGTCCCCACAGTGTGATATTCCCCTTCCTGTGTCCATGTGATCTCATTGTTCAATTCCCACCTATGAGTGAGAATATGCGGTGTTTGGTTTTTTTGTTCTTGCGATAATTGACTGCGAATGATGATTTCCAATTTCATCCATGTCCCTACAAAGGACATGAACTCATCATTTTTTATGGCTGCATAGTATTCCATGGTGTATATGTACCACATTTTCTTAATCCAGTCTATCATTGTTGGACATTTGGGTTGGTTCCAAGTCTTTGCTATTGTGAATAGTGCCGCAATAAACATATGTGTGCATGTGTCTTTATAGCAGCATGATTTATAGTCATTTGGGTATATACCCAGTAATGGGATGGCTGGGTCATGACTTTGAAATTCACAAATTCTGTATATGCTTCTGGAGCACATTCTTCTTTAATGTGTATTAAAGTCAGGACAATTAAAAACATCACTATTTTTGTTTGGTCTCTGGAGATTCAGAAAACTAGGTTCAGGTGTTTCAATGAGAGAGGCATATCATTTGTTTGCTGCTAAAGATTGGTATATTGTCTGTCCTCACAATAATTATCATTCAATTGTTTTTATTACCAACTAATAACGTCTTACACATAACAGCTTAAGTGATGATATGATCAAATTATTTTTGAGATTACCTCTGAATTAGGAAAAGTGCCAGGTGATTCCATCAAGGTTTATAGTAATTTATTAAACATTTTTGCAGGTGTTAAGATCTTTAATGTCCTTAGCACATACTTAACCAGACAGCATCTTGTTAATGAATACTACACGTGCACGATAGATAGAAAAAAACTTTGAAGTTCCTTACATTTCTATCTTATTTTGATAAATAACATTATTAGAAACATAAGAAAACAACTTTCATCCAAAACTTGCAATGCTGGTTTGAAGTTGTCGAGGCAACTCAGTAGCGTTGTGCCACAGTGTGATATGGAGGGCAGTCTCTTATTTTTATATCTGAACCTGTGATCTTCATCTAGGAGAAGAATGACCCCCATTAAGTGTAAAAATGTGATCCCCTAGCCTTGCTAGCATTTGGCTGCCTCTCTTACCCAAATTTTGAGTCAACTCCTACTTAGTTGCTGTCATTACCCAACATCCCATCCATACTTCTTACTCAAGAATCAGCTTTCCCCTCCTTTTCTCAATTTTAGTTAATTCTTCTCCCCATGTCTTTACTTATATCCTGTTTCTCACTCTAAGATCCTCAGCTAGCCTTTCTTAGTTTATTTGAATCATCCAATACATGCTAGTTACTATCAAATTGTCCCTACTGAAAGACTCTTGCACATACACACACACACATGCAGACACCCCACATCTGTACATTGGTATAGTGTTTTGCATTTTCATCATTAAGATGTAAACAATTGATATTATTATTGATAATGAAGGCAGTGGTTAACTTTCAACACTGACTTCCTCCAACTTTATGTGTGATTTAAGGCAAGTCATTTTACAAAAAATCTTACTTTTTTTCAACTGTGAAATATAAGTAGTAACTATATGTATCTCTGGCTGTATTGTGAGGATTGATTAACATATATAATATGCTCGGATTTTCTTTATAACTTTTTTGTTTAATGTTATTATTTTATGTGTAATTTCTAATAATACCCTGAGGTAATGTATTATCTGCATCTAGACACAGTGGTCCTTAATTGTTGGTTCATTCCATGCCAAGAGGGTAAGGATATAGAATTCAGGATGCTACTAGAATATTTTACAATTTTTATAGATACATAATAGTTGTACATATTTATGTTGTACATATTATATTTCAGTATGAGCATACAATGTGTAATGATCAAATTTGGGTAATTGGAATATCCATCACTTCAAACATTTATTATATCTTTGTTCTAGGAACACTTAGAATCTACTCATTTAGTTATTTTGAAAGATGCAATAAATTATTGTTAACTATAGTCGCCCTATTGTGTTACCAAACACTAGGTCTTCTTCCTTCTCTCTAACTGTACTTGTGTACCCATTAACCAACCCCTCTTTATCCCGCTCTGCCCTCCTACCCTCTAGTAACACCATTCTGTTCACTACCTCCATGAAATCACTATTTTAGCTCCCACTATAAGTAAGAATATGTGACATTTGTCTTTCTATGCCTGGCTTATTTCACTCAACATAATGTCCTCTGGTTTTGTCCATATTGTTGCATATTTAGAGTTACTATTAGTCTAGTTTCATCTACTTTGGGCTTCTTATATGATACTTGTATATTTTTTCTTTTATTGGATTTTATAGGACAAATGCAGATTCAAATACATTTTTCCTTGTTATTATTAACATTACATAATTTAGCCTGAGAAGCAGTTTATATTTTTCAATGTAGAAGCACAATTTGCTGTATACGTTGTATTTTCTAATACTAGAATTTAAGTTTCTCTTGAATATTTCTTTTTTTCCTTCTTCCATTGTCTTATATCTATGAATCGAGCATTTGATATTTTTGTAAAGAATCTTCTTTAAATACATGTAACTTTCTTAGTTGGCAAAACATTAATTTCTGTAAGACTAATTTCTTCACCGCTTTTTATTTTTTCCTTTTGCATTTATTTAGAATTTAAGTAAATTTATTATTATTATAAATGCAAAAGTAAAAGATTAAAAAAACTACTGTTGTAGGAATTTTTAAGACATTATAAATTCATTTAATCATCAAATATGTTTGAAAATTAATTCATTCAATAGATATTTTTGGAGCACTGTTTATGCCTTATGACAATTCTTAGCAAGCAATGTAGACATGTAAGATGATCTCTAAAAGAGCTTGTATCTTCTTGGAGAGTAAATACATGTAACATATAACCATGAAACTTAACAATAAGAGGCTGTAGGAAAATAATAAAAAATGTAATAGGGTGGGAAAATATTCAAATCTTTCTTTTCCTGTTTTCTTTATAGGAGAGTTATCTATTTAAACAAATCATAACCTTGCATTTAATATATATATAGAAAATATCTGAAAATTTCTTCACAAAAATTAAAAATGAAAGGGGGCAGTAAAGCCCTCTTTACACAAGAATACAAACTAACAAGTAAATAAATACTAGAAAAAATCTTTTCACAACCACTGTGGTAATAATCAATTCCAGCAGGAATTATCAATGAATGTTAAAATTATTGGAGAAAAAATTTAGAAACCTGTTTGTTATATAGTCCCTTTATGTCACCCAGCTTATACCTATATATATAAATAAGAGGTACCTTCACAGGGAATAAGTATGTTAAACAGCACCTGAAATAAAAGCTAAAATGCAGTATTACTAATGCTGACACAAGCTTATATCATATGGCCTCTTGTGCAATAAAAATGATGTAATATGAATTGGCAATATTAATGCAAAGATTTTTTTATTTGTGTAAAACATTGTAAAAACAATCAAATTGAGAGACATTCTGCACAATGTACTGTTAGTATCATGAAGGACTGAAAAAAAAGAGGAGTGGGATTGTTCTAGATTAGTGGATTAATGGAGTCCAAAGAAACCATAAAAATACTTCTTTAATGACTATTGCATTAAGCTGACACTTAAAATATTTTATGTAATAACTTATTATGTTCACATTATATAATTTCTAACCCTCCAGAAAAGTTACAAGAATAATTCCATTAATTCCTGCATACACTTCATCTAAGCTCATGATTTGTTTGTATTTTTATAGCTTTGTTAACTTTCCCTTGACATTCCATTCCTAAACAATTTGCATATATCTCAAAGAACAAGGATGTTTTCCTAGAATATCTTGTTCTGTTACATGGTGCCTATTCAGATTTTTCCAGGCATGCAACAATTTTCTCAGTCTTCCAGTGCCCATGATGGTATTTTTCTAATTCGTTATTATGCCCTGCATTTAGTATTTTTTGTGTTTTTTTTGGAAACACATTTTTTAACTTCTAAATATCTTGTACATTTCCTGATTTTTTTATTTGTTCTGAAAAATCGCCCAAACTGGCCTCTAGGAGGAAAACAAACAAGGTCGGTGAAGTCTCAAAGGTGCAGAGATAAAGTTTTTATAACATTATCATTGTTGTTTTGCCTTTTTAATAACTTTTTTTCTGCCCAATTTACATTGCCTTAGTATCACTGCCTTAAACTATTTACATTTAGAAAGCAGAAATTCTGGTGTTGTAAGTCTAGGACATATTTGTCCATAAGCAAAGTAGAAAGATTTTCTGTCTTCTTTGTCTGAATTATTAGAGATCCTTATCTGAGAAAACAAAACAAAATGCATTTTAATGTTAACCTGGACATGTACTCTCTTGAACCTAAAATACATTTGGAAGAAAAAAACTATTAAAAATTTATGTATCCTTGCTACCAATTATTCAACAAATAGTGTTGAACTAAAACCACATTTATTCTAAAATAACCCTCAAAGGAGATAATTATGTGATATGAGACCATAACTTACTGAAAGAATGATGATATAGTGGAAAGAGTGCCCCATGGAAACAGATGCCCCATATTTCAAGTTCAAGATGTACCAACTATTAACTGTAGGACTGGTTGTATAATGATAGTCATGGTCTGTTAAGTAGTAAGATGGAGATAATAAGATCCACCATGTTTAACCCACTAGATTATTGTGTCAAGTGAGATATGTTCTTACAATCATTGCTGTTACTAGGTAATAGAGGAATTGGCTTGGGTTCAGAAGATCCGAGGTCAAGATTTTCTTTGCCTCTTACAGGCTGTGGAACCTTAGAGAAACGATGCAGTCCTTCTCTCTGAACTTCAGGATCTGGGTGTTAATATATTACTCATATCATGGCACACTCTCTTTAGCAGTTTTGGCACCATATATCTTATCTATTTTTTCCTTTTGTTCATTTTCCCCATTCTCATTTTCCTTTACTCTGTCTACTCCATTTTTATTCATAGGCAGTCATTATAATGCATTTCAGACAGATTCTTTTATTACATGTGTTTATCTATAATTAGTATTATTATTCCGTGTGGAGGCAATTACATTTAGTGAAATGATGTTAGACCATAGATCTCATTGTTTTTCACTGTTTTGGTAAAATCTCTGGTTTGAGGATATGTCCATGTTGCTGTGTATTTATGTAGCTCATTGCTCCTAATTGCTGCATAGTATTCTATGACATTTTATTTATGTATTCATTCTTCTTAGGGATGGACACTGGATTGCCTGCACCTGTTTCTCATTAATGATATGTTCCCTACTGAATTTGTGTGAGAACTTATCTGGGAATATATGCAGAATCCTAGCACTAAATATACTTATTTTTACAGAGCACTACCAGATATATCTGCAGAATGATTGCACCAGTCTATACCCTCACGAGCAACAATGAGAAGGGCTCCTATTATACAACTTTCTAGGTTTAAGTAATCTGATGGGAATAGAATTATATCTCTCTGGCTTTTTTTTAAATTTGTCTAGTCACAAATAGGTTTGATAATCATTTCATATATTGCTCAGTCTTTTTATATTTCCTTTGGTGACATGCTTAATATATTTTGTGTAGAATTAGTTTTCTATTTGGATTCTTGTCTCTTAATGATTTGCAGAAAATCTTTTTTTTTTTTTTCTTTTTTGAGATGGAATCTTGCTTTGTTGCCCAGGCTGGAGTGAAGAGGTGTGATCTTGGCTCACTGCAGCCTCTGCATCCTGGATTCTAGCGATTCTTCTGCCTTAGCCGCTCAAGTAGCTGGGATTACAAGCATGCACCGCCATGCCTGCTCTATTTTTAGTAGAGATGGGGTTTCACCACGTTGGCCAGGCTAGTCTCGAACTCCTGACCTCAGGCGATCCACCCACTTTGGCCCCCAAAAGTGCTGGGATTACAGGTGTGAGCCACCTCACCCAGCCCCTTGTTTCTATATTAGTTTACTTATGTCTTTAAATATAGTATTTGAAATATCTTTTCTCAGTCTATTGGCTTTTTAACTTTGTCCATGTTGTCCTTTTTAAAACCAAAGTTCTTAATTGTGAAGTCGTCAAATTAATCATTTTAATTGGAGTGACATTTGCACAATTGAGAATCTATTTGGAACCATTCAATTGTATACTTTAAGTGTGAAATCATATGGTATGTGAATTATATCTTAGTAAAGCTGTTATTTAAAAAATGATATTGCCAAATTGGTCCTCAAAAGCTAATGAACAAAAAATAGTACGGATAGTTCTGACCAGCGCTAATAAGTAAGAAATAATAGATGTATGAATTTAAAAAGAAGAAATAAAGTTGTTTTAATTTATAGATAATGTTATCCTCCCAGTCAAAAAGCTAAAAAAGTAAATAGCAAACTATGACAGTTGCTGAGTATAACATCAACTTACAAAAACTTTATAGCAACAACGATCAGCCAGAAAAAATACAATTAAGAAAAACATTAATAGCAGCAATATAATTTATAAAATATATAGAAATTAATAAAATCACAATATTTCTACATAGTAAAAGATTATACTTTCTTAAAGTGTATAAAATAAATGGGTTATCCATGCTCTTAGTTGGAATGTCTTAATATTATGAAGATACCATTTTGCTCAAAATTAGTATATAAATAAACTTCCAACCAAATTTCAGGAGGGGATTAAAGTAAATTTAATATATTTATCTAAAATACATATTCTTTTTCTTGTAGTTCAACCTAAAATGGGTATGTATTAGGGTTCTCTAGAGAGACAGAAATCATAAGACATACATACATATATATATATATGGGAGTGGAACTGTAAGTCCAATTAAACCACTTTCTTTTGTGTATTGCCGAGCCTCAGCTATGTGTTTATCAGCAGCATGAAAAAGGACTAATACAGTAAGTTGGTACCAGGAGTAAGGCATTGCTAAAAAGATACCCCAAAATGTGGAAGTAACTTTGGAACTGGGTAACAGAGGTTAGAATTGTTTGGAGGGCTCAGAAGAAGACAGAAAATGTGGGAAAGTTTGGAACTCCCTAGAGACTTGTTGAATGGCTTTGACCAAAAACCTGATAGTGATATGGACAATGAGGTCCAGGCTGAGGTGGTCTCAGATGAAGATGAGGAACATGTTGGGAACTGGAGTAAAGGTGACTCTTGTTTTATTTTAGCAAAGAGACTGGCAGCATTTTTCCCCTGCCCTAGAGATTTCTGGAACTGTCAAGTTGAGAGAGATGATTTAGGGTATCTGGCAGAAGAAATTTCTAAGCAGCAAAGCATTCAAGAGGTGACTTGGGTGCTGTTAAAGGCATTCAGTTTTATAAGGGAAGCAGAGGATAAAAGTTGGGAAAATTTGCAGCCTGACAATGTAATAGAAAAGAAAAACCCATTTTCTGAGGAGAAATTCAAGCCAGCTGCAGAAATTTGCATAAGTAATGAGGAGCCATTGCTAATCCCCAAGACAATGGGGAAAATGTCTCCAGGGCATGTCAGAGGTCTTCACAGCAGCCCCTCCCATCACAGGCACAGAGACCTAGAAGAAAATGGTTTTGTGGGCCCAGCCAAGGATCCCTGTGCTGTGTGTGGTTTAGAGACTTGGTGCCCTGTGTCCCAGCAGCTCCAGCCAATCTGAAAGGGGCCAATGTAGAGCTCGGGCCGTGGCTTCTAGGGTGTAAGCCTCAAGCCTTGGCAGCTTTCACATGGTATTGAGCCTGTGAGTGCACAGAAGTGAAGAATTGGGATTTGGGAACATCCGCCTAGGTACAGAAGATGTATGGAATGACCTCAGTGTCCAAGAAGAAGTTTGATGGGCCTGGGGCAGTCAGGGAGGACCTCTGCTAGGGCAGCGTGGAAGGGAAATGTGGGGGCTCTGCCCCCACACAAAGTCCCTGCTGGGACACTGCCTAGTGGAGCTGTGAGAAAAGGGCCACCATCCTCCAGACCCCAGAATGGTAGAACCACCAACAGCTTGCACTGTTTGCCTGAAAAGGCAACAGATGCTCAATTGCTAGGCCATGAAAGCAGCTGAGAGGGAGGCTGTACTCTGCAGGCCACAGGGGTCGAGCTGCCCAAGACCATGGGAACCCACCTCTTGCATCAGCATGACCTGGATGTGAGACATGGATTCAAAGGGGAGATCATTTTGGAGCTTTAACATTTGACTGCCCTGCTGGATTTTATACTTGAATGGGGCATGTAGTCCCTTTGTTTTGGCCAATTTCTCCCATTTGGAATGGCTGTATTTATCCAATGCCTGTAACCCCACTCTATCTAGAAAGTAACTATCCAACTTCTGATTTTACAGGCTCATAGGTGGAAGGGACTGGCTTTGTCTTGGATAAGACTTTGGACTGTGGGCTTTTGATTAGTGCTGAAATGAGTAAAGACTTTGGGGGACTGTTGGGAAGGCATGATTGGTTTTGAAAGTGAGGATGTGAGATTTGGGAGGGGCCGGGGTGGAATATGTGTCCCCACCCAAATCTCCTCTTGCATTCCCATGTGTTGTGGAAGGGACCCAGTGGGAGGTAATTGAATCATGAGGGCACATCTTCCCCATGCTCTTCTCATAATAGTAAATGTCTCACAAGATCTGAGGGTTTCAAAAAGAGGAGTTCCCCTGCACAATCTCTCTCTCTTTGCCTGCTCTCACCCATATAAGAGGTGACTTGCTCTTCTTTGTCTTCCACTCAGCCATGTGGAACTGTAAGTCCAGTTAAACTTTTCTTTTGTAAATTGCCCAGTTTCAGGTACTTCTTTATCAGCAGGGTAAAAATTGACTAATACAGGGAGTTTATTAACTATTAGTTCACATGATCACAGTGTCCCACAATAGGCCATCTGCAAGCTGACGAGCAAGGAGAGCCAGTCCAAGTTCCAAAATTGAAGAACTTGGAGTCTAATGTTTGAGGGCAGGAAGCATCCAGCACAGGAAAAAGATGTAGGCTGCAAGGCTAAGCCGGTCCAGTCTTTTCACATTTTTCTGATTGCTTTATATTCTAGCTGTGCTGGCAGCTGATTAGATGGTGCCCACCCAGATTAAGGGTGGGTCTACGTTTCCCAGCCCAGGGACTCAAATGTTAATCTCCTTTGGCAACACCCTCACAGACACACCCAGGACCAATACTTTGCATCCTTCAATCCAATCAAGTTGACACTCATTATTAACCATTACAAGTCAACCCCTTGTTAACTTGAACCTGTACACATCTCCTGAGATCATACATAATATTCTAATAAAGATAATAATAAGGTCATAATTACACCTAGCAGAATACAAATATCCTTCATACGACCAGAAACGCACACCTATGCCCCACCCAAATACTATTAGAGAAAGTTAATACCTAAATGCTGATACGATGTCAATAAATTTTATGTCATGTGATAAATAAAATTAAGATATTTTCTTAGTACAAGCATATACATGCACAAACATGTTTTTAACAAAAGAAGGAGGAAATACTCATGACAATTAGTCTTTGTTTCTGCAATTGGTCACGTGATTGTAACTCGTATTGATGACTACATTCTTCTACTACCCATTTGAGTTCCCTTTGCCTTCAGCGAGCACCTCAGCAGGTAGTGTTTTTTTTTTCCCCCCCTTTTGGAGTGTCCCAAACCTTCATCCCTAAAGGGTCTGGGCCATTTGTTGTTCTGCCTGGATTGGGCTATTGTCATTTCCCGTTGACCTTAATCACAGGACATGGCAATAATACTAAGAGATGCCCTAAAGGGTATCCTGTATTCCACACATACTCTTCCTTACCTCCATTGTGGAGTAGTAGACTGATTTCATCTTGATAGTCTGAGTCAATCACCCCAGCCAATGCTCTAACTCCCTTCTTAGCCTTTTGACTTAAAGGTGGAAGGAGGCCAAAGTGTCCAGGTGGCAATCTTAACTTCCAACTTGATGGAATTGGTGTTGTGTCTCATGTTGGCAATGCTCCTCCTTCTGGAACTAATACTTCAAAGCCAGCAGAACGTAACGTTGTGGGAAAAGGAAGCAAAGATTTTGCTAGTGAATCGCTAGTGGTGATGGCGAGTGGTACCACTTCCACTTCCTTTATTCCTTGACCCATGAATCCTGGCTATGGGAGAATCAGTACCATATATTGGATGCTGATTCAAGGCATACACGACCTTCTGTAAAACTTTGCCCCAGCCCTGCAAAGCATTGTCACCTAGTCAGCTTTGTAATTGTGACTTCAAAAGGCCATTCCACCATTCTATCCAGTTGCTTCAGGATGATGGGGAACATGGTAAGACCAGTGAATTCCATGAGCATGAGCCTACTGCCGCACTTCATTAGCCATAAGGGGAGTGTCTTGGTCAGAGGCAATGCTGTGTGGAATACCATGATGGTGGATAAGGAATTCCATGAGTCCATGGGTGGTAGTCTTGGCAGAAGTATTGCATGCAAGATAGGCAAACCTGTATCTGGAGTGTCTGTTCCAGTGAGGACAAACCACTGCCCTTTCCATGATGGAAGAGGTCCAATATAATCAACCTGCCACCAGGTAGCTGGCTGATCACCCCAAGGAATGGTGCCGTATCAAGGGCTCAGTGTTAGTCTCGCTGCTGGCAAATTGGGCACTCAGCTGTGGCCATAGCCAGGAGAGCCTTGGTGAGTGGAAGTCCATGTTGCTGAACCCATGCATAACCTCCATCCCTGCCACCATGGCCACTTTGCTTATGAGCCCATTGGGTGATGACAGGGATGGCTGTGGACAGAAGCTGAGTGAATAGGGTCATCCTATTCACTTGATTATTAAAATCCTCCTCTACTGAGGTGACCCACTGGTGAGCACTCACATAAGATACAAATATCTTCACAATTTTTGACCACTCAGATCTATCCACATAGCTCTTCCCCAGATATCTTTGTCACTAATTTTCCAATCATACTTCGTCCAAGTCCCTGACCATCCAGCCAAACCATTGGCTACAACCTGTGAATCAGTATATAATAGTATATTTGACCATTTCTCCTTCCATGAAAAGGGCACAGCCAGGTGCACTGCTTGGAATTCTGCCCACTGGGAAGATTTCCCTTCACCGCTGTCCTTCAGGGATGTCCTGGAAAGTGGCTGTAGTGCTGCAGTTGTCCACTTTTGAGTGGTGCCTGCATGTTGTGCAGAACCCTCATTGAATCAGGTTCTAGTCTTCTCTTCCTCAGTCAACTAATCATAGGGAACTCCCCCATGAGGCCTTTGGTGCAGGCTGGAGGAGAGAAGGCAGGGTGGCAGGAGTGGAGACCATGGGCATTTGAGCCACTTCCTCGTGTAACTTACTTGTGCCTTCAGGACTTGCTCGAGCCCGATCAGATTTTGTTGCTATGCATGACCCTCTTCATGGCTGGATGGGTCAGAAAGCACCCAGTTCATGACAGGCAGTTCAGGTTGCATGGTGACTTGATGACTTGTAGTCAAATATTCAGTTTCCATGAAAGCCCAGTAACAGGCAAAGAGCTGACTCTCAAAAGGAGAGTAGTTAACTGCAGAAGATGGCAGGGCTCTGCTCCAATATCCTAGAGGCCTCTGCTGTGATTCACCTATGCGGACTTGTCAAAGACTCCAAACAGCACCCCTATCTGCCACTGACACCTCAGGCACCATTGGATCTTCTGGGTCATATGGCCCAAGTGGCAGAGCAGCTTGCACAGCAGCCTGGACCTGTTGCAGAGCCTTCTCCCATTCTGGACCCCACTCAAAACTGGCAGCCTCTTGGGTGACTCAATAAGCCAGAGAAACACATCCAAATGAGGAATGTGTTGCCTCCAAAATCCAAATAGGCTCACTAGGCGTCATGCCTCTTCCTTGATTGTAGGAGGGGCCAAATGCAGCAACTTGTCCTTCACCTTGGAAGGAATATCTCGACAGGCTCCACACCATTGGACCCCTAGAAATTTTACTGAGGTAAAAAGTCCCTGAATTTTAGTTGGATTTATTTCCCATCCTCTGGCACACAAATGTCTTACCAGTAAGTCTAGTGTGTTTGCTACTTCTTGCTCACTGGATCCAGTCAACATAACGCCATCAATGTAAAGGACCAGTGTGATATATTGCGGAAGTGAGAAGCAATCAAGGTCTCTCTGAATAAGATTATGACACAAAGCCAGAGAGTTTATATACCCCTGAGGTAGGACAGTGAAGGTATATTTCTGGCCTTGCCAGCTGAAGGCAAATTGCTTCTGGTAGGCCTTATGGACAGGAATGGAGAAAAAGGCATTTGCCAAGTCAATGGCTGCATGCCAGGTCCAAGGAGATGTGTTAATTTGCTCAAGCAATGAAACCAAATCTGGTACAGCAGCTGCAATTGGAGTTACCACGTAGTTAAGCTTATGATAATCCACTGTCATTCTCCAAGATGCATCTGTCTTCTGCACAGGCCAAACGGGAGAGTTGAACAGGGATGTGGTGGGAATCACCACCCCCACATCTTTCACCACCCCTTCATCTTTCAAGTCCTTGATGGTGGCACTGATCTCCACAATCCCTCTGGGGATGCAACATTGTTTTTTATTTACTATATTTCTAGGTAGAGGCATCTCTAATGGCTTCCATTTGGCCTTTCCCACCATAACAGCTCTCACCCTACAAGTCAGGGAGCCAATGTGGGGGTTCTGCCAGCTGCGAAGGATGTCTATGCCAATTATGCATTCTGGCACTGGGGAAATGACCACAGGATGAGTCTGGGGACCCAGTGGACCCACTGTAAGTCAGACCAGAGCTAAAACTGCATTAATTACCTGACCTCTGTAAGCCCCTACTTTCACTGGAGGAACACAATTATGTTTTGGGTCCCCCTGGAATTAACGTCAGCTCAGAGCCAGTGTCCAGTAGTCCCTGAAATGTCTGATCATTTCCCTTTGCCCATTGCACAGATACCCTAGTAAAAGGCTAGAGGTCTCCATGGGGAAGGTTGGGAGAAAGATTAACAGCATAAATTATTGGTAGTGTAGTGGGGTCCTTCCTCAAGACAACTGGCTTCCCCTTCATTCAAGCATTTCTGGGTCTGTAAACTGGCTCAAGTCCAGAAACTGAGGGCCTGTCATTCTCTGTTTTTATAATTCAAATTTGTCTTTTGTCCATTTGACCTAGAAGTTTTCTGGTTATATGATTTAAGTAGGAATGTAGTAGGCTTTCTGTCAATTTCACTTCTAGGAACACCGTGATTAACTAATGCCAGAGCTCTACGTAAGTCAGACTATTCTGATTGCTGCTTTGCCTCTGCTGTCCATTAAGGTAGCTATGCCCACCTTTCCTTTGATGGTTGAGTGCCACCACTTGGCGCCTGCCACCTCAGGATCCAATTATTCTCATTGTATTTAAATTTTGTAGTTCAGTGACTGAGATTCTCGCTGTTAGATCTGACATACAGAGAAGAGCAATTACAGGGCTCTTTAAAGATACAGGGGCTGTCCTCACAAATCTTTTGGCAAGGCATTGGTCAAGGGTACATCTTCTAGACCCTCCCAGCTGAGATGAATAAGTCTAAAGTGACTATTCCACTCCATCATCCCAATCTCCTCAAGTCTTTGGATCTCTTCCTCTCCATTAAACCAAGGGGAAGCAGGCATTTCCAGCTCGCTCACAGTGGGCCATCTTTTAATCCATATTTCAACTAACCAAGCAGATAAACTATTAGACTCTTTTTTAACTCCCTGAGCTGCAACATTAAATGCAGAGTGTCTGCTTAGTGGGCCCAAATCAATAAATTCAACTTGATCCAATTCTGTGATCCTGCCACCATTATCCCACACCCTTAATATCCATTCCCATGCCTGTTCTCTAGATTTCTGCTTATATAAATTAAAAACTCAAGCACTTATTTTCCAGTGTAGCACACCTCCTCATGGGTCACACTCTCCCCCTCATCTCTAGGGGCCCAACAGGACTTTAGTTATAGGTCTAGAAGCAAACAGAGGTGTTGGGAGTGGCTTGTGAGGAGAATCAACATTATCTTGCCTGGCAACTGCTTCAGGGAGGCCATCACTGTTGCCATAGGCAGCACAGGGTTTATCTCCTCAGAGAAAAGCAGAAAGGCTGATGGCAGCACTGGGATGGGGATGTTGCCACTACTTGGGGATGGGGAAGCTGTTTTTTTCTGGCAAAAAAAGGTTCATCAGAGTTTACAAGCTCAGTGACCCCAGCCTCATCAGGGTCCTCCCACACATCCCCATTCCAAGTTGCAGGGTTTCCAATCAATACCCTCAGTTTAACAGTAGACACTTGGTGAGGCTATGCGTGCACCTTTCATTGCAGGTCAGCCACTCGCATAATAAGAGCATATGTCTGTTTTTCCACAATTTCGACTCCTTCTCTACAGGAGATAAGACTCACTCAGGGCAATCTTAGCAGATTTGAGGCTCAGCATTTGCTCTTGAAGCTGGGAGATAGAATGCCTGAGTTTATCATTTTCTCTCATCACTTTGTCCAGTGAACTTCGGAGCAACCAACCAGCTTCATTAAGTTCGTTGGTTCTCCACATATGGTGAAAGGTATTATGTATAAAGTCACTACAATCAATCAGGACTGGCAAATGTGTTTATTTTGTATAATTCTCTAAACAGTTCATGCAAGGAATATCAGTATTTTCCATACTATTAGAAGTAAAGTCCTTAGCATTTTTGGGTCTAATCATATTAAGCAGCCAACTCCAGAAACCCCAAAACCAATGAAAGAACTCCATCCTTAATATTCTGTTCCTTTAGAACCACTCCAGCTACAAAAATCTGTCAGGGTTCTCTAGAGGGACTCAACTAATAGGATGGATATATATACATAATAGAGAGTTTATTAAGTATTAACTCACAAGATCACAAGGTTCCACAATAGGCTGTCTGCAAGCTGAGAAGCATGGAGAGCTAGTCTGAGTACCAAAACTGAAGAACTTCCAGTCCAATGTTCGAGGGCAGGAAGCATCCAGCACAGCAGAAAGATGTAGGCTGGGAGGTTTTTTGCATCCTTCAATCCATTCGAGTTGACATTCAGTATTAACCATCACAGTATTAACCATCTTTCAACTTTTGTTTTATAAGGGTTAAGTAGCTAAGGAAGTTTTCTGTTTGCTAAAACATATTAAATTCTTAAATTGATATTTATGCTTTAAAATATAGTCTTTTATCTACGGAAAGAATATGTAATTTTCTTCTTTAATCTGTTATTTTGAAGTATATTTATACATTTGCTTATGTTGCACCAGCCTTTCATTCCTGATATATAGCCTAATTGAATGTGATTTTAGAAATATATTGTTGTATTTTCTTAACTAATATCTTATTCATACACTTGAATTTATGTCTCTAAGTGATTTTCTTGTATTATTAAATTTTGAAAGTAATGTTACAGATTAGCCTATGAAATGATCTGGGTAACAAGTTTTATAAGACAACCTGCATAAGATAAGCTTTTGAAAAAATTTGGTAAAACTTCTGTAAAACATTTGGAGGTTAGGGTTTTTCAGTTCTTTCATATCTTAAAACCATTGGCTCTTCTCATCAAATCGAGTTGAGAGATTTCTCTTTTTATTTGATGTATTGAAATAATATTTCATTCTGATGGAATAATCTCAAAAATTCCTCTTGACATTTTAAATAATTTATTGTGAGGCCTATTTATTTCTTGTTTGTCATATTCAGTGTCTCCTTAGCAACAGAATTATGTAAATTGAAAGAAGTGCAAACACTGTTATTGACATATTCCATTGCTTGGGAGAACTTGTTCAATATGTTAAAGAGATAAATTACAAAAACTTCACTCTTGTATATATCAAGGTTCTTAAAAGAAATATTACCTGTGCACAGGACATTCTGAGCTGAAGTGGGTATTTATGGTGATTGTCATGACTATCATTTGAAGCCAAATTCAATTGAATCCAATTCTTTTATGTTAATGTTATTAAATATTCTTCCAGTATGGAAACCAGGAGTATCATTATGTGTATGTTGAGAAAAGAGGGATTAAAATTTGATGACAATGTTCTATTTTTATTAGCAGACAACAATTTAAAAGGTTGTTCATCAAGAGAATTAATGTAATCCTGAAAAAGAAAATAAAGGAAGTTCCATTATGAAAGATATCCATTATGTGTTTCAACAAATCAAATTTGAAAAGCAATTCTCAAAGTTGTTAAATTTATGCCAGTACATGTTCAGAATACCAGCTCATGATACTAATGTTGAATTTTTTTTAAATAAAGAATGTTCAATGAACAAAAGAATGGAATCAGATGAATGTGGCCACTGTAAAATGTAAGTGGAACATAGAGTGTATCTGAAAGGAATTTCATAAACAAATGCTGCAAAATAAAGAACTGTTAAGTGTCAACACAGAACATAATAAAGAATATAAATAGCCTATATAGGGTATATAAAAAATAAGATATGTCATTTAGTTACTTATATTGTGGTAAGGAGAGGTGACTTTGAGTACCATATGATGAACTTACACTATGTTGGTCTAACATCCATGGCTTGTAGTTCGGTTCTAGGAATAAGGGGATTCAAACAAAATTAGGAGAGCTATATCACTAAAGATATTATGAGACTAGAAAGTTAGGAAAAATCTCTTCTTTTGTTACAATGTAATAGAGTGTACAGTATGAGAATGGGGTCACATGCCTCTTGCTAAATGGAATGCCTATTGAGGTATACTGGGGTGTCATGAGATACTGTGAAAGACTTTGAAATGGCAAAAAGTACTCTTTTGAATATTAAATTTCCTCTGAATTATCTCTGTATTCCATAAGTTTGAGCTACTTTACATCTCTGTAAATTGTATAAAACCGATAATAATGCAAATGCTTCCTGTCCAATGATACGTACATTCATTGTGCCCGGTAGAATGTAATTGGTTAGTATCTTATGAATAGACCCATTTGGTGTCTATTTGGAAATTCTTTTCAGCATTTCTTGTCTCCCTATATTGTTTGGGTATTTTAGATTTTCCTTAGAATTAATTGAAGCATTTATTGGTTTTCTCATTAATCAGCGAGTTAAATAAACCTTTGACAGTGTTCTTTTTATATCAGTATGAGAGTAATTATGACCTGTTTCACTGAAAATCGCTTTTTATTATTTTTGGAGGTCATTCACTGAGATGTGTGAAGGATTCCCGAGAAGGCCAAGTTTCACTTTATTGCCCAAGAAGGGCACCTCATAGGCAGTACAGTCCCAGCATGTCTTGGCTTACAGAGGAAACCAAGACTGGCAATAGTACTTTATTTTTGCTCAATCTCTGTTTCTCTAGATTTCCTCCATCTCTGCTCACTTTGGATTTTGTTTTTATTATTGGTTGGTTTATAGACAAAAAGGTATTTATAATTGGTGGCAGTAATGATTGCAAGCGTGGTTTTATAGTCTGAACATAAATCTCTCTATAAATGGATTAATAGATTATAGGGATCTATTTTGTGTTGGATGAGAGATGACAGAAAATCTGGATTATTAGTCATTTGTTATGATGTCTATTTCGAGCTAGATTTAATTACTTTTTTTGTCACTGAGAAGTACAGCTCATTGAGATTTAGTGGCAAGCAAGTTATTCTGCTTATTTTATAACTGTTTTAGACTTGGAAGCAAGTATCAACATTCATTTCTAGGGAAACTACCTCCATTCTTTTGTTTCTATCCATGTATAGGTGGAGTTGTCTTCTACCCTTACACTAAACCCAAGGGTGGGTAGTGTCTCAGGCAAAGGCAAAAAAAAAAAAAAAAAAAAAAAAAAAAAAAAAAATCCCATCCCCAGTGACTGGTTCAGGGATGGACATGTTACCCAACTAGGTCCAAGAAGGAAAATGAGGCTCTTATAGGAATTCTTGTGAGAGAGGCACCATGTTTTCAGTTGCACTTGAACCTGGAAGGGTTTCACTTTAGACTTGCTAAAAGACCAATTTCTACCACATGACACCTGAGAATGAAGAAACAATAGGATAGAGCTGTGAAATAGAAGGAAACAGAATCCTAAGGGTATCAGCTGAGCCCATGCAGTACCCCAGTGCTTGACGCAGGCCTATTCCCAAACTTGTTAATTCTGCAAGTCATTACTTTACCTTTTGTTGCTTAAAACAGCTTCTTGTATTTTCTATCATTTTTTCAGATGATTCTTCACAATAAAAGAGTATAAAGGAATGTCAGTGGGCTGGATTTCTGTCCAATTTCATTAATACTAAGATAATAGGTGTGAAGTTCATACTGCCTCCCAGGCTACATCCAGAAGGGATCAGGGTTTTGGGGCTGGTGACAGCTATTTCCCCACTAAGAGATCCAAGGTCAAAGGCTGTACCCCAACTGTGTAATTTGAGGTCTTGCCATCTCTAATCTTCCAGTTTCTACTTTTGTGATATGTGAAGCTGCTTATCTCTTGCCCTTTCTGGAAGCTTAGTGAAAGGATTTCTGGCTGTATTGTTTCGCTGTAACCCTCCTCTCCCCAGCTATGTGAAGATCAAGATAGTGAGGAAACAGGGAAAGAACTGCCTGGGCCAGGTTTTAGGGCTAGAACTTTACTTGATTATTCTCATTTTGGAAAGTTTCTGAATGACTTTATACTTGGCCCCCACTCTTTGCCCTTGTCTACCTTGTCCAATGACAGTTATACAAGTTAACTATATTTTAAAGTTAAGATATTCTAGCAGATTGAAAAGATCTTGGATGGGAGTGGGTGTGCAAAGCTCCTCACAATCCCCCTGCATGCATCTGGCCTCTCTTTAAAAGGTGACATGATTTGGATCTGTGTTCCCACCAAATCTCATGTTGAATGGTCATCCCCTGTGTTGGAGGTGGGGCTTGGTGGGAGGTGACTGGATCACGGGGGTGGATTTCTCATTAATGGCTGATATTAGTTAATATCAGCCTTCTTGGTACTGTCCTTGTGATAGTGAGTTCTCATGGGGTCTGGTATTTGAAAATGTGTGGCACCATCCCCCTCACTCTCTTGATCCTGCCTTCCCCATGTAAACTGCCTGCTCTGGCTTTGCCTTCCACTATGAGTAAAAGCTCCCTGAGGCCTCCACAGAAGCAGATGCCACCATGCTTCGTAGAGAGCCTGCAGAACTGTCAACCAATTAAGCCTCTTTTCTTATAAATTACTCAGTCCCTGGTATTTCTTCTTAGCAATGTGAGAATGGACTAATAAAGAAGGCTAAAAAGGCACTATATTAAATCTGAGACTGACACTGTCTTCCTCAAACCCCAAGCTCCCAGGATACTACAAACCTCAGTCCAAACCATGGCACAGACAGAAGAGTTCACTCTCCTATATGAAGAAACAAAACGTATTCTGAATGAAGAGGGTGGACACTTGACCCAGCCCTTCACTGACCTTAGCAGAAACCTCCACCAATCCTGGGCCTAACACACATTTCTCTTTGCTTTCCTGATAATCTCCAACTCATTTGTTTTATTGTATGTTTTTGCCTAGTACAATTTCTATGCATTCCATATATTGTCCAATGTGTGTTGCACTAATGAGTATGTTATTGCTGTAGTCCCAGCTACTATGAGAAAGAAGAGACATCACTGATTGGAAAAAGCAGAGGCCTTCTTCAGAAGATGTGCTCCTAGAAGTGCTAATACAATTTCTCACTGTATAGAGATGATTATCTGAGTTAGACTTTCTTCTCTGGAAGGGTTGTAAGAGACTTCTCTGGTAATGAAACACACATCTCTTAAGATGGTGACAGTGCCCTCAGCTTCCTGGGACCCTTGGTTTATCCTGCTGGGTGCTGACTAGGGACACAGACTCATGGGGCTTATAGGGACACAGGCTCCCTGTGGGACATGGAAGGAAGATATCTGGGCTATAGTTATTGGTCCTCGGATTTCAGAAGTTGGCCTGGGTATCTGTCTCTGTGTCCAATCTTCCTGTCTCTGTTTAGAAAATGCAGGCCAGGAGGGGCAGCAGGAAGGCTATAAGAATGTTCACCTAAGGGATCTGCCAGCAGCTGGACTCTGCTGACCTGAAGTCCAAGCATGAATTCAATGGATAATCTTCACTTTTTTCCCTCTCTGATCAGCCCAGTGGGTTTTTTGTTCTCTCAACTTGCAGCATCTTTACTGGCCAGGAAAACATTTCTGCTTCCACTTTCCCAGAAGCTGACCCTGACATGATGTGTAGAAGGAGATCTTCTAGGCCTTTGCCTTTTCTATGTGTAAAGGCCAGGGAAACATACTCCAAATCTTAGGGCTAAATTGACTTCTGGGAGGAGATGTATCCTAAGCCCTAATTCCCTTCCATGAGGCTCCCTGCTGAGGGTTTCGTTTTGTTTGTTGAGAGAGTTGTTCTGGCAGTGACATCTTCCGAGACTGTGAACACAGGAACTGAAGGGAGGAGAAATTATAGATAGCTCTTGGAGAGCACAGGGATGAACAGGCCAAAACCAAATTCAATTATCCATCTCTTTTCCACTTCCTGTCCTGCATTGATTCTGAAAGACAAGAAAGAAAGAAGGGCTCACATTCCACTGTCTCTCTTTGGGGAAGGCACAGCCATTCAGTATTCGTGACTTCCTATATTAGGTTAATGGCTCTCTGTGTTTCTTATTGATAAGGACAGAACAGTATTTTCTTATATTTCTTCATTGGTAAACTCAAAGAATTTCTTTTTCTACATGATCCTTAATTGATGTTACAGTGAGTATTCCTTTGCTTAAGAAGGACACAGCATTGCAGCCTTACAGAGCATGGTTAGGACACTTGCTTCTGATCAGCATCTCTCAGAAACTGCACACTGCTCTCCACGTCAGCCTGGACACAAAGGCTTGTCCTTACCTGGGATGGGAAGGGGGTCGATGATCAAGAATTGAGACACTTTGTTGTCATGCATCCTGAACTCTCTTAACAAACCCAGGGTCACTGAACCACTGTGTTTGAAATTACACTGTGGAGCCACCTACCACATGCACGAATATTTTTTTTTTCCCCTGGAACGATGATGTTGTAAGCTGTCCTGCAAACTCATGTTTCTGTCTTTGCCAATGCCACAGACGCAGGGAAGTGGGAAGGAGATCAGAAGGAACAAGAGTCCAGCTGGTCTGTGGTTTGGGCCAAATATTCCCTTACCTTCTCATTTTCTCTAAAATTTTCCAGACTATTTGTAAAGATAGATTCCTCTTTAGAAGGTGGAAGAGTACAAGAGAAATAAAAAATGAGAATCCAAAAGGAGAGATGGCTTCTCAACCATCTGAAGAGCCCAGTGGCCATAGGCAATTGGGCCCTGAGAAATAGACCCCTGGACTTAAATTTCAAATGCACACTAGAGAATTATGGCACAGTCACACAGGGCTCCTGAGGTTTGGGGGCATAAAGAAGATGGGTACTTAGTCCCCAACCTCCAACAACCCTAGCAGAAATCTCCACCCATCCTGGGCCTAACACACCTCTCTCTTTGCTTTCCTAATAATCTCCAACTCCTTTGTTGTATTGGATGTTTTCGCCTAGCACAATTTCTATTCCGTATATAAAACAGTGTGTGTCGCACTGATGAATATGTTGTTATTGCTGTTGGAAATTGGGGCTCTGTGTTCAGCAAGGCTCAGAATTGTTTCTCCCCTAGGAATTTGAGACCAGCCTAGGCAAAATAGCAAGATTCCATCTCTGAAAAACTGAAAAACAAATTAACTGGGCATAGTGCTGCATTTCCATAATACTGGCTACTCCAGAGGCTGAAATGGGAAGATTGCTGGAGTCCTGGAGGTCAAGGCTGCAGTGAACCATGACTGTCCCTCTGCACTTCAGCCTACACAACAGAGACTCCATATCTTTAAAAAAAAAAAAATTAAAGAATTGTCCTTCTAGAGAGGTAAGAGCTTTGTTTGCCCAGCACCTCCTGTTTGTCATTGGCTGTGGGCTGCTTCAGAGCTAACTCCCTTACACTTCCAGTCTGTCCTTCCTGGAAGTTGAGCAGGCACCTGCCACCAGAAAGCCCACCATGAGAATGGTCACAAACTTGTGACAGTTTCTAGAGCTGCTCTTTAAATCTATATTTCAAAGCTACAATTTATCATCACCCATCTGCCAATGGGTGGACAAGGCCAAGGGACTCATCTGCTGTGGAAGGCCATTTCAAGGAAATCCATCCTCTCCACAAGACAGTGACTCAGATATTTCTGGCTTTCTCATCCCCTTAGCTGGCCAGGAACCTCACTGATCAGTTTCCTCACATCCATTATGCAATTATTCATTCTCCTGTAACTCATTTCATCAGTTTAGCTTTCTTGGAAGGTCTTTGTGCAGGAAGACACTATTTTGAGTAGAAAGGATTGGGTTTGGGATAGACTGACTCTAAGAAAATTGCTTCCCAAGGAACAAAAGGCCTCTTTTTTATGACCTTTCTTAAAACTGTCTTCAAAATTATCACTTTTATTAATATTTTCTCACCCTTAGAATTATGGCCCAAATGGCTATAATTAATAAGTAAATATTTCTGCTTTAATTCAAGCACTGCTATTACGCAGAAAAAAATTGTAATTCATCAGCCTTTAAATTCTTTTCAATAATGTATAGATTATAGCAACCTGAGTGGCTGTGTATTATCATATGTAAGCCACAGATTAAGTCCTATCCATTAGCAAAATATTGTTTTCAGGGAACTGTCTCCATTTTAATGGCTTCCTCTTAACACTGAAGTCCCCACCAACTTTTAAGGTCTGAAGTTAAGACCTTGAAGTTAATAGGCCTCCATTAGTCCCAAAAGGCTTAAGAAGAATTAAGGCAGAAAATTTGCCTGAGGTTACTTAGTAATCTATAGTGTAAGTAGGGTTTTGAACAACTCATTTCTGCTGTTTTCCCTTAGAATTTTTGTAGGGGCAAGAGTTCCAGCGGACGTCTCCATACTTCCATGGTGACTTACCAGTGGCCACAGGCATGGGTGTGTAAGCTGGTGAACCTAATAAGAGTGCGAGATAATCATGCAGCATTCTCTCTCATGCATGCTCGCACTGCTGTGTTCTAGGAACCTGGGGGATTTTTATATCCCAGAAAACACTGTTAAGATTTCTTAAGCTGCCTTCTTTCCTCCAGAGGCATGCTCCACAGTTCTTAATATTTCAACCAGACATGCACTTGTCAAAAGTGAGTCCCTCAGATATCATCGCTACTGTTCCTTAGGAGCAAATAGTGGGTAAACCCTCCTGAATAATGAGCTGCTCTTCTCCCTCGAGTAGGTTGCAGAATACACTGCTCTTTTCTCTGCAGCTCCATGGATTCTGCAGAACAAAACATTCGATGCACAGTTTCTTCAGCTGCACACTCTCATATTTAAGCCTGAGGCTATAGCATTTTTGACTGTGACGATCCAGCTGCTGTTCAGTCTGCTCTCACTAATAACTCCATTATAATATTTATAATACTGTCGATTGAACGAAGAGCCCTGCTTGTCCCCACAGACACTATCAAATTACCTTCCATCTTTAGTTCATGCTCATGCCTCAGTTCTCTTCTGAGAGAGGGCAGACCTGTTAACAAGGAGGATCACCACTCAAATCCTTTGCCAACATTACACCAACTATAGCTAAAAAAAAAGAGTGCCCCATCTGCCTTGTCTTGGCTTAAAGCCGCTAGTGCTATTGATTCCAAGGGCTGTGAGCCTTACAGCCGGAGTCTTACTCCCCACATCAGCCTGTGTGGGCCTTACTAATGTTTAAGGACTAGAGCACTTGCAGGGATTTTTGGGGGGTTGAGGAGATACTGGAATTATTTTTGTTAATGAGGTGGGTGAATTTTTATGGCAGTGTTTGCAAGACACTGAACTTCGAGAATAATTGAACCTCTTTCACCTAGTGAAAATATGACAGATAATATTGTGTTTTAGAGATCCTGGGTGACATCAAGGGAGAGATGACAGGAACAAAATGTGTTTCAGGTGGCTCAACATGAGAAATGGGTCTTTGAGATTGGTTCTTGCCAAGATAATTGATCTCAGCCTTTTAACAATTGAAATGGACAGATGCCATGCTAAAGGCACAACGGCTCATGCAAGGTCATTTAGAGTGAAAATGCAAACAAGCAGGCAGGGATTCCTGAGACCCCAGAAAGCTGATGCCTTTTTTTTTTTTTTTTTTAACCATCTTAGTGTATAGTGTTTTCCAGGAAGGGCAGTGGCCAACTAGTCCAGGACTGGAAAGATATCATAGGTATGTTTGTACAGGAAAGCAAAATAGCAAATCTAAAAAGCCAACCAAGGAAAAATGGCTCTGGCAGATCACAGAGACCCATACATATAGGCATGTACTAAACAGTATTAATAAAATTTTAAAGTAGCCTCAGCTATGAGTCAACACTGTATTGATATAACATTTAAGTCAGATCCCAGGGCAAAGGCTTTTCTTTTAAAGTGTGTGTAAGTAAGTGTGTGTGTGTGTGTGTGTGTGTGTGTGTGTTTTCCGTAATCCTACAAAGGAAACAGGAACTATATATCTGAAAGTCTGTAAGTTTTTTGAGTAAAACCACAGTGAAAGTCTGGTCAGAAGGAAGTGTCATTTTCTCCAAATTAAGCCAGGAAAATAAACATAGTGCTGTCCCTTTTCAGATCTTAAACTGAGTTTCAGTTCGTTAATGAGAGAAAACTGATAAAGCAAATAATGAAAATTGCTAGGGGGAAAATTGTTGGAACTATGTAATCTGGTTGAAGGAAATTATATCCCATGGTGAAGGCCAACATAATGGAAAAGAGATTCACAGAAAAATGAAGTTGCTCCAGAAATTTGAGATTATCGTAATTAGCTTCTTGCATTTATACTTTCTTTTGTTTTTCACTGTGCAAGATAAAAATGCATGTGTAAGTAAGTGGTCATTTATTGGTTAATAAAAAATTCTGAGTGATGAGAAAAATTTAATTGGTAGTTTTATTTTTCAGAATATGAAATAATGTATATGCTACAATTAATGTTGGTCTAAATTTTTTGAGAATATGTTTCATATTATCTATTTTAGCACAGAACTCATCCTTAATTTTGGGGGAAGCTAATTACTAAAAGAAAAAAATGAGAAAAGGAGGAAAAACATTGATGTAACAAAAAATAATCATAGCAACAATATGCTATAGTGCTTGCGTTTCACTTTTTATAATTGGCCCTTTTTCCCATCTTGTTGACTCAATTTGTAGAGAAATTCTACCATCCAAATTCTCTTATTTTTTCAGTTACAGTTGATAATAAGTAGCAAATTAAAAAATTACCGAGGTGCATTTCATAAGCAAAGACAAACAAAATACTATTGTTGGTAGGCTTAAAAATAAGAGTGCCAGCATTTGACATATAAATGGAAACATAGTAATAATGCAGACTCTTTGGGGGAAAATGCGTATTTGTATGCTTCTTTAAGAAAACAGGGAACTGTTGTGTAGTTTTTGGAAATATTTTCTTCAAAATGGTTATTTTTCATAATACTAAAAGAGCGGAATCTCAGGTGTCTTGAAACCTTCTTCAGAACCTCCTTCCCCAACTGTAACAAATAAATTAGTTTTTATTATACCTTTTCTGTTTTACACAGATTCTCAATTTAGCTTGTTGGAAAAAAATACACATTGAAAATAGAGTGTTATCAGTAGGGAGCATTACTTAGTTGTGGAAGATTTATTAAGATGTTAAATTTTATATTTGGAAAGGAATGTGAGACAAGCATGCCAAGGATGGAATTAATGACAAAGTCAGGCAAATTCAATGCAAAGTGGTAATGTCTATGCCAATTATAGCACCATCATCTCTTTCCAGACAACTGAATGTTTGCATGAGGGAACAGAAGATAGCCCAGCCCAGATTCCTCACTAACAGCAAAATTAACCATCACAGCTTTAAAATACTTACACTCAAATAGTATTTCTGCTCACTCTCCTAATAACTGAACTGTAGTTAGAGACTTTGTCTATGTTATCTTATGCTGCTCTCAGAAAATGCAATAAAATAATGCTTTTAGCTTTTTCTTTTAAACAGGACAGAAATATGTGTTTTGGCTTTGTTTTATGGCATTGTAATTAGACCTTTCTTCATCCTCGGATTTTCATTATATAGATTTATTTAAAAATGAAACAAAGCAAATTTGTTTTCTGTGTGTTCTTTCCAGAGTTAGGTTTAATAGAGCAAAAGCAAGTCGTTTATCAAAGAGTTTTTTGAAGAACAGCGAGTGAAGGGTCATATCTCCTTTACATGAAAAACACAATTCCTGAGCAGTGATATAAGAATGCAGTTACAGGTGAGGATAGTTTTACATGAATGGGTCAACCATTGTTATTCACTGTATTTATTTATGTATTCATTACTTGGCAAGATTTTCTGAATATATATACTCACATCATGACAAGCTCTTTGCAGAAACTTTGCAGGAGGGTGTGTTAGGAATTTGAATAAAACACTTGCTCTCTGGAAATTTTTGGTTAAGTTCAAGACAGCATAACTGTCAAAAGTTAATTGCAGTGAAGTGTTGTTACATTAGATCCTTTTCCCCTTCATTTTTTCCTTTTCTATTCATTCATCTAATAATTTATTTAGCAAACAGTTAATGAACACATTGCATTTCAGGAATTGTGGTAGGTGCTGGGGATAGAAAGCTGAATAAATCATGTCTTTATTCAGAGCAAAACTCTAGAGATAAACTATTCGAATGAATGTGATGGAGGCAAAAGGAGCTAGACTGCATTATTGTTTCCAAGTGTTCACTCATCTTTCCAATACAAGGATTACTCATCCTTGCCTATTGCCAAAGCGCACACAGTGCCTCCTATTGATGTTGAGTTGATCCATGGGTTTGTTTTGACCGATTATATGTGACTAGATGTGATAAGTCTCAAATCCAAGAGGCAACTGTAAAAGCTATTGCATGAATCTACCAGCTATTACCACAGAACAGGCAAGTTCAAATAAGGGTTTGTCCTTCAGCCTGATTCCCAGAATGAATGAGAAGGTACATGGAAAAGGGTTCAGCAACCAATCCTCAGCTGCTTACATGAAAGAGAGTGAGAAATGAAGTTGTTGTAAGCCATTGAGAATTTTTGGTGGTAACTTGTCATGGCAAGACTGACGAATACTGTGCTATTTAACCTTCCCTATAAAATTCTAAAAATTAATTATTGAAAAGGTTGTGAATGAGCTGGATTTTAACTTTTTAACCCAGTCAAGTAAGAAGATGGTTCTTATTATTTAAAACAGGATGAGGTCACGTTTTTCTGCAGCAACATGGATGGAACTGGAGGCCATTATCTTAAGTGAAATAGCTCAGAAGCAGAAAGTCAGATACTGCATATTTTCACTTATAATTTGGAGCTAAATAATGTGTAAATATGACATACAATGTGGAATAATAGACAATGGAGATTCAGAGGGTGGGAGGTGGATGATTGATAAAAAATTACTAAATGAGTACAACGCACATTATTTGAGTGATGGTCAAAAGGCCAGATTTCACAAGTATGACATATATCAATGTAACAAAGCTTCACTTACCCCTTAAATTTATACAAACAATAAAAAAGTCATGAGAAAATCCGAGGAAGTACAGACACAGATGATATGTTTGAACAAATAAAGATAGTTTGGTGAAGTCCAAGTGAAAGGGAATATACAGTGAGAGATTAAATTGAAGAGGGAAGAAAGAGTTATGGCTTGTATATCATTCTAAAAAGTTAGTATGCTTATCCTCAAGGCAAAAGGCAATAGGGAACTAAGGAAGGTTTTAAAAAAATGATTTTGTAGTTTGAAAATTATCTATAGTGTCAGTACTTAAAATCCTTTGGAGACACAGACACACACAGACATACGCAAACACAGAGAAGGAAAGAGAGAAAGAGGAGAGAGAATGAGAGAAGAAAGAAATAGAGAAAGTCCTGTTTAAAAGTTGTAGCACATAAAGAAAATGTTATTTGAAGCATCACTTTTGCAACATTTTATTTGTCAGAGCTACAGATCAAGGCCATTCTAGGGAAAAGGGGCAACATTATGGAGAGCTAGAATAAAATTAGAAAGATGATAGATGATAGATAGATAGACAGATAGATAAATAGACAGATAAATGATAGAGTCATCAGGAAGTTGGTGAGACTTCAAAGTAGGGTTCATTTGGGCCTTATGGGGAAATCAGTCTAACAGGAACATAATCAATAGCTAGGTCATTAAGAGACTTACATATGTCCTATGGACATGTTTAGACTTTATTGATTGATAATTTAGGTGACATTGGAATAATTAAAGCAGGGGAATGACATGGTTTGACTGCATTTTAGACAAAGTTTTCCATAAAGAATGAATTGGAAGTAGACAAAGGAGAAAATTTTTACTAGGAAGCCAAGTTCAGGTGTTAGAGTAGTGGTCCAGGTGAGCTTGAACAAAGACCTGAACAAAGGCAGTGGCAATAAAGTTAGGGACAAAGAATTGCATCTGAGGAAGGTTTAGGAAGGTGAATTGACACAGTGTACTCATTGTTTGGTCAAGGGAGGTTAGAATTAAAATTGACTACGTGTCTGGGTGTGTGAATTTGTCCATTTTGTGCCACTAAAACAATACCTGAGAGTAGGTAATTTATAAGGTACATACATTTAATGTTTACAGTTGTGGAGGCTGGAAAGTAGAAAATCAAGGCTCTGGCGTGTTTGGTGCCTCACGAGGGCTGCTCTCTGCTTCCAGGATAGCACCTTGTCGCTGCATCCTCTGGAGAGGAGGAACACTGTGTCCCTGCATGGCAGAAGGTAGAAAGGACAAGCTAGCAAACTCTTAATGAAGCCTCTTTTGTAAGGATATTATTCTCATTTGACAGGGAGGAGCCTGTTGTCAGCAGTGCAAGGTCAGACATAACCAGTATACTTGTTTTGTTTCTCAAGGTCAGACTTTTATTGATGTTATTTCAATCACAAACACCATGAACTTCATAAAGTTCCCAAGTAGGTAATTCTCCTTTGTACTATCTGTTGACTCAGTTGTCAGCCATGGACTCACAGGCTCAAGTCACTCCACAACTTAGTCAATATGGCAAATCATACCTAGTAGTTTACTTAATATACAAATGTTATAGATTAAAATTTCATACCAAACATAGTAACACTTAACATCAAGAGAAAGAGACATAGGAAAGGGGTTAAGGAAGCAATCCAAGGGGAGAAACGTGGACAAAGAGAGTATCCTGGCCTGACCCAGACTGTTGACAATGTCTTGCAAGGAAGAGTCCCTAGCTGCTGATCACTAGTGACAGCAATATGGGATCTGTCAGGATGGCTGTCTTGAGCTGGTGAAGTCCAGATCATTTTATGGTCCATGAGTCCTCTGATGAGGACTAATAATAAAGGGTGACACCCTGATCTGCTTGAGTATTGTCGCTACTGATTAGGCGAACATCTGGCCCCTGTTGGCATGATGCCTCTTGAAATATAAAATGGAGTCTTTTTCTAAGATGAAGTCATATGTCAACACTGTTCTATGCAGAGCCCTCATGGTCTACCCATCTCTTAAAGAACCCACCTTTTAATACTATCACATTGGCAACAACTGAATTTTTGAGAGTACACATTCAAACCATAGAAGTTATCCAGAAAGTCTGGGAAACAAGGATATGTTTAAATGCCCTTTTAGGAATAAGATCCTGTGACATAGAGTCAGGCTAATCCAGAAGTCGGAACCCTACTGGGCATCATCTTGCTCCCACACCAAGGGCCAGCAGAGGCCCTGTGAAAAATGACCTACCTAAAATGAGAAGTCCCAGGTTCAAATATGTTCTGTGCCACTTATCAGTGTGGGGATCTTAGCATACATAATCTGTTGGTCTTCAGTTTCTCAATCTGAAAGAAAACCTTATAAGTGATCTTGTAAGGTTGTGTAGGTATTCAGAGAGACAATGTATGTGAGAACATTGAAAGCCCCATCCCCTACCCTGAATTAGAAGTGGTTATTTTGTACTTTTCTTATTTGAAATTTCATTTTTCCCTGGAATATGTAAATTGGGTATCAAAAGGTAAGAGATGGGCCCAGAATTATCTATAAGAGGTTATTGGAGAAAAAAAAATACTGTAACTTCTGGATTATGAATTGCCGTTGTAACAGACAAGATACTTTGTTTCAAAGATACCTGAGTGGTGTGTACTATGGAAGAATCTGCTGAATTGTCTTGGTAAATTTTAAAGTTATGCATGGAAACTAAAAATCCTTTATCTCATTGCAGATACAAAGAATAGGGAACTATTCACATATGTAAACAATGTCCACAAACTAAAAATTGTAATGGGGTCTGAGGATCCTGAAAATGAAGGTGGGTGTGAATCAAGCATACAGTTATTACCAAAAGATATATTCACTTACCTTTAGGGAATAGTAAATATTTAAAAAATCACTCAGTTATTTTTGCGTGTATAATATATATACACACGTATATATTTATTGTCATGTTTTATCAATGATTTTTGAATTAACTGTATAAAACACAGAGGTCCAGTAATTTAGAATATTTACTCCCCATGCTTTACAAAAAGCTGCCTACATGTTGTTCTTTTTAGTTCTTTTATTTCTAGCAAATTATAGTAGCATCTTCCATGACCACAGACTATTTATCTTAGCAGGAAGCATTAGTAAAATGCATCTGCATACCGTGGATGCTCATCTGATAAGTGCTTCTCTGTGCACTGAATGTTTTTAACTTTCATAAATAGAACAATTTTCCCCCCTGGGTAAAATCTATTTCATAGATTAATATATACCCTTTCATCATTTAAATGGGCTGCAGTTAGAGATCTATGTTTATGACGCTGCTTTGGTGCACTGATAGGTGGATAATACATATTCGGTTCTTTCAAAAGCAACATAGTTATATTATTCACACCATTGCCTTTAATGAGCTGGCTCCGAGCCGTCATCATCAATCTTGACATTTATGCTCCCTTCATATTGTACCAGAGCCTTTTGATGACATAATTTTTGCTTGTATAATATGTGCCGATGTGAAGTATATTAGCCATGAAAAACCTAATTTATAACCCAAAGGGCCAGTTTGACCATTATCTGGAAAAAAAATTAGAAGATCTCACAGTTTCAAAATCAATGCTATTTCAGGGCAGATAAAATATATGTTTAATATCTTACTACTTGGTGAAAATTGCAAGGTTGATTGAAATGCCTCAAAAATAGGGATGAGAGCTGTGCAGTGGAGCAATAGAGGACTTGTAATTTATTTCTTTAATACAGCAGCAGTTTGTCAGGAGTGTCACAAAAATGTGGATTTGGCTTTATTATTGTTTGCACACTGCTCATCACAAATGAATACTTCATCCTAAGGCAGAGAAAACAGAAGAAATATTAACAGTTATTTAACTTGACCACTATTATATTTCAAGGAACTGCGTTGTTACCAGGGTTTTTAGACAAAATACAGAACCCCCAGTTAATCTTAAATTTCAGATGAATAATACATACTTTCTTTCCCTAGCATAAGTATGTCCCACATATGGCAACCCTAGTGGTCAGTGTTATTGGTTTAATGCTGCATGCTGTACCAGCAGAGTGAGAATATGGGTATGGTAGATGTGATGTTTTAAAATCTGCTTAGGTTTCCTTTGATTCTTTGGTAGAATTTATATGAAAATGAATTCTTAAGCATTCTGTATAAATCTCTGATCAGCTATCCAGAAACAACTGAAAGAACAAAATATAGGCTGCACTTAAATTATTCTTTAAGGCAACATTTGTTCCTCGATGTAAGAACATTGCTTATTTTTCAAAGATGTGGCCAAATTTAATAATGGATTTCCCATAAACTTTCTGGAAAATAAGCATGCCTTCAAAGGCATTGTAAGTTAAAGAAAGTCATGATAATGTGCTATACACTAAATTTGTTGGGGAAATAGTTCAAATAAATTATGATCTTGGAATTCTTTTCCATACCATCAGTTAAAGGAGGTGTGTATGGTGTCAAAGCACCTGGTAAATTCGGTCAATTCAATTACCAGTTAGTAAAAAAGTTTATAAACCTAATTATTGACCACGTCTTTAACAAAATGACTGGTACACCTTGTCAATAGTTTATTATTTTTGTGAACCTAATCTTTGATTTTATTCCAAGACTTAATCTTTCATAGCCTAGAACACTTTTGGTGAAATTTTTATATGAGAAAAAAAAACTAAGTAAACCACGAGATCATCCTAACTAGAGCCATAGAGGATATATGAGACCAATAAGAATCATGAGATTATTCCAGCTTGAACTCCAGTTTAAAATGGGTTTTTACACATTAGCAGAACCAGCAGGAATTGAGCTAATCTATACAACAGCATGATTGAAAAGACATAAATTTCTGCAGTCTTTTATGCTATGCTGTTTTGAAGCTATACTGTAATAATTTTGCCCAGTTTTAGTCTTCATATGATATTTAATATTGCTGTTATGAATATGTAGACACTATATTTTGGCTATGAAAGCACATTTATTCATGGCTTTTGTCACAAAGAATCACCAAGATTTAGATGTTTTCTTTTTTTGTTTTGTTTTGTTTTTTTCCAAGGTGTAACCTAGTTTATCCTGACTGACACTCACACAGAGTGGCCACAGAGTAATTAAGGGAACCATGTCAAGTATCTAGTAATGAACACAAATATACAAGTGGTAGTTAATTGAAACAAAAACAAAATTAAAAAAATGAAAGTCTGAATTATTCACAAGTTTAGAAGGTTTTTATATTAAGAAAGTAATTTCTGGCCAGTTGGTTCTTATTTAATGTATTGGACCCACAATTGCAGTGTGAATAGTGATCCATTTTATTGCTCCAGTAGGTCCATGTGACACCTGTATTATGAAATCTGCACTTGAAATATAGTTCATAAATCTCATTTAGTCTCATTCTGCTCCCCAAAATAGGTAACAACTTGATTCATATTGCTTATAACATGACATTTTAATATTACTATTTAATACCTAATTTTTAATAGTTGAACAAAGTCAAAGGCTTTGAGAACTGGTATGATTATACAAAAGGATAGAGAAAATTATTAAAATGTATTGACTGCTATTTCTCACCATTTACATAAAATAGATCATTTTATCATCAGAATATAATGGATCATCTAATCATCAGATAAACTATGCCAGCAAAAATAAAATGGCCAATATCTTAGAGGTAGGGAGTGAAAGTGTGAAATCTGTGTGTTTTTATGACATATCAACTTCTAATCTTCAGTTACCTAGAGCCGATCCTTTAACAAACATAATCTGTGTTTGTCAACCTTGAATGTTGACACTCTGTATGTATCAGGCAGAAGAGGTAGGCTAGGCTTTTGCAACAATCAAGACCAGAAATGTAGTAGCTTAAAGCAGTAATATTTTATTTGTTATTCATGTTACATATCAACCTGATTTGCCTAGGAGAATGTTTTACCCTGTATTCTCACTCTAGGATCTAGCTGTATCTGAAATTTCCTTGATACCTAGGGGGAGAAAAGAACATAGTAAAAACTCACACGGGTACTTAAATTTCCATAGAGAAAGTACTTGTCATAGGTGTGTCATTTGTCACTTTTAATAAACCCACAGAAGTTGCATGAGCCTACCTCATGTTTGGAGAGTACAATCTTTCCATGTACTTAAAAGGAGAGAGAGACAAGAGTATTTGCGTGAACACCACTGATGACACTTATAGACTATTACCTCAATTTCCCAGGCTTCTTTAGAGGAAGGTTTTGGTTTGGTTTGGAAATGGCTGTAAGTACAGCACTGCGAGCTTAGAGCAGGAAGCTGGAATTTAATTAAAATAGCATTTTTTTGCTTATTTCTACTGTAAAGGATTTTTAAAAGTTCTACTCATGTTAACTCCATACAATTGAAAATTTTAAACTTTTTATTGACTTAAACTATAAATTACCTACCTCTCTCCCCCTCTCCTTGTGTCCATCTCTTTCCCATTTTTTTCTGTTCCCTAATAAACTTAATGTTTTTTATCTTTATTTCCCTCAGTCATTTCATTCAGACATAATAAGTCTTGTTGACTTTCACATCAACCATGATGACTCTAAACTTTTGATTAAATATGCTATATAGAAAGTGAGGACAGAGACACTTAATAGGCTTGTTCAAATCTCAGTTGCACTTTGAAGCACACCTCTCAATTTCTCAGGGAATCCCCCACTCTGATAATTGAATAAAGACCCAGAGTTTGACATTAAATCACTGATAGTGGTTTTAAACTGAAAAGCAGTAGTGCAATTAAAGTGATTTTGTCCCAGTTCAGGCTAGATGTTCAGGCACTGTTTATAGGAACCAAACACAATGGATACTTGATTGATTTCTTTCTATAGTTGACTTATTTTCTGAACTAGTCATTTTCCTTACTAAAAATCTTATTTTCTCTTGAGCCATCACTACCACGTCTAACACTGAATAATTACGTAATATATTCTAAATAGACCCTGGATTATGGAAACTAGATCTTACATTCTGATGGTTAATAAATGAAATATTTTTTATTTCAGTATTTTTAGAATATTTTAGAATAAAATACATTTATTTTAGCAAAAACAAACATATTTCCATGTATATTTATAGACATCACTCACCGTCATCATCAGTGAGTATGTTGGAACACATTTGCCAGATACAAGGCTCCTTTATAAGAATGCATATCCTTTTAGCATCATACCAAATAAACATATTTAACAGTCATTTATTTACCTATGATATACATTTGTGTATTTCCAGGCCTTATTCTAGTTCATGACATTTTAACAAATAGTCACGGTACCTGGTATCACCTTATTCGTACCTGATGTCACCTCCCTGGAGTGCTGGACATGGGAGTTCTCACAACAGTGGTAGCTATGATGGGGTAGAAGGAAAGACTTCAAGCTAAACATGCTGTCCACAGTAAATGTGCTCAGGTATGGTGTGGTCAGAGGACTGCTGGGCTGAAAGAGGACCAATATTTTACTGGTAGGTGTAAGGGAGTGGCACGGGAAAAGGATGGACAGGGTGCTGAATGCAATCTTCATTTGTTCTAAAATTCTATTCTAGACAGGACTTATTTTTTAGTACAGGTGATGAAAACAGGTATGTTATTTGCTAGCTTTTGAATCTGTTTGTTTCTAGTGATGGTGATGGTGCTGGTGGTGGTTCCAGTGAACCACAGAGGACTTTGTGTTGACTGTGCATTGGGAACACAGTTCTTACACACAGTCCAGGGCACATAAGTGACAAGTGTCTGCAACTCAGGGCCGTTGCAATAAGGTGGCAGGTGGGTAGGATACCATCCTGGCAATCTCTCGCCCTTTATCTGGCAGTTTACAAATTCATCCTTAAAATAAGTCATTGTTGAATGCCTTTCACCCCTGGCGTCTGTAAGCATTCCCAGTTTTACCAGAAAATAGTCATATTGACTTGTTACTCAGATGGTTGGAAGCATTCTTATGTCTAGACTGGTTGTCTGTCTAATGAAATCTCATTACATTTATTTTGATCATTCTCAACCTTATATATTTTTTTGAATTCTTTAGTGACAACTTTATCATACGTTGGCCTCAGCTAAACCCCCAAAGGGCAGTGGGGTTCTGTTTTCTTGATAGATGGAAAGATTTCATATTTTTTTATTCAAGTCCAAACAGAAAGCTTGAATAGATTTCTTCATAGACAAGTGTTTATGTAATGTCTACTGTCTACCAGTGAGGCTTTGTGCACAGTACTAAGGACACGCAAATAAATCAGGATGCCCATAGCTTATTGATGATGACAGCGAGGTTCATGTTTGGAATACCAAGGAATAGGAAGGTGATCAAGAAGGGCTTCAGAAATGTTTCCCTGATTAGGGTATTATTTATGTAAATGGTCAAATTACTTTTTTGGCAAAATCCTTTGACCTATTTTATCTTTCTTGTTCTGAAAAGATACCTCAGTATCAAAGAAAGTTTGTATTGGTTGGTACAAAAGTAATTGCAGTTTTTGCCATTAAAAGAAATGGCAAAAACCACAATTATTTTTGTACCAACCTAATATAACTTAAAATTTGTAAATCGATGATGGGTAAGTTAAATTAATTATGGATTTATTTATCAGTTATGCTAAAGTATACCACACTTTAATAAAAATGGTTAAGACATTTTAATCATGAAATCCTGGAATTAATATACTAGGAATGACTTAGCTTTACAATTGGTCAGACATCACTATCTTGCAATCTTTTGAAACATTTACCATGCCTCCTATAGTAGTGGATCCACCATGATTCCTGTTTTACTGCTGTCAGAATTATACCATTTGAATTAATGCCAAGGTCTGTACGGTATTTATTAGTTAATACGTAGGTCATTTAAATTTTAAATTCACAACTCTACTGTTGAAGGTGAATAATCAAGTAAAGAATGAAAAGAAAATCCTCTCGTTAAGCCATATAGACCTAAATTCATGATAACTTGTACATATGAGTGTACAATTGACCCTTTTTTTCTCTTGCTAAAAAATACACTTTAAAATTTACTAGGAACACGTTGTAGTAAAAGAGAGAATGAGAATAAAATAATTAAAATAATTTCATGCATATTTAAGGGAATGGTAAAATCTTATGTTTTTACATGTGTTTCTGTGGTGATTCCTGTAATAAGAAGAATGCTGACTGTTAGGAATTTTTTTAATGTGAAATTGATTTTGAACATTCCTGCTAATATTTGGTAATGTCAAAAAAAAGCCTCAAAGTAGCTAAAGAACAATGGGTACTTGATTGCCTTATGGAGTTTATGCTTTTATATAGATTAAAAAACTGTCAAGTGTGTGTGCACGCGCGCGCACGTGCAGGCATGTGTGTGTGAGAGTGTGTGTGTGTGTGTGTGTGTGTGTGTGTGTGTGTGACTGGCTTGAGGATAAAGCTGTGAGGTGTGAAGCATAAACAATAAGAGCATTCCTCTTTCCCCCCTTGGATCTGTCAGTTCTCATCTCTTGTAGGATGACAAAGATGTTTTTGTCTTAAAGCAATTGGTTTAATACAGTCTTACTGAGTCCAAATTGCTGACAAAAAGAGGATTTTGTTTTTCATTATTTCATGAGGTGAAGTGTGAAGTCACTTTATGAGGTGAAGTGAGATTCCAAAGGTGCATTTTATTTGTTTTATTTGTTTGAGTGTTATAAATGATTTGGGACTTTTCTGCTCTTCTTTTCTCTGACCATTGCAAAAAGACCTGTTGGTGGAGAAAGAAAGAAAAACTGGATTCACAAATATTAAGGATTTTACTGAAATGCCAGTGTTCTCAATGTCTGTTTGAACAGTTGTTAGGTTTAAAAAAGAGCATGATGAATATCAATTTTTGTGCCCTTTGTTAGCTTGAGATAGAATAAGAAAGCATTAAAAGAATTTTCAGCTGCTTCTGATGATGAAGGTTCATCTAGAGCCCACCATAGGTCTTCATTACAAAGCGTCTGAGTTTCCCAATTGTTTCCTCTGCCTCTGTTCTTACCTACCCAGATTATAGACATGTCTTATCACTTTGTATACTTTTCCATGATACTCAGCATGTAGTAGATACTTATAGTAAATATCATGTAATTATTGTTTTACAAGAGTATAACAGAGGTTTTAAAATACTGAACAGTAGTGTATAACGTGAAGATTGATGACTGTTGCCATAGAGCTCTGCCTCTCAGACTTTCTGTGGTTCAGAGAAAGTGTGTGTGTGTTTGTGTGTGTGAGTGTGTGTGTGTGCGTGTGTGCGCTTTCCTAATCTGCCACAGAGCAGAAATAAAATAACAAAGACATATGTGGGAATGCAAACTCATATAGTCATTATGGAATATAGAATAGAGGATCTTCAGAAAATTAAACAATAAAACTACCATATGACTAGCAATTCCACATCTGGATATATATCCAAAGGAAATAAGATCACTAATCTCAAAGAGATTTCTGCACTCCCATGTTCACTGCAGCATTATTCACAATAGCCAAGATATGGAAACAACCTATGTGTTCATCAATAGATGAATAGATTTAAAAATGTAATATGCACATAAACACACACACAGTGGGATACTTTTTAACCTTAAAAACCAAGGAAATCCTGCCATTGGTAACAACAGGAATAAACCTGTAGAACGTTATGCTGAGTGAAATAAGCCAAACATGAAAAGACAAATACTGCATGATCTTGCATTTATGTGGATTCTAAAAAAGTTGAACTTATAGAAACAGAGAGTAGGAGGCTGGTTACCAATGGTTGTGGATAGGGAGAAATGGGGAGTTATTGGTCAAAGGGTACAATAAGATGAATAAATTCTGGATACCTAATGTACAGCATGGTAACTATAGTTAATAATGAAGCATTGTATATATAAAATTTGCAAAGACAGTAGATACTAAATATCGTTACCACAAAAAAAGAAAAAGGTTTACTGTGTGAGATGATGAGTATTTTAATTTGATTTATTATGGTAATTCTTTCACAATGTATATGTATATCAAGACATCTTATACAGCTTAAACATATAAAATTATTATTTGTCAATTATATCTTGATTGGAGGAAATCAAGTTGGAGGAAAAAAGACATATAAAATACAAGCCAATATCTTGGTCTTGTGACTCAGCAACCATGAAATTCTTCTCCAAAGTACCAGAAATACCTTGAAATGCTGTCAACTTCTATACTTAAGTTATGGCAGACAGGTAAGAGATTGTGGACCAACTATGTATTTATAGACTACACTTTGAGAAGTAGTGGGTTAAATCACAGATAATTAGGTTTTTATTTCCATCCATTGAGTGAATTATAATGTCACTGGAATTAAGTGTATTTTGTCCAACTCCAAATATGTAATATTAAGACAAAAATGTCTTCAAATTTCATAATTGTATGTGTGTGTAGTAGTGGCAGGAACCTGTGTTATTTTGTAACTAGATATTTTGATTTCTAAGGAGGAAAGATTTTCTTTTCTTTTTTCTTTATTTTTGGTAAAAATTATTTCTCAGATGCAAATTTACATATAGAATTAAAACATTGTAAATGACCAGAAAGTAGCTTCTTGATGTATTGATAGTTAAGAAATAGAGGGCAGAGATGTTAAAAAATTTGGTGATTTTCATGTGAAGTAAGATTCCATGTGAGCCTTCTTATGTGAATTAGCTCAAGAAATTTGAGAACTAGAGAAATAGAGACCACATGATCCCACTTTTAAAACACAGACCAAAAAAACACATTCTTTTACATACATATTAATTGTGTACATTGTTTGTGCTTGGAGAGCAATGTGTATAATCCACAAATGCTAGTTAATGCCTGGGAATACAGGTGAGATTAAAGGGTTAGATATGTCTATAAGATAAAAGAGGCAGTAGTAAACAGGAAAACTATACAAAAATGTAGAATACAAAATGTATTTAGATAGCAATACAATATGTTCTTATTAAATGTATACATAAACAATGAGTAGAAAATTGCCCCAAAAAATCCTTTACTCAATTTTGGGTGGAATTGTTGACAAATATCCTTGGATCTCCATTACTATCATCTGAATGAAGTAATTATTTTTCTCTCTCTTTTTGACTTGTATTGTGTTTCATAAATGTGAACTAGATTAGACAAAAGATTTGAAGCAATTTCTTTATATATTTCTCTCTCTGTCCATCTCTGTATCTACCTGTCTGTCTGTCTAGGATTTGATATTGCTCTAATGTTTGAACAGAATACAGAAATACCAGGTGTCTCCAGCTCTAGAACTGGTTTGGATTGAAGGGCTATCTAGTGGAGAGAGAGAAGCTGCTAGGTAGGGATCATAGAAGAGTTACATAGAAAGTGCCAAGGAGTCACCATGAGGAGGGGAGGGGATGTAGTAAACTCCTAGTTGTATCCTATTAAAGTGAAAGACTTGGGCAGGGGTCTAGTAGCAGCCCTTCAACAATTCAGAAGTTATTGGTCAGTGAAATTGGCCCCGGTATTGGAAATCACAGAGAGGTAAACACCAGTCTTCAATGTACAGACATCTGTTGGGGGTTGGAATTCAGGATGAGAGCTATGGTGAGAAGGAATGTGTTCTCATAATGAAGACTGACATCCGTCCTTTCTAGTAGAAGCCAGTGGAGCTGTCCATCCAGGACACGAGGCTATGTGTCCTCCCTCTGCATAATAATCAACTTTTCTAGTGTAGACAGAAAAAGCTTAGGAAATCAAATCTGTTCCTTGAGGCCTAGGTATTTGCTGGTGAATGCACAGGAGGATTAAACCCTTTGAAAAGTCCTCAGAGATACTTTCAGTGTTTGGGACTCTACTGTTCAGAAGTAGCCTGCAAGGGAATGTGCAGTCATGTTTTGGGAAGTACGGTCCATGCCGTCTCCCCCTGCTACACTCTACACAAGGTTAGTGTCTTCTACATGTTGGGTAATTGGGAAGGTGCTGGGCCCCAGGAAGTAAAAGCCAAAACCTGCATAGTAGCCAGCCTTCCAGTTATTTATTTTCCTTACACACTTAGGCATACTTTGAAAAATTAAATGGAAAGTTTGGGCAATTACCTCAAGAATTTAGCCTAAAACAGAACAAAACACAATTAAAAAAATCAAGATGATATATATTTTATTTTGTATTGTTGATATTCAGATTTTTCTAAAATGGTTTTAGTTTCTCTTTCGTTTATCATTTTCAAAAATGCACAAATTTGCCATCATCTCTCATGAGAGGCACTACTAATGCAGTGACCTTTTGAGTAAGGTCACCACTCCATTGATTGTGGTTATGGACATATCTCTATTAAGTCAGGCTCTGATTGGATAGATTTAGCTGCTTTTTATTTTAGAAAACGTTATACTTGACAATTAGGATTTTCTATCATAACATTTTAACAGTTATAAATATTGAATTAATAATACACTAATGGTATTTTTTAAATAATGCATATACTGTGTTTGATCTTCATATGGTAAGTAGAGAGAAACATATGAGAGTAACAACTTGCGTTACTTCCATCTTTTAAGTGTTGAATCAGGCACGTTTCTCTAGTCTTATAAACTCTAAAAGCTCTTCTTTGTGTTTGTTAACACAAAACAGAATTTTCAGACTATTGCTTATACTTGTTTTATTTAATGTGAATTCAGGGTTTAGATACATATACTCACAGAGTGCAATTGTGATACTCAAAGAGCTTCATTGAATTTATTTCCCTTAGAAAAGGTTAAATAGGGTTGAAATATTTGAGCACTTTATTTTCATTTTTTCAAATATCTAGATCAGGGGTCAGACAACTACACGCATAGGCCAGATCTGGCTTGCTGCTTGCTTTTTTTTTTTTTTTTAATAAAGTGTCATGAGATTGCAGCTACACCTACTTGATTCAGTATTATCTAGGGCAGCTTTTGCACTATAATGGCAGAGTTGAGTAGTTGTGCCGGAAACCGTATGGCCTGCAAATACTAAAATCTTAACTCACTAGCCCTATGCAGAAAAAGGGTGCCAGCCACTCATCTAGGTGAATAAATAAACTTCATGTAAAGCTCTAGAATTTTTAAGTAGTATGAATAGAACATTGATGTGTTAACTGAGTATGCACTGAAGATATAGTTTTATGTCTTCCAGGAACAAAATATATAAATGGAAAAATCTGTCAGTGAGTCATGAAAAATATTTCTAAAGGTGGACACTTAATTTAAAAATCTAACCTGTGTAGGGATTCCAAAATGTGCCAGCCACTGGTTTCTGTCCTTTACATGTATTTTCTTATTTAAGCATCACAGCAATCCTATGAAGTAGGTACTAATATAATCCTTCCTTTACAGATGAGGAAACAGAAATATTAAAGAATTTGGTGTTGCTCATGAGGGTATCATCAGTAGAGCTGGCTTTGAACTCAGGAAAACTGATTTAATAATCAGCATTCTTCACCATCACCTTTTCTCTATGTAGCAACAACAAAGGAAAGTTTCATAATGGAATTTTTAACAGCTTATGGAGGTATAATTGATATGCACATTTAATGTATACTATCAGATGAATACACTGCTGATACTCTCAGCACAACCAAGGTAATACATGTAAATCCATCACATCCATAAGTTTCCTTGTGTCCTTTCTGTGGCAAGAATGCTTAACTTGAGATCTACACTCTATACATGTTTAAGTGCACAATACCATGGTGTTAGTTTTAGGCACTATGTTGTACAGATTTCCACACTTACTTATCTGGCAAAACTAACACTTTATATCTGCTGAACAATCCTCTATTTCCCCCTCCCATTCCCAGGAAACCACCATTCAATTCTCTACCTCCATGTTTCTCTATTTAGATAACCTCATATAAGTGAAATCATACAGGATTCGTCTTTGTAAGACTGGCTAATTTCACTTATTATTAATAAACAAAAGATAACACATATTGGTGAGGATGTAGAAATATTAGTGAAATGTAAAATGGTACACTTGTTTTGGGAAACAATATGGGGGCCCTGTAAAAAATAAAAATAGAACTAGTATATGATTCAGCAATTCCACTTCTGGGTATATATCCAAATGAATTGAAACAAGGATCCTAAAGAGATTCTGCACTCCCATTTATATTGCAGCAGCATTCACAACAGTTAACATATGGAAATAACCTAATTACCCATCAGCAGGTGATTGTAATGGATAAAGAAAATGTGATACATATGTACAATGAAATATTATGCCGCAACATGGACTTTTAACATATTGTGGATTATATAGTTTGATATGTTGATGGTAATCTATAGGGTTATATTTGCATTTGTTGCCATATAGCCTATTATTCATAATTAATGTACAGTCTTATTAATTTTACTTATATGTAACTCATGATTAATACTTTTATGTTCAATATTTGAAAGGAGAGGTCTCTCTGTACCTGTACCTAAGGAAAATATTGCTATTATGAGTTTTACATTCTCTGCTAGTTGTTTAAAATGCTGTAATCTTAGACATAAATTGAGAACAGTTAACTATGTAAATATCCCTGAAAACTTTGCTTTGAACATAGTTGTAATGTCTTTCTTTTGAGACAAGGGTGAAAAAAAGCTAGGTTGACAAAATGAAATAAAAAGGTACAATTAAATAAAATTATAGGTAGCTCTTTATGTAATCATTTTGCTGAAAATTACAGGGTTTCTCTCTCTCACATAAAAAAATGTTTTACCAGAATTGTTTCTCCAACTTTCCTCTGGTAACATACTAATAGTTATACATTGGCAGTGTGATCCAGAATTGAGGTAATTATGGTGTAAGTTTAGGCTAAAAATATGCACTCATCTGAGGTATTTGGTTAAGTGAGGCAAAAATAAATATAAAATGTAAAGGCTTTAAACCTCATTCCACTTGATAGCTTGGCTTTATAATTTGAAACTCACACTTTTTTCTAGATTAGTATCATGAATTAGTCTCCTGCTTTCTGGAGTCTAATAATTCTCTCACAGGAAGCATGCCAGGGCATTTCCCTGTGTTTCGATCTGAAATATTTTAAACTACATATATTATGAACTAACTGGGCATTTGTCATTTAGAATACAGTTTGGAAAGTGTTCTGAAAAGTAGTCACTTTTTAAAAAAATCTACATACATAGTCTGTGTGGGTAGAATGACTGGGTAACACATATTTGTCTCTCCTAATGTAATCTCATCGTCACACACTTATCATTACTGAACACTCTTCTGTATTTAGTACTGTATAGATAATTGTACAGTATGATAAAGACAAACTTGTAGAGCAAGGTCTTTAAACAACATGGATAACAGCACATTTTGCTATTGGAATAAGTAACTTAAGCTCTTCCCTTTGAGTCTTTTTAAAGTCTTCCAGAAGCCCCTTGCGCACCTTCCTCACATTGTGGTAGTTTCTGTGTTGTCAAGTCTATCATGGAATCACAAAGCAACAGACATCCCAGCTTCCCATGTCTGTGGAGAGAAAACTTGTCATTTAATTTCCACCAATCAGTGCCCACATGGTAGGCTTTGGGTAAGACATGAGCTAACTGAGGGAACAGGCACATGCCATTTGCTGATCCAGGTGTTGGGGGTGGTGGTGGCAGCTGCCTGACAGTGGTATTATGTGAGGCTTACAACATGACAGTGTCTGCATCTTTGCCAGGGTATTTTGGTGTAATTCTTGGTCTTAAAAATTTAGCCTAGAAAATTTCTCTCTAGCTATGCAGTAATTCTGTGAATTCTGAATATCTCTTAAGTCTATACCTTTCAAAATGAATTAGAGTGAATTCTGTGCATGCGTGTATGCACAGCTGAACACTCTAAAACAACAGTAACAACAGGAAACCTAATTAAAAATTAGGCATCAAATTCTTAGGTCAGAGTCCAAAGTGTTGAGAGCAAATTAGAAGTCAGTTCATAGTCAGGAGAACGAGATGAAGTCCCAGGATTTGCACTTGAAGTTCCACTTCCTGACCACATCCACATAACACAATAATTCCTCCTCACTTGCTCTAACAAATGTCCCCATGTAAAGATGTTCTATGTCATTGAGATCTTCAACCTATGGATCCAGATGACTGACTGTCCACGTTCATTTCTCTCCTTACTCAGCTTAGATTCCATAAACCCTATTTAGATTCATCCTTTTGTGAACATCATTACATTTCTAACCTCCATTTTTCTCACCAATATAAAAAACTGGATAAACTTGGTTGTCTGTCTGTCTCATGCCTACATTTGCAGCTAAACATTTCAAGAGAAAATTATATTAAGCTTATTGATATTTACTAGTATATATTTAAAATCTCTAACCTAAAATGAAACAAACTACTTATGGTTTTATAATACGTTTAGCACAGTTAATCCTTGAATGACACAGATTTGAACTGCACAAATTTACTTATAGGAAGATGTTTTTCAGTAAAAGTTACCCAGAGTGTGCCTGCCTCTCCTACCTCCCTTTCCACCTTCTCCACCTTTTTGGATTCTGCCACCCCGAGACAGTAAGACCAGCTCCCCCACTTCCTCCTCTTCCTCAGCCTACTCAATGTGAAGGTGACAAGGAAGAAAACTTTTATGATAATTCACTTCCACTTAATGAATAGGAGATATATTTTCTCTTTTTTATGATTTCCCTAATTAACATTTTCTTTTCTCTAGTTTACCTTATTGTAAGGATACAGTATATGATATATATAACATAAAAATATGTGTTAATCGATTGTTTATGTTATTGGTAAGGGTTCTGGTGAACAGTACAGTATTAGTAATTACACATCTGGGGAGTCATAAATTATATATAAAATTTTTTTTTATATTATATATTATATATTATATATTATTTATTATATATTAATTTAATAATATAATTTATATATAATCTATATAATTTATATATAAATAAGCACACATATTACACACACACACACACACACACACACACACACACACACACATATATATATATGCATGGTTGTTTTTGTTTTTTCTCCCTAAAATAAAGGGAATACTTCGGCAGGAAAGTCCTAGAAAGTTGGGCTTCATCATTACTGTTGAAATGTGTATTCACAACCTATGACAGAGCCTGGGATAAAATTGATGTTTAATGAATATTTGTTATATGGGGAAATATCTGAATGAATGAAGTAGAGGACAAATTGACCCTTTTAATACTTCTGTATGGAGAAATCACCTTAAGACTTTCTGCTTTTTTTAATTTAAAAAAATGAAGGATTCTCTCCACCTAAATAGAGTGAAAGGATAAAAACATCAGCTAGGGTATGGTACAGAATATTTTTGGAATTTAATGTTTGCTTACTTTTTTCATATTGCTTTTTATTTTTCTTTATGATCTATGCACCACCTGTTACAGAAATCCCCAGTAGCATCGACCATAAAAGGAATTCCTGCCATGCTTCTCTGGAAAACCACTGTGATTTGCTTATATGCAAACGATATTTGGAGTTAGACTTTTTTGAAAGAAGAGTGCTTGAAGGCCAAGTTTTCTTGGTCAGTAAATTTCATCGACAATGTGTTAGTACCATTTCATCTAAGTTGTTGAGGCAATGTTAATGTTGGTGTACAAATAATTGTCTTCCCTAAAATATACCAGGAATTCATCCCCTTTTCATGGTTATGTATAAGCTATAAAGTCTTCAAAGCCACTCTAAACCAATGGATACCACAATGCTAAATTTTAGATTTATCTGGAATATTGAACTAAGGCTGCCACATCACAACCTACTTTGGGATTTACATTGTAGCCTCTCAGAAGGCAAAGACAACTGAAGTTTACAGCCTCTCTAATAATTAATGTTACTAAGTGGTATGTTTAATATTTTGTTTTTTCCCCAAATATTTATTGGCTTTCTAGCATTTTATAGAAATACGTTATATAGTTGCAGTATTTTAATGCACATGCATATAATGTGCTGTAGAATATATGTGTGTGTGTGTGTGTCGTGAAATATCTAAACTATCTTTCTATATATAATATATATAAAAAAGGGTGAAAAATCTTGCTTCTCTCTCCAAATATCCTCATAATCTCATTTTTTGATGTAACCATGATTAATAGCTAGGTTGCCTTCTTCTAGAGATTTATGAGTCAAACAATATTTATTTAATGTCTTCTATGTGCTATGCATTATTGAGTCAGGTTAGAGCTAAATAGGCAGGCAGACCAAGATAGGTACTTTATTACAATAAAGTTGTTGCCTTATATACCTGTAGGTAAACACACTCCCCAGTTTTTCACTCAGTGATTTACCAATGATATGCTTCCATGTTGATATGTCCTAGTGTCCTTTATTCTTTTTAATAGGCACATATATATCTGTATATATATTTTTGTATATATTCTATATCTCCCTTGTTTTTTAACAGGAAGACATTTATGTTGACAAAGTCTATATTTGATCATGGCCCTTTATATTAAGTTGTGTCTAATAATTTGTTCTCATAAATAATGTTGCAGTGAACAATGAAGATCTTTGTTAGAGCTTATAATGGTGGATTCATAGCAGGGATTATTCAGTTTTGAAAAGGTGGAAACAAATAAAATCCCTTATAAATTGTAAGGCTCCGTGAGAAAATACAAAAATATTTCCGTAGATAGGGAGAGCTTGCTTCTGAGAAGAAAGTTGCCTTGAAAAAAAAAGAACTTTTCGGCTTACCATTCAAAACAGTTTGGGCATTGTTTTGTGTATTCAAATATAATAATTAAAACAGAGATAAAAGTCGAAGGATAAAATACAGAGGTACAACAACGTCATATACTAAGGAACAGCAAACTGGTATAATAAAAAGAGAATAGTGCATACTATAACTGCAATCTGTTGTTAAAGTACAATTAAGGGCATCTGGAGAAAGAAAATAATAACTGAAATAGAATAAAACATGAAACTCAGGAGGAACACAGTGTGGGTCAAAAGATTAAGTTATTTTCCAGCAGTTATTTTTGTCTCTTTCTAGACATTTATATTTCTGATATTCTTTGAACATTAAATGACAAACATAAAAAGTCACATGATATTGCGTTGACTATACAACTCCTGTAATTAATTCTTAAACAGAGTGCTCACTTTAGATTTCACTATTTTAAGAAAAACTTATGCATATTGGAGACACATCCTCACTCTGCACAACTCCAATATGCATATGTCTCAATTAATAAAGCATTGTGCAATGTGAATACTGGCTGCATTATTTTACATTTGGAAAGTTGATATATTTTTACTGATCTTTATTTTTAACAATCACATAGTTTATTTTTTTCTTAATCTAGTAGGCTTGAGGGCAGTTTGGAAAAAAATGAAATAATTTGACCAGAAAAAAATTGTATGCAGGATCATCATAGACTCCAAAATCATCTTGTTATGCTTACTACATGCTTCTGCATATGAACAGCTTAGTCTAATTATTTTCAACTTATCTTATTAGAAGTATATGACTTAAATCTAAATATATTGAATGTATTTGTATGTTATTATCATAGAACTTAAGATGTCACCTCCTCTTCCTTGTCAGAGAAGACAGAAGCTTCTTCCACAGTGTGGTTCCACTCTCTCGTAGCCATCTCCGTAACAGCATAGTAGTGAACATGACTGACCCACTGAGTTTGACTTGAGAAGGAAGAGGGTGTCTATAGGTGATGGACAGAAGGTAGACTGGCTATCAAATCTTTTCAGGATGTTTACTGTTTGTTCTACATGCAGGAACAACTTTCAAATATTTCTCTCTCTAAAGTGAGTACAAGAAAAACATAAAAATTAGAGTAGAAATCAATGAAATTTAAAATAGAGAAACAATAGGGAAAATTACTGAAGCCAAAGATTTGTTGTTTTGCAGATTTGAGAAAACCTGCAAAATTAATAAAGTTCTAGTCATGCTAGCAAAGAAAAATAAATGAAGATACCAATGACCAATAGGAAATAAAGAGGGGTCTTCACTGTTGATTCCATAGACATTGCAAGGATAATATAGAACTACTACAAACAATTGTTATCCATAAATTCCACAACTTAAGTAAAGTTGTTGAATTTCTTGAATGACACTACCTACAAAAATCACTGAAAGAGAAACAGATAATCTAAAAAGCTTTAGACTTAATAAGCAATTGAAATAGTAGTGTAAAACTTTCCCAAAAGAAAACATTAGGCCAGTATAGTTTTATTGGTGACTTCTACAATACATTGATGAAATAATTAACAGCAATTATATACGACCTCTCAGAAAATAATGGATGTTTTGTTAGTAGCCAAACTAGACAAATATATTACAAAATCCTAAAGATCATTACCTCTCATGAGCATAGATGCAGAAATACTTAATACTTAGTATTAGCAAATTCAATCTGGCAATATTTAAAATGAATTTTAAAGACTATGACCAAGTGGGGTTCATTCTGGGAGTGCAAGGATATTTCATCATTTGTAAATACAGAAGTATAATTTATTACATTAATATAACTCTAAATGTTATAAAGTTAAAAATAGTATAAAAATATAATAATTTATTATATTAACAGACTTAGAAAAACATGTGATCATCTCAATAGTTGCAAAATAAGCAATGAAGAATATGCAATGCTTATGATAAAACACCACAAGAACCTGCACATCTTGCACATGTACCCCTGAACTTAAAGTTATAAAACAAACTAAAAAGCTAGAAATAGAACGGAAGTGCCTAACATCATAAAGGGCATAGGTAAACAAAGAAACTCTACAGCTAGCTTCATACTTAGTATCTGGAGACGAAATATTTTCTAAGATTAGAAACAATGCAAGGATATAATCTCACCATTGTTATTTAACACTGTACCAGAATTCCCAGCTATTGTGATAAAGGGAGAAAAAAAGGAAAAACCATACATATAAAAAAGGAAAAGAAGGAATAATTTATATTTATTTGCAGATGACACAGATGCCTACGTAGACAATTCCAAAAAACTGCAAACAAGCACAGCAAACCATTTCTGGAACTAGTGAATGAGTTTAGCAAGATTACAGGATACAGTGCCAATGTCCAAAGTCAATTTTTTTAATATATATATTGTTCATTCTTGCCATGAAAAACTGGAATTTGAAAACAAAATCAACACAAAAACCCTATATAGCAGCAACAAAAATGGAAGTAGTTAGATATCAATTTAAGAAGTAAAATATGTACAGGATATATGTAGAGAGAAAACCAGGAAACACTGATTGAAGATATCATAGAAGATCTAACAAAATGGGGAGATGAACCAACTTTATGGATTGGATGACTCAATATTTTTTAAAAATGTCAGTTCTTTCCAATTTTATCTAAAAATTCAATGCAATCCTATTCTAAATAATAGTAAGACTTTTTTTGGAGATACCCAAAAATTGATTCTAAAATTACATGAAAAGGCACAGTTACTAAAACAGCCAAAACAATTCTGAAAATGAACAAACTGAGAAGACTCATCTTACTCAATTTACAGAGTGATAAAATTAGAGTTAATAAGACAGTTTGAAAGGATATACACATGGCTCAATGTAACTGAGTTAGAGTTATCTTACGGTGATGGTTAGTTTAGAATAATAGTTCAACTTATGCTAGAACCTTAATGAAGGCTTCTTTACAGGCCAACAGTGCTTAGTTAGGAATATACGGAAATGAAGAAAAGTAAGCAAACTCTGTTAGGCATGAAAAATAGTATTTTCTCTCTAAATCCTAACTGAAATTCAGACAAAGGAGTAACAGTTTATAAAATATATATCATGAATCAAGTTGGACATTACATTTGTAAATTCAGATACAAACAAAAATTATGAGAGGATAAACATGTAAATTGGTTAATTGGTTCAGAATAAAAATCACATAAATTACTAGGAGCTGGGATAGCAATATGCAGAATAATTCTTTCAATCCAAAAAAAATTTTGGTTGGTGAAATGAAGAAATAAATCACTCTATATTAAAGATTATAGAATATTTTTTCTCTGCTTTCAAGGAAAAAATAACAAGAATGTATATCACATCCATGATAATAAAGATTCCCTCACATGGGATCATTTTTCAGAGACTGAAACTGTAATTGATTTTAAAAATTCCACCAGGCACGCTAAGAGTCAAAACATAGGAAGAAACAATTATGATGGATGGCTATGGATGCGCCTCCCATTAGATCTGTGTTTGAAATAACTGAGATAAAGGTGGACATTTCTCTCCCTTATTTGTTTAGTTTTATATGTTCATTTCACCTCTTGCTTGCACAGCATACACCAATTTGTATTCTCAAGTGGTAGCTTTGTGTCTAGGATTCAATGTGAAAAGAATATACATTTTCTATTTTTTACAAATTGAAAGTGGCAGCATGTCATCTACCACACAAAGAAAAATTAAGGGTGAGTGATAGGGGCATGGTTGTGCCAATGACTTCGAACCAAACACCACTGGGAACACATCTGCAACTGAACAGGTTGGTTTAAGACACAGTGAAGTGAGGAGAAACACACAGCATGGGGAACTGTGGGATGTCTTAGTAAGATGTCAGGAAGTACTTATGTGGGCCTGAGTTAGGTGATCTTGGGAAGGGTTTAAGGAAGCAGGACTTTGCTATGGATTGGATGCTGTCAGGGAATTGAGGGTAGTACTAGGACTGGATATTTCAATATACCTTTCCTAGAAGAAAACAAATGACTAGACATAATACATGAAGGAACAACAGCTAGTATAGTCAGCATGGCCACTTTTGTGGTTTGGGCAACACAATAACAGAAAAATTTATCTTAATCCTCATTGTTCATAAGTCCAGATCCTTAGCATGGCTTTTGAACTATATTCACTTTGACATCTTTATTTGTTCAGGCTTTAATCTTTAGTGCCTGTCAAAATGGTCTTCTTACTACTTTTTTCCCAATTTTAAAATGTCATATTTCTTTTTTAAAATGTGAACTGCTTAACCCTTTCTCCCTCCATCCCTTCCTCCCTTCCTTCTTTCCTTCCTTCTTTCCTTCTTTCCTTTTTACTCTTTTGTTTCTTCCTTCATAACCTTGATCCCTTCTTCTAGGTAGCTTTAGCATTTCAATGAGATCTCTCCCTGCATTGTATGCACAGCTAGTGTTATAAATTCTATTTTGAAAATTAATAAGATTTTGTTTAGTAACAGTTTCATAGCCTTGTTGATAAGGTATACATTTCTGGCATTGCCACTTACATTTTTGTGTTTGGTCTTTATATCCCCAACTAAATTTGCATTAGTGATTTTGAAAAAAAATCAAACATCGCAAGTATTTATGACTTTTGTCACATCATTTTTTTATTCCTTATAACACTAGCACTATATTTTATAGAATATAATACTTTGATAAATATTCATTAATTTGATTTGCTGGTATGTATGCTACAGTGAAACAACCTTATATCACTGTTCATAAAACCTCCTTATAATTGTTTTAAATGGTCTATTCCCAGGAATATTAGTGTTTTTATCAAATATTTCTGGCAAATTGGGCTGATGAATTTATTGAGGTAAGGTTGTAAATATTATACATTATTAGAAAATAATTTTTTTTTTTGAGACGGAGTCTTGCCCTGTCACCCAGGCTGGAGTGCAGTGGTGCGATCTCAGCTCACTGCAAGCTCCACCTCCCGAGTTCACAGCATTCTCCTGCCTCAGCCTCCTGAGTAGCTGGGACTACAGGCACCTGCCACCATGCCCAGCTAATTTTTTGTATTTTTAGTAGAGATGGGGTTTCACCATGTTAGCCAGGATGGTCTCGATCTCCTGACCTTGTGATCCAGCCGCCTCGGCCTCCCAAAGTGCTGGGATTGCAGGCGTGAGCCACCACGCCTGGCCAATAATCTTAATTAATTATTTTGCATCGATTATACCTACCACAGCCAAGAAGAAAACAATGAATTAGAAATATGTTATTCAGGCCGGGTGCGGTGGCTCACACCTGTAATCCCATCAATTTGAGAGGCCAAGGTGGGTAGTTCACGAGGTAAAGAGATTGAGACCATCCTGGCCAATATGGTGAAACCCATCTCTACTAAAAATACAAAAATTAGCTGGGTGTGGTGGTGCACTTCTATAGTCCCAGCTAATTGGGAGGCCTAGGCAGGAGAATCACTTGAACCTGGGAGGTGGAGGTTGCGGTGAGCTGAGATCACACCACTGCACTCCAGCCTGGCGACAGGGCAAGATTCCGTCCAAAAAAAAAAGAGAGAGAAAGAAAAGAAAGAAAGAAAGAAAGAAGTCATTCATTTAGGAAATATTTAGGGCCCTTAATATCAAGTAAGAGAGGTACAACTTGAACCAGCATTGAGGGTGAAGGCTTTGTCTCCTCTTGTAACGTTTCCTTGCAACTGGTAGGTTTTCAGACAGGACAGCTAGCATGGCATTCCTCTAGTCAGGGAGGACAGCTCACACGGCGTTGTAGTCTCCTGTTCACTTCCTAAGTCATGGCTCCCTGGGGAATGAGGAAGGTCGTAATCTGATGAGGCGTGTGCAAGAAGAAACTGAGCATAGAGAACTCAGGTCCCACCCTCATAAATACTACTCATAGAGCATGTGTCCATCTCTATCGTTTTTTACTTTAAATTTAGTGTCAGCCCCAAGAGGCCCAGTGATGCTTGAGTAACTCTCTCTATTCTAGGTTCTTTTGATGCCTGTTTATCATTAATAAAAGAGGTACTCTGGTTTTTCAACTCCATTTCCCTTTTGAGTTATTCAAGATGCTTCAGATCTCAGATGCAGACAAGTAGTAGTTCTTTGACTCTCCTCATTCCCTAACAGAGAGCTTAAGCTAAAAGATAGCTCTAAGCTAAGAACAATGAAATGTAGAGAAAAAAAGACTACTGGATTATCTTAAACATCTATATTTAGCATATTTTAAAACTATATGTTTTGGAAACCTTCCTTGACAAGCTCAAGCTAATCCTCCAGGGTCCTGAGAAAAGGGGAAGAATGATATCGGGGCAGAGAGGGGAAGATGGTTTAATGTCATCAGAAGAGCCATAGGAACAGAGCGAAAAGAAAAAAATATGAAATTGATGACAAGGCTAAAGTATTAGAGAAATTTTAACTATTCATCTCTTTCTGTAGGAGCCCAATGATTGATTCTGAATATTCTAATTCAAATGTGTGTTTTATTTAAATGTGCACTTCTATTATCTTACATTGTATGTCATCAGAGAAAAATTAAGACTCAGTGTGCTACTGTTGCCTTTGGTTTAATGCTTACTAAGTTTTAGTGTTGTATGTATTCATTCTTATGAGCCTTAAAATAACTGAATAATAACTGTCATAAGATGCATTTTTAATTTATTTTTAAGAAAATGCATTTTAAATACAGGAAACTAAAGCACAGAGCGATAAACAAATTCATTCGAGGTTGCACAAATATTAAGTAATGGAACAGGGAATTAAAGCCAGGCTGTTCGAACTCACACACTATTCCCTTTATAGTGTTGATACATTATGCATCTATTTTCTATCAGACTATTTGTCTGTCTATCCATCTATTTATCATTTATCAGTCTGTATATTTTGTACAAGAGTAATAAGAAAATTCAGCAGTGTAATTCAAAGATTCACTTAAGCAACATGTATTTGAAATAAAGAAAAAAGAAAATGCTACAATAAGCAATAATGGCTTATGCAAATGTAACATGTATGTTTCTTATATAAGAAGTCCACCAGAAGGAAATTGTTTGCTTTGATTCAGTGGCTTAATGATGTAATAGCCAATATTTCTGTAATTCCTATATATATATTTTTTTGACACAGAGTCTCTCCCTTGCTCTGTCGCCCAGGCTGGAGTGCAGTGGTGAGATCTTGGCTCACTGCAACCTCCACCTCCTGAGTTCCAGCGATTCTTGTGCCTCAGCCTCCTGAGTAGCTAATATAAAAATTAGCCAGGCGTGGAGGCACACACCACCACACCCAGCTAATTTTTGTATTTTTAGTAGAGATGGGGTTTCACCATGTTGGCCAGGCTGGTCTCAAACTCCTGACCTCAGGTAATCCACCCACTCCAGCCTCCCAAAGTGCTGGGATTACAGGCATGAGCCACCACGCCTGGCCTTATCTCTGTAATTTCAATAATCATCTCTGTATTTAAGCAGGAAGAAGGGTTCAGGAGGAAGTACCTTGACAGCTTCTTTTCCCCTTTCCTATCAAAAGCATTATCTCACATCAAATATCATGAGTAAAAACTGGATTACTTGGCCACCTTTAGCTGCAAGGTAGGCTGGGAAAAACAATACTTGACTTTTTCACTTTAGTATTGGGAGCTAAGTAGCATGAAATGTGTTGTTTAAGGCTTTAGAACAAGATCGTCTACACACTGAGTTTCTCCAGCTTTTGTTATTTGCCTAATAATTCATTCCATGCTTCACAAAACATTCAGACTTCTAGTTTTAGTTACATAAAATTTACCTGAATTTCACATGAGTTTAAATAATAAGAATACTAATTTAAAAAATCATGTTCTGGGCCAGGCATGGTGGCTCACACCTGTAATCCCAGCACTTTGGGAGGACGAGGTGGGTGGATCATGAGGTCAGGAATTCGAGACCAGCCTGGCCAAAATGGTGAAAACCCATCTCTACTAAAAATGTAAAAATTAGCCTGGAGTGGTGGTGGGTGCCTGTAGTCCCAGCTACTCAGGAGGCTGAGGCAGGAGAATCGCTTGAAACCGGAAGGCGGAGGTTGCAGTGAGCCGAGATTGTGCCACTGCACTCCAGCCTGGGCAACAAGAGCAAAACTCTGTCTCAAAAAAAAAAACAACAACAAAAAAATCATGTTCTGACACATTCTTTTATGTTTTTCATGAGGATGTATGTATGTGTATATATATACACACACACACATAGTCAAATTATAGTCAAATTACATAGATTGTGTTGCACCTTAATTTGATTTCTTTCATTTTCTTTTCTTGTTATTTCTACTACTGGATGTTCTTAACTTATGATATTTAGTCTTCATCTTCACATACAGCTAGATTTTAGATAGCATGGGCTTGAGATAATGAAAACTTTGCTTGGTGAAGACTACTTTCAAATTTCTGTTAGACATTACTATGGCAAGGAGTAATCAGGATTTAAGGTTAGTTTGTTAAAGATTTCATGGAGGTATTGACGAGTGAATATTTAGTAAATTCTTGCCTAACATTGGTTAACAATGAGCTAAGGTTTTGTAGAGACAATGATTCAGAGAAAAAGCTACCAAGTTACTGGAAGTGGTAGAAACTGTGAGTAGAACTGAGAATTCATAGAAGGCAGTAGAAGTTACAGAGGGCCACTGAACTTGACCATTCCTGGCCTAGCCCTACCTACTAGTAGCCCACTCTTGCATCCACCATAACTACATGCTCCATGAGTGAAAGACTTATGATATAAAGGGAAGACCTGCTGTATCCTTAGGCAACTGTCACCTCAGTTGTAGAAAACTTCTGGAAGAGAACTTACTATGAAAGAAATAGGGACATCAGTGTTTTCTGGAAAACAGTCAATTCCCCACCCTCCATGCTCCCAGAATTCAACCAAGTATCATCATAGAACAAGGCTAACTCTCACTTACTCAAGTAGACAGGGCTTAAAAGCTTTAAGCTTTGTAATTTTGCTATAAATGTAGGATGGAAGGGTAAATTTAAAAATTTAATTAAAATTAATGAGACATTCACAAAAGTGCTGCTTTGTTTTTCTTTAGTTGTCTCTTGAATTATAGTTAAATTTTAAAGTCATAATTAGTATAAAATGTATGTAGCATTCAACTTAGAACTGAGGAAAGTATTTGAGATTTGCTGATTGTAATCAGGACATTCAAGCAAGAGAAGGCAATATAGATTCAAATTTTAGATTTGTTTGAGAAGCCTGGCTAATTTGGAGAATTTTGTGAATAGTTATATTATGAAAGTTATAATCATGATACGTAATCTAAAGTCAAGGATAATCATCCTTTATTACAGAAATATCAAACATGAGCTGAGTGATTTTAATGCTAACTGCTTTTCTTCCTTAGCATTTAACCTCGCATAAACACTTTTACAAATACATTTAAAAATTTTCTCCAGAATTGAGGTACTCCCAGTGAAGAGTACAGTTTGCACCCTGTTGTATTTTACATCTAGGCTAGCTGCTCAGATATTTCTTCTCAAGGTTGAAGGTATGATAGAATCTCTGGATGCTTCAATAAATTAGAAGAGAAAAATGTAACTAGAAAACTTTGGATATGGGTATACTTGGTCGGAAGACAAAAGTAATAGTAGACTCAGTTCAACTCACGTTTCTTTGTTGCTTTTAAACTTACTCATTTGAATTATGTTTTCCAATATTTTTACATCAGAAAAGAGTGTGTGTGTGTATATATATATATATATATATATATATATATATAGTGTTTACAATGAAACAATACATATTATATATAAACATATTTATAGTGTATGTTTATAATTAATATATATGTTGGTTTAAATATAAGTATAATTAATATATATGTTGGTTTTTTTTATTTCTTCCAAAAAAAAGGGATACATATGGAAAATGTGCAGGTTTGTTACATAGGAATACATGTGACATGGTGGTTTGCTGCACCTATTGACCCATTCTCTAAGTTTCCTCCCCTCACCGCTCACCCCCCAACAGGACCTGGTGTGTGTTGTTCCCCTTTCTGTGTCCATGTGTTCTCAATGCTCAGCTCTCACTTAAAAGTGAGAACATGTGGTGTTTGGTTTTTTGTTCCTGTGTTAGTTTGCTGAGGATGATGGCTTCCAGCTTCATCCATGTGCCTGCAAAGGACATGATCTCATTCCTTCTTAGGACTGCATAGTATTCCGTAGTGTATATTTACTATATTTTCTTTATCCAGTCTATCATTGATGGGCATTTGGGTTGATTCCATGTCTTTGATCTTGTAAACAGTGCTTCAGTAAAATGGGTGTGCATGTGTCTTTATAGTAGAATACTTTATATTCGTTTGAGTATATATCCAGTAATGAGATTGCTGGGTCAAATGGTACTTCTGGTTCTAGATCCGTGAGGAATCACCATCCTGTATTCCACAATGGCTGAACTAATTTACATTTCCACCAACAGTGTAAAAGTGTTCCTATTTCTCCACAGCCTCACCAGCATCTATTGGTTCCTGACTTTTTGATAATCACCTTTCTGACTGGCATGAGATGATATCTCATTGTGGTTTTGATTTGCATTTCTCTGATGATTAGTGATGGTGAGCTTTTTTTCATATGTTTGTTGGCTGCATAAATGACTTCTTTTTGGAGTGTCTGTTTATATCCTCTGCCCACTTTTTGATGGGGCTTCTTTTTTCTTCTTGTAAATTTGTTTAAGTTCCTCGTAAATTCTGGACATTAGTAGACCTTTGTCAGATGGGTAGATTGCAAAAATTATCTCTTATTCTGAAGGTTGCCTGTTCACTCTGATGGTAGTTTCTTTTGCTGTGCAGAAGCTCTTTAGTTTGATTAGATCTCATTAGTCAATTTTGGCTTTTGTTGCAATTGCTTTTGGTGTTTTTGTCATGAAGTCTTTGCCCATTCCTATGTGCTGAATGGTATTGCCTAGGTTTTCTTTTGCAGTTTTTATGGCTTTTCATTTTACATTTAAGTCTTTAGTCCATCTTGATTTAATTTTTGTATAAGGTTTAAGGAAGATGTCCAGTTTTAATTCATTTTATGAAGCCAGTATCATCGTGATACAAAACCAGGAAGAGACACAACAAAAAAAGAAAATTTCAGGCCAATATCCCTGATGAACATCAATGCGGAAATCCTTAATAAAATACTGGGAAATCGAGAACAGCAGCACATCAAAAAACTTATCCAGCACGATCAAGTTGGCTTCAACCCTTGGGTGCAAGGCTGGTTCAACATATACAAATCAATAAACGTAATTCATCACATAAACAGAAACAAAGACAAAAACTCATGATTATCTCAATAGATTCAGAAAAGCCTTTGATAAAATTAAACATCCTTTCATGTTAAAAACTCTCAATAAACTAGGTATTGATGAAACATATCTCAAAATAATAAGAGCTATTTATGACAAATGCACAGCCAATATCATATTGAATGGGAAAAAGCTGAAAGCATTCCCTTTGAAAACCAGTACAAGACAAGGACCACCACTCCTATTCAACATAGTATTGGAAGTTCTGGCCAGGGCAATCAGGCAAGAGAAAGAAATAAAGCGTATTCAAATAGGAAGAGAGGAAGTAAAGTTGTCTCTGTTTGCAGATGACTTGATTTTATATTTGGAAAATGTCATCATCTCAGCCCCAAAACTTCTTCAACTGATAAGCAACTTCAGCAAAGTCTCAGGATACGAAATCAATGTGCAAAAATCACAAGCATTCCTTTATACCAATAACAGGCAAGCAGAGAGTCAAATCATGAATGAACTCCCATTCACAATCTCTACAAAGAGAATAAAATACCTGGAAATACAGGTAACAAGGCATGTGAAGGACCTCTTCAAGGAGAACTACAAACCACTGCTCAAGGAAATAAGAGAGGACACAAACAAATGGAAAAACATTCCATCCTCATGGATAGGAAGAATCAATATGAAAATGGCCATACTGTCCAAAGTAATTTATAGATTCGTTGCTACTCTCATCCAACTACCATTGACATTCTTCATAGAATTAGAAAAAACCTATTTTAAATTTCATATGGAATCAAATAAGACCCTGTATAGACAAGACAATCCTAAGCAAAAAGAACAAACCTGGAGGCATCATGCTACCTGGCTTCAAACTATACTACAAGGGAACAATAACCAAAACAGCATGGTACTGGTACCAAAACAGACATATAGACCAATGGAGCAGAACACAGACCTCAGAAATAACACTGTGCATCTACAACCATCTGATTTCAACAAACCTGACAAAAACAAGCAATGAGGAAAGGATCTCCTATTCTTTGTAAATGGTAATGGTGCTGGGAAAACTGGCTAGCCACATATGTTAGTTTTAATTATAAACATATGGTGGATACTCATGAACTCTTCATTTATCCCAAGAACTAAAATATGATCAATGTTTGAATCAAGTTATTGATTATTCTGTCCAGACAAGACCAAATCTATTAAATAAAAGAAATTCCAATAAGATTCAATAAAACAAACAAAAGAACACTGACTTTAAAAAGAATACAATAACATTAACAGAAAATAAAATCACATGCTTATCATTACCATTTTAAGGGCTAAATGCACCATTTTAGGTATGTAATAAAGATGCATATTTTCTATAGAAATATTGATTTTTGTCCTTGATAATTCACACTTCATTATTTGAAACATATATAATCTGCACTCTACTGCATTAATAACTACCTGTGAAGATGGAGTATAACAACTAGGGAAAAAGCAAATAAAATACAGAACAATTCATTATTATCAGTCCCTGGACAAGAATATCTCAGACTTAAACTTGCAAGAGATTCTTTTAGTAATAGTTTTTGTGTGTGTGGTTTCAGAGTTTATATATTTTCATCTGTGGGGTAAAGTGTAAGATTCATTTTCTATTTACTTTTGGTTGAGTTGTATTCTTTCCTTTTAAACAAATCAATTCTTCCTTAGATGTAGTATATTGATTTTCTGGCTCACCTATTGTCAGTGACCTATATTTCAGATGGTTGGTATCTTAAACCATTTGAAAACTGCCAAACATTTATCAATAGAGACAAAGCAAACAAATATATATATACACACACACACACACACACACACATATATAAATATTAAAAAACATCATTTCTTTTTGCTTAGGAGGCATTATTTTCTGATTGCCCCCATCGTGTTCTTTTCTAAGCCTGTTTACTTCAAGTTCTGGTATTGATTTCAGTCTTCATGAGCTGCTTACCCATATGCCTATGTGATCATCTTTGTTGGTTATTGCATCCCATAGCTCTCTGTGAATTTCTTTCTAGAAATGTTTCTGATGGGTACCGATAACAGATGTGAAATATGACACAAATGGCTTCAAATTTGAAATGAATTCCTCTCAACATTTTTTTGGTATATTTTCTGTACTACCCATTTCTGTGTCTCATTTAATATAATTCATTTTATATCTTCCTCACTATCCCAATTAATCATAAACTTAGAGGTCATGTGCTTAGTTCTGTGTCACCTAAATTGTCTATACAGTGACAGATGTTTGAACACAAGTCAACACAAATTGATTGAATAAATTAATGTATTCTTTCCATATAATGAGGCTTGTTAAAGCGAAGATTTAGTGTTCTGCACTTTGGTGCCTGTCTATACACAATATTCTATTCATTGTGGTCAGTAAGTAGATAGCTATTGACTAAAATTGGGAAATTTTACTGTGATATGGCTTTATAAATAAGCAGTCATATATGTCTTCATATGTCTTATAATTTTGAGAAGATCTTTCCTCCAATATTTTTTCCTTGCTTATTGTGATGGTTAATACTGAGTGTCAACTTGATTGCATTGAAGGATGCAAAGTATTAATCCTGGGTGTGTCTGTGAGGGTGTTGCCAAACGAGATTAACATTTGAGTCAGTGGGCTGGGGAAGGCAGACACACCCTTGATCTGGTGGGCACAATCAAATCAGCTGCTAGTGAATATAAAACAGGCAGAAAACCATGAAAAGGTGAGATTGGCCCACCCTCCCAGCCTACATCTTTCTCCTATGCTGGATGCTTCCTGCTCTAGAACATCAGACTCCACGTTCTTCAGTTTTGAGACTCAGGCTGGCTCTCCTTGCAGACAGCCTATTGTGGGACCTCGTGATCATATAAATTAATGCGTAATAAACTCCCCTTTATAGATAGATAGAAATCTATCTATCTATCTATCTATCTATCTATCTATCTATCTGTCTGTCTGTCTGTCTGTCTGTCTATCTCCTATTAGTTCTGTACCTCTAGGGAACCCTGACTAATACAGATTTTGGTATCAGGAGTGGTTCTAGAGGAACAGAATATGAAAAATGGAGTTCTTTCATTGACTTTAGGGTTTCTGGAGTTGGCTGCTTAATATGATTAGAGCCAAAAATGCTAAAAATTCTATTTCTAATAATATGGAGAACACTGATAGTCCTTGGCATGATGATTTTAGAGAGTTATGCAAAATAAATGCATTTGATACTCCTGATTCACCCCTCATGAGGGGCAAGCAGTTTAGTGACTCTATACATAATACCTTTGATCATATGTGGAGAACCAAGGAACATAATGAAGCTGGTTGGTTGCTCCCAAGTTCACTGGAGAGAGTGATGAAAGAAAATAATGAACTCAGGGATTCTGTCTCCCAGCTTCAAAAGCAGATACTAAGCCTCAAATCTGCTATGATTGCCCTAAGTCTTATCTCCTGTCGAGAAAGAGCAGAAATCATGGAAAAACAGACTCAAGCTCTTATGTGAGTGGCTGACCTGCAATGACAGGTGCATGCACAACCTCACCAGGTGTCTACTGTTAAAGTGAGGACATTGATTGGAAAAGAATGGGACCATGCAACTTGAAATGGGGACATCTGGGAGGACCCTGATGAAGCTGGGGACACTGAGTTTGCAAGCCCTGATGAATCTTTTTTGCCAGAAGGAACAGCTTCCCCATCCTCAGTAGTGGCAACATCCCCTCCTCCACCCATGCTGCCATTAACTATTCTGCGTTTGTCTGAAGAGATAAACCCTGTGCTGCCTGAGGCAACAGTGATGACCTCTTCTGAAGCAGCTGCCAGGCAAAATAATGTTGATTCTCCTCAGGAGCCACCCCCAACACCCCTGTTGGCTTCTAGACCTAAAACTAGACTAACGTTCCGGCAGGTCCCTAGAGGTGAAGTTGTGAGTGTGACCCATGAGGAGGTGGGCTACACTAGAAAAGAACTGCTTGACTTCTCTAATTTATATAAACAGAAATCTGGAGAACAGGCACGGGAATGGATATTAAGGGTATGGGATAATGGTGGAAGGAACATAGAGTTGGATCAGGTCGAATTTATTGATTTGGGCCCACTAAGTATGGACTCTGCATTTAATGTTGCAGCTCGGGAAGTTAGAAAAAGTTCCAATAGCTTATTTGCTTGGTTATCTGAAATACGGATTAAAAGGTGGCCCACTGTGAGTGAGCTGGAAATGCCTGATTTCCCTTGGTTTAATGTAGAGGAAGAGATCTAAAGGCTGAGGGAGATTGGGACGGTGAAGTGGATTAGTCACTTTAGACCTACTCATCCCAGCTGGGAGGGTCCAGAAGAGATATCTTTGACCAATGCCTTGTGAAATAGATTTGTGAGGGCAGCACCTGCATCTTTGAAGAGCCCTGTAATTGCTCTTCTTTGTATGTCAGATCTAACAGTGGGAATCTCAGTCACAAAACTACAAAATTTAAATACAGTGGGAATAATTGGATCCCCAGGTGGCAGGGGCCAAGTGGCAGCACTTAACTGTCAAAGGCAAGGTGGGCACAGCTACTACTGTAATGGCCAGCAGAGGGAAAGCTGCAATCAGAATAGTCTGACTCATGTAGAGCTCTGGCATTGGCTAATTAATAATGGTGTTCCTAGAAGTGAAATTGACAGGAAGCCTGCTGCATTCCTACTTAATTTATATAAGGAGAAAACTTCTAGGTCGAATGGACAAAAGACTAATTTGAATTATAAAAACAGAGAATCACAGCCCCTCAATTAATTTTTGGACTAGAGCCAGTTTACAGACCCAGAACCCCTTGAACCCTGTTGTGTGCCAACCACATTTTGCTTTGGGAATTAGGCAGTCAGTCTCACAACTGCTTTTCTTGTCTATCTTGTTTTGTAGCTGACTGCCTACAGTTTAAGTTTCTTTAGGAACTATTCTCAGCTAAAGGAAAGTGCTTTGCCTGATTTTATGCCTCCTTCCTGGGGGCAGCCTATAATCAATAACTTGATGTGGGAGTAAAAAGACATGGCTTCCTTGCCTCAGTTGAAGCAAGCCAAGGAATTTCCAGCTCCAGAGCTCTCCACAATATCAAGTTGAGGAACCCACTGAAATTTCATCACGTGCACCTGGAGAAGGACAAGGTGGACAGGAAAGCATTGCCCTTGGAAATAAGGGTCTGGTTCACAACATCAGATATGTTCCCAAAGCCCTTCAAGTCCTTAGACAAAGATCTGGGAAATATAGCATGGGTAGTAGCAGAGAGATGATGAGTACCCATTGTGACCCTAAGACCAGCTGCAGTGGGAGTGGATGTGATTGGCCAGCTAACCTTCCTTTATTTAAGTTTTTGTAGGAAAAGAGATGAACCAGAAGCTTTTTCAAGATGGATGGAAATCACGATGAGGGGCTAAGGTCAATAGTGGTGTGTATTGTCTAGAACCCACTTTAGAATGGATCAACCATTGCCCCAACTACAGGGAGTATTGCCTCAGATGGTTAAAGATTAAGTCCTTGTCCAGGAATTAACCTTGGCTGAGGAAGCTGCCTTACCTAATGGGGTAGCCTGTGTCCAATGACAAGCCAGTGGAATGGGCATGCAAATCTCCTGCCCTCTTGTCTCAACTGGGAGAATTCTAAAGGGCCTTCTAGATCCAGGTTCACAACTAGGTAATCTGAAGAGATGCGCATCAGAACTCAATTTCTGCATTGCCGAGTTTCGCTTCCCTCACCCGTCATTTCCTCACCCATGATTATGACATGGTAAAAGGATTTAGGTTTTTTTCCAAAGGTGACTTCCCAATAAGCTCTCCATGCACCAATCCAAGCATTTCAGGGTCAATTTCCTGGGAATGTGGCCTGCATCTAGTACACTTAAGGTAAATACTGGTGTTGTGAGGAGTGTATATGCCTCAGGGACTGAGAAAGAACCAGTGTGGAGACAGAGATATCTGAATCTGGTTCTGAGCCTCTATTACAGGTCAGCTTTGATTTTACCCCACATCCCCTTGTTCCCAGAGCTAGGCTGATGAAGCTGTCTTTCTCTGAGACATTGACTGTCTTGCTACAGGGACTACAGCAGGCAAGACAAGACAGAACCTATGTAAGAAAATGTGAGCACAATGTGAGGACAAGATCTCAAAGAAAAGGCAGACACTGGGAACAATGTGAGGGCTTTTGACTCCAGGTCAGAGGCTGATTTTCAAATTATGTCATATGCAGTGTATGTGTTGACTAGGAGCAAGGAATATAAATTCGGTAGCCTTGGGCATCTTCTTTTATATCTCTCAGCCTCAGGAAATGGTAACAGAACTTACCAGGTAGTGCTTTTGGAAAGATTGGATGAGACGAGGCTTATGAAATGATTAGAAATATGCCTGCCATCTAGCATATGCTCAAGGGATGTTTGCTATTATTAGATGTGGGTGGTAAAGGTGATTTTTGCTAAGCTTCAGAGTATTGGGTAAAAGTTGGTTCAATAATTTTTATTTGAAATCATATTTGTTTCTGAAGACTGGAAGTAGGACTGAATTAATAGAGGGTCAGAGTCAATTAATGGAAGAAAAAGGATACAGCAGCAAAGAATTTATAGGACTGACATGACCCCCATAGCACTCCTGTCCTTCCTTAAGAAGTTAATCCTCTCTACTTTCTAGTATGAGGATATTTATTCATTATTTTATGTTGTATACATGTAGACTTTTTTCTTCCTGAAGGCAAATATGATGCCTTACTAATCTTTATTTTCCATGCAGTATTCTGCCTAGTGTAAATGATTATGACATGATAATAGGATTTAATATTGCCATTCCCGTTTCCATTGTTCTAAGTCAATTCTCTGCTTGGAAATCATCAGTGGTTTGAGATTTGGTTTCCTTAGCCTGGTAATCAATGCCATCTATAATCTGGTTCTGATCTAAATTTCTAGATTTAATTCCCATTCATCATTTCATGCAACATCTAACAGAGTCAAACTAAACTATTTGTTGTTTTTTTGCACGTTTGTTGATTTCTTTGAGTCCTCATTTTAACAAAGCTCTTGGTTTTCCTCCCTTCCCATGGTTGTCAGCCAGTTCTTCTCTCCCCCTTCCTGCTGGCCATTCATGAAACTATTCTGCTCCATTTAAATGAGTCTGGATACTCAGATGGGTTGGGTCCCACCAGGGAGAGATTGACCTATGAATATGTATAGGCTCCCTGCCTGCCTGTGTGCATCTGAGGACAAGGGTGGATGGTCCCCTGTACCAGGATGAATGCCAGCATGCTATGAAATAGGCCACTATGCTACATTGAGGCATGAACTCAGGGTCAGAAAGAGGATTCTGCCATCTTTCTAACGTGAGTTTTCCTGGAGGAACATATGATGTAATCATATTGTAGATAACTACATCAACAAAACTAATATTTTGGACTTGGACCAAGTTATAAGAGAATATTGGATATATTTATATACACACACACACACACACACACACATATAGGCACAGATATGTATATGTATTTTTTAGTTTAAGCAGACGGTGTTGCTATGTAACAAATATAGTTTTATACATACTATTTAATTAGGGCTAGCAAACACATTTTGCAGCTGCTTAAGACAAAGAATAGAAAAAGTTATGAGTTCAAAATGTGTTTTTTTCTCAGTCTTTAACAACTATAAGTCCATCTTACAAACTAGCATTCAACTACATAGAAGTAATTATATAAAAGTTCATTGAAATATTAGAGTTGGATGTGATATAAATATCTTTTGTTTGTTTGTTTGTTTGTTTTGCTATGCACCATTCTTTCTGTCCCTTGGGTCTGTATTAATTTCTATCAAGGCCTGTAGCATGTTTTTTACACTTACATATGCCCAGAAAATCTTGTAAATGTTGTTAAGAAAGCTGCTTTAATATGTTCAGAAGAAAAAAATCATAAAATCACAACACTAAATTGTTAATGAGAGAGCCTTCTACAGATGTAAAAAAGACAGGTGTTCCATGCACATGGATTAGAAAAGCCTATTTAAACATACTTTTGATTTCATTTTCTTTGGAAAGATCCCAGAATAAAGGAAATAAAATCTGGTGATATATGAATGTGAAGAGCTACAAATGGATTTGAAAAGAAACTGCACCAATTTAATTTAAACTAAGTGAAAACTAAAAAATGCTATAAATGCCTAGATATATCCTCACATGTGATGAAATGTCTGGATATTTGGTGAATTGAATGTAAATAGTTTGGGGAATTGAATGTAATAGTTTCGGTGAACTGGTGAATGTAAATATTTGGTGAATTGAATATAATCATTTTCATTGGAATGACTGGTACCTGGCAGATGACAGAAATTGAGAGGTAGAAGCATCCATGAATGTAATCTGGTTCAGCATTCTTAACTTGCACTCAGTCACAACCTATGGTGCAACTGACAGCAGGGTTCAAGTCCTCTGTCTATTACTTAGAAGCACCTTTATGGTCCTCTCAATTCAATCTCTATTACACATATTTATTGAATATTTTGAGTTCATAAAATATGTTTGGTGACATAATAATAGGAAACCCTGAGAGATGGCTGGTGACTGCCCAGGAGTGATTCATGGAAACTAAGGGCAGGGGATGAGTCAAACTCCTGAGGTATCAGAGGCAGGACCAGACAAGAGCCCTGGGGCAAAGCTTGTCTATTCTTGCCCTATGAGTCTCTTCCCCTTGATTTGCTCCTTCACCTTTCTCTGCAGATCAGCTTTGTCTTCTCCTTCTGGTACCTGAGAGCTATGCCGTTGGTATCTATGGCAGCATGTGGTTCTTCCAGCCCTGCAATTCACTTCTACTGTCAGCTTTCATCCCTATTATGTACTCCAGTGCCCCAAGTTAATAGTTCAACAAGAATAAGGGGGAATCTGACTGACTGGTTTAGGTCAAGCATGTATTAAAATTCTAATCAGTTATGACAAAAATAAAAGGGGCTTTCTCTGCTTATGGGGCTCACCTTTGGTGAGGGAAGTAGTGTTCTGTCCTAACTGGCTTTGTGTTGCTATAGCAGAATACCCAAGACTGCATAATTTATTTAAAAGAGGTTTATGGAACTCATGGTTATGCAGGCTGAGAAGTTTGTAGGCATGGCCCTGGCTTCTGGCATGGGCCTTTTTGCTGTGTCACAACATGACACAGAAGGCCAAAGGGGAGGTGGATGCATGTGAAAAGAGGAAAACTTGAGGGGTATCCCAGCTTTATAACAACCCCTTCTGGCAAGTACTAATCCAGTCCCATGAACTCATCTAGTCTTGCAAGAGTAAGAACAGCAGCAAGCCACTGATGCAAGATCTACTCCATAACCCAAACGCCTCCATGTAGGCTGAACCTCCCAACACTACCAATCTGGGAGCAAGATTTTAACATGAGTTTTTTAGGGACCAACAAACCACATAGCATGTTTTCAAAAAGAGAAATATGGGCTAGGAAAACATCCCAGAAATTATTTGGTACAACTCACTTTTTTTCATTCAACGTGCACTTGTCTAGGACCCAAATTGTGTGCCATCTTGTAGGGGTGAACAGGAGGGTCAACATCCCTGGCTTCACTGAGATTGCATTCTAACTAATAAGGCACCGAGATGGATGCTGAGTGAGTCTGTCAACAGGTTACATTTTCTCTGATTTCCAGGAGTTTAGTTTAGAAAGAACCCAACTCTTGAAATCTAACAATTGAAGAGATAAAATATTCTTTATAATTTCCCATTTATGACATTACAAAGTCAAATCTATCAACACTTTTGACCCCTACAGAGTAGTATTCTAGGCACTTCATGGGATACAGAGGAAGGATAATATAGATCCTACCGACAAGGAGATTAAGCACTGCTGAGGCAATAATTTACACAGAGAACAACTGTAGAGTTTAAATATGTGTGATTAAGTTTATGCTGGGAGCCATAAATGCAAAAGACACTTGGAGAAAACACAAATTTCTGTAGGCTGAGGTCACCAAGGAAGAACATAACAGGACATGTGAAGCTTTATCTGGGATTTGTATTTGGGCAGAATTTCAATATGAACATAATTTTAAGTTAGAAGGTTTATAATCTTCTCTAGTGAACCATGAAGAAATGGAATTTTTTTCTACTAGTACTAACTGGAAACACATTAATCATGAATAAATGTGAACTGTAAAGACCAAGTTGAGAAATGGACGACAAATATAGCAGATACAGGATAACAGCCATTTGTGATATTTTAGTTCATTAAAGTTTCATCCTAAAGAAATTGACTTATGGATGCAGGAGGTTTACAAAGGGAAGATGATGAAGAATACTGTCATGGGTCAGTTCTGAGTGGCCACTTGTAAAGGAAGAAGTAAATATTATTTTCCCACTGGAACAGTTGACTGTAGGACATGGGCATTTGGCGGCATTAGGCAGCATTAGGGTAAGATCCAATAAGGACAGTAGTATTTGGAGACCTCCAGAGAAAATGTGCTGAGATCAAAGGTATAAATAAAAGAGAACTGGGCCCTAGGAATGCAGAATTCTTATTTGCAGACAAGTCACATGTGTGATGATGCATTGGAAACAAAGTTTATAAGGACTTATTTGGTCTTTGTAAAGCTTTGTTTAATGAAAAGGTCAATTTTCAAAGCAAAGTAAGCATAAATCTCATCAAGTTGGAAGCCGACTTTCTGATAATCAATCTGACCAGAACAGAACTGAGATTTTTTTTTTTAAGAACTGGCTTTATGCCAAAATCTACTTGAAAATGTTTTATTTTTTATTCTTCTTTAAGTGAAGTTTAGAAGAAAAATGAAAAGTGATTTTAGTGTGGTTGTGAAAGGTAGTTCTCTCTGTGCCTCACCTCCTTCACTTTCTGGATATTCACTACCATATGCAAGTCCTGAATTACATTATTTTTGGATTGTATTATATAACTGTAATTTTTGCATTTATATTACTTAAAGACCTAACCTCAGAGCCTGAAATTTTCTGCTGTCATTGCACTGAGGAATGTTTTTCAACGATGCTTTGGGCTGAAGAATTCTCAATCAACTACCTTTTTCTTTTTGCTGGAAGAATTACTGGCCTCTTCCCAAAAGGAATTGAAGAGTCTGCTCTGTAGCCTCCCCAAGCAGTGAGACGCATAACATTTGTTCTTCTTTTCCTTGTGTGCCTAAACTATGTTTAGGGTAAAATTGTACACAATTTTATATATTGTAGATAATACAATTTTACATATTGTACATAATAACTCTTATATGTAGTAAGAGTTATTACATATATGTGTACAATTTTACCCTAAACATAGTTTAGGCACACAAGGAAAAGAAGAAAAAATGTTACGAGTCTCACTGCTTGGGGAGGCTACAGAGCAGACTCTTCAATTCCTTTTGGGAAGAGGCCAGTAATTCTTCCAGCAAAAAGAAAAAGGTAGTTGATTGAGAATTCTTCAACCCAAATCAATGTCCAACAATGATAGACTGGATTAAGAAAATGTGGCACATATACACCATGGAATACTATGCATCCATAAAAAAATGATGAGTTCATGTCCTTTGTAGGGACATGGATGAAATTGGAAATCATCATTCTCAGTAAACTATCGCAAGAACAAAAAACCAAACACCGCATATTCTCACTCATAGGTGGGAATTGAACAATGAGAACACATGGGCACAGGAAGGGGAACATCACACTCTGGGGACTGTTGTGGGGTGGGGGGAGTGGGGAGGGATAGCATTAGGAGATATACCTAAGGCTAAATGACGAGTTAATGGGTGCAGCACACCAGCATGGCACGTGTATACATATGTAACCTGCACATTGTGCACATGTACCCTAAAACTTAAAGTATAATAATAAAATAAAATAAGAGGATACTGCTGTGGGAGTACTTATACTCAGATACAAATGTATACAAATACACAGAAATTTTACAAAAGAACCACAAGATCACTGATATATGTGAATTCTAGCTGCAAGTTTTGAGACAGCCTCCAATGGGCTGTGTGTTTGAAAGGTTTTTGCTGAGAACCAATCTGGAGATACTAAAGTGCAGAATCCATTGGCAGAATAAGGGACCTTTCCCTTGCCTTCCTTACAAAGCCTATAGATACCTGTTAGCGTATTGCAAAACACACAAATCGTGTATCAAATTTTAATGAGAAAAGTGCTAAACACAGAAGGCATGGCCATCTTTGAGTCAGGCTGAAACCGACTCAATTGTCCCATAGACTCATAGACTGTTCTTTTCGGTAAACATAGAGATTTTACCCTTCTAGTCTGAAAAACTTGAAACTTATGTTCGTTTTTATTTTTAGTTATTTATTTATTTTGAGACAGAGTCTTGGTCTTTTGCCCAGGCTGAATTGCAGTGGCACAGTCTCGGCTCACTGCAAACTCTGCCTCCTGGGTTCAAGCAATTCTCCTGCCTCAGCCTCCTAGGTAGCTAGGATTACAGGCATGCACCACCACGCCCAGCTAATTTTTGTATTTTTAGTAGAGACAGAGTTCATCATGTTGGCCAGGCTGGTCTTGAACTCCCAGCCTCACGTGATCCTCCCATCTCAGCCTCCCAAAGTGCTGGGATTACAGGTGTGATTATATTTGTTTTATCTGAATTCTTTCCTCAGGAAATGGCCTCCAGGCCTCTCACAAAAAGTATCAAAAAACTGAAACCAGATCATCTCATCAGATGCTGGAGACCTCATTCAACATGATTGCTTCCTTGCCACTCCCTAGTTCCTGTTTTCTTATACATTGTTACATTTCTCACCTGCCATATAAATCCCTGGTTTAGTCAGGGAGATGGATTTGAGACTGAGCTCCCATCTCCTCAGCTGCAGCATCTGATTAAAGCCTTCTTCCTTGGTAATACTTGGCACCTCAGTGATTGACTTACTGTGTGGCAAGCAGCAGCACTGAAACTGAACCCCTTATGTTTGAGTAACCAAGTCACGATTTTATTAGTTTGATTTCCCACCTAGAAACCTAGTGAAATCTCTTTACTAAAGGTTTCACAGGTAGGTTTCCAACTGGATGGTCTATCATTCCCTTCCCAAAGATACACAAACACACAAACGCCATGTGCACACACACATACACATAAACAGGCATATATATATACCATGTATATATGCACATATGAAGGTCCACACACACCCACACGTGTACACAAGAACATATATTCTGTAATTATACTGATTTATATTTCAAAACTGAAATATTACTATTATGAAAGTCAGCATTTTTATGCATTAGGAAACCAGATAAAGCTCAAATTTTACAGTATCCCATAACAACTATCACAAAATATTACTGAAAATTCTAGGGAAGATACATTTCAGATCCAAGCCCAGTGTATCTCTCTTAGCCCTCCACACATAGCAATGCAAATACACTACTTTCCATAGGCTTGTTTTCCATATGGAGCAGTGGTTTTGACCTCCTTCATGATTTCTTTCAGCAGAAGTTCTCTCAATGGCTTTAATTGCCAATTACAATATGTCATTCTCTTCCTTAAAAGACTTTTATTTCTCTCCTTTTGTCTAGAGAAAACAGTCCCCCAAACTAAAATATCTTTAGTAATCTGGCCCATTTCATCTCTCTAGTTTCATTTCACACTCTCTTTCTCTGCTGGCCACCTTACCATTTCCTGTTTCAGGTGAAGCGTAGAGTCAATGGCCACTGAAGAATAAAGAGGTTTATTATATATTGAAAATATATAACATATTTTATTGAATTTACTGAAATAACTTGTGGAAAAATAACAAACTCATGCTGGACCTTCAACTTCTGGTTCTTGGAATTCCTTAGCTGTACATTGGGCATGGACAAATAGGGTTAATTTGTTACCAAACCACCAGGGGTTTGGTCTGGGTCCTGCTGCTTGCTGCACAGAAAGCCAGTCACTGAGAAGATGTGTATTGCCAGGGAAGAAGGTTTTAATTGGGTGCTGCAGCTGAGGAGATGGGAGTTCAGTTGAAACCATCTCCGAGACTAACTAAAACTAGGGGTTTATATAGCAGGGAAGAAATGTAACAATGTGTAAGAAAACAGAAACTAGTGAGGGGCCATGAAGCAGTCGTGATGAATGAGGAGTCTGGCATCTCATTATATGGATATTATTATTTGGTTAGTTTCAGTTCTTTCATAATTTTTCTGAGAGGTCTGAAAGTTCTTTCCTGAGGAAAGAACTCAGAAAAAACAAATATATGTTTCATGCTTTAAGACCAGAAGGGTCAATTTCTATGTTTATCAAAACAAAATAAGAAAACTGTTGATGGGACAATTGGGTTGGTTTCAGTTTTGCTTCTTTTCCCGCAGTCTCTATTCTTGATTCCAATCCACTGGAGAAATAGAATCATAAAAAAAAAAAAAACCCTCAAAATTAAAATATATCCTATTTTGATATCACACTCATAAGTTGCAGAAATTACTTTTGAGAAACCTTGCAACCTGTTTTCCTTGGAACATTATCGACTGGAAGCCACTGCACAGGCCCGTTTGTTACCCGTGGAAGAGATCCAAGTTACCAGCAACAAATCTGTACGTAGCTGAAGCAACTTCAGCCATTGCTTCCTCAGAAGAAATAATTCGACTGAGAGGCAGCATGTAGAAAAAGAGGCCCAGGTGAGTTCCAGAGCAGGAGTGGAAGTGTATTAAAAAGGCTAGTTCTAGATCCCTGAGGAATCACCACACTGACTTCCACAATGGTTGAACTAGTTTAGAGTCCCACCAACAGTGTAAAAGTGTTCCTATTTCTCCACATCCTCTCTAGCACCTGTTGTTTCCTGACTTTTTAATGATTGCCATTCTAACTGGTGTGAGATGGTATCTCATTGTGGTTTTGATTTGCATTTCTCTGATGGCCATTGATGGTGAGCATTTTTTCATGTGTTTTTTTGGCTGCATAAATGTCTTCTTTTGAGAAGTGTCTGTTCATGTCCTTCGCCCACTTTTTGATGGGGTTGTTTGTTTTTTTCTTGTAAATTTGTTTGAGTTCATTGTAGATTCTGGATATTAGCCCTTTGTCAGATGAGTAGGTTGTGAAAATTTTCTCCCATTTTGTAGGTTGCCTTTTCACTCTGATGGTAGTTTCTTTTGCTGTGCAGAAGCTCTTTAGTTTAATTAGATCCCATTTGTCAATTTTGGCTTTTGTTGCCATTGCTTTTGGTGTTTTAGACATGAAGTCCTTGCCCATGCCTATGTCCTGAATGGTAATGCCTAGGTTTTCTTCTAGGGTTTTTATGGTTTTAGGTCTAACGTTTAAGTCTTTAATTCATCTTGAAATTGATTTTTGTATAAGGTGTAAGGAAGGGATCCAGTTTCAGCTTTCTCCATATGGCTAGCCAGTTTTCCCAGCACCATTTATTAAATAGGGAATCCTTTCCCCATTGCTTGTTTTTCTCAGGTTTGTCAAAGATCAGATAGTTGTAGATATGTGGCATTATTTCTACTGGGTATATAGCCAAAGGACTGTTAATCATGCTGCTATAAAGACACATGCACACATATGTTTATTGCGGCATTATTCACAATAGCAAAGACTTGGAACCAACCCAAATGTCCAACAATGATAGACTGGATTAAGAAAATGTGGCACATATTCACCATGGAATACTATGCAGCCATAGAAAATGATGAGTTCATGTCCTTTGTAGGGACATGGATGAAATTGGAAATCATCATTCTTAGTAAACTATCGCAAGAACAAAAAACCAAACACCGCATATTCTCACTCATAGGTGGGAATTGAATAATGAGAACACATGGGCACAGGAAGGGGAACATCACACTCTGGGGACTGTGGTGGGGTGGGGGGAGTGGGGAGGGATAGCATTGAGAGATATACCTAATGCTAGATGACGAATTAGTGGGTGCAGCACACCAGCATGGCACATGTATACATATGTAACTAACCTGCACATTGTGCCCATGTACCCTAAAACTTAAAGTATAATTAAAAAAAAAATAGAAGGCTAATTAAGACAAGAAAAAATAAATAAATAAATAAAAAGGCTTTATAACAGAAAAGAACTTTTTGGAAGAGATTCAGTTGGGCACATGAAAGTCCAAGAGAGAGAAGAGAAGATCAAGTGCCCTGTGTAACCGTGTCCCTAGGACTTTTATAGGTGCCTCTTTCCTGTGATTCTTCCCCTAGGGTGGGCTGTGTTGGGAGCAAGTCCCCCAAAATCCGGCCATAAACTGGCCCGAAAACTGGCCATAAACAAAATTTCTGCAGCACTGTAACATGTCCATAATGGCCATAATGCCCAAGATGGAAGGTTGTGGGTTTATGGGAATGAGGGCAAGGAACACCAGGCCCGCCCAGGGTGGAAAACTGCTTAAAGGCATTCTTAAGCCACAAACAATTAGCATGAGGGATCTGTGTCTTAAGGGCGTGTTCCTGCTGCAATTAATTCGGCCCATCCCTTCGTTCCCCATAAGGGATACTTTTAGTTAATTTAATATCTATAGAAAGAATGCTAATGACTGGCTTGCTGTTAATAAATATGTGGGTAAATCTGTTCGGGGCTCTCAGCTCTGAAGGCTGTGAGACCCCTGATTTCCCACTTCACACCTCTATATTTCTGTGTGTGTGTGTGTCTTTAATTCCTCTAGCGCTGCTAGGTTAGGGTCTCCCCTATGGAGCTGGTCTGGACAGGCTGCCCGCATGCGCAGAGCACTCCTTACCCTCAGGAAGTGAGCATGCAGTGTGTTTAGGGAGTTGTACGCATGCCCACCTGAGGCTTTCTTCCTTTTTCCAGTGGAGTGTACCTGAAAGATCATACTTCACCATTTTTGTCTCTCACTGTGCATGCCTAGGAAGTTTCTTCTCCCTGGGCCTGCCTTTAACACTTTAATGTTAACAGGTGTGGACCATCAGGAAATGGCCTCTCCCTGGAGCTGGCTGCCAACTTAACACTTTGAGAGGCAATGCGATAATTGCCGAATCATCACCCGATATTTCTAGTGGGTGGAGCGGGGAGCCCACTTCTGCCCTGTTCATGCTGAACTACCTGTAACACCTTGATCACTGGGCATTGATAGTACAGGTAGGACATGGGAAGATAAGGAAGTCAAAGAGAAAGCGTTACGGGAGAGGAACTTTGGGGATTTGTTGAAACCCAGAGGTGACAGAGCACAAAATAACAGGAAATGTGAGGTGAACAGAGGAAGGCCATCGGATACATGAAGATAAAAATAACTGTTAAAGCATCAACTCTGAAGTAGAGACAGAAATTTGTAGGAGATGAGACGTATGTTAAATAAAATTATAACGGATCAAAAGGCCCGGGGAATTAATTGCATTTCTTTTCCTTGTCATTTTCTTCTTTTCATCTATTTCTTTTTGTTTTATTTATCTTATTGAATTCATTCTGATCACATAATTGATAGTACTGCAACTTGGATGTGTGAAGCTTTGCTTTTTTTCCCCCTCACAGACATGCCGTTGATTGGTGTTAGAGGAAAAATATATGAAATGTAGTCCAATCCAGCAAACTTAGAAACTTAAAAGATTTTAATCAGCACAGTCAAGTAAATCATTAGTTTCTATAGGTTTAATACCTCAGTCTTTTAGATTCCTGTTCTCTGCTTTTTCTTCAAAATGGTATCTGGGCTTTTGGGGAAAGGAAGTGACTTCAAGGACCTTGGGGCAGTGGAGGATGGTGAGTCCTTGAATCATCAGGGAACTTTTTTAGATTTTTTGCTCGTACTTGAAGGATAATTGATCTAATTTTTGGATTCTTCTAGATTCCAGGGCTAATGTCTACTCTTGGTAAAAGAGTTGGTGTAAGATACTTAGCTTACCCATATGGAAACATAAGTTTTGAAATTTTAAAAATATATTGAAAATATATTTTTCACACACATACCCATTTGTAATTATTACCTATGCATAAAAGGCTGTAGGATAGTTATGCTTCTTGATGTTCTTACTGGTCATTTATTATCTTAAGCAGTACAAAGTTAGATTTTGTGGGATAGAATTTATGTATTAAAACAAAAACTCTACTTACTTTACAAAACCTATGACATCAGGTGTGCATATTTCTCCTTTGTTATAGTATTATTGTTGTTGTTTGTATTTTTTATCCCGAGTTCATGCCCTTTCCATTTAATAAAGCTAGTGCCTCGCTAAATATAATTCTGGTTTTCTTATAAGAATTTGAAATAGTTTTTTCTTCACGTCTTTAGTCTGTTAATGGTTTTATTAAATATACTTTGTGAGAAGATTTGCTTCCAGGTAGCTTTCTGAAATCAGAGTTCCTAGGAGCCTATCTTGGGGACAAAGGAGGAAGAAAGGCATTATCATGACAGTGGGGACTCATGAGGACTACAGGATGCTGAAGGCTCATAGGCTCAGAAGTCTTTCTGGCAAACACGGCCTGTGTATTGGCTGACAACCACTTGGCAAAGAGATCTTAAATCCAGAACCTTAGCCTGATTATTTACTCATTTCCAAATGATGCAGCCTGTAAGTAACAATTTCTGATCTTTAATTACTTTGATTCCAGTGTGAATTTTATGACTAATTAGCACCTCAAAAGAAAAGCCCATCATCCTGTGCACAGTTATTTTGCTTCATGGTAAGCTACGTGCCATGCTTAAGCTGCTGGAGGTGTTCTGACTGGCTGAAGAGCAAATAAAGTCATTTGCTTCCCAGTGAGATGCTGTTCCATTACATTCAGCCACAGGTTCTTGCCTATAGTACAAATACAATTATTCTAAATTAACTCCCCAGCCAAAGATTGAGTAAAATAATATATGATTTAAACCATTAGCTTAAAATAATCTTTGCAACTATTTGCTCTTGGTACTATGCCTTGTAAAAAACATATTCTATATTTTATTGTCATGTGATTTAGGTCACTTAAAGAAAAATATCAAAAAAATAATTTTAATTCCAATTTTCTTATACTTTCTACCTATTTTGTCTTTATTAACCCTAATATGTAACAGGTATTTTTTAAAACACACAGTCAGAATTATAAATATCTCATCTTCTTTGCATTTGTACTTCTTATTTGGGAAAATTTATCCCTAAACTTTTCTCCAACTGGTTATCAGACCTCAACTCTTTATCTCAAGAATATAATTTAACAATTTCTCACAAACTCTCCTAGAACTGAAATAGCGTACATTATATGAAATAAATCCAGATACTTTTTATCAGCTAGCAAAGTGACAATAAATACTTCTATTGCCCTGTGGTCCACATAATGAATCCAGTGGACTGAGATCTCTACTTCATTTGTATTTATTTTATTCAGCTTTTTTCAGCATAAATCCAAGCACTTCTGTGCACTTTATAAAAAAGTGTTCTAATTACAAAACAAATCTAGTGGCTTTATTATGAAGAGATAGAATTAGAAAGTGAGGCCGGGCGCAGTGGCTCATGACCCTAATCCCAGCACTTTCGGAGGCCAAGGCTGGTGGATCACTTGAGGTCAGGAGTTTGAGACCAGCCTGGCCACCAACATGGTGAAACCTCGTCTCTACTGAAAATACAAAATTATCCGGGCGTGGTGGTGTATGCCTGTTATCCCAGTTACTCAGGAGGCTGAAGTAGAAGAATCACTTGAACCTCAGAGACAGAGGTTGCAGTGAGCCAAGATGGTGCCAGTCCACTCCAGTCTGAGTGACAGAGCGAGACTGTATCTCAAAAAAAAAAAAAAAAAAAAAAAAAAAAAAAAAAAAAAAGAAGGTGAATGAATTGTGAAGATACCCACACAATAATTTTTGGAATACTGATTATATTCTTTAGTGAATTTTATCTGTGGTTGAAGCTAATTTGAAAACTAAGGCTAATCAGAAACTTTTGCTTATTCTCAACATTTAATGCTATCCATGCACATCTTAAAAATGTTTAGAAATCATATAAATTCTGTGTATAATATAACCCAGAGAGCTAAATGATAACATATATGATAAGTTACTAATATCACATTTAGATCTGCATTCTATGGTCCAAGTAAAGAACAGTAAAATCACCTAAGAGATGGAGTGAGTATTCATACCATCAACATGATAGAATATTTATTGAGCAATTCTGATCCAAAAATTAAACTTTACGTTTTCCTGTATGGAACTAGGCTTGGGAAACACTTTTTATTTTGACCAAAATGGAAGGAAGGGTGTCATACAAAGGAGAGGAATAAGATGTAAAGAAAACTTCACCTTATAAAATAATAATTCATCAGTTTATGACTCTGCTTTGATTAGTGGCCTCCCTTTATTCTCTTTACTATTTAGGAGAGTAACACTTGAGTGAACCTTAAATCCTTGTATTTTAAAAAATTAGCTGTGGTTAAATGGGAAGTACACACCACACACATTTGTTACTAAAGGAAAGACGATGCTTTACTTGAGTAGATGCAATTGTTTCATATGCAGTTGTTTGAGTTGTGAGCTATACTAGGTGGTTTTCCATGGGACACAATTTTATTGTAAAGAATGACCGACACCAATTATTTGGATTTCAGTATTTGAAAGGTATTTTCTAGAAATTATCAGTGATGTGAGACTGTCACTTCAGGATAACTGACAGTATTTGTTGTCAATGATTGTACTGGAAATTTCAAGTGAAAGCTACACTTTTGGAAAACTTGTGTCCATTGTCATGAGCTTGAGAGATTCAGGATTCTGAAAGACTTTTCTGATGAGATTATTGGTGATATTAACAAATGTGATGTCTTGATGTCATAAAACAAAATGTGTCCACATTTCCATGAGCTCCATAATTCAATGAGACAGTATATACCAAATGACCAGCACATGATGCTACAAAATTATGCGTGGGTAAATGATCTATTTAATTCAAATTTAATTCAAAAAATAAATTTTAATGTAACAGAGTACGAAAAGGACATTGATACTAATTCACATTCCACATTGCAGCTAACCTTTAATAAATCACCACTTGTGCACTTGTTAAACTTTGTGGTAGAAGCAAAGAAGAATATCTACAATCATGGAAAAATTATTTTTAAATATTTCTCCATTATCCAACTACATATATGTGGGAGGCAACAGATGGAATCCACAATCACATGTGGTAATCCTGCTGTGTGCTATTCAACCAGACATGAAAGAAATATGCAAAACTGTGGTATAATTTCACTCTTCTTTTTTGTATTTTGAGGGAGATATAGAACATAGTAATTTTTCACAAAGATTTTGATATATGTAACCAGCAAAAAACAAAAGCCCTTTTAGCTTCTCAAATCATTTTAATAACATAAAATGTTCTTTTATTTGAAACATGAATTAGAAATTAGAACTGTTGATCTAAATAGATGGAATATCTACACTGTTAGATTATTTTTAAGAATGTTTTATTTACTATTATTTTTTTACTTTAAGTTCTGGGATACATGTGCTGAATGTGCAGGTTTGTTACATAGGTTATACATGTGTCATGGTTTCGCTGCACCTATCAACACGTCGTCTAGGTTTTAAGACCCGCATGCGTTAGGTATTTGTCCTAATGCTCTCCTTCCCCTTTCCCCCCAGCAACAGGCCCTGATATGTGATGTTCCCCTCCCTGCGTCCATGTGTTCTCGTTGTTCAACTCCCAAGTATGACAACATGCCGTGTTTGGTTTTCTGTTCCTGTGTTAGTTTGCTGAGAATGATGGCTTCCAGCTTCATCCATGCCCCTGAAATGAACATGATCTCATTCTTTTTTATGGCTGCATAGTATTCCATGGTATATATATGCCACATTTTCTTTATCCAGTCTATCATTGCTGGGCATTTGGGTTGGTTCCAAGTCTTTGCTATTGTAAATAGTGCTACAATAAACATAGATGTGTATGTATCTTTATAGTAGAATGATTTATAATCCTTTGGGTACATACCCAGTAATGGGATTGCTGGGTCAAATGGTATTTCTGGTTCTAGTTCCTTGAGGAATCGCCACACTGTCTTCTGCAGTGGTTGAACTACACTCCCACAAACAGTGTAAAGGCATTCCTATTTCTCCACAGCCTCACCAGCATCTGTTTCCTGATTTTTTAATAATCGTCAAGGAATGATGTTTTATTAAAGTCCATATAAAAGTTTTGTTTTCTGAAAAATCTATTTTTAACAGCAGAATGAAAATTCTTCCTAATCAAAATCTAATTTTAATTGTGATTTCTTTTTTTTTTTTCAAAGGGAGGATGTCCCACAAATGAATAAATGTGTAGGTATCAGTATAAATTGAATTTATTTGTTTCAAAGAACATTCAACTGTGAGAAAAAATGTTGACTCTCTCATCTTTATAAAATTTTTTTGAATGTAAAAAAACCCACGTTTAAGTCTCTTTTTCTAGGTAAAAGAATTGCTAAATGTATGCGCAATATCTATAAAGGTGCACACGTGAATTTATGAGATCAGATGTAATTGAAAGTATATTAAATCATGCTAGCTACTGATTTGCTAGTAAATCAAACTAAGTAAAAAATTTTTCTCAGGAGAAAGCACTATATAATATCTTGAAAAGACAGTTAATCAAATAACATCAATAAGGTTTTCAAGAAAATGTTGAATTATTCACATAAGATATAAAATCTCTCGGTGCTTCCATCTAATTTTTAAATTCACATTGTGGCTTGTAATGGAACCCCTTTGCACTCAAATTCCAGGTTCCTGGATTAAAAGTGGAACCAGGAGACTACCATCTCAGGATGTGTGTTTCTAGGTAACAGACAGATATCATGACTGCTGGCTATGTATTGGTAGATATTTAGAAAAACGGTAAGTAGTTAATGTTAAGCAGAGAGAAAGTATTTTTATCATAATTAAAAGGTAAAACTATTGACGGTGTTTGAGAATAGTGGGAGAAAGCCTGGGGATAATCCTGGTACGTGAAAATACTGCTTAATAAAAAGGGGTATGGAAAGTCCAAAGATAAGTTTGAGAAGAATTGGTATTAGTCATTGGTAATGTTATTGCATTTATCTTTAAATGCATTTATAGTTACAGTTGCTCATTTGGGGCCAGGCATGGTGGCTTATGCCTGTAATTCCAGCACTTTGAGAGGCCAAGGCGGGTAGATGGCCTGACGTCAAGAGTTCGAGACTAGCCTGATCAACATGGTGAAACCCCGTCTCTACTAAAAATACAAAATTAGCCAGGTGTGGTGGTGCATGCCTGTAATCCCAGCTACTCTGGAGGCTGAGGCAGGAGAATAGCTTGAACCCGGGAGGTGGAGATTGCAGTGAGCCAAGATCATGCCATTGCACTCCAACCTGGGCAAAAAAGACTAAAACTTCATCTCAAACAAACAAACCAAAAAGTTGCTCATTTGGGTACTGTGGACCTTTTAATAATTTTAATGCTTCCAACTCATGAACATAGTGTATCTTCCCATTGATATGTGTCTCCTTCAATTTTTTTCAAATGTTCTATGGTTTTCAGCATATAGTTTTCAGATATTTTACCTCCTCAGTTAAATTTATTCCTGAAAATTTTATTCTTTTTAATGCTATTGTAAATGAGATTGTTTTTCTAAATTTCTTTTTCAGGTACTTTGAAGTTAGTTTCTAGAAACTTAATTGATGTTTGTGTCTTGATTTTTGTAATCTACATCCTTACTGAATCTGTTTATCAGTTCTAACAGTTTTTTGGTGGGGTCTTTAAAGTTTTCTCTTTATATATATGTCATCTACAAAAAGAGACAACTTTTTCTTCCTTTCCAATTTGGATGTTTTCTTTTTTCTTTTTTTTTTTTTTTAGATGGAGTCTCACTCTGTCGCCCAGGCTGCAGTGCAGTGGTATGATCTCTGCTCACTGCAAGCTCCGCCTCCTGGGTTCACACCACTCTCCTGCCTCAGCCTGCCAAGTAGCTTGGACTACAGGCACCTGCCACCACACCTGGCTAATTTTTTTGTATTTTTAGTAGGGACGGAGTTTCATCATGTTAGCCAGGATGGTCTTGATCTCCTGACCTCGTGATTCTCCCGCCTCGGCCTCCCAAAGTGCTGGGATTACAGGTGTGAGCCACCAAGCCTGGCCCAATTTGGATACTTTTAATTATTTTTTATTGCTTAATTTTTCTGGCTAGGACTTCTAGTACTATATTGAGTAGAAGTGGCAGGACTGGATGTTCGTGTGTTTTTCCTGATCTTAGAGGAAAATATTTCAGCTTTTCATTGTTGAACATAATATTAGCTGTGGGCCTGTGATACATGACCTTTACTGTGTTCAGATACATACTTTCTATATCTAATGTGTTGAGAGATTTTATTATGAAAGGTTGTTGAATATTGTCAAAAGTTTTTCTGCATCTATTGAGTTGTTCATGTGATTTTTGTCATTTATTCTCTTAATGTGGTATATCACAGTAATTTATTTGCATAAGTTTAATTATTCATGCATCCTATGGATAAATCCCATGGTATGGTGTATGATCTTTGTAATGTCCTCTTGAATTGGTTTGCTAGTATTTTATTGAGGATTTTTGTATCTGTGCTCATCAGAGATATTGGCCAATAGTTTTCTTTTCTTGTAGCGTCCTTGTCTGGCTTTGGTATCTTGGTTGTTGGCCTCATAAAACAAATATGGAAGTGTTGCTGCCTCTATTTTCAGACAGAGTTTGAGAAGAATTGGTATTAGTTATTCTTTAAATTTTTGGTAGTTTCACAAGTAAAACCATCAGATCCTAGGCTTTTCTTTGATGGGAGACTTTTCATTATTGATTCAATTTCCTTATTTATTATTTGTCTGTTTAGATTTGTCACAATTTATATCTTTTTATATTGTTTAGTTATTATCAAATTATTGTAACTTAGTTATTTTTAAAAGTTTTGTCTTTTGACCTTTATACTTGGGATGTAAGCAATTTATATACAGCATTATAGTATTAGGACATTCTAATTTTCACTATTTGCTTATTTTACCATTGAGTGTTATGCTTTCATAGAATTTTTGTATTACTCAAAGCAATCTACAGACTCAATGCAATCCCTATCAAAATTCCAATGTCATTTTTTCAAAGAAATACAAAAACAAATTTAAATGAATATGAAACAAAAAAATCCTTCAAATAAGTAGCTAAAGTATTATTGAGGAAAAAGAACAAAGCTGGAGGTATCATGTTTTATGATATCAGATTATATTACAAAGCTCCAGTAATCAAAACAGTATGATACTGTTAAAAACAGACATACAGAGCAATTAAGCAGAATAGAAAGCCCAAAAATAAACCTATGTGTATATGACTAAGTGATCTTCAACAAAGGTGCTAACAATACACAATGGGGAAATGGTAGTCTGTTAAATAAAATATGTATGAAAACCTGAATATACACATGCAAAAGAAATGAAATTGAATCCTTATTTCAGAGCATAATTAAAAATCACTCACAATTGATTAAAAATTTAAACATAGGATCTGTAACCAAAAACTCTTAGAAGAAAATAGGGGTAAAGCCCAATGATACTGCTCTTGGCAATTTTTTTTTATATCAATTGTTGCTAAAACACAGGCAACCAAAGTAAAAATAAACAAGTGGGGTTGCATTAAACTAAAACCTTTCTGTACAGAAACAAAATGAAAAGGCAACCCATGGAATAGTAGGAAATATTTGCAAACATATCTGACAAGGTGTTAATATCCAAAATAATAAGGAACTCCAACCACTCAATGGCAAATCATAATAATAACCTGACTAAAAATTTGGCAAAGAACTTTAATAGACATTTTCCCAATTAAGACATACAAATAACCAACAGTTTTATGAAAATATTGAAAAAGGTATGGAGGTTCCTCAGAAAGTTAAAAATAGAACTACGATATGATCCAGCAACTCCACTACTGGGTATATTATATATTGAAAGGAAATAAAATCACTAATCTTGAAGAGGTATCTGCATTCCCATGTTCATTGCAGAATTACTCACAATAGCCAAGAAACGGAAATAACCTAGTTGTCCATCAACAGATGAATGGATTAAGAAATATATAATGGATATTACTCAGCCTTAAAAGTTATAATTAAAATTAAGAAATCTAAAAGAAAGGAAATTTTGTCATTTGCAGCAACATAGATAAACATGGAGGACATATGCTAAGTAAAATAAGTCAGGCACAGAAAGACAAATACTGTGTGATCTTGCTTTATGTGTAATGTTAAAACACTGAGCTCATAGAAACAGATAGTAGAAGAGTGGGTATCAGGGCTCAGAGACCAGGGGAGATCAACATCTCCCCATCAAAGGTACAAATGTACAGTTATAAGCTAAGTAAGTTCTAGAGACCTAATGTGTAGCATAGTGACTGTAGCTAATAACGATGTACTGCATACTTGAAATTTGCTAAGACAGTAGATCTTAAGTACATGGATATGTTAATTAGCTTGATTGTGGAAATCACTTTACAGTGCATATATTTATTAATAACTTGGGCATATACAACTTTCATCAGTTATATCTCAATGAAAATTTTTTTAACAATTAAAAAGCCAACAAAACTCCATTGGTATTCCTCTTAAAAATATACCAAATTTAATCAAACTTAATGTATCCTACTTAATAATTTCATTGTGAAATGCATTTGTTTTTTGTTTTATTTTGATTTTACTTTAAGTTTCTAGATACATGTGCAGAATGTGCAGGTTTGTAATATAGGTAAACATGTACCATGGTGGTTTGCTGTATCTGTCAACCCGTCATCTAGGTTTTAAGCCCTGCATGCATTAGGTATTTGTCCTAATGCTCTCCCTCCTCTTGTCCCCCACTCCCTGACAGGCCCCAGTATGTGATGTTCCCCTCCATGTGTCCATGTGTTCTCATTGTTCAACTCCCACGTATGAGTGAGAACTTGAAGTGTTTGGTTTTCTGTTCCCATGTTAGTTTGCTGAGGATGATGGCTTCCAGCTTCATCCATGTCCCTGAAAAGAACATGATCTCATTTTTTATGGCTGCATAGTATTCCATGGTGTATATGTGCCACATTTTCTTTATCTAGTCTATCATTGCTGGGCATTTGGGTTGGTTCCAAGTCTTTCTATTGTAAATAGTGGTACAGTAAACGTATGTGTGCATGTGTCTTTCTAGCAGAATGATTTATAATCCTTAGGGTATATACCCAGTAATGGGATTGCTGGATCAAATGGTATTTCTAGTTCTAGATCCTTGAGGAATCACCACACTGTCTTCCATAATGGTTGAACTAATTTACACTCCTACCGACAGTGTAAAGGCAATCCTGTTTCTCCACAGCCTCTTCACCATCTATTGTTTCCTGACTTTTTAATCATTGCCATTCTGACTGGCGTGAGATGGTATCTCATTGTGGTTTTCATTTGAATTTCTCTAATGACCAGTAATGATGAGCTTTTTTTCATGTTCATTGGCTGCATAAATGTTTTCTTTTGAGAAGTGTCTGTTCATATCCTTTGCCCACTTTTTGATGGGTTGTTTTTTCTTGTAAATGTGTTTAAGTTCCTTTTAGATTCTGGATATTAGATCTTTGTCAGATAGGTAGATTGTATAAATTTTCTCCCATTCTGTATGTTGCCTGTTCACTCTGATCATAGCTTCTTTTGCTGTGCAGAAGCTCTTCAGTTTAATTAGATTCCATTTGTCAATTTTGGCTTTTGTTGCCATTGCTTTTGGTCTTTGCCCATGCCTATGTCCTGAATGGTATTCCCTGTGTTTTATTTTATTCTAGGGTTTTTATGGCTTTGGGTTTTACATTTACGTCTCTAATCCATCTTGAGTTAATTTTTGCCTAAGGTGTAAGGAAGGTGTCCAGTTTCTGTTTTCTGAATATGGCTAGCCAGTTTTCCCAGGACCATTTATTAAATAGGGAATCCTTTCCCTGTTGCTTGTTTTTGTCAGCTTTGTTAAAGATCAGATGTATTTGAATAGATATTTAATTTATAAAGTTCAAATATGGATAATTTAAATGGTGTGTAGAAGAATAACTTCCTGTCATCTGTGTGTTTCCATAGAGAGCATACCTCCCTCTCAGTCAGCACATATGGGTCACACTTTAACTGTTTTTGTAAAATTACAAGTGCAAATTAAATTTTAAAGAAATTAAAATGTAAAAATTATTAGATCTAATTCTAGAATTTTGATGAATAAATATCAAATATGAGTATATGCTCCCCTCTCAGTTTCTCTATTAATACAATGGTAGCATAATATACATAGGATTCTTCACCTTGATTGTTTTTTCAAACATATCTTGGAGATTGTTCCCCACAGTAAGTGGAGAACTTTCTCACTCTTATGTTGCATTGTATCCCACTTATGGTTTACGTTTGTCCTCTTTATGGAAACTGGGCTGTTTCTTAGCTTTAACTGTTACAAATTATGTCATCATAAATTACTATATGCACATGTCACTTCTATGCAGCTGAATTTCTAGGACAGACTCCTAGACATGGGGTTGCTGCATCAAAGTGTGTAAGCAAGAGTAATTTTGTGGGTTTACTTTCAAATCTTGCTTTCCTCCTCACCATTCTAGGCAATGTTTTGCTCTTCATTTCAGCGTTATACATTTGAGAGAGCATTTGCAAACCTCCCCTGGGTGCTCCCCTTTGTGTACTTGCTCTCACTGTAGCTCAGCCTTATTTCCTTTGGCAAGCTGGCTCTATAACACCTACTGAAAGAAAAAGCACTGACAGAATTTAGAAGAAAAAGTAAGTAAATGGCTCCTAATATAGGAAATTATTCACATGAAGAGGATAATATGGAAGATAGTCTTGTAGGGATAGAAAGTAAAATTTGGCACTTTGGTGAAACAGAACATATGATCTTGAAGGAGCACATAAGAATGTTCTAACCCATCGTTCCTCTACAAGGAAAACTAGGGAATGGAGGACATGGGCTTTTGTTCCTCAGTCTCTCCAAATTTCTGTGTAAAATCTGACAAAAACCAAGAAAATTGTCTTCGAGTTCTGAAATATTTTGTTCTACTTTGCTTTCTGACAATTGAACAACTCCATGGTTTCATAGCACAATTTAACACATTATTTCAATATTTCAAAATTAAAAAATGAAACTTCATATAAATTTTTTCAACAGTGCTTCCCAAGGACCTGAATCCATATTTTATAATCTTATTATTTCCTTAGTCGACATCTTAGTAAAAGCTGTGCATGTAGTAAGAGGACAAGCCAAAGAAACCCTCTAGTCAAAGATACTGATATAGTTAACTGAGGAGCAAGACCACCCCTTCCTCCAACCCATCCCACAATCACTTGCAATTTTTGCTTTAAGCAGATCTTGTTTAATTTTTAAAAACCAAATAGAAAGCCTTAAAAAGTATAAAGTTTAATCCTTTAAGGCAATAATTATTAAGGGCCACAACATGACAGGTTGTAAGCAGCCAGTACAAAGGGCTTAAAGTCTGCCTGTGCCTGGCACTTTTAAGGAACAGGAAGATGGTCCATGTTCTTGGATCTAACAGAATGATAGTGAATTTGTAAGAAGTGAGGATAGGAAGTCAAAGGGGTGACTCAATGTTGTACTGTGTCTAGTGGCTGGCTATCCCTTTGGAAAGAAATAGGAGCAAATTTTTAAAAAATAGAAAAAAATATGGAGGGTTTTTTGAGGACAGAGTAGTAATAAGCATATATCTTCGAAGCATTGAAGGCTGCTGAACTGAAATCAGGCTTTTATTGGAAGCACTTGTTTTAAGCACCATGCTTGCAGATTATTCTGCATCAAGGGAACCTCTGTAGACCTTTTTAACAATTGATGCATTTATTTATCAAATATTTATCATTTTTCCACCATTATGTCAAGCATTGGTAATACACTCAGGAACCAGAGACTCCCGTCTCCTAATGGAAGAGCCGGAGTTATGGGTATTATCAGTAGAGACTGCTAAAAGTTGGACAAATTATATATTGTTTTTATTATAAGAAAACAGATACGAGTGGAATAGAAATTTCATTGTGTATGTAGAATATTCTTCAAAGCTTTCCAATCTGCTAATTTGAATGGTTTTGTTTTATAAATTTATTTTATAAACTTTAACATTTATTTTTTAAATATTTTGTAAATAGGGCTCTTATTTATATCAAAATGATCATAAAATGTGCATGTGTGTATATTTATGTTTATATATATACACACCCACAAACACACACGTACATATGTATATACATATGTATATATCTGTAGCTATATTTGCCTGAGATGTGATATTCTGTGAGAAAATGAAGTAAATCATTTCAGGAATATATGTCATCTCTAAAACAAAATATTCTTTAGTCATCAGAAAGAGGTAAGATGTCAAACAGATATATCAACTGTAATTTGATCCTTGCCAAGATGTAACTGGTGTGGCTGAAAAAAATTAACGTTGTAATTTTATTCAATTGACTCATAATGGGAGAATATTTAGGGTTAACATTTTGATAGAATTTTCATGGCTTTTGTTTTCTTTCCTATATCCATAACACTTAAAATAATGAAATATAATTGGGTGACATTTTCTTTGCACATAAGGTTTACATTGATTCTCTCTTTTTAAAAAGAGCACAGTGTCTGAGGGAGTAAAGAGGTCATTTTTCTAGGAGCAGAGCAAGGTAATTGGTTGATTTGTCCTTTTGCTGGGCATTTTCAACAGTGGAAAGAAGCCTATTGTTATGAGTGTTATAAGGCAAAATTATTATACACTTGGGGATTAAAAACTAAAAGGTCTCATAATCCCTAGTGTTGGTGTGACCAGTGCTGATGAAGAACTTGTGTTATAATCTCACTGCAGGTGTTCACTTGCTCTATATATTGATATGCAATTTGGCTTCTTGAGGTCAAGTTTTCTCATCTCTCCAATGAAAATCCTGGGTTTCTTGATGTCTAAGGTCTCTTACAGTCCACATCTAAATTATAATCACTTCCTATTCTGTTATCTTAAAGAACATAGCCTTTCTATAATGTTTGGAAGTAATTTGTGCCAATAGTTAAAGTCATATGGCAATTTGAATCCAGCAAATATTCCTTAAGCTTGGAATTTTGCATAAATAATACAAAAGTGAGTAAAACACAGACCTTGCTTTATTCAAGTCTAATGTCGAACCAGTTAAGCAATATGTGCTTCAGTAAATGTGTGCATAACATTTGTTGGGAAGTTAAATTCCATTTCATAAAGCACTTCCTCTGGGTGGCCTTTTGTGATTGTTTCATTAGTCTTGGGGACTTGCTATATTGTGATAAGAATAAGAATAATTACTGAATACCAGGGATCATTCTTAGCACTTTACATCTAATTCATTTACTTCTCAAAAAATGTTATGATATTTTTCTCTTGTTGTCATTAATATGAGATAAAAAAGTGAGGTTCAGAGAATGTAAGCATTTTCACAAATTCACAGAACTAAGTGTCAGTCAGTATTTAAATTTTAGTGGCCTGATTCTCAAGCATTTGTCTCCAAAATACATTTTACTGTGATTTTAAAAAATATATGCACTTTTCAGTTTCATAATTCAAGGAGACAATGACATAGATGGATTAGAGTAATTATTTTTTGCATGACTATTGCCCAAGTGACCAGGCACAGTGGCTCACTCCTGTAATTCCAACACTTTGGGAGGCTGCGGCTGGCAGATCACTTGAGGTCAGGAATTTGAAATCAGACTGGGAAACATGGCGAAACACCATCTCTAAAAAAAATACAAAAATTAACCAGCTGTGGTGGCATAGGCCTGTAACCCCAGCTAGTCAGGAGGCTGAGGCACAAGAGTCACTTTAACCTGGGAGGGGAAGGTTGCAGTGAGCTGAGATTGTGCCACTACCCTCCAGCCTGGGCGAGAGAGTGAGACTGTCTCAAAAAACAAAACAAAACAAGACTATTTCCTAAGAACTGGAAGTTCAAGAATCCTATTTGTAAAACTGTTAAGGACATGAACATGTACGATGTAGTATAGAATACATTTTACCTTTAAGAAGATCATCAATTATAATTTTGCTACTCAAATTCCGGAGTAATTTTGATTTAGTGTCTACCATTTACGTATTTTTTAATGAAAATAAATCCTTTTTGGACAGGAGACCAAATATCCTATTTTAGAGTGCTTTATTTCTTGGGTAATTCATTTTTACTGTGCTTTTATTTCAAACAGAGGATGAGTTATTGAACATGTTAGATGTTTTGTTTTCCTGAGACTTGGAATTTAATTATAATGGAAACAAAATGTCTATTTACTTATCTCTGTCCCCTCTGCCTCCCTGCACACAATGGAGGCATTCTCTTCCTTAGGCTGGTCCTTTAAAAGTAGCACAAAAAAAGGCTTGAGAATTTTCTTTCAATCTGTAAGAAAGAACTTTTGCAATCTGATAAAAATAAATACTAATTTTTGTTTCTATGGGTAACAGAAAATGCATTGATTTGATAATTTATAAGAGCCTCCAAATGGAGGCCATGGATTGAGTAGATTAGCTTTGCTATTTGGGTATTTTATCTATGCTCCTCTAGGCCAGAAATCCCTCCACACACAATATGAAGTGTTAGATCTGCCTGTGAATATTTCACAGTAGATGATGTGATAATCCACTTTGCTCAACAATATGTTCCTCTTATTTACAAGTCTCTGATGTCCTTCCCTCTGTAGACATGGGAGTGTTCCTCCAAAACCTGGAAGTCTTTGGCTCAAATTCTTTTTCCTTTATTTGATGAATTTCGGGCTTTTTCTGTTCCTACCATACATAGGCTTATTTTCCTTTTTCCCCCTCCAACCTTAGTTTTCTTCTTTTTATTCTGTCATACTTAACACATTCCCTATGTGTAAATATGCTTAGAAGTATTTGCGGCTTTAATTCATTTTTAAAATTTTGAGACATTTACTTAACAAGTATACACTTACAATGGAAGAGGAGAAAAAACGATGTTTGAATTAATTTTGTTACCTGAGGACAGGACAGGCTACAATGCAAAATAAATATGCAGGGTGCTTGTTCTAAAATTATTAGAAATTTCAAGACAATGACAGCAGAATATTCAGCTAAGCACAGGGATCTTCTGAACACAGGGTAACTTGTGATTGTACAGGTCAAATATGCATAAAGCCAGTTCTGCCTGAGTATTCCTGGGCGGAAGTCAGGGGGAAAAAATGCTTTGAAGACATTGTGTCCTTAGATGTGAGTTTTTTTTTTCTTTTTTCCCTGTCCTTCTCCTTCTCTGCCTCTTTCTTCCCCATCCTCCCCTCCTTCTCCTCTTCCCTACCTCCTCTTCCTCCTCCTCCTCCTCCTCCTCCTTCTCTCTCTGTATCTCTCTCTCTGTCTCCTTTCATAAAACAATGGCACCTAGCAAGTGCTTTAGAGTTCGCTGACGACAGATTCTGGTTAAAGATGAAACAAGTTAATCATCATGATCATATAATAGTAAACATCATAAAGGCCAACTTCTAAAAATCCCTAATTTTAGGTATTTTTGAAAGATTATAAGTTTCATATGTTTTAAATCAAAATGGTTTGAATAATCTAAAATTTCATAGAACTGCTTTTCCTCATAAACATAAAAGAATCTCACATACAAAAAATAAATCTGCCTATCTAATGAAATAACATTCCAGGTAACTTAAGAGAAACCTAAATTTCTCTAGTGTTTTCCAGTATCAAACTAGGTCAGATTCCCTGTCTACCATAAATTACTCTTGGCATAGAATTTCAGGAATTGATACTGCAGTTCTAGGTTAACTTTTAATTTTAAAATTACTTGCTTTAAATAAAGTGTGAAGATAAACTTATAATTGTTTTGACCCGAGTTTGTAGCCTGGATTGAAACATTAGCATCACCTGCAATTTTTCAGAAATGTACATTCTCAGACCCACTCCGGATCTACTGACTCAGAAACTCTGGCAGTAGGGCTCAGCAATGAGAGTTTTAACATACACATTATGTTACTTTAACACACTCTAAAGTTTTAGAATATGGCATTAATCTACACTACCCCTATTATAAGAGCTTTAAAGATCATTATCTGTTTATGGAATAGTTAAACTATCATATGAATCAATTAACCTTTTACATATCGTAAATGTTGGGGACTTTTAAAATTGAAAGGTAAATAGGAGTAGACATTGTATGAATTGTAATTTAATATATGCTATATTAATAATGATAGTCAACAAAATCAGTTATATCCACAAATGAATATTTTTCCTGTAAGGAATTAGAAAACACATAGTTTTATTAGTAGCCTGAATAATTTTATATTTTTTGTGTAGTCTTCTTGAGAGAAATCACCACTGTTTACTTAGGAAATTGCTCTACCACCTCAGAATTCTCTCTTGCAAATATGTCTGCTCTATTTTTTTCTTTGTGTTTGCCTGCAAATACTTTTTTAACTTTGCAAGAAAATACTACTGCAGGTTGTTTGCCTGAAGTAGAATCTAAATTACAGTAAAAGTTTATTCCAAAAATAGAAGGCAATGTTCTGAGAAGCTTGCAGCCAATGAATAGGTTATTAGAGAAGCATTTTCCACTTAGGTTTGGAAATGAAACATAGTACATTTTCATTAATCTAGTGTGTATAATATTAAGTATTTAATATTACTTGTCAATGAGACTATCATTTTACATACGTAGGCAAATAAATCAAACAACATATATGTCAGAGTTAAACTGAATTGACCCTTTCGAATTCAGAGGCGACATTTTAGCTTACAAAGACAATATTAGGAAAACGTTCCTTTGAAGAGCTGAGGAACATGTATATGTTCACCTATATATATATATATGGTTTTATATATATATGGTTTTATATATATATATGGTTATATATATATACACACACACACACACACATAATTTCAGTAGTTTTTTTAGTGTCTGGATTTTTTAATCTTTATCTGAAAACAAATACATCTGGAAGAAAATACTTTTTATCCCTCAGAAAATAATTCAAACGTCTGTAGCTAATTGAAAATCAGGGCTATGGGTACAGATGAAAAATGGTTAGGATGTCATCTCCTTTTCTTCATGGATGAATTAAAAAATCACATGATAGATGCACTGATAATACTTGAGGAATCATGAAGCAGGGCTTTATTCTAAGTCTTCAGATAATGTAATAAGAGTATCTATAATCTTGAGACTTAAGCAGATAGAAAAATTTTCATGGACTTAATTCCTTTATAATAGCTGTACAACAGTGCCATATATGTTCCACTGTTTTTCCATACATATTTGTCTTTGAAATGTAATAGGTTTGTGTTTCAAAATGTTTTCTGTCCTGCAAATAATAGTTATTATTAATTAACTACATGAATTCAATACTTGCATTCTCAGTTCTTACAGTGTGAACAGAGACCACTAATTAAAATGGCAGGGAAAATTTTGAGGGCTGTGTGCAAATTATGTCCGTGAATAACAATGATTGCCAAGGACACAGACTGATGGAAAGATGTCAAGCAAAATAAAAGAGCTGAGATGGATTCTTTGTTGAAAGAGAAAAGATGTAGTAATATTTGATATTTAAAATATTGCCTTAGATGGTAATATCTACATATAATTCAACTTCAGATAAAAAATATTAAATGTGTTAAACTGATCTATACTAGCATAAATTAAATTGTGTAGCCTCTAAACAAATCTTACCATTTCTCTGCTTTCAACAATTTATATCTTTCCATTTCACTATTATTAAAATGTTATTTTTATTTATTGTTTTGATATACCTTATTAACATAATCTGATGAAATTATTTGCATGTAATATTTATTTCAATATTCAGATACTAAAATAATGAAGTACCTCAATTTCCATACTACTTCCGGTTATAAATATAGATTTTGTATAGCCATGTCTGAATATGTATTTCACATATACAGAAAATACATATTCAATTATGGCCTAGAAGAAATTCAATTTGTGTGTTATCTGTACATGGAAACTGAAATGGAAAATTGAAGCTGCTGTCTACGTAATTTAATATTCACCATAACTTCACTAAAACTATATAGATATTTGACTTCAAAGTAAAAATTTATGTGTATGCCTTAAGTTTTCCTTAATACTATCATTAGTTGGGAAAATGCTACATATTTGGAATGTACTGTTATATATAATCTACTTCCAATTAATATTCTGAAATCTGTGGTATTTTAAAATTTTCTGTTATAATAAAATATAACAAATGAACCATAATGCATGCATATGTTCTTGCTCTGAAAACATAAGTAACATTTATCAAGTAGTTTAGCTATGGTTCCAAATTTAATTTAACACATATTTACAGAACACAAGTAGATGACAGTCTGTAAGTATATTAGTCCATTGTCACACTACTAATAAAGACATACCTGAGACTGGGTAATTTATAAAGGAAAGAGGTTTAACTGATTTACAGTTCTGCGTGGCTGAGGAGCCCACAGGAAACTTACAATCATGGCAGAAGAGGAAGCAAATACGTCTTTCTTCACATAGTGGCATCAAGGAGAAGTGAAGAAAGAAGTGGGGGAAAGCTCCTTATAAAACAATCAGATCTTGTGAGAATTCACTCACTATCATGAGAACAGCATGGAGGTAACCGCCCCCATGATTCCATTGTCTCCCACTGGGCCCCTCCCACAACACGTGAGGATTATGGGAACTACAATTCAAGATGAGATTTGGGTGGAGACACAGCCAAAACATCAAAAGTTATTTAAGTAGCTAGAAACATCATTTCTTATTATTACTAAAAAATTAGATTAGAAAAATTCAATTCTATTCTCTTTTGAGATGTGAATTCTTTGTGACCCATCTAAGTTGTGAAGAAAAAAAATTGGTCCTAAGAAGCTGCTGACTTACTTATTCAGGTGACTCAGCCTCTTAAATACATTTCAAAATACATCGATAACTGAGGCCAGAAAACTTATCAGAGCCTCTATGATTGCCTCATTTTCACTTCACTTTAATAACATCTGTAGATTACTCACTTCCTTATATTCCCTGGTACTTCATATAAACTATAGCATATTAAATAAAATAAACCACTGGCTAAAGCAAAAGGCCTGAGTTCCATTTTTATAGGAATAATGACACTTTAAAAAATACTGTACTGAAAGATTCCCCCAAGGCTCATCATGCCTTCCTTGTTATCATGGTGCTGAGGGTCAGGATGATGCCCATTTTCATTGTTTTATGGAAGATTTGTAAATCTGTGAGTAAAGAGAGGTTTGCCCTGTGGCTCATCAGGGAGTGACCTCAAGTGGAAAACCTCATGTTCAGCATAACTTCTTTAACCCCTGGGATGTGTTGCCTTACCTATTGGTTGGGCAACCTTTTCCTTCTCTTTGCCATAAAGCGTTATCTTTATAAACAAATACCACAACATATATATCCCTATTATAAAAGCTTTAGTTAGGTTAATTGGATACATTCTTTTTTTATCCTGTCCTGCTGCTGCCAAAAATTTCAGCTTCAGCATGATCCAATGAGGATCATGCTCAAATGATTATATTGAAATTATTTAGATTGAAATTTCTGAATACCTCAGTGACCTCCCTCAAAACTGAAACACACACACACACACACACACACACACACACACAAATCCCCTAATTACCTTTGAGCATTGTATTCTAATTTATCTTAACCTAGGTTCCTAGAACCTTACCTGAACTTATATCCACAATCAGCACCAAATGAAATGAGAAGCCATCTCATAATTTTTTTCATGATCATTATTAACAGCAGGAACAGCAACAGGGCATCTCTTAATCAGCTCAGGCAGCTACAACACAATCACATAGACTAGGTGGCTTAAGCAACTGCAATTACAAAGTGAGTCCAAACAGAAAGAAATATAGCCTATAATTCTCACCTCTCAACACTTCAGTGATATTTGAAGAGCTGGGTGGTAGGGGCCTTAGAGATCATTGTCATATTATAACTTTGCAGTTGCTGTTATTGCACTACCATTAAAGCTATCAGTGAGGGTTATGTCGGTGATGATTCAACAATGTGCAGGCCTGGTCCTGGTGATTGTCATCTAAGTTGAAATCACAATCTCATTTCTTAAAAGAAATGCTAAACATAGGTTAATGTGTTTTACTCATTAACCATTCTCACCCCAGAGTTATTGCTAGGCTTCTGAGAAAACCAATCATGAAAATAATTGTACTTCACAGTCTTGCACAGGATTCAGGTCAATTGGCTGATTTTGGGAAAGATAAAGTAAGTTTTTCACTTTTTTTTTTTTTAATACTTTAAGTTCTGGGATACATGTCCAGAACGTGCAGGTTTGTTACATAGGTATACACGTGCCATGGTGGTTTGCTGCACACATCAACCCGTCATCTACATTAGGTAGTTCACCTAAGGCTATCCCTCCTATAAACCCCCAAACCCGACAGGCCCCAATGTGTAATGTTCCTCTTCCTGTGCCCATATGTTTTCATTGTTCAACTCCCACTTATGAGTGAGAACATGCGGTGTTTGGTTTTCTGTTCCTGTGTCAGTTTGCTGAGAATGATGGTTTCCAGCTTCATCCATGTCCCTGCAAAGGACATGAACTCATCTTTTTTGTGGCTGCATAGTATTCCATGGTGTATATGTGCCATATTTTCTTTATCCAGTGTATCATTGGTGGACATTTCGGTTGGTTCCAAGTCTTAATTATTGTGAATAGTGCTGCAATAAACATATGTGTGCATATGTCTTTATAGCAGCATAATTTATAAAACTTTGGGTATATGCCTAGTAATGGGATTGCTGGGTCAAATGGTATTTCTGGTTCTAGATCCTTGAGGAATCGCCACACTGTCTTCCACAATGGTTGAACTAATTTACTCTCTCACCAACAGTGTAAAAGCTTTCCTATTTCTCCATATCCTCTCCAGCACAGATGCTGGAGAAGTTTTTCACTTTTAAGAACAGTGACAGGATTAGATGTAGAGACTTGAAGCCTCCAGTATAAAACTATAAAAAATTACATAGTGTTTGTTTTATATATAATTTTTAAAAAACTAAATAAATAAAGCCTACATTGAAAGAGCTAGACTATTTCTCCCCCAGCAAAAAGCAAAAACATAATTCAGATAGAACAATACGTATTCTAAGTTTAGTTGACGGATTTCATTTAAAAACAAAATGTACAAAGAACCAGTCAGAGCGTGTAGACAGCTGAAGCATTGAACATACTGTGTACACGATATCCTTCCTCCTTCCAGGCCCCCTTCTCATGTGCAGAGGCAGCATCAATGGTAGTAGACATGAGCCACTCCTGGGTTCACTGGGTAACTGCATGAAGTTAGGCAAGTTACTTTAACTTTGTAAGCTTGAATTTCCTATTTTGTAACTTAGGATACTATCTATGTATCCTGAGAGGTGTTCTGAACATCATGGGAAATGAAAATACAAAACAATTTTTATAGAAATATTTGAAATAAATGATGTCTATTGCTATTATTCACTTCATAGAATGCCTTTGAATTTCTCAGTTCCCCATTTAAGGCCTTCATTAATTAATCAGCCAACAAATATTTATTTTACATAACCTATATATCTAGCACTGGCTCCATTGACTTTGATTTTCAGTCTTACATCCAATTATCCTGGTTCCCATAATCAGGATATTCACTGTATTTTAAGTCTTTAAAAATTGAAAGAAAATACTCTTTCTATAAATGCTGTGTTATTTTTATATGAAATGAGTCATCTTCTGTCTTCACCTTAAATGCTGCCTGTGTAATACTCTTTGACTTCTTCCCCATGATGGTCTCTTATTGATAAGCATTATATATCTTACATCTTTGTGAGTACATTTTATGCTGGTTGTTAATTCATAGTGCACATAAGAATCAGCTAGAGAGTTTCTTTACAATGCAAAATATATATCTCCATCCTCAGGGACTATATGATTAAGAGGGGTGAGGGGGCAGTCCAAAATACTAGGTCCTTAGTAAGCTCAACAGGTGATCCCACGGAGGTGATCTGAAGGCTAGACTTTGAAAAATATTACTATGCTGTGTTTTCTTGGTATTGAAATCATTTCACGATCTATACATTCCCAAGGAAAACATGTAACTTCCTCTGAGAAGAGGACCCGTATGACAATCTTTCCATACTCAAAATGTATCGAAGAGCGCTGAGTAGTATTCTGTTACTGGATGAATTTTGCAGCCCTTTAAAAAAAGTTCTTTGTATCTTAGAGAAATGTGTATATCTTAATCAAAATAATGTAAATAGTGGTTATAGAAATGTAGCATAGTCTGTTTCATTTCTACATATTTATTAGGTCAAGCTCAGGGAGGTTTTACTCAGGAAGAAGGCAAAGCAAGAGCAGGCACATCACATGGAGAAAGCAAGAGACAGAGGGAGGGAGGGAAGGAGAGACAGAGAGACAGAGAGTAGGGTTGGCAGGTGCAAATGACCAGATCTCGTGAGAACTCACCATCATGAAGATAGTACCAAGTCATGAGGGATCCACCCCTGTAATCCAAACACCTCCCACCAGACCGCACATCCAGCATGAGAAATTACAATTCAATATGAGATTTGGATGGGCATAAATATCCAAACCATATCATTCTCTCTCTAGCCCCTCCCACATCTCATTTCCTTCTCGCACTGCAAAATACAATCAAACCTTCCCAATAGTCCCTCGAAGACTTAACTCATTCCAGCATTAACTCAGAAGTCCAAAATCCAAAGCCTCATCTGAAACATAGCAAGTCCCTTCCACCTATGGGCCCATAAAATCAAAGGCAAGTTATTTACTTCCAAGATACAATGGGGGTATAGGTGTTTGGTAAACATTCCATTCCCAAAAGGGAGAAATCCACTGAAAGAAAGGGACTACAGGCCCTATGCAATTTTGAAACCCAGAATAGCAGTCATTAAATCTTAAAGCTTCAAAATAATCTCATTTGACTCCATGTCCTACATCCAGGGCACACTAGTGCAAGAGACGGGCTCCCAAGGCCTTGGGCAGAGTTTTCGTGTGTTTTGGGGAAATACAGTTCACAAATTTTAAATGGTTTAAAAGGACATGAGCAGTATTTCTATGATCACACAATTTGTGTTGCAACTGCACTATCTAATGTAGATGAAGAATTTGTAGTCAAGCTTATCCATTAGCTCTACAACTTGCCTTGCACATAAATTTGCATAAACTGGAGTAGCAATATTACTATATAGTTTCACATAAGCTCATTATAAATTTCAGAAAGCTGTAGAACAATGGAGAAAGTAAATAATTAAATTGACATAACAATATAATGTATGTAATGGCCTTACGTATTGAATAAGTTGGCTCTTTAGAATTTTCCACACTCCTCATTGGGTTTGTCAAGATTAGGTGTACTTATGCCATTGTTGCAGATTCAGCTTATATACAATATAAATGTTGTGCCGCATGTACATGCCCAGTACTTATGCTGTTATACTCGCAAAAGGCCTTAACCAAGGGTCATAGGCAAATTGTGAAAAGATTAACATAGCAGGTGACAGAGAAGGCTTGAGGAGCAGAAAAATGTCAGTGATGACTAGCTTAGAGTATGCATTCCCTGAGCACACAAGTTCTGATTTCCTTAGATGTTTTTAAGGTGACCTATGTTACATCCTTTATATGTCATAAGACAGAGTTCAGACCTACAGGGGAGGCCTGGCAATCTTAAGTGAACCGTTAGTTTGTTCTACAATTTAAGTATTGGAAGTATAGTAAATGTCCCGTGCTTGAGACTTTACACTAAATTTGGCCCAAAGTTATATCTTTAGAAAGAAAGAATGAGATTTACTTTATGTACGATTTCAGCAAATTTTATTCTCCATTGCCTTATATCTTTACACATAGTTTTTCTCTCTCAGATAATATTTTTATATAAAATGATTGAGGTATAACGTACAATATAACCAGAATCTTTCAGAATTGGGCACTTTTTATAATTTAATACATTGTCCAAGGCAGTGTAATCAGAAAGTTGTCACTTTCACTGCTTGTTCAGAGAAATACAATTTGTAAACTCCCATCCTATTGAAGTCCTACCATCTTGATCTTCAAAAGTGAAGACAAAATGACCTAATGACTTTTCCCATCGGAAAGGGAATGAAAAAGAGTTGACAGCTAAAAGCCTTTTTCTTTGGCCTGTAACGTGAAGTTGTTTTGATACGATATTGCAGCCAGTATTCTCCAGACTTCATGAAACCATTCAAACAACACTTAGAATGGGAGCCCCTAATCGGGTGGTAGGTGGTGCCAGTGACCGTGCTGGAGTGTAAAGAGATAAGGATAATCTTGGGAGCAGAAGTACAATTGTCTTGTCATGATCATCATATTTTAAGCCATAGTTGCCATATATTAAACTGTGCAATAGCCTGGACTCCTCTTATTAGCCTTTGGGTAAAAAAATAAAAAAAACAAAAACATGATTTTTCCCCAAAGTTTTTGGTTGAAAGTCTTTCTTAAATCAGTTGGTTGCTTTTCCTGGTATGGTAGTTAATTCTGCTAAAAGTAATTGCTAAGTCTTTCTTTGATGACTTGGGTTTTACACTGTCTTTTATTGTATAAGACTATAAATGGATTGTAAAAATGGAAAGTGAGTGGGCCAGATAGGTACTGTCCCCAAGGTATACTGTGAAATTGTATATAGAAACAAATCTTTGATCCTTGATTTCTTATGAATTGTCTTTTGCTCCTTAAATTAAATGTAAAAATAAATTTTGCTTAGAAGCTTTATTCTAGAAATTTTGCTTTTAAGATATTTAATTGAAAGAAATGTTAATATGATCATTAACTATAATATTAATATCACAAATTTTGTTTTTGATTGGCTTTACTACTATAAAGTTATTTTTCTGTAATTTTATTTCCCTTTGCTTATAAAATTGTAACTTCAAAAACTGAAGTTAATGAATTTATGCTCATGTATCCCTATTTTGCAAATCTGTAACTACTGAAACTTCCTGAAATTTTGAGAGTTTCACTATAAGGGCAATAAAATTCCCAGATCTACCTTGCACCATGCCTACTAAGAGAGCAGCAGATGTGTGATTTAGAAATTTAAACATTAGCAACTATTATTGCATTTATCAAAATTAAAAAAAATTTAAAATGTTGTGTAATAATTAAATTATCGGGCTAACACACACAACCAGAGGCGTAGATTTTGAAAAATGCCCAAATTTATCAGTGCACATTTTTAAATTAATAATAAAACATAAATATTTTAAAGAAATACATTCCACAGAAGGAAATAAAACTGATTAATATAAATTTGTATTCTCTGAAAAAAAAATTGCCATTAGCTTTGTTTAAAGCTTATTAATATTTCAGCCATAGAAAAATAATACTTTTTGTTTAGTTTTATTCTTACATTTTCCCAAACTTCAATGTGGCCTTATTTTTTTTCCATTTCTCAAGCAAAAAAAAAAAAAAAAGATACTTAATGCAAAATGTTGCATTTAAATGCAAATGTTGGAATTAATTATAATAGAAGGGAATTAATTGCAATGGTATCCTATGAGTGGGGCCATTAAAACTGAAGAACTGCTGGTCCTATTATTTATGAACTCCTCTTAATACATTACAACAAATGGGAATATTCAGGTAGTTCATTAAATTGATGTCATATATCTCCATTTATGGTCAAAGTATAGGCAAAATGCCTTTATAAAAATAACATCAGCCTTCAAGTTTATATTTCAAGAGTACAATTAAAGGCTTAAAATGTTGAAAATAAAAATTTAAAAAATGTGCATAATTTTCCAATTCTGGAAGCCAATATTTAATTTTATTAAGATCTTTCCAAAACATGGGCTTGTAAATGTTATTCTGTCATATTCCTAGCAAATTCTCCTGAGCCTCAATTGGTGCTTTCTTTGCTTTTAGGACTAATACTGTTTTCTTTATGAGTAAACACTGAAGTTAATGAATCTACTCTCATGGATTCATATTTCTCAAATCTATAACTACTCGAACTCCCTGGAATTTTTAAAGTTTTACTCTAAGAACAACGGAATTCCCAAATTCTCTCCATGACAGCATGCCTACTGAGACAGCAGCAGGTCTATGACTCAGAAATTTATCTACAGAGACCACAGTGATGAATGTTCACTCTAAGGTTCGTAAATTTAAAGGAAGAATTCCTTCATTTGTTTTACCCAAAGCCTCCCTGTATCCTTTGGAATTCTCACAATTATTCCAGTACACAATAGTCTCATAAATCAAATACGGAGAGTAGTCCAAGATCTACTATTTAATTTGACATTTAATCCCCCCAGGACAATGAGATGGGGTAGCTTTGTTGTAACTACTTAGAACAAGGTTTCTCATCATCACTTTCGAAGTATGATGACAAATCATCCTAATGTTTTGCTTTTATGGTTGCTTCTTAAAAGTCAGACTCAGTAACCTTGGGATTCTTTCTCTTTTGCTTGGCTTCCTTCTAGCCCAAGGGACCATAAGTAGCCCATTTTCTTCTATTTGGCTCTGCTCAGTCCTTTATTCACCTGTTAAAGTAAGAGTCGTTAGTAGGTAACTCATCACTGAGGTTGTCAAGGACAGGTAGGAAATCTGTGTCCAGATTATATCACATGAATAATTACATCGGCTAAAACTCTGCAGTTTCAATTGTAACCAAACTCTGCAAGATTACAGAGTCCTGAAACTTTCATTAATCAGATATCAAGGAGTGATGTGCATAAAACAGATCACTCCTGTGAGGTTACTTATTAAGGTCTTGTTTAATTACTCAGAGATGTTTTTATGGTGTTATTTTCTTCTCTAACAATTATACTCAAGTTGTAGAGAGATACAAACATGAAGAACATGTCATAATGAATCATGACTGCATGTGCTGTAATCACCAGCTTACTGGAAGAAAATTTAGTATCTAGGGAAGTGACACTTTACTTCCTATACTCTGACTGTGTTAGGAAGCACTCTCTAAACTGAAGCATTTTTCTCAGAAAGTGATGCACCTGGTATCTCCTACTCCATATCCCTATATAGTAACAGAATTGTATTTGCACTCGCTAAATGAACTTTTCCTTTTCATGGGTCATAACACATGGCATATGAAATGAACAAGAAGAAATACCACAGTGATGTGGTGTAAAGGATGAATATTATAATGAAATTTCAGCTGTTTGTGTCAAAGGCGTAGGAAACAATTGGCATGAAATGAAATACTCTAAAAATAAAGTGATGTAACTCTCTCCTCTCTTTCTTTGACCAAATATTAATAGCAAACAAGAAAATACAATCATTTGCTCCTGGAGAGATAAAACTAAGAGTGGAGTAAAGATTTGTATGAAACTTCATTTAATTGAATGAGGAGTAATTGTCCTGATGGGTCGTACTAAAGGTACTGCATATGAGTACTAGATCCTAAATGATGATTTTAAACATCACAATATTTAATTTCCATACTTTTCTGGGCTCCTCTTGGATTTCAGAGATCATCTTTAAAGTGTTATTTTCATTTAAAAACCCTTAGAATAGAAACAAAATCTTCCTGGTGAATCATAGTAATATATTATTTTAAGTTAGTTAATCGAAATATAAAATCACTGTTTTTCTATAGTTATCTTTGAAAATTACACATTTCATCTTACTTGGCTTGTCACTGAGCAAATATATTAATTTCCAAAAAGAAAAAATATACATATACTGGTGTAGAAATAGAGATTTAAAATCAAAATGTATGCTTGTGAACATCTAGTATAATTTCTTTATTTTAATGTAAGAAACAGAACTCCAAGAATTGTCTTAATCCCACTTACCTGTGACAGCCGACTTGAAGTTAAAGGACTTTGGATTTTAATTATATGGACCCTGGAAGTCCAAGATTTAATGTCAGAAGTGCTACAGTTTAATCCTTCTAGTGATGCTATTAATTATATAACTTTTTTCAATAATGAGGTAATGGACGTATAAATTTAAAGCATTGTAGAATGTTGGTTATTATTACTTCTATATCACAGTGCTCTTACACATAGAAGTCTAACTGCTAGAAACGTTATTACTGTTTATATTATTATTATTATTGTCACTGATGTAGATGCTTTTATTTATGCGTTAATTAAAGTTTGCATTTTTATCTACAAGCATGTGTTAAAACTTTAAGTTACATTCCAGAGTATGTTTCACATGACCTGTTTGAATTCTACAGAAACCGCTTCCTTGTTTTTCCTTGTACTTTGCAATAGGGTTTCATTTGGCCTTTTATGGAGAATAGAACCACATAGTTGTTAATTTTTTATTGAAAGTTAGGCTTTTATGATTAAAGTTGTTGCCTGTGGCTTGGATCCATTTATTATTGTGGCCAGATAGTGTTTCATGCATTGTATGGGTATGCCACAATCATTTATTTGATTTTTGTGAAGTTCTTGGTTAATTCTTGATGCTGTGATTAAAATGCTCCTCTTAACTTGTTACTTAATGTCCACTTGTGCACATGTTCATACTTGGCAACCATAGAGTATGATTTCTGAGTCATAAGTTTATGCATTCTATATAATAATTCATGATAAATTATTTTCTAATGTAGTCATAACAATTCTAATTCTTCCCAGCAGTACTTTACAATTCTTTATGTGCTTCTTCTTGCCAGTGCTTGATAATATCAGCTTAAAAATGAAAAATTAAAGCATGACATACAACTTAGGTGGAGTGAAAATAGCAATTATACATCTTTGTGGATTTCCACACAGTGAAAATTCCCACTTATTCTGTACCCTGATCAAGAACTAGAACGCACCAACACCCTAGAAGCTTCCTCTTACTCCCTTCCAGTTTCTACTTCTCTGCAAAGATAACCATTATTCTAAGTTCTAGGACTGTTTTTGTTTTGTTTTGTTTTGTTTTGTTTTTTACTTTTGCCACTTTTCCAAAATCTTATAAATGAATTGCACAGAGTATATTTCTTTGTTTCTAGGTTTTGTTTTTCAACATGTTTGTGAGATTTATCCATATTGCTGCATGCAGTAAGAGTTTATTCATTCTCATTACAAATTAATGTTCTATTGAATAAATATTTCAAAATATAGCCATTCTACTGGTTATAAACTATTGAGTTGTTTCTAATTATGGCTGTTACAATTAGTGCTGCTTGAACATTCTTGTATATATCTCTTGTAGAACATATGTATGCATTTTGTTGCATTTATACAAAGGAGTGCTGAGACATAGGATATGCATATTTTTGGCTTTACTAGATACTGCCTATAGTTATTTTTAGATACCAATTGTCTCTATTTATCCTCCCATCTGCAGAGTATATAAGTTACTGTGCAACATCCACATCGACAGTGATGTCTATTTTAATTTTTTCCATTTCAGTGTGGTTTTAATTTGCTTTTCCTTGATTATTTATTTATTTATTTTGAGACAGAGTCTTGCTCTGTCACCCAGGCTGAAGTGCAGTGGCAAGATCTCGACTCACTGCAACCTCCGCTTCCCAGTTCGAGCAATTCTCCTGCCTCAGCCTCCTGAGCAGCTGGGACTACAGGCTCCCGCCACCATGCCCAGCTACTTTTTGTGTTTTTAGTAAAGATGGGGTTTCACCGTGTTAGCCAGGATGATCTCGATCTCCTGACCTCATGATCTGCCCTTCTTGGCCTCCCAAAGTGCTGGGATTACAGGCTTGAGCCACCGTGCCCAGCTCCTTGATTATTAATGAGAGGAATTACTTTTGGATAGAAGTACTGGTCATTTTGGATTATCTATATTTTAAAGGTTCTATTTACTCCTATTGCCCACTGTTATATTGTGTTGCCTTTCTTTTACTTATTGGTATGTATACATTTTAACTATATTTTATATATAAACTACTTATGTGTTAAGTTGAAATGTTTAAAATTTAAAAGACTATATCAATGTAGTCTTTTATTTTAGACAAAAATGTAGTCTAGTGTTTTGTGGCTAACACTCTGCCTACTCCCAATGTCAAAAACATGTTCTATTTTATTTTCTAGAAGATTTAAGATTTTGCCTTTCATATTAAAAGTCATTACATTTTACACTAAACATTTCCTGTATATCGTGTGTTTGAAGTCAAGGTTCATTTTCTTCTGCTACAATATCCAATTGACTTAGAACCATTTATTTATAATAATATCTTTCTGTGGCTCTTTGCATTCTTTTGTCCTAAATCAAGTGTCTGTGTATCTGTGTGTATCTATATTTTACCATTTGCTCATTCAGCTATCCACTAGCACACTGTATTAATTTCTATAGCTTTATAATCAATATTGATGTATGGTAGAACAACTTTTCACACCTTGGCATTCTTCTTCAGTAAAGTAGCTTGGCCATTCTTAGTGCCCTGTGTTTCCATTAGAATTAGCTTTCTGTATCACCCATGTGTGTGCACTCTCTTCTTTTCTCTGTCCACTTTCACACACACAAACACACACACTGAGCACATTGAGATTTTGATTGCAATTGCATTGATTCCATAGATTTATTAAGTTAATGCTAATAAATTTCATATTCTCATACTTCTCTTTGGAATATTTGACTATAGATTTTTTTATATATTTTTTAATTTATCAAACTTGCTAATTTCTCTTAATACTAACACTTTTTCTGTAGATAATTTTATATATGTTAATACTCTTGACATTTGTTTCTAATGAGAATTGTTTCCCCAGTCTATATCTGTGTGTGTGTGTGTGCATCTGTGTTTATGTGTGTTTCTTGCCTTACTTTATTAGGTCTCCTATTCAATATTAAATAACAAGATAGGAAACAACATTGTATTATTCTAAATCTTTAAGGAAAAGTTTTCAATGTTTTACCATTTGACTTCATGTTTGCTCCAATATTTTGGAGAATATGCTTTATCAGATTAAATTTCCTTTTATTCTTAGTATTAAAAATAGTTATTTTTAAAATTGTTAATCAATGTTTGCTGCTGAATATTAACAAATGCTTTTCCTGCATCTCCTGAAGTTCTATGATTTTTCTTCTGTGATTTGACCATGTGGTTTTATCAGTTAGTCTCAGAGAAAACATGTGGCACGTTTCCCCAGCATAATTGAAAAGAGTCTAAAGAGGAGATTATTTGCAATGAAATGGGCGCAGTTTAGGGAACCATACAAGAGATGCGGAAGCACCGCAGACTACCAAGAGCCAAGTTTCATTACCACTCCTGGTCCTGAAGGGATGAGTAAAAGGGAAGCAAATTATAATAATTTGGAGAAATGCTGATGCCATAAGTGAGAGCCAACAACCTAATTGCTGAGCTTTAGTAGCCAAAAGCAGCCCCTATCAAACCATGCCTGGGAAGGGAGGAGGCCAGCAGAGCAAATACTACAATATCATATATTTCTTTTCTTTTCCTTTCTTTTCTTTTTTTGAGACGGAATCTCACTCTGTCACCCAGTCTAGAGTGCAGTGGCATGATCTCAGCTCACTGCAACCTCTGCCTCCCAGGTTCAAGCTATTCTCCTGCCTCAGCCTCCCAAGGAGCTAGGACTACAGGCATGCACCACCACACCTGGCTAATTTTTGTATTTTTAGTAGAGACGGGGTTTCACTATGTTGGCCAGCCTGATCTCAAACTCCTGACCTCAAGTGATCCACCTGCCTCGGCCTCCCAAATTGCTGGGATTACAGGCGTGAACAATATCATATATTTCTAGTCTTACAATTGCCTGCACTTGTGTCTCCCATGGCCATACCTAACCACAGGCCATGAAAGTTAGCCTCTCAGAATGCTGCACTGGGTGGAGAAAAATGAGGAGTTCATATGGAGAAATACTAAAAGTGTGTCAGAAAGATTCCAAGATGTCTCTGATTATTCCTACCTCATGGTTTCCACACACTTCAGCATTCTCCTTTTGAGTGTGGGCAGGATCTTTGACTTGCTCTAAATAATAACTTATGGCAAAGGTGACTAGATGTCTCTTCTGTGATTATGTTTCATAAGGCTGTAACGTTATTCTCATTAGTGGACTCTCTCCTTTGTTGATTTAGATGAAATAAGTGGCAATGCTGAGAAAGGCCACGTGGGAAAGAACTGGTTTTCCAGACAAGAAGCAGCTAGGAACCCAGGGTGGCCAATACCTGAAAGCCAGCAAGAAAATGAACCCTCCAGTTTAGTAGGCAACAGAGAATTTAATCTATTGACAACCTGGTGGGCTCAAAAGCAGATATTTCCCCTGTTGAGAAGAGACTGAAGTCTGAGCTGACACCTTCAGTGGAGACTGTGAGACTCTGAAACATTAGATCCAGCTAAGCTGTGTCAAGTCCACACCCACAGAAACTGTGGTATAATGATTGTGTGTTGTTTAACCACTGTTTGGGGTAACATTGGTATGTAGCCATAGATAGAACACAAGAAGACTGTGGGCACAGTGGTGAATTATAACATTGAGATGGATACTTAGCCACTGATTTTTAAACAAAATAAAATACTATTTTTTTCTGATATTTTCAGCTTGGGTTAAAGAGTTCCCTGAAAATAAGATACAATCCACCAGTTCCATCATTCATAAAAAAAAATCAAATTTCTGTTTTAATTTTGTATTTAACCATGAGTTATTTACATATTATTTCTGATGTCTAGAATGGCTGCATTGTAGTAAGAAAACACATTTTTTTTTGTTTTAGTTTAGTTTGTTTAATTTTCTAAAGGCTACTTTATGCCCAGAATTCCATCAATTTTTATAACATTTCTTGTATATTTGAAACAAGGTGTATCCCACAATTGTGGGGTACATAATTACATAGTTAACCAAATTGTTTACCATGTTTTAAAAATCACCTATTTTCTTACAGATTTCATCCCATACAAAAATGCTTTTTTTGTTGTTTGTAACATTTTTGTCCTAAATATTCCATTTTTAAGACTTTTCATACCTCTTCTGATAGTTCAAATCTGTTTACTTGGCATTCTCATAATTTTCTGAAGATTCACTTACACATTTATCATAGTTTGTGATAATGTTTATCGGTTAATTCTAAAATCATAGTTTTCTATCATTCTTTTCCTATTGACTGATTTTTCTCTTCCCTCTTCACATTTTCACGTTTCTTTTTTTCCCACATCTTTATTATTTTTTAACAGCATACTGAAAATTGTAGATGATACATTTTAAACTGTTTTTTTAAAATTATCCTTTTAAGAGTTTTTGAGTTTTGCCCTAGAGGGCAATTAAGCTACTGGTGAGTGTTTATTTTGTGGAGTTTTAGGTTTTGGGTTTGTTAAAGCAGCAGTCCCCAACCTTTTTTGCACCAGGGTTCACTTTCATAGAAGACTATTTTTCCATGGACCAGGGTCAGGGGATGGTTTCAGGGTGATTCAAGTGCATTACATTTATCATGCATTTTATTTCTATTATTGTTACATTGTAATACATAATGAAATAATTATACAAGTTTCCATAATGTATAATCAGTGAGAGCCCTGAGTTTGTTTTCCTGAGGCTAGATGGTTCCATTTGGGGGTGATGGGAGACAGTGACAGATCATCAGGCATTAGATTTTCATAAGGAGTGAACAACCTATATCCTTGTATGCACAGTTCGTAATAAGATTTGAATGCCTATGAGAATCTAATGTCACTGCTGATCTGACAGGAGGTGGAGCCCAGGCGGTAATGTGAGTAATGAGGAGTGGCTGTAAATACAGATGAAGTTTCACTCACTCACCTGCCACTCACCTCCTGCTGTGTTGCCTGGTTCCTAACAAGCCATGGACCAGTGACTAGTTCATGGCTCAGGGGTTGAGGACCCCTGTGTTAAAATAAGTCAGTTTCCATTTTGATCTTATAGCTTAAGCAAATCTCTTAAGCAAGAATATTATCTTAAGGAAAAATACCGTTCTTACTCATGAGTCCTGACCCTTCTAGAGTTTCATCAAGCACAAAATATTTACAAAATCCCTCCTACTTAGCAGAATGAAACTCCAAAACATGTTGTGTTAGTTTCAGGAAGCTGCTGAAATTTTCCGGTCTTACAGCTGTTGTTTTTCCCTGAGACTTTTGGAGAAATGAAGTTTAAACATCAGCCAAATTTTTCAGGTAGTAATCATGTCCAGATCTCCCTCTTTTTTTCGGTATTTCTTTTCGCATCTTTTAGTTAATCTGGCAGCTCAAGATGACAACGAATGCAATGCTGAAGGCTGAGTCCAGTAAGTTTGTTCTTTCTGCTCGTATAATGCAAATACATGGTTTCCTGGATTTAGCCCATGACCTTCCTGCCTAACTTTATGACCATGTTCGGTTCCTTCAAGAGATTTCAGTGGTTCTGGAACCTCTACTGTCTCTTCCAAGGCCTACTTTTTATGCTCCTGTTTACATGCAGAAATCCTATTCATTAACTAGTTTGTTCCTCTACTCTTTAAGGAAGTTTAGCTTATTGACCTAGACTTAGAATAGGCTTTGGTAGGGATGAAAATAATAAACGGATTACTCATTCTAAGTTTAGAGTAGTCATATGTCCTTTCAAAGTCGTTACAACATGAGATCCCACATTTACATAAGGATCTCCTTAACATGTTGTTTTCTCCTGATTTCCAAAGCAGACATCTCCTTCAAATTATTTCAAACGGTACATAAATTTGGTTCTTTAGTAAAAGGTGAATAAAGACTATATACTTGCATTGGATATATATAATTTTATAGTTTAGTTCTAGAAAATATCAGAGTAGGTTTAGCAAATATCTGATATTTTGACTTTCATAATGAGCACATTTGCTTCCTGGGACATTTTTTGTCCCAGGAGATTACAAATCTCCTAAATATTAAAGCCAGGAAGAAAATCTTCTATATTGATTTCCCCACAAAAATCTCCCTGATTTTTTTCCTATTTATGTGGAATTTTTGTGAAAATAAATAGCATAAGTATATTCTAAATTTACAATCATACCAACAGAAAATATGACTGAGTTAAAACTGGAATATTGTCATGAAAGTTAATGCATAGATGGGATTCATGAGATAGAGAACAAAAGGAGATTGATGATGTGATAATAAAATATAAAGTGATCTTGATGCAAACTTGAGCCAAAGGGAATTCATTGTTTTGAAAGCAAGTGGATAATTAACTGCACATTTTAGAAAACCATCTTTTTATCAATTGAACATTGAAATAATTTACCTTCCTTGGAGAAAGTTTATTCCCAGACTGGAGTATAACTGGTAAAATATCAAAGTACTATAGCTTTCTCTTTTCCTAAATAGACCATCATAACAAGTAAATGGGATACATTTAGTGATGTCTCATGCCTAACTAAAGGCTACATAGCAAAATCTGCAATATGGGGAATCTAATCTCTGGTGAACTATGGCTTTTTATTATCTTAGACTTGTGTCTTTTATCTTTTTTGTATTTTATCCTCACATTGAGCTATTAACAATTCTAATCACAATTGCCTATTTCATTGCAGCACTAGAAGATGAATTGCTAAATGTCTGCCCAGAGCTTAAGCGGGAAAAAGTTAATTAAAAAAAGAGCTGCCAAAAATGTTGCACAGTCAATTTTTTAAATATTAGAATATCTAGTAAACTCTTTAACATACTCATCTGTCAAAAATTTGCTCATCCACTAAGGCTAACTTAAGTTTTTTCCTCTTTTGTCAAGTTTTTCCTCATGTTCAGTCAGAATAAATCCATATTTTCTTCTCACTGTTCCCCAAAACTTTGTTTTCACCTCTGTCACAAAACTGTTCATCATCATTTTGTACCACAGTTGTATGTTGTCTGCACACAAACATGTTCTTTCTATTTAAACAATAGGAAATTTTAAAGTTTTCCTATTGAGCAAAGAAGAAATTCCAACACATTCTAGGTCAAATTTAGGAGCATTTTTAGTTTTATTTGGTTGTTTTATGAATCTCATAAACCAAATAAATAAAGGTGTCTCTGGTTATAAAATTATCAGAGATGTATCTCTCACTTAATTGTAAAACAAAGAACAAACCAGTGGAGTAAGTTCGGTTGAGGAAAAAATCTGTCAGAAATGGACAAACAAACAAAAACAAAGATGAAATAAGAGTAATGTTCATTGGTGACTGAAGTGACAAAGATGGCCTCTTGTAAATGTTACCTGGGAGTGAAAACACTGTACTAAATCCACTGTTTATTAGTTATCCTACATGAATTGAGTTTAGCAAAACTAATAAGTAGAGAAAATTAGATATGTAAAATATCAAAATAAGTACATATGAAAGATCCTTCAAGTCAAACACAGGGCCAGACGTGGTATTTCATGTCTGTAATCACAGCACTTTGGGAGGCTAAAGCATGAGGATCTCTTGAGGCCAGGAGTTGGAGACCAGCCTGGGCAAAATAGTGAGATTCATTTCTAAAAAAGCAAACAAACAAAAAACAACAACAAAAAAAAACAGAAACAAAAGAAAAAGTATACAAATTAGCTGGGCTTGATGGCACATGCCTTCAGTCTTAGCTCCTCTGGTGGCTGAGATTGGAGGATCACTTGAGTCCAGGAATTCGAGGTTGCAGGCTGCAGTGAGCTATGATTGTGCCACTGCACTGCAGCCTGGGTGACAGAGCAAGACTCTGTCTCTAAAAAGAAAAAATATATATGCAGGATATATTCTGCTTCCTTATAATAAATACATTTTCTGAGAGAGATGATATTTATCCTTCCTAATTTTAACTTTGCTGACCCACCAAATCTTCATATTAGACTGTGGACATTCTCTTTTTCCCCAAATAAGTATTTTCTAAATCCATATGAGTATTTTACCCTTTTCAAGGATCTTTCTTGATACATTATTGATATACTAACAGATTAGTGAATGTTAGATGGTGACTGGGGATACTAATTTTATTAAAGTATAGGTTTCCTTTATTATTCCTTCAGAACAAGAAGAGTATAAATGAATAAATCAATAGCTTTGTAAAGTACACATTTTAAATATACATATTTAGGCATCAGCTCTTTCAATGGCAAATTTGTTTGCTCAACATCAATATTCTAACATTGCAAGTCAAATTAAATTAATAATTTTATTCTGCATAAGAATAAAATAAATCCAAAGCTGGTAAGACACAGACATTACATTAAACACTCATGATACCCTTACAGAAAATTAGGAATGTTAAAGATGAATTAAAGGGCAATATTTAGAAGGAAGACATGACATTAATATTTAAATACTTCAATATATTTAATAAAATTATTGGCACAGAATCTTCTCCTTTACTATGATGCATTAATCCTGTCAAATTTGCTTGAATTGATAAGCTAAGTTGATATGATCAACTCTATGTGTACGTGTGCATCACTTTATGTTTTTAGAGGAATTTTAGATTCACAGCAAAATTAATAGGAAACTTGAGAGATTTCCTGTAGATCTCCTGGCTCCACACCTGGAGAGGTTCCCTCATTTGCAACATCCCCCACCTGAGTGGTACATTAGTTACAATTACTGAACCTACACTGACACTTAATAATCACTCCAAGTCTGTAGTTTATATTAAGGTTTACCCTTGGTGTATACATTCTATCGGTTTGGAAAAATGTGTAATAATATGCATTCTTCCCTATAGAATCATACAGAGTATATTCATTGACCTAAAAATCCTCTGTATTATGGCTGTTCATTCTTTCCCCTACCCCCCAACCCAGGGCAATCACTGAAATTTTTACTATCTCCGTAGTTTTGGAGATTGTTGTGTATTTGGAATCTTACAATATATCGTATTTTCAGGTTGGCTTATTTCACTTAGTAATATGCATTTAGATACTTCCATGTATTTTTATGGCTTGATAGCTCATGGTTTTCTTTTAGTGCTGAATGATAGACCGTGTTTGTCAAAGATCAGTTGACTATGTATATGTGGGTCTATTCATGGGCTCTCTGTTCTGTTCCACTGACCTATTTGTCTATTCTTTCACCAACACCACATTGTCTTGCTTACTGTAGCTTTATAGTAAGTCTTGAAGTTGGGTACTGTCAGTTCTTCTTCAATATGTTGTTTATTCTGGGTCTTTTACCTCCCTAGATAAACTTTGGAATTAATTTCTCAAAATGCACAAAATAACGTGCTGATATTTTGATTGGGATTGTATCAAATCTATAGATTAAGTGTGGAAGAACTGACATCTTAATATTATTGAGTTTTCTTATCTATAACCATGGAATATCACTCTATTTAGTTCTTTGATTTCATTGGACAGTTTTGTGGTTTTTCTCATATGGTTCTTGTACAGATTTTGTAAAATATATCCCTAATTATTTTATTTTTAGAGTGCTAATGTAAATTATAATCTGTTTTTAATTCAAAATTCCACTTGTCTATTGATTATATATAGGAAAGTGATTGATTTTTATTTATGAACCTTATATCCTGTAATTTTGCTGTAATCATTTATTTCTTTCAAAAGTTTTTTGGTGGTTATTTCAGATTTTCTACACAGATGGTCATGTCATCTCCTAACAAAGCCAGCTTGATTTCTTCCATCCCAATCTGTGTACCTTTTATTTATTTCTCTTGTTATATTGCATTAGTTAGGGCTTTCAGTATGATGTTGAAAAGATGTGGTGGGAGGGGACATGCTTGCCTTGTTTCCAGTCTTGGTGGGAAAGCTTTGATTTTCTCGAGATTAAGTACGATGTTAGGTAGAGGGGTTTTGTGTGAATATTCTTCATCAACTTGAGAAAATTTTCCTGTATTACTAGTTTACTGAGAGTTTTTATCATGTAGGAGTGTTGTATTTTGTCAAATGCTTTTTCTGCATCTGTTGGTAAGATGGTGTGGTTTTTATTTTTTTAGCCTGTCGAAATAATGATTACATTAATTGATTTTAAAATATTAAACCAACCTCATCTATCAGTGATAAATCCCACTTTATTATGTTGTATAATTCTACAAATTGTATGTTAAATATGTTAATATTTTGTTAAGGATTTTTGCATCTATGTTCATGAGATATATTTTCCTATACTATTCTTTTCTTATTTTCCTATACTATTCTTTTCTTGTAATGTTATTTTCCGGTTGTGGTAATAGAGTAATGCTTTCTTACAGAATAATTTAGGAAGTATTGTCAATGTGACTATACTCTGAAAAAGCTGTAGATAACTGGTACAATTTTTTCTTAAAATTTTTGCTAGAATTCTCCAACAAACCCATTTGGGGCTGATGCTTTCTGTTTTGTAAGGTGATTAATTATTGATTCATTTTTCTTAATATAGGCTTATTCAGATGATATGTTTCTTTTATGAGTTTTTACAATTTGTCTTTTTCAAAAAATTGGTACATTTTATCTAGGTTATCAACTTTGGGCCATACAGTTGTTCATAATGTTTCATTATTACTCTCTTAATGTCCATGACACCTGTATGATGTATCCTCTTTTATTTCTAATATTAGAAAGTCATGTCATCTCTCTGTTTCCCTAGTTAGCTGGATCAGAAAATTATAAATTCTATTGATCTTTTAAAAGAATCAGTGTCTGGTTTTATTAGTTTTTTAAATTAATTTTCTGTTGTCACTTTTATTAATTTCTTCTCTGATTCCTAATCTTTCATTTTTTTCTGATTACTTTGGCTTTAATTTGTTCTTATTATTTTTTAAAGTTCACTAAGAAACTCAGATTAATTTTAGATCTTTCTTATTTTCTAATATAGGACTTCAGTGCTATGGATTTCCTCCTAAGCATTGTTTTTGCTGCATCACAATCACATAACTCTTTCTAAGTTGTGTCTTCATTTTCGTTTAGTTCAAAATATTTTTAAATTTGTCTTGAGATTTATTCTTTGAACCATGTGTTATTTAACCTCCATATATTTTGGGATTTCACTGACAGCCATTTAGGTTGATTTCATATCTTTACTATTATGAACAGTCCTTCAATAACAAGAGTTCAGATATCTCTTTGACAAACAGATGTCATTTCCCTTTAATATATACCTGGTAATGGGATTATCGTATTATGTAGTTCTATTTTTAATTTTCTGAGCAGCTTCCATACTGTTTTCTGTAATGGAAGCAGTTTCCATACTGTTATCTGTAATTTACATTTCCACTAACAGTGGTGAAGCATATTGATCTTGCTGCCTTAATGTAAACTGTATTTTTTGTAAATCATAGAAAAAGTTACTTTGATCTAGATATACATTTATGCATATTAACCTCATTGTCAATGTCATTCTTATTCAATTTAAATATTTGTTTTTCAGTTGAATGGCTTATTTCATACATCAACAGTCATAAAAGCAAGTAATAGAAAATAAGCCTTTAGAGAAAGTGCTTTATGTGACTGTAAATGAACATGAATAAAGAAAAAGAAAACTATTTGATTTTCAGAAGTGCAATGGTTTGAAGTGACTATTGAGAATTAAAACGCAAATAATTTTGAAAAAACATCAAAAAGAACAAATGGAATTGGAGTAAAAGCATAGTTATAATAATTTGCTTTTTTTCCATTATGTTATATTACACCGAAGGGATATTTTATGAATATTTAAAATCAACTTAATTTTAATGAATTTAATGTTTGCTTGACTTCTGTTTTTTGTAAAATTTATCATGTTTTTAATTGACACAATTGTACATATTAATGAGATATAGTGTGTTGTTTCAATACATTTATAGCTTATTTAATGATTAAATCAGAATAGTGAGCATATCTTTCACCTCTACAACTTGTCATTTCTTTGTAGTAAGAACATTCAAAATTATTTCTTTTAGCTATTTTGAGGTATACAATATATTATTGTGAACTATAGTCACTCCACTATACAATAGAATACCAAAATTTATTTCTTTTTTCTAGCCCTAACTTTGTGCGTATTGACCAACTGCTCCCCACAACCCATCTCCCTATTCTCCCCAGCCTCTGGAAACCACTACTCTGTTCTCTAGTTTCTATGAGATCAACTTTTGTAGACTCCATATATGAGTGAGATTATACAGAATTTGTCCTTTTGTGCTTGTTTTATTTCACTTAACAAAATATCCTTTAAGTTCATCTGTATTGTCACACATGAGAGGTTTTCATTTTTACGGCTGAATAGTATTCTGTTGTTTATATATACCACATTGTTTGTATCCATTCATTTATTGATGGTCACTTAGGTTGATTCTATATCCTGGCCATTGTGAATTGTGCTGCAATAAACCTGGGACTGCAGATATCTGTCTGATATGCTGATTTCAATTCCTTTGGATAGATAACCAGTAGTGGGACAGCTAGTTTTATTTTTAAGTTCTTGAGGAACCTCCATACTGTTGTCCAGAATGGCTATACTAATTTACATTCCCACCAACAGTTCATAAGAGTCTGTTTTTCTCCACATCCCAACCAGTGTTTGTTATATTTTATCTGTTTTGTAATAGCCATACAAACTGGGATAGTGGGAAGTGATTCTCATCGTGGTTTTGATTTGCGTTTGCTTGATGATTAGTAATGTTGAGCATTTTTTTCATATACCTGGTGGCCTTTTACTCTTTTTTTGGGAAATGTATATTGAGATTTTTACCCATTTTCGAATTGAATAATTTTAATTTTAATTTTTTTTTAGGTTTCGCTATTGAGTTGTTTGAGTTTCTTATATATTTTATAAATTAACTCCTTATTAGATGCACAGTTGGTGGATATTTTCCCCCATCCTGTAGTTTGTCTTTTCATCGTGTTGATCATTCCCTTTGCTGTGCAGAAGCTTTTGAGTCCAATTTAATCCCATTTGTCTATTTTTGATTTTGTTGTCTGTGCTGTTAAGGTTTTATTCAAAAATTCATTGCACAGATCAATGGCATGAAGCCTTTCCCCTGTTTTATTCTGGTAGTCTTGTATCTTACAATTATTTCATTTATTTTGTGTTGATTTTTGTAAGTGCTCAGAGATAAGTGTCTATTTTAATTCTTCTGGATATGGATATCCAATTTTCTCAGCACCGTTTATTGAAGGCCCTGGTTTTTCTTCAATGTATGTTCTTGTTGGCTTTGTCAAAAATAAGTCGGTTGTAAATGCACAGATTTTGTGGGGGGTGGGGGCCATGTCTATTCTGTTCCATTGGTCTATGTGTCTATTTTTATGCCACTCCCATGTGTTTTGGTAACTATTGCTTTCTAGTATATTTTTAAGTCAGGTAGTGTGATGTCTCCAGCTTTGTTTATTTTGCTCAAAATTGCTTTTGCTAGTTGGAGTCTTGTTTGTCCATAGAAATTTTATGATGTTTTTTCATTTTCTGTAAAAAATCTATTGGTATTTTGTTAGGAATTGCATTAAATCTGTAGATCACTTTGGGTAGTATGAACATTTTAACAATATCAATTCTTTCAATGTAAAAACATGAGATGCCTTTCTAATTACTTGTGTCCTCTTTAATTCTTCATCACTATTTTATAGCTTTCATTGTTTCACCTTATTGGTTACATCGACACCTATATATTTATTATTTTGGCAACAATTACAAATAGGATTTTTTTATTTTTTTAGATCATCTGCTATTGGTTTATAGAAATGCTGCTAATTTCTGTATATTGATTTTGGATCCTGCAACTTTACTAAAATTGTTTATTAGTTCTAACAAATTTTAGGTAGGATCTTTAGGATTGAATACATCTAAGATTATGTCATCTACAAAAAAGAGCAATTTGACTTCCTCCCTTCCAATATGGATGAAATTTTTATATTTTTCTTACTGAATTTATCGGGCAAGGACTTTCAGTACTATGTTGAATAAAATTGGTGAAACTGGGCATCCTTGTTTTGTTCCCAAGTTTTAGAGAAAAAGCTTTCAACTTTTTTTCCATTCAGTATGATGCTAGTTGATGGTTTCTTATGTATTGACTGTATTGTGTTGAGGTCTGTTTCTTTTATGCCTAAATTGTTTAGGGTTTTATTATGAAGAGATTTTCAGTTGTATTAAATGCTTTCTTTGCATTTATTAAGATGACTGTATGATTATTGTCCTCCATTTCTGTTAATGTGGTGTATCATGTTTATTGATTTGCATATGTTGAACCATCCTAGCATACCTGAGATGAATACCACTTTGTTATGGTGAATGACACTTTTGATATGTTATTGAATTCAGTTTACTCATATTTTGCTGAGGATTTTTTCATCCATGTTCACGGGGATTTTGGTCTCTAGTTTTATTTTTGTGTGTGTATATCTTTGGTTTTGGTATCAGGGTAATGCTGACTTCATAGGATGAGTTTGAAAGAATTCTATTTCGTTTATTTGAAATAGTTTGAGAAGAATTACTATTAGTTCTTCATTAAGTGTTTAGTAAAACTCAGGAGCAAATCCATCAGGTCCTGGGCTTTTCTTTGCTAGGAGTCTTCTTATAACTGATTCAACAGCATTACCCCTTATTGGTCCCAAGTTTTCTATTTCTTTATTATTAAATTTTTGTAGTTTGTATGTGTCTAGGAATTTATCCATTTCTTCTAAGTTTTCTAATTTTTTGGCATATATTTCTACATAATAGTCTTTAGTGATCCTTTGTACTTCCTTGGTACCAGTTGTAATGTTTCCTTTTTCATCTCTGGCTGTATTTGAGTCGTATCTCTTTTTTTCTTAGTCTAGTAAATATTTGTTGATTTTGTTCATCTTTTCAAAAAACTAGTTCTTCATTTTATTGATCTTTTGTATTTTTTAAGGTCTGTTGCACTGATTTATGGTCTGATCTTTATTATTTATTTCCTTATACTTCTTCTGGAATTATTTTTCTAGTTCCTAGAAGTGCAATGACATGTTGTTTATTTGAGATCTTTGGTACCAGTTACATTTTTGGGGTAGGCAGTAATTGCTATAAGTGTTCCTCTTAGAATGCCTTTTCTGTATCTCCAGGTTTTGGCATATTGTTTTTCCACTTTTATTTGTTCCAAGAATTTTTTTTATTTTTTAACATTTCTTCATTGGTCCATCAGTTGCTCGGGATCATGTTGTTTAATATCTATGGGGTTGTACAGTTTCTGACATTGATTACCTAGTTTTATTTTATTGTGGTTAGAAAATATACTTAATATAATTTAAATTTAAAAAAAATTTTAAGACTTTTTCATTGCCTAAAGTATAATATATCCTGGAGAATGTGCTAGGTATTATTGGGAATGATACACATTCTTTGACTGCTGGATGGGAACTCTGATGTTTCTTGATTTTATGTATGGATGATCATTTTATTGCTGAAGGTGGGGTGGTTGAAATCTCTATTATTGTATTGTAGTCTATCTCTTTAGTTCTATTAATATTTGCTTTATAAATTTAAGTGTTCCTATTTTGATGCATGTATATTTATAGTTGTTATAACCTCTTGGTATATTGACCGCTTAATTATTAGATAATGGCCTTCTTTGTGTCTTTTTATGGCTTTTGGCTTAAGGTATCTGACATAAGTATAGCAACTCCTGCTCTTTTTTGGTTTACATTCGTACGGAATATCTTTTGTCCATCATTTTACTTTCAATCTATACATGTATTTACATGTGAAGTTTGTCTGTTTCAGGTAGCATATAGTTAGTTCTTGTTTTTTTTATCCATTCAGCCATTCTATGTCTTTTAATTGGAGAACTTAATCCATTTATATTGAAAGTAATTATTCATAAGTAAAGACTTACTTCTGCCCTTTTGTTACTTGTTTTCTAGTTGTTTTGTAAATTCTTTCTTCCTTAACTTTTCCCTGAAGGGGTTGTTTATGAATTTTTAAAATCAAATTAATTTTATTGAATTTAATTTTTAAACTATTTTAAATAAATTGTGTTTATTTTGTATACCTAGAATGCAACAACATAACATTTTTCATTTTTTACTTTTGTTAACACTGTCTTTGACATAATACCAAAAATGACATTCATTCTAAGGTAAATTCTATGAAGTGGTGTGGATATGTGCTTATTCATTTATACTCATACTTAACTTTATATTTCAACTGCTATTATAAAATTTCATGTTGAGTTCATTTTCAGTATTGCAACTCTGATAAAGTGAATTGCTTCTCATAAAGATCTAACCCATGACTTTTTTCTTATTAGAACAATGCTTTCTATAGTCACATAATTTATATTTATTTGGTTATTTATAATTTGTTCATTCATTTATCACCCACATTATGAAACGATTACTATATGCCCGTCAGTGAAGAGTGACAAAGCTTCCTCTCAAATGGAGATTGCTTCCTGTTGAGCATGAAAGTCTGTAACTATAAAAAAGAAAAAAAATAGATATGCATTATTACTTTGTAGAGAATGAAAATAAGACAATGGACTAGAGCATGGTGGAGTGTCTACTTCAGAATGAAAGATCAGGTAAGCACCTCTGAAGAAGCTATTTGAATACTAGTGGTACCAGCTCATGAGGAGATCAGGAAGAATTGTCTCACAGGCAGAGGAAAGAGATAAAGCAAGATTTAGCTTATACCATTAGGACATATTCTTAAAAAACTGATCTGCTTCAATATGTGAGAGCCAGGAAAGAATAAGAAATGGTAACATTAGAGAAGTAGCTGGGACTATTTGAAGCAGAAATTGGCATGCTAGAATAAAAATTTAGATATTAAGTCCAGTGAAAAAATATAGTACATCTTTACTCAAATGAAAGCATTGCTTGATTGTATCTACTGTGCAATATTATTGTTCAAAAACAGAGTAACTGAATGTGATTTTTGTTATAATACTGCAATGGGTGTTTATTAGATACTTTTCTCTAGTTAGGCATTAAAATGATAATTTATGTATACGTAGCATTTTATATCCCATGAATATTTTCCCATATATTGACTTACATTATCTTCACAACATCCCTATACAGTCTGTTGAGAGATAATATAACATTATTTGACAGTGAAGACCCTAGGGCCCAACTAGTTGAAGTTCTGCCACTTAATAGCTGTGTGACCTCGAACAAATTACGTAATTCCTCTGTGCTTCCTAGTTTTCATCCATATAGAACTCTTGGGTTTTTTTGCTTGTTTGTTTGTTTCTTGTTATTATTTGATTATTCATTGAGTTAATTTTCAATAGTTCTTAGAAATATGCCTGGTACTTTCTAATAGTATTAGTTAATATTATATTGTGGGGCAGTGGTTTTGCCAAAATTGTGGTTTTTGCCCATCTATTACTGTAGGAAACTGCTATTTTGACCTCTCTTAGTTTTGGTTTCTTTCCTTCTCTATGAAATGGGATAAATACCTCCACATGAGATTTTGAGAGTTTAGTAATGTCCTTTAAATATGTTCATGTTAAATGACTTTCATTACTTCCTTTCTAATATTTAAATGGTAAAACTATATTCAAAGAGGTTTAATGAATTCCCACACTTTGTCTCACAAATGAATACGGGTTAAATTCACCCAGCACATTGAGTTAGACATTGATGGTTTTCTTACGTGATGGAGATTACTGATAATGTCAATTATTTTCAGTAGTGCATAGAATAGTACAGAATGCATGCAATGGAGTACAACTTTCACAAAATGACCAATCTAAACAAATTAGGGTACACTAGATTTTATTTCATGCTAACTTTTGTTGTTATTTAGAGGTTTTTTTTTTTTTGCATTTCTAAGCCTGTTTAGAGAGTGCAAGAGGAGAATATATTTTGAAAAATCTCCTGATTGCTGTTGTCTACCTATATTAGAGGCACAAGGATATAATTATCAACAAGGCTCTAGGGTATTCAAACATAAGACTGCCTCAAACCATTAACATACCCTTAATGCATGATTACAAGATGGTTTCTTTCACATGTAACTTTAGCTGTATTTTTGAGTGACATTTAATTTTGCTTTAAATTAAATACAGAGTTGATTTTTAATAAATGCAATCAAGTTTTTTTTTCTAAGTTAATTATGTTATTTATTTATGGCAAGAACACTTAAAGAAAATAAAGAAACCATTGGCCAGGTAATTATGGGACATTAATTTTAGGATGCTACAAAGAACAACCCTCTGAGAGTATGTGAACACATACTCCTAGTTGTTCTATAACAGATCTTCAGAAAGTCATGAGTAAATTGTAATTTATTTCCTTATATTCTCACTATGTTGACCTTTGCCTGTTTTCTTTCTGGTCTCTTCACCAACTTCTTTCTTCTTTCTTCTTCTCTCTTAACCAACTACTTTCCTGCCTACTAGGCAATGACAGTCACCGGAAGCAATTAGTAGGGTGAAGGGCTGGAAGAAACACTCATCTTTTGCTCTAGTTCAGGATGCATTTCTAAATAGCTTGATCTCATCTGTGGTTCTTATTTACACCAAAAGCCTTGAATCCAGGGCTGGGGCAGCTCCACCTCCTCCCTAACGCTGGTAGCAGCTTCACCATCTACTGTTTTTTTTTTTTTTTTTGACTGAGTCTTGCTCTGTCACCCAGGCTGGAGTGCAGTGGCACGATCTCAGCTCACTGCAACCTCCACCTCCCAAATTCAAGCAATTCTCCTGCCTCAGCCTCCTTAATAGCTGGGATTACAGGTGTGCACCACCACACCTGGCTAATTTTTTAAATTTTTGGTGTAGACAGGATTTCACCATGTTGGCCAGGCTGGTCTTGAACTCCTGACCTCAAGTGATCTGCCCACATTGGCCTTGCAAAGTGCTGGGATTACAGGTGTGAACCACTGCTCCCGGCCACCATTTTCTTTTAAACCTGCACCTTTTCATCTTTTTTACTCTTTGGTGACTATTTCATTGCATTGAAATATTCATTTTAGGTTCTATTTTTTTTTTCTGATTGGACTCTGCCTGATACGTTGACTTATTACTTAACATCCCTGGAGTTAACATTATGTAACATGTTTGTATTTTACATGGTACAAATTAAAAGCAATGGGGGTTTAAAATTTTTATATCTCAGATTTTTTTTTTCTTTTTTGAGATGCAGTTCCACTCTTGTTGCCCAGGCTGGAGTGCAAGGAGGCAATCTTGGCTCACTGCAACCTCCACCTCCCAGGTTCAAGCCATTCTCATGCCTCAGCCTCCCGAGTAGCTGGGATTACAGGCGTGCTCCACCACACCCAGCTAATTTTGTATTCTTAGTAGAGATGAGGTTTCACCATGTTGGCCAGGCTGGTTTTGAACACTGGACCTCAGGTGATCCACCTGCCTTGGCCTCCCAAAGTGTTGGGATTACAGGTGTGAGTTACTGTATCCAGCCAACTCACATTTTTAATAACCAAGCTCAAATAAGCATAAACACTTCTGGGCTTTTGTAAATAGCTGAAAATAGCTGAAATTATTTTTTTTAGTTGTTTTGCAACAATCTAAGTCCACTTGATTTTTCATTGTTTTTGAAATTAAGATTATTGTTTTAACTAGCTTATTTGTGGTGCTTTATCTGATATTCTTTAGCTGACAAGGCTTGTTGAACTCAGTGTGTTCAGGAGAGTAAAACTATGTATAGTGAATATGAGGGCACAAGATTACCTTCTAGTAAATCTATGCAGTTTAAATCATTTTTCTGTCTGTCAGGCAACCCCGTGGATCAACGAATCCCAGACCTGTTTATTTCAGGGCTTCGCAATTGATTATCATAAGGGGGACCCTCACCTATACCTTCAGGAGAGGCTTACCTTCATTCACTTATTTTGATCAATAAGGGAAAAAAGAATGCAAAAATATGTAAATTACAATACAAAATATATTGATGCTTTAAGTAATAACTACAGTTTTTTAGAAAATCATCTGATTTTGTTTTCTTAGAAAAAATGAATATGTTGCATTTATTATATATTGGTTATGCACTGGACATTGCTTTAAGCATGAACATACAGTATTGTATTCAAATATCCCCAAACCCCTAAAAGGTAATAACATTTAATAACCATGCTGCAAGTAAGAAATTGAAGCTCACAAAGGCTAAATGACTTGCTCAAGTTCACCGAGGTGACAGGTTGATTCCAGAGAAAATGTTTTAACCTCAGTGTCCTCCCTTTCAACATATTGGTAAGGTTATTACAGCCTAGGTGTGACTGGACAATTCTAGCCCATGCTAAATGCGAGGAAAGAATGTCTACTCAACTAATTTTGGGCAGCCTCTCCAGGCTTTTGTGCCTGGAGTTTGAGAGTAAACTGTCTTAAGCACATATATTTGGCTCCATTTTAATTGGTTTCCTGTCTTTCCCTATATAGAGATGAGTGTTAGATTCACTGGGAGTAATTTTTTTCATGCACCTCCCTTGGCTTTATGGAATTAAAATGTCTATGCATAAGGCCAAGATATCAGCAGGGGAGGGGAGAGCATTAGGACAAATAACTAATGCATGCTGGGCTTAAAACCTAGATGACAGGTTAATAGGTGCAGCAAACAACCATGGCACGTGTATACCTATGTAACAAACCTGCGTGTACTGCACGTGTATCCCGGAACTTAAAGTAAAATAAATAAAATTTTTTTAAAGAATTTAAATACAAAAAAAATTAACATTACCTGCTGTCAAAATTTAGAACCACTGTGGTACATTTTGAGGGCCTCAAGAGCAAACTGTATCTAGCATGAAATCTGGTATAGAAAGTTTTTAATAAATGCCTGTTGAGAAGAGGAAATAATAGGTCATCAGAGATTCAAGGATTTGGTGTCATAATAGATCGAGCAAGAGGGATAATCCTAAACCTATTGTCTTTAGGAACTCATCTCAGTACTAGCCAAGGGGATAGAGTCAAGGGTCTCATTTAGAAATACTGATAACATCTGACATAATTATGCAACACATCCAAGGATACAGGGAAACTAATAAGACAGAAGTAAATTTCATGACCTAAGGGTAAGTTAAAGTTAACATAGTTGGGTGAGAAAACAGGTAAATGCTATCATAGGAAGTGGGAGAATATAAAAGATAACCAAAGCAAAGGGAAGGAGGGAGCACATGTGAAATTGTGCCTTAAAGAGTTAAGGAAACTAATGACGAAATTATTGGGCTTACAGGGTAGTATACAAAAAAACAAGCAACTTGCTTAAAAGCTGAAACCGGAACTGTACCCCAAAGAGTGAGAAACTAGAAGCTAACATGTATTCTTGAGTTTGCAGGATAGCAGATAAGAACAACTTGTTGAAACACTGAAACTCCCTCTGCTTATGAGATAAAGAGAAATCTGGCTGAAATCAATTGGGGCCAAGATGGTTGACTGGAGTTTACACCAAATGAGCTTGCTGACATCACAGCCTAAATTTCCACACGTGTTTCATATTAACTCCCTCCAAATTTGCCCATGTGACCCATTGTTGTTCCAGACCCCTACTGACTCCAGTATGGATGAAACCATATCTGAGAGGCTGAACTAGAAACTCAGTGAATTAGACATGAGATTTATTGAGGAGAATTATATATGGGGCAGTCTAGTGGTAGTGGGCTGGACAGGAGAATCACTATTGTTTGTAAAAAGCATGCAGTTTATATAGCATTTTCAGCACCCTCTGCCTAGTAACTTCCATTTAACTCAAAATATAGGACTTCAATTCCCTGTACAGTCTGCTTTCTAAGGAATGGGCTGGGTGTTCAGACATCCTTCATAGATAAGGAGTGAATCAATGAGCTGGCCACTTCTGGATTCCTTGCTCAGAACTCAAAGCAGACATTCTTCTTGGACCATAAGGTCACTCTCAAAGTAGGATCCCATTATGGCTGTTAGGTGCCTCCACCATACCCCCATTAGGTAACATGAAGAGATAACTTTGCATACGCAAAGACTTTCCAGACCTGCTTTTTCCTTCCACCAATCACCTACTAATCTCAGAATCCACTGCTGAATATTTTTTAATATACTGACCTGAAACCAGCACAAATAGAAATATTTGAGCTTGACTCCTTTCTCCATGTGAGTAAATTTTCAATATAAAGCTTTATTTTTTTTCCTCAAAACCATGTGTCATGGTATTGGCTTCTAGTGCATCAGGCAGTGAGACCCTTTTGCCTGGTAATATATGTCAGGAGAAACTGATAACCAAGGTCAGTGACTGACCATACACTGATGTCAAACATATGAATTTTAAGTTCTGCTTCTGAACTCACTTAAGATCTGTGGATATGGCCAGGACCTCTTCCAGAATTATTCCATTAAATGTTACACCCCATGATGACAGATAATCAGCTGTTATCCTAGTAAGCTGTTGTAGTAACAGACAATGTAGAAGAATTAGAAAATGCTGTACCTAAACAAAGAGTAGAGTTGGCCTCAACAACTTTTATTAAAACACGAAATTTATCAATAATTGTATAAATACAAAACAGATGTTCTTTGGGTTTTTTTATTTGATTTTGTCCCTGAAGAATTTTTTAAGAAGGTGTCAGGTCTGGGTCATCGAGGTAGAGATAGTCATATTTTTTCAATATTCACTTTGTGAACTTTAAGTAACATAAGTTCAGTGGAGTTTCAACTCTTCCTTTAAGGTTCAATATGTAATTATATGTTACACACACTAATAGCTGAAAATGTAAGCTGAGTTTTCTATTTTATAGTAACATGAGAATCAATGCTTTAATACAGAAAGCACATGAACATTTAAGAAAAATATCAGTTTCAAAATGTGCATTCTGTAGTTTAAAGTGAAATTCCTGCATCTCAGTATTATGACATAAAATCATAATTAGATTGTTAAAAATGGCAGCATAGATAGCAATGATTTCAACAAAGTTTATTTTTTTAGAATAAGTATTTGGATATTAAAAAAAATTCTTCCATGATAATTGTGTCTTAAATCTAACTGAAGTAAGATAAAGTCCTTTCTGACTAGGTGATAATGCCCTCTTATCTTTCGTTCTTGGGAATGTACTGTTTATTCACGGTTTTTAAGTTTAAGAAAATGTATTTAGGACAACATCATCTGAAGATTCAGCCTGAAAGTTCACTAATAGGATTAATGTAACCTTTAACATTAACATTGAAAGGGCTGTTCTTTGTCGCATTGTATTTATCTCCCGATTCATTTAGTAATAATATATGCTTTCTTATGTTAATGTTTTCTCTTTCTCATTAAATACAGAATATGGAAAATTCTGGATTTGCAACTCCGTTAAATGAAATTTCAAAGTGATGACAAAAATGATGTCTCCATTTTTGTCCAATAACTCCTTGAAAGATGATGACATACTTTGTATAACACAAGAAGAAAGAAAGATAATTTAATTTAGTATTTCAGGACCCCGCTTGGCTATTCCATCCTTGTTAATTGTGCTTATTTTTGTCTTTTTTACCATAGTTAGAAATAATTGTGAGTAATGAGTGGTAAATACTGTTTCAAAATACAAGAAAATAATGTCACTGATAGCTCATAATGCATCTGAGGTTTATTTTTTTAAAAGTCTAATGGATTTAATGGTATTTTTTAGGTAAAATGATTTTAATTCTTTTGAAAGAAAATAAGTGATTTTTTTCATTTTTAAAAATTACTTCTATCAAAGATGGAAAGCTTTGAAATATCAGTACTCATATGATTTGAACTGCTCAAAACAAAAGCAAAAACAAAACCTTCGGCAACTGAAATGGGTAACCAATTGGACCACAATTAAATACAGAGAGTTAATAAGGCAACCAAAGTTCTTCGCTTAACATTGCCTTCTTGCTTTCATGGTTCTTTGATATCACTTTTGATTAGAGTTGTGAGAGATTTTTCTTGTAAATTGTGATCTTAAAAAAATCAATTTTCCCTTCAATCTGTCAAAGAAACATTGTTGACTGTGATATAGTTATTTCCCAGTAGTTACATGCATATTCTCATTTCTACAACATGGTACTGAAAAGTCATTTTTTCCTGTTCTGCAGAAAATTCAAGAAAGAAAATAGGATCCTTAGCTTATCATATTTTAAGTGTCCCAAAGAATATGATCATACTAAAGTAAAATAGAAAAATAAACCCACTTGCCCTCATCAGATGATCTTAAGAAATACTGCCCTGAGTGAGGAGAAAGAATAATATTAAAAGTACATAAACATGGTTTTGCAGATTTGCATCATAAATTTATACAACTTTATAGATAGGAAACACCTAAAAGCCAAAATTTAATTTAAAAGTGGGCTAAGTAATGCCTTTACATGCCTGACAGAAGCAGTAGGAAACATTCTCTGCAGAAATTCAATTTCAAATCAGGCCAAAAAGCATTGCCATAGTAAAGTCCAATGAATATAAACTCATAGTCACAAATCACAAAAAACATGATAGAAAAATGAAACACTATTCAGGACTAGCAGACAACATATCACAGGATCCTTTGAGTGTTGCTTTGTCTGCTGGAAACCTCTGTGGCCAGTGGCACCTCTGCTTGAGTTTTGCTCATTTCACCCACTCTGTCAGGCAAGCTGCACTTGACTCATGCTACTGGCCCAGATTCCATGCCCATCGAGGGTGAGCCAGGCATGAAATGGCGAGAAGTGTGTCAGTATGTGAGCACAGAGTCTGGCCACTGTGCACAGCCAGCTGTGCCAGCTGCTGTGGCTTGGCAGGCAGCTCCAGATGCCGGCACAGGCATCAGCTCTGTGCAAGGCTGCAGCTGAACCAGGCATACTGGAAGTGGTTCCTGCTGTGGGCATCGGTGTCCAGATGAGAGGAACATGGTGGCCCCCAAAAACTCAGAGATGTCAGCAATCACAGAGCCCAAAGGGTTTAGCGAGGCACATGTTACAACTCTTTCATTCCCATCACCTACAGCATGGTGAAAGTTGGCAGGGCATGTTTCAGCTCATTTGTGTTACAGCTCATTTAGTCCTGCCACCTCACTTCAACCCATGGTTTCTGGGCTGGCCCAGCCCTGCTGCTGCTTCCCATCACATGGTGTGCCCACCCAGTGCTGGTGGAGGTTGGGAGGGCTATAGTGTTACAGCTGTGTCTCAGGGAATCCTGAGGTCTGGGCCCCCAGAAGGGTCACCATTCTTCACTTCCAGTCTGGTGAATGGGAACATGTCACCACCCACAGCTCCAGTAAGCAGGCCAGGAACGTGTAGAAAGAGATTACATGGACAACTGGAGGGCGAACAAGGCAGAGAAGAGTTCTATTGAGTGACACAACAGCTCTCAGTGGCGAGTGACCCAAAGTGGGTAGCTCCTACTGAGTCTGGCTGAGTCTGGGGTTTTTATGAGCTCAGAGTGCAGGAAGTGCATGCTGATTGGTCCATGTGTGAGAGAAAGTATGTGCTGATTTGTCCATAGGTGGGCTTTTGCACCATCTGATTGGCCAAAAGGGATCAAGGAAGTGCCCACTCTATCACGGACTCAAGGCAGAACTGGCAATGTGGACCCTGGGCTTCAGGCCATCTCTGGCTTGAAGGTTGGGCCTCACTGGGGACCTGCCCCTTTCTGTCTAAGAACCTGTCTGACTCCTACTGACATCAAAAGCAGAGAGCAGAGTGAGGTCCATAAAAATATCAGATATTAGAATTACCAGATGAAATATAAAATATCTATATTGAAATAATGTAAGTTATTAAAACATGCTCAACAAAATTGTTATATAAAAAGAAGCAGATTTTAAAGGAAACTAAAGGGAAAAGTAATGCAATTGAAATAAACACTAATTGGACAGGTACAATATCAGATTATGAATATCTAAAGAAACATTAGTGAGCATAAGATAAATCTGAAGATGTTATTCTGAATACAACACAGAGCAGTAAATAAATTTTAAAAAGTTTCACGAAAAATGAAAGTGAAAATAGGAAGAAATAGGATGTCTCTAATCAACATTACTGAAGAAATTGAGAGAAAGAATTAAGAAGAGGAAAACTAAGGTTTAAAAAACATCTAGAGGAAAGTATAGGTTATCCTCAATGGCACGAGAGAATTCTCATGAAAACCCACTTCTCAACCATAAGAATTCAGTAGACACTGAAAAACAAATAAAGTGCTCGTAAAAGAAAAATATTACATAACTCAGATTTTTATATGAACTGAAAATATTGCAACTGAGAACAGTATGTGGGCATTTTTAGATAAATAAGAATTGAGGGTTAGACACTACAGACCCTCTCTAAGGCAACTAGTAAGATGTTTCCTGAAAGTGATTCTGTATGTAATATCTGAAATGAAAACAATGAAAAGATAAACAAATAAGGTAGCAAATACATTATTAGTAAATCTAAGCGGATACATTTAAAACATACAAGGCAAATGCTAATCAATTACACACCAAAAGAATGCTGATTAGACCATATTAATATAAAAAATGACATTTTTTTGGTCAGGAAGCACCCTAGGGAAGAAAAGTGCATATAAATGTTTCAACTCAGTAGAAACATGTTCTGAGTTGATACATCTAAGAATATATTTAGCAAAATTTTTAATAACAAGGAGAATTAGAAAATCTGTCATTATATTGGAGGGATTTTTGCCTTACCTTCTTAATAATTGGTAGAACACATAAAAGCTATAAATAGGGTCATAGGATATCTGAACAAACCAATAAATAAGCTAAATATATTGTACAAATATAAAACACAAAGTCTCTCTGAGAATTGGCTATATCCTAAGACATAAAGCTAGTTGCAGATCTTTACAAAAAAACACAATATTCTGTGATTACATTGCATCTAATGCAGTAACTTAAAAAAAAAGACATAACTAGAAAAATGCTTTTGAAATCTAGTAAGAAAGCCAATTAATAATCAGTAACTTCTGGGTCCAATTGGAAATTATAATAGAAATTAGACATTTAGATATCAATGATAAAATTCTCCTTGTCAAAACCTGTGGAATACAGGTAAAATAGTGCTCAGATGTAAGTTTATAGCCTTAAGTAATTCAATTAGAGAAGAAAAGCTGAACATTGGTGAGTAAAAAGTCTAACTTTAGGTGTTACAGTACAACATTAATACAATAAATCCATAGAAATTGTAATTAAATAAATAAAACACTTACATAGGGCTAGAGCCTGTTCTAAACACTTTACGTAGTCTAACAATCTTTCAACTGTTGCCATGAGGGAGGTCTTTTTATTATCTATACTTTTTTTTACGTGAAAGCAAGTTTATTCAAGAAGTAAAGAATAAAAGCATGGCTACTTAATAGGCAGAGCAGCCTATTGTCTATACTTGTTAACCCAAGCCAACTAGCTTTAGAAATTATCCTGTTAACCACTATTCTGTACTCTCTGACAGTGGACATTTAAGCAAAACTGTAATGAAATAGCAAGATTAAAACATAATCAAATTTAACACTGACTATTTCAAGTGGATTAGGATTATAGTCTAATCCAAAGGGGTCAAATACATAAATTTGTCTAAGATTTCCTTTGATTGTTGCAAGGTTGAAGCCTTGAAGGGCTGGCTATCCATGTAGAATTTCAGATATTCAGACCCAGGGAAAAATAAAACTGGTTGATACTCCCATCTGTAAAATGGGATAATACTAACAGAACCTACCATGTTTTGTTGCTTTGAGGATTAAACGAGACACACTATATGGATTTCTTAATCTATATAACCTCTCTACATATAATCTATCCATATATAATGTATATAATATAATCTATGTAATCTGTCATGTTAATGTATTATGATGCCATTTAAATGGACAATATTGTGTTCTGCTTGCCACATATAAACTACTCGATGAACAGTAGCTATTGATGATTTGGCATTCCAATTCTAATTACATTTCTTGGTCTTGTTAAAATTATTCCATTTTAATTTAAATTATTTATTTGTTTAAGTTGTATTCAAAGTTATTAGATTTTTACCTAACAAATCCACTTTATAAGAGATTTGGCTGATAAGTTATTAACCTCTTAGGGCTAATATATTAACTCTCTTCACTTTGCTCATAGTAATAATCATGCCTGAATTTAAAGTCCTTTAAAGAAATCTAATCTAATGAGCTCTCCAATATCTGTGATTTAATGATGTCTATAAGACTACTGCATCTTATAGTGCTTTTGAAGTTTAAACACTTTGAACCCATTCTTTATTTTGACTGATGGAATTGCACTTCTATTTCTCATGCTATTTTGAATTTATTAAGCTTCTGTGCTTCTAAACATAATTAGCAAGGCATTAAGAATATTTTATACCTTGATTATGCATCTTTATTTTCAAAGGCTTATGCTTCTGTGATGTGTTTTGAAATCAACAAATATTATTTGTTCTGTTGCTCGTGACTAGAAAATATTTCACAAGCACCAGTAAACAAATTGTAACGTATTTTTTATTTGGAGCAATATTCTTGTAGATTTTAATAGAGAATAGTAAAAGGAACTATTCATTTTTTCATAAAGTGTTTTTATGAAAGAAGTTGAATTAAGATACTTCATCCTTTACTTGAATAATACTATTATTTTGTGGATAGCCATAAAAGATCTCACCACTCTTGTTATTTCCTCCTGGAAGGGTCATGTGATTCTTCCTTTCCCTAATTTTCTTCTCTACTGCTTAGTTCTCAGCACTAATATAAAAGTGTGGTCTCGTAGGTCCCCTCACATGACCCGACAAGCAACTCTGATCCTTGGAAAGGGCCAAAGTACCTAAGTTCACATTATCAATGATTTAAGTTCCTACCTTAACATTTCTTGCTGGCCACTTCTCTGCAAAACTACTTGATTTCAGAATTTGTATCTTCAGAATGGATTCCCACCACCCTAACCAGTATCTTTGGCTATAAACATTGAAGAGGGTGTTTAACAACTGTTGACTCCTCTTTGCCTAGCTAGCTTAACTATTGAATTTATTATTTAAGGCAAGTTAGAAAATGCATACTGAGGCAAAACTCCCTTCAGAATGAACAAGATCTTATTCTAGTCAAGGAATCCCAATTTGAAACTAGAAAGCAAAATATGAAATTACTGAAACAAGATGAATGTAGATAATAACAAATTACGATACATCTGTTCTTAATGTTCAAGGACAAGCCAGAGCACCTAATTCTCCATTCAGAAACAATTAACATGCTTCTTGCTGTGTCCATTTTGATGCCTGTTTCTATTATTTTTAAATACAATGAGGTTAAAAAAAGATTGTCCACTCTTAAAAATGCTATTAAAAATGCTTAATATTCAGTTTTTAAAAAATATGTATATGTATATTGTTACTGAAGGCATTTAGTTTGCTGGTGTTTAAGATAGACAAAACCCAAAGGGTTCTGGGCTAAACAGTCAAAATATAACTCCTAGAAGAAATGCTATTTATGACAATTTTCTTTTACTTTATTAATATCATTTTGGGAATACTTTAAGAGCAGGATATGAGTAGATAAATATTGGCAGGTAATTTGGTGTGATTACAATGAGGTCATGTACTAGGTAGATTCTGGTGTAAGTACAGAATTTGATTCAGTGCTTAATTCTATTTTAAAGAAGTTGAAGTCTCATATATGTTGATGTTATTTGATAGTACTTATAATTTTTAATTACATTACTGTGTAAGGTAAATAAAAGTTAACAAAGATAATATTTTCTATAGCATAATTGGGCCAGTTATTGACTTTAATATTCCAATAATGTTGGTTAGATGAGAGATAAGGAATCTAGGATTTTTTTTGCTTGCTTATTTTAAGCTTTATTAATTCTGAACCTGCTGAGAGCCTTGTAATCGTTTTTGTGCCAATTGTAAGAAAGATTGCTTTCCAGATTACTTTTTTTTCCAGTTTAAGATTAAGACCACAACAGCAACATTTTGCCTTTGCTATAATTATACTATTGTAGTCTTTGTTGAACAATGCAAATAAACAGGTATTAAGAAACTGTGGTGGGAAGGGGCTGGGTTATGAAAGCATAAAGAGGAACTCTTAACATTTAGGTCCAAAGGACATTTTGATTTTATAATGTTATAATATTTCTGAGTTATCTACTAATATCCTGAAAGATTCATAAGAAAGAGACTTTTAGATTTGTGATATAAAATTGTTTCTCAATTCATAATGTTTCAAAGATTTACCCAAAAATTTAGCTTTTTCTAATACTTAATGAAGTTGATCTAATTACTGAACTTCTCTAATAGCTTTGCTGGAAATTGGGATCATTACTTAGCTTCCTTTAGTGATTACAATATTTTTTCTAATCTTTAAATATAAGTGGCAACGTTATATATGATCATTTTTCCACTAGCAATGATAGCATATAATGTCCCTTTTACTACCTCTCCCTAAAAAAACAAATTAAAAATAATAATAATTTTAAAAACAGACAAAAAATGAACAGGAAAGAAAATTAGCTTGTCTTCAAACTATACTACAAGGCTACAGTAACCAAAACAGCATGGTACTGGTAACAAAACAGATGTATAGACCAACACAACAGAACAGAGGCCTCAGAAATAACACCACACATCTACAACCATCTGATCTTTGATAAACCTAACAAAAACAAGTAATGGGGAAAGGATTCCCTATTTCATAAATCATGCTGGGAAAACTGGCTAGCCATATGCAGAAAACTGAAACTGGAACCCTTCTTTACACCTTATACAAAAATTAACTCGAGATGTATTAAAGGCTTAAACATAAAACCTAAAACCATAAAAACCCTAGATGAAAACCTAGGCAATACCATTCAGGATATAGGCATGGGCAAAGACTTCATGACTAAAATGCCAAAAGCAATTGCAACAAAAGCCAAAATTGACAAATGGAATCTAATTGAACCAAAGAGCTTCTGCACAGCAAAAGAAACTATCATCAGAGTGAACAGGCAACCTACAGAACGGGAGAAAATTTTTGCACTCTAGCCATCTGACAAAGGTCTAATACCCAGAATCTACAAGGAACTTAAACAAATTTACAATAAAAAACCAAACAACCCCATCAAAAAGTGGGCCAAGGGTATGAACAGATGCTTAAAAGAAGACATTTATGCAGCCAACAAACATATGAAAAAAAGCTCATCATCACTGGTCATTAGAGAAATGCAAATCAAAACCACAATGAGATACCATCTCATGCCAGTTAGAATGGTGATCACTAAAAAGTAAGGAAACAACAGATGCTGACAGGGATCTGGAGAAATAGGAACACTTTTACACTGTTGATGGGAGAGTAAATTAGTTCAACCATTGTGGAAGACAGTGTTGCGATTCCTCAAGGATCTAGAACTAGAAATACCATTTGACCCAGCAATGTCATTACTGGGTATATACCCAAAGGATTATAAATCATTCTACTATAAAGACGCATGCACACGTATGTTTATTTACAGCACTATTTATGATAGGAAAGACTTGGGACCAACCCAGATGCCCATCAATAATAGACTGGATAAAGAAAATGTGGCATGTATACACCATGGAATTCTATGCAGCCATTAAAAAGAACAAGTTCATGTCTTTTGCAGGGATGTGGATTAAGCTGGAAACCATCATTCTCAGCAAACTAACACAGGAACAGAAAACTAAACACCGCATGTTCTCACTCATAAGTGCAAGTTGAACAATGAGAACACATGGGCACAGGGAGAGGAACATCACACACCAGGGCCTGTTGGGGGTTGGGATGGAAGAGGAGGGAAAGCATTAGGACAAATACCTAATGCATGTGGGGCTTAAAACTTAGATGATGGGTTCATAGGTGCAGCAGACCACTATGGCACATGTATACCTGTGTAACAAACTGACACATTCTGCACATGTATCCCACAACTTAAAATTTAAAAATTAAAAATATTAGCCAGTCTTGCTTTATATAAATAGAAGTCATATACTTCAATCACTTTAATTAATTGGATTCACTGAAAGTAACAAAGGACTATAGTTTTGTACACATTTTTGTCATTGGAAATTCTTTTCTTATTAGCCGTTCTTTTTTTCTCATGTTTTCTTTCCTACACTCTGAGAATTTTACAACGTACTAACATTTTATTCTTCTAAAAATGATTTTTATACTTGATTTATACCCCATAAACAAAGCATTGTTATTGACTATTAGTGTATTATCTTCCGCATTTTCTAAATATTAAAACACTGGAATCCAAAATAGGACAAAATGCAGGAAGTCAGGGACTCCGAATGGAGGGACCGGCTGGAGCCAAGGCAGAGGAACATAAATTGTGAAGATTTCATGGACATTTATCAGTTCCCAAAATTAATACTTTTGTAAATTCTTACGCCTGTCTTTACTGCAATCTCTGAACATAATTTGTGAAGTTTTCATGGACATTTATCAGTTCCCAAAATTAACACTTTTATAAATTCTTATGCCTGTCTTTACTGCAATCTCTGAACATAAATTGTGAAGTTTTCATGGACATTTATCAGTTCCCAAAATTAATACTCTTATAATTTCTTATGCCTGTCTTTAATCTCTTAATCCTGTTATCTTCATAAGCTGAGAATGTATGTCACCTCAGGACCACTATTTTACAAACTGATTGTAAAACGTGTGTGTTTGAACAATATGAAATTAGTGCACCTTGAAAACGAACAGAATAACAGCGATTTTAGGGAACAAGGGAAGACAACCAAAGGTCTGACTGCATGTGGGGTTGGGCAGAATAGAGCCATATTTTTCTTCTTGCAGACAGCCTATAATTGGACATGCAAGTAGGAGAGATATCACTGAATTCTTTTCCCAGCAAGGAATGTTAATAATTAATACCCTGGGGAAGGAAAGCATTCCTGGGGGGAGGTCTATAAACAGCCGCTCTGGGAGTGTCTGTCTTATGCAGTTGAGATAAGAACTGAAATATGCCCTGGTCTCCTGCAGTACCCTCAGGCTTATTAAGGTGGGGAAAAGATCCTGCCCTGGTAAATTTGAGGTCAGACCGGTTCTCTGCTCTCGAACCCTGTTTTCTGTTGTTTAAGATGTTTATCAAGACAATATGTGTGCAGCCGAACATAGACCATCATCAGTAATTCTAATTTTGCCCTTTGCCTTGTGGTCTTTGCTTTGCCCTTTGCTTTGTGATCTTTATTGCCCTTTAAAGCATGTGATCTTTGTGACCTACTCCCTGTTCACACACACCCTCCCCTTTTAAAGTCCTTAATAAAAATCTGCTGGTTTTGTGGCTCAGGGAACATCATGAACCTACTGATATGTGATGTCACCCCTGGAGGCCCAGCTGTAAAATTCCTCTCTTTGTACTCTTTCTCTTTATTTCTCAGACGGTCGACACTTAGGGAAAATAGAAAGGACCTACATTGAAATATTGGGGGCTGGTTCCCCCGATACAAAATAGTTTTCTAAAAATAAATTTTTGTCAGGGTATCATGGAAATAGAGTCACTCTGGGAACTCAGAATATAAAAGAAGCAATAGTTCTTATAATTTTTTGGTATTCTTAGTATGTTGACAATGTCTTAGAACTAATGCAAACTTTTACTCTGCTATTTGCATTACAATTAATGTACTCAGTTTCCAAAAGAGAAGAAAAGATACTTATACATTAATTGCTTAATATTGTTATAGGAAATATTTTTAATATATTAACCCAGAAGCCCTTAAACTTTTTGCTTTCAGGATGCCTTTATATTTAAAACTATTATAGAAGTTCTAAATAGTCTAAATTACTATTTCTGTCTCTCTATTTACTGTATTGGTAATTACAACTAATAATGTTTAAATATTGTTTATATTTTATTGAATACTATTTATTGATATTGATATGGTTTGGATTTCTGTCCCCACCAAAATCTCATTTTGAATTGTAACCCTCAGTGTTGAAGGAGAGGCCTGGTGGGAGGTGATTAGATCATGGGGGCGGCCTTTCCCTTTGCTGTTCTCATGATAGTGAGTTCTCATGGGATCTGATTTTTTTTTTAAAGTTTGTAGTACCTCCCCCTTCTCTTTTTCCTGCTCTGGCCATGTGAAGATGTGTCTCCTTCCTCTTCACCTTTCTCCCTGATTGTAAATTTCTATGTACATCATGCTTCATGTACAGCCTGCATAACTGTGAGCTCATTAAACCTTTTTTTTTTTTTTTTAAATAAATAAGCCAGTCTCAGGTCGTTTTCTGTAGAAGTGCAAGAACTGACTTATACAGAAAGTTGGTACTGGAAAGTGGGGCATTGCTATAAAGATACCTGAAAATGTAGAAACAGCTTTGGGTCTGGATAATGAGCAGAAGCTGGAACAATCTGGAGGACTCAGAAGAAGATAGATAGATTAGGAAATGTTGGAATTTCCTAGAGGCTTGTTAAATTGTTGTGATCAGTGATGTAGACAATGAAGTACAGGCTGAGGTTGTCTCAGATGGAAATGAGGAACTTATCAGGAACTGGAGTAAAGGTAACTCTTTCTCTGCTTTAGCAAGGAGATTGGGGAGGCATTGTTCCCATACTCTAGGAATCTGTGGAACTTTGGACTTGACAATGATAATTTAGGGTATCTGACAAAAAGTAATTTCTAAACAGCAATGCGTTCAAGATGTGAACTGGCTGCTTCTAATAGTGTATTGTCATATGCATGAGCAAAGAGATAATGTGAAACTGGAACTTATATTTGAAAGGAAAACAAAACATAAAAGTATAGAAAATTTGCAGCCTGACCATGTGGTAGAAAAGAGAAACCAGTTTTTAAGCAGGCTGCAGAAATTTGCATAAGTAAGGAGGGGCTGAATGTTAATAGCTAAGACAATGGGGAAAATGCCTGGAAGACATTACAGAGTGCTTCATGGCAGTCCCTACCATCACAGATCTGGAGGCCTAGAAGGGAAAAATGGCTTTGTGGACCATGCCCATGGCCTCACTCCCCTGCACAACCTTGAGACACTGCTCTCAGCATCCCAGCTACTCCAGCTGGAGCTGTGGTTAAAAGGGCCCCAGGTATGTTTCAGGCTGCTTCTCCAGAGGGTGCCAGTCATAAGCCTTGGTAACTTCCATGTAGTGTTAAACCTGCAGGTGCACAGAGGGCAAGAGTTGAGGCTTGAGAGTTTCCACCTAGATTTCAGTGGATGTATAAAAATGTCTGCATGTCTAGTAGGAAGTCTGCTGCAGGGGCGGAGCCCTTATGGAGATCCTCTACTAGTGCAATGTGGAGTGGAAACGTGGGCTTAGAGCCTCCACACCAAGTCCCCACTGGGGCACTGCCTAGTGGAGCTGAAAGAAGAGGGTCACCATCCTCCAGAGCCTAGAATGGTAGATACACTGGCAACTTGCAGCATGCACCTGCAAAAGCTGCAGGCATTCAACAGCAGCTCTTGAGAGCAGCCATGGGAGGTGAACCCAGCAGAGCCAGAAAAGCAGAGCTGTCCAAAGCCTTGGGAGACAACCCATTGCATCAGTGTGGCCTGGATGTGAAACATGGAGCCAAAGGAGATTATTTTGAAGTTTAAGATTTAATACCTGCCCTGCTGTTTTTCAGACTTGCATGGAGCTTGCAGTCTCTGTTTTGGCCAATCCTTTTGGAAAGGGGAGCATTTACTCAAAGCCTATACCCCCATTGTCTCTTGGAAGTAAATAAATTGTTTTTGATTTGACAGGCTCATAAGCAGAAGGGACTTACCTTGCCTTAGATGAGACTTTGGAATGTAGGCTTTTGAGTTAATGATAAAATGAGTTAAGACTGGGGAACTGTTGAAAAGGAATAATTGTATTTCGCAATGTGACAAGCACATGAGATTTGAGAGGGGCCAGGGTGAAAGAATATGGTTTGACTCTGTGTCCCCACTCAAATCTCATGGCAAATTGTAATCCTCAGTGTTGGAGGAGGGCACCTGTGGGAGGTGATTGGATCATGGGGGTGGATTTCCCCCTTACTGTTTTCATAATAGTGAGTAATTTCTTATGAGTTCTGGTTGTTTAAAAGTGTGTAGCACCTCCTTTTTCTTCTTCCTGCTCTGGCCATGTGAAGATGTGCCTCCTTCCTCTTTGCCTTCTGCTATGATTGTAAGTTTCCTGAGGCCTCACCTTCCATACTTCCTGTACAGTCTGCAGAACTGTGAGCCAATTAAACCTCTTTCCTTTATAAATTACTCAATCTCAGGTAGTTTTTTTACAGTAGAGTAAGAATGGAATAATACAAATATTTTTATATACCAATAAAATAAGACTTATCATGTTAACATAAATAGCCTATTTCTCATAGAAACTCTATTGTCAAAAAAATAACCATGACAAGAGAAGAACTTTTTTGTAGTTTTGCATACATATTTAATATTTGGGTTAGTACAGGGCAATTGAAATTTCTTATTTGTATCTCAGTCTTTTTCCAGATTCACTTTTTAAAAATGTGTATAGAGAAGATTCATCATTACACAGATGTATATTTGGAAATGGGAGGAATATTTGAATTACCTTCCGTGGTAATTGTCGATATTTGTCTTTGATACCACACCAAGATTTGGTATGTGGTAGTTACTTAAATAAAGGTTATTTGCAACTTCTAATTTGAAATTATTTCAATGAACTTTTCATACTTTATTGCCTTAAAAGAAGTTGGAATATCTTGCACTTTGGGTAAATCTTTAACATGTGTATGATTATCATGCATTTGCCACTTAGAAAATATCAGTTCAGTGATTATGCAAATTTTTCAAATGTTGATATATTTCCTTTAAGTGTTGGAAGCTGTCAAGCTCATGGTGGCCATTAGATTTTCCCAAATTCTAACCTTAACTGGGAGGCAAAAATGTTGGTATTTAAAGCAAACACTATCAGTTATTTGTTTTGAAGTGACAGGCTCATTTTGCCGATTTTCTTAAATATCTGCCAAAACCCAAGTTGAGTAACCAGAGTTTGTGTCATTCTTTCCAATAAAATTGTTGTTCCTTGGAAAATATGGCTCATTCAGTTCAGAACTCAGTCCCTTATGTGCTTTTACCCATGATCTGTCACACTTCAGTAGGCGACAAAAGTGCCTTATGTGTACTTCTAATTTCACCACACAGAATATTAAAATGTAACGTTATCTGACTAGCTTTAAAAGAACATTTTTAAGCCATTCTTCTTTTTTTCCTTTTTTTTCCCCAAGTGTGTGGTGTTGACATACACAGTAAATAGTAATATAGTAGCAATCCCAAGACAGTCAGTCAAGCAACTGATGCTAAGGGTTCCAATAGTTTTATCTGCTATTGATTTTGCATAGTTATTTCAAATTCAAAAAGAGAAGAAAGGCCAAATAACATCTGAGTATTATTATGGAGACGGTTTAGACAGTTTAGTCAATACCACCTGCAACACCTTGTGTTTGAACAGGTTGGTTTTATTACTCATCTTAGTAAGGAGCATATCACCATAGAGAGCTATGGGTAGTTCCATACAGGTGTTAAAAAAGACTTATTTATTACAGGATATGGACTTATTTGGTAGTTTTTGTTTTGTTTGGTTTGGTTTGAGACAGAGTCTCACTCTGTTGCCCAGGCTGGAATGCAGTGGTGGAATCTCAGCTCACTGCAACCTCTGCCTCCTGAATTCGAGTGATTCTCATGTCTCAACCTTTCAAGTAGTGGGGATTACAGGTGCACACCACCTTCCTCAGGTAATTTTATATTTTTAGTAGAGATGGGGTTTGCCATGTTGGCCATGCTGGTCTCAAACTTCTGGCCACAAGTGATCTGCCTGCCTTGGCCTCCCAAAGTGCTGGGATTACAGGTGTGAGTCACCATGCCCAGCTATTTGGTGGTTTTGAAGAGAATTTAAGAAGTGGTGTTTGGCTCTGAGTTGCTTTTAGGAAGCAGGGATGATCTTAAATTGAGGTACTTCCATACATCTCATGTTTCTAGAGGGCAGATTACAGATGATGCAAAAGCTGTAATTCATAAATACTAAGCAGTCACTCAGCCAAAATCAGGGGATGGACATTGGCCTTGCTTTTTCTGTGTGTAGACATGATTACAAAACAAAATGTTGATTCAGTATGGTCACAGAATGGCCTTGTCTGTCGTTGATGTTCTGTGACTTATGTCCAACAGAACACCATGTCTTGCCTGTGGATGTGAGGCAAACTCCTGGATATTAGAGGCTGCTTTTCTCTTTCTCAGATATCATGGGATTCCTGAAAGTGTCAATCCTTCTGAGGTCCATGAACCATATTTACATATATAACAAATATTTTCAATGGTGCAGCAAAATATTTCTGACTCCAATATACTCTTTTTATTCATATTTTGGCTTTTTTCGGGGTGCTTAAAGTGATTAGACTGCAAGAACTCTAAAATCACATTGAAAAGTGTGAAAGAAACCTTAGAAAGGGATCAAGTTGTTTTGAGATACATGCTTTATAAAACTATGGAGATGTATAAATTTACAAAACACTACAGAGGTAGAGAAGCAAGAGGATAATTAATACTAAGGAAAATAGCAGAAATTGAGGAGAACCAGGCAGTGAAACATATTACAAAAAAGAATTAGATCTGGATACTAAATTATCTGTAATTAAAGTAAAAGACTATATCAGGAAAAATATATGTTTCTATAAGAACTATAAAGGAAGCCAAAGGTGAGAAGAGTGAAACTCTTTACGTAATTAGAACATGTGATTTAATGATCAATGTTTCACTTGATCCAACTCCTATAATTCCTGCTTTATACCGAAAGTAAAGTTAAACAAATATATAATATTTGTAAAGCTACCAAATTAATATCGTATACTGTTTAATAACAAGTCTTGCCATTGAATGCCATTTTAGATGTTCCCATTGAACTAAATGAAGGAATGATTTAATGAATAAATAAAAACTATTACATTATTAATCCATTAAAATATATGTGAGGATGTTAGGTAGGACACAAACAATGTAAGCACAGCAAATACATATTTTATAAAAAGTAGATTTTCAACTGATAATAATATAAAGCAAGCTTTTAGATGTCACATTTTAAAAATTATAACTTTTGTTTACTTTAAGTTCTATGAAAATGTAATAAAAATGACAGCCAAAAATTTGGGTATGTTTTGCTTTTTTTCTTTTAAGCTATCTTTCCACACCTGTGACCAGACTGCTATGCTTGTCAGAAACAATAAAATAGAAGTCTCCTAACTACTGGGAACACATCTATCCACAAGACCATAGGGAATCCCGCCCAGGAACCAGCTGCTCTGTTTAAATCTAGTTGGCACTACAAACCATACACAAGGAGCTCTTCTGAAAGTTGTGCTTACATCATTTATTTTCAAACACATTTATTTTGTTAGATTATGAAAATGCAATACAATATTTTAATTCAAAGTTTTCCATCAAAGTTATGGAAGCTGTGAATTTCCAAGTACACACTCCAAGCATTAAGAGAGGCTACAATCTCAGTTGTATATGCAATCTCTTTCTAAATATTTTCCCTTACACTTAAAAATAAAGACTTTCATCAAAGTGTAAATTAAAAAGAAAATTCTAAGCCCCTCAAGTAACTGATGAACACCACTTTTGGTCTTTCCAAAGTAAATTTGGCATTCCAAAGTAAATTTGAAAATCTACTTCAGGCCATGATAGAAACGGGTTGAATATGTTTCATTATATCGTCCTCCCTTTGGAATTCAGGCACAACTGACCACCATTAACATTACAACAGATCTTAAGACTGATGAAACAGACTCTTTGTAGCAATAAGATATCCAACTCCAACCTGACTCTAGTGTAGCATCACATGACAGATAACAGGCCCTAAAATAAATGGAAATATTTTACCCCAAAATATATTTCTTTGACATATTTTTGTAAAGACCCTGCAACGCTGTTTCTTGTGGGGAAAATCTACATTCTGTGGAGAATCACCTTCACTTTCAAGATCTTTTTTCTGATCCAAGAAAGAATTAACTAAGAGTGTGGCACCCTTTTAAGTCCGATAAGAAACATCTACAACCATTTCTCTCAGAAGCCTGCTACCTGGAGGCTTTATCTGCACAATAAGGACCTTGATCTTTCCAACTCCTTATCTTAACCCAGACATTTCCTTCTATTGACTCCAGGTCTTTAGATAATAACTCTTTCAACTAATTGTCAATCAGAAAATCTTTAAATCCACCTATGACCAGGAAGCCTCCCCACACTTTGAATTGTCCTGCTTTTCTAGATGGAACCAATGAAACTCTTACATGTATTGATTGATGTCTCCCTAAAACATATAAAACCAAACTGTAGTCTGACCACCTTGAGTACATGTTTTCAGGATCTGGAGCTGTGTTAAGGGCTATTGGTCACTCATATTTGGCTCAGAATAAATCTTCTCAAATATTTTACAGATTTTGACTCTCTTCATCAACAAAAGATGTGGAACTCAAGGTCCTATATCTTTCATACAGGATGTTTGATCCTGACCCAAGTATCAGTTGAGAGAAAAATAAATTCATTTTTTTGTGTGTGTATTCCCAATATCATTTGAAATTCAAATGCTCTTCATTCTAGGTAGAATTTGAATCTGTTCAAATTGACATGATTGATTGATTGAGGTTAGCATTTGAATAGAAAATGGAAAAACAGCAAAATTGGTAGATTGTTTTCCCTGATAAAGTGGGGAGGTGTGGGAAGTCCCAGGAAGGTTTCTGGCATATCACTTTAAAATTATCATTTCATTTAATTTGACTGCAAAAGGGAGGAAAACAAATTCAGAAGTGATTGTTCTTTTATGCATTTTCATTTTTACTTTAAATAATTACAAAATTGGATTTTGCATATTTTTGCAGTTATAACCCAAGAAAAAATAGAATAGAAAGCTAAATGAAAATTACTTTTGTATTTGATTTAGAATTCACATCCTATTGAGTAATGAACCACAGAGAATTTTCTCTATATAAAAACTTTTTAAAATTATTTTATAAAATTGTTTTTTACATATTTATGTTGATAATATGTTAATTTTTTTATTGTTAAATTATGAATTTAAAATATGTAATAGAAGCATCACATTCTTTTCAAATTACAGTAGTAATATAGAAACAAAATAGATGACTCAGAAAAATAAACAACTAAAATTATGGCACTATTTAAGACTGTGCAATTAATAATTTTGAAATTCACTGGCTTAAAATTTTTTCAAAACCTAATAGTTGAAGTAATTAAATTGACAATGAGGAAAACTTGAAGTATATTAGGATTTTCAAATGAAATTTTGAGGAAGGGCTAATTTAAGAAAAGTTATTCTTTAAAATTCAATTCCTCTTGAATGAAAGAAGTCTTTGATTAACCCATGAATACAGAAGTTTGAGAATATTTTTGTGTTTCCTTTGCTTTGTATTATAAAACACAGGTAGATCTGTGTTTTCTGGAATGCTATGCATACCATTTTCAGCCAAAGAAAGTTCTCTCATATATCATTCTGGAACACAGATGCTGGGGGAAGATTAGCAGATGATTGGAGAAGGAGGCAGATGAGAGATTTTGAAGACGTGGTAGGACATGTGAAAGATTGTATTGTTTATCCAAAGTAACAGTTTTCTAATGTAAGCTTTTGATGATTGCTTGGTCATAACTATATTTTTAAAAGTAAAGGCCGTCTACAAGTATATAAGTAATGTAAATGGAAAGATGCCAGTTATCTTTCTCATATACGTGGACAAATATTCTAGTTTTTTATTTCTTTCTAATTATCTTATGAACTGTCGTTCTTCACTAAAAGAAAAAAAATAGTGATCTTTTTATGTAGCATTCAGCATCGACAACTTTCCAAAAATTCATCAGTGTTTTCCCCAGTATTAGAATTCTCCAAGTTTTTGAAAATCACAAACCTAAAACTGTCTTTATTTTTTTTCTAGAAAGTCCTGGGAAATTCATGCAAAATACTCCCTGGAGGAAGAGCAATAAGTTATAAGAAAATATGCAGGAAAAAATAAAAGGTATTATTTATCCTGCAGTTGATGAAATAATACAGGAAAAGACTCAATAAAAGACTAACAAAATGTGTTAAAAATGATAGAATGTTAGGTGGAAGTGATTAAAGTAGAAAAGTGGAATCATTGAAGAAATATTTAAATGGTACAATGATTAGGAATTCGTGATTCTTTGGCTGTTATGTAGGAGAGGGAGGAGTTAAGAAATACAGCATAACAGTTTGTTCAGCTGGTTGAATCAAAGTCTCAGTGAAGGATATGAATTTCACTGTAGTTGATCTGTCCCACACTATGATGTACTCTGTGTGCCTCTTGGAAGGTTGTGTTGTGTAAAGTATGGCATTACATTTCCAAGAATTTTAATTAAAGAATTAAAGAAAATAATTCTCCTTGGTTAACAGCACTTCTCTGATGTATTTGCCTGAGAAACCTTTTTTCCATTGACTAGTTATTAACAGCTTGAAAGAAACTCATACATATTATAAACACAGAAGAAATATGCTATTTTGCTTTTGTTGTCATTTCTAGGATACCATTCTCTTTTGGCTTTCTTTGTAGTTTTCTAATAATTTATTCCTTTGCTCTTCTGTAGGCTCATATTCCTCTGTGTACTCTTTAAACGTTCTTGTTGTAAAGGCCCAAAGTATTTCTTAAGAAGTCTTTCTACATCTAACATTTTTCTTTTAAATCTATCTCTTCTTATACTCCAGACTGAGAGTTCTAAAGGCTAAATCTAGAAGGATTAGAGATACATTAAAGCCTTCAGTGACACATATGACTCAGTAATGTCTACAGACCACTGCAAGAGAATGATGGCCTTCTCAGGCCACTCATCACTCCACTCTGTGCCTAGTAATATATTAATGAGCAATACAAAGTTGTTTTCAATTACTTCTTTATAATGTGTTTTTTCCTGCCTTCTTCACTTTACTCATGATATTCCCTTTGAAAATAATGCTATGTTGATTCCAACTTTGACTCATGAATCAGTACTTACTTTTTATTTCTCAGCCCCAGCACCACCTCTGAAAAGCCTTTTTATCTATAACATTTCCCCTGCTGAAAATGTATTGCTCTTTTCTTTCTTTATGTTCTCAAGAATAAAACTCCATTATTCATTTACTACATGGCTTTAAACTTGCCTGTTTACATATAGGTCTCCCACAGTGAGCTGTGAGCTGTTAGAGGCTACACACCATGTTTGTATGCATGGCATCTAGGATCATGGCCCCTTTATACAGAATCTGAACATTCTATTTGAATGAAAGAGTGCAGAGGAAAGCAATCTTTCACGTTCCTTTGCTATTTAATAGGTAATTCAAACTGCCTTCCTACTGTCTGCCATTTTTCATGTCTAAATATTGTTGCATCTCAAATACTTCTATGTTCCACCATCTGATAGATATATATTATTAATTAATGTTGCACTCGATTCCAATATATGTCAGTGCTACCCAATGCTTGTTGCCATTCCTCTCTGATTTTTCTTTCTTGTTCCTTAAGTGTTGAAAGAAGATGTATTGAGTTTCCAAATTATTATTTTTTTCTCAGCTTTATTAACATGTAATTGACAAATACAAATTTTAGATACTTTTGGTATAGAATGTGATGTTTTGAAATATGTATACACAGTGAAATGCTGAAATCACGCTAGTTTACATATGGATCACCTCACATACTTATCATTTTGCGTGTGTGATGAGATCATTTATGATGTACCTTATGAGCAATTTTCAAGCACACAATTATTACTGACTATAGTTAGTTATATTAGTCACTATAGTCTACAATACATCTCTCAAACTTCTGCATCCTGCTTAACCAAAACTTTGCACCCTTTGACCAACATCTCCCAATTCCCCCAGCTCCACCTCAAACCGTGGTGACCATCATTCTACTCTCTGGCTTGTATAACATCAACATTTTAAGATGACAAATATAAGTGAAATCATGAAGTATTTGTCTTTCTGTGCCTGGCTTCTTTCACTTAGCATAATGTCCACCAGGCTCATTCATTTTGTTGAAAATAATTCATTTCTTTTTAAAGACTAAATATTTTATTTATATGGTAACATAGTTTGGATATTTGTTGCCCCTCAAATCTCGTGTTACATTTTTATCTTCAATGCTGGAAGTGGGGCCTGCTGGGAGGTATTTAGGTCTGGGGACAGATCCCTTATGGCTTGGTGCTGTCTTCATGATAGTGAGTGAGTTCTTTCAGGATCTGGTCATGAAAAAGTATGTGGCACCTTCCTCTCCAACTCTCTCTTGTTGCTGCTCTGGCCAAGTGATGTGTCTGCTTCCCTTTCACCTTCTCTCATGATGGTGAGCTTCCTGAGGCATCCCCAGGATCTGAGCAGATGCCAGCACCATGCTTCCTATAATGCCTGCAGAACTGTAAGCCAATTAAACCTCTTTGCTTTATAAATTACTCAATCTTTGGTATTCTTCATAGCAATGCAAGAATGGTCTCATATGCACAAATAAAACTGACACTGAGGATTGGGGTATTTCTATAAAAATACCTGAAAATGTGGAAGCGGTTTTGGAACTGGGTAACAAGTAGACACTGGAAGAGTTTGGAGGGCTCAGAATAAAACAAAAAGATGAAGGAAAATTTGAAACTACTTAGAGACCAGTTAAATGGTTGTGGCCAAAATGTTGATAGTGATATGGACCATGAAGTTCAGGTCAATGAAGATGTAAATGAGGAACTTAGTGGGAAGTGGAGCAAACGTCATTCATGTTATACCTTAGCAAAGAGCTTGGCTGCATTCTATTTATGCCCTAGGGATCTGTGGAAGTTTGAACTTCAGAGTGACAACCTAGGATATCCGGTGGAGGAAATTTCTAAGCAGCAGTGTGCTCAAAATATTGCCTGGCTGCTTCTAACAGCCTACTCTCAGATGTAGAAGCAAAAATAAAAAATAAAAAATAAAAAAAAAAAAGAAAAGACTTAAAGTTGGAATTTATATTTGAAAGGGAAGCAGAGCATAAAAGTTTGGAAAATTTGCAGCTTGACCAGGTGCAGAAAAAGATAAAGCTTTCTTAGGACAGAATTCAAGCAGGCTGTGGAGCAACCACTTACTAGAAATATGTGCATAACTAAAAGGGAGCCAAGTGCTAACAACCAAGACAGTAGAAAAATGGCCTCAAAGTCATTTCAGAGACCCTTGTGGCAGCCCCTCCTATCACAGGCCTGGAGTCCTAGGAGGAAGAAACAGTTTTATGGGTCAGGCCCATGGGCCTGATGTGCTGCACAGCCTCGGGCCACTGCTTCCAGCATCCTGACTGCTCTGACTCCAGCCTTGGCTCAAAGGGCCCCATTTACAACTGTGGCTGCTTCTTCAGAGGGTGCAAGCAGTAAGCCATGGTGGCTTTCAGGTATTGTTAAGCTTGCAAGAGCACAGAATGCAAAAGTGAAGAAGCAGCCTCTACCTAGATTTCAGAGGTTATGTGGAAAAGCCTGTGTCTACAGATGGAATCCTGCTGTAATGGTGGAGCTTCCACAGAGAACTTCTATTCAGGCAGTACAGATGGAAAATGTGGGATTGGAGGCCCCAGTAGAGTCCCCACCGGGGCACTGCCTAGTGAAGCAGTAAAAAGGAGGTCACCATCATTGTTCTCCAGGTCCTAGAACGATAGATCAACTAGAAGTTTGTAATTTGTGCCTGAAAAAGCCACAGGCACACAACAAAATGTGAGAGCAGCTGCAGGGGCTGAACTCTGCAAAGCCACAGGAGTGGAGCTGCCCAAGGTCTTAGGACCCCGTGCCTTGCACCAGTGTGTCCTGAATGTGGTACGTTTAGTCACTGGAGATTATTTTGGAGATTTAAGATTTAATAACTACCCTGGTGGGTTTCAAGCTTTCATGAGGCCTCTAGCCCCTTTCCTTTGGTTGATTTCCCTCTTATGGAATGGCAATGTTACCGAATGCTTACACCACCATTGTGTCTTGGAATTAAATAACTTGTTTTTGATTTTATAAGCTCATAGGTGAAAGGGACTTACCTTGTCTCAGATGAAACTTTGGACTTTGGACTTCTGAGTTAATGCTAGAATGAGTTAAGAATTTGGGACATTGTTGAGAAGACATGATTTTATATTGTTGAGAAGACATGATTTTATATTGTTGAGAAGGCATAATTTTATTTTGCAACGTGAGAAGACTAGGAGATATCAGAGGGGGCAGGGGCAGAATGATATAGTTTGGATATTTGTCCCTGCCCAAATCTCATGTTGAATTGTAGTCCCTAATGCTGGAGGTGGGGTCTGGTGAGAGGTGTTTGGATCATGGGGGTGGATCCCTTATGCCTTGGTGCTGTCTTCACAATAGTGAGTGATTTCTCATGAGATCTGGTCAGTTAAAAGTGTGTAGCACCTCCCTCCCCAACTCTCTTTTGCTCCTGCTCTGATCATATTACATACCTGCTCCCCCTTCACCTTTTACTGTGATTATGAGCTTCCAGAGGCTCCTCTAGAAGCTTGAGCACATGCCAGCACCATGCTTCCTATGAAGCCTGCAAACTGTGAGCCAGTTAAACTACTTTTCTTTATAAATTATCTAGTCTCAGATATTTCTTTATAACAATGCAATAATGGCTTAACATATAAGAAATATATATTTTATTTTTCAAATCCATGCACCTATATGAACACTTAGGCTGATTCCATATCTTGGCTATTGTGAATTGTAGTGAGTATGGGAGTGCAGATAACTCCTTAACATATGGACTTCATTTCCTGTGGTTGTATACACAGAAGTGGGATTGCTGAATAGTACAATATGTCTATTTTTAACTTTTTGAGGAATCTCCATAATGGCCTTACTAATTTACATTTCGGCCAACAGTGTACAGTATCTTCTTTACTCTACATCCTTGCTAACACTGATTATCTTTTGTCTTTTTGATAATAGACCTCAGGTCACTATTTCTAAAAGCTTATTCATTTGTATCCCTTTGGGTTTATTTACTGTTGCTATAGACTGAATTGTAGTGCTTCAAAATTCATTGGTTGAAGTCCTAATCCCCAGAATGACTGTACCTGGGCATTGGGTATTTGGGAGGTAATTAAGATTAAGTGACATCATAAAAATGAGGTCCAAATACGATGGAACTGTGTCCTTATAAGAAGATAAAGAAAAATCTCTCTCTTCTCCCTCACTCTGCCATATGAGAGAGGTGGCTTTCTGCAAGCCAGGAAGAGGACACACATGCCAGGCACCAAATTGGCTAACACTTTGGTCTTGCACATCCCAGACTCCAGGACTCAGAAATAAATTTGTATTATTAAGCTACCCAGTCTGTGGTATTTTGTTATAGCAGCCCCAGCGGGCTAAAATCAATTGCTCTTATATATGTCACTTAATTTTTAGGCTTGAAAAACTCTACTACATATACCTTAACTTACTTGGATCAGATATATAATTCTTAGATTTATATCCTAAATAAATTAATAAATCAATCAAGGTTTTAAGGTTGAATTTATTTTGAATTTTTGTTGTTGTTGTTGAGACACAGTCTCACTTTGTCACACAGGCTGGACGGCAGTGGTGAGATCTCAGCTCACTGCAATATCTGCCTCCTGGGCTCAAGTGATCCTCCTGCCTCAGCCTCCTGACCATCTGGGACTGCAGGTGTACACCACCAACTCCTGGCCGATTTTTGTATTCTTTTTGTAGTGATGGGGTTTTGCTGTGTTTCCCAGGCTTATCTCTAACTCCTGGGCTCAAGTGATCTGCCTGCCTCAGTTCCCAAAGTGCTGGGATTACAGGTGTTAACCATTTCAGCCAGCTGGAAAATGTGTTTCAAAATAAAGTTAAATTTACTAAATTAAAAGTAAATGTAGGCTAGGCTCAGTGACACACCTATAATTCCGTACTTGGGGAACCTGAGGTGGGAAGATGCCTTGAGCTCATGAGTTAAAGACTAGCCTGAGCCAAAAAGCAAGTTCCTTTGTCTACAAGAAATTAAAAAAAAAAAAAAATAGCTGGGTGGGTGCAGTGGCTCATGCCTGTAATCTCAGCACTTTGGGAACCTAAGGTGGGAGGATCACTTGAGTTTGTCCAAGAGTCTGAGACCAACCTGGACAACATAGAAAAGACCTTGTGACTTAAAAAAAAAAAAAAAAAAAAAAGCCAAGGGTGGTGGCATATACTTGTTGTGGTCTCAGCTACTTGGAAGGCTGACAAGGGAGGATCACTTGAGCCTGGGTGAAGGCTCCAGTGAGCCATAATCATGCTACTGCACTCCAGCATGGGTGATGGAGTAAGATTTTATCTAAAAAATATAAAGAAATCATTTAAAAACTAAAATATCTAAACCACTTGTTTTTAAAATATATACACACAGAAATGCAATAAAGCTAAAGGTTATTTTATTTTATTTTTTTAATTTATGCTGGGCACTGTGGCCCATACCTATAATCCCAGCACTTTCAGAGGCAGAGACAGTCAGATTGATTGAGCCCAAGAGTTTGAGACCAGTCTGGGCAACATGGCAAAATACCAACTTTACTAAAAAATATTTAAAACTCAGCCACGCATGGTGGCACGCACCTGTGGTCCCCGCTGCTTTGGAGGCTGAGGTGGGAGGATCACTTGAGCCCAGGAAGCAGGGTCTGCAGTGAGCCATGATTGCACCACTGCACTTAGCCTGGGCACAGAGCAAGACCTTGTCTCAAAAAAAGTTAAATATAGGTTTATTCTCTGATGGAAATCATACTAGAATTTGGTTTGTCAACCATTTTAAATTTGTGATAATACAAATGGTAGCTAATATGCATTCAGTGATTTCTACATTCTGTAGGCATGTTACAATTTTTTTCCTTTATTCCTCAAAACAATTTCAAGAGATGAGTACTATTTTTAATGTATTTTATAGATATACTTTATAGATGAGGAACTGAATCATGGAAAGTTAAATAAATTGGGCAAAGTTACACAGTAGTATATGGGAGATCCATTTAACTCTATATAATATTATTCTTTAAAAATAATGTGTATTTACGTTAAACATTGTATTTTAGCTTAAATCATATTCATTTATGAATATAATGAAAGTTCAAGGCCCTTCCTCTCAGTATGTCTTTTTATTAGTTTCTGTAGACTCTTACTTTTTATAAAACTTGCCAAAACAACTATAATTCACCTAGTATCACTACTTGCTTTTTAAAAAAATAATTTAATGAAAAGTTAAAATCACTGGCAAGGCATTCTTTTAGATTTTACTGCCCTTTTCCTATCTTTCCTTTTTTTTTTTTTTTTTACTTAAATCTTACTGATACCTAATGTGTCAGTAAGTATGTCTTTTTTAATCAACTAGACTTTACCAAGGTTTTTTAAAGGTAGTCATTTTTTTATAGCTGTGTCTCAAATTTTCAGTTCTATTTAGTAAATTTATTTAAGTTGGATTAAATTACACAAATTTAGGAGAAACATTTAATGCTCCCCAAATGTGTGTATATGCCCCTGTATTTTCCAACTTTCCCTGCAGTTAGTTTGGTACCAAGAGTCTAACTATGGATAATGGGTTATAGGAGAAAGTGTGTAAATTCCTGTAAGAAGCAGAGATCTATGTTCTCCATGTTTTCTCTTCCCTTTCCCCAACAATCTTGAAGTCACATGTTAAAACTACATAAATGACATGATGGCCACTTGCGATATCATGATGGAAGTCAAGATTTTTGGGAGAGGACAGTTGATTAAAGTGTTGCCCAACATGCAGCAGACTTTGAATAAGCCAGAAGTAAATTTTTGTTTTGTTAAGCCACTGAGATTTGGAGGTTGATTTGTTTCAACCACATTACCTGGCCTATATTCATTGATGTAAGAGGATTTGGAGCTGTAATCATTCATTCTCACACTGCAAAAAAGACATACTTGAGAGTGAGTAATTAATAAAGAGGTTTAATTGACTCACAGTTTCACATGGCTGGGGAGACCTCAGGAAATTTATGGTCATGGTGGAAACATGTGCTTCTTCACAGGGCGGCAGGAAGGAGAAGAATGTGAGCAAAAGAGGGGAAACCCCTTATAAAAACCATCCGATCTTGTGAGAATTCACTCACTATCATGAGAACAGCATGGTGGAAACTACCCCCATGATCCAATCACCTCCTACCAGGTCCCTCCTTTGACATGTGGGGATAACAATTCAGATGAGATTTGGGTAAGGACACAAAACCAAACATTATCAGGAGGTAAGGCAGTTAACTCTTGGTAACCATAATAATTCACTTGATGGGAACAGGCATAGCACATTTGCAAAAAGTTTTCAGCCTACATTCTAGGCATTAGCATATTTTGTAGAAAGAAAAACTGGATTTTATCTTTCTAAACAGAGTTCTATTGTGTGCCTAAGTGCCTATGCCATTAATTTAAATGGCTTCACCAATCATTGCAAATTTATATGATTTTATCTTTTATCACAGAATATTTCTAATATCTTTAATTGGATTTCTTAGGATAAACCATACACATATTTTGAAAACACATGTACCTTATTCCTTTGACATAATACATCTTTATGAATTACTGGATATCAAAAAATAATTATTTTAAGCAGCAGCAAGTGAATGGAAAAAAATCCTACTATTTAAAATTTAATTCAGCTGTGCAAGGTTTTAATGACTTTTTGGAAAGCCCTAATGGTTTTACTATATGCCCATAGTTCATTATATGTAATAAACTATGTATTAAGCATGAATAAAAGGCAACAATAACACATTTTAATAAAAAAACTTAATTAACATATGTTGAATGTTAACTAATCTCTTAATCATGGCAGCAAGTATTATCAGCCAGAGAGTAGTAGACTATAAAGTGAGCACTTCCTATCTCCATCATGCTAGTTGATTGGAGAAGACAGTGACACATAGGTCATATTAACACGTTAATTTCTGAAGGGAAATTATTCAAGCAGAGTAAGTCTTCATTTATTTAAAAGGTATTTCTCACCTTAATACAATTTAATGTATTATCAATAAAAGTGAAATTACAACTACTGTATATCAACAATCTCTGGAGGGTTCTACTTTATTAACGTGCATCATAATTCATTGCAATTTAGCACATAGTATTCTGGCACAATAGTAGAATACCTGCTGATTAATATTTGCTGTGGAAATAGTAATGTGCTCATTATGACTTGGGTAAGAAATGAGCATTGCTGATTGACTGCACAAATGAAGTAAATAACAATTCCATCTAGTAACTCATCAAAATGATGAGAGATTCCATGGAGACTCTGCCAGTGAAAAATCAATCATTGTCGGATGGAGAATATTTACAAAATTCTGAGGACAAAGATGTTAAAAGTATGTGATGATTTCTCTGTTTTCATATTTTATTATCCTTGAGAAATGTTTACTTATATGTTTTGAATTTGCTCCTTCCGTGTTCTTAGATTGTAGCTATATTATGCAGTAATTAGCAATTTCAAAACTAATTGCTTAATATAAATAAAAATTTTATGGATTGCCTTCCATTTTCCTAGGTACTGTGTTAAAAGTGGCAACAGAAAGATAAATACATCTTAGCATCTTCTTTTAATATTTCATAATATCGTGATGTGAATTTGTAAATACATAATCTTAACATGCCAAAATTTTTGCTAAATGCATGTTTTGGTATGTGTGGATACTGACACAACTATGGGGACAAGGACATTTTCAAATATACATTTTGGGGTTCACAGCTATACTAATAAAATGTACCAGCAAACACTAAACAATTCTTGGTACAATTCAAGTTGCTGAATGAAAAAAAATATAAGTATCTTTTAATCTCCTAATATAATAAATTTTACACTGTGAAATTACATCAGATATGATCAATCTCTATTATTTTATATAGAATATACACACACACAGACACACATAGACTGCTCTAGATCTAGCATTAAAATAGGAACAAGAAATTAACATGGCTAAAAAGATCATAGACATGGATCATAATTGATGTAATCTCACAGTGTAAAATTTATTAGCAGATTAAAAGATATTTATAATAGTATATATATATATATATATATGAAATCAACTTCCCCTTTGTATCTTATTCATTAAAATTAGTGATTCTGAGACACTAATTTGCCATGTAAATAACCAATGCATTCTTATGCCTAGAGATTTTGTTAATAATACATCAAAAATGTCTTTCATCTCTTGCTTCTTGCCGTTCTCAGTTGCAGGTTATGTGGTGTATACATATGTGTGTGTGTGTGTTTAAGGGGGATGTGTATTTCAAAAGCAGAGCTTCACTTTTAAAGCAGACATAAATAAAAAACAATATTCACCTTGTGCAGATATGTGACAACTAAGAACTCATTGTTTGGGTTGAGACCCCAGGCATGCTGCATATTTATAACCTGTTCCCTGGGCTTCAATCTAAGTCTAGAAAATACTGAACTATACTTTAGCTATAATGGCTTGGGTAGAGACTTTGGTAGTTGATTTGGATCAACTAAATCAAGGGGACAGTGCAGAAATCAACCATACTAAGGGTTGAGAGACACATAAATCAACAGCATCGAAGCCACCTTGCACTTAGGCAGATCTGATTAAGTTTGTTCTCTGGCAGTAGGTTAGATAGAAGCATTAGACTTTGAGTAGAGCAAAGTAGTAACAGCATCTGGAATAATAATGTTTCCTGTAACAAATGACCCAACAGAATAACTTGGATAATGTGGCAAATCTGTTTTGTTACATTAAAGACAGAAAAATGTATATTAGGTTTTTCTAAAATTTTGTTCCAGAGGGAGGGGGGCTCCAAGCCGAGAGAGAAAAACCCTGTGTGTGGCACAAACATAGTCGGTTATATTGGGAGGCTGGAGGAGGCGGTGTCTTATTTGCACAGGGCCCAGGGGATTGGTTTGACCAGGTGTGTCATTCATGTAGCCCACGAAAAACCTGGCCCTCCCAGCTTAGATTTTAATATGCAAATGTGGGCCACCATGATGTCCCGTGCTGGTGGTGTTATCTGGAGGCAGCCATGACACCTGGCACACATGGTGACATGGAGAAGAGGGTGGGAACTGCTGTGTTGGGTGGACCTAGTTTCTCATCGTCGGTATTTGCATATCAACACTTGCCGGCCTGGTTTTCAAGCCGCCTTGCTGTTAGAAAAGAAATGTTTCCAGAGCTGTTTTTATTTTTTAAAAAATTCCCCCAAGAACCTTTACCCTCTCTAGTTGCCTAAAAATTATTTCTCAATAACTCCTGTATTACTTCTGTGTAGAGTCAACTTCATTCCTGAAATCACTTGAATTAGTTTACAATGTGCCATATTGTGTGGGTAGAACAAAATAAATACTTGTGTTGGTAGAGCAAATAAATGCAGGAAACTGAAGCACATGAAAAATAAACATTGGATAAAGTCTGGAATAAGATTAATTTGGGAGACAGGTTATTCCTTAAGGTTTTCCACAGTTCTCAGAAGTCAGTTGCAAATTTATCAATCAAAATTTTTAGGCACCAAATTAAAAACAATAAAAAAGTAAAGTAAAGCTAATAGTATTTAGATGGAATATAAACAAGTTAGTTCTGACACATAAGTTTTTAATTTTTCCCTGTGAACATTCAATGAGAGGAATTCAATATGAGGTATTAGAAGAGATGTTTGAGCTGGTGGCTCATTACTGCAATCTCAACACTTCGGGAGGCTGAGGCGGGAGAATTGCTGGAACCCAGGAGTTTGAGACAAGCCTGAGCACACGGTAAGACCCCATCTCTACAAAAAATAAAAAATTATCTGACTATGGTGGTGTGCACCTGTGGTCTCAGTTACTCAAGTAGCTGAGGCAGAGGATCACTTGAGCTTGGGAGGTTGAGGCTGCAGTGATCACACCAATGCACTCAAGCCTGGGCAACAGAGCGAAACCATGTCTAAAAAAGAAAAAAATGTTTAAGCCATACATATAATTATCAGAAATACTGAAATATGTTTTCTTATGGCATTTCTTAGGTTTTATACCCTTGCTGAGGTAGTATAGTAACAAATTGCAATACAACAAAGGCATATCTGTCAAGGATGGAAACTTAATCCAAGTATGATATGGAATAAAGTAAGCAACACAAATATCAACTACCTAGAAACAATGGTGATTGTTGCTAACTTTTAGGCATATGTTGCATACGTTTTGGATTGTATGCCAAAAGTCAGCCTAAATAGCCCTGGAGAAGCTTAAGGAAAGTGTTAAGTGAAATCTAGAAGGGGCCCAAGCAAAATATTAAATGTATAAAGGTATGGAGGAGGCTCTCAGTGAGGGATTGAACAAAGATGAGAATGTGCACTGGAAACTGGGGAACGAAGACCCTTATTAGAGAGTGGTGGTAATTTGGCAGTGCTGTAACCTGCATTGTGAAAAACAGGATATATATTTAATGAACTGTAAAACTTAGCGAAGAAGATTTCCAGGAAGAATTGACTACTTCTTGCTGTGCAGGAAATATAAGACAGAAAGAAATGAGCTAAATATAAAGAAGCCAGGGCTTCTTGAATTAGAAAATAAAACTCTTTCTCATCCCCACCCTCTCCAGATGTCTGGCAATTCTCAAGTTAAATAATGACTTCTAAGACAGATATGATCCAGACTTCTATCAGGAAAACATGGTAAAGGTAAAAGCAAGGGGGTGATGTAAAGCCTTTTGTTAACACCTCAGAAGATCTTTGCTACTCTTCTGAAAACAAGAGCCAAGTTCAATGGAAGAGGAAAGCTGACCCAGAGTGCAGAGTCAAGAGCCACAGAGAACTAGGAAGAAGGGCTGAGCCTTAATTAACTGAAACTGGAATCATAAACTTGGCTTCATTTAAGGTTGTTGGTAAATGAAGGCAAAGAAATAAATGAAAAATGTCAATTTTTCTTAACTCTTATGGAAAGATTTGTCTGTGCATGGAATTCTGGGTTGATGACCATTTTCTTTCTTTGTCTTCAAGTATTTGCAATTGTTTATGAAATCTATATTTTGAATTTTGGGTCTCTACACTGTGAGTAGCATGAATCCCGTAACTTCCAATGCTGTCAAGTCCTTTTCTACACAGTTTCCCCGCCTCATGCCCATAAGCTTAGCTTTGTCTACTGCTTTCCTTGACTGTGCCGAGCTTTTCTTTACCTATACTGTATAAGAGAAATTCTTACTGAACAACCTGAACAAACCTTTACATACTGAACAAATTTTTGGGTTTTTGAATCTCAGTTGCAACATTTACTAAGAAGGTAGACTTGGACAACTTACTTAAATTCTCTGTGCCTCTTTTTATCTGCAAAAATTGTGAGTTTTACGGTTTAAATGAATAAGCATTTAGAAAAATGAATAGAATTGATGTCACTAACATTTTCATTATTTATTATATTACCAGTATTATTCTTACTATTTGAGGTGACCTGGTAAATTGCTTAAACTTATTAACCTGACCTGTGACTTTGGAGTGGATTGGTCACTTACAAGGCTCTGTAATGATATAATAGAACAATTCCTAATAGCAATGATTCTAGAGGCCAGGGCACTGGCTGATGAAATTAGTTTTCTTAAACTCTCTATGTCTTTACTGAAGGCTTCAACTGTCCTTGACAATTTCTTATTAAGAAGATTATGATGGGGGAACTTTAACAAATTTTTATTCATTTTCTCTTTTAATACAGTAAGGCATTCATTTTGTTATCTATAATCTAAATGTCTACATGAAAAATTAATTTCAACCAAAATGTCTTAAGGTTTGAAAAATTCTTCTGTTATTATTCATTGGCATATTTTAGTCTTCTGGGGACTTATTTTCTTTAAAAAGAGAAAAGGCTGAGAAGGAAATGGATCTTTGATGTGTTTTCATGTTTTCTTTCCAAGTAGTCTCTGAGGTGATGTGACAATCTCCTCTGGTGGCACTGGCTCGCTTTTGTAGAACTTAACTTCTAAAGCAAAATTATAAAGTTAAGTTTAAAAAAATAAATCTGGAAATACTAGATATTCCAGAATGTAAAAAAAAAATGGTATGACAGTAAAATATTTTTTTGGTTGTGTTACTGGTGGCAGGTATCTGAGTTACTGGCAGCGAATCCATGTGGGTCTGCAGCAACCTCAATTCTTGCCTCCTCAGAAGAAAGAATTTGACTGAGGGGTATAAAGCAGAAAATGCGACCAATGCAAGTTTTAAAACAGGAGTGGAAGTTCATTAAAAAGCTTTAGATCAGGAAAGAAAGGAAAGTGCACTTAGAAGAGATCCAGGTGGGTGACTTGAAGAACAAATGCCCAATTTAACTGTGATGCTAGGACTTTATAGGCTAGCATCTTGCATCCCTTTCCCGTGATTCTTTCCTGAGGGTGGGCTGCCGGCATGCGCAGTGCATTTCTTACCCTTGGAAACTGAGCACATGCCGTGTGTTTAGGAAGTTGTATGCTTGCCCATCTGAGGCTTTCTTCCTTTTTCCAGTGGAGTGCCCCTGGAAGGTGGGCATGCCACCTTCTCTTCCATTTTGTCTCTTATGACCATGCCTGGGCTCACTCACCTAATACCTGAGATTTTATTGGAATCCCTTTTTCTTCTTCCAGGTGGGCTGCCTGCATTCAATTAACACTTTAATGTTAACAGCTGTGGATAAGCAGGAGATTGTCTCTCCCAGGTGCTGGTAATGTGATAACGGTGGAACCTGACATTCCTAGTGGGTGGAGGAGAATAGTCTTCTCCTGTTCTGCTCATGCCTGCCTAACTACCCGTAACAGTTGTATCCCATTACTATTGGAATTGTTAACTGCTGCCCAATCAATGGAATAAATAAGTAAGTGATAGATAGAATACCTTGATGCAATCTTTCTTTAAGCAGAAAAAGAGCAGAGAGTTTAGAATTCTTTTGAAAGTTTTCACCATGTTGAGATTGCCATAAATTGTGTGATATGGTTTGGCTCCCAAATCTCGAATTGTACTCCCATAATTCCCATATCTTGTGGGGGGGATCTGGTGGGAGATAATTGCATCATGGGGATGATTTCCCCAATACTGTTCTCATGGTAGTGAATAAGTCTCACAAGATTTGATGGTTTTCCTTTTGCATCATCCTCATTCTCTTTTTGCCTGCTGCCATCCATATAAGACGTGACTTATTCCTCCTTGCCTTTCAGCATGATTGTGAGGCTTTTCCAGCCATGTGGAACTGTAAATCCAGTTAAACCTCTTTATTTTGTAAATTTCCCAGTCTCAGGTATGTCTTTTTCAGCAGCATGAAAACAAACTAATACAGTAAATTGGTACCAGTAGGGTGGGGCATTGCTGAAAAGATATCTGAAAATGTGGAAGTGACTTTGCAACTGGGTAAAGGGCAGAGGTTGGAACAGTTTGCAGGGCTCAGAAGAAGACAGGAAAATGTGGGAAATTTTGGAACTCCCTAGAGACTTGTTGAATGGCTTTGCCCAGAATGCTGATAGTGATATGGACAATGAGGTCCAGGCTGAGGTGGTCTCAGATGAAGATGAGGAACTTGTTGGAAACTGTAGTAAAGATGACTCTTGTTGTGTTTTAGCAAACAGACTGGCAGCATTTTACCCCTGCCTTAGAGATTTGTGAAACTTTGAACTTGAGAGAGATGATTTAGGGTATCTGGCAGAAGAAATTTCTAAGCAGCAAAGCATTCAAGAGGTGACTTGGGTGCTGTTAAAGGCATTCAGTTTTAAAAGGGAAAAGCATAAAAGTTTGGAAAATTCATAGCCTGACAATGTGATAAAAAAGAAAATCCCATTTTCTGAGGAGAAATCCAAGCAGGCTGTAGAAATTTGCATAAGTATCAAGAAGCTGAATACTAATCCCCAAGACAATGAGAAAAATGTCTCCAGGGCATGTCAGACATCTTCACGGTAGCCCTTCCCATTACTGGCACAGAGGACTAGAAGAAAAAAGAGGTTTCCTGGGCTGGGCCCAGGGTCCCTGTGCTGTGTGCAGCCTAGGGACTTGGCGCCCTGCGTCCCAGCCACTCCAGTGGTGGCTGAAAGGGGCCAACATACAACTTGAGCAGTGGCTTTGGATGGTGCAAGCCCCAAGCCTTGACAGCTTCCATGTGATGTTGAGTCTGTGGGTACACAGAAGTCAAAATTGAGGTTTGGGAACCACCGCCTAGATTTCAGAAAATACATGGAAATGCCTGGATACCCAGGCAGAAGTTTGCTGCACGGGCAGGGTTCTCATGGAAAACCTCTGCTAAGGCAGTGCAGAAGGAAAATGTGGGGTCAGAACCCCCACACTGAGTCCCTACTGGGGCACTGCCTAGTGGAGCTGTGAGAAAAGGACCACCATCCTCCAGACCCCAGAATGGTAGATCTACCAACAACTTGCACCATGTGCCTGGAAAAGCCATAGACACTCCATACAAGCCCATAAAAGTAACTGGGAGGGAGGCTGTACCCTGCAAAGCCACAGAGGCAGAACTGCCCAAGACCATGGGAACCCACTTCTTGCATCAACAGGACCTGGATGTGAGACATGAAGTGAAAGAAATCATTTTGGAGCTTTAAGATTTGACTGCCTTGTTGGATTTCAGACTTGCATGGGCCCTGTAGCCCCTTTGTTTTGGCCAATTTCTCCCATTTGAAATGGTTGTATTTACCCAATGATTGTACCCCCATTGTGTCTAGGAAATAACTAGCTTGCCTTGATTTTACAGGCTCATAGGTGGATGAGACTTGCCTTGTCTCAGATGAAACTTTGGACTGTGGACTTCTGAGTTAATGTTGAAATGAGTTAAGACTTTGAGGGACTATTGGGAAAGCGTGATTGGTTTTGAAATGTGAGGACGTAAGATTTGGTAGGGGCCAGGGGTGAAATGATATTGTTTGGCTCTGTGTCCCCACCCAAATCTCATCTTGAATTATACTCCCATAGTTCCCACCTGTTGTGGGAGGGACCAGTTGAGAGATAACTGAATCATGGGGATGGTTTCCCCCATACTGTTCTCATGGTAGTGAATAAGTGTGGTTTTATCAGGGGTTTCCACTTTTGCATCTTCCTCATTCTCTCTCTGCATGCTGCCATCTGTGTAAGATATGACTTGCTCCTCCTTGCCTTCCACCATGATTGTGAGGCTTCCCCAGCCACGTAGAACTCTAAGTCCAATTAAACCTCTTTATTTTTTAAGTGCCCGGTCTCAGGTATGTCTTTATCAGCAGCGTGAAAACAAAATAATCCAGTGTGTGAGTGCCTGTGTATGTGTGGGTGGAAGTGTGCATTTGGAAACAAGAACATTCATCTTCTTATGGATGCTTGACTATGCTTTACCCTTGCTTTTGCACAGCTTTACAGATAATATCCCAGCATTTTAAAAGGTAAGACATGGTCTGAATGGCTTGCTATAAATATTAAATAAACTAGAAGTTTCACACTATAAAACTGTGTGACAGTCCTTCCACAGTCCCTGAAATAAGTGTTATTAAAATATCCAAATTGTCAGGAAGGTCATATTGGAAATACAGAAAAGCACATATAGGCACTTAAAAATTCATAGAATATTGGGAGAATATCATTTGTTGATAAGAATTAAATGAATAAACACTGCAAGACCTGGGAAAGATTAGAAGATGACTTTAGGACAAAATTCCATGAAATTCTGCCTTGAGAGGTTTCAGGATGTCCTCTAGAATGTATGCTTGAAGTGAGAAAGAAAAGTATGCTCATTGTTTTTGTGTTGCTCCTGGATAAGGATGCTCTTGGTTTCCTTCTAGACTCTGCTAACCACTAACCAGCCCATGCCCTGTTTACTAGTTGCTGTGAGTGATGGCTGCGCTCTTTAAAGAGGTACCCTGTCCAAACAAGATCTTCCTCACCAGCCAGTAAGGCTCTGTCATCTCTAGTACTCACCCTCCACCCTCCACAAGGGAGAAAAGGACAGGTCCCTGATACATGGGAAAAAAATTATTTTTTGACAAAATTCAGCTTTAAATTTCTCTATGGTATCAGGCTGATCCTTGCTTAGATGTTTTTTTCCTTCCCTTTCTGAGAATTCTCGCTTCCTTTCTAAGAACACTCTTGTACTTACTCAACAAACATTTCGGTCTCAGTCTCTGTTTCAGGGGAAACAACCAAAAGAACCTATGAAAGAAAGTACCTTAAAAATTTTCCAATTATTACCAGTTGTTAATGACAATTAACACATCAATGCTTTCTTAGAAATAAAGTTGGGGAAGAATGCTTTTCCAGTGAGCAAAGTTCAGACATAGAATAATGAAAAGAAAGAAGGAACACAAAGTCTTTTATTATTTAAATAAAGAAATAACCGTAACTTTGACAATACAGTTTGCTGCTTCTCTCTGCTGAAGAAAGCTAACTGGGACTATCTATTTTCTTTTGAGATTTATTTTGGTAGTATAGCATTAATAATCTCACTAGAAAGAGGATTATTTAAATTAATGCTAAGAATTTCACCCTTTTTGTGTATTTTTTATGGGCACAAAATTATGCATTAGATCACTTTTTAATGCTTTTTATTGTCTGAATAATCTGTAGTTATCTTTCATGTTTCTGTCATTAGTTTGTCCAATTTTTCTTATTTCTTCTTGATTCATATCACCAGACATCAAACAACCTCCTGTTTTCTTAAAATGTTGCTAATATTATTTTTTTTTGCCTTTGTTGATTCTCTCTGGTCTATTTTCCCTATTTCATTAATTTTTGTATTTACATTCATTTCCTCCTTTCTTTGTCTGTTTATTTTTCTCTCTTTAATTCCATGGGCTTATGCTTAGTTATTGATTTTGTGATTCTTGCCTTTTAAACACAAGTAGTTTATTGCATTTCTTATGCGAAAGGAAAATATCTTGGGCCTGCAAAAATCACTAAGCTAAAAGGAAAATTCAAGCAGGAAACTTCTCAGGGCAAACCTCCTCCCATTCTATTTAAAATTATCCCCCTTATGGCTGAATGCATATTCTGATTGCCTCCTTTGGAAAGGCTAATCAGAAATTCAGAAGAGTACAACCATTTTTCTCTCACCTGTCTGTGACCTGGAAGCTCCTTCCCTGGAGTTTGTCCTTGCCTTTCTGGATAGAACCAACGTACTTCTTACATATATTGATTGATGTCTCATGTCTCCCTAAAATATATGAAACCACGCTGTGCCCTAACCACCTTGGGCACATGTAATCAGGACTTCTTGAGGCTGGGTCATGGGTGCGCATCCTCAATCTTGGTAAAATCAACTTTCTAACATAACTGACACCTCTCTCAAATTTTGGGGGTTCACACTTATTACACACAGGCTTATTTGCCTGTGTTTAATATGTGTTCACATTTCATAATTTCATTATTAATCAACTAAAATTTAATTTAACTCTGGTATACTTACAGGTACTGCGAAGGTTAATTTTAAGGGTCAATTTGACTGCTAAGGGATGCCTACATAGCTGGCAAAACATTATTTTGAGGTAAGTCTGGTAGGTGTTTCCAGAAGACATTAATCTTTGAATCTATAGACTGAGATAAGAGCCACCCTTCCCAGTGTGGGTGGGTATCATTCAACTGGTTGAGGGCTTGAATTGAACAAAAAGGTAGAGGAAGTGCATGTTTGCTTTCTTTTCTTGAGCAAGGACTTCCATTTTCTGGTTCTCAGGCCCTTGAATTCAAACTGAATGACACCACTGGCTCTCCTGGTTCTCTAGCTTGCAGGTTGCAAATCACAGGACTTCTCAGCCTTTGTAATGAGATACTTACATAAATATTCTCTTTGATCAGGAAAAGAGCAAGAAGAGTTTACAGCTTTGCTGGAAATATTCTCCATGGTGAAATGCACACACAAAGACACAAGTACATATCTTTAGGTTTGGTTTATCTGGAGAACCCTGAGTAACACAGGTACAATGCTTAAATACCAAAAATATGATACTCTTTTTATTATCTTTATTTCTAATCGAAATGTAGATTTTCATGATTTAAAATTTGTCGAGACTTGTTTTTTTGTCATGAAAACAATGGTTTTGCATGTAATAGATATTACATTTGAGCTTGAAAATTATTCTGAAGTTGTGGGTGTGATGTTTGTGAACCCAAAAAATCTGAGACAGTTCTCATTAATTTAGAAAGTTTATTTTGCCAAGGTTGAGGACGTGCCCGTGACACAGCCTCAGGAAGTCCTGATGACATGTGCCCAAGGTGGTCAGGGAATAGCTTGATTTTATACATTTTAGGGGGACATGAGACATCAGTCTATGTAAGAAGTCCATTGGTTCTATCTGGAAAGGTGGGACATCTTGAAACAAGGGAAGGGAGACTTGAAGTAGGAAGGGATCTTCTGGGTCACAAATAGGTGAGACAAAATGCTTTTATTCTTTAGAGTTTCTGCTTAGCCTTTCCAAAGGAGGAAAAAAGATATGCATCTATCTCAGTGAGCAGAGGGATAACTTTGAATAGAATGGGAGACAGGTTTGCCCTAAGAAGTTTCCAGCTGGAGTTTTCCTGAGTGATTTTGGGGCCCCAAGATATTTTCCTTTCATATGTTCCGTACATGTTTCTTGTGTTAAGTTTGTCGATGCTTTTACTTTTTACTGTGTGTTTTTCTTTTAATGATAATACATGGAATTTTTAAGTTCCTCCTTTCAGTTCTATTTATTTTACATATTTTGAAACTATGTTATAAGATAAATACACATGTCATTTGTACTAATTTACATTCCGACCAACAGTGTACAATGGTTCCTTTTTCTCCACATCCTCTTCAGCATTCATTATTGCCTGTCTTTTGGATAAAAGCCATTTGAACTAGGTTAAGATGATATATATTGGAGTACGCATTTGCATGTCTCTGATGATCAATGATATTGAGCACCTTTTCATGTACCTGTTTTCCATTTGTATGCATTCTTTTGAGAAATATCTCTTTATATATATTGCCCATTTAAAAATTGAATTGTTATATTTTTTCTTATTGATTTGTTTGAGGTCCTCGTATTCTGGTTATTAATCTCTTGTCAGATAGATAGCTTGTAAATATTATCTCCGATTCTGTGGGTTGTCTCGTGACTTTGTTGATTGTTTCCTTTTCTGTGCAGAACCTTTTTCACTTGATGTAATCCCATTTGTCCATTTTTGTTTTGATTACCTGTGCTTGTGGGGTATTACTCAAGAAATCTTTGCCGAGATCAACGTCCTGTAGAGTCTCCCCAAAGTTTTCTTTTAGTAGATTTATGGGTTAAGATATTAGATTTACATCTGTAATCCTTTTTTATTTGATTTTTGTGTGTGGCAAGCGATAGGGGTTTCGCTTCATTCTTCTGCATTTGGATATCCAGTTTTCCCAGCACCATTGATTGAAGAGACTATTCTACTCCAATTTATGTTTTTGGCACTTGTATTAAAAATGAATTTACTCTAGGCATATGGGTTTATTTCTAGGTTCTCTATTCTATTCCATTGGCCTATGTGTCTGTTTTTGTGTCAGTACCACACAGTTTTGGTTGGTATAGCTCTGTAGTATAATTTGAAATCAAGTAATGTGATTCCTCTAGTTTTGTTCTTTTTGTTCAGGATAGCTTTGTCTATTCTGGGTCTTTTGTGATTTCATACAAATTTTAGGATTGTTTTTCATATGTCTGTGAAGAATGTCATTGATATTTTGATAGGGATTCATGGAACATGTAGATTTCTTTGGGTATTAAGAACATTTTAACTATATTAATTATTCTACTCCATTAACAGAATATCTTTCCAATTTTTTGAGTGCACTTCAAATTTTTGAATCAATGTTATATAGTTTACATGGTAGAGATCATTCACTTCTTTAGTTAAGTTTATTCTTAGGTATTTCATTTTATTTGTAGCTATTATAAATATCTTTAACTTCTTGATTTCTTTTTTCAGATTATTCACTGTTGGCATGTAGATATGCTATTGATTTTTTGTATGTTGGTTTTGTATTCTGCAACTTTACAAAATTTGTTTTTCGGTCCTTATTTTTTTGATGTAGTCTTTAGGTTTTTGCAAATATAAGATCATATCATCTGCAAGCTAGAAAGAATAATTTGACTTGTTCCTTTCCAATTTGGGTGCCCCTTATTTCTTTCTTTTGTTTGATTGTTGTAGCTAGGACTTCCACTACTATGTTGAATAACAGTGATGAAAGTTGGCATCCCTGCCTTTTTTCAGGTCCTAGAAAAAAATAACAGTGATGAAAGTTGGCATCCTTGCCTTTTTTCAGGTCCGAGAGAAAAGGAATTCAATTTTTTCTTATTCAGTATAATACTAGCTGTAAGTCTGTGGTATAAGGCTTTTTATTATGTGATTTGTTCCTTCTATATGCAGTTTTTTTTAAAACACGAAAGGATGCTGATTTTTATCAAATGCTTTTTCTTCATAAATTGAAATGATCCTATGTTCTTTTCTTTATTATGTTGATAGGATGTTTCACATTGATTGATTTGTATATGTTGAGCCATCCTTGCATCCTGGGTATAAATCACATGTGTTCATGATAAATAATCTTTTTAATGTGTTGTTGGATTCAGTTTGCTAGTATTTTACTGCAGATTTTCATATCAGTGATCAACAGGGATACAGGCCTTTGTTTGATATGTCTTTGGTTTTGGCACCACAGTAAACTGGCTTCACAGAATGATTTGGATAATATTCCCTCTTCTACTTTTTGGAATAGTTTGGATAGAATTTGTATTAGTTCTTCTTTAAATCTTTGTTACAATTTAACAGTGAAACCACTGGGTTCCAGGCTTTTCTCCACTGGGAGACTTTTTGTCATAACTTTGATCTCTTGGTAGGTTGTATATTTCTAGGAATTTATTCATTTCTTCTAGGTTTTACATTTAATTGACATATATAGTTCCTTATAGTAGTCTCTAATTATCCCTTGAATTTCTGTGGTATTAATTGCACTGTCTCCCTTTTCATTTCTGATTTTATTTGCCTCTTATGTCTTTTTTTCTTGGTTAGTCTGGCTAAATATTTGTCAATTATTTTACTTTTTCAAAAAGCCAACTTTTTATTTTATTTATATTTGTATTGCTTTTCTCATTTCAAATTCATTTATTTCTGCTGTGATCTTTCTTTTTTTCTACTAATTTAGGCTTTGATTTGCTTTTACTTTTCTAGTTTTTTAAGATGCAGCATTAGGTTTTTTGAAGTTTCTCTACTTTTTTGATGCAGGCAGTTATTGCTATATTACTGTTTTCACTGTATCTCATAGATTTTGTATGTCATGTTTTCATTTTCATATGTTTCAGGACATTTTAAAATTTTCTATTTAATTTCTTCATTGATGCTCTAGTCATTCAGCAGCTTATTGTTTAAGTTCTGTGTGTATGTTAGTTTCCAAATTTCTTCTTGTTATTGATTTCTGATTTTATTCCATTGTGTTCAGAGAATATATTTAGTATAATTTTAGGGTTTTTGAATTAAGTATCTTTTGCAGCCTAATATGTGGTCTATCCTTGAGAATGGTGGATGTGTTGAGAGGAAAGAAGAATGTGTATTCTGCCGCCTCTGGATATAATCTGTGAATATTTCTTAGGTCCATTTGGTCTATAGTGCAGATTAAGTCTGATTTTTTGTTTTTGGTGTTGACTTTCTGCCTGATTGGTCCAATGCTGAAACTGGGGTGTTGAAGTCTCCAGGTGTTACTGTATGGGGGTCAATGTTCCTCTTTAATAATATTAGCTTTGTGTATTTGAGTTCTCCAGTGTTGGATGCATATGTATTTATAAGGGTTATAACCTCTTGCTGAATTGACTGCTTCATTATTATATAATAAACTTGTTTGTCTTTTATAGTTTTTGTCTTGAAATCTATTTTTTCCAAAATTAGTGTAGTTACTCCAGCTCTTTTTTGGTTTCTACTAATATGGAATATATTTTTCCATCTCTTTATATTCATTCTGTATTTGTCTGTATGGGTGACATGTGGTTCTTGCAGGCAACAGATCATTGTGTCATTTGTTCTCTTTTTTTAATTCAGCTACTCTATGTCTTTTCATTGGCGAGTTTAGTTCATTAACATTTGATAAATATACATACATACATACTTACTGAATGTAAACAAACTAAACTCTCCAATGAAAGAATAAGTATGAACTCACTTCTGCTATGTTAGTATTTGTTTTCTGGTTGTTTTGTGGGCTTCTCATACTTCTTTTCTTCCCTTCTGCCTTTCTTTCAGTGAAGATTATTTTCTCATATTGTGTATTTTAATTTCTTGCTTTCTATTTTATGTGTATCTGTTGTATGTATTTTGATTTGAGGTTACTGTGAGACTTGCAAATAACATCTTATAACCCATTATTTTAAATTATGACAACTTAACAATGATTGACTAAACAAACTAGCAAACAAGCAAAGAGAAAACTAGTAAAATATTAAACTCACACTTTAACTTCATCTCCCAATAGGTTCATCTTTCTACTCAAGATATGAGTAGTTTACACACCATGATTACAGTGTTAGAATGGTCTGTTTTGTATACTTACTATTACTAGTGAGTTTTGAACCTTCAGATGACTTCTTATTGTTCACTAACATCCTTTTGTTTCTGACTGAAGAACTTCCTTAGGTAATACTTTTGATTTTATCCTTTTTGTATCCACATATTTTAGATCTGAATTTTAAAAACAGACTGTAGTATTGTTTAGTTTTACCTTTTGTAGTCTGCTCTAATAATACTTTGATTTTATTTAGAGCATTTAGGCCATAATGGCTTAATATAATTACTGCTATATTTGGTTTTAAGTATCTTATTTATGTTCTTTTTATTATCTTATTTATTTTTTATGATCTTATTTATTTATTATCTTATTATAGTATTTTATTCATGGTCTTTCTTTGCCCTACCTACTTCTTTTTTCTCTCTCCTATTTTAACTTTAATTAAACTGGACATTTTTCACTATTTCATTTTCTTAGTAGAGAATATAGCATGGATATTTTATGTTATCATCATTCCAAAAATACAAGGTCCCTAGTACCCTTTTAAGTTTATTCATTTTCTTCTATATTTGGGCTATTTTGCTATGAGTTTCTCTATATTTTAATGCCACATGCAATTATAATTATTGTTTCATGCATTCAATATTAATTTAGATTTAATACTTATATATAGTTTTTTTGTGCTCTCTTTGTTTCTGTTTTTGTCTTATATACAGAAAAATCAATTTCTGTGCTTTGACTTTTAAGTTCTGGAATTTTTATTTTGGTAAGATTTATATTTTTTAGTTATCTAACAACATTCTTATTTTTCTTTTTATATCTTTAACCAAAGGAAATATAGTGGTTTTAAAGCATATAATACAAATATCTGAAGCCCTATTAATTTATATGTATATATACATATATGCATATGCATATATAAATTGATTCATGGGGTTTTCACTCTCATGATTTAATCACCTCTCAAAGTGTCCACCTCCTAATGCCCTCACATCCGGGATTAGGATTTCAACTTACAAATTTTGTGAGGGCACAGACCTTCAGACTGTTATGATAGTATATAGAATTCTTGTATACCCTAGACCCAGTTTTCCCTATTAACATCTTACATGAATATAGTACAGTAGGTTCCCCCAGTATCTATAGTTTTGTTTTCCCCAGTTTCAGTTATGCATATGAACTGTGGTTCAAAATATTACTGTATTTTGAGAGAGAGGGAATGAGAGAAAGAGAGAAAGGAGAGAGAGAGACCACATTCACATAACAATTATTACAGTATATTATGGTTTTATATTTTATTATTACTTATTGTTGTTATTTCTTATGGTGCCTGATTTATAAATTAAACTTTATCATAGTTATGAGTGCATAGGAAAAAACGCATAGTATATGCATAGTATATATAGGGTTTGGTACTATTTATGGTGTCAGGTATCTGCTGTGGTCTTGGAATATATCCCCCAGGCATAAGGCAGACTACTGTATATTTGTTTAAATTAATGAACCAATACTCATACATTATTATCAACAAGTCATATTTTTCGTATTTTCTTTTTTTTTCTCTTTTTTTTTTTTTGACAGAGTCTCACTCTGTCGCTCAGGCTGGAGTGCAGTGGCAAGATCTCGGCTCACTGCAAGCTCCGCCTCCCGGGTTCACACCTTTCTCCTGCCTCAGCCTCCTGAGTAGCTGGGAGTACAGGCGCCCGCCACCACGCCCCCCTAATTTTTTGTATTTTTAGTAGAGACGGGGTTTCTCCATGTTAGCCAGGATGGTCTCGATCTCCTAACCTCATGATCTGCTGGACTCTGCCTCCCAAAGTACTGGGATTACAGACGTGAGCCACCGCGCCCGGCCTTTCTTAGTTTTTTTTTTAACTTAACATCATTTTTTTCTTTCAAGATGTTATCCAGAATACTACATTATATTTAGTAGTCATATTTTCCTTAGGTTCCTGTTGGGTATCGTATTTTCTCAGACTTCTGGTTTTTGAAAACCTTGAGAATTTTGGGGAGTACTGGTCAAGTATTCGTAGAAAGACCCTCAATTAGGATTTTTCCAATGTTTTACTCATGATTAGACTAAGATTATGTGTTTTCAGAAGGAATTCCTATGACATAAGGTGATATTTTTATCATATCATATTAAATGTATGTACAATCAACATGACAGATCAATGTTAACATTACCTGGTCGAGCTAGTGTTGATCAGGTTTCTAGACAGTAGTTTCACTTTTTCCCCCTTTTCATACTGTATTCTTTGGAAGGAAGTGACGATTCAGAGCCCACACCTAAAAGTGAAGGCTTCCAGTCCAGCTCTTTGAGAGCAGAGTATCCACATAAGTTATTTTGAATTCTTCTGCATGGTACATTTGTCTTTCTCAGTTATTTGTTCATTTATTAAATATTTTATTTATATCAGAGTGAAATCATGAATTTTTATTTTATGCTTTGGGTTATTATCCAGTTGTACTTTATTTATTTTGTTGTTTAAATCATTCCAGCTTTGGCCATTGAAACCACTTTCTTTTGCCTCTTAGGGCCTTTTGACACACTCTGATAATTTTGAGTGTGTGTGTATACGTGATTAACAGTTCCTTGCTTTCTGGCACAAGATTCTTTAGGCTCAGCTGTTATATTTCTGCCCCAGTTTTAAAATCAGACATTTATTCAAAGAGCCCTAGTTCTTTTTATTGGAAAATGGAATAAAAACCAAATTATGTGAGTTTCATGTACTCAGTATCACTAAATTGCCCTTGCTTTTAGGTCTTCTCAGTTGACAGAACAGGGAAGTAAATGTACATATACTCACCCATGTATTATCTATAAATATTTCTACATGCAACACTCTGTATCTGTACTATAACAAAAGTTCATACTAACTCTAACTCCAGTCCAGTACCATGTGGATCACTCTAGCCTCCTTCTCTTACTTACCTGTACTCCCTCACTCCAACAGTGAGAAATCTGGCTTCCATCATCGACCATCCTTTTAATTAGTTGCTCAATTTCAAGTTACACCTATACTACACTCATTTTCCATCTTACTAGATTAGCACATTTTTTCCCAACTCACTTCAGTGAGATTGCTTCACCCATTTGTAATACAGTTTGTTTGTCATCTTGTGCATTCTATTCTGGGATTTCCCCTTACCTCCTAAATGATAATTTAAAAATTTGTATACATAAATTTGAGCTGTAAAGTTCTATGGATTTTGACAAATGTAAATGTTGTGTACCCAAATTATAGTATTATACAGAATAGTTGCAAACCTCTGAAACATGTTCTGTGCCTCACACATTCAAAGCTCCACTTCCCCAGAATGCCTGGTAATTACCGATTTATTATTGTCTCTGTAAGTTTTCCTTTGCCAAAATGCTATATGATTGGAGTCGTATAGTATGTATCATTTTCAGATTGGCTTCTTACACACACACACACACACACACACACACACACACGATTCATCTCTGTTTTTTCGTGGCTTGATAACTAATTTCTTTTTGCTACTGAGTAATACTGTATTGCATGGATGTATCACAGTTTGTTTATCCATTCTTCTATCCAAAGACATCTGATTGCTTCCAGTTTTCAATGATTATGGATTGCGTTTCTATAAACATTGGCAGGTAGGCTTTTGTGGAGGCATAAATTTGAAATTAAGTAGGTAGTAAATACTTAGTATATTTACTGGATTTTATGTTTAGATTTGCAAAAAAACTGCCAAACTGCCTTGCAACATGTTTATGCCATTGTGCATTCCCACCAACAATGAATGAGAGTTCCAGTTGCTCTATCCGCAAGTAGCACTTTAGTTTTGGAATTGTACCTGTTCTAATAGATGTGTAGTGTACTGGTATCTCTTGTTATTTTAATTTAATTTAAACATTTTTTCATTTAATTCTGTTCATATGTATATCTTCTTTGATGAGGTTTCTCTGCTTAGATCTTTTGCCCATTTTTAAAATTGGGTTGTTTGCTTTCTTACTGTTAAATGTTAAGAATTCCTTGTATACTTTGAAGTCAATTGTTTAAATCACATTTATGTTTTGTAAATATTATCTCCAATCTGTGACTTTGCTAACAGTGTCTTACTCCAGAAAGAAGCTTTTAGTTTTCATAAAGTCCAACTCACCAAATTTTGTTACATGTACTGACCTTTTGGTGTTGTTTCTAAAAACTCATTAGTAAGTTTAAGGACACATAGATTTTCTCCTATGTTTCCTTCTAGAAGTTATATAGTTCTGCATTATATGTTTGGGCCTATAGTAGATTTGAAGTTTTTAAATGAAAGATACAAGTTTTCTGCTTTGGTTCATTTTATATATACAGAAATCCATTTATTTCCAGAACCTGTTGTTCTACCGGCTATCATTTCTTCTATTAATTACCTTTGGTCATTTATCAAAGGTCAGTGGACTATCTGTGTGAGTCTGTACACGGGCACTTTATTTTGTTGCATTGATCCATGTGTCTGTTCTTTCACCGTTATCACACTGTGTTAATGACTGCAGCTTATAGTCTTCAAGTTGGATAGTGTAAGTCCTCCAACTTTGTGTTTTTACTTCAACACTGTGTTGGCTGTTCTAGGTCTTTTGCCTTTTAATACACACTTTAGAATTCATTTGTCAATAGCTAGAAACTAGCTTCCTGGATTTATAGGTTGAGTTATGCACAATTTATACCATAATATCAAGTCTGATAATCCATGAAAACAAAATATTTCATTTAATTAGATCTTCTCTTTTATTCATCAAAGTTTTGTAGTTTTTTGCATATAAACACCTTCCATTTCTGTTAGATTCATACCTAAGTGTTTCACCTTCTTTAATGCCATTGTAATTTTTTTGTTATCCTTCCTTACTATTTTCAGTCATTTTTTCCCTGGGGGACTTAAGTAGACAATCATGCTATCTATAAATAAAAAGAGCTGTATTTTTTTTTTGAAGTCTACGTACTTTTTTTTAGCTGAAATAAACACTTAAAATTGTAATTCTTATTTTTCATTGAATTAAAATATAGATTCTTGCTTTTGCCCAGATTTTTATTGAGATTTGTTGAGGGCAATAAAATATTCAATAATATGTATAATTAAAGCTTATACCAACATAACGGTTATAAATCCTACTGAAATTAATATTGATCTGTCTTTAACGTAAATTATCTTTAAGCAATTATTTATTTGGACTATGTCTTTAAAGTAATTTCTAATAAAAAAGAAATGTTATAAAGCATTGGTGATTTTTAAATTTTGATTTAGACAGAAAGAAAAATATATATTTTCTGCCAGATGACTTTTTTATTATTTTTTCTTGCACTTATATTACTACATCAATTATATTGCTGATTGCTATATTTTAATACTTTTTCACAATCATATTAAGTAGAATTACATAGACTAACCCGTGAGTCACACTCGCAGTGTTTACTTTTTGTCTTATACCACTAACAATGACTGACTAAATTTTGACTATATCTGGAGTTAGAAAAATAAACCTTTCTTCTGTTTTCATAAGTATCAGATTGCTAAGTTTTATTATTCAAGTTCTGTTCTCAAAAGCTGCTGTATGAGATATTGCATACCTGCCAGAATTTGAAGAGACAAAAATGTAAAGGAACAATGGCAAGATCAGAGAAGCTATTCTACAAACAGGAACTTTTAAATAGCAGCCTTTCTTGAATCTTATCTTTATGCTTTATGGCAATTTATAAAAGATGAAGGCTTATGAGAACTTATTTAATTTGCTTGTCCTATTCTTTGTCTAAAGAGTTCCTTGATAATTTGACACATCAGATGCAAATAAAGAGATAAAGAGATTGAAATAAGAATACAGGTGCCACACATTTTCCATTTAAGTCCAATGTCTGCTTTGCAAAATGTGACATGCTGTATTTTTATCCAGATAGATAATTGACATCTCTAGGAAGAAAGAAATACAAGAATTATGTTTCTTGGATGATTTTCTTCTAGTCCCTTAATCCTGATAAGAAAAAAAAAATCATGACTATGTTATAATGTAATATATAGTATCAATAACTAAAAACCATTATACAAATATAATATTAATATAAAACTGTAACTTTATTATACGGTATATTATTACTAATAGTATTCATGATAAAATTAGGCCGGGCGTGGTGGCTCATGCCTGTAATCCCAGCACATTGGGAGGCCGAGGAGGGTGGATCACCTGAGGTCAGGAGTTCAAGACCAGCCTGATCAACATGGAGAAACCCTGTCTCTACTCAAAATACAAAATTAGCCAGGTGTGGTTGCACAAGCCTGTAATCCCAGCTACTGGGGAGGGTGAGGCAAGAGAATCACTTGAACCTGGGAGGTGGAGGTTGCAGTGAACCAAGATCATTCCATTGCACTCTAGCCTGGGAAACAAGAGCAAAACTATCTCAAAAACAAACAAACAAAAATTAATAGTAACTATTAACTACTAATACACCAAATACAGTATTTTATGAATAACTCGATGCTTTGTTGCATTCTTATACTCTAAACTAAGAAAATTGAAATAAGATATGAGAAGAGTGCTTTTATTTTCAACCTAACTCTTCTAAGCTGGTATACAAGAGGGGTGCACCCATTTCCCCACAATTCTTATGGACTCAACTTACGGTGTAACCAAAGAGGGTAGATTTTACACCACAGATCCTACTCCTCCACGCCTGGAGTTCTCATGGGAGCCTTCAGTGTCAGACTTTTGCCATTACTGTTCTCACTTTTCCTGCCTAGCAGTGTTCTAGAATCCTGTATGATTCTTATTCTCTTGGAGTTTTGGGACATCAGAAATTCATGATCCTTCTTTTAAGAGCTGCATGGATTTGGAGTCTTATCCTCACTAGAAGAGAGGAATGCACCCAATGGAAAAGAGGAGAGCAACCAAAGTCTAAGCTAAGAGCATAGTTTCATGTGAGTGGGTGTGGTGTATGTGTGTGTATGGGTATGGTGTGTATGGGCCCTACAATTCTAGCATTATACACTAAATAGTCATTTGTGTGTATCACAGGCAATCAAATTATGGTTCATTAAAAAAATCTCCTCTGTGAAACCTAATTTGAAATTAGCAACTGCTAGGTTATAAAAGTAATTGTTCAAATTCTTTTGTGGTGCAGGTGGTGGGGTTGATCACTTTGAATACCCATGGCAGTTCATTTTCTGAGAATATAGACATAATCTTTCCCTCTAGTTCAGGAAGGGGGAAGAGCTTTGGCTGTGTTTGACAAGTTATAAACATGTTATCATATTTCATAACATGGAAGTAATAAAGAGTTATATAATTACATAAGCAGGATGCCAAATATTGAATTTTTGAAAATAGGGCAAATGCGACATGAAACATAAAATCATAAATTTGTAAACATGCAATTCACACAAAATTTTAAAATAAAATATAGAAAAATCCCTGCTCACAATGATACATTTTCTTACACATTTATTTTCCTTTTTTGTAATCACTAACAGCTGAACCTTGTTCATATGCTTCTGCATCTTTTATTTACACATAACTAAAAAAAGTGCTATCATTTAATCTCAGAATTTTTATGTTACAATGACCTAAAACCATCCCATGAATTCTATAAACTCTTTAACACTTTCTCTCTTCCATGACTCTCTTTCAGAAAGTATTTCCTCTGGCATTCATAGTTTTTGTGGACACACCTGATACCTGAAAAAAACAATCTGAGTGAGTTTAACTCATTAATTACTCAGAGTCCTCTCTATTCCCAAAGTATTCCGTCTCCCAAGCAAGACCTTATGTAGCTGTACTGTTTCTCTCCTTCCTCTCAATACCTACTCTTTTGCCTCTTCCAATATGCAATCTGTTCAACATGTTTGATATATGTCCTTGTGTGTCTATATGTGAAAATGCACGTGTTCAAGTTTTTTTTTTTTGGATTTTATAAACTGAATCAATGTTTTCTGTCTTGTTTAATGCTGTTTTTAAAAACGTATCTCTTTACAAAAAATGTTTACTACATTTATCAATGTTACTCTATTACCTTAAAATTTATTTTTTTCTAACTGCATCACGCATTTCACAGTATGCATTAACTATAATTCTTTTACATATCCTCTTAGGAAAATCTAGGCTGTAACCAGCTCCCCGTTACCCTCAATGATATCATGGTGAATATCTTAGTGCATGATGCTTCATGAATTTATGTGAAAGCTTCTCTGGGTTTACTCAGGTAGGCTAGGAAATTAGACAAAAACATACTTAATTTTTGTCAGAAAGTCTAGATTGTTTTTGTTCTAAAGAGCCCCTTTTCCTATTACAATGTTCTTTTTTTAAGCAATCTTTGGAACTTTGAAAAATTGTTTTAAAGCTTTTTGCATGTGTGTTTCTCAAATTATGTTTATGCTTAAATATGGAAGACATTGATTAAATAGTGGGTATATAATGTGGAGAAATTAAATTTTGGAGAAAGATCACAGTTTAAAACAGGTCTATGTTTTACAGAAGTGCAATTGCAGCTTGGAGTGAGTATTACCAGCTCCCCTGAGCATGCATAAGCCATGGGCATGCATAAGCCACCTTTCAAAGAGGTTGCAAGTGCAGAAGATTCCATTGAAGTCTGGATGTTTCATAATACACAAATAACTATTTTATCCAAACTTTTTCATGTGCTGGTCTTATATTAACTCCTGCCCCAGATGTGGCATTTTTTATTTCTCAGCTTGGTAATTCTCTTCTTTATTATTTAAGACATAGCATTTTATACTTTTAAAAATGAGAAGGCATCTAGCTTTAAGTGCAACACTTATTTACAATCGGAATACGCACCATGAATCATTTATGCATTTTCTTACTGCTGTACCTCTTCCTGTTCCAAAACTGCTTTGACAAAATTATGAGGTATGTTAGATGGCTTCAGTCATCTTTAATTCTACTATTCTGACTACTTCTCTATTATTCTTGTTATCACTTTTACTTCCTGTCTTTATCCCTAAGAGTGGCTGCTTCCTGATAACTTGTTGCCCATGCTGAGTATCTCCAGTGCTGAACACCAGTTTTGCCAGCAACCTCGTATCTCCTGAAGGGTCTCTTTCAGAGACTATGTCCTTGACTACAAAATCGCTTTCACTTCAATACTGTCTTTATTCCTCCCACTAAGAAAATAAGATACAGATAGCAACATATTTGGGGTTCAACTTGTGACTGAGCCAAACTTATACATTTTGAAATTGGTTTAAAAAGAAAGTTCAGAAAGTAAATATGTTTCATGTGATAAGAAATAATTGCCATAAAATATTTCAAATAAAATGATATGTAAATGGGATCAACTGCAGTTTTCTTCACAATGTCAGAATAGTAAGACACTTGTGTATATTAATTTTTGAGTGTCTAATGTGAGTGGGGTTGAGAATTGTGACAAAGATTTTGCAGTCTTGGTGAGGTCCCAAAGGCAGCAAAATATAGAGTCATATGTTGTGTTTGAAATAGAATTCTTGTAGTGGGAGCCTGATCTCGTATAGAATGGTCCCCCATTGAGCTGCAGGTGGGCCACCATCACTGCAGTTGGCCAAAGGATGACAAGCAGAGCTCTAAGATTATCTGCTTCAAGTTCTTCTTACACATACTCATGTTAAAACTCACTTACATGTCTTTTCTACTATGACTTGGAAAGCAAAATATATGTTCTGTCTTACCTTGAATTGATCTGTATATTGTACATTGATTACATAAGAGCAGCAACCATTCTTCGATTGTCCAAATTATTCAATTTAAAGTGATTGGTAGGTAGTCAGTGAGTGTTGACATATAGCGATTAGATATATAGATTAATTACATCAGATCCATTTGCATCGTCAGAGGGGTGATCTGTTTTTATTTTTAGTAACATGCTTTTGAGCAAAAAAATGGTGTATTAAGTAGAAGAATGATCAAATAGAAAAAATGCACTGTTTAAGTGAGATACAATACAATACTTACTCTTTATATATTGTCAGTCTGGGCTTCTCCCCAGTAGGAATAGTGGGCATCTGAAAATAGGGCAAAGGAAAAAGACCAACTGGTATAAATAACAGAGCAGGTGCATATCTGGACTAAATATTTAGACATCTGGGAAATTATATATGGAGACACCATTGCAGATGGTGGTGGTTGGCTTATTCAAGGCCAAAGTTAAACATCTGTCTCCACACCTAAACTCACTTTAGTTACCATTCTTGCAGTGTGCTCAACTCACTCTATTTTATCCAGTTTCTACCCACTGTTAGGAAAATTTTCGAAAATATTGGCCCAAAGTGATTTCTACTTCCTCCCAATTCTTGGAGGACTTGCTATAGGTGCCCCTTCCCCTTCCCCTTCTTCCCCTTCCCCTTCTTCCCCTTCCCCTTCCCCTTCTTCTTCCCCTTCTTCCCCTTCCCCTTCCCCTTCTTCTTCCCCTTCTTCCCCTTCCCCTTCTTCTTCCCCCTTCCCCTTCTTCCCCTTCCCCTTCTTCCCCTTCCCCTTCTTCCCCTTCCCCTTCCCTTTCCCTTTCCCCTTCCCTTTCCCTTTCCCCTTCCCTTTCCCTTTCCCCTTCGCTTTTCCCTTCCCCTTCCCCTTCCCCTTCCCCTTCCCCTTCCCCTTCCCCTTCCCTCCCCTTCCCTCCCCTTCCCTTCCCTTCCGAGATGAAGTCTCACCCTGCTGGAGTGCAATCGTGCAATTCAGCTCACTGCAACCTCTGCCTCCCAGGAGGTTGTTCAAGCAATTCTGCTGCATCATCCTCCTGAGTAGCTAGGACTACAGGCACCGGCCACCATGCCCAGCTAATTTTTGTATTTTTAGTAGAGACAGGGTTCACCAAGTTGCCCAGGCTGGTCTCAAACTCCTGACCTCAGGTGATCCACCCGCCTCAGCCTCCCAAATTGCTGGGATTATAGGCATGAGCCACTGCACCCGACCTATATATGTTTTTTGAAAATATTAGGCTTAGCCCATGCTGGCTTATTATTTATATTTTCATGAATTTATGTTAGACTTCCAAATAACTAATTTCTTGAAGAGTGCTTTTTGCCACTTTGTTTACCTAGAGCTTATCCAGGGACTGGTTGATAATAGGAACCACAATAAAATATTAGATCCAGAAATTATTTGGCGGGGGGGAGGGAGGACAAATCTTCTACTTTAAAAATTATAGAACTGTAAGCCAGGTAGGTAAAATGGGTTGCCTAAAGTCAGATATAATAAGTAAATTTTTATGGCATAGTTTAGAAAACACAGTGTTCCCCAGAAAGTGATTTAAAATAACTTGTGTAGTCTTAGGTATGAAATGGGATGAAATGTAGTTCAATAAATCCATCCATAGAATGAACAGGAGATATTAGGATTTATTGTCAGCACGACATTTGGAGTTGCCATACTTATTTTTCCAACAGTCCATCTCTTCTGTCTATTATATTTCATTTTGGAAGCTGCTCATTAAGACAGTTTAGCTGTCCATGGTGGCAAACATTGCTGAACTGAGCAACACCCTTTCTGCAATACCTCAACACAATACCGTTGTTTTTACGTGTCTGTGGACAATATTTTAAGAACCTGTCACTGGAGTTTATTTTTTCCCTTTACAGCTTATACCAGCTGCTGACCTCGGTTTGATTAGTTGTGCTAAATGTGCTAGATCCCACAGCTGCTCCCTTACTCTTTGATTTCATGGTTATTTCACTGACTTGAAATCATGTTGCCATGGGGACTCATCCAGTCTCTTGGCCTCTAGAGAGACCACTTCAGCCCTCTCCAATCTAACTGTGCATTAAAGTTTCTGTCAATGTAAGTTTATTATTTAAAAACTGCTCTGTTATTGGGGACGAGTCTATCATTAAGGCTGTTTGTGAAGGCAGCAAAAATGACAACAAAATCTAGAATTTCAAATATTTCTCCAGTATAGTTACATCAAGAAAAACCATCATACTGCTAAAGGTAGTTCTATTTGGTGGATAATATAAGATATATTTTAAATTTGGGCCATGACTAAGATAGGAAATATGTAACTTTCTGGATCATCATTCCTGCATTCATTTTTTCCCCCAACTATTGAGTGAGATTATTTCTAAATTTGTCTCTGATGATCCACAGGGGATTTCTGGAAGACTTTAAGAAGATCTGGCTCAATAATCTAAGATTATAAATCAAGTTTTCAGTTTTGCTAGTATTGCTCAGATTTTATGTTCCTTCTCTCAGATTGTTTTTCCTCTCCATCTAAGACTAAATAAAGTGTCTCATTTCTTAGCATCCATTCTAGGTAGTAGAAACCTTATATCTAATTCTGTCTTCACATTTGGGCAGCCACTATCCAGATGAATATTTCTGTGATACTGCACATATAGCTTTTTAGATCACTGTGCTAGACTATGACTTTGGTGGTCCCCAGTGAATCACATCTCCCGATATACATGTCCCTGGGTTGTGCCCTTCCACATTGACTCTAGGCTTGACCAATAAGACATTTGCAAGCATGATGCAAACAACACTTGATAAATGCTTACACATTGAATATTTTTGCTTTGGAATTCTCCTTTTTGGAAGCTCACTGCCATGTTTTGAAGAAGCCAAGCTAGCCCTTTTGACTCCCAGAACCCTGTCAAGAAGACCATTTGAATCATATATAGTTAGGAATAAATATATGTGTCATAAAAATATAAAGACAAGATGATTATCAAAAATACATAGTAATGGTTAAATTTTGTGATTTTGTAGTATATGAGGAGAGTTATCAGACGGTCAAAAGGAGATGTCAATCATATTGGTAACATTATTAAACTGCGTGTCTTCAAATTATTATCATCCTTTGAAACATACATCTATTTATCTCATGGATTTTTGCTTGCATGCTACATTTCACAAAAAAAAATATATTCAAAGACCTACTGTCACATACTAACATAGTAAATTAGTGTTAGAAACAGACCTAACACAGGCATACCTCAGAGATATTGTGGGTTCAGTTCCAGACCACTGTAATAAAGTGAATATTGTAATAAAGTTGCAAATTTATTGTAAAGTGAATATTGCAATAATTATTGAAAAAATAATATTGCAATAAAATAAACTTGTATATGCACTGGGTTTATATAACCCTATACATATAAAAGTTATGATTACACTCCACTGTGGTTATTAAGTGTGTAATAGCATTATGTCTCAAAAACAATGTACATACCTTAATTTAAAATGTTTTATTGATTCAAAATGCGAATAATCATCTAAACCTTCAGTGAGTCATCGTTTTTTTGCTGATAGAGTCTTGCCTTAATGTTGGTGGCTGCTTACTGATTAGGTGGTGGAGGCTGAAGGTTAGGGTAGCTGTGGCAATTTCCTAGACAACAATAAGATTTGCCACATTGATTGACTTTTGTTTTTATGAAATATTTCTCTGTAGCATGCAGCGCTGTTTGATGACCTTTTACCCACAGTAGAACTTCTTTCAAAATTGGAGTCAGTTCTCTTAAACTCTGCCACCGCTTTATCAACTAAGCTTGTGTAATGTTCTAAATTCTTTGCTATAATTTCAACAATGTTCCTGGCATCTTTACCCAGAGTAGATTTCATCTCAGTAAAGCACTTTATTTGCTCATACACAAGAAGAAACTCCTCATCATGAGACTGGAACAATTCAAGTCCACCTTCAGGCTCTACTTCTAATTCTAATTATCTTGCTGTTTCCATCATATCTGTAGGTACTTTCTCCATGAAAGTCTTAAAGCCCTTAATTTCACCTATTAGTGTTGGAATCAACTTCTTCCAGACTCTTGCTAATGTGGCTATTTTGACCTGCTTCCATAAATTGCAAATATTCTTTTTTTTTTTTTTTTTTGAGAAGGAGTCTCAATCTGTTGCCAAGGCTGGAGTGCAGTGGCACAATCTTGGCTCACTGCAACCTCCCCCTCCCCGGTTCAAGTGATTCTCCTGCCTCAGCCTCCTGAGTAGCTGGGACTACAGGCACGTGCCACCACACCCGGCTAATTTTGTATTTTTAGTAGAGGTGGGGTTTCACCATGTTGGCCAGGCTGGTCTTGAACTCCTTGCTTCAGGTGATCCGCACACCTCGGCCTCCCAAAGTGCTGGGATTACAGGCGTGAGCCACTGCACCTGGCCACAAATGTTCTTAATGTCATCTAGGATGGTGAATACTTTACAGAAAGTTTGCAACTTATTTGTTTATATCTGCCAAAGGAATGGGTAGTTATACCCTTAAAAAAATGGTAGTCATAGCCATAAGAAATGTATTTCTTACATGATAAGACTTGAAAGTCAAAATTACTTCTTGCTCATGGGCTACAGAATTGAGGTTGTATTAGTAGGCATAAAAACAACATCAATCTCCTTGTACCTCTTCATTAGAGCTGTTGTATGTTCAGATGTCTTGTCAATGAGCAGTAATATTTTGAAAGGAATTTTTTTTTCTAAGTAGTAGGTATCAATAGTAGGCTTAAAATATTCAGTTAACCGTGCTGTAACCAGATGTGCCGTCATTTAGGCTTTGCTGGTTCATTTATAGAACACGGGTAGGATGGATTAGCATAATTCTTAAGGGCCCTAGGATTTTTTAGAATGGTAAATGAGCATTGGTTTCAACTTAAAGTCACTTGCTAAAATAGCTCATAACAAGATTTAGCCTATCCTTTGAGGCTTTGGCGCCAGGGATGACTTACCTCTTAGCTATGACTGTCCCAAGTGGCATCTTCTTTCAATGTAAAGCTTTCATTCACATTGAAAATCTGTTGTTTAGCCACCTTTGTCAGTTGTTTTAGCTGGATCTTCTGGATAACATGCTGCAGCTTCTATATCACCATTTGCTACTTCACCTTACTCTTTTATTTTATGGAGCTGACTTCTTTTCTTAACCTCACAATACAACCTCTGCTACCTTCAAACTTTTCTTCTGCTGCTTCGTCACCTCTATCAGTCTTCACAGAATTGAGGAGAGTGAGGGCCTTACTCTGGATTAGGCTTTGTTTTAAGGGAATGTTGTGTCTAGTTTGATCTTTAATCATGACCACTAACTTTCTCCGTATCAGAAATAAAACTGTTTCATTTTCTTATTATTCATGTATTCATTGGAGTAGCAGTTTTAAGTTTCTTCAAGAATGTTTTCTATGCATTTGCAACTTGGATGTTTGGTGGAAGAAGCCTGGCTTCCAGCCTGTCTCTCCTTGGGGTGTGCCTTTTCCACTAACCTTAACCATTTCTAGCTTTAGATTTAAAGTGAGAGTCTTGTGAGTCTTTCTGTCACTTGAACACTTAGGGGCCATGTAGAGTTATTAACTGGCCTGATTTTAATATTATTACATTTTAGAGAATATGGGTCCCCAAGGAGAGGGAGAGAGATAGAGGAATGCAACAGTTACTGATTCAGTTCACCATCTTATATGAGTGCAGTTTGCGGCCCATGTAATTATAATGGTTTTGTGGCCTAGAACAATTATAATAGTAATGACAAAGATCACCGATCACAGATTAGTGTAACAAGTAATGAAAAAGTTTGAAATATTGCAATAATGTGACTCAGGGACTCAAAACGAGCACATACTATTGGAAAAATGATGCTGATAGACTTGCTGTTCACAGTGTTGCCATAAACCTTCAATTTTAGAAAGTGCATTATTTGTAACACAATAAAGCAAATGACAATAAAATGAGATACGTTTGTATAACTAAATTTTGCTTAAGCTTATTGCAGTTTCCTTAGATTTTTCCCCCACACATAATCTCTCTTTTTTCTCAGGTAAAGTAATGATGAAGGTTTTATTCTTGTTATTACTTATATAAAATTGTATATATTTGTATAGATTGATTAGATAAATTGCTCAAGATGAAAAGTTATTAATGAAGGAGATGGGACCAAATCCTGATATTTTTACAGAAGTCAGAAATGTTCTTTCATGATACCAGCTTTATTCTTACATTTTTCTGACCCTGACATTTGTAATACTTTCAGTAGGTCATCTTTCTGATTGTAAGAAGTATAATTCTAATTTTTTATTAAACATTACAAGTGTGGTAAGATATTTTTATGATAACAAAATTAAGTGTAAACCCAATAAGAAATATTACATTTCCCTTAGTCATCACTAAGGAACTCTCAATTGGTTTGATCCTTTACTAGAAGGACTTTTTAACGTGGAATGTGTTTTCAAAGATGGATGAACTCTTACCGTTTCATCAGTGAGTAGAAGTTATGTATCTCATTTACTGAAGAAAGATGCCTTTAAAAACATTTTGTTGTCTGCAACAAAGACTTATTAATCGAATAATGCTCTTAACCTTACTGCTTTCTAAGAGCTTTAGAAACATTTTGAAACTACAAAGTGCATTTACTAATATTAAAACCTTGGAATGTCTTGAGCTGCAGCCTATTGTGGAAAATATGGCTTCTCAGTCTTCAGTCACTTCATTCAATTTTCCACTCATATTTTTTTCCTGAATCAGACCAACTCTGTGGCATGTAAAGGAGTGTAGTGATTATATGAGTTATTGTAGATACTGTTGACATTTTATCTGTTTTGCTGCCTGGAGTTGGCTAATGCCAGCAACAGATCATGCATTCTTGATTAAAAAATGGTGGAAAAATGCATTAACACCAAGAATGGTATTGTCGCTGTCACTGATTAAGCATAGCACTTCAGTTCAAAATGTTAAGGTTATTTTTTCCCTGGGTTTTATTTTCTAAATGAATGTTTATAGCCATCTGTGTTGTTTCTAACAGAATGAGAAAAAGTACATTTCCCTTAATTTATTTTGTCTTTTCCTTTTCTTCAACCACATTCTTCTTAAATATCACTTTCTATAATTATGTATTTTCACAGTACTCCAAAAATCATTCACACCCCTCTTTCCTGAAAGTCTGTGGTCTCTGCACCACTCAAATTTGCTTTGATCCCATCCAAACTGATATTTCCTTGGAATATGTTTTGATAGTAAAGATAAAAGGAAAGGGTAAAACTGAAAAGCATTTTAAGGGAAAATTATTTTGGATAAGTTGATGAAGGATTTTAGAAAATGAAAATAAGAGGGAATTGAAGGTGATTTCACAATGCAACCTGTATGATGGACTAGTAGAGATGCCAGTTATAATCCCTGGGAAATTGAAATGAGATTAATCTGTAGATGTAAGACAACACTTTAATTTCAAAGTAGACTAAATTTAAGGATTTGTTGGATTATATATGTGAGATTTCTAATTACAAAGATAGGCAAGAATGAAAAATAATAATTTCAGATGCAGCTTGCAGATATAAAAGCAGGTATATAATAAAAATAGCATTATTGTTTATATCATTAAATAAATCATTTTGGAGTAATCAATATCCAGCCTGGAATAAATAGTTTAAATTAGTATTAATATTAAACTTTTGAGAAAATATAATCTATTTAAAGTAACCTGTGCAATGTTAACCAAAAATATAAAATATATGATATATAATTAAATATATGTATGTGTGTGTATGTGTGTGTGTTTGTATACACACTTTACTGGACATTTATAGACTTCATAGACATTACTGGACATTTATGTTACAATACTAAATAGCTTTCCTGATATACCATTGGGGAACATCTGCTTATTCTGTGTAAAAACTTCTCTTTTGGGAAATTGATCTATCATTTGTTCACTTTGGTTTATAATCTTCTTCCATCATGAAAATGAACTGTAAGACATTGATCACCATCAATTTTTATTATCTATTAAGATAGGTTAGGTCAATATGAATTGATTGATGGAAAATTAAAATAACTAATGGCTACTAGGCTTAATACCTGGGTGATGAAATAATCTATACAACAAAACCTCATGACACAAATTTACCTATGTAACAAACCTGCATGTGTAGCCCTGAACTTAGTTAAAAAAAAAAAAAAACAGCAGTCTATCTCTACTTTGAGATAAATGAAAGCACCTTTGTTTGCTGCTGCATCTGTTGTATAATGTTTTCTCTGTGTATTTCTAAAAATGTGTATGTAAACTGTATTATGTATTTCCATTATAAAAAGAAAAATACTAGTTATTTTATAAAATAATTTATATGATAATTACATTGAAAACTGTACAATTTTTTAATGACTATAATGATCTCATCTATCAACTCTATACATGTCTGTAATTTTTACCTAAATCATCAAACTACCTGTTTCAGTGCTATGCCTGAAGAGTATACCTTTTAATTCCATTGCAAAAGTAATAATGAGTGAAAAGAGCTGTGACTGAAGAGAAAGAAAGATTTATTTACCCTCTGATTTGAAATACAGTATTAGAATTTGGTTACTGGCACTTAAAATTTAGGTTATTGTTATTTAAATGTAATTAATTGCCATCCTCTTAATACAAGTGTTATCAGAGCTATCTGGAATCTGTCTGCAATTGCTAATGAGAATTTAAGATTCATGAGGCAGAAGCATTTGGAAACATAGTATGTAGGTAATAATTTTTTAAAAGTTAAGGAAAAACAACTTTTCTTCAATGATTACAACATTTATTTTTTTCTACTGAAAGGCTTAGGGAAGAAATCAGGATTTTACATTTATTCTTCCTTCTTGCTCCCAGATATCAAATGACAGGTTGATAGAATAAATTAATAAATATAGAAGAGTGTTTCTCTTCTTCACTTATACTATATAAGTGAATTTAGATGATTCTATGAAGTATTTTAAAATACAGCCTTATGATAATCGATAACTAGAGCTGTGCAGTCTCTAATGAATTCTGTCTGTTTGCTCTTTTTTTCACTAAGCAGTGAGGACTGACAAGCTGCCGGTTCTGGCTCAATGCTTTTTGTCAGTTTGTTCTCTTTGGAGATAAATTATTAAAGGATGTAATGAACAACACAAAGTTAGCACTTTAAGAAAAAGAGGGCATTTCTCCATTTTAAAATGTTTTGTAAGATAGAAGATGACAAGACCACATTTAGTTTGGACATGATGATTCCCATCTTATCACATTTGAAATGATGACATATCACAAACTGTACAACACAAATATTAGGAATTTCTGATTTCTTTAGATGAGATCAGAAGTATTATTTATTGAGTGCATTGTTATTCATCTCCAAACTCAAAGATAATTGCTATGTGCTAACTGGTACATAGTAATAGTGACTTATTGAATTGTTTCAATCAACCTGATTAAAATCTTACAAATCTTCAATAATCTGATATTAGTAGAAGCAAACATTTTATGCCTAAATCAATACAACTTAGTGAATAAATGTTGGCACACTTGGACGTTTGGTGTAATTTTTAAAGATGGTTTGTAGTTTCAATTAATTTTGACTGGCTTCTGAGCCAAAATGGGTACTCTTTGAACTTGTTAGCACTCTCACAATCCTTTAAAGTAAAAATGATATCAAACAACAGCACGTTATGACTTTTTCCAGTAGCAAAATTCAACCATTTTCTATACACCAATAAGGACTTCATATCTAATAAAGTCACCTGCTTAAGTAATTTTACTTAATTTACTTTGAGAGTGAGTATACCCTCTTATTCTAGAATTGCATGGAAGAATTAAAATAGAAATGCTCAAAAGGGAAGTAACCCACAATCAAATAGCTAAGTTCCACATACGGTGCAAATGGCTTCCCTCAAGTTATTTCCAGAGGAGGAGGACATTATACTAGCAGAGGCTGTAGAGTTGAAAAGGAGACAAAAATTTATTAATACACAAAAGAGAGCTGGGCCAATTGCCAGTGCTAAAAAGATAAGAAACAGGAATCAAAATCAAACTTAGAATGTGCATTTGAGAACAGGTATAATAACAAGAGCAACAGGTGGAGTTTAAGCTGGCAGCAGTTAGTGGCAGTCCACAGAGCTGATGCTGATTTTCTAAGGCTTCCTCTACTACATGGGTCTTGTTGTTGTGGGGATGCACCAGCTTAGTGTAACTTCTCAGGATGGGAAATGCATGTCCAGAGTTAAGTTTGCTTATGTTGAGCGTTGGAAACAATATTAGCTTTTCAGTGTGCTTAACAGATTCACCTTATTCCAAAACCAGGGGTGGTACTAGTCACAGTGAATGAATTGTCTTAAAGAAACGGGTCTCTTTTTACCTTGCCTGAGGTTCTGAACTGTTGTGCATACAATGAGCCCATTTTAGGGACATTTTTTGAGACCACCTGACCTTTCAGTTGGTATGCTCTGACATATAAACAGAGGAAACCCTCAAATCAATAAAATAATAGTTCACAATAGTGTTTTAATTGAATACTGATATTTTACAAAGATAATTTAAAATTTTAAATAATGTATAATTTCTTTTTTTAAAAAATGAAATAAATGAAAAGTTAGGAAAGTTTGGGGAGAAACACTTCATGCCAGAAGTATCTGATGACTCAGTCCCCAGTTTTCATCTTGTTCCCAGTTGTTTTCATCTCAACAGAAACATAGTTTTCATCTTGTTCCCAGTTGTTTTCATCTCAACAGTAAACATCCTCTTCTGTATTAAATATTACTTTTGCTCTGCTTGACCTGTAGACTATGCTCATTTAGGTGAAATCCTTCTGTAAAAAAATCGCTATAGTAAGGTAGAAACTCATTTTTTACATAGGAAACTATATTCGGTTATTCTTCAAACACCCATGTTTGATGTGCCATTTGAGCTGTTAGATAATTACCACTTCAGTCAGTATCAGCTCCTACCTCTTGAGGGATGCAGCTGCCCTTCTGTAGGTCCTTCCCGTGTGGTATTAGTTAATCTGACAACGGGCTTTATTGAAATCTCTACTCAATTTGTCATGTTCTCCTTCTATTGCTCTGACAATGGATGGCTATCTAATATCTTGTCTGTGTCTTCCTAGCCTCTTGTCTACATGGAGGCTGGATTTAGCTCTTGATCAATTGAGGGAGGTCTATGCTAATGTGTTCATACATTCCCAAGTGCACGTTCCCAGGCTTTGAAAATAATTCCCAATAGGAAATTGTATTTTGCCAAAATTCTGCCCATTGATTGTCTGGACCTCAATATTATACACTTTCCTCCAGCATGGCAACAATTTTGAGCTCATTATGTTCTGCAGCATGCCTTGTGTGTCATGATTAAATATATTAAATATAACAGTTGACAAATACTTCAACAGAATGAGGATCATTTTATCATAATGCAGAATATCACCAAATGTGACCTAAATTAAATTATTTCACTGCCCTTATTCCTTTACTGAAAGACATAGATGCTACTAATTTTGTTAACCACAGAAATAAAAAAAAAAGTCTTGAAAAAAATGAATGACACAGAGAAGAATAAATAATATTCGGGTTAAAATAATGCTTTATAAAAAGATAATTTAATCAGCACAGAGAAATATATGCACAACAATTAAGCTGATAATATTCTGCCATCATTCCTGGCAAGTAATTGTAAATAAAGTGAATCCACAAAAATGTTGAATAAAAACTAATGATTGACTCTGGTCAAAGCAGCAGCATATAAATATTTGGAAGAAAATGTGAAAGTATTTCCCTTGCACTAGTTTCATAAGGTTGCAAAAAATGATTGTTGGTACTTTATAATCATGTGTCAGATCTCAAATGTCAGGGTGATAATTGCTAAAGACTGCAACTATTATTATAATCAGCATGCATTTTTTAGGACCTCATGCCTATGACAGAGGCTTTTTATGTGTTGTTTATTCCGGCTCAAGCCTAGAACTAAAGCTAATACAGGCTTCACTTATTTGTGTCTTCATTAACTTTAGAATAAAAGTTGTTTGGTGACATTTATATTATTATTTTTTTTTTTTTTTTGAGGCGGAGTCTGGTTCTGCCGTGCAGGCTGGAGTGCAGTGGCGCGATCTCGGCTCACTGCAAGCTCTGCCTCCGGGGTTCACAGCCATTCTCCTGCCTCAGCCTCCCGAGTTGCTGGGACTACAAGCACCCGCCACCATGTCCTGCTAATTTTTTTGTATTTTTAGTAGAGACGGGGTTTCACCGTGTTAGCCAGGATGGTCTCGATCTCCCGACCTCGTGATCCGCCCGCCTTGGACTTCCAAAGTGCTGGGATTACAGGCGTGAGCCACCACGCCCGGCCGACATTTATATTATTAAGTTAAAATTAGACTACCAAGCATGACTATCTATCTATAGAATATATGAATGTAAATATTGAATTTTATAATGGTAATAGTTTTAGAACCGATAACTTAATAACTGTTATGTATTGCTTTTATTTGAGAGTCAAATTATTAAGAGTATAAACATTCATGAAATATATATGTATTTGAAAACAGGGTTTAAATTTATTCCTGTGAATCTTTGAGGTCATACCTTGATTTAACTCCCCAAATATTTGTTAGGCATTTTTATATCAGTGTTTGTGCTTTATTATAAAGGCAGTGCTATGTAAAAACTTTACAAATACACATTTACCTTCTTATTTCCTAAATTAGAATAAAAATATTACACCCAAATTGCTTTATGTTGTCTATGAAAGTCACGTTTGCCAGATTATTTATAAATTCTTAATGGGCTGTATTGCTGTGCTTCTGTTCCCAGGTCTTGGGAAAAAAGGATCTTAAAGTATTAATCTGAGAACACTGGAGTTCTACATATACTATATTTTCTTAAATGTTTAGCACTGCAAGGCAAAACTTTATGTCTTGTCTCCTTAGTAGAGTATTTCTGACATCTTGTAGTTCGGACTGTGATGTCCATAATTTATGAAAAAAAATCTGTATGTAGAGGGCTTCCTCACTCCAGCACAACCAAAAGAAGGATCACTTTAGCTAAGCAAATAAGAATCTCTTTCCAAGGTTTCGATCTATTTAGGTATAGTTTTGTAAAGTGGTTATCAGTGTAGAGAAATGTGGCAGGATGTACCAACAAGGAGGTGTAGTAGATGAGATTGCTCGTGGGTTGAAAACATGTGGGTTTAAATCATAGCTCAATTAATTTCTACTTATGAAATATTATGAAAATGAGCTCTTTCAGCCATCATTGTTCTCACCTGTGACATGATGTTAATATGAAGACATTTACAAGTAATCTGAGTATTGTAACTATAGATATATAGGAAATGATGGTATTCTTATAGTTTTATTGACATATTGCTAGGGTCTGAATGTTTGTGTTTCCCCTAAATTCATATGATGAAATCTTAACCCCCAGGGTGATGGTATTAATAGGTGGGTGTTTGGCAAGTGATTAGGTCACGAGGCTCATGAGTGGGATTAGTGCTCTTATAGAAGAAGTTTAAGGGAGCTCATTCTTCCCTTCCACCATGTGAGGATACAGTGAGAGGGAGCTATCTGTGCACCAGAAAGCAGCCCGCCACAGACACCAACTCTGCCAGTGCCTTGGTACTGGACTTCCCAGCTTAGAATTGTTAAAAATAAAAAGTTTATAAGGTAAAATGAAATAAGGAAAATAAGATATTTATAAGTTACCTGGTTTGTGATATTTTATTATACCTGTCTAAATGAATTAAGACACATATAATGTTTTAAAAGCATATAATTAAAATGGTGAAAAAATGTATAAAAAGTGAAGCTAGATTTTGGAAGATGAGTGATGAAAGGGATGATAAAATAAATGGAAAATACTGAAAACATTAAAAATATTATCATCTGTGAATACAAAGAAACAAAGTAGAAGACAAAAATAACAAAAAGAAAAGAATGTAGATCAGAGGGAAGGTAACAAAAGAAAAATAGAAAGAATAAATAAGACCCACTACCTGATAGCACAATGAGGTGACCATGGTCCATAATAACTTATTTGTATATTTTTAAATACCGAGTGTAATTGGATTTTTCTGTAACTCAAAGATAAATGCTTGAGGGAGTGGATGCCCCGTTCTCCGTGATGTGCTTATTTCACATTGTATGACTGTAGCAAAACTTCTCATGTACCTCATAAATATATACCCCTACTATATACCCACAAAAATTAAAAATTAAAAAAAAGAAATAGAAGGAAATGGAAGAGAAGAGAGAAAGAAATAGAACTGAGGAGAGAACAGAAGGAAAAAGTAAGAAAATGAAATGTTCAATTGCTTAGACTCCCCTCTACAAAAATCCTCCAGTCTCACCTAGAACTGACATACACTCTCTTTACTGATGGCTCCCCACTGAAAGTTGATCCAGAATATGGCATCTTAACTTCTTGGATACTTGCATTTATTAGGTTTTTATGTTCTATTCATCTTACACTATTATTTTAATAGGCAAAGAAGGAGAGCATTGGCCGGGCGCAATGGCTCATGCCTGTAATCCCAGCACTTTGGGAGGCCGAGGTGGGCAGATCACAAGGTCAGGAGCTCAAGATGAGCCTGGCCAATATGGTGGAAGCTTGTCTCTACTAAAAATACAAAAATTAGCTGGGCATGGTGGCGCATGCCTGCACTCCCAGCTAGCTACTTAGGAGGCTGAGGCAGGAGAATCGCTTGAACCTGGGAGATGGAGGTTGAAGTGAGCTGAGATCATGCCACTGCACTCCAGCCTGGGGGACAGAGCAGGACTCTGTATCAAACAACAACAGCAAAAACAAAAACAAAACAAAAAAAGAGCATTGCGTCATATTCAGTTTGAAGCCTTATCACTAATTTCATTCCAATTGGTTGCTCAAGGCTATTTCAAGATTAAACATAAATAAACAAATGAAAATATGGTTGGAAATAGTTTTCACCAATTTATAGAGTTATAATTGATATATAATTGCATATACTTAATGTTTCCTATTTGTTGAGATTTGATATATGATTATAACTGCAAAATCATCATTATGGTCAAAATAAGGCCTTAGCCCAAAAGCGTACTTGTGTAATCTTTCCCTTTACCTATATTTCCAGGAAACCACTGAACTGCTTTCTTTTAATATGTATACAATTTTGTTTTATAGAATTTTATCTAAACAAATTAATACAGGATATACTCAGTTTAATCTGGCTTCTTGCACCCAACATAATTTTGAGACTGATAAGTACTGCTGCGTGTGGTAATAGTTCTTTTTTTTTTTTTTTCTGCTTAACAGGATTGTGTTGTATGGATATAGCACAAATTGTTTATCCATTATTCATTGCTTTTTATCATTTAGCAAGGCTCTATTTGTTATTACAAAAATGACTATAAACATTTTCATAAAGATCTTTATGTGGATGTTTTCATTTAACTAAAATAACACACCTAGGAGTTGAATTGTTGGGTCTTATGGTAAATGTGCATGTAAGGTTTGTAAGAAACTGATTTTCAAAATAGTTGTATGATTTTACATTTTCACCAGCAGTATAGGAGGCTTCCAGTTGCCCACATACTTGTCACCACTACGTATTGCCAGCATTTTAAACTTTAACCATTCTAATGGTTCTAATGGATATGAAGGGGCCTCACACTGTAATTTTAATGTTTATTTACCTTAATATGCAGAACACTGTAATGGATTTATTGGCAATGCAAATGTCTTATGTGTCATGTCAATTTAGATCTTTTTGCCCATTTATATCGAGCTATTTAAATCCTCATTACTGAGTTGTAAGAGTTATTTATATTTCTATAAATTTGTTTCCTTTCTGTGGTTTTCCTTTTCATTTCTTGAATTTTAATTTTCATGCAGTCCAATTTATCTATTTTTAAAAATTTTATAGTTTTCACATCTTTGTTCTAGTTAATAATTGTTTCCATATATGAATGTGGTAACAATTTTCATCTCTGTATTTCATAGTTTTATATTCTTAGGTTTTACATTTAGGTGTATTATTTATTTCAGGTGTGAGTATGAGTGTGCGTGTGTGTGTGTGTGTTGAAAGTTAATGTTTGATGATTACTTTCCATAAGAATATACAGTTGATGCTATACAATTAAAAAATTACATTCATGTCCTGAAACATATTCATGCTTTTGTTGAAACTCAAATAGCCCATGAATGTGAATTCTGTATTATATTTTATTGGTCTGTGTTTACATGTTTGGTCTTAGTTGTTTAGTCTTGAGACCCTGAATTTCAGTCTTTTGAAGTTTAGGAACTCTTGCCATTTCTACCAAAAATCCTGCTGAAATTTGATTTAGATTGATTTTTGAATCTATAGATCAACTTATGGAGAATTGGCATTTAAAAATATTGATTCTTCCAAAAAAATAAAATACCTAAGAATAAAGCTAACCAGGGAGGCAAAAGATCTGTACAATGAGAACTATAAAACACTGCTGAAAGAAATCTGAGATGACACAAACGAATGGAAAAATATTCGATAAAGAAAAATAATCAATATTGTTAAAATGGCCTTATTGCTCAAAGCAATTTATAGATTCAATGTTATTACTATCAGATTACCAATGACATTTTTCACATAAATAGAAAAAAACTATTTTAAAATTTATATTGAAACAAAAAACAGCCCTAATAGCAAAGGCAATCTTAAGCAAAAAGAACAAAACTGGAGGCATCACCGTACCCAACTTCAAACTATACTACAGGGCTATAGTCAACTAAAACAGCATGGGACTAGTACAAAAACAGGCACATAGATCAATGGAACAGAATAGAAAGCCCAGAAATAAGGCCACACAGCTACAACCATCTGATCTTCGACAAAGCTGATAAAAACAGGCAATGGGGAAAGGACTCCCTATTCAATAAATGGTGCTGGGGTAACTGGCTAGCCATATGCAGAAGATTGAAACTCGACCCCTTCCTTATGCTATATACAAAAATCAACCCAAGATGGATTAAAGACTTAAACATAAAACCCAAAGCTATGAAAACTCCGGTAAAGAACTTAGGCAATATCATTCCGGACATAGAGAAGGGCAAAGATTTCATGAGGAAGACGCCAAAAACAATTGCAACGAAAGCAAAACTTGACAAATTGGATCTAATCAAACAACATAATTTCTGCACAGCAAATGAAACTATCGGCAGAGTGAAGAGACAGCCTACAGAGTGGGAGAAAACTTTTGCAAACTATGCATCTGACAAAGGTCTAATATCCAGCATCTATAAGGAATTTAGGAAAATTTACAAGAAAAAAACCCAACCTCATTAAAAAGTGGGCAAAGGACATAAACAGACACTTCTCAAAAGAAGACATTTATTTGGCCAACAAGCATATGATAAGATGCTCAACATCACTGATCATTAGAGAAACGCAAATCAAAACCATAATGAGATCTAACACCAGTCAGGTGGCTATTTTAAAAAATGATAGATGCTGGTGAGGTTGCAGAGAAATGGGAACACTATTCACTGTTGGTAGAAGGGTAAATTAGTTCAACCATTGTGTAAAGCAGTGTGGTGATTCCTCAGAGACCTAAAAACAGAACTCACATTTGATCTAGTAATCCTATTACTGGGTATATACCCAATGGAATATAAACTGTTCTATCATAAAGATACATGCGCATATATGTTCATAGCAGCACTATCCACAATAGCAAAGACATGGAATCAACCTAAATGTCGAACAATGGTGTACTGGATAAAGAAACTGTACAGATACACCATGGGATACTATGCAGTCATAAAAAAAAAAATAGACATCATGTCCTTTACAGGAAAATGGACGAGGCTTGGGGTCATCATCCTTAGCAAACTAACCCAGGAACAGGAAACCAAATACCGCATGTTCTCACTTATAAGTGGGAGCTAAATGATGAGAACACATGGATGTATAGAAGGGAACAACACACACTGGGGCCTTTCATAGGGTGGAGGGTGGGAAGAGGGATAGGATCAGGAAAAATAACCAGTTGCTTAATATCCAGATGATGAAATAATCTGTACAACAATTCCCCCATGACAGGTGACAGATGTTTACTTATGTAACAAATCTGTCCATGTATCCCTGAACATAAAGTTAAAAAAATCAATTTTTCTGATATCTAAACATTGTATATTTCTTTGTTTAGATCTTGTTCCATTTATCCTAGTATTGATTTATAAATTTCAACGCAGAGGTCTTAGATATGTTTCTGTATTTTTTACAGCAATCCTGTAAGTGGTCATTTTTAATATTTAAATTGTCTGCTGCTGGTATATAAGAACAATTGTTTTTATTGATCATTTCTATATCCTTGCTAAATTTATATATTACCTTTTGAACTAATTTCCATATTTCTGGAATTTTCTATGTAAAAATATATTAACAAAGTTTCATTTGACAATTTATGGATTTTATAGATTTTATTTTAATTTCTTACTTGATTATAATAGCTAGAACAACCAGTAAAATTCTGAGTGGGAAGTGTGAAAGCTAGCATAATTTTCTAGATATCAGAGGAAAACAACTTTGTTTTTTTTATCATTGTACATTATATTAGCTATTGAATTTTTATAATGTTCATTATCAGTTGAGTATGTTTCTTACTATTGTTAGTGTATTCAGCATTTAAAAATCATGAGTGGGTGTTGAATTATATTTTTCTGCATTTTTTAATATTGTAAATGTATTGATTGATTTTGAACATTAAATTATCTGGCATTCTTGAGGATAAACTACTGTCATGACAGCATAAGGAACTTCACTGGCTCACTTTCCAGTGAATCATAAGGCTCTGGACCCTAAAGGCAAATGGCAATGGAGAAACACAAGGAAATCTGTGAAAATTCAGTAAGAAAAGTAAGGGAATAGCAAATAGGATAGCTGAAGGGGACCGTTATGGAGTCAGAACAAATATCAAACACAGACATCAGAAACTGTTTCTTCAAAGTAGCCAAAATTGAATTGGGTTCGATTGTGGAGCAATTTATGCCCCAGTTCATTGGTGAGACTATTAGAACAAGGAGGAAGCAATTAATGGAGTTTAGCAGCCATGTCTAGTCAGGAATAGAGATAAGAGATCTGCACTAATGTCTTCCCAGAGCGCCTGTGAGTATCTCTAAAGAGATGCCTACTTGTGTGTTAACATTACTGGTTTAACACTGTATAGGTGTGGGGGGATGTACTTCACAGAAATGATATGCCTAGTCCAGTCATTAGGAAATAAACAACAAAACCAAGTCCTGGAACAAAGAATATCAGTACCCAGAGTTGCTAGAAAGTATACTGAAATGTCAGGTTTCCAACAAAGGATTTCGAGGCATGCAAATAAACAGGAAAGTATGGAGTTTACACTGGAAAAAATATTGCAGGCTACACAACTGCCTGTGAGAGCAACCAGATGCCAGATTTGAAAGAAACAGACTTCAAAATAGCCATTATAAATATGTTCACAGAACTGAAGGTAAGTATGGTCAGAGAAGAGAAGGAAGGGATGATGACAATGTTGCATTGAGGAGCTAATATCAATACAGAGATAGAAATTATGAAACAAACCCACAAGTATTATAGTAATTTCACATTCATGAGAAGGGCTTGAACGTAGACTTAGAATGGGTGATGAAAGATAAGCAAATTTGAGAATAGATTGAAAGAGATTATAAAGCTGAATAACAGAGAGAAAAAAGAATGAAGAAAATAAACGTTGCCTCAAAGGCATGAGGGGTATTATGAATTTCGTGTATATTTTTATCTTTTTCTTTGCTTTTTCTTTCTTTCCGTCCTCTTTTCTTTCCTTTTATATTGCCCTCTTGCCTTACTCCCTTCCCTTTTCTTTCCTTCCTCTCTCTCTTCCTCCCTTTCTTCCTATCTTATTCTTATTGTATAATGTGTTATTAGATTTTGGATTAGCCATGAACTACCTTCATAAAACAATTTGGTAAATGATTTTTCTCCAGAAAAACAAACTTATACATATATACATGCAGTAATGTTGTCACCTCTCCCTTGGATGTCAGATTTACCTTTCCTAGTTGATTTCCTAGAGATTTCCTAGTTGGAGTGTTTTGTTGAATTTATTTTGATGTTTTTAGATATAGAAATGGACATTCTATATCTTCTTGGATCAATTTAATTAGTTGTATTTTTCAAGAAATTTCTCCAGCTGATTCCCATTGAATTTGTAGAATACGTATGATAGAACAATTCTTTTTTAAATTTTTAAAAATTAAAATTTTAAAAAATTAAAAAAAAATAATAAACTTTTATTTTAGATCTGTGGGTACATGTGCTGGTTTTTTACATGAATATATTGTGTGATGGTGATGTTTGGGGTATGCTTGATCCCACCACCCAGGTAGTGAGTATAGTACCTAATAGGTAGTTTCCCCCTTTGCCCTTTCTGGTAGTCCCCAGTATCTAGTGCAATCATCTTTATGTCCATGAGTACCAAATGTTTAGCTCCCACTTATAAGTAAGAATTCGTGATATTTGTTTTTCTGTTTCTGTATTAATTCGCTTAGAATAATGGCCTCCAGCTTCATCTATATTGATGCAAAGGACAAGTTTTTTTTTTATGGCCATGTAGTATTCCATGGTATATATGCACCACACTTTCTTTATCTAATCTACCATTGATGGGCACCTACGTTGATTCCATTTCTTTGCTACTGTGAAGAGTACACGTGTCTTTTTGGTAGAATGATTTATTTTCTTCTGGATATATACCCAGTAATGGGATTGCTGGGTTGAATGGTAGTTCTAAGTTCTTTGAGAATTATCCCAACTGCTTTCCACCATGGCTGAAATAATTTATATTCCCAACTACAGTGTATAAGCATTCCCTTTTCTCTAAAGCCTTCATCTTCTCTGTTTTTTGACTTTTAAATACTAGCCATTCTAATGGGTGTGAGATGGTATCTTTTTGAGGTTTTGATTTGCATTTCTCTGATGGTTAGTGATGTTGAGCTTTTTTTTTCCTATGTTCGTTGCCACTTGTGTGTCTTCTTTTGAGAAGATTCTATTCATATGTTTTTCCCAGTTTTTAATGAAGTTATGTGCTTTTTACTTGTTGAATTAAGTTCCTTATAGATTTTGCATATTAGACCTTTGTCAGATGCGTAGTTTGCAGATACTTTCTCCTATCCTGCAGATTGTCTTTTTACTCTCTCTTTAGTTTCTTTTGTTGTGCAGAAGCTCTTTAGTTTCACCAGGTCCCACTTGTCAATTTTGTTACCATTGCAGTTGCTTTTGAGGACTTAGTCGTAAATGTATTCCCAAGGTCAATGTCCAGAATGGTGTTGTCTAAGTTTTCTTTTAGGAATCGTATAGCTTCAGGTGTTACATTTAAATCTTTAATCCATTTTAAGTTAACTTTTGTATATGGGAAAAGGTAGGAGTCTAGCTTGATGATTGTGCATATGGCTAGCCAGCTATCCCGGCACTGTTTATTGAATAGGGAGTGCTTTCCCTATTGCTTATTTTTGTTGACTTTGACAAAAATCAAATAGCTGTATGTGTGTGGCTATATTTATGTTATATTGGTCTATGTATCTGTTTTTGTACCAGTACCATGCTATTTTGGTTACTGTAGCCTCATAGTATGGTTTGAAGTCAGGTAATGTTATGCCTCTGGCTTTGCTCTCTTTGTTTAGGATTACATTGGTTATCCAAGCTATTTTTTGGTTCCACATGAATCATAAAATACTTTTTTCTAATTCTGTGAAAAATGACATTGGCATTTGATAAGAATAGTGTTGAATCTGTAGATTGCTTTGGGTAGCATGATCTTTTTAATGATATTGATTCTTCCAGTCCGTCAGCATGGAATGTTTGTCTATTTATTTGTATCATCTATAATTTTTTTTCTGAAGTGTTTTGTAGTTCTTGTAGAGCTCTTTAACCTCCTCAGTTACAATTATTCCTAGGTAGTTTATTTTGCGTGTGTTGCTATTGTAAATGGAATTGTGTCCTGGATTTGGCTTTCAACTTGAATGCTATTCGAGTCTAGAAACGCTACTGGTTTTTGTATACGATTTTGTATCCTGAAATTTACCAAAGTTGTTTATCAATTCTAGGAGCCTTTTGGCAGAGTGTTTACAATGTTCTAGGTATAGATTCATATTGTCAGTGAAGAGAGATAGTTTGACTTCTTTTTCTATTTGGACGACTTCTAGCTCTGGCTAGAAATTTCAATAATATGTTGAATAGGAGTGTTGGGAGTGGACATTTTTGTCTTGTTGCCATTCTCAAAAAAAATGGTTTGAGCTTTTGTCAGTTCAGTACGATGTTGGCTCTGGATGTGTCATGGATGGCTATTTTTATTTTTAGGTATATTTCTTCGATGCCTAGTCTGTTCACAGTTTGTATGATAAAGGGATGCTGGATTTTATCAAAAGCTTTTTCTTCATCTATTGAGATGATCATATAGTTTTTACTTTTGATTCTGTTTATGTATTGAATTACACTTATTGATTTGCATATGTTGAACCATCTTTGCATCCCATGAGTAAAGCCTACTTGATTGTGGTGTATTGACTTTTTGATGTACTGCTGGATACGATTTGCTAGTAGTTTGTTGAGAATTTTTGTCTCTATATTTATCAGAGATATTGGCCTGAAGTTTTCTTTTTTGGTTGTGTCTTTCCCAGGTTTTAGTATTAGGGTGATCCTGACTTTTTAGGATGAATTAGGGAGGAGTTCCTTCTCCTTGATTTTTTGAAATAGTTTCAGTAGAATTGTTACCAGCTCTTCTCTATAAATCTGGCAGAATTTGGCTTTGAAAAAAATCTGGTCCAGAGCTTTTTTTTGGTGGGTAGATTGGTTTTGCTGATTCAGTTTTGGAACCCATTTTTGGTCTGCTCAGGGTTTCCATTTCTTCATTCTCTGGGGATAAGCTGTAAAGGCTAATGATACCAAAGCAGGAAGGGAACTGATGAGTTTTGATATTAAAATGCAACTTTGAGTTTATTTAGAGATAAAATTAGTTTAATCTCCCCATATTCTAAATTGTAGATGAGTTTTGCAATCAATTTTTTGTTACTGGATTTTGAATGTAAACATAGAATTGCCACAATATTCTAGGAAAATTTAAATTGACGTTACTATTCCTTTTTGCTGTGGTTAACTGAATCTAATTCGTAGTGATGCCATATTGAGGGTATATTCAGTATTAATACATCTAAAACCAAATATAGAACATAGTAAGTATGTCATAAAGTAACAATAAAATATGATATTTATGATGGTAATTTCTTATAAAATCCTAATTACTCAATGAAATTTCTATATTATAGAGCTGGTGATCTCTGGCAAAACTTAGCAAGAAACAACATGTTCCAGAATCAAAATGACTTTATCAAAGTTTTCCAGAGAGACTCAGGCTTGAAATAACTTGCCTTTCAGAATGATAAAGTTGTTTTTAATATTAGCGACGTTGCTTTCACCTTCAAATTTCTGCCCTTAGTAGAATGATCTGAAGAAAAGTCAATCATTAAATTGTCAATAAAATGCTTCCAGGTGAGTCTAATTTTGCAAAAATTGTCTAAGTTAAAATCCCAAGACAAGCACTTCCCCCCTCAAAATTTTAAATATGACAGCACATTAAGCTTTGTTTTATAAAATGGTGCATGATTTACATATGACAACTTTTGAGAACTATGACTTTATCATAACTGGAGGATGAAAATTTTCTTAGCTTTTATCTCTAAGACTCTAGTCGCTTTTGACAAGATGGTAATTCAGACTTCAGCGATAAGGTGTAGATCAATTAAGTCTACTTTGGTTTTTACTGAATGCACTTTCCAGCCCTTTAAAATATTTTCAATCATAAGAACGAGGTTTGCAAGTGTTCTGTGATGAAGGCTACCTTAAATATGCTGGTCTGTCCCCTTGTATGACACTTTTGAGACACAGTTCACACTTATGCAAGACATTCAGGAAAAAAGAAGTCTGTGATTATCTGAAGTTCAAATTAATGATTTCTCAAATTTTACATACCACACATTTTAATTGTAAAATTCTCAGATTTTTTTTTTTTTTTGCTGTTTGAATCTATACTTGATTTCTGCTGTTTATCTAGATGACTTCTATAAAGAAGTAAGATCCAGGTGCTTTATTTCTACACCTATTTTACACCCAGTAAGTAGTTTTTATATCCATGGTGCTACAGATGGTGACTATGGTTAAATTATATTTGTCCCTTTGTTATTCCCAATGTTTCAAATCTATAAAGTCTGACATAGGATGATGTGGCATTGACATAGCTAAGTTAAAAATATTATTATTATAGTACTAATAGCATTTGGACTTTCAATTTCAGCTCCAACATGTAAATAAACAGCTGACAAGTTCTCACTCACCTTAAAATAAGCAAAGGCTGGAGAAACTGAAAATAAATGACTTATTTTTTACATATCAGATAATTCAAGTCAGGGGAAACTACCTCTTGGAAATCTGGAGAGACAGGATCATCCAGAGAGATCTATCTGAAATCTTCCTACCTGAAATAGAAGCCACTGAGTCCATAACTGGCTGAAACTCTTTAATGTTAATTTTGACAAATTCCTCAAGGCAGAGTGTTGGAAGAAAGTGTGAGAATTTCCTGTGGACTGCAGTTTTAAAGGGAACCCAGCATTTTTGTGGGCTTTACCTGCAGGCGATTCATTAGTTTCTCTCTGTGAATATCTGAGAAAGATCCACTTGTGCATCTGGCAAGGACAAAGGAAGAAAAAATTCATTGTGAAATAACTTCAGAGCCTTTGTGATAACACGGGAAAATTTTGACAGAGCTTTATTCCACTTTTTAGAGGGACCTTCTTGTTACTCTAATTCCATCCTGTCTCACTTAAGCAAAAATGAAACAACATCAACAACAAGAAATAAAGCAAAACAAAACAAATTAAACAGTATGAGAACTTCAAAGAAATAAACTGGGAATGCTGCAACCAAGGAAGGAAATAAAGGGTAGAGGAAGCGTTATACCGCTGGAGAAACGCTTGTGAAGAAATGTCACAATCCTAAGACACCAGCTCACTAAAAGCTCAGATCATAATTCTGTCTGTGCACAGCAGGCCAGGCATTTTGATACACTGGCCATGCCATGTATCAAAAGCTCCTAGGTTAGCTGCTGCCAGTAGTTCACACATACATGCCTGAGGAATAAAGTCATGTGGTACACAGCATGGAAGGCCTAAGGGATGCTCCTGCAATAGGGGAAGGTTTCATGATCATGACCTACCTATTTTTAAAGACAGGGACTATGTTTTGTTCACCATTGTATACTAAGAAACTCTAATATTAATTTCTCAATAAATACTTATTAAGTGAAGGGATAAATAAATGAAAATCTAATGTACCGATAAACTATGTTAAAAATTAAGAGGATTTGGTAAATCTAGCTACCATGAGATAATGCCCAGGAAAGAAAGAGGAATGATATTCATGCCCATCTACTTGTTGCATGGCTTAAAATCATGAAGACTCTCATAGATGCTGTGGTCTTGTGAAGGCAAATAAGATAATTCTAATAGGGTGTTATTTCTGGTTTTCTGATTATATTGGATGTGAACTAAAGCATGTGTTTGCATATCATGATCTCAGAACACTCTAGGACTTAGTAGTACAAAAGATCCTCACCATTACTACCTAACAATTCTGTAAGTTTATATCACTGCTGGGAAAAAGAAGAAAAACAAAACAAAATAAAAAGTTTTCTATTCCAGAAAAGACATGACTCAATCCTCCACTCCACAGAAGTTCCATGTCGTATTTTTCAGGGACATTTTCTTTCATTTTCTAGAGTATGATGCTTGCCAGTATTCACTGTCCAATTTTCCAGAACAAAAACAGAAAGAAACATAAATGCTCTGAAAATTACAGTGAATTATTGTGAAATATCTATTTATAGTAACTGTCTTCATGAATAATTAAGTTCATGACTTATTTACTTAGAGTACAGACAACGATTTAATTTATGTAGCCTGTTTAGAATTAAACCCTGTAATTTATTTTAATTGCAAAGATGAAAGATTATTCCCTCTCCCACTTTTCACCAACAACATAATCATTTCTGGTCATTTCTTCTATGTGATAAACATTGCTTTCTCTTTGTTTTTAATTACTTTGTCTCCTCAGAAGCTATCTCTTCTCATCTCTATTTCCCTTTCCCTAGTTTCTTTAAAGACTGAAATCATTTTTAGCAAGTCCTATTTGTCAACATCTATATTTTTTCTTCTTCATTCTCTGAAATTTTTTATACTTCCCAATATTTTTTGTTACACCATTCTTTGTTATTGTTTTTGCAACCTGTCAGTACCAGTGTAATAGACTCTGCCCAGAGCATACAAGATCCAAAGATGACAAGCTACATTGCAATTTGCATGAATTGCTTTCAAGATTTTCTTATAAACATGACAGTTTGCCTAGCTGCTGTCACAAGTACTATATTAATATCTGTTCTCATTAATTTCACAATGGGTTGAAAAAGAGTCACTTGTAATCGAGGGACCAAGTATATGTTTATATCCTATAGTTAAACAATGCAAATTTCCATGGGTTTTGGTTAACCAAATTAATTAGATCCTGAGTGTAACGTTCCATGATAATTAGTCTTTCAGTCTGGGTCCACACAATACAAAATAACTCAGAAAAATGACGAAATAATTTTTTCAGGCTGTATAATAATTTCATCAGGACAAGTATGCATTTTAAACTTACATTTTAGATAACTGATTATTATCAGTATTACCCATACTTAGGAATTTATGTGTATTGAATGCAGAGATGATTGTAAGTTTATCGTAGGGTTTACTTTCATATGCTACTTGAATGTTGAAATCATGAGTTAATTTCTCTTGACTGTATCTGCAGAAGGATCTCTAGATTTGCTATGATATGATTTATAATATGATACGGTTCTAATGTTGTTTTATAGCTAAGATTGCATAAGAGTCTGGAAATATACTTTATAATAAGAACAAAACAATATAGGGAAAATACAGGCAATACTATAGGATTATGTTGAAAGTTAAGTCACTCAGAGATGATGCTAATAGTCAGTTGCAGAGAGTATAATATTATATATCTTAATGCACTTGGGGAGACTCAGGTGTGATGTCAATATCATCATTTCTGCAGAGCCAGGAGTGCTGGTGCAGCAACTACTGTCCATAAGAGTCTTCTGGAAGAGGGGAAGTTATCTCCAAGAGCTCTCAAAATTACTCTGAACCTTAAATTACAAACCAGTGCAATACACCTTCATTATCAATTGCCAAGCCAAGAAAGTTGCCTTTAAAGGCAAATAATACAGAGGAAATTGTTTTATGTACTGTAAAACATCGTACAATTTCAGGAGACATTTTCAGCAACTTTCCATAAGTAAATTGATTTATATTTTATATCAAATCATATATAACTCTGTTAGGTTTTTTGTCCCATTATTTTATATTTAATTTCTTCAAATCTAATTCTTCCTCTCAGTTATGAACCAAAATCAGGAACTGAAACAATATTGGGTAACTGAAATCTGTGCAATACATGTTTGCTAAATCTAATGGAATTTTTAAAATATAATTCTGACTTTTTCATTATGTTCAATTCCAAAGGTTGTGTGTGTGTGTGTGTGTGTGTGTGTGTGTGTGTGTGTGTGTGTGTAGAATTGCTTTTAGGAAAAACACTTTTTAGGCCACTGTTGTTTCTATGAAAGGTGTGTATTTATTGGAGCATCAAAATTGATTTGTAGATTAAGGAATGCTTTTGATCTTCTCTGCCCCCAGGATTTGTAGTTATGACATTCATTTAGAATGCTGTGTGAAGTTCATCTCTTCTCCTAATCCCAAAGTTACTGCAACATAGGTACAAAATGTCAGTTTGTAAACATTACTTTGGGGAAGAAGCAATAAAAGTTACAAACAACCAAAAAATTTTTCTAATTTTTAATATCAGAAGATATTTCAGTATATCTAGGTTCATTTACCTTTGAAATTCAAGGTAACTGCTCTAAAAATATTTTATGAAATGTTAAATTCCTATGTTAGTTGCTGATCATTTACAAAACTCATTTACAAGAATGTGCTATAGTGTTTTTCCTTTAAAGGTTGAAGTTATAATTTATGCCATTTTCATCTTCCAGTGAAGATATCAAGTAGCAGAGGTATCTGTTGTTTCCTGCACAAGCCATTTACCACAAAAGTTGGAGAGAACAAAATAAACTGGTTATTTGTTTTTTTCTTAAAGCATCAAGTAGTTTGCATTTCCTAATGTACAAAAATGTAAAATATCTTCCTGGAACTGCTGTCCCCACTCCTAGATGCTTTTATAGAGATAAATTTTGAGAAAATATTATAATAATAGTAATATTAATGTAGATTCTTTTTTTAGAATTGAATTATACAAATTATTAAAACATTGATGCAACAGACTGAATGCTTTTGCTTGCCGAAAATTTATATGATGAAATCCTAACCCTTAATGTGATGGTATTAGGAGGGGGGACCTTTGGGAGTATATTAGGTCATGAGGGTGGAACTCTCACAAATAGAATTAGTTTCCTTATTAAAGAGACCCCAGAGAGCTGTCTAGCTTTCTTCTCATGGTCTTAGGATACAAAGAGAAGTTGGCAGTTTGCAGCCCAAGAGAGGGTCCCATGAGCACCAAATCTGTTCACACTTTAGCCTTGCATTTCCAGCCTTCAGAACTATGAGAAATTAATTTTTGTTATTTAAAAGCCACCCAGTCTGTGATACTCTGTTATATCAGGCCTGGCTGACTAAGAAAATTGGGGATCACACTCATTTTACAATAAAATGTTTATGTCCAGAACTTGAAAAAGGTTAATTGACTTCTTAAATATTGTACCTCAAATTCTCAAAAAGGCAAGCCACTGCTTCTCCTGAGTCCTTTGTTAATGATTATTCCCTATGCTCTTCGGCTATTCAACATTTCACCTTGTTGCAGTTCTACAACGAGGTCATCCTTGAGCTTCTTAAATGTGAAGCACAGCCCATGTCTTTTATTTTTATATTCCAGGTCACTTTCCTAATTTGATGGCTTTTAAACTACCAACTCACCATCCTCTTGCTCCTGGGGAGCACAATTGTCTTAGACATCATGGCCCTCGAGCCTTTGGTTACTTTTCTGGTGGGTCCATTTCTATTCCTTTCCCAATCTCCTCATCCTCTGCCAGTATCTTTATTGTCTATTTTCCATAATACTCCAGTCTCGGGACATTTTATTGTCATTTAAGAAGTTTTCTCTGGTTGATATCACCTTTTCTCATTGTTTCAATGACCACGTCTTAAGAAGCAGTACATACTGTATGTCAGAGACTGGGTCCTCCTGCAGTTTGCTTGGGTACAAATCTCACCACCATTAATTACAAGATCTGTGAGCTTGGGCAAGACATTTAATCCTCTGTGTCGCAGTTTTCTCTTCTGATGGATAGTAATCCAATAATATTATCTACCTCATTTTGTTACTGTGGAGATTAAGTGACATTAATTTATACAAGGCACATAGAACAGTAATTGATATCTAGCAATTGCTACTTGTTGGTATTAAGATTATTTTTATTCCGGTGACTCCCATATCTCCATATTTATCTCATATCATTCTCTTTAATTCCAGATTCTTATATCCAGCTATTCACAAGCATACATTCTGTGATGTTACACAAACATTAAGTTCAGTATATCCACATTGAACTCATCAAAAACTGTGTCCCTTAAATCTGTTTCTTTTTTTCATATGCATCTCCATGAGTGAAAATATCATCTCCCAAATACCATCAATCCATATCTTGAGAAAAATACTGAGTAGTTGGGAAGAATTTTTGTCGTTGTTATTCTTGTTTTACTTACTCTTCCTCATTTTCAGTCAAGGATAATGAAAATCGATTGATGCAAAGTCTTAATATTTCTTAAGTTTCTCCACCTTTTTTATCATTCTTATATCTCCTTGTCCATCTAGGCTTTGACTTGGGTGGTCAAATATCTTAGATTTATCTCATACTATAACTCCCTATTTTAGCCAGAATAGCTAGCACATCTGAAAATCATTCTACATATCAAAACTGCCCATAACTAAAACCTACCTCAGGGATATACTCTCCCAATACTAGGACCTATACCTGCAACAAAAAGTCTAGGATTAGCAGTTTCTCATTTACTTGCAGTTAGTCATCTAACCAAATATATGAGCAATCCGATTTGAGAAAGCCTTTTTTTTTTCTTACAGTCTCACTCTGTTGCTCAGGCTGGAGTGGTACAATCTTGGCTCAATGCAACCTCCGCCTTCTGCATTCATGCGATTCTCCTGCCTCGGCCTCCCAAGTAGCTGGGACTACAGGCGCTCACCACCACACCCAGCTATTTTGTATTTTTTTTTAGTAGAGATGGGGTTTCACCATGTTGGCCAGGCTGGTCTCAAACTCCTGACCTCAAGAGATCCACCCACCTCAGCCTCCCAAAGTGCTGGGACTACAGGCATGAGCCACCATGCCCGGCCCGAGAAAGCCTTTTTAAGTGTTCATATTCATTTGGCAAGTACTCTAATAATTCAGGATCCAAGCAAATATGGCAAACACAGTGAAGAGTTAAATAGACTTTGATAAATGGATTACATATGGAGGTATAATTAGCCTTTAGAAAACAAAGAAAGCTGCTGAGCCACACAGAGACCAGTATTAGTGGGAAGACATGACTACCTGTAATAAGCTTAAAAGTTGGAGGAGGTAGAGCTGTGTGTGAGCTGGTGCCATGGACAAGGGGCTCCTGACAAGGACCTGTGGTCATTGATCAGGTGTTCTCAATCGTGGCACTGTTGCATTAGGATTGGATAATTCTCTCTCTCTCTCTCTGTCTCGTGTGTGTGTGTGTGTGTGTGTGTGTGTGTGTGTGTGTGTGTGTGTGTGTGTGGTGTTATTTTGGGAGAGAAGTTGTCCTGTACATTGTAAAATATCAGCATCCTCGGTGTCCTCTTACTAGATTTCTGTAGCATCAGAGTTGTGACAATCAAAAAGGTCTCTAGGCATTGTCAAATGTTCTTTCTACTAGAGAACTACTTATCATAAAGGAATACATGCCAGCTATAACACAGTGCCAGAGAAAGCAGAGAGGAAAGAAGTGTCTTGATCATGTTCTCTCTGGATGCTCAGAAGCCAGAGGGTAAGGGAGGCTAGGTAATGTAGTCTCTAATTTTAACACCTTAGAAATGGACATTTTATTGTCGTTGGAGAGAGCAGAAAAGATGCTATAATTATCTCTAAGTATGACATACAATCTAAATCCTATTTTAAGACTAAATTACAACTTTTTTATTATATCAATTTTTCTATTTCTTATACCACACCTCCATATTCTTTTTTAATTTTTTAATTTTTTTTTGAGATGAAGTCTCCCTGTGTCACCCATTCTTGATGTTCACATATCTTGGTCAACTCAACTTTGTCCTCAATTGCTTAAATTAATATTTAAGAAAGGGACTATATTGGTCAAAATTTATTCCAAAATCCTACGAGTAGTTAATGATGAGATATATGTCACACGCACACCACATGTCTAGTGCTGATTGTCAATGGACCCTGCCTATCACAACCACTCAAGGAGCCAGGCTGATGGAGAAGCCATCTCATCACATGCTTCCATTATTACTGTAGAAAACCATGCAGATGCTTGAAGGCTTCTTCCTGGAAGTGACATGTGACACTCCTGCCCATAGTTCATTAACTGATAAGTAGCATCTTAATACCCAGCCTCAATGCAGGAAGAGGTGTGTGATCACACCACATACCTAAGAAACAACTCAAACTATGGTCAAACAATTGTAATAATTACCACAGAGAATGCATTTTATTTGGCTTTTACTCTCCCTAGAAATAAATTATTTTGCCATTTTCCCCCAGTCCCCTCTCTAAAAAGTTTCTGTAGACAGTAGGCAAACAGTGCTTTTAGTTCAACCTGAGAAATTTTTGTTATGGTGAATGAATCAATCACCTGATCTCTGACTTTCATAAGTATATAGGCCAAATATGAGGCTGAATTAAAATCCACCATGTGGCTACTGGACTTCTGTGGGTGCACATGCTAAGAGCAACAACGAATTGTGTTGTAGGAAACAAAATTTCCTGCCAACTGTTCTTGTGTCCAGTCTTGCTATTCAGACCCTTCTAAGTTAAGCAGTGCGATTACGTTAGGAATTTTCTCTAAGTTTTCTTTAGAAGTAGGTCATGTTGAACATTTCAGAAAAAAAAAAAAAAAGAACTAGATGATGACTGATGACCACTCTTTTATTAATATGATTCTTTCTTTACTACCTTGGGTAAAACATTGAAATTCCTTGCACATCAAAAGCATGTCTCGATAATTTCATTGGAAATCGGAAGACAGGAGGAGTATTTAGGGAGAAAAGCTTATGTCACCCTGTTTCTATAGTTCCTGATTTTAGATACAGCGAGAGAGGTCAGAGGTGACAAGGGAAGGGTATAGGCGATGATAAGAACCTGAATTAAGAAAGAGCTGAAAAAAGAAGACGAGACTTTAAAATTGAAGTGTATCTTTAATTTTTCTTAAACATTTTTTTCTTTTTTTTTTTTTTTGGTAGGTTTGGAGTGTGGTACAGTAAATAAGTGAGTGAAGAATGACTAACGTAGGCATTGAAGGAAAATAGGGCATTAAGTTGCAAAATAGATGGAGATACACTTCCAGTAGAGAAAAAATTTAATATGCTATACTTATATACAAAAGCTAGAAAAAAAATGAATGGGGTTTTAATTAAAACGTGAAAACAACCACCAGTACATATATAAAAATGGACTAATGCTTATCATTAGTCAACTAAATTAAAAATATTTTAAATGACACTTTGAATATTTACAAATATTTACAAATATTACAAATATTTACATAGGCTCAACAATGCCCAGTGTCAGCAAAGTTTCAGAGAAATGTTGCTGACTATACATACAAAGTTTTTTTCTAAGACAGTTGTGAGATTTGCATTGAAATTATAAACGCATAAGCCTTTCAACCAGAAATTTCAATTCGCTAATCCTATCTTCCAAAGGTTATCTGTAAAATTATATGCTTAATAATGAGCAATATTACCCAGAAACAATTTACTCTCCATTCCTAGGTAAGTGATAGGAGCATATGATTTAAGATCAAATAACTGTTAATAAAAGATGAGAAAGGGCTATACTGAGGCTAATCAAGATCTAAAATTCTAGACGCCTATGATGTGTATTTCTTGAGGAGAGAAGGTTGTGTTTCCTGGCACAGAAGCAACAGATGCTGCATGCACATTACACTGATTGCTGTATTTCTTTCTCTCTTGTTGTCAAAGATAAATGTATCTGATTCATATTTGTGAGCAAGTAAAGGTGCTTGTAAGCGTGAATGTAAGTTCAGTGCCATTTCAAGATGAGATGCGGCTGCCATTTCAAGATGAGATCCATCTTCACATCATAAATTCCACTCGCCCGGTACTATAGCTGAACTTTCTATTCTTGAATTAAAGATGAATAAATTTGGGTCTTTGCGTGACATCGTACATACAAGTCTCAAACGGGCAATTCAATATGCTTATCAAAGAGCTGAAAATAAAGGTCAATGGTAAAACATTTAGACAGTAAATTTATTTAATATTTAAATTTAGGATTTAATGAAATGATAATATTTAGTATATTAGCTACTGATATAAAATTAAGGATAAAACCTAATGTAAGTGTGATTTACCTATTTCAGTATATTTTCCTGAGTGGACAACATCTATTATAATCATTCTTCAAAAAGTTTTTTGTGTATTGGTGAAAAATTTTATTTCATGATACTTTTTCTTCTTTTTTAACTCATTACTAATTTAGGCGTGAATTTGAGTATCTAGACTAAACACTTGTATAGGTAATAGTTTGGTAACTGAATTTTGGTTTAAAATGCAGCTTACATTATGAGATAGCACAACTTTCAGTTTATAATTATTTCTAATCCTTCAGATATAATATGAAGTTCAAATATCTATTGTTAGGTATATGAATAAATTTATTTAAGCACTCTACTAATCGATTATGAGGAAAGCATCTAAATATTATTTTTAATGTAAAAACAATTACTACTTTTCCAGAATGTCAGTGGCTGTTATATGCTTTCACCATAAATTTTATTATTAATAAAACATGTCATTTTCGTGACTATATCATGTTAAATGTTTCAATCATCAGTCATTGCCATAAAATAGAATGTCCCCTTTAGGGGGAAGGTAAATTGATTCTGAGTGAATAAACATCATGTCCGGTACTTAGTCTTCATTTCATCAGACTCTTACCTACAATCTGTCTAATGTTTTGACAGGATGAAAAATGTCATCTGGAATAAACAATGAAATTCACCACATCATCACTAACTCCTACCTTGTGGAAGTGCTAATATTTACCTTAAGAAGAGAGTAAACTTTATCATTTAATGAGCTTAATGTTATGTTTCATATAGTTAATATACCAAAAGAAGTCCCATGCTTACTCACAAATAAATTAATTCAGTGATACATTGAGTACCTCTTAATTGAAATCTACCATTTGCCAAGCATCATAGTACTTATTGGGTAAAATATTGAACATAATAAAGAAAATTTCGGTTCATGGAGCTTTTAAGCAAGGGAGGAAACAAAATATATACGGTAAAAGCCACCTTTGGTGCACCATGCCACGTGCCCACCTGTTGTCAGGGCAGCTCTGTTGGACGATTCTGTGCACTTGGTAGTATCCCCCACCAAGCATGGACAGCTCTGTTGTGGTGCCCTGGGGCTCCCTCCAAAGCTACAGATAACTGGACTTCCTTCCATGGCATAAGTCAGATGTATGGGGATTCCATACTCTCTGGGGCAACTCTTAACTGGGGAAGTGTGGATGTCAGTGCATGAGTGTCCAGTGGAAAGAGCCCAGCAGAGAGGATGATGGAAAGATTTATTTAAAGCCAACCTAAGATGACAGTTTGAGGCAACATCTTACAATATGTGGGGCTGTAGCCTATGGGGAGTAGTGACCAAACAGCCAATATGTGTTTCTGTGTTGCCAATAGCTTCAGGATCCAAAATATAGAAAGGGAATTAGACCTGGTCACCATCACTCAGTTACTCACTTGCATAATATATGCTTCTTGTCTTCTGAAATTGAAGTTCCAGCTGTTGTTCTGGTTACTGGGGATGGAGCTGAAACATTTCTGCCAGAGGACACAGGAAGTGCTCTCCAGAAACTAAAGATAGGACCACTGGCTTGCTTTGGGCTTCTCATGGCTGTCATTGTTTAGGGATGTTTAGGGGCACTCCTGGGTGCTTCACAATGGAGGCCAGAAACCTATGTCTGGACCTCAGTGTATTAATCTTAAACTCAAGTAAAAGAAGCCAGTCACAAAAGATTGCATATTGTTTGATTCCATGTATATGAGATGTGTAAAATATGTAGATCTACAGAGACTGAAAGTAGATTAGTGGTTATCTAAGCTTTAATGTAAAGTAGCTACTAGTGGGTATGGATTTTCATTCATATTTTCATGAAAATATTCTAAATTTGAGTGTGGTGATGGCTGCACAATTCACCATGTTTGAATGTAATAATTATATATTTTAAATGGATAAAGTGTATGGTAGGTGAATTTTATCTCCATAAACATGTCCAAAAAAGGAAATATTTAAAATAAATCTATTTAAATATGAGCACAAAATCAATAATTTAAGATAACAATTATAAACATTATTGAGACAAATTACCGAATACTTAAGTAAATGGAAGAATATACCATTTTGATGGGTTAGAACTCTTGATATTGTAAAGATGTCCATTCTTCCTAAAATGATCTATAGATTCCACACTGTCCAAATTAAAATGCCAGCTTTTTTTTGGTAGAAATAGATAAACTTATTCTGAAATTTACATGGAAGAGCAGAGAGGCAAAAATAGGCAATACAAATGAAGAAAAATAAGATTTAAGCTGAAGGCCTTACAAAATAGACTTTAAGTTTTAAAAATAGTTGGAATAGTTAAGGGAGTGGGATATTAGACAAGACAAAGTTTCCAATATAACAGAATTTTGTTTGCTGCTTTGTTTCTGGACACTCTAGTCTAATTTTAAGAATAATAGTAGAGCTTTCACAAGAAAACACATAAAATATTTGTTAAATAGATATATAAAGAGTGCACAAAAAGCACTAAGGACTAAGGAAACATAATAAACCTGACATATTTTACAACATGTTACAAATAAGGAATTCAGTATCAAAGTATACTATGAAGAGATTAAAATGGTAGTCCTCAGAGTAGAATATAATATTTATAATACAGATATCTAACAACAACAGCAAGAAGAATAAACACCTCACGCGCAGACTACATAATGTTAAGATAAAAGGATAGTCAAGACAATAGGAAATAGGCAATTAGAGTTGAATAGACATTACAAAAAAAAACGTATCCAGGTGATCAATAAGTGATGAAAGATTGCTCAATTTTACAAATCATCAAGAACTGCAAATTGAAACAACAATAAACTTTCGCAAAAATGGCTAAAATGAAAACTATGAAAAATGCCAAGTGTTGACAAAAACTAGTCTTTGGCCCTCTCATATAGTTCTGGTTGGAATGTAAATTGAAATAGTCAATTTGTAAAATCATCAGCATCTGTGAAATCTGATGTTATGAATACCATGTAATCAAATAATTCAACCAAACTAGGAACATATCCAACAGATACATGTTCACAAACATCCATTTGCTTCAATGTAGTAGGAGCTCTATTCTTATTAGACAAAATCTAGAAATTGCCCAGTGGCCCTTCAGGGAAGAATAATATAGAAGTTGTAACATATTTAGTGAATGGATTACAATAGTATTGAATTATCTACACCTATCAACAACCACGTGGATGAATATCACAAATATAATGTTGAATGATGAGTTGTGACAAACAAAAATGGGCAAAACTAATCCTTGCTTTTAGGCATCTGTATAGTCATTATTCTCAAGGATGTTCCTGGAAAAGTGCACAGGTTCTGGGTCTGGGGTGATGGCAATTTTTTTTGTCGACATGGAGGTGCTGGCCACCTAGGTGTGTATAGTGAGAGAGAAAGAGAGAAAGAAAGAGTGTGTGTATGGATGTAGCCCAGGCCAACCCAAGACCAGTTGAATCAGTAAATCAGATCATCAGATTTTTTGGGGGTGTTGATTTAAGGGGTATGAGAATAAGTTTGTTATGTGGATATATTGTATAGTGAAGTCTGGCACTTTAGTGTAACTATAACTGGAATAATGTACACTGTACCCATTAAGTAATTTCTCATGCTTCACACCCCTCCCACCCTTTCAGTCCCCAATGTCTATCATCCTACACTATATTCATGTGTAAACATTGTTTATTTCCTACTTATAAGTGAGAACATGTATTTGTCTTTCTATTTTTGAGTCATTTCACCTAAGATAATGGCATCCAGTTCCATCCATGCTAAGCAAAGAATATGATTTCATTTTTTATGACTGAATATTATTCCATTGTGTGTGTATGTTTGTGTGTATAAGCATTTTCTTTATCCAATAATGCACTGATGAACACTTTGATTTCGTATCTTTGGTATTGTGAATAGCACTGTGATAAATGTACGAGAGTAGGTATCTTTTTGATACAACAGCTTATTTTCCCTTGGGTAGATACACAGTAGTGGGATTCCTGGAACTAATGGTAGTTCTATTTTTAGTTCACTGAGAAATCTCCATACTGTTTTCCATGTGCTAATTTACATTTCTACCAGCAGTGTATAAGCATCCCTTTTCTCTGCATCCTCACCAACATCTGTTTTTTTTTTTTATTATTGTACTTTAAGTTTTAGGGTATATGTGCACAATGTGCAGGTTAGTTACATATGTATACATGTGCCATGCTGGTGTGCTGCACCCATTAACTCGTCATTTAGCATTAGGTATATCTCCTAATGCTATCCTTCCCCCCTTACCCCACCCCACAACAGTCCCCAGAGTGTGATGTTCCCCTTCCTGTGTCCATGTGTTCTCATTGTTCAATTCCCATCTGTGAGTGAGAAGATGCGGTGTTTGGTTTTTTGTCCTTGCGATAATTTACTGAGAATGATGATTTCCAATTTCATCCATGTCCCTACAAAGGACATGAACTCATCCTTTTTTATGGCTGCATAGTATTCCATGATGTATATGTGCCACATTTTCTTAATCCAGTCTATCATTGTTGGACATTTGGGTTGGTTCCAAGTCTTTGCTATTGTGAATAGTGCCACAATAAATATACGTGTGCATGTGTCTTTATAGCAGCATAATTTATAATCCTTTGGGTATATATCCAGTAATGGGATGGCTGGGTCAAATGGTATTTCTAGTTCTAGATCCCTGAGGAATTGCCACACTGACTTCCACACTGGTTGAACTAGTTTAGAGTCCCACCAACAGTGTAAAAGTGTTCCTATTTCTCCACATCCTCTCTAGCACCTGTTGTTTCCTGACTTTTTAATGATTGCCATTCTAACTGGTGTGAGATGGTATCTCATTGTGGTTTTGATTTGCATTTCTCTGATGGCCAGTGATGACGAGCATTTTTTCATGTGTTTTTTGGCTGCATAAATGTCGTCTTTTGAGAAGTGTCTGTTCATATCCTTTGCCCACTTTTTGATGGTTTTTTTTTCTTGTAAATTTGTTTGAGTTCATTGTAGATTCTGGATATTAGCCCTTTGTCAGATGAGAAGGTTGCAAAAATTTTCTCCCATTTTGTAGGTTGCCTGTTCACTCTGATGGTAGTTTCTTTTGCTGTGCAGAAGCTCTTTAGTTTAATTAGATCCCATTTGTCAATTTTGGCTTTTGTTGCCATTGCCTTTGGTGTTTTAGACATGAAGTCCTTGCCCATGCCTATGTCCTGAATGGTAATGCCTAGGTTTTCTTCTAGGGTTTTTATGGTTTTAGGTCTAACGTTTAAGTCTTTAATCCATCTTGAATTAATTTTTGTATAAGGTGTAAGGAAGGGATCCAGTTTCAGCTTTCTACATATGGCTAGCCAGTTTTCCCAGCTCCATTTATTAAACAGGGAATCCTTTCCCCATTGCTTGTCTTTCTCAGGTTTGTCAAAGATCAGATAGTTGTAGATATGCGGCGTTATTTCTGAGGGCTCTGTTCTGTTCCATTGATCTATGTCTCTGTTTTGGTACCAGTACCATGCTGTTTTGGTTACTGTAGCCTTGTAGTACAGTTTGAAGTCAGGTAGCGTGATGCCTCCAGCTGTGTTCTTTTGGCTTGGGATTGACTTGGCTATGCAAGCTCTTTTTTGGTTCCATATGAAATTTAAAGTAGTTTTTTCCAATTCTGTGAAGAAAGTCATTGGTAGCTTGATGGGGATGGCATTGAATCTATAAATTACCTTGGGCAGTATGGCCATTTTCACGATATTGATTCTTCCTACCCGTGAGCATGGAATGTTCTTCCATTTGTTTGTGTCCTCTTTTATTTCATTGAGCAGTGGTTTGTAGTTCTCCTTGAAGAGGTCCTTCACGTCCCTTGTAAGTTGGATTCCTAAGTATTTTATTCTCTTTGAAGCAATTGTGAATGGGAGTCCACTCATAATTTGGCTCTCTGTTTGTCTGTTGTTGGTGTATAAGAATGCTTGTGATTTTTGCACATTGATTTTGTATCCTGAGACTTTGCTAAAGTTGCTTATCAGCTTAAGGAGATTTTGGGCTGAGACAATGGGGTTTTCTAGATATACAATCATGTCGTCTGGTGGGACATATCTCAAAATAATAAGAGCTATCTATGAGAAACCCACAGCCAATATCATACTGAATGGGCAAAAACTGGAAGCATTCCCTTTGAAAACTGGCACAAGACAGGGATACCCTCTCTCACCACTCCTATTCAATATATTGTTGGAAGTTCTGGCCAGGGCAATTAGGCAGGAGAAGGAAATAAAGGGTATTCAATTAGGAAAAGAGGAAGTCAAACATCTGTTATTTTTAAACTCTGCAAGAATTCTAATGGCAGAGAATAGGTGGTATTCACTTCTCTGTTATAAGGTGAAGATAAATGACAAAAATATCCCAAAGCTGTAATTTTGAATCGTGAATAGCTACTATTTGAGAGTGTTTTCTTGTACTTTATATCCATGAATACCTTTAGCACTTATTTCAACCCAGAGAGACATATATTATTGTTCCTATTAATACTGAGAACACTGAAACACAGATTATATCTTATCACAAGGTCCAATAGCTAGTAGAGTTATCAATGTTATGTTTTAAATGCAATGCCTTTTATACTAAATTCTGTGTTTCACACTATCACTGCCTGCTCACCTTATATTTGAAAAGGCAAATGAAACAAGATGTAAAATTTGAAATTAACATGTTTTTATTTATCTTCAGAGGTCAAATATCAGAAAGGAGTTGAACAGTATGTTACAAACCCTTCGAAACAATACAATATTTTTTCATCTTTATTCACTCTGCCTTTATTTATTGGTGTTGCATTTTGGGCTCCCTCTTGTTTTTCATAATAAATGTAAAAAGTAACATGTATGGTTAGTTTCAACAAGATTTCAACCCCAGAGAGAGGAGGGCAATATACAGAAGCAGCATTTTACCATTCACTTCAAGTTACTATGCTTCTGTACACCTCTGCATTTGCTGAACTGCTCTTCTAATTCGAAACACTAAGCTTTAATAAGTTACACTGACAAGATTTTTCCTTACAAATAGGCATAGCTTAATAGATCATGGCTCAATTTCCAAATCGATTTTTCCTTTTGTTTACTGTCATACTGTAGTAAAATACGTTATTCTTTTAAGCATTCAATCTCCATGTTTGTGCAAGAGTTTAGAAAGGTCAAGACCAGTGGGGAGTGGAGAAAGTAGACTGTTCCATTTGTTATTTACAATCTGACCCTTATTGATGGCTGTACAATCCCTATAACACTTCTCCTCCCAACACACACACACACACACATGCACACACACACACACACACACACACACACACTGAAAGTAGGGTCCACAGTCCTTATGATTAAGTTTTTATTTTACGTATTCTCCAATTATGCTAAAATTACCGTTTATCAGTATGAGTTGTTACATATAAAGGATTCTGGGCTGGGAGGAAAGGATTGCTTGTTTGTATAAGTAAAACAGTTTTCAGGAAAGATAGCACATGTAACCCCAACATTCAGATACTGGGATCCTCATATAATTGTTATTACTTATTAGAAAAAGTCACTCTATCTTCTAAAGAATTGAGTGAAAAACCCAGAAAAATATAGATGTATATATACACATATATTAAATATACATTATTGACATACATGTATACATATATATAAACATATCTATATGTACGTATATATATATATATACCTATTTCCCTGAATCAACAATTGTCTTAAAATTATACTTCTAAATGAACATAGAAAAGCAGAGTTTATCTTCAGAAAAGAACAAAAACAAACTTGAATATATTTCTGCATTGGTTATTTTTACCTTTTACACAATCACATCTGTTTTTTTGACAAAAGAATTATCCCATTATGTTCTTCCATAGACATGGTTAAAAGAAGTACCAACAAAAAGACTATTAAGAACATTAAGACTCCACAAAGAACTCTTCTTCAGTTTTATTTAAAAACTATCTCAAAGATCTGACCTTTTTCTTTTATAAAAAATAGTCTTGTAATTTGCCAGAGCGGTTCATGAAACAGGTTTGTTGAAACCAAAGTATTAGAAATTAAACCTCTTATTCACAAAATTTATACTTTATTAGTAATTTGAATTGTTTTAATATATCTCATCTTCACTATCTCTATCACATCCTCAGGTGGCACACAGATTGTCTAGAATTTACAATTTTATTTTCTGGAAGATTATCAGCCAGATGAGCCTTGAAAAGCATTGTATTGTGGTGACTAATGTACACGCTGTAATCACACATACAAAGATTGTAACTGTACATGCCCAATTACCTATTTGTACTCCCATTCATTCTCCTATGTGTAGGGCAGAAAAGGTATCTAGATCAATAAACTCAGGCCATTCCATTAATTTACTCAGTCTTTTTCAGATGCCCTTGTCTTTCAGATTTTCTTTTGTCATCTCTCTCTCTCCAAGGGAGTAGTTGGCATTCCTGACCTTGAAAAGATTCCTAATTCTGGCCTTGCTGCCCTGGCTACAAGATTGCTGATATCCAGCTGCAGTGACCTCCCTGGTCAGCTTGCCAATCAGCACCATCTACAACCTTGTGGTCCTTTCATGGGGTTGGTGGAAGAAAGCTCTTGGACATGGTTGTAGCCACATAGGGCCCATAGGAAATTCTTGGGGGCCAAAATGAAGTGCTTCTTCTGCCATATTAGATGAGGCTCAAGGCCAGTTTGATTTTCCTTTACCTGTCTTGGGTAGGTAGAAGGTAGAATGTACATGTGTGAATGGGAGTGGCCTGAAGGGAACAGGGGACTCTTGGGCTATCACTTCCTGATTTTTCTGTTTTTCTTCCAAACTCACCTATACTTTGTCTAGGAACATTGCTTGAAGAGATGGGTTTGCATGCCTGCTGTTCCTGCCACTCTGAGTTTCTCCCTGACACCAGGCTCTCTTCTGCTCAGCATGCCATATGCAGCTTCAAGGGGGTATTTGCTCTCTTTCCTTGGCACATCATGTGGAATGACTGCCCAGGTATCTGTTTCACAATGGAAAGAAATAAAAATATCAGTTTAGTATTTTCAGAAAGTGATCTCTGAAACAGCATGTTGGATTAAATTTCTTTACACCATGGAGTGAGACTGAAATTCTCTCCTATTATCAACCGTGATTTGGGATACAAACACTTGTTCAGGATCAAACTCTATCGTTCGAATCTAATTTTTCACAATTCTAGGATAGGGAGCATTATCAGAAGCAACCATATTGGTATCTGAAATTATGTTTGATGATAGGAGTGGATTTCAGCCCTTCTGGGAGGTATTCTCCTTCCATGAGACGAAAGAACAAGCTTTGTTTCTCTAAATTAATACCAGGATGGGACAGCTGACCTTAGCACTTTTTTCTTCTAGTCAGGGCAATTCTAACGTAAGTGCAGAACATCAGTGAATCATGTTACCTGGGAACTGAGAGATGTCTGTTCTAATTGAGTTCTGGTTAGAGTAGAAAAAACAATGAAAAGATTAAATTAAAGGAGACTTTCCTTAGATCACCAGTACCTTATAACATATCAAAATCAGAATTCATTGACTTGCTTATTTAAAGCTACACTTTTCATACGTCATTTATTTATGTAACTCAACCTTTTTTTTCTTATTTTTATTGTAAGTGAACCTCCTTGTCTTGACACATTAAGATGAAATGTATCATTTGCTTTTTTTCCTCCTCCAGTGAACATATATAGATGAGCATTAGCTTCAGATAAATAACATTCAAAATATTATGTAATTTTTATGTAATGTAAACAAGTAAAATCCTTAAATGCAATACCTTTAGAAAATTACAAATTAACAGGCTAAACAAATAACATTTCCAGCACTCCACATTGTTGGAAGGGGATTTTTTTTCTTTTCTTAATGAAATCCTGTAACTTAGAATTATCTGCTGTGAAAGTGACAACTTGTTAATAATGGTTTACTTTTCCCCAGATTAAAAACACCTTCAAGGTTGTAAAATCAATACAATCAGCAAGTTGCTGTTATGTTCTTTTAAATTTATGGGAAACAAGCCAACAGAATGGAATAAAAATGGCATTTATTTACAGAGTCACAGAGATAGGGACCAATTCCGTTTGCCACTGACTATGCCAGATCTGTAGAAGATAAAACATTACATTTTTGGGGAGGTGGGGTTCAAATTTTCCTTCAAACAAAATTATATTCAGAATCTTGCTAGATTGAACTGGATGGAGTACAGCCCAGAAACCTACAGTCCTGTTACTCGTTCTCATCCTCATCCAGTGAAGGAGGCTGGAAGGATTGACCAGATCCCTGGAACTCACAAAGCAGTTGGAAATCATTGATAGGAGAAGCAGTGCTCAGCATTGACATCAGCTGTATAATTGTCTTCTGAGTTCTTTATTATTCTCCTTACATCACTTCAACTTTTCACTGACGACACAGAAAAATATCATGGTGTTATTTTTATAGTTGAAATGGCTTGTTAACATTTAAAAGTATATGAATTATGGAAAATATATTTGACTCTTGAACAACATGGGAGTGAGGGTCGTTGACCCCCTGCACAGTGGAAAATCCACGTATAACTTTTGACTCTCCCAAAACTTAATGATTAATAGACTACTGCTGATCAGAAGCCTTACTGTTAACATAATAAATTAACACATATTTTGTATGTTTTATGTACTATAAATTGTTATTACTACAGTAAAGTAAGCTAGAGAAAAGAAAATGTTATTTTAAAAACATAAGGAGAGAAAATATTATTCATTAAGTGGAAGTGGATCATCATAAAGGCCTTCATCCTCATCATCTTCATGTTGAGTAGACTGAGAAGGAGGAGGGAGAGGAGGGGCTGGTCTTGCTCTCTCAAGGGTAGCACAGGTGGAAAACGTGGAAGGGCAGGCAGGAAAGACAGCCATACTCAGTGTAACATTGAGGAAGTACGTTGTAATTTCTTTCTGACCTTTTCATTTCTCTAAAAGTGCTTCTGTGTGATACCAATCCTTCTTCCACCATTTGCTTTCAGTTTCAGTACCCATATCATAGAAGGGTCCATGTCATAAAAGAGGCCAGAAGCTGTCTTGAATAATCGGAACTCTTCTACCACATTGTCTAAAGACAATTCTTTTTCTGCCACTGTTTCCTCTGTCTCCTTCCTTATCACCTGGCGCTGGTTCTGAAGCACTTATCTCCATCCAGTTGCCTCCTGTTAATTTCTCTAGTGTAGTGTCTATTACCTTTTGAATTTACTCAAGATCCGTAACTCAAAACCCTTCACCCCCACCTTTTTGCCATATCCACAATCTCTTTCATAATTTATTGATTGGCTCTAGAGCAAATCCTGTCAAGTCAGGCACATTATCTGGACAGTTTTCTACAGCAGGAATTTACTCTTTAGGGCTTGATGGCTTTCCCACCTTTTTCTATAACAATGATGGCATCTTCGATAGTATAATCCTCCCAGACTTTCATGATGTTCTCTCTCCCAAGGTTCTCTTCCATAGCATTGACAATTCTTTCCATATCTTTATAGGAGTTTTTGTTGGAAGCGATATAGACTTTGTTATGAAGGATGAGACATGTTATTTAACTTAATATATGTTAGATGCGGAGCTGACACTTTGTGCAAAATTTATTTTACTTCAACTCGATACAGATACTTGGATGATATATTTAAGTTCATGGATATTGCTTTGGAAGCTGAGTGAGCAAATAAGCTGCCCTTATTCCTCCCAATTGTAAAGAGATGGCTTCTAACCTGAAAGTTAACATGAGATATAATATTCTTTAAAAATATTAAAAATTATTTTAATATCAATTAGATAATTCTGAAAATGTTCCAGAATTTATCCAGGCCAGTAAAGAAGCAGATAAGAATTGTGGTGGACTCAAATCATAACATCACCAGTGAAATTTTGCAGAATGTGTGAGTTTATATTTCAGCTTTGCTACTTGCTAGCCCTGTGATTTTCAAGTTCTGTAAATATGAATATGATCTCTTAAAAATAGAAAAATAATGCTGCTTTGACTAACTCACAGGATTATTGTGAAAAATAGTTTAAAATATACATTAAAGAACTTTGGATCTGAATATAGATATTAAAAAGCACATATCCCTGGCTTAGTGTGGGTTAAGCTCAATGAGTCTCTGCTTTATCACTTAAAACTTTAATTCATGGTCGGACGCGGTGGCTCACGCCTGTAATCCCAGCACTTAGGGAGGCCGAGGCGGGCAGATCACGAGGTCAGGAGATCGAGAGCATCCTGGCTAACATGGTGAAACCCTGTCTCTACTAAAAATACAAAAAATTAGCCGGGCGTGGTGGTGGGCGCCTGTAGTCCCAGCTACTCAGGACGCTGAGGCAGGAGAATGGCGTGAACCCGGGAGGCGGAGCTTGCAGTGAGCTGAGATGGCACCACTGCACTCCAGCCTGGGCGACAGAGCGAGACTCTGTCTCTAAAAGAAAAACAAAAAAACAAAACTTTAATTCATTGGATTTTTGGATCACTGAAATGTCTATTATTCACATACTCTAGGTCAGGTTGCCTCACTTCCTGAACTACACTCAGAATGCAAATGAATTTGACAGTCATTCTCCCTCAAAGAGTATTCTTTCTCAACAGGCCTTTGTTCCAAAAATTCTGTCTGAAATGTGGACTTTTGATTCAGCATATAGCGAGTAGCATTTTCCCAGTAAAAAGTCAGAGTCAAATTAGGCTTCTCTCCTTAAAAATATAAATGAAATATAATTTTTGAAACATAATTGGAAATTTAGAAAGTTAAAAAAAAAGGCTGTAGATTGAAGGAATGTTATAAAAGGCTGAAAAATAGCAAGTAAAATATATGAGATTTGGTTATAATTAATGAAATTAATAATACAATAAAATTCTAAGAACTGGATATGTTTAGTTAATTTAATTCAAACCCGATTGTGCCTTTTTTCATATAAAGTAATTCCCATGATAATATAAGTCCGATTATATGACTGAAATTATTTACTCGCATATTCAGTATGATCAGTGAGATTTTTTTTTTAATGTTTTAAGCAGAGATATACAGAATTCTCATGAGGGATTTCAAAAGGGTGTCATGAATATTTAAATGTACCATATGCAGCTGCTTGGTGGCCCAATGTAGGCATAACTTTAACATGTCATTTAGCAATATGTTATAGGAAAATGCTCTATAGATCATGGGGTCAGCAAAGTATAGTTCATGGACCAAATGTCACCTGCCACCTGTTTTTTGATAAATAACATTTTATTGGAAAACAACCATGCCCATTTATTTCTGTATTGTCTACAGCTTCCTTCACACTACAACAGCACAGTTGTGTAGTTGCCACAGAGACTGGATGGCTGGAAAATCCTGAAATATTTACTCTCTGCACCTTTGTAGAAAAAACGTGGTGACTCTTTCTAGAGATCATTTCTTGTGTCAGGAGAAACCATCAATGACTTTAATATGAGCAAAAGGTCATTGATGTCTTTCAATAGAATGTTGATTTTTTAAAAAAGATTCTTCTGGGTTGTGTTAAAAAGAAAAAAGGAAACAATGTTATTTTCTTTTTTAAAAAATGATATATCTTTTTATGGTTCAAAATATTTTAGAGTACTTTGAGACCTTCATATTTCCTTCTCTGTTAATTCTCTCTACACCTGTTTTTTTTTGGCTCATTTTTATATTAAGTTTTGAATAATTTTCCCTTAACTTATAGAGTCCCCTTATTTGTTAGAGAAGTTAATCATTTGTCATATAAAATGCAAATAGCTTCCCTACTGGAAAAACACTAAATGTTGTACAAAGATTGGGATGTACTTATTTTTATGTGGTATAAAGTAGAAGTATAGTTTTATTTTTCTTTATAACGTACCTGCTTTTCCCAAATGGAGTTAGTTTGCATATGGAGTTATTTTCAGTTTACATATATTATTTTATGTTATAGATTATATTATGTGCCTTATATTTTCTATTTACAATATAATTTAATGATTAAGCATATTGTGTAGATCCACCTATTTTATTGTTTCTTCTGATAAATCTGATGACCAGTGACAACCCATCTGTCCTTTGCTGATCCTTTCTGGACACATTTTATTGGACGCTTCCATTTCTTTCTCTTGTGTACATCCCATGTCAGTGATTCTCACTGGCAAACTCCAACCTAGGGCACTATGAAGAGAGAAGTTTGGGGGATATAGTTCTTGACTTCTCCTATGGAATGAAAAAGACCTTAGAGGTCTGAAATAAGATTAATTTCTGAGTCAAGATATAGGAATAAAATTGGGTTTTCTGTCAGATTCATTTATTAGATATGTCCCAAACCATATGTTTATCATAAAAGCATAACTTTTTCAATTAAATTATTAAAATCAGATGCTTATCTAGTTACATTTTAACATATCTGAAATTAGGATGCAGTTTACAATTAATTGTTTTTCAGAGTTTATTTTCCTATAGATAGTTTTCTCTTGTATAGGTTCACAAAATACTTTGGATATGAAAGGTTATAAAATGTAGTATATGTAGTGTACATAGAAATGGACATGGAATGACTAGTAATAATGGTTTCTATATCTTGATAAAAATGTTTAGCAGTGTGTTCTTAGATTTATTTTGAGAGACAGAGAAAGGTATTTTGAGATGCAATTTCCTCATCTCTCAAGTTACAGAATATCGTGCCACACCTTCCCTCTCCCCACTTCATTATCTCCTTTCAGTTGAAATACTCTTTTGCAGGACAGAAATATGCCTGAGTTTTAGCATTGGGTAGATTTATATGGAAGCTAGTAGGAAAAAAAATAACTACAGTGTCACGTCCTAATAAGTGATATTGGCAACTCTAGTGACTCATGGAATGTTGATAGAATTCTGCAAAAAATTCCGATGGGTTAGATAGTTTTTACAAACTTGATGATTATGTTGTTTAGAAATTTATAACACAACTTGCTACTAGTACACACTTTTAGAAATCTTACACTAAAGACCCTCAGTTGACCAGGAATCCCCTGTCACCCCACTATGACAGAAACCACCTCTCCATGTCTTACCAGATATTCATCTTCCAAAGAAAAGTGTGGATCACATATCTTGGGTTACAAATATGTGGTTCTTTAAGGCCTCAATTTTGGTAAATTTAACACAAGAATTCTGTAAAATTAGTACATTCATTTTTATTCAACAAAGGCTCTGTCCAGTATTGGTTTTAAGGAAGATCAAGAGCTGGCAATGAACTAGGCACCGTGGTGAGATGACAAATGGATGATAGCGTAGTGCAGAGACTGTCATGTTATTCATGACAGATAGGGTTTAAATCTTGAATACTTCCTATTCAGGAAGGTGCTGACCAATACCAGATTCCTGCAGTGATTTTCCCACAGCCAGCTTAACAATCTGAATTTTGAGAACCCTCCCAAAGCTTTGAAAACCCAAAAGATTTTGTTACTGTCACTGAACACTTATACTGATGAGGATTAATATTCTTCAATCCCATTTCGTGTGAATATTTGTATGTTTCTAGGTAGATATAGTAATGTTATTGATTACAGGTGCTGTCATAGCCTCTATATGGGTATTATATATTATATAATTTACAATGAATGCACAATCTTACCTTACATTTGAAATACATCTGGTATTGGATGAGAAAATAAGTACATATATTAAGTATATATAAGGTTACTTATATTTTATTAAATATAAGTTGTATTAAAATTATATGTGGATAGAGTTTTACAGACACTTTTTTTGGTTGATATTTAAACTATAAAGTACACAATGTTGTATTTGTTTACTTGAGCTGTCATAATAAAATACCACAAACTGTGTGGGTTAAATGACAGAGGTAATTTTCTCACAGTTTTGAAGGCTTGGTATCCAAGTGTAAGGTGTATGCAAGGTTGTTGCTTTTGAGGCCTCTTCCCTTGGCTTATAGATGACCGTCTTTTCATTGCATCATCATACTGTCTTCCATCTGTGTTTGTCTGTGTCCTAATTTCCTCTTCTTCTAAGGACATCTGCCGTATTAGATTAAGGCCCACCATAATAATATTATTTTATAGAGTTGGCCTCTTTAAAGGCCTCACCTCCAAAAGCAATAATATTTTTAGTTACTGGCATTAGCACTTCAAGATGTAAATTTTGGAGGGACACAATTCAGCCCATAACAACTGTCTATATGAAGTCTCTAATGTAGTTGTAACAAAGAACAATTACCCAGAAATGAAAAAGGAGGTACAATAAACTCCTATGGAAGAGGAACCCAGGAAGGCCTACTTTCAGCTTATCAATAACAAATGTTGCGTTATATTATCTCAACAACTATCAATTTTAGCTCTCTTCAGATAGACTCCTTTATTGGTGTAGAATAAAATGGTAAATAAGCAAAACTAGTAGAAAAGGAACAGTTACATGGCATTCTTGAATTTAGTAAAATATAATCACAACACAGATATTACCCTTGAAAAAATGGAAAATGGAGACAATTTAGATTTTAAGCTGGGTGTCTTTAACAGCTGTTCCCCATTAGAATACTATTGTTTTTATCACTTTGTTTGAGAGAGTGATATAAACCATGTTACCTGAAATCTGAACTATTTCTGCTGTTACCATTGAGCCTGGCAATATGGTTTGAATTTTTAAATTATTTAAAATGTTTTGAATTGTAACATGGTTTGGCTGTGTCCCCCCTGAAAATCTCATCTTGAATTGTAATCCCCATAATCCCCATGTGTCAAGGGAGAGACCAGGTGGAGGTAATTAAATCACGGGGATGGTTTCCTCCATGCTGTTCTCATCACAGTGATTGAGTTATCATGAGATTTGATGGTTTTATAAATGTGTGGCAGTTCCTCCTGTATTCAATTCTTCTTCCACTGCCTTGTGAAGAAGGTACCTTGCTTCCTCTTCACCTTCCACCATGACTGTAAGTTTTCTGAGGCCTCCCCAGCCATGCGGAACTGTTAATCAATTAAACCTCTTTCCTTTATAAATTACTCAGTCCCAGGCAGTTCTTTACATCATTGTGAAAATTGACTAATACAAATGAGTTCATTTAGAATTATTACTTTTGTCATTTCTAAGGACATTGATGTGTATTTTTATCTTTGAATATAATAACTCCTCAGGATATTTTTAATGGGCATATAACATCTACTCTTTTTGAATTACATGTCAATTTACTCTCAGGTGTCTCTGAAGTTATTTATTGTTAAAACTGTGTTTCAAGTATGAATACATCGAGGTTGTAATCTTAACTGGTTTTACATGACTCATACTTTACAGATGTATTTTCTCACTGAGGCCCGTTTTGCAGGGTACACAGTAGGACAGAAGTTTTTGATGTTTAAAAAAATTCCCATTAAATTCAGAGAAAAATTTGATACCACCTTACTGTCAAATGTTTGTTGGATTCTTATAATATTCTAAATCATTATTATAATTCAATTTTTTAGTATAGAATGACATTTATTTTTTTGGTAGAGTTTTAGCAAAAAGATAAACTCCTGTAATTTAGGATAAGGAAAACCTGGCACAATATGATCAGAGTTGATTGATATATTTTAACATGTTTTCTACTTCAAAATAAATGAGGAATACATTAGAACTACAAGTTGTATTTCATTTTAGTATTTATGGCAGAGAATAAGAAAGAAAACCGGTTATTGTTTCCAGGCTGTGAAGAAGGAGTCACATTATATATCACTATGTCCACAGGGGACATGATTAGACAAAATCCAGGAAATAGAGGAATATTTTGTAAAATGTCTTACTGTGAATTTCATATAAAAGTAGCTTTCTATATTATATTGTTGGCTTAGTTTTAACTTGGGATCAATATTTATTTCTCCTAGATTTTGTGGCTCATGTAAACAGCCACTTATCTTTGAAAACTTATAAAGCAATTTTTCTTTGATATGCATGATGGTGGAAATGGTAGAGTAGGCAGAATTTCTTCTTTCTTATGCAAAAGTTATATGTCATTATATACTCCAAATGATTATTTCTTTAGAATTGCTGATAGTCTTTTAGCCACTCCAAACATAAATTCAATAAAATATATAACTCTTTATGTGTGAGTCCATAGGTTAAAAAACAAGCAAACAATAAAATTCCAATGGTTAAAAAACAAGCAAACAATAAAATTCCAATGAAAGAAGCAAGTTGAAGCAAAGGAAATAACGATAAAATGTAGTACATTGGGCAATGGTTGTAAAAAAGTAACAGTTAGAAATACGAAAATTAAAAGCATGTTCAGTTGTGTGGAAAAGAAGGCATTGTTCAATTTCAGAGGAAGGAATCCATAGTAGAACTAGTAAAGATATCATCAAATACAGTTTCATAACAAACACAGAGGTGAAATAGATGATTTCTGAACCACTATCATACATGCTTCTTACCACTAATATGTATGAAATTTTACATTATAAAATCTAACTTTGAAAAAAATTAGTTCAATTTATTTTTGCTTTTCAGAGCTGCATTTGATGTTTTCAAACATTGTTGATACATTAAAAGTTATTTAAATTATTCATAATGATACATGTTCTTATTTCCTGAAATACATATATTTTGAAATCATTAGAATATTATTTGTTATTGTAGAAGGTATATCGTGAAGTTTGGTAAGTCTACAATGAGACAGTTTTATAGATAGTGACTGCTTTTAGAATAATCATGAATGTTCTAGTAAGGATGATCACATATGGGATGGACATATTTTACAGCATTGATGTAGGACCTTGAAAAATTAAAATGCACAAGACATGCTTATTGACTGAATCCATGTCTCAACACATAATGTAAACTTCAGGAACACTTTATGTGGTATCCATTTTCTGAAAAATAAATACCAAAGCCATGTAAAATTTATAAATATAAAATAGTAGTAATGTTTTATATGATATAGAGTATTTTAATAAAATAATAAAAATACTTAAATCAGAGGTGGAGGAGTTTGTATAAAAAAGTAGAAAACAAGTTGTTAGAATGATGTCTCTTACTTGTGATATAATTTCACTGGCCACTATTACATTTCTTCTATTTCCATGTAAAACATGAATTATTCTGTAAAGTACTATAAAACGTTATTTTTTTAAACTCAGTCAACATTTACTGATATGTTTCAATAAGAAGACTCAGTGATCACAAAATTGCCCTTCTACTTCCCTTAAACCCCACATGAATCTTGTGTTATATAGTATGTAATAAAATAATAAACATAAGGGATTGGAATAGACATCTGGTCTAATTACGTACCTTATGATCAATCATACTTAACCACCTTCGATATGTTTCCACAGTAATCTTGTTTTCTGGAATCTCCATTATGAAGTTCCACAGTATGAACCAAAGTCTGTTTTCTTAGTCCCTCATATCTGCACAGTCGAGTCTGATGGTCTTATATATTACGCTTGTTTTAACTATTTCAAAGCATATATCATAGTGAGTACTTTTCTCTGTAATGCCCCTGAAGATTTCAACAAAACTACTATTCCATAAATACACATCTCCTCCTACCCTGCTTGCCTTTTCTAATAGTGAGTATAACGTGGTCCCTGTAGCTATTTTCTCATTCTTTCTTTGGTAACAGAACCCTAAATATATTCAGAACACTGTTTTACAAAACTTGAAGACTATTTTCTAAGCTGTTTGCAACTAGCAGTGCCTAGTAACATGTGGCATTGCTTGGGAATTTTAGAGAACTTCTTTAAAACTGGCTGGCTCAGTTGAGAGGTGCACCTGTTTTCCTTGCCCACTTCTCCCTCCTGCTGCCAGGGACAGGAGAAAGCTGGATATCACAATATTGTGATATCCTCAATGTGATGTTTTAGACATAACAATATAACTTGACTACATGGAAGGCATTTTGTATACATATTTTCTTGTTCATCTGAATTTATTTTAAAGTCATAGAAATGAACTAAAACCTGGTATTGCATTTTCTCAATTTTTCACATTCCAGATTATCTTCTCTGTCCATTTGCAAAACATCAATCGGGAAGTAAATCTTATTGTTATTTCATTACATCATACTTTATTATTGAATATGTATATTTTAAAATAATTTCTTAGCTCTTCATAAAGTGAGAATTCAGGAATACTATTATTTTAGTAGACTAATGGAAGAATTAATTAACTACCAATATAATAAATGTTGTAGATATTTGATAAGAATTCTCTAGTGTTACATATATTTGTAACAGCTACCTCTCATTAAGCAAAGTTAAATGTAAAAATAACTACCAATAAGTAAAGGTAAATATACAAATTAAAAAATGTTGAATGAATAATATATTTTAATATTATGTCAATGAATAATAACGACCATGTTTTATTTGGCAAGGAAACATCTTGGTGGGTGACATTTTTATTTCTACTGCTTGGCAAATATTAATAAATTCTTGCTCTTCCTCACCTTACAGAGAAAACACCTGGAGTGAGGTTGTTCATGTAAGAAGCATCTGTAGAACAAATTAGTGTTTGTTAATCAGATGCCTTTCTTATGTTGCTAACAGATAGCCATGCAAAACAGAATTTCCCAGGGAAGTGCAGATGTGTGAAAAGCAAAGGAGGAATCTGAAAAAACTCAAAGTGGCTGACGGACACTTTATGTATCGTGACTTATCCACCTCATCGGGTGTGCCAATCTGGGCTCAATGTTTCCTTTTTTCTTTCTTTCTTTCTTTTTTTTTTTTTTTTTTTTTTTTGTCATTGGATTCTGGATGTTGCTGTCCCCAGAAATGATGGCCTAAGCTCTAAGTGCTCTGTGAATGGCCCAACATTAACACTCAAAATACATAACCACTGCATAAGCCCATTTGGCAGATACTGAGGTTTGATATCTAAATGCTATTCCCCAGCAATTTCTCTTTGGTCTGCCTCCACTGTAGAGACTAAAATACCTAAATAAGTGCTTTCTCATGCTCCTTAGTAGGTAGTGAAGCAATATAACAGAGCTATAGGCAATGGGTCATAATATGCATTTTACTATTTTGTAGATAAAAGAGACGAATGTGGTTTATTTTGATATCCTCTTCATCTTGCATGGTAGCCTGATCAACAGTAAGTCATTCTCACCATGAGGCAGGCGACTGTCTCAACACTGAGAATGGTAGAGTTTAATGCTAGAAATGTCTTGAATACTGATTTCTTCAGTGAGTTGCTGCACAACGTTTAGTTGCTGCTGGTCTCCAAAACATATTTTTAAGTGAGCAAAATAAATGTAAGCCATTAGCATTCAGATATTCTGTTACTTGTGGCTAAAAAACATTTTAAGCTGCTACTTCCCAATTTTTTATCTCAGATATATTAGTTTCCTGGGGCTGCTGCAGTGTAGTACCACAGACAGGGTGGCTTCAAAAGAAATTTATTGTTTTATGGTTATGGAAATTGAGGTGCCAATAGAGGTTTTTTTGTTTTTTTGTTTTTCTAAAGGTTGCGAGGAGTATTCTGTTCTCCCTTAGCTTCCGGTAACCTTGGGCATTTCTTGGATCCCATATGGTATTCCTTCTGGATCTTCACATTTTGTCTATCCCTATCTCCAAATTTTCCCCTTTTATGAGTACACCAGTGATATTGGATTAGGGTCCACCCTAATGGACTCATTTTAATTTCAACATCTGCAAAGACTATTTGCAGTAAGGTTGATTTACAGGTACTAGGGTTACAACTTCAACATCTTTTTGGGGAAACAATTTAACCCCTAACAGCAGAATTCAGCATAGAAATATGTTTCATATTGTAGACTGAGTTTAGATTAGCAAATTCAGTTTCTCTGTGTGTAATCTATCTTTCCCTGTCTGCATGAACACAGGCTCTGGGGTTTAGTGGCTCTGGAAGGTGATGGCCTATGCCAATAGTACTCAAAGATTCTACTTTTGTTTACCTTGAAAGTTTTCCTCTCTCTTAATTGGTCTTTAACTGGCTATCTTTTCTAGATTGACATTTAGATTCTCTTAGAAGGGTTTGGATCATAATCTCTAAAGACACAATTCCAAATGCCATACTTCCGAATGTTGAAATCCCAAAAGATTGAATTCCTAAAGTCTAAATTCCTAAAGCCTAAAATTCCTAATGTCTAAAATCCAAGAAATTACAATCACAAAATAGTTGCATCATGTTAGGTGGAGAGATTACTTTGTTATTGTTTTTATGTAGAAAAAAATGAATTTCAACGGAGTCTCCAAACTGTAACGACAGATTTAGAATCAGGTGCAATCAAGGCTTCCAAGTGAATTTCAAGGTGGTATCAATGAAGTTTCTTTTTTTTTTTTTTTCCATTCAGCCCAATGTATTTGGCAAAAAAAACTCAGGTGAATGGATTGGCCATACAATATGGCAACAATGAAAACTTCAGTTTAAAAGTGTGCCATTTGCCTGCATTGGCATTCTTTCTAACTGATTAACATATCAGGAGCTTTTAATGAATTAAAGCTATCTTTGCCTGAAGAAGCTAGCTAAATTATGAAATAGTTTAAAAATAATTATGTGCATTGTAGGATAAGAAGACACGTATGCAAAGGTGTAGCCGTTTGATCACCAGTATTGTGGTCTATATATATGCACATGGGGAACGGACTTCCCCATAGTTGTTAATATACACAGTATTTATCCTTGCAAAAATATGCATGTTATTTTATTGTGTATAGTGGCCTATGAAGTGCTCTGTTATGTTTTTATATGTTTCTCCAGCAAATCGCCTTTAAGAATGTAAACAAATATAGAGCCTTAAAAATTATTTTTCCAGAATTTTAGTTTTGAGAATTTGATCTTTCAGGATTGAGATTTTAAGGGTTTTAAACTAGAAATTTTGATCTTTCAGAATGTCTATATTTGGGAATATGGTGTTTGGGGTTTCATCTTTTGGAAGTTTGATTGGCTTTCCTCTAAAAGTTCTCATATATGTTAGGTCTCATTGCTATTGTATTGACAGGTTTTCCAGCGTGATCTTTTTGTTTTTTGGGCATAATTTCTTATATCTACAAAAATAAAATTAGGTGCTGTGGAAAAATAATCAGCATTCAGACACCTGGACCAAAATTCCCATCAATAAGTTTATGGTCATATTTGATACTAAAGAATATTTAAATCAATGTGTCACACTATTCTGTATTAAAGTAAACAATATTTTAACTGTACTTTAAGTGAAATCCAAAGTGATTTTCAGGTACACCAACAAGTCTACATTTTAAGTCATCTCATTCAAATATGTCTCTTATACTTAGTGAACATATGGGCCAGATATTATGTATAATATGAGAAAATAAAAATAATAGATATTTTTAAAGAGTTTGAGACCATTCTGTTTTTTCCCGATGTGTGCAATAAAATATCTTGCACATCATATATTGGTACGTATGTCTTTTGAACTCTATTAACCCATTTATGCCAGAGGCTGCAAGTTTTTTTTTGTGTGGAAAATCAGACCTTGTTGATGACCTTCAGCAGTAGGATATAAATAACTCCCAGAAGCTTAGCGTTCCAATAATGGAACACTAGGCATAAATGGGTTGACACTTAAATTTTGTCTTCTTATATAAATCCCATTGCTTATAATTATGAAGTATCATTCAATGTGTTTAAAATATCCACAGTGGTTACATTTCTCTAATTTGGAGGAGTATAGCACTTGCTTTAATCCAATCACTGTGGAGTTATTTTGTTTGTTTTTTGAATAAACAAGCTCAAGGATCAATTGGCATTGATATTATTAATTATCTCTTTTCGGACTAGAATTGGCACTCTGGAAGAATAAGTATACTTATTTTCTACATTTGCCAACATTTTAATTTATTATACTTTATCACATTTGTTAATTCAGACTTACAAAAATATGTTGCTTTATCAATATAAATGCATATTTACAATGGTGGTTGGCACATTTTAAAGAAAGAGAAAAGTAAAGCTTGCCAAACAGATTTATTTCATAAATATAAGGTTGGTTTAATATTTGTTATTCAATTTATTAACATAATTAAGATCATATATCTTAACTCAGAAAAATATTCTCATAATACAAATTTATAATAAAACATCTCAGAAAAATAGAGATACATTAGAACTTATTCAAAATGGCTTAAAATAAAGAAAATCTATGCCAACACCAAACAAAAATTATGCTTAAACAAACAGTTCAGGACTAAATGTTTTTCCAACAGCATCTGAAAAAGGAAAGGATGTCCATACATATTTCTTCTATATACCATTGTACTAATGATCCTAGCTAGTGCAGACCATGGTGTTAATATACAATAATCATATGTAATGTTATATAACAACAATAAATAATTGAAAAAAGAAATACAATTATATTAGAGCAAAAATTCTCAAAATATTTAGGGATACATTTATTAAAATATGTGCAAGATCTGTATATACAAAACTATTGAAATTTACTGAGAGGAACTAAAGATAAACATAAATGGCACAAAATGCCATGTCATGGGTTGGGAGACACAGTGCTGTCAAGATGTCTATTTTCCTCAAATTGATCTATAGATTTATGGTAGTCTTGATAAAAAACCTCAACAGGTTTTTTTTTTTTTTAATAGATACTGGCAAGCAAATTCTCATAGACCTAGATTAGGTGTCTGGTACTGAATATTACTGCTATCAGTGTACACCTTATAACCAGGGAGGGAGATAAGTTTAAAATGCATTTGTGAACTGACTGGGGACACTAGAAGATTTAAGTGAGTAAAAACTTTATTACTTGATGTTCAGAAGCCCACCCTGATCAAAATATTTTGATTTCAGGTAAGAGCATTAACTTGGGCCCAGTGTCCAATAATTCCTATGAAAATTGTACTTTTTCCTTTATTTCTTTACAGTTGCCCAATATAGAGTATTGGCTGCTGGTAATCTTGGGGAAATTTAGTTGGGCACATTCTTGTAATGTATTATGAAATTCATCTGCCATTTTTCTTCACTTTTATTCATTGAGCTCTGGGATTTGCAACTGATGGAAGTATAGGAGTTTATTTAAATCCAATAAATCTTTATTTTGGACAGTCAAGTCTCAAGTTAGATTTTAATTCACCAGACCTAGATATCTTTATTGTCTAATAGTCATTAAGCAGGACTGTGTATGACAGATCATTTATTTTCTTCCAAGGACCCGACAATGTATTTGCTATTGTCAAAGGCCACTGTGGGTTAGGTTGCTCTAATTAGCAGTTTAGACCTTGTGCCTATCATAATGACCATTATCACTCATGTTTTCTCTGGCAGGCACTGTTGCAACTTGACCTCTTCCACCTTAGACTACAATTATCCTCATTAAAATAAGAGCCCATTTCAAAGCCAGTATATCCAAACCAAATTTCTAGTTGAAAACAGAATAACTGCCACGATAACCTTTCAGATATACTGGTTCTCCCTTCCCCAAAGTATTCTTCAATTCTTCATTGAAAGAAGGAACTCTGGGACCCTAAAACTGGAAAAATATGGGTGGTGGGCAAGTGAGTTACAAGTAATTAGTTATGTGCAACGTTTTCATTGGATGTTCTTCTAATGCATTATTCTAATACTTTTATCTATATTATTTCACTGAATTTCTATCATTTTAACTTGATTTAGTGAGTGAAATGTTAAGTCTAGATTTTAGAGAACTAACCTAAGAAATAATACTATATACAGTTTATTAAGCAAGCACAATTAATTTATAATCTCTGGTGTGTGGATTCTCCGTGATAAATTCAGCAGAATCCAGATTTTTCTCCCTTCCTCTTCTCTCACAGAATCAATTTCCATATATATTACCTATGTTTTGTTTTTGTTTTTGGCAAATACAAATTAGCAAAACCTTACAATTCTTGTTTGTGAAAGCTTTTCCTTTTCATATTTGACTTTATGATTTTTTTCTTTTGAGATGTGCTTAAATATGGATCTAATTAGAGATCAGATGTATTCCCTTATTCAGCACACACTTTCTCTTCCATCATGGCAGACCTGGTCAAGAATACCGCTGGCTGCAAGCAGGTTAAGTAAGCTCTTCCCCTCAGGTTTTGCCACTTATTTTGGAGAGCAAGATCTACAAAATCTACAGAATCCACCACTGGTATATTTTGCCCTACTATAATTTGATTATATATTTGAGGATAAACTCTTGATTTAAATACATATTATTAAAATATATGGGAAACCTATTACCTTAATAATACATGCAATTAAGATAGTCAAAGATTATAGAAATTTTGTGCATGTTTCTAAAATAACAAAGATTGCTCCACTATCATTAACTTCCAGTTTTAAAGTGGTAGAGTAATAACTGTATCTTACTCTTCTTTTATAGGAATGACAGGAAAGTAAGTATAAGGAAAATACATATACGTACCAAATTCAAGGAAACTAAGAAATTATTTAATATATGATATATGAAGAAGAAAACCAGTGAAGATCAATAAGGTGCAGGAATATATTCTAAAAGGACTATAGGTTTGGGGGCACATTTATTATTTAAACCCAAATATGTGGGTGTGTGTAACTGTGTGAAACTGTGCATCAGGTAGGAGAATCAATCGCTCATGATAAATTAACAGTGTTTCTTTCAAATTATTCTTATCAATGAATCTCTGTCACTTAAATCTGATGTATCCAGGAAAATATTCACTGTATCTACTTCAACCTGCTTTTCTTTTAAGTGTTTATATATGGCAGTAGTCTAGAAGCACTGAAAGTCTTTTTGGCTTGTTATTTAAAAATGCAATCGAAAAGACAAAAAAGTTAATTCTGATAGACTAGATTTAGCCACATTCACACAATAATAGAGTCCATGTTTAAATTTGACAAGGCTGGGCACGGTGGCTCACGACTGTAATCCCAGCACTTTGGGAGGCCAAGGCAAGTGGATCATTTGAGGTCAGGAATTCAAGACCAACCAGGCCAACATGGTGAAACCCATCTCTACTAAAAATAAAAAAAATTATCTGGCCGTGGTGGTGCATGCCTGTAATCCCAGCTAATCGGGAGGCTAAGGCAGGAGAATTGCTTGAATCTGGGAGGCAGAGGTTGCAGTGAGCCAAGATCATGCCACTGCACTCCAGCCTGGGTGACAGAGCGAGACTCAGTCTTGAAAAAAAAAAAATTGACAGCCTTTTCTGGATATTTCTGGGATGCATCTCACAGGAATAACATAGAGCTGTACTAAGTGAGCATTCTCTCATTCTCTGCTCACAACCTCCTGCCCCTTTCAAATCACACTCAATGTGGGTTTTAATAATGGAGAAGCAGAAACAAGAGAGTGTAAAGGAGATGCAAAACACATACTGGTATATTTTAATTTACCTACTAGTACATTTATTAGGTATTCAAAACTTGCTGAAAAATGTGATTGGCAGAAAGAAAAAGTATAGCAACTATTTCAAAAAGGCTGAAAGCCTGCATAAAAATGAACTCAAAATGGATCAAAACCTAAATGCAAAACCATAAAACTTTTAAAAGATAACATAGAAAAACAATCTAGATGATCCTGTGTTTGGCAATGACTTTTTAGATAGAACACCAAAGGCATGGTCTGTGGAAGAAGTGGCTGATAAGCTCTACTTAATTAGAAATAAAAACTGCTCTTTGGAAAACACCGTCAAGAGAATGAGATGAGAAGCCACACGCTGGGAGAAGATACTTGCAAAAGACATATCTTATGAAGGACTCATTCAAAATATACAAAGAATGCTTAAAACTCAACAATAAGAAAATGAACACTCAATTTAAAAATAAGCAAAGACCTGAACGTGCACCCATCAAAGATTTACAGATGACAAATAAGCATATGAAAACAGACACTTGTCAAAAGAAGACATAAATGCAGCTAACAAACATATGAAAAAAAAGATCAACATCACTGATCATTAGAGAAATGCAAGTCAAAACCACAATGAGTTACCATCTCATGCCAGTCAGAATGGTGATTATTAAAATGTCAAAAAACAACAAGATGCTGGCGAGGTTGTGGAGAGATAGGAACACTTTTACTCTGTTACTGGAAATGTAAATTAGTTCATCCATTGTGGAAGACAGTGTGGTAATTCCTCAAAGATTTAGAACTAGAAATACCATTTGACCCAGCAATCCCAATACTGGGTGTATACCCAAAGGAATATAAATCATTCTGTTAGATGTATGTTCATTGAAGCACTATTCACAATAGCAAAGACATGGAATCAACCCAAATGCTCATCAATGATAGACTAGAGAAAGAAAATGTGATACATATACACCATGGAGTACTACGTAGCCATAAAAAGGAACAAGATCATGTCCTTTGCAGGGACATGGATGAAGCTAGAAGCCATTATCCTCAGCAAACTAACACAGGAACAGAAAACCAAACACAGCATATTCTTACTTATAAATAAGAACTGAACAATGAGAACCCATGTTGGACACAGGGAGGGGAACAACACACACTGGGGCCTGTCAAGGGAGGGTGGGGGAAAGAAAAGCATCAGGAAAAACAGCTAATGCACACCAGGCTTAATACCTAGGTGATGAGTTGATAGGTGCAGCAAACCGCCATGGCATGTGTTAACTATGTAACATACCTGCACATCTGCACATGTACCCCAGAACTTAAAGTAAAAATGCAATATCTAAGAAGTGCAATAAAGCATAGCACAATAAAAGGAGATAGATTGTAAAAAAAAAAAAATGCTCAACATGATATGCCATGAGGGAATTGTAAATTCAAACAATGATGAGATTGAATTCCACCTACCAGAACGGCCAAAATTCAAAACACTGACAGTAGAAAGGGCTGGTGAGAATGTAGAACCAAAGAAACTCTCATGCATTGCTGATGGGAATGCAAAATAGTGCAATCACTTTGGAAAATGCCTTAGTGTTTTATTACAAAACTAAATGGACTCTTGTAATATGATCCACCAATAATACTAGCTGGTATTTCCCAAAGGAACTGAAAAATTATTTCTACACAAAAAGCTGCATACAGATGTGTGTGTAAGCTTCATTTATACTTGCCAAAAGTTAGAAGCAACCAGCGTGTCCTTTAGTAAGCAAATGGATAAACTGTAGTACATCCAGACAATGAAATATTATTAATCACTAAAAAGACATGAGCTATCAAACCATGAGTAGACATGGAAGAATCTTAGATGTATATTACTAAATAAAAGAAGCTAATCTGGAAACGCTACATACTGTATGATTCCAACATAGGACATTCTGGAAAAGGCAAAACTATACAGACATTAAAAAGATCAAGATTTTTCAGGGTTTAGATGGGAGGGAGGGATGGAAAGGTGGAGCACAGAGGATTTTTAGGGCAGTAAAATTATTCTCTGTGATACTGTAATAGTGAGTAGACATTACTATACCTTTGTCAAAACTCAGAGTATGCACAACACAAAGAGTAAACCCTACCCTAAACTATGGGCTTTGGGTGATGTGTCAATTTGGGTTCATAGATTGTAACACATGCACCATTCTAGTGAGGGAAGCTGACAGTGGAGGAGATTGTGCTTGAGTGGGGGCAGGGCATATATGGGAAATTCTGTATTTTCTGCTCAATTTTGCTGTGAACCAAAAACTTTTCTAAAAAATAAAGTCTTTTTTTGTCTTTTTAAGATTGCGAGTAGATATTAGGCATTCTTCTCTCTATCACTCTTTCTAAAATATTTTGAAGTTCCAAGGAGAGAAATTTGCGTCAGAGTAAGTATTACGGAAAATACGACATTTTGACTAAGTATTAGGTGATAGGTAGGATTTGGACCTATATTTATTGGTTGTATACTTGGTGCTAAATACTTCACAAGAAGGATTTTTTTTTTTTTTTCATTTTTTTGAGACGGAGTCTCGGTCTGCTGCCCAGGCTGGAGTGCAGTCTCGCCATCTCAATGCAAGCTCCGCCTTCTGGGTTCACGCCATTCTCCTGCCTCAGCCTCCCGAGTAGCTGGGACCACAGGCGCCTGCCACCACTCCCGGCTAATTTTTTGTATTTTTTTTTAGTAGAGACAGGGTTTCACAGTGTTAGCCAGGATGGTCTTGATCTCCTGACTTCGTGATCTGCCTGCCTCTGCTTCCCAAAGTGCTGGGATTACAGGCGTGAGCCACCATGTCCAGCCCACAAGAAGGATTTTTAAACTTTATGTGGCATTGGTACTCTAAAGTCTAGTGAAGCCATGGACCTTACTCAAATAAATGCACAAAATTTTAAAAATTACATGTAGTGTTTCAAGGAAACCAGTTTCACAGTTACCAAAATACTACTTTTTAAATTGGGCTGTATAGATATCTGTACTACTTTATTATCGCGCTGAAACAAAGTACTACATTTTAAAAGGAGTGGTGTGCATACCTGATATTTTGAGATACAATAAATCACGTGATCTAAAAGTCTGTGATTCTACTGGTGGCGATTAATAGTTAATACTGATACTAATGTGAGTTCTCACTTGCATTTCAACTTAAAGTAAATGCTAAAATTCAGTTAGAAATTAATGAAAATAAAACTGTATTTTTTTCCTGTTTTAATGTAAAGTTATCCAAAATTCTATCTATGAACACCTTAGGGCAATCTCTGGAACCCAGACACAAAACCCTTGCGTCATACATAGTTAACCCCATTTTGAGCCACTTACTACATTCCAGACTTTGTACTGAATACTTTAACAATGACATTTACTTTATAGATTTCTTGCTTCCACTAGTGAACATGCACTGATTTGATTCACATTTTAGAAAAATATGAAAATTTATGATAAAAAAATGACCCTTTCTCTTCTAATCAGATTTCCTTGATTACAATTAGCCTATATTCATTTCCTCCTGTTGTAAAGTATCCATCTCCACTAATAAATGCTTTCTTCCCCTTAAAAGACAAAGATATATTAAAATGTTCAAAGTCAGATCTTGAGCGAGATTGAAGGTAACAGATGCATCTTCTTTTCAATAGTTGCCTCCAAAACAATCAACTGCTAACAGAATACAGTATTACAGAGAGATGATATTTTCAGTTACTTCACAGCATTTGCTCTTATTAGTCTTGTAATTGCTTACAGAAAAAGAGACATTTTTATACATGAAAATTGAAGAATACCCTACTTGTCAAATCACAACTAGAGTATTTTATAAAATTTGAAGTAATGTATCTTATAATAGATGTTTATAAACTATATTGGAAGAAATCCAGAATGATAACGGGTTCTATAATTAAATGCAACTAATAAATCAAACATGGAATAAATTTATTCAGGGAAAATGATGTTTATTAATTTTCCCATGATGTCTCTCAATATGAACTTGAAGGTTAGTCCTAGGGAAGAATAAAACTTAAAATCAATGAGAAGCACATTTAGGCAACACATTGGAAAATATGTTGAAAGTAGGAGACATGCCTAACAATGGACTACCTCCGCAGAAAGTCAGTACTGTTTATAAAACTCATCAAATGATATATGAGTGACTTACAAGCATGCATTATAAATGATTCTCCATGTAGGAGAACTTAGACTGGATTATGTAAAAAGTTATGCACAGCTTTTGATATCAAAGTTTTAATTATTGATTACAAAAGCAAATGAAAATACTTTGTTTTATTTATCTTTTTATAATTACTTTTTTTTCAAAATTAAAAATAATGCATCCTGGCTGGGCACGGTGGCTCACGCCTGTAATCCTAGCACTTTGGGAGGCCGAGGCGGGCAGATCACGAGGTCAGGAGATCGAGGCCATCCTGACTAACAGTGAAACCCCGTCTCTACTAAAAATACAAAAAATTAGCCAGGTGTGGTGGTGGGTGCCTGTAGTCCCAGCTACTTGGGAGGCTGAGGCAGGAGAATGGCGTGAACCCGGGAGGCAGAGCTTGCAGTGAGCCTAGATCTCGCCACTGCACTCCAGCCTGGGCGACACAGCGAGACTCCATCTAAAATAATAATAATAATATGCATCCTTGGTATCGAAAATGTAATAATTGGAGAAATACATAACATGTGAACTAAAGGTCCCTTAAGTTCCTGCTCTCTCCCTGAAAATATGTTTAACTTATGCATATTCCTCTTTCTTTTTTTCCTTCTAATCTATTTAAAATTAAAAGGACCTGGACAGGGTAAAAAAGAAAAGCTTACCCGTTTAGTTAGCTTTGTGTAATTTGAAAACTGGAATGTTTATCACCACCTATCTAAAGAGTTCTTCATTGAAATGTTTCAAATAAATACTTGCATATTAGAAGGTTTTGTAATTTGTAATCATGTGTTCATGGCATCTCTATAATTACTGTGGCTTATTTGCTTTGCCGGTGAATGCAGAATATATCCAAGTGTCTGCAACATGGTTCTTCCTTTGTCTAGTGAATTTAAGTAATAAGAAAATTTGTGTTCATTAGCTGGAATGTATTACATTTCAATAAAAGGATAAATTTTTCAACATCTCCTGATGTCAAACTGAAACCTAGACTTACCCTTCCAATTTGGAAACACTGCATAGCAAATGGTCATTTTGGAAAATAGATCTATTAGCTTTAATTAAAAAAATAAACTAGAGTCTGCTGTTGAATTACCAAAGGACAGTGAGTCTGAGACTTCTACTAATATCTAAGGCATCATAATATTATAACCATGTGTTACTACTATTATATTTACTGATAAAGGTTTATTTTTGATACTAGCACGGTCTGACATTAAGATCTAAAAACAGAAAACTAATAGGTAGAACCTGACAGAAAACAATGTTATGTCTTTTCAAAGTATATCTTATAACGTGTCATAATGACTATAAATATTCTATTTTTGTTATGTTTACTTAAAGAGAATTGATTACGGCTTTAATGGATTTTCTAATAGATATGAAACAACTCTCTGTAGAAAAACTGTGATAATCTAAAAGTCCATAAAGTGTATATGTTTATCAATTATAGAAATGAATTTACATTGTAGCATTATTTTCCATAATCATGGAATAAGTCTTAAGAAAGTCAACATAACAAAATAATAATGTCTAATATATAACTCAATGGTATTGTTCATGTCATTTATGTGACTGTTTATTATATGGGTATTATAATTTTTCCTGATGACCTACTAGGTATAGATTTCTGAATACATAAAGGCACTCATAGCATACCAATACAAAAACCTCTTTTGGAATGTTGGAATTAATAACATTAAATATATGAAAACTTACATTAGTTTAATTTTAAGGGAAAAAAACATGTAACGATTTTTTGTTTTCTCCTGTGTATAATTTATATGCAAAATGTTTCTTACTGTTTTTATTGATACATATGGTTAAAATTAATAAAAAACATTCAATTCAAATTTCAAAATATACCCTAATTAAAATGCATATTTGACGTGAAGTGTTGAATCAAAATTTGGTTGAGATTGACCTCTTATGTGATAAAGTTTTCCAAATGTATTGTGAAGCTAATTTTGAAATGGTTATAAAATTCCTTCTTTAATACAGATTAATTGTTAAAGTCTTTAATTAGCTGACCTCAAATTTGTATGCCAAAGGATAAAACAATTTTCAAAATCATCAAATTAACAAAAAATAATAGAAGGGATTGTAATATCAGATAGAAATCCCCAAGCATTCCTAATTATTTTACTTCTGTAAAAATATATATCACAAAAGTAATAAGTTACTTTAAAAGATTTTACAGTTTTCAATTTTGAAACGTAACAATATCAGCATTTTAGGTTCAGGGAACTAGCAATATAAAGCCATGTTGGTAAAATGGAAAATATGTAATACAATTTTAACATTAGAGTCATTCCTTTTCCCCAAAACATCTAGAGTTAACTTTCCTACACTCTTCTCTCCTACAAAACTGCAAATAGTTTCTTCAAACTGTAGCTAAAATAAAATTTGTATTATGATGTCTTTACTGAATTTTGTGATAAAGCTTTGTCCAAATTTTGCAAAGTTGCACTCTGTATTAGTTTGCACATAATGTCGATTTATATTCTTTTCTCTTGCCATATTATATATCATATATCCTTACACATTTTGCATATATAATATTTAACATAATTGGTAATCAGGTAAATGCAAATTTAAAAAATGACATGTTTATGATATTCAGATTACAAGAATTTAAACTATTGGTAATTTACACTATTGGCTTTAGGGAATTTGGCATCCTCATATACTCCTACAGAATATACAGTTTGAATTAAATAATGGAGAAAACAAAATTTCAACATGTGTTACTGTCTATCTCATGATTCATCTTCTGGCTAGCTATCTTACAGAAATATTTACACAGGAAGATGTAAACAGAGATGATCATTTCTGCATATTTTATAATTGTGAAAAAAACAAGAAAAACCAAAATAGTCATTGAGAAAGTGTTAAATGAATCATTTTATGTTCACATGCTAAAATACTCAGATGCAAAGAAGGAATAAAAGTGTCTGTACATGTAGACATAAAATTATGTTGACTATATTTTGTTAACTGAAAAGAAACGAGCAAACAACATGTAGAGTCTGATGTGTTTGTGTAAGCCTTTTTAAGGATGCAACGCAGTCGCTGCAAAGTGGAGCAGAGTGGAAAAGTGAAAACTTTCCCTTTGTTCTTTTGTCCACTTTATAAACTTGATTATTTTACCACCACCATCTTCTTATTTTCGTATTTTGTATTATTTTTCTTCCCTTCTAATCTAGATTTTGTTAGAGTTGTTTTACTGTTCCTTTGTTCTTTTCCAAATATTGCTTATTATAGTTTTTCCATAATATTTTCTTCATTAACCTATCATTTGACTTTTACAAACCTATTCTTTTTATAGTTTTTAATTTTTGTAACTGAGAAATTCTAGTTTTAGAATCTTATTTCATTCAGTATTATTAAGTCATTAATAAAAACATTTATGTCTGTATATTTTTCTCTTATTATCTGTTCACAGATATTCTGATATATAGTAATTTAATGACTGCTATTTTCAAAATAGTCTGCACTTTCAATTTTTATCTTGTCTTTGTGTAAAGATTATCTTTGGAGAAATACACTTTTATACTTTAGCATTTCTGTGGGCGGTGGGGGTGTGTGTGTGCTTCTTAAATATTTTTTAAAAGATTAGTATACTAATTGTTTTTATCTAGTCATTGTATTTATCACAACATTTCCTTTCCTTTTCATTATTATTAATATATAATATATTTTAAGTGTGATTATTGCATGTGCATTTGGAAAAGAGGTGCTTCCTATGTAAAGTCCTTGATACATAGCAATGACATCTTGTTAATTTATTATATTGACTAGATTCCCTAAATTATTACTGAATACTTTCTTTGCATTAGCATTAGCCAATAAAAGCTGAAGCATAATTTTTCTTATATCCTCTGTAGTCTTTGCTTTACAAATGTTTATGCTGTTATTTAATACAAGCATATTCCTGACTATAGGATATTTCTTGTGGATTTCAACAATTATAGGGCCATTTCCTTTGTCGTTTAATGACTTTCCTTAGAATTTAAAGTTCCTGTTGTTAATATTATCATCCATTAGTATTGTATTTGTTTGCTATTGATATTTCCATTTTTTTAAATTTTCAATTATTTCAAAGATTTTTGTTTTAGGTGTAACTTTGGCATGTAGCATATAGTTTTGCTGTGTGATTAAAAAATTTAAGACTATTGTACTAATAAATGTGCTAGGATTGGCATGCGAACTACATTCAGTTTCAGAGTTAATTTTAAAGTATTTCAACATTTTGATAACTTGATGTTTATTTAAATATAATTTACTTTATAAAATATTTTTATTTACACAGATAATTATTTTTAAAATATGTACTTTTTCCCCTTTGGCTCAAACTTATACTTGAATAATTTCTTTTGGAGCACAGAGATAGCCGATTACTTTTCTTCTTAGATTTACAATGTCACATTCACTGTGTCAGGTTTTCATTTGTTACTCAATTTTGACTCTTCCTCTGTGGCATTTATTTATGTTATGACTTTATTATTCATTTTACATCATTTTTTAGATCAGCGAATTTAATTTTTATTCTCTTGTATTAACCTTTGTTCAATAATCCTTATAATTTGGACTCAACATCTAGATATGTAGTGCACACTCTTTCGAGATTTTTTAATGCATGTTTTTGAGTACCCTTTAATTACCATGTTTACCTACTCATAGCAAAACATGTTTCTTATGTTCTAGGTTTATTTTAAATATTCTTTACCACATATTTTATCCATATTTGGAATGCTGATCTAATTTATATGTGCGTATATGTCTTTATGTGCGTATATGTCTTCTTGAACCATCTATTTGTGGCAAAATAATTTAGAAAAGGGCCAGTAATTCAGGTTATTAAGCCATTACTGTGACTTACTCTGAAGCCCTTGTGTCAAGATGTGCATGTGTGCCTGTATAGGTATATGTGTTTGTGTGCATGTGTTATGTGCATGTGTGGGTACATTGTAGCAATTTGCTGACAACAGTGTTTTACATAAGTCTGTCCTTAATAGGTTGCAACTTGCAAAGCAAGCCTGTTGGTCTCCTCTGGGAATAATTCATCTGCTGTTCCATGATTTCAAATGTCATTCAGGGAAGCTCCCAGGGTCAGTGCAATTGGGTTTCAAGCATGGTGTTTTTACCTCCCAGTCTGTGTTTCCTAATTCGGAAATGCTGTGCTATGCAAGATCTGGCTGGGGTTTGGGTGCTCTGATATCCATTCTGTCTGATCTAATATTCACTGGACTTGGCAGCCTATCTTCATGCACACTGTGTTTGGGGAATAAAGGAGATTTTAAAAATGATTAAAATAGTATTTTTCATTCCTGTTGCTAATTTGCTTTCTTTTCCTTGATTTTATATTGGTTTAGAAACTAGAATGAAGGAGAAATGATTTTTATAGATTATAGTATGAATTATATAATCAACAATTTTTAAATAAATAAGCTTAAACATAAAGTTGTATGCTCTGTATTCAGAGCAAAAATAATCATAAACTTGATTTTTAAAATCCCATGTATAAAATCCTATGTGTAAAATCCTTATAACTGTACATACATTTATAAACAATGATTAAATACATGTTTAATCACGAAATATGTTTTTATTGGATAAAACTGCATTTTATTCAATGTATTTCACAATTCTTAGTCATTATGTATATTTTGAAAAAAACTTTATACTTATTGACCAATTTTTAAAATTTTATCACATTTGCCTTATAATTTATTCTTTTTCTACACACACACACACACACACACACACACACACACACACTCTCTCTCTCTCTCTCTCTCTCTCTCTCTGTCTGTCTCTCCTTAGAGATATTGTGGATTTGGATCCAGATCACCACAGTAAAGCAAATAGAGCAATATAGTGAGTCACACAAATTTTTTGGTTTCCCAGTACATATAAAAGTTATGTTTTCACTATACAGTAGTCTATTAAGGGTGCAATAGCATTATATCTAAAAAATGTATATACCTTACTTAAAAATGCTTTATTACTAAAAATTGCAAATGATCATTGAACCATTGGGCTAGAGGCAATCTCTTTTGCTGGTGGTGGCTTTTGCCTCAATGTTGGTGGCTGCTAACGATCAAGGTGGTGGTTGCTGAAGATTGGGTTGTCTGTGGCAATTTCATTAAAAAAAATGAAGTTTGCAAAATTGATTGACTCTTTCTTCCATGAAAAATGCATCTGTAGCATGTGATGCCATGTGATAGCATTTTACTTACAGTAGAGCTTCTTTGAAAATTGGAGTCGATTCTTTTCAACCCTGCCACTGTTTTATCAACTAAATGTATGTAATCTAAACCCTTTGTTGTCATTTCAAATATGTTCATAGCCTCTTTACCAGGAATAGATACTATCACAAGAAACCACTTTCTTTGCTTATCCACAAGAAGCAATTCCTGTCTATAAAAGTGTTATCATGAGATTGTAGCAATGAAGTTACATCTCCAGGCTTCCCTTCTAGATCTAGTATTCTTGCTATTTCTACCATATCTGCAGTTACTTCCTCCACTGAAGTCTTAACCCCTCAAAGTCACCTGTGAGGATTAGAATCAACTTTCAAACTCCTATGAATGTTGATATTTTGACTTCCTCCCATGAATCCTGAATGTTCTTAGTGGCATCTTGTCTAGTGAATCCTTTCCAAAAGGTTTCAATTTACTTTACCCAGATCCATCAGATAATTCACTCTCTATGGCAGATACAGTCTTATGAAAAGTCTTTCTTCGATGATAAGACTTGAAAGTCAAAATTACTCCTTGATCCATTAGCCACAGCATAGATCTTGTGTCAGCAGGCATGAAAACAATGTTAATATCTGCATACACTTAATCAAAACTCTCAGGGGATTAGGTGCATTGTCAATGAGCAGTAATATTTTGAAAGGAGTCTTGTCCTCTAAGCAGTAGCTCTCAAACAGTAGATTTAAATTTCAGTGAATCCTGCTGTTACACAGATGTGCTGTCATTCAGGCTTTGTCGTTCCATTTAGAAAACAGAGGAAGAGTAAATTTAACATAATTCTTAAGGGCCCTAGGATTTTCAGCCTAGGTAAATGAGCAACGGCTTCAATTTAAACTCACTGGCACCCAACAAGAGAGTCAACTTGTCCTTTGAAGCCAGGCATTGACTTCTTCACTGTCTCTTTGAAAGTACTACATGGCATCTTATTCCAATATAAGGCTGTTTCATCTACATTGAAAATCTATTATTTAGGGTACTTCCCTTCATCAATTATTTTGGCTGGTCTGGATAACTTGCTGTAGCTTCTACATCAGTACTTGCTGCCTCACCTTGCACTTTTATGTTATGAAGATGGCATCACATGAACCAACCTCTTAAAACCTTTAAACTTTTGTTCTGCAACTTCTTTACCTCTCTTGGTCTTCATAGGAATGAAGAGAGTTAAAGGCTCACTCCAGATTAGGTTTTGGCTTAAGGGAATGTTGCAGCTGATTTGATCTATTCAGATCACCAACTCTTGCCATATCAGCAATAAAGCTGTTCACTGGAGTAGCACTTCCAATTTCCTTCAATAACTTTTCCTTTGCATTCTCAACTTGGCAAATTGGCACCGAAAGCCTAGTTTTCAATCTCTCTTGGCTTTCAACATGCCTTTCTCAATAAGCTTAATCATGTCTAGTTTTTATTTAAAGGCAGAGAAAGATGTGACTTTTCCTTTCATTTGAATACTTAAAGGCTCTTTTAGTATTATTAATTTTCCTGATTTTAATATTGTTGTGTCTGAGATACTACAAAGGCCTCAGGAGAGGGACATAGATGGGAAATAGGCAGTCAGTGGAGCAGTCAAAAAACACAGAACATTTATCGATTAAGTTTGCTGTCTTATATGTGCCTGGATTTGTGGTGTCCCAAAACAATTATAATAGTAACACCAAAGATCATTGATTATAGATTGCCATAACAGATATAATAATAATGAAAAAGTTTAAAATATTTCAAGAATTACCAATACGACACAGAGTCAGAAAATGAGCATGTGCATTGGAGAAATGGTGCCAATAGAATTGACTGAAACAGGGTTGCCACAAACTTTCAATGTGTAAAAAAGACAGTATCTATCTGAAAATTTCAATAGAGTGATATGCAATATAAAATGGTATGCCTGTACATATAATTTGTTTTCCAAATAATTTGGGCTAAAGTTAAAATATGTCAATTTTCTCTAAATAATTTAATGGTGTATTTCTTGAGAATACAGGCACTCCTTCCATCCCACAGTATAATTATAAAATTTAGGATATTCAATATCAATGTAAGATTATTGTCTCATCCACAGCCCATATTTCAGGTTTTTACCCACATTCTTACTAATGTCCCTATAGCATTTTTCCCTATTCTAATATGAAATTTAGGCCCATGAGTTGCATTTAATTATCAGATATCTTCAAAATATTTTGACATCAATCTATTCTGATCAATGATGTTAATTCACCTCAATGGGTTTGTAATTTCCTTTTTTAGACTATAACAAATTGTATTTACATTTGTTTGCAAATTTTTGATAATATTACAAAAAATATCGATACAAAAACCTTTCCTAAATGTGGACTGTCACCTGGAAAACTATGAAATTGCAGTGGTCAGTAGTAATATATACACGTATTCACAGTTTTAAATATTAGAATTTTCCCTTTAAAATGATGATACCAATTTGTACCTTATTAAAAATTATTTGATATTTTTCTTTTTTCCCAATTCTTTATGCCTACAATTTTTTTCTTTCTGCTAATATTATGTCATGAAATATTATTTTATTTCATTGATTATTGGAGTTGTACCATTTTAGTTTCTGCTATTTTGGATTTCCTACTTATATATTTTGCTCATTTTTATTTTTATCCACTTGAAAGATTGGATTCTTACTGAATTGAATAATTTCTAGTAGAGGCTAGATGTTAGCCTTTATAAGTATGGAAATATATTTTCCAATTCTGGAGCATACTATATCACAGTTTATTCAGGAATAGTTGCTTAATGTGCTTATAGTCAAACTTAATAGTAAATATTTTCCAGTTCGCAAAGGTGAACCTACCTATGTATGATTTATTTTAATGTTTTCAAAGTTTTCCTAATAACATTTGGGGCTTTGAATATGGAAATTTATATTGTATATGGGTGAAGGTCTAATAATTTTTCCATTTGGATAAATTATTGATAAGTCTCATTGTGTTAGCCATGTTTTTCTCAAAGATTTAGTAATTTTATTCAAGTCATATACAAAATATTCACATTGATGAGACTATAATGGTCTCACTATATGGTTTGAATGCTGTATTTGTCTATTCTACATACAAGCATTTTTAATAAAAGCAATAACAACATACATATCTGTTTTATGTCTTTTTCTATATTACTTGGTAATCTACAGTTGCAAATTTCTAACTGATAGCTTCAAATTTAATTCATAAGATATAATCCTCGTTAATGTAAATTTAAATAATCCTTAGCTGTTTTCGTTACTACACTAATTGCTTTAGACAAGCTCAGTGTTTTTCTTCTCTATAGGTCATTTTGAATGTTATCTTGATGTTTAATATATCATTGTTAATTGTTTTTAACATAGTGGATGTGACGATATATAAATGAACTACAGTATCTCCACAGGAATATCTCCATTTCATTTTCCTATTCCTAACTAAATTAAGTTACTATTAAATTATTTACTGATGATTTCATTTAATTTATCTTTGTAAGTTCTCTAAGGGTTGAAACATGCATTATATTTTATTTAGATTTGTAAAGGACCTAGCTAACAAAGGGTTTTATAGTACTCGCCAGTAATTGTTTGGTGGGCATCTTTAAGAGAGTATTTTTACGTAAAATAGACAGCCATCTATATTTAATTATACCAGACCAATATTAAAAATATTAGCTTCTGAAAATTCTAAAAAAGCCCTTGAATTGTCGTAGTATTTTATTACCTGTCAGGAGTTTGACCAAGTTGAGTATTACACATACCACGGAGACTTACATCATGACAACTTGGAATATGTCATACTGATATTAACTTGGAAAATCAAAATTGCAGTTAAGTAGAGCCTCTTTTGTTCTCTTCTCTTACTTTCTCTCAAACAAACATAGTCTCTCTTTCTGTTTTTAGCCACCTAAAGCTGTGGCTGGAGTGACAACAAGCACCCTTGTAGCTACCACAACTACGACTGTGCTGGGTCACAACTGAAGCTAGCACAACACTGGATTTTGCCCAAGGCATGCTATAACCAACTCCCTGGCTAATGCCTATGTTGGCTCAAGGCCTTGGGGCTGTAGGATCAGAAAGTGGTAAAGCCAGCTATGTCTATGTCCTTCCCTTTGGAGCAGAGAGTTCCTCCAGTCCTGAATAGGTCCAGAGATACTGATTTGGAGTCAGGGACTAGAATCAAAAACCTTATAAGTCCACCTGGTGTTATATTTTATCGTGGCTGAACTGGCACTCAAACTACAAAATGCATTCCTTTCCACGCTTCCTGCTCCCTTCCAAGGGCAGAGAAATCTCACCCCACAGCCACCACCAGCACGGCCATAAGGAGTACTGCCAGACTCCTGCTGATGGTCCCTTAAGGCCCAAGGGTTCTCAAGTCAGCTTGTAGTCAATGCCTCCTGGCTTGAGACTCACTCTTCAGGGTAGTGGCCTCTCCTCTTGTCCAAGGCAGGTCCAGAAATGCCATCCAAGAGTCAAGTCTTGGAATTGGGGACCCCAAGAATCCACTTGGTGCTCTACTTCCTTATGGCTGTGCTGGTACCTAAGGTGCAAGACAAAGTGGCCTTTTCTTTTCCTTCTGCTTTTCTCAAGCAGAAGGAATTCTTCCCCATAGCTACCACAGCTGGTAATGTGCTGAGACTCCCCTGAAGCCAGCAATTCTCAGAGGCTCACCCAAGGCCCTTGATTCAGTAGCTGAGTATTGCTGCTGATTATTCAGAGCCCAAGGGTTCTTTAGTTAGTAGGTCACCAGGTTTGCAGGAACTCAAGTTTGGAGAGTTGGAAATGTCAATTTCCTTCTGGCTAGGGCTGGTTTAAATGCTCCCTCCAAGGCAGGCATCAGCTGAGTTTGGTCTGGTTCTCCTTTCTGTTCTAACAGGACAGCACTGAGTTTGATGCCTCACACTTACTGTGTTCTCTCTGCCTTCAGTGCCCAAGAGATGCTCTCTGTATCATGCTACCAGCTGCTGGGGGTGGTGGAGAGGGGTGGCATTTATGATTCAAGACTGTCTTTTCTATCTCTCAGTGCCTCTGTCAGCGATATGAAGTTAAAACCAGGTGCTATGAGTGCTCACCTGATTTTGGCTCTTAGAAAGGTGTTTTTTCTTTGTAGATAGCTGTTCACTTGATGTCCTTGTCAGGGGTATGATCAATAGAGCCTTCTATTCTGCCATCTTGCTCCTGAATTTCTGTCTATTTCCTTCCATATCAGCCATTTCAAATATATATATATATATATATATATATATATATATGGAGAGAGAGAGAGAGAGAGAGAGATTTCTTTATGCAGACACCTGCTTGCATCTTATATCATATTTCTTTTTCAGAGAGTACCTTTTAAAATCTTTTCTTGGGTAGTTTTGACAGCATTGAAATCTCTCAGATTGTTTTAGAAAAATTATGTGCTTTCTCTTTTATTTTTGAAAGACTTTTGCTGCCTTCAGAATTTACATAGGCAGTGTTTTGCTTTTAGAAGGTCTCATCCCATTGTCTTCTGGATTTCTGGTGTCTGACAAGCAATGTGCTTAACGTCTTCTCTTGTTCCTCTACCATGTGTATTTCTTTATGCTTTTTAATTGTCAAATAATATTTATTTATTTGTTTAAATTTTTATTTAATTTTTCAATTTTGTGTAAGTCTATATATTTATGGAGTACATGAGATACTGATGCATTTTGTTTATTTTCTGGTTTCATTCAAGATGTTCTGTTTATCTTTGGTTTAGAGCAGTTTGAAAATTATGCTTATAGATCTGGGTTTTTTTCTGATTTTTTATTATTTGTTTTTCCATTTATCCTGCTTGGAGTCCTCTGAGATTCTTGTATATCTGGCTTGTTATTTTTTAAATATTTTTGAGAATTCTTAGCAATTATCTCTTCAAATATTTATCTGGTCTTTTCTTCTTTCCTCTTGTTCTGTAATTCCATTTGTATGTATTTTGCAATATTTGGCTTTGTCTTACAACTATTACAGCCGCTGCTGTTTTTAATTTTTATACTCTGTTTTATAGTATTTATACTCTTTGTTTAAAGTATATCATTTTAGGTGATTTCCATTGACCTATGTCCAAGTTTACTGATCCTTTCCTCAGATACGTAAAGTTAACTGATGCCTGCCAATGGCATTAATCATCAGTTACCATTTTGCTGCTGAAGTTGCTTTTATTTTTGCTCTTAATAGCATTTCCATTTAATTGTTTCTTATACTTCTGGTCTTCCCAGTGAAATCCCCCACATGTTTATGCCTTATTTTCCACCTCATTACTACAGTCTTTAGCTCATTAATCATAATTAATTTAAATTTCCTGTGTGCTCATTCCACCTGTGAGCTTTCTCTGACTCTGCTGCTGTTGAATGTTTTGTCTCTTCACAGTGGGTTGTACCTTGCCACCAGCGCCCTTGCTTTTGTGCGTGTCACTAAATTTTTTACTGAGGGCTAGGTGTCATACATAAAGGATTAGAGACTGAGGTAAGTAATATTCGTGTCCTGAATTGATCATAGCTTTTCTTTTGCTAGGATGCTAGGCCGTTAGTATGAGGGTTGATTCCAACCCTCATAGTTAAGAGTTGGTGTTTGGGTTTTGCAATTGCTATTGTTACCTTCAGTGAATCACCGCCTTTATAATTCTCTAGGCTTATTTTGTAGTTGATGTGGTAACTGAAAGTATCAGCACTCTACCTTCATCTATTGGCCTTCACTGCATGCCTGTATATCAAAAGGAATCTCTACTCACACTTTTGTTCCTTTGTTAGTAGTAGACTGTGGTTGCTGATTACTCAGTACTTCCTATTCTACTTTTGGGTGCTTGAGATGGATGGATGGGTGAGAGCTCAGTCTCCTAGGAACACCCTGTATCCATGGGACCAGTTCATAAAGTTTCTTCAGTGATTTGCTCTCTTTCCATGGCAGCCAAACTCTACCTTGTATATCTAGTGATTATTTTTCCAAAATGGGCATCCTGTTCTTCTTTTAGGAGTATGACTCATATCTGTTATCAAGGTATCTATTGAGCCTTTTATTTATTTAATTATTTTATTTTTTGCCCAGGACTATTTGTGGTGCCTCCCCTGTGGATAAGGAGTTTTTACTTGTCTTTTTTTTTTACACTCTCCTAGCCACAGTGCATCTTTATCTGTGCCCTGGGGCAGGAGGTATTGCTACCCTTCCTCCATGACTCAATACTTTTATTTCATAGTGTAGAAGAGTCTAGGTGAGCTTTCTGTCTTTCCTCCACTGGTACTTTCTTCCTTATCTCTTTGCCTGGACCTTGAAAGGCTTTCTCTGGTTTTACTTCTAACTGAATCTTGCTCTTAAGCATCCTGTGCAGGTGTATGGAAAAGAGCCCGCAATTAGGTGCTACCAGGAGGCTCTGCATTCCCCCCCAACGCACCCCACCAAAAAAAAAAAAAAAAAAACTAGGTCCAAAACTGAAGCAACAAAGGCCTTTTACTCAACTTGCATCAAGAGAAACCATCTGCTCTATCATTCATTTCAGCAAATGTTCAAAGATATTAGACAGGAGTGTAAGTTTTATAGAGAAAAAGGAGAATACACTGAGACAGTCTGTTGGCAAACATTCCATTAACATAGGGTTTTATAAAGCTAGTGAGACTTTGGTGGTCTATAATGAAGCATGTGGGTAGTTTCAGGGTATTTTGAAATAGGAAGGATTGCTGTTACTGCAGGCAAAGGATATCTGTGGCTGCCCATGTCCTGGAACAAGTTGGGGCCAATGGAGTTCATTTCTATAGATAGACTCCAATAATGGTCTTTATGCAGGCTGAGTTCCATGGTAAGTTGCTTCACATTTGCTCACACTCAACTTTCAACAGGTTCTTGAAGGTTCTTGCTAAGATCTTATCTATTTGTATAAGTCTAGTCATCACTTCTTCTTGTGGTCTCCAGGAGTTGAGCCAGAGACTATTTCTCGTTGCAAGGCCCTTTTTTTCTTAGATTTTAAGAAATTTGAAACTAGCTCTTGATGATTGAAAGAAAGTAATAATTATTTACATTACCTGAATATTTGTTTTCATTTTTAGGGTGAAAGCAACACTTTTCTCCGCTTTCTGCTTTCATAGTGCAAGTGGGACCACACAATTAAAATATAAGCACTACATCACATAGAATAAGATAACCAGAGTTATACCACAAGTAAATATTCTTAGGATTGAGTTTCACAAAGAAATCTTTGATAGAACATAAATATAAAAATGACACACTTTTCTTCTGGATCAATGAACAGGACAAGTGCCTGACAAAATGAATTCATATGGATAATTATCCTTTTGCCAAGTTAAGAAAAAGAAAAGTAAAAGACAAAACAAAACAAAACAAAACCAATATAAACAGTTTTAAAAAATAGCAGATTTGCACACATCTCATGTATCTATTTTCTACCAAGAAATATTAAATAAATGTTGAATGCAAATGTGACTGTAATATTAAGGAAACGTTATTGTAGGAGAGCTTTGATTAAATATCCACAGTTAAAATTATTCTTCCCCTTTGAGGAGGACATTTTACTAGAAATCTCAAAGTCACATCAGTACAATAGAAAAATGTCCAAATTATATCTTCATCTTCTACTTTCATAAAAATAATCATTCTCAAATTAGCTCTCTAGATCTCAAGTCCTAGAAGGAGAAGAGTCACCGTGATAGCAACTTAGCTATTAATGTAGTTTTTATTAAAGATTCTGTAGATTTGTCACAGGTTATTTATCAGCTTCTTAAAGTCATAGGCTATAAAAATAGGATGGAAAAGGTTTTACTTGTCTGTTGCTATAACATGTGAAAATGGTTAAAAGAACTTTTGGACTTTTGACTATACTTAGTAGGTACATTTATGGTGATTTGAAACATATCAATGATATTCATGAATGAGAAGGGGAGACACAAACCCACACATACACACTTGGATACATTTTGCTATTAGTGTTTCCAAGTAGCTGTTATCTGTCAGATCAATTAAGAAAAAGAAAACTTATTTATTCTCTGGTGCTCTTTATTTCTTTATGTGGATCTGAATTTCTGATGTATATCATTTTCTTTCTCTTAAGAGACTCTTGTAAATTTATTTCAAGGCAGGTCTGCTGGTGACTAATTCTGTTTTTATTTGTCTGAGAAATGCTTTCCTCATTTTTTAAAGGATAATTTCACAGAATACAGAATTTTAAGTTGGTGAGTATTTTTCTCTCAAAAATTGAAATATTTTACTCCACTCTCTTCTTGTTTGTGTGGCTTCTTTGGAAAATTCAGATGCAATTTTTATCTTTGCTCGTCTATAGGTTAAGGTATTTTTCCCCCTTGTGGCTTCTTTAAAATTTTCCTTATCTTTTAAGCTTTTTCCAATTTGAATATGACATGCTTAAGTATAATTTTTGGCCCTTATTCTGCCTGGTGTTCTTTGATTTTCATGAAGTTGTGGATTGGTGTCTGAAATTGATTTGGGAAAATTCTCAGTAATTATTGCTTCTAATATTGCCTCAGTTTCCTCTTTTTTCTTATTCTAGTATTTCACTAAAATATATGTTACACTTTTTTTAATTGTCACATAGCTTTTGGATATTTTGTTGTATCTGTTTCTTTCTCATTTTTTTTTTTTGCTTTTGCTTTTTAGTTTTAAAGTCTCTATTAACATATCTCAAAGCTCCGAGATTCCTTCCTCACTCATATCCAGTCTAAAACTGAGCCCTACCAAAGCCATTCTTCATTTCTATTACAGTGATTTTTTTTTGCCTCCAGCATTTTATTTTCTTTCTTAGAATTCCCACCTGTCTTCTTACAATTCCCATACATTCTTGCTTGTTGTCTACTGTTTCCATAACTGTTTTTTTGCACATTAATTATAGTTGTTTTAAATTTATGGACTGATAATTCCAACATACCTGCCATGTCTGAGTGTGGTTCTGATGCTTGCTCAGCCTTTCCAATCTGTGCTTTTTTTTGCCTTTTAGTATGACTTGTAATATTTTGTTGAAAGAGGGCAATGCTATACTGGGTAAAAGGAACTCTGGTAAATAGGTCTTTAGCAATGTGTTGGTAAAATGTGTGGGAACAAGTAGTCTACTACAGTCTTATGACTAGATCTCAGTATTTTATGAGCCTATGCTCCTGGGCTATGAACATTACAAGTGATTCTCAACCTCCCCCACTCTCACCCCAACCCTTAGATAGGGCAAGATGCCTAGCGTGGGCTTAAGTTGAGTATTTCCTTTCCCCCAGATCAATTAGGTTCTGATAAAACCACAATAGGTTAGCCTCTGGTAGTTTCTTTTTAGAGAAGGCCTTTTCAACAATAATAAACTGTGTGTATGAATTGCATGTCTCTACATAGAGAGAGATATAAATATATGATATAAATAGATATATTATGTGTATATATACATATACACCTACTATGTACCCACAAAAATTAAAAATAAAGAATTGCTAAACTAAAGAATAATAAAGGGTCCTGGCTTATTTAACAATGATTGCCTTTGGTTTTTCCCCGATGAAGACATAACAATTTTTCTTTGATATTTACCTTGGGAAACTGGTAGAGTTGCTGCAAGTGAAACCAAAAGTGTAAGGCCCATTTCAGCTAGGCTCTCCTGGGGGTTTTAACTCTCTGAGTCTTGTCCACAGTAAGCTGCCAACAATTCAATTTCTGCTCTGATTTTCCTAACCCAACCCTGGTTCCCATGGGTATTTCTGCTCAGGTAAGTAATAATCCTCTCAATGCAGTGGTCTGTCTCTCCAATTTGGGGGCATCACCTTGCCCTGTGCCCTCATTTGCCCTGCATCTTCATTTCACTGATGGAGCTAGGAAGAATTGTTGATTCTTCAGCCTTTCAGCTTTATACCAGTTGCTAGAATGAAGTGAAGACTTTGAAGCTCCTTGCATGCTGGGCCACAAACCAGAAGTACTACATGATTTTTTTAAAGTAAATAAATTCCAAACATTGGATAGGACAACTTACACACACACAAAAATCAAACCAAAACAACCAAAGTCCACACAGTATTTATTGTTTATAATCAAGTGATTTCAATGAACCAGTTCTCACCTTCTGCCCTGTCTTAGCCAAGCTTGAGTCAGACTTTTCCTCCTCATGGGCCTCATGGGCCGCATGAACTTTGGCTTGCCCACAAGCCTGAGCAAGCCTTAAAAGGCAGAATGTACCCCGCTTACCAGCTCATCCCAGAGATTGGCTGGCCACATTGACATACATTTCCTATCATACAATGGCAACCATGCTGTCTGCTCAATCTCCGTAGATTTACTCTTAAAAGTTTTTTGTTATCCCTGATAACCTGTCCCAACTAAAATAAAGAAAAAAAAATTCTTATTGATCTTGCTATGCTTGCAGATTTCAGAGTTTAGAGCATTTTCCCTATTGCAATCATCTTTTTAAGGAAAAAAACCCATCTCCTTTACTAAGTCTAGATTTATTTTTACTGGGCATTTATCTAATTCAAAAAGAACTTAGTGTCTTGTGTTTTAATTGGCAACCCCACACATAGCCAAAATACTAGCTGTGTTTTTCTCAGAAGCTGTGATCCACTTTCATCTTGCCAACTCTTGTATTTATTCCTTTCATGCCTCATTTGTCCTATTCCCTCACCATAGTCGATCTAAGATTTCATTTTCCTAATTCCCTTATCATTTTCACTTTGTTTCCATTTCTATTTTCTAGATAACTTGGATTAATCCTCATTTAACCACAAGGAGACAGCCACTGAATATTTAAGGAAGCTGCCAAAGCCACATTTTTAATAAATATCAGATTTGAAATAAAAGTCCAGGCCATTTAAATACAGAGCTAGCAACCTAAAATACTATGCTATTTTCAGGCAGCATTTTATTTCCTAAAGCAATAAATAGGAAAGAAATTCAGTCCTAAGCAACCATACCTCTGTGCAATGGGGAGAGAATTCTAAGGTTCGAAGTTAGATTAGATCTTTTTCCAAATATTCTAAAAGTTTCTCACCATCATTGCTTTATCTAAGCTTTTTGTTTTTAAGTTTTTCTTGGATTTTATGATTGCCTTTCATGTCCCTCTAGAGATTATATAATCCTTCTTAATCATATCAATTAAAATTCCAGTTATTTTTGTATTTTCTTTTGATGATAATCCATTTTTATTGGTGATATTAATCTGAAAGCTCTGATTTAATCTTAGAATTTGAAAAACAGATTTCAAGTCTAGTTGTACAGGCATATTTTTAAAACTTCTGAGTTCATTCTGTTTTAATCTGCATTACATTTTTTAGAGTTTTTAGTACATGCTTATTTTTTTTGTCTTTTCCTTTTCACCTCAGGAAAGATTCTACACATGTAAGCTTTATGAATCCATGTGTTATTCAGAGGTTATTTATGTTGCATTGACTGGAATTGTTAGTCTGCCTATTTTTTGTAGTGACAGAGTCTCCCTCTGTTGCCCCCACTAGTCTCAACTCCAGACATCAAGCTATCCTTTCACCTTAGCCTCTGAAATCGCTGGAGATGTATTAGGCCATTCTTGTACTGCTATAAAGAAATACTTGAGACTGGGTAATTTATAAAGAAAAGAGGTGTAATTGGCTCACGGTTCTTTAGGCTGTACAAGAAGCATAGTGGCATCCTCAGGAAGCTTATATTTATAGCAGAAGGCAAAGTGGGAGCAGGCATATATCACCTGGCAAAATCAGGGGCGAGGAGCAAGAGACAGAGAGTAAGGTGCCACACACTTTTTTTTAAATTTTTTTTTTTATTTTTTTGAGACAGAGTCTCACTCTGTCTCCCAGGCTGGAGTGTAGTGGTGTGATCTCGGCCCACTGCAACCTCTGCCTCCAGGGTTCCAGCAATTCTCCTGCCTCAGCCTCCTGAGTAGCTGGGATTACAGGCATATGCCACCATGCCCAGCTAATTTTTGTATTTTTATAGAAATGGGGTTTCACTACATTGGCCAGGCTTGTCTTGAACTCCTAACCTCAAGTGATCTGCCCACCTCAGCCTCCCAAAGTGCTGGAATTACAGGCATGAGCCACTGCCCCCTGGCTGCTACATGCTTACAAACAGCCAGATCTCAGGAGAAATAATTCACTGTCAGGAGGACAGCACCAAGGGGATGGGGCTAAACCATTTATGAGAAATCCAACCACATGATCCAATTACCTTCCACCAGGCCCCACCTCCAATACTGAGGATTACAGTTCAACACGAGATTTGTGTGAGGACACATATCCAAACTAGATCACTTTTTAAAATGTTCATCTCTCTAGAGTCTATCATGATGCTCACTTATGGTCTCTGAAGGCAGTCTGATTAGAAATCATTTTTTAGATAATTCACTCCTGGAATGAGAAGTTCATCACAGTTATCCATTTGCCATTATTACCATTTTGGTTGATAAATAAGCTTCTGCTTTCCTTTCATTGTATAAAATGAAGAAAATGACAGCTGTACCTGGGGGCATACTTTTTGTTTAAAGGATTCTCAGATGTGATTTTTTTCCAAACAAAAATAAATGGCATTAATATGTTGTTAAGAGTTTTAAGGTTGTACTTGTATTGAAATATAAATAATGTCTACATGTTTATAGCTTGTTATCCTTGAGTACCCTCATATCTAATGTGCTTTAGGAGAGGTTTTTCCTGAAACAGAGAATTGGTAACTGCCCATCTGCATTCAGTTTATGTTCATTTGTTAATGGATTCTTGTTTTTGCACTTTATAGCAAAACTTAGCTTTCCACATTTTGTGGTGTAATAATACTTGACTTTCGTAAAAATTTTTTAATTAAGATCAATTTTCTTACAGCCACCAATAATTACAAGGAAACAAACCAATAAAACACGTCCAAAGAATTCTAGTATCTCAATTCTCTTTTAATCCCAAACATGGTATGGTTCTAGCTGCTTTGTCTTCAGAGGATTTTTCTGTTTCCATTTTCCCCAGCTTGGCCTCAGTTTCTCAGTTAAATTCACTACCTCAATGCTGCTGCCACATTCACTTCCAAAGACAAGTCCCTGAAACACCAAGGAGTCTGCCTGCTTTGCTAAAAGACGAAGCCTTGTTTAGAAATCTGGTCAGGTGCTGCAGCTGCACCTAATTGATTGAACAACTGCCGTTTGTAGATAGGGTCCTTATAAAGCTTAGTGAGCTTAAGCTGGGTACACGTTGTCACAAATCAGGCCAATCACATATTTTGGAATTTGTACTTAGGCTCATTTTCTTTGATTTGTCCTAATAAGTAGGAGCCAGAATTGCATTAGTGTAATCCACTGAGCAAAACTGATCCTGTTGCAGACAAGGCTAAGATTTCACATTACTAGATTAAAAAATGGAAGAACAGGCAATAGAGAAAGTCGAGCATCCCACAATTGCAGTCACTTGTAAGATGCTTTAAAAATCTAAATGTAAAGCATTCACAAGTACATTAAAACGGGAGAAAACTTTCTGCTACCAAAATTCTGGCAGTGATACTGTGAAATAATTAATTAGTGGAAACATTGTTTACCGTAAAAGATAAATGTAAAGGGGTCCAGAAAATTACTTATTTTTCTAATTATAATACTGTTCCTAACTAAATCGAAGCAGTTTTGGATCTACAGAAAATTTGAGCAGGCAATACAGAGAGAGTTCCCATATATCATCTCCTGCATACAGTTTGCCTATTACTAACATCTTGCATTACTATAGTATATTTGCTACAATTAATGAAACAAGAGGGACACATTATTTTTAACTAAAGTCAACAGATTACAGTAAAGTTCACATTTGTGCTGTACCACTATGGATTTTGACAAATGCATGGCATGATGTATCTACCATTACAGTATTGTACAGAATAGTTTCACTACCCTATAAAGCCTTCTTACACACCAGAACTCAAAGAGAGTTCCTGTTGCTCCACATTCACGTCAGCATTTGGTTTTTTCAGTATTTTTAAAATATGTATTACCAATCAAATAAGAGTGTAGTAGTATCAATTTTTGTTTTAATTTACAATTCCCTAATGATATATGATGTTAAATACCTTTTCATATGTATATTTACAATCTATGTTTTTTGGTGGGTGTCTATTCAGGTTTTTTTTCCATTTTTAAATTGAGTTTTTCCTAATCATAGATTTAAGCGTTGATTAACTGTTGTTGTTCATTGGTTTAATCATTGTGTAAGAGTTCTTTGCATATTTTGGATATATGTCCCTCATCAGATATATGTTTTGCAAATATTTTAATTCATAAAATATTTTTTGTTTTCCTAATAGTGTTTTTGCAGAGAAGTTTTTAATATTTATAAAGTACATCATTTTTTTCTACAGCTTGTGCTTTTGACATTGCATCTAAAACCAAATGCCAAAACCAAGGTTATTTAGGTTTTCTTTCATGTTATCTCCTAGATATTTTGTATTTTTGCGTTTTTCATGGAGGTTTATGGTTCCTTTTGAGTTTTTGTAGGTGGTGTTTTGCATATGAATGTCCAGTTGTTTCAGCACTACTTGTTGAAAAAGGAATGTTGTCACCAGTGAATTATTTTGCTCTTTTGTTAAAGCTCAGGTGACTGTATTTTACTAGAATTTGGTGAACTCTATTCTGTTCAATTGATTTGCCTATTCTTTCACTGTCTTAATTAATGTAGCATTGCTGGTATAAAGGAAAGAAATGGGCATTTGTATGTTGGCTTTTTATCCTGTGACCTTCCTGTAATTGCTTTTAGCTCCAGTGTTTTGTCGTTGATTTCTTGGAGTTTTTTGGAATTATTATTATTACTGATTCAATATCACTACTCGTTATTGGTCTGTTAATGATCTTTAATTGTTTCTGGTTCAACCTTGGGAGGTTCTGTGGTTCCAGGAATTTCTGTATTTCCTCTAGGTTTTCTACTTTGTGAGCATATAGTTGTTCATTATAGACTCTGATTTCTGTGGTATCAGTTGTAATGTTTTTATTTTCATTTCTGATTTTGATTATTTGTAACTTCTCTCTTCTTCTCAAGTTAGTCTAGCTAATGGTTTATCAATTTTGTTTATCCTTTTGAGAACCAGTCTTTCAATTTGCTAATCCTATGTATTGTTTTTTGGTGTTTATTTCATTTATTTCTGTTCTTATGGTTGTTGTGGTTTCTTTTGCCAGCTTAGAGTTTCATTTGTTCTTATTTTTCAGGTTGCTTGAAGAGCAATGTTAGGTTGTTAATTTGTGATCTATTTTTTGATGTACACATTTAATGCTATAAAACTTCCTTTTTAGCACTGTTTTTGTCTTATCCCAGAGGTTTTTGTTATGTCATGTTTCCATATTCATTTGTTTCAAAGTTGTTTAAAATTTCTGTCTTAATTTCTTAATTACACAAAGGTTTTTCAGGAGCATTTTGTTTAATGTCCTTGTATGTGCATAGTTTCCAAAGTTCCTCTGGGTATTGATTAGCTATTCTTATAAACTTTTTGTTTGTTTGTTTGTTTGTTTGTTTTGAGAAAGAGTCTCACTCTGTCACCCAGGCTGGAGTGCTGAGTGTAGTGGTACGATCTTGGCTCACTGCAACCTCCACCTCCAGGTTCAAGAAATTCTCCTGCCTCGGCCTCTGGAGTAGCTGGGACCACAGGTGTGTACCACAATGCCCAGATAATTTTTCTATTTTTAGTAGGGAGGAGGTTTCACTAGATTGCTCAGGCTGGTCTTGAACGCATGGGCTCAAGCAATCCGCCTACCTCGGCCTCCCAAGGTTCTGGGATTACAGGCATGTGAGCCACCACGCCTGGCCTCCATATAAACTTTTGAATCAGTTTTTTTAATATTTACAAGATAACTTGCTAGGATTTTAGAGATTGCATTAAATCTATTGATCAGTTTTAGAAGAACTGACATGTGAACAATATTGTCTTCCAAGGCATAAACATAGAATATCTCTCAATTTATTTAGATATTTTATATGATAACTTTCATCAGAATTTTGTAATTTTCTGTGTATAAGTCCTGTACAGGTTGGCTTAGATTTCTACCTACGTATTTCATTTTGTTGCTAGTGTAAAATTGTTTCATGTTTTAATTTCAAATGTCAAATTTTTATTTCTGGTATAAAGGAAACAAATGGACATTTTTACATTGGCCTTTTATCCTGTGATCTTGCTGTAATTGCTTTTAGTTTCAATGTTTTGTTGTTGATTTCTTGGCGTTTTCTACATATACCGACTGGTATGCCATCCTGGGGGAAAAACCCATTTTTATTTTGTTCTTCTGAATCTGTATGTGTAGCATTTATTTTTTCTTTTCTTATCGGATTTTCTAGGTCTTCTAAGATAATGTTGAATAGGAATGATAACAGCAAACATCCTTGCCTTATTCCTGATGTTAGTGAGAAATCATCTAGTTTTTCAACATTAGTATGATGTAATCTGTAGAGTTTTTTTTGGTAGGTGTAATTATGATGAAGTTCCCTTTCATTGTTAGTTTGGTGAGGGTTTTATTATAAATGTGTACCAAATTTTATCAATTATTTTCTGCATCTGTTTATATGATTATCTGATTTTTCTTCTTTAGACTATTGCTGCGTTGAATTAATATAGTTGATTTTAAATCATAAATTGCATACCAGGAAGAAATCCCACTTGGTCTTTATATACCTTGTTGGATTTCATTTGCTAATATTCTATTAAAGACTTTCACATGTATGTTCATGAGGGATGTTGGTTTGCTGATTTTCTTTCTTTTTATGTCTTAATTCTCATTTTGTTTTAAGATAATGCTAGTTTCATAGAGCATTTTATGAAGTATTCCCTTTGCTTCTATTTTCTTAGTGTGATTGTAGTGAATTTATGGCTTTTATTCTTGAACGTTTTATAGAATTAACCAGAAGCCATCTGGGCCTGGTGCTTCCTGTTTTGGAAAGTTATGAATCATTGATTCAATTTCATTGATACTTTTAGGCCAGTAGAAATTATGGATTTTTCTTTTTTCTTTTTTTTTTTAATTATACTTTAAGTTTTAGGGTACATGTGCACAACGTGCAGGTTTGTTACATATGTATACATGTGCCGTGTTGGTGTGCTGCACCCATTAACTCGTCGTTTAACATTAGGTATATCTCCTAATGCTATCCCTCCCCGCTTCCCCCACCCCACAACAGGCTCCGGTGTATGATATTCCCCTTCCCGTGTCCATGTGTTCTCAATGTTCAATTCCCACCTATGAGTGAGAACATGCAGTGTTTGGTTTTTTGTCCTTGCAATAGTTTGCTAAGAATGATGGTTTCCAGCTTCATCCATGTCCCTACAAAGGACATGAACTCATCCTTTTTTATGGCTGCATAGTATTCCGTGGTGTATATGTGCCACATTTTCTTAATCCAGTCTATCACTGTTGGACATTTGGATTGGTTCCAAGTCTTTGCTATTGTGAATAGTGCCGCAATAAACATACGTGTGCATGTGTCTTTATAGCAGCATGATTTATAATCCTTTGGGTATATACCCAGTAATGGGATGGCTGGGTCAAATGGTATTTCTAATTCTAGATCCCTGAGGAATCGCCACACTGACTTCCACAATGGTTGAACTAGTTTAGAGTCCCACCAACAGTGTAAAAGTGTTCCTATTTCTCCACATCCTCTCCAGCACCTGTTGTTTCCTGACTTTTTAATGATTGCCATTCTAACTGGTGTGAGATGGTATCTCATTGTGGTTTTGATTTGCATTTCTCTGATGGCCAGTGACGATGAGCATTTTTTCACGTGTCTTTTGGCTGCATAAATGTCGTCTTTTGAGAAGTGTCTGTTCATATCCTTTGGCCACTTTTTGATGGGGTTGTTTTTTTTTTCTTGTAAATTTGTTTGAGTTCATTGTAGATTCTGGATATTAGCACTTCGTCAGGTGAATATATTGCAAAAATTTTCTCCCATTCTGTAGGTTGGTGGCCTGTTCACTTTGATGGTAGTTTCTTTTGCTGTGTAGAAGCTCTTTAGTTTAATTAGATCCCATTTGTCAATTTTGGCTTTTGTTGCCATTGCTTTTGGTGTTTTGGAAATGAAGTCCTTGCCCATGCCTATGTCCTGAATGGTATTGCCTAGGTTTTCTTCTAGGGTTTTTATGGTTTTAGGTCTAACATTTAAGTCTTTAATCCATCTTGAATTAATTTTTGTATAAGGTGTAAGGAAGGGTCCAGTTTTAGCTTTCTATATATGGCTAGCCAGTTTTCCCAGCACCATTTACTAAATAGGGAATCCTTTCCCCATTTCTTGTTTTTGTCAGGTTTGTCAAAGATCAGATAGTTGTAGATATGTGGCATTATTTCTGAGGGCTCTGTTCTTTACAGGACTTTTTGTAGTTTGTGTTTTTAAGAAATTGGTCCTTGCACTGGATGCAGTGGCTCACGCCCGTAATCTCAGCACTTTGGGAGGCTGAGGCAGGTGGATCATGAGGTCAAGAGATCGAGACCATCCTGGCCAATGTGGTGAAACCCCATCTCTACAAAAAATGCAAAAATTAGCTGGGCATGGTGGCAAGCGCCTGTAGTCCCAGCTACTCGGGAGGCTGAGGCAGGAGAATCGCTTGAACCCAGGAGGCAGAGGTTGCAGTGAGCTGAGATCCTGCCACTGCACTCCAGCCTGGTGACAGAGTGAGATTCCGTCTCAAAAAAAAAGAAAAGAAAAAAAAAGAAATTGGTCCTTTTTATCTAACTTATCAAATTATTAAATTTGCAGCCACAGGACTCTCATAATATTCCTTTATTATCCCTTTCATTTCCTTGGGATTCATAATGATGACCCCTTTCATTTCTGGAATTAGTCAATAATGTTTTCACACCTCTTTCTCTTTTTCTGTGTTTTTTGTTATCCTGGCTTAGATTTACAACTTTTATTGATATGTTCAAAGAACCAGCTTTAGGTTTTGTTGATTTTTCTCAATTGTTTATCTGTTTTTAATTATATTGATACATGCTGTTATTTTTAACATTTTTTTCCTACTTGCTTTACTCTTATATTGCTCTTCATTGTGTAGTTTCATGAGATGAGAGTTTGTTTTCTTGATTTTAGATTTTTTTTTTCTTTAGTGGCTCTGGATCATGGAGATGTGACCTTCCCCTCTCCTATGGAAGTGGAAGTTTAGAGGGAGCTGAGACTGTTTTCATAGCCCCTTCCTTGGTCACATAAGGCTCCGCTAAAGTAGTTTCCCTTAAAGGGTTGGCTTTTGCTGTGAAGAACACTCTGGGCATGTTTCAAAATGGTTTCTATTCCCGGTATTGTCTGAAACCAGAGGGGGTTTTTCTTACATCTTGACTGTGACATCTTAGTGGGGCTCTTGTAGGTATGGAGAGCCCCCTAAAATGGGGACCCCAGGCATTCTTCACTCTTAAATTAACTCACTCTAAGACTCCAGCAATTAGTCAAAATTGCTTTCTAAGTGTTTGTACAGGCCACATCAGGCAACCATCCCACAGTGACACTACCCCAGTGTTGCTCTATACATCATGGTACATTTGTTCTCCCATTAGCCAGCCCCATCCATCCCGGACACTATGGGCCAGCCAGGGGGCAGGCATGCCGTAGGTTTTGCAACCCTCTTATCCAAAGCTTGCATGTTGCACCCCAAGCATTGTCCATGGGACCCCAAGTCTCTAGCCACATCCAATTCTTCACAGAACCCCAGGGCAAGCCATCCACAGCTGCTGCTGGAAGGAGGGTGCACATCCAGCAGTTGGAGACATTGGTCAGCTCAGCATAGGTGTGGGCCTAGTCCATGGTGCTGTAGGAGCATGCCAAACTATGGCCGAAACGCCAAAGCGGGCACGAGTACTAACAGGGATAAATTACGTTCCTCAGGCAAAATACAGGCCAACTTTTTGTCTCTGGATAACAATGCAGCTGCTAAGGGCTTCTGCCCTGGGCGATGGTACCACACCTTATCAGCTCCCCATGGTTCTTTTGGGTCCTGTACCTGTGCCAGAGTCACAGGGGAGCTCATGATAGGCCACACAGACAATACATATGTTCCCTGGAGGAGGGTCCCTTCCCTGGCCGTTCCCTTAGGAATGGCCCATCATGGAGGTCACACATTAAATACCCAAGGAGTAACATGTAAGTAATACTGCAGGCCCTCCCCCCAGGGGGCTATGATAGCCAATCACCTGCAGTGAGGGGCTTGGAGGGTCCATGGCCAACACCAGGCTTTCTGTTCTCTTGCCTTCAGGGGAGTTGGGGCAGGCAACAACAGATTATCATTCATCCCCATACCTGGTCGGAGACGGACATGTTTCCTTCCATAGGTCTTGCCATATGGCTTGGCCTTATATGGGCCAGTGACTCATTCATCAATTCTGTAACTTTCAGATAGTTAACCAAAAGGTTAAGCCTCAATAAACTGCCTAGCTATTGGTGAAGATTACTATAGGTATCACCTTCTTGGCGATCACCATTTACATTGCCCTGAGTTCAGCTCATTAGCCACTTTATCCACACCTGGTATCAAACCATATAGCGTCAGTACTAGGCTAGACGATGATAGCAGTCCAGGCAGTAGTAGCACCCCAGCTGGCCCCATCCATATACCATTCCCCACCAAGAATTGGGGGGCACCCTTTTTTAAATGGTGAGGGCTCAGGGTCTAGGGGTGCCTCAGGCCCCATGGCCTTATCTTGCATTAGGACTACAAGCCCCAAGACCTCTTGTACCTCTGTTGCTAAGGGACTTGTACTCAGTATACTTTGCTGTTCCAAGTAGGCACCCCACTTTGCTAAAGTGGATATCTGTGCCATCCCAGTGCAGGGAGTTGTTACCCATGAGTGTACCCACCCCTCTACTGGGTAAGTTGTCCGTATGACTACTATAGCCTGTCCCATCATTCTCTCACAGACCTGAAGGACAGCATATACAGCAGCTAACTGCTTTTTAATAATGAATACCAGAGCTCAGCTCCCTTCCAAGGTTGGAACCAAAAGCCTACTGGCATTCTAAAGCACTCTATGCACCACTATAGGCCCTAGTCAAAACTATCGGTGGTCACATGTACATTAAGTTTAAATGGGTGCCTCTGATTAATCACCCATAGGGCTTGTGCCTGCTGAATAGCCTGCTTGGCTGCCAGGAAGGTGGTCTTAGCTGCATCATCCTAATCCCAGGCAAGAGGGGTGTTGCTGCTTCTAAATCTGCAAGAGAATTAGAGGTTAATGTAATATCAACAAGACTATGACATATGATGGGGCTATGCACATAGCCCTGTGGCAACACTATGAAAATCCATTGTTGCCCTCCCATTAAGGCAAACTGTTCCTGGCTTCCCGGAGTGATGTCGATTGAGAAGAATGCATTAGCCAAGTCCGATATATAGTGGTACTGTCCCCATTCCTTTGTCAAGCAGTCCGTCAAATCCATGACAGACAACACAGCTGCCAAGCTGTGTAAAACATCCACCCCCAGAATGTATTCAGGTATGGGAGAGACATACACAGTGCATAAGTGGAGAGCTAAGCAGCCGATGTCAAAGTGCAAAGATACAGGTTTTACTTTCACTGACCGGTCTTCAGAACTGCCTATGTATCCTTTCCTAGAAACTTATCTGGGATCAGGGATCAGTGGATTGCCAAGTCACATGTGGCCTTTGGTTGTCTGGTGTCCCCCTGTGCCAGGCACTTCAGCCAGTTCCCTAATTAGACAGTAAAATCTTTACACACCTGCCTGGCTGCAGCAAGTGTCTTTGAACTGAAGTGCCTGGGAGGGACTGGGTCACTCAGCATTATCCTTCTCCCGAATCACTTGCACCAAGTCTGTACACAACTGTCATCTACTGACAGTTTCTGGTACTTCACAGGCATCAGTCTACACTGTCATTAAAGCCAGCTTTTCCATCTTGGAGGCTGAGCAGAAAATGCATCCACAACTTTGTCCCAGAGACAAAGCATTCAGGTGGGGAGGGGCTCCCCTAGACACTGCCTACACTGCTTGCCTAACTCCCATGACTCAGTGGGAGTGTAGGCACTATATGAAGTGTGCTCTACTATGGGAGGGGGTCCCTGGGCCCACCCTTCGGGCCCAATGGCTTTTTTGCTCTACCTTCTGAAGGATCACAGGGTGAGCCCACAGTGGAGGAACCTCCTCCTCCTCATCATCAGACTGAACAGGAGTTTCTGGCTGGGAGGATGGGCTCAAGATCACACTGATGACAGTCTCTAACTCCTGTTCCAGGCTGTTTATCTGGGCCTCTAAGTGTCCTGTTTGTGGCTGGTGTTCCCTTACCCCCAGGTTTTGCTCTAAGCTGTGCATTTGGGCCCCCAGGAGCACAGCTTGCACCTGGAGGTCCCTTACCTGTGCAGTACTGAACATGTACTTCCTGAACTGCAGTTAGAAACACCCATCCAACTCTGGAGGCAAAGACGCATTCCTTCTTGGTGCTGTATGCTTCCAGGTGCTTCGGTGCTTTCTCCACCCTTGAGGGAGATCAGACCATTGCCTCCCATGCTTCCACTGGGGCCCATCTTAACAGCACTACTGCCACTGAGTACCACAGTCCGTTCTGCAGCCACATAGCCAACCCAGGAGCCTCAGGTGCTGAATACCCACTCACCTCATCCTGCCAACTATGCCAAATGTCAGGTTCGAGCCCCAGATGAGGTCTGAGGGGAGTGGGTGGATGGGGGGCAGGGAGCTGCAAGTGTTCTTCCAGAACACTCGAAAGACAGGAGGTAGATCCAACATGGCTTTATTCAGCAGCTCTCTCACAGTGTCAGTGCTGCATTTACACACCTCACAAACAATAGTGGCTCAGAGCCAGGTGATGAGTCTCCCCATGTTATGGCTACATAGCTGTGATTATATAACACATGGAATTGTGCACCTGTGTTCCAATCCTGCTGAGTCATGCAGGGTGTTTACCTCAGCCTCTGCCTTCCTGGCTGCAGCATAGCCATGTTCCTTACAAATAGGCTCCCCCACATCCCAAAACATGCTTTTATAAAAAATCTCCTTCACATTCAAAACAACTTAAATAAATAATCATGGTTTGTTCTCTGATTTTGAAATTATATCCTGATTTCAACAAAAAAAGATTATGATTCTATAATTTTCTATTGCTTCTGTTACAATTTACCACATTTTACTGGATTAAAACAACACAAATTATATTTCCAAGATCAAAAGTCCAACATCATTCTCACTAGGCTAAAGTCAAGGGATTGGCAGGATTTGTTTCTTCTGGAGGCTCTGAAAGGAGTCTCAGAGCTTTTCCAAGTTTTAGAGGTCATCATATTCACTGATTTATGGCCCCTTCCTCCATCTTCAAGGCCAACAGTATAGCATATTCTCACCATTTTGACTTTTGTCTCTATCCTCCCACCATTTCTTAACTGTGACCTTCCTGCATTTTCTTAGAGTAATTTGTAATTACATTGGGCCCACTTGGATAATGTTTGAATCTCAAAATTTCTAATCACATCTACAAAATTTCCTTTGTCATGTAAGATATCATATTCAGAGGTTCCTGCAATTAGTTTCCGGAGATTAATGGCATGGGCATTCATGGAGCCATTCCTTAACCTGCCACAGTAACCAAGTACTAATGCATTTTCAAATAAGATTCTTGTTTCTTGTACCTATTGATACCTTTTATATCTGTAGAAATTTTTATATCAATTTAGTTGTTTTGTCAAGATTCTGAAAATTAACTTTCTTTTCACAGCCTTGTTTTCTCTATTATTTTAAAACATACCCTGTGCCTACATATATACATCTTGTTCAAGAGTTATGAAGGATAAAATGGTTAATAAAATAATTCATATTATATTTGGGCATACTGTTTTGTATATGCTGCTTTTAAAATTTCAGTACTTCAGTTACATAACCGTTAGCTTTGCTGAACAAATGAAAACAAATTTAGGTCATGACTGTTAGATCAATGAAGATGATCTAATCTTTTGTGCCATCAAAACCATTGGCACAAGGAACCACTAGTAATCTTTTATTGTCATTGTAAAATGTACTATGAGCCCACTATAGCAGTTACAACAATAAAATGAAACGTGGGGAATGAAACCTCTTACAGTTTCCTTATTTCTGTTAAAATTATTTTATCTTGCTCTCTTGAAATATCTTTTTTAATGTAAACTGTGCCCAATTTTATATTGTAAGATACTGTTCTTTTTATGATTTGTAAATTGTTCTTTAGATATTAAGTATATTAACAAACCGCTTCACATGTTGCATTTTTTTCTTTAATATTTTCATTTACCTCTTGATTTTGTTTACTTTTATCATGTAAATGTCATTAATTTGTATTTGGTCAAACTCATCAACATTTCTCTTTTGAATTTTGCACATGAGCGTTGCATACATTATTTTCAGTTAGTATATTATGATATTCACTTATGTTTTCATTTTTTCTAAGATTTTATTCAATGAATTTTATAATATTTTAAAATAATGCTGTTATTTTTTCTGGTGTTTGATATAAATAAAAAAGTGGTTTTCACATATTTAAATAATTATCTTAGCATCATTTATACATAATATATCATTTTTCTAGTACCATATTAGACTCAACTTTATATTTAACAATGCATTTTTTTGTAAATATACTCAGAATAAGTTACCTGTTACCTAAGGTTACCTGTTTGGGGCTATATTAGTAGATTCATGTATTTATCCTATCTAAATGTTTCTATTTTTCATACGTTTGTTTTTTAAAGTTCAAGATTTTAATCAAAATCTTTGTAAGAATTAATCATTTACGTTAATAATACCTGGGTCTTCGTAAGTGCTTTGAAATATAGACACACTTTTTCTCTTCATTTAAGAAAACATTTGTTCTTTTGTATTTGGATTATTGCTTTTGTTTCTTTTATTCTGTAGGTTAAAATTAATTACATTTACTTTCTTAAATACGTTTTTAAATTCTCCAGCATTTTCCTTATATAAAGTACTGATTCTGAGTTTCCCTTATTTTAAATACTAGTAGTCTTTTGTTTGGATTTGTTAAGTAGATACTCAAGCACCTTTATACGTATTTTTTCATTTGGAAAGAAAGCCTTTGTTTTCACAGGTTAAAAAGAATTAGTAATGTAGGTGGAGAAAGAATATGGTGTCTAGACAGAGGGAAGAGCAAGTAAAAATACCTATAAAAGATTGCCTTTCAGAAATATAGGGAATTCTATTTCTAAAAATGAAGGTGTGGAAAAGAGACAATAGCTGACACACAAGAGATTGGGACCATATCAAAAGGAATGATGTATACTAAGCAAAATAATTTACTTTTTAAAAATGCATTTATTTATTTTATATTAGGCATATTAGTCATTTTGGGAAATTTGATGAAGTGTGTATATTGGAAAGTGGTGGATAAATTGGAAATAGAAAAAAATAACCAAAGATGCCATTATATCTAGTGAAGTATTTATTTTATTCACCTAGGTGGGTAAAAGATTGGTTTTAATAAAGGCAAAGTCAGATGTTGAGAAACAAGAATAGATTTTAAACATAAGAGATAGAAATGAAAATACTTCATTAGTGATTTGGTCTATCAAATAGACATAGGGAGCATTTTAGAATATATTCAACAATTTAATTCTTTAACACTAAATGAATGCTTGAACCATTGGCCCAAATTAGAAGCACAGATGGAAGAATAGATTTGAGAAAAGTATTTTAAATTTAGTTTAGTTTAGTTTTTTTTTTTTAACTGGACTTTTAAATAGGCATGTGGTTAAAGCTGTTAGAAATAAGGTTCTGGAAAATATAGAAGACATCAGGATGAAATGTACCAATTAGCTATTTAGACAAGCTATATATCAATTAGATATTTAGACAAGCGTATAGATAAATACTGAATATATCAAGAGATTGTACACCATGGAAAGGATAAGACAGAAAGAAAATAACCCTAGTGAAGGGTTGAGAAAAGGGATAGAAACATAAGCAGGAAAAACACTATCAGAAAGGAAGGAAAAGAAATATATATCAGTGATTATCAGGAAATAAATTAGAAGATATGAGGCTGTCAAGTGGATTAAATATCACAAAGTGGTCATATAACAACCAAAAATTTCCCAACGGATCTGAGATTTAAGAAATGCTTGATGACTTCAATTAGTGAATTAAATGAGCTAGTGGGTTGGAAGACAGATGGCAGTGGGATAATGATCTATGAATGATACATAGCAAAATCAAAACCTCGGAATTAGTCTGTTCTCACGCTGTTATAAAGAAGTGGCTGAGAACGGTTAATTTATAAGAAAAAGAGGTTTAATTGGCTCATGGTTCCACAGGCTGTACAGGAAGAATACCTGGGAAGGGCTCAGGAAACTTACAATCATAGTGGAAGATAAAGGGAAAGCAGGCCCATCTTCACATGGCTAGAGCAGGAGGAAGAGAGAAACAGGCAAGGTGCCTTAAGCAACCAGATCTGATGGGCACTCACTCACTATTATGAGAGCAGCACCGAGGGGGAATCACCGCCATCCAATCACCTCCTACCAGGACCTACCTTTGATACTGGTGATTACAATTTGACATGAAAGTTGGGTAGGGACACAGATCTAAACCATATCAACCTCTATTTTCACATTGGGAGCTTTTTCATGAAGAGAAAGAGAGTGCTTTAGCTCTATGGAACATGGAGAAGAATCTCTGTCAATATTGCAGTGATTTGATGATGTTCATTATAGATCCTGTTGATGGGTGGACTGATAAACTAGGTGATGGAAGAAAGTATCTGGACAAATGGTAAGGAGAGGAAAGTAGAGCACAAGTAGAAGACTTGTCCTTGGGAAAAAGTGACCACTTTCCCTTGAGATCCTAAGGGGTCTTGTGAGAATGGTTAACTAATATAGACTCCTTTTTTTTACATGAGGAGATAAGGTGATGTTATTCATATTGGATGGTGGTCTTTGCTATCACTGTCAAATAGTGAGGGATGTTTGGCAGAGTATAATAAGAAAAGTGGGCTTGATGAAATACTAAGTTTTCAGATGAACACTCTTGGAAAAGGAGAGGGAGCTATCAATAATATGTAGATGATTTTCAGCACAACACATTTTCTGACCATGGTAAACAAGCTAAAAAGTTGGTGCTCCTCTGATCCTATAGCATTTAAATATTAATTCAATGTAAATGTATTGGTGACCAGGAAGGTGAAAATGAGTAGTTCTAGATTTCATCAATTAACAAACAAGCTAAATGGCACCTTGTGTGCTGTCTGTAGATTTTTCCCTAATTGACTCACCATTTAATCTGGCTCTCCATGTGATGTTTAAAACTGTAAACTTGAAATTTGTTTAATTTTAATGAGTACTTTTGATTTAATAAGGAAGGAATATTTTGTAAATTCTAATTGGGGAATTAATAACTCCTATAGTTTTATATTATATTCTGTGTGAGTTAAGTAGAGTTTAAACCATCCAATAATTTCCTAATTTCCACAGAGAAAAACTCAGAGCCTTTAATGACTTAGAAGCCTCTATATTATCTCATCCCCATCTGGTCCTTACCTCCTCAAATTCAAATCCTATTACTCTCTTCCAGTGGTGAGCTGGGGCCACTGGAACAAGCTCTCATTCCAACTGTGTACATGTCATTCCAACTCAGCGTCCTGCAGTATTATGTCAGTATCTTGAAAATTAGTCATGGTGTGAATATTTACAAAATAGAAATTAACAAACACTAAAAATCGTGGCTTTTTAATGTTTTAGAGTCTGTTTACCACCATACTACTGTCTTCTAAAATTAGGGTTTTGCAATTGCTTTCCCTTTTCTAGGAATGCTCATTCCCAGAAATCCACAAGGCTCATCTTCATACGTTCAGGTCTTACCCATAGGTCAGGAACTCAGGAAAGCCTTCACCATTTATAATTGTAGTGTTCTTAGGTTCCTCTGCACACAACCCCATCAAACACACGCACGCACACACACACACACTCCATACCCCATTTTTTGACAATCTATATTCAATTTTTTTGCTTTATCTTTCATCCTCTCCATGTATGTATCATCCTATGATTTACTATACTTTTTTCTTATTTGCTTTATTGCTTGCCCCAACCCATGTGAAATGTATATGCATTGATTTGTTGAACACCGAATTCACAGCTTATAGAAGAGTACCTCTCAATAAATGTTTGTTGAGTAAATTAAGTGACAATACAATGGACACACTGAAATAAGTTTAACAAACATTTGGTGACTTTTTAGTGTGTGTATTTTAAAAATATTTCTTAAGAATATCAACATTTTATGGTACATTTTCTTTAGTTTGTGTTGTTGCTGTTCTTCTATGCAGTATAATCAACAAGACAGTTCATGTACCGTGAAAGAAATTAGAAAAAAAGAAATGCTTTTTTTATGCAAAATATAATAACTCAAAACCATCTAAGGTCATAAAGATATTTAAAAAGTCAATATTACATTAAAAAATAACTATTCTCTTCCTTAATCTTATTGAGATGGTATGCCGTTTTATCAGTAGCATATGGAATAAGGCCAGTGTGTTGTGACTGTGTTTGTTGGTGCACATCTGTGAAAGCTGTCTGAGGTCAGCAGTGATGAGTTTGCAGTATTATCATGCAAGAACCAAATAAATTTACAGTAGGATGGTTACTGTCATGGGTCCATATAAAGTAATATCCTTGGAGAACTATTTTAATTGTGAACCTACAAAGAGATATTTAAATTCTGCTTTTTATGCTAGCATCCATTTTCCCAAACTTGATTATTTTTTCTTCCCACGACCATGAATTATAAACACAAATTCACCTGCTGACAATCTTTTGCTTGCATCAGTAATAATGCATTGAATCAGTGCCACTTCGTATTTGAATAAATTTTTGATACTGAAATAAGAGGGAAAATGTCTGTGCATAATTAAATTATCTTCCCAAATCTGATACTGTTAACATAAGTAAATGCATAGAATAAGGATTAAAATATAAAAGGAGTAAATATGCCTAGCCAACATGAACAAGGAAAAGGAAAAAGCAGTATGAAAATAAAGAAACCATTCTGACTCCAAAGTAAAATCTCTGTCCAAAGAATCAATTAGATTCTGCTTTAACCTATATTTATATTTATGACATTCACAGATAAAAATGAGTTAAACTACATGAGCATATAAAGTGTACCGTGAGAAGTTCTATTAATAAAATACCTAAATTATTATTTTCTTATAGTTTTCAAATCTCTCAGCATTATGTCCCCTTATCAAGCCTATATTGCACTAAACTTCTACAGCTATCTTAAATACACACATACACACTCATACTCACATATCTGGTTTTCTAGATTTTTATCTCCATTATGTTCTTAGTGTCGCCTAGCAGTAGTAGTCAAGGCATTTATAGATTTGTTTCAACCTATTAATACTTTTGCAATTTATTTTGTCTTTCAACTATTCTACTATTTCTTTTGGCCATACCTATACCCCATTGTCTCCCCACAATTTTTAGAACGTTGTATGCTTTTACACAACTCACTGCTGTGCACCCTACTTCTTCCTAGAATCTCAATTCCTCTTATTTCTACTTTGAACTAAGATCTTCTAGCATAATCAGATCATATCTTTTCTGTAAAGTTTTTGCTCTCTGCTACCCTCCTGAGAGTTGAACCACCACCTTGCTACTACCATAAAATTTTCTTATGCCACTGAAAAGAGGTTTAGTTGGCTCACGGTTCCACTGACACCCATACACAAGTGTTTCTATAATACATTTTATTGAAAAGAGTGTTTATTTGTGTCTCTTAACCTCTGCACTTTATTATTTGCAGTTGACAATCACGAGTTAGTAATTCTTATATTGTGACAAGTGAAAGGTGTCTGGCACCTAGAATTTCACAAACTTGCTGATTACAGAATAAAAGGCAAGTAAGCAAATTGTGGGAAGCAGAAATGTAAAGATTTTCCCCTCCTCAAATCCCTGTCCCACGGTCATTGAATCAAACAATAATCTAGGTATTGCTAAGAAGGAGCTTTGCAGATGGAATTGAGGTTGGAATTTATAGTCAGCTGCCCCCAAAATAGAGAGATTATTCTAAATGATCTAAGTGAACTCAGGGTAATCATCTGAGTCCTTAAAAGTAACAGAAGAATGCAAAAGGGCCCATTAGAGATATGTGGCAGATGTGTAAAGGAGGAGAGAGAAGGAGGGAGAGAAGATCAGAGAGATTTAAAGCATGAAAAAGACAAGCGATTGATAGCATTTTTTTTTGTATTTCCCAAATATTCTCTGGGATTTTTTTTTAAATTTTGTTTATCATGTTTTTTTTTAAATTATACTTTAAGTTCTGGGATAGATGTGCAGAATGTGCAGGTTTGTTACATAGGTATACACGTGCCATGGTGGTTTGCTGTACCCATCAACCCATCATCTACATTAGTTATTTCTCCTAATGTTATCCCTCCCCTAGCCCCCCACCCCCTCAACAGGCCCCAGTGTGTGATGTTCCCCTTCCTGTGTCCATGTGTTCTCACTGTTCAGCTTCCACATATGAGTGAGAACATGCGGTGTTTGGTTTTCTGTTCCTGTGTTAGTTTGCTGAGAATGATGGTTTCCAGCCTCATCCATGCGCCTGTAAAGATAGCCTTAAAAGAAGAAGGTAAGGTAAGTGGGTGGCCTCTGGAGGTTGAGAATCACCCCAGACTGACAAGTGGCAAAGAAATGGAAACCTGAGTGCTACCATCACATAGGACTGAATTCTGCCAGGAACTCACTCGAAGAACCTGGAAGCAGATTCATCTTCAGAGCATGGAAAGAAACACGATCTTACTGATGCCTTAATTTGAGCCTGGTGAAACCTTCGTCAGAATTCCAACTTACAGAACTGTGAGATAATAAATAAAATTGTGGTAACTTGTCGTAGCAATGATAGAGAACGTATAACAAAATGATAATTTATATTCTCACTCTGGGGGGAAAAAAAGCATTTATTCAGTGTTTGGTTAATACTCCTTAATCTTTGGGCTGAACATAACAATAGTGAACATGAAAAGGTCACTCTCCTCATTGAGCATAATTCTATTATAATTACCTCGCCATTATGGTGTTAGCATAAACCTTCTCATCTCCAATAATTTGCGTGACTGCAAGTAGCCCAGTGATGAATCAGTACACATTATGATTTGTGCAGAGATTAACATTACCTTTGTTACAACAGATTGACTATTTCCTAGCAATTTTAGGATTCATGTTTATAACCTACCCAAGCAGCAGGTTCTCTGAAATTGTTTTCCATCCGTGGATTGACGGTACACTGTTTTTCTAGAATGGCTATGGGAATTCAATATTATTTTGAGAAGTTAGATTGTCTGATGGGAAGAAGTCACAAGTTAATCTAAACTGAGTTTTTCTCTTAATTTTTTTTAAGTGACAGCACAAAAAACCCTGCAATATATAAAAATGATATTTAGTTTTCTTAAGTTTCTCTCAAATTACATATTATTTCAGCTTCTTAATGCAAAATTATATCCATATTCTTAGTCAATAGTATGCACAATGATTAAAGACTAAGTTCTCTGTAAGGGAAGGGGTTTTAAAAATATTAAGATAGTTTTCTTGCTAACCTTTCTGATAACGAAAGTTTCATTCTGGTGTGCCCTAGATGTCTGTGTCTTTTTTTTCTTTCTTGGATTGAGAAGACAGGAGGAGGTTGAAGATTATGACATTACTGAATTAGTTTACATAGAAAAAAAAGAGACTGTGCTCTTGTTTATATAGGGGTGAGGATTAGAAATATTTCTAAAATAAATGCAAAGAGTTTTGAGTTTTGAAAATGTGAAAGGCTGTTGAGTTGTTTTGATAAAATGTTTTCTATAATTTCCTTCATTTAGTGTGTCAAAAAGGTCTCAGTTCACAGCGTTTTTCCTACTATTGAGAGGACACCCTCTCATCTATAACATCATAGCCTGGATATTTGCTTTTTATTGTAGATAGAGGCTGTTTAAGAGGAGAATAAAAAAGGAATCAACCATAAACAATTGTGAAAAAATAAACAAAAAGAAATCACGGAAGTGAAATATCATATTTTTCTTCAAATTTTAACCTTTCCATGCCTTGGTAGAAATGGAAAGTTTTCTTACATAAGGGAAGTGAGGTGGAATCTTGCTTGGGATTCTCATTTAGTATTCTTGGAGGGAACCACTACGCAGAGATACTTTGTAGACATGGCTTAATCCAGCCCAGTAGAAAAAGTGAAAGGTTGAGCAGCTGAAGAGAGGACCTTCCCACATGGTACTAAGATGCGGCATGGTACCGAATTGGACAAGGTTATGCATAGCAAACTTGAGATATGTCTTCCCAGGTAAAAGGCTGGATGAACTGCGGGAATGACACAGATTCTAGGGCCTGAAGCTTGGAACATTCCGAGAACAACTGAGTCTTCAAGGAGATAGAGTTGATCCCCAAAATACAGATTGTTTAGCAGTTACAAATGCTGCTCTAGCCAGCAAGAAATGGGACACTGTCTTGAAAGCCAGAGAGAGTCAGACACACTGCAATCAGTCCCTGACCTGCTAACTTATGAGAAAGCCACCCACTTTCACTTGCCCAGCCAGACATGTCTATGGAATAGATATGAAAGGGAGATGGAAGGCAGAAAATCTGACATTCAAGCTGTTACGTTATTACTATTAAAAAGAAATAAAATATTTGATTTTCTGAATCTTATTAAGATTTAAATCAGCTTGAACTAAAGGTTATATGAAAGTTATTTTTTTTTCACCATTAGCTAGCACATGGAAGATCATGATAGGACCAGAAGAGTTATAGACAACTCAGAGGCGTGATATTCACTTTATATATTCAGTATTAGTGCAAGTTAAATCTGTCACCGCATCTTATGTATGTTTTAGAAGATCCTTTCTCCTTCATGAGCTTGCGATTTACTACAACTATGTTTCATATATATAATATGTATATATATACATATATGTGTATATATGTGTGTGTAAATATATGTATATTTTATATATGTGTGTGTATATATATATATAATATATATATTACATTCAGTCAAGATTTCTGCTTCAACTCTTCCCTGGTGGCATATAAAAACTAGTATTTAGATAATAATCACAACACTTTATATTTGTACAATTCTTTATAGATTTAATGTGTTTTTTTATGTATCATTTCTCTTGATTCTGTAAAAACTCTGTGAAATAAGTCCTGTATGATCCTACAGCTTGAACTGGCATAGATTACCCAGGCGTACCACTGTTGTAGTATGAGAGAGGAAACCACTGGACTGCCTCATTGTGTGTGGCTCACAGGATTAGTTACAATGATGAACAATGTAAGTGAACAACAGCAACCTTTTTTTTTTGCCACATACCTCCTTCTTATATATTGTATACTGATTCCTTCATTTAATCTTTACAAAATCTCCATCAATACTTTGATGAACTATATACAACATATAAGAAGGTAGTGTGTGTCCAGGCAAAAACACTTACTGCTGTTTGCTTATCTTGTTTATCATTATAAGTAACCCTGTGAGGCATACACAATAAGGCAGTCCAATTTTTTTTATTAGTATGCTTATTTTTCAGAGAGGTCATCTCAGAGGTGGTACTTTTATACGTTTCAGAAAATTTTCTACAAAGTCTTATATTTGATTTTATTCCAAATGTTGGAGGATTAAAGGATTTGAAAATCCAGAAATATTCATTAATTAAATAAATTGATTTATAATTCATAAATACAGATCCCAGAAACCATTTCCAGGAGCAGTTGTTAGTTCCTTTTGGCAGCCACTTTTATCAGTTAACTTTTAAAAGATTAATCAAGTCAAGATACAATTTTCCATCATAAACACTTGTTTCATTTGGTAATTTCATAAAAATCACATTTTATCTCTAAGATATTCTGAGATTGTTGAGTAATTTTGTACCTATTACTTTGGATATACAGCAATCGATGCTTTTAAATATATTCAATAAAATATGTTTTTCCTAAAATGTGCCTACCTAGCCCAAATCTGTAACTTGCTTTGATACACACACACATACACACACACAGACACACACACACACACACGCACACACATTCTATTCTGTTAAGAACAGCAAAGGTGCCAAAGTGTCAACATTTCTTTTTTTATCTGTTTAAAATGACATCTCTTCCATATAATGTCTTCCTCTTTCAGTATTTGAATTTGTAATCTTCTTGGTAATTACAGAAATGTTAACATAGTTAAATAAAGATCTATGCTTGCTAAATTAATAAGAGATTAGAGATATCATAATTCTTTTTTTAAAAAAATTATCAAACCAGCGTAACAGGTTTTCTTGGGTGGATAAAGGCCCTTAAGGAAACTGTAGTTGCTCTTTTCACTTTATTCATAGCTCCCTCAGTTACAAATATGTTCTTGGCATTTTCTTTTATTGGAATTGCCTCATGTTAACCAATTTAGGTAAAAAGATAATATCCAAAGAGGAATTAATGTGAAAATTTTATTAACAATTCCACTGTATTATTTCAACAAACTATAAATATTGTGCATTTTGTTCAAACTTATAGATTGTTCTAAGTTACTAATCTAGACTGCAAAAATACAGAAAATACATTTTAATACAAGGATCTAGTTTCCATTAGACATTTTTTACATATTTATACCTTTGTTTCCTGAAACACTATATAAATTACTGATCATTTAATATTAAAAACAGAGGCATAAGTTTTATTAAAAAGGGTACATTTAAGAAAATTTAATGTTCAGATATTGAGCCTCTATTATTTGTGCATTTTTGAACTGCATAGGCATTTATTGTTCTAGGTTACATAATTTTGCCTGTTCTAAAATAACAGAATTATTATCTATTATGAACACTTCTATTCACACAAACCAGAAAAGCTAGAAGAAATGGATAAATTTCTAAAAACACACAGCTTTCCAAGAGTGAACAAGGAAGAAATTAAAACCCTGAGTAGACCAATAACAACTTCTGAAATTGAATCAATAATAAAAAGCTTGTCAACCAAAAAGCCATGGAAAATAAATAAAATGCCCAAAGAAAAATAAATCATCTTACCAAAAAGACACATGCGTTTGTATGTTCATTGCAGCACTATTCACAACAGCAAAGATATAAGATCAACCAAGATGCCCATCACCAAAGAACTGTAAAATAAAATCATATAAACCATGGAATACAATTCATAAAAAAGAATGAATACATATCCTTTGCAGTAACATGGATGCAGTTGGAGGCCATTATCCTAAGTGAACTACTGCAGGAATGAAAAACCAAATACTCCATGCTCTCACTTATAAGTGGGAGCCAAACATTGACTACACATGGCACAAAGATGGGAGCAATAGACAATGGGGACCGCTTAAGAAGAAGGTTTAGAGGGAGCATGGGTTATAAAGCTACCTATCAGGTACTATGCTCACTACCTTGTTGATGGGATCACTCATTCCTCAAGCCTCAATGACACACCATTACCCATGTAACAAACCTTCACATGTGCTCTCTGACATTAAAATAAAAGTAGAAAAGAAGAAAAAGAAATAGACTCAGCTCTCCATAGGTTAGTAACTTCAGAGAAGCAAAAATCCTCCTTTGACCTAGTGTTTGCATCTGTAACTTAAAAAAATATTAACCAGAATGTATCAGACTTTATTCTAGATATCAAATATTATTTGTTCTTATTGACTGAACTTTCACTAAATCAGAACCTTCCCTTTTACCTCTTCACTGTATTGTAACCCAAAGCAACAACATTTCCTTCAGTGAAAACCATGCCTTATATTTCACTGTTTTTTCTTCTACTGCTTAATTGTACCGGCAACATAACTGATATACACATCTGTATGGCATATTCCATCCAGTATTCTCTATCCATTTAGCAGTTACATTCTCCATTCTTGAATCATAAGATGCACAAACCATATTCTTGGACTTTCATCATTCTGAGATAAATTTAAATAATACAAAGAAAGTGCTTTTTTGAAGAACAAAAATGGAGGAATATCAACAGTTTCTCTGTTTTCACTTAACTAGAACTGGAATCAGTTGTGGTGCATATCAGGGCATTCAATGCGTTAGCATTCTTCCTTATTTCTTGTACTTTATGCTTTATGCTTTACTTCCCCCGTTTCCTGTATGCTTAGAGTCCATCACTTTAATATTCAATCTGTCCTTAAACAACACTTTTATTTCTATTTTCTGATATCTGAAGTCACATAAGCATGGAAAATGCCAAAATCTGTCAACTGCATTACTGACCAATTTTATAGAATAATTAGAAGGAGACAGATCATTGTCACCAATATCTGTAACAGCAATAATGTCTTCAAAACTGTCAACAATCTTAGTTTTCTTATTCAAGGCTTATTTCTGCTTTCAAAAATAAACATTTTGAGCTCGTAAACTCTGGTGAATAGAAGAAACAGCTTCCCCATCCCCAGTAGTGGCAACATCCCTCCCTGACCCATGCTGCCATCAGCCTTTCCAACTTTATTTGAGAAGATAAGCCCTGCGCTGCCTGCGGCAACAGTGATGGCCTCCCCTCAGGCAGTTGCAAGATAATGTGATTCTCCTACAAACCACCCTCAACACCCTTGTTTGCTTCTAGACGTATAACTAGACTAAATTCCTGGCAAGCGTCTAGAGGTGAGGTTCAGAGTGTGACCCATGAGGAGGTTTGCTATGCTCAAAAAGAACTGCATGAGTTTTCTAATTTATATAAGCAGAAACCTGGAGAACAGGCATGGTATTGAATATTAAGGGTGTGGGATGATGGTGGAAGGAACACAGAGTCGGATCAGGCTGAAATCTATTGATTTGTGACCACTAAGCAGGAACTCTGAATTTAATGTTGCAGCTTGGGAGTTAAAAAAGGTTCTAATAATTTATTTTCTTGGTTAGCTGAAATATGGATTAAAATATGGCCCACTGTGAGTGAGTTGGAAATGCCTGATCTTCCTTGGTTTAATGTAGGGGAAGGGATCAAAAGGCTTAGGGAGATTGGGATGGTGGAGTGGGTTAGTCACTTTAGACTTACTCATCCCAGCTGGGAGGGTCTAGAAGACACACCCGTGACCAATGCTTTGTGAAACAGATTTGCAAAGACAGCACCTGGATCTTGGAAGAGTCCTGTAATTTGTCTTTCCTGTATGTCAGATCTAACAGTGGGAACCGCAGTCACTGAACAATAAAATTTAAATGCAATGTGAATAATTGGATCCCAAGGTGGCAGGAGCCAAGTGGTGGCACTCAACCATCAAAGACAAGTTGGGTGTAGCTATTGTAATGGACAGCAGAGGCAAAGCAGCAATCAGAATACTCTGACTCATGTAGAGATCTGATATTGGTTAATTAATTACAGTGTTCCTAGAAGTGAAATTGATAGGAAGCCTACTACATTCCTACTTAATTTATATAAACAGAAAACTTCCAGATCAAGTGGACAAAAGACTAATTTGAATTACAAAAACAGAATCACAGCCCCTCAATCAATTTCCAGGTTTGAGCCAGTTTACAAACCCAGAACCCCTTGAATGAAGGGGAGGCTGGTCACCTTGAGAAGGACCCCACTACACTACTGACAATTTATGCGTTAATTTTTCTCCCAACCATCCCCAAGGAGACCTCCAGTCTTTCACCAAGGTAACTGTGCACTGGGGAAAGGGAAATTATCAAACATTGTGGGGACAACTGTACACTGGCTCTGAGCTGACATTGATTCCAGGGGACCCAAAACATTATTGTGGTCCTCCAGTTAAGGTAGGGGTTCATGGAGGTCAGATAATTAATGGAGTTTTAGCTCAGGTCCAACTTACAGTGGGTCCAGTGGATTCCTGGACTCATCCTGTGGTCATGTCACCAGTGCCAGAATGCATAATTGGCATAGACATACTTAGCAGCTGGCAGAAACTCCACATTGGCTTCCTCAGTGGTAGGGTGAGGGCTATTATGGTGGGAAAGTCCAAATGGAAACAATTAGAGTTACTGATACGTATAAAATTAGTAAATCAAAACCAATATCACAACCTTGGAGGGATTGCAGAGATTAGTGCCACCATCAAGGACTTGAAAGATGCAGAAGTGGTGATTCCTACCATATCCTCATTCAGTTCTCCCATTCGGCCTTGCAGAAGATAGATGGATCTTTGAGAATGACAGTGGATTATCATAAGGTTAACCAAGTGGTGATTCCAATTGCAGCTGCTATACCAGATGTGGTTTCATTGCTTGGGCAAATTAACACATCTCCTGGTACCCGGTATGCAGCCATCGATTTGACAAATGCCTTTTCTTCATTCCTGTCCATAAGGCCCACCAGGAGCAATTTGCCTTCAGCTGGCAAGGCCAGCAATATCCCTTTACTGTCCTATCTAAGGGTTATATCAACTCTCCTGCTTTGTGTCATATTCTTGATTGCTTTTCACTTCCACAAGATATCACACTGGTCCATTATATTGATGACATTATGCTGATTGGATCCAGTAAGCAAGAAGTAGCAAACACACTGGACTTTTTGGTGAGACATTTGCATGCCAGAGGATGGGAAGTAAATCCAACTAAAATTCAGGAAACTTCTACCTCAGTAAAATTTCTAGCGGTCCAGTGGTGTGGGGCCTGCCAAGATATTCCTTCTAAGGTGAAGAACAAATTGTTGCATTTAGCCACTCCTACAACCAAGAAAGAGGCACAACGCCTAGTGGGCCTATTTGGGTTTTGGAGGCAACACATTCCTCATTTGGGTGTGCTACTTCAGCCTATTTATTGAGTGACCCAAAAGGCTACCAGTTTTGAGTGGTGTCCAGAACAGGAAAAGGCTCTGCAACAGTTCCAGCTGCTGTGCAAGCTGCTCTGCTACTCGGGCCATATGACCCAGCAGATTCAATGGTGTTTGAGGTGTCAGTGGCAGATAGGGATGCTGTTTGGAGCTATTGACAGGTCCCCACAGGTGAATTACAGTGGAAGCTTCTAGGGTTTTGAAGCAAGGCCCTGCCATCTTCTTCAGGTAACTACTCTTCTTTTGAGAGACAGCTCTTGGCCTATTACTGGGCTTTGGTGGAAACTGAATGTTTAATTATGGATCATCAAGTCATCATGTGACCTGAACTGCCCTTCATGAACTGGGTACTTTCTGACCCATCTATCTATAAAGTGGGTCATATACAGCAGCATTCCATCATCAAATGGAAGTGGTATATACATGATCGGGCTTAAACATGTCCTGAAGGCACAAGTAAGTTACATGAAAAAGTAGCTCAAATGCCCATAGTCTCCACTCCTGCCACCCTGACTTCTCTCCCCCAGCCTGCACCAATGGCCTCACTGGGAGTTCCTTATGGTCAGTTGACGGGAAGAGAAGACTAGGGCCTGGTTCACAGATGGTTCTGCATGATATGTAGGCACCATCTGAAAGTGGACAGTGACAGCACTACAGCCCCTTTCTAGGACAAACTGAAGGACAGCGGTGAAGGGAAATCTTCCCAGTGGGCAGAACTTCGAGCAATGCACGTGGTTGTACACTTTGCATGGAAGGAGAAATGGCCAAATGAGCAATTATATACTAATGTATGGGCTGTAACCAATGCTTTAGAGGGATGGTCAGGGATTTGGAAGAAGCATGATTGGAAAATTGGTGACAAAGAAGTCTGGGGAAGAGATATGTGGATAGACTTCTCTGAGTGGTCAAAAACTGTGAATATATTTGTATCCCACATGAGTGCTCACCAATGGATGACCTCAGTAGAGGAGAATTGTAATAATCATGTGGATAGGATCACCCGTTCTGTGGACACCACTCAGCCTCTTTTCCCAGCCACCCCTGTCATGGCACAATGGGCTCACTAACAAAGTGGCCATGGTGGCAGGGACAGAGGATACATATGGGCTCAGCAACATGGACTTCCACTCACCAAAGCTGACCTCACTACAGCTACTGCTGAGTGCCCAGTTTGTCAGCAGCAGAGACCAACACTGAGCCCTCAGTGTGGCACCATTCCTCAGGGTGATCAGCCAGCTACTTGGAGGAAGGTTGATTATATTGGACCTCTTCCATCATGGAAAGGGCAGAGGTTTGTGCTCACTGGAATAGACACTTCCTCTGGATAAGGGTTTGCCTATCCTGCACACAATGCTTCTGCCAAGACTACCATCTGTGGAGTCATGGAATGCCTTATCCACCATCATGGTATTCCACACAGCATTGCCTCTGACCAAGACACTCACTTTACAGCTAAATAAGGGCAGCAGTGGGCTCAGGCTCATGGAATTCACTGGTCTTACTATGTTCCCCATCATCCTGAAGCAGTAGATTTATAGAACAGTGGAATGGCCTTTTGAAGTCACAATTACAATGCCAACTAGGTGACAATACTTTTTAGGGCTGGGACAAAGTTCTCCAGAAGACCGTGTATGCTCTGAATCTGTGTCCAATGTATGGTACCATTTCTCCCACAGCCAGGATTCATGGGTCCAGAAATCATGGGGTGGAAGTGAAAGTGGCACCACTCACCATCACCCCTAGTTATCCACTAGCAAAATTTTTGTTTCCTATTCCTGCAACATTACCTTCTGCTGGCCTAGAGGCCTTAGTTCCAGAGGGAGGAATCTGCCACCAGGAGACACAAAAATGATTCCATTAAACTAAAAGTTAAGATTGCCATCTGGACACTTTGGGCTCCTCCAACCTTTAAGTCAACAGTCTAAGAAGGGAGTTACTGTGTTGGCTGGTGTGATTGGCCTGGACTATCAAGATGAAATCAGTCTACTACTCCACAATGAAGGTAAGGAAGCATATTGTGGAATACAGGAGATCCCTTGGAGCGACTCTTAATATTACCATGCCCTGTGATAAAGGTCAATGAGAAACTACAGCAACCCAATCTAGGCAGGACTACAAATGGCCCAGACCCTTCAGGAATGAAGGTTTGGGTGACTCTACCAGGAATAAAGCCACGACCTGCTGAGGTGCTTGCTTAAGGTAGAGGGAATACAGAATGGGTAGTACAAGCAGGTGGTAGTCAATACCGGCTATGACCACGTGACCATTTGAAGAACTGAGGACTGTAATTGTCATGAGTATTTCCTCCTCATTTTGTTAAAAACGTGTTTGTGAATGTATACACTTGTACTAAGAAAATAACTTCATTTTATTTCCTTTTCCTTTATCATGTGACATAAGATTTATTGGCTTTCTATCAGCATTTAAGTGTTGTTAGCTTTATGTAATAGTATTTGGGTTGGGGATTGGTGCATTTCCTGTTGTAGGAAGAATAGTTGTATATATTAGGCATAATTATGACCTTATTATTTTATTATTGTTTTTATTTGAACATTCTGTATGATCTCAGGAGAAGTGTATGGGTTCGAGTTGACAATGGGTTGACTTGTGATGGTTAATACTGAGTGTCAACTTGATTGGATGGAAGGATGCAAAGTATTGATCCTGGGTGTGTCTGTGAGAGTGTTGCCAAAGGAGATTAACATTTCAGTCAGTGATCTGGGAAAGGCAGACCCACCTTTAATCCAAGTGGGCACAATCTAATCAGCTGCCAGCATGGCCAGAATATAAAGCAGGAAGAAGAACATGAAAAGACTAGACTGGCTTAGCCTCCCAGCTACATCATTGTGCTGTGCTGGATGCTTCCTGTGCTTAAACATCAGACTTCAAGTTCTTCAGCTTTGCGACTTGGACTAGCTTCCTTACTCCTCAGCTTGCAGGCAGCCTACTGTGGGATCTCGTGATCATGTGATTTTAATACTCCTTAATAAACTCCCCTTTATACATATCTATATATAGATCTACGTGGATATAGATCTATGTATAGATCTACGTGGATATAGATCTATGTATAGATCTACGTGGATATAGATCTATGTATAGATCTACGTGGATATAGATCTATGTATAGATCTATGTGGATATAGACCTATATATCCTATTAGTTTTCTCTCTCTAGAGAACCCTGACTAATACACATAACATAATGATTTACCCTATTTATAGCATTTTCAAACTCTTCCTTTGTAATAGTTCGTTCTCACCATGACTTAAATACTCAATTCCCAAGTATAAAACCAGCAATCTACTTTCGCTCCTCCCATTGTGTATACCTTCTTGAAATGACAGTCTATACACAAAACACAAAATTCCTTTCTTTTAAAATTCATTATCCATTTTAATCCACCTTTCATTTTATTACTTCACCAAAGCTGTTCTAATCTTGCCGTCAGTGTTATTGAATCTTTTGTTTGCCTTTCATCCCTTACCTTGCATTAATTCTCAATAGTATTCAACACTCCTAACCCTCTTAACTTCTCAAATCCTTGGGTTTTCTTAGCTAATAGGGTATCACACGCCGTAGTTTTCCTTCTGCCTGTGACCAGTCAACAACTTCCAGTCTTTTACTTTCCCAGACTTTCTTATCTAACTAAAAGTGTTGCCTTGCTGTGATTTATCCTGTGCTCTTTATTTTTGTCCTTTTACAACTTATCTCTAGCAAAAGTTATCTAAGTACTTCCACAGTTTCAATTATCAAAGTCTATATCACCGATCCAGATTAGTTTTCTTAGATACAGACAGACTTGACTTATCCATTGACCTAATATGCATATACATTTGGATAACTTATATAACACTGATAATTTACATGTTTCAAATATATATAATATAATAATATAACAATATAATATATATACTTTTTTCAAGGAATGTTATTTTTCCTTGTTATGAACAGAAAGTTTTGTGTTACTCCAAAATTCCCGGGTTGAAGCCTAATTCCCAGCGTAATGATATTTGGAAATGGGAACTTTGGGATAATTAGGCTATGAAGATGGAGACCTCATGAATGGGGGCTAACCCCCTTAAAAGAAAATACATCAGAATGCTTGCTTCCTCTCCCTCTACTCTCCACAATGTGAGGGCACAATAATGACTGTAAGCAATAAATATTTGTTGTTTAAGCCACCTAGTCTATGGTAGTTTTTTATAGCAGCCCAAACTGACTAACACATTTTCCGTCTTAATATATGGTATCTTTTTATTTAGTTGAGTAACAGGAAGTAAGTAGTCATTGTAATCCTTAACTTTTTTACCATGTCACTCCTACACGTGATCAGCTATGAAGTCTTGTTGACTCTACCTACAGAATTCTCTCTACTTTTATTTGGAAATATCACTTGGAAACTCATGATACTATATTAATATACATATTTTCTTCTTGAATGTAAGCTCTGTGTATCAGTATTTATCTTCTACATCATGAGTATCTCCTATTCCTTTTGTTAAAAACATTTCTGTGCATATATTTACTTGTACTAAGAAAATGCCTTCATTTTATTTTTTTTCCTTTATCATGTGACATAATATTTATTGACCTCATATCAGCTTTAAGTGTTGTTACTTTATGTAATAGCAATAATTCTAACTATTATTTTGGACATTATACATGATTCAGAGTAGATGAATGAATATTTATTTTAAAAATGATGGATTTTTTAAATTTAAAGACAACAGTACCCTATGTATTTTTTTATAGAACCAGAGGCAAATGCTAAAGGAGTATTTAAAAATTCTGCCTGAATCACATATCTGATTATGCTCATATTTCTCCTCATTTACTAGATATCCAAAACATCATTCACTGTTAAATCCAGGAAACATCCTTGGATTTGGAAATTATGGAAGGAGAAATTATTATTGGAACTGTACTGAACCTTTAGCTCAATTAAGGTGAGGTATATATCCCAACAATATTCTATGTAGATGATATATTTCCCCATTTATTCTTGGTGTCTTTTTAAAGAAATTCACTCAGCAAAATTTAGATATTTTTAATGTAAATATTTTATATTGTTTGTATAATTGACTTTTATGCATTTTGAGTTTTTGTTGATATTATCGAACTGGTGCCATTTTTATTTTACTACAATATTCTCATTGTTTTTATGTTTTTAAAACATCAACAGATAAAATTGTATATATTTATTGTGCATGATATGTTGTTTTGTATTATATATACATTGTAGAATGGTTAAATCTAGCTAATTAACAAATGCAGTACCTCACATATTTATGCTCGTGGTGACAACCTTTAATATCCTCTCTCTTTGCATTTAAATTGTCTAATTGTTTGCTCCTAGTACATACAAACACAATTGATTTTTGTATATTAGCTTGTATCTATTGACCTTGCTGAATTCACTTGCTACTTCTAGAAGTTTAATGGTAGATTCCTTACTATTCCTATGTATACAGTCATCTGTATACATAGTAACAGTGATCTGTATACACTGGAACAGGTTACAGTAATCTGTATACCTAGGAACAAGTTACAATAATCTGTATACATATGAATAGTAAGGAATCTACCATTAAACTGCTAGTAAGGAATCTACCATTAAATCTTCCATCTGTAAAGAAGGGACTTTTCTTTCTTTTTAAATTTCATGCCTTTTATTTTTCTTCGTTGACTCTTTATAATGACTAGGATCTCTTAATGTGGCACAGATGTGGTGAGAATGGACACACTTACCTTCTAACTATGGAGGATACTATCATTTTACAGATGGACCGGGAGAGATCCAGGCATATCTCTGGGAATACATGTATGTCTGGTTTTAACTGTTGACCAAGTTGAGGGCTATGAAAGTTGTGATATGCAGTTAAATTTTAAAATACTGCTGGTAACTCCAGGGCCAGTTTTATTTTTGATGGCTTTCACCTGACATAACTGGTTATACAGACTTGTATGGCTATATAACCAGAGGGACAGAGGGGAACTTCCACTAGCTAAGGTCTTCATTCAAATATTGGGGGTTCAACCTGGAGACAGAGCTTTCTGTGTCCATGTACAAATAAGAATCACCCAGGGGGACTGTGCCTGGATATCTCTCAAATGCACAATGTTGCTTGTACTCTTGTTTTTTTGTTTTTTTTGTTTTGTTTTTTTTTTTTTTGCCATACCCTAGCCATTACCTCGAAATAAAACCCTCATGTGAGTATGCTCTGTGAAGATTTTTTTGTATTTTTTTAAATGTTCAAACTTGGAACATCTTTGATCTATCGTATTGGGAAAGCATTCAGTTTTTCACCACTAAGCGTGATACTAGTTTTCATTACTTTTATTTTCATAGATGCTCTTTATCATGTTCAGGAATTTTCTTTATATTCTTAGTTTCATGTTGAATTTAAAAAATACTATATTTTGAAATGATCATAGTTTTTATCATTGATTCTATTAATATTCTTAACTGCATTCTTTGATTTTTCAAATGTAAACTAACCTTTCATGGCTAGGATAACCTTTAATTGCTTATTGTATAGTATTTTTTTTTCTTTTTCTTTCTTTTTTCTTTTTTTAACTTTTAAACTCAGGGGTGCAAGTGCAGGTTTGTTACATAGGTAAACGTGTGTCATGGGTGTTTGTTGTACAGATTATTTCATCACCCAGGTATTTAGCCTAGTACCCATTAGTTATTGTTCTTGATCTTCCTCCTCCTTTCCTCCACCCTCCAAAAGCCCCAGTGTGTGCTGTTCCCCTCTATATGTCATGTGTTCTCATCATTTAGCTCTAAAGGAATATACATCATTCAAGTATTATTTTCTATATTGCTTAATAGACTCAGTTAATATTTTGAGAAGGCTTTTTTGCATCTGTATTCATGAGGGATATTTGTTTGCTTGCTTGCTTCTTTTCTTGTTTGAACATTTTCAACAGGTTTGGTTTTTATGCCTATACTGGTCCTATATGAAATGAGTTAGGAAGTATTATTTCTGTTTTTAGTTTCTGAAAAACTTTATGAATAATTAGTACCATTTTTCCTTTAATATTTGGTAGAATTCAGCACTAAGCCATTTGGGTTGGGTGTTTTCTTAAAGGAAATTTGTTGATAATTAATTCAATTTTTGAGCTCTGTGGGGCTAGTTACATTTTGTTTCATCATATGTCACTTGTGATGAGTTTCGTTTTTTCAAGGAATCTATGGATCTCATATAAAAAAAGTTGTCTTAACTTTTCGGCATAAGTTGTTCCTAATGTAATCTTATTATCTGCTTAACATCTATATGATCTGGGTTGATAAAAATTATTTTATTTTTCTTTCTTTTTTTATTATATTCGGGGTCTTTTTTTTTATCTTCTCAAAAAAGTCAAATTTAACTTTGTTAATTTATTATGCATCTATGTATTATATATACACGATCTAAATATATACTTTTTGTTTTACTTTCTACATTATCAGTTTTCTTGGGTAACTTTTTAAATATGATTTTTATTGTGTAGTTTTTAGTCTTCAACTTCTGAATTTTGGAGTTTCCCCGAGCTTAAATACAGACCCTGCTCTTTTCTCTTTCTCTACAATAGCTCTATATGATCTCATCCAGACCTATGGTTTTAAGTGCCGTCTAAAAGAAAGCTGTTTTGAAATTTATGTCTCACAGTCCTAGATTTGACCATGAGAGCTTTTGGAATTTCCTGTTTATTACTGCTGTTCAAATCTAACCAGGATGTATTGAAGTGTGATTCTTTTATTCGTACTGCTTATTAACACTGGATCTCTAGAACAGAAATACTCTTTTCTTTCTTCAGACGATGAAAAATTTATTCCATTTTTAAATGGAATTCTCCCCTCCATTCTTTTAGTTCTCTAATTTAAAACTCTTAATATATTGTAAATGTGGCAAATTATTATCTTTCATTATATAATTTCTTTTGTTTTTCCTTCATTTTATACCAGATACTCTTCTGTTTTTTAAGGTGTACATTTTCTTAAATCTAGCGATACTGATAAGAGTTAAAATAGTTTGTGCTGTGTGTATGTGTGTGTGTGTGTGTGTTGCCTGATAAGAGCAGCTGTTGGCAGTTGACATTTTTGGTTAAAAGTCTGTTCTGAATATAATAAATAGCTGCTATGGATGTCATCCAAATCTCATCTGAGGTTGCTTAATCTTTTCCCCTCATAGGTTATTTTAATAAATCAGAGTGATGAATTGAATTTCATGTCAGAGAGTCCAGTGAATCACATGGTTAGCATTTCCCTAGGATATGAGGTCTTAGGCAATGAAGTTACAAATTTCTGGAACTTTCAGCATAGCGAGGTTTTCCTCTGGTTTTGGAAGACATCCGTGTAACACCTTCCCAGATACAACTGCTTTCTCTCTCTATTTTTTTTTCTCCCTCTGGTCCTATTGTAGTGTTCTGAAATTTCCTCATATTTCTGCTCTGATTGTCTTCCAGGCTTCAATACTTTATTAGTAGCCCTTAATTTCCAGGGTGGAATGTAGAGAAAGGAGTTATAATAATTAGTAACAATGGATTTGTGACTGCTTAGTCTTTATCTAGAAATATTAAGACTTCTTTTTATTAACATTGATGGCTATGTATAAAATCAGTGAGTTGGTTGCTCCCACAAGTGAATTGAACATGCTAGAGTCTTAAAAATAAGAAGGATGTGCTCAATATTCCTTTGCTGTATTTGTCATATAGTCAGTGTTATGTATGTATTAGACAACTCTAGTGAAATATTTCCTTTCCTCAGGCAATAAACTGTTAAAAAAAAAAGTGGAAATTACATCCACACAAAACCTGCTCTGTCTGTATTACTTAAATAGTTTTAACTTGACAGCCTTCTCAATGGAAGCAGAAACAGTTATTGTAGACTCCAGCTTTGGAAATCACAGAGACACTTTAAAGAAATACATTTTTAAAGTTTTTGATTCCATGTAATAAAGAAATAATAAAAGTTTGTTGGCCTGAATACAAGACAGCATTTATCACAAAGTATGCTTTTACAAAAAATTACTATCTCAAATATATTAAACATCTATAAGATGGCCACTACAGGGGAGAGTATAATGTTGAAAACTATAATGATTTTGTGATGTGCCAAATAGTAAATCAAACAATTTTCATGCATAGGGCATACAATAAAAGCTAGAATATTTGCAAATTCTATCATCTCCTACATGTGCATCATGTATATGTAAATGCTATTTGTGAGTTATACTAGGAAACCACCAAAAAATTGACAATAAGGATCTCTGTTAGTTGTGTCTTTGCTTGGGACAGAATTCACGTTTCAGTAGCAGGTTGCATATTCTAGGAGACCACAAAGTGTTTAGATCTGGGTAACTCAGAACAACACATAAATTATATATCAATATAAATGAACATATATATACACATATATATAAACCATCAATGGTATTGTTGATAATGTGCAGCATTATAAGCAATTATATTATAAATGACAGGTGTATTGTATTCAACAATATACATAATTACATTGTAAACAACATAACTCTTTATAATGCTGCACATTATCAACACTACCATTGAGCTCATATTTTATATAACACACTGCACAATTACTGTTGAAATTTCTAGAGGTCTTGTGACAAAATCTTACCTCTAGGTTTACAGAAGAAAATCGGGTATTAAATATTTAGAATCATCAAAATTCATAATGATTTTGTGAAAAACAGAGTCTCAGACTTCGTTGATTCATGTTCTAATACTCAACCTTCTTAGGTTACAATTACAGCTCTTAATGTTTGGACATCATTGAAGTATGTACGTCTATCAGAAATTAATGCCTTCAGACAGGTGGAAGAGACACTAGAATAGCACATACTGTGACCACTTATTAGCAACATCACGCAGGTCCAGATAAATCGAAGAATGTTTTGTAGAAAAGGTAAATGTAAGCTATATATTAAATAAGTAGTTTAGTAAAAATATTAAATTTATTATGATGACACATTTGATTTCTATCCTGAATCATCTTGAATCATAAAAATGTTAAGTGATCCTCAGCCTGATCTAGAAAAACAATTAGGAAAAATGTGTTACTGTTTTTCCAATTACCCACATAGGTTCTCCCAACTATTGGAAAAATTGCAAAATGAAAGCATAGAAAATTGGGATGTTTCTCAACTTTTCAAAATAAACTAAGTTCCTAGAAATGTGGAGCCAAATCGTAATTATTTACCATTGTAAGGAGTTTAGGTAACTGTATTTCATACATTCCCTAGTCAAAATGATATCATGGAGAATTAAAGTTGTATTGAAGTGCTCATAGCAATATTTTAAATAATGACATTGCTCTAAATCAAGAATCTTTATATCTGAATATATAGTCAGTATTAAAAATCTTTAGTTGTGATTTGAGTAATTACTAAAGGTTTGCAATAGCTGAGGTTCAGACTTGCCAAGAAGAAATTTCTTAATTAAACAAATAGTACTTTTTAAAGTAACTAATAAAATGAAGTACATGCACAATGAGGAGACACAATTTAATAAAAAGAGATATATATACTTGCATTGGGGGAAATACCTTGCTCCGGGTCTCACTATAGTTTACTAACTGTTAAGGCCAATATTCTGTTTCTGTTTCAAACAAGATCTCAGTAGTCTAGATCTCTAGAATTTTGAAGATAAATCAAATGGCTTTGGAACATGTAAATACATGGCTACTATTTACTTCATGTGTCATATGGCCCATGTTCCATTGTGTGGAGCTGCTATATACTTTGTTGGATATAGTCTCTGGTGGGCTGCCTGTTAATGTTAGATTATACAACTTTTGTCTTAGTCCATTTTGTGTTACTATAACAGAATACATGGTATTGGGTAATTTATAAGGGAAATAAATGTATTCCTTACAGTTCTAGAGGGTGGGAAGTCTAATATCAAGGAACCCCCATCTTGCAAATGTATTCCTGCTGTCATCTCATAGCAGAAGGCGGAAGGGCAAGAAAGCACAAGTGAGTCAGAGGGGGTGGAACTTGCTTTTATAGCAGGCATACTCTCATGATAAAGAACTTATTACTGTAATATGAATGTCAATTCATTTATGAGGGTAGAGCCCTTATGATCTCATCACCTGCACCTGGAAATTAAGTTTCCAATATATGCTTTTTGGGAACACATTCAAACCGTAACTATATTCTGTATATTGAAAGACAGAGCAAAAATTGTTTCTGCTAAGTCCCTATTAAAAAAAATTCAAGAGTCTGCTATTGACACTACAACTTTTTTTTTAATTTGTGTAATTATCCAGTATTATGGAGCTGCTTTCAGAAAAAGTATTCTAACATTTATATCACTTTTAAGTATCCTAAGCATTTTGCTTTGCAATTCTAATTGGATCCAGTCAGTAGCAGAACAATAAATGTGGAATTTTTTTCAATAACTAGAAAGATAAAATTGAAAAGAAGAATGCATGGATATACATCTTAAAGTATGTTGATCACATTACAATTAATCCTTGGTATGGTTTGGATTTGTGTCCCCACTCAAATCTCTTGTCAAATGGTAGGAGGGGACCGCTGGAAGGTGATTGAATCATGGGGCAGATTTCCTCCTTGCTGTTCTTAAGATAGTGAGTGAGTTCTCCCTAGATCTGATGGTTTAAAAGTGTGTGGCATTCCTCCTTCACTCTTTCTCCTGTCACCTTGTGAAGAAGGTGCTTGCTTTCACCTTCTGCCATGATTGTAAGTTTCCTGAGGCCTCCCCAGCCATGCAGAACTGTGAGTCAAATAAGCTCACAATTATGTCAATTTATGAATTACCCAGTTTCAGGTAGTTCTTTATAGCAGTGTGAAAATGGACTAATACAATCCTCAAAATAAGTAAATTAAAAATGTTATGCTTGAGTAATTATTTCACAATGCATAATAAAACTAAACAATGGTGAGCAGGTTGAGGGAGGGGTGAAACTTGCAGTGGGATAAAAATAAAATAAATTATTACACTGTACAATTTATTGTGTTGTAGACTAAAATATTAGATAGTAAACTATTAAATATGGATATTCACAAATTATGTGGTTCAAAGTAATATTCTATGATCGAAATAGCCTTTCTTTAATAAGAAATATTATAAACAAAGGCTCAAAATTTCCTTCAAAGGTGTTTCTTTAGCTAGAACAACTATTTTTGGAGTTGTGTTTTGAAATGTGTTTGCAGAGCCATCTACTTACCATTTTGCCATCATATGTCTCTATTGTTCAAATTCTTTCATATCACACGTTCTCTGCTTTATCCTGAGAGCATTTGTTTTTATGATCACCATGTAGGGATTTACTTGAAAAGTGAAAACAGATACTATTGTGGATTGATTGTGACCCAGATTGTTATGCCTTCCTGCATCCACAATCTTTTGCAATAGGACTTTGTCCACTATCACAAATGGCAAAATCAGTTTTCTAAAGGCTTTAATTTGAGCCAACTTTGTGACTTATTTCTTTCAATAGAACATAGAGATAGTGATGTTCTGTCATTTATAAGGCTAACCTTGATAAAGAGGCAGACATAGCTTGCAGGATAATAAAAGGCATCTTGGAGTGGAGGTCAGTTTTTCTAGATGAGGCTGTCTAATAAACTATAGCAAAATATGTGACAGAGCCCAAGAGTAGTCAGCTTAGGTGTGCACCTACAGCTGCACACAGACACATAAGTAAGCCCAGTCAAGGCCCAGAGATTTCTCCAGATGACTTGTAGACTACAAGTAATGCATGCTTTATGTTTATGCCATCAAATTTTTTTGTACTAACTACTGGTAGCAATATAAAAATATTGTATGCTTGGACACTATAATTTTATGTTTTGCAGTCACCTGTAAATTGTAGACAAAGACAACAGAGCCCAGAAAAAGTAAATCCAATTAACATAATATTCTGTCGAAATTTAGAAAAAAATATGTTTAGTGTCTGTGTAGCTTTGCTTATCACTGATAATCTCTAAACCATATTAACTAGTTTAAAATGACAACACTCACTTTTCTCCATCCTTGCTTTGAGCTAGTGGTAATTTCCTCACACAGAACCATGCCACTCCTCTGTAAAATAAGTAATTAAATGGTGTTCATGGCTGTTTATTTCCGAGAGGTATACATCTATTAGTATATCATTAGAAACTCCTTTGCAACATATTCTCAACCAACATTAGAGATCCCACCTTCTGCCACTGAACCTTAGGATTCTTATTCCTCAGTCACAGCCCTCAAGTCTGTGATGTCTGAATGCACCATGCTCACTTTCCTTCCTGACTTTGTTGCCATCTCCAACTAAGGAACTAGTGCTCATTTCAAAGACACAGTTAAACATTCCTCTCTTTGGTGAAGCCATATTTGGTTCTGAAGGCAATACAATCAGCTTTTATTTTGTGCTCTATGAGCCTGTAGTAGTTTTCTTTTGCTACATAACAAATCATCAAAATTTGGAAACTTAACACTCTGATGTCAGGAGTTCAAGACCAGCCTGACCAACATGGAGAAACTCCGTCTCTACTAAAAATATAAAATTAGCCGGGCGTGGTGGCACATGCATGTAATCATGTAATCCCCAGCTATTCAGGAGGCTGAGGCAGGAGTATCACTTGAACCTGGGAGGCGGAGGTTGCAGTGAGTCAAGATTGCACCATTGCACTCCAGCCTGGGCGAAAAGAGAGAAACTCTGTCTCAAACAAAACAAAACAAAACAAAACAAAACAAAACAAACACTAATTTATCATCTCACAGTTCTGTAAACCAGAAGTCAAAGAAGAAAAAAACTGCATTTTCTGCTTATGGTGTCTCCAAGATCCATCTATCTTCTGCACAGGCCAAATGGGAGAGTTGAATGGGGATGTGGTGGGAATCACCACCTCTGCTTCTTTCAAGTCCTTGATGGTGGCACTGATCTCTGCAGTCCCTCCAAGGATGCGATATTGGTTTTGATTTACGAATTTTCTAGGTATCAGTAACTCTAATGGTTTCCATTTGGATTTTCCCACCATAATAGCCCTCACCCTACCACTCAAGGAGCCAATGTGGGGTTTCTGCCAGCTGCTAAGTATATCCATGCCAACTATGCAGTCTGGCACTGGGGAAATGACCACAGGATGAGTTTGGAGACCCACTGTAAGTCGGAACTGAGCTAAAACTCCATTAATTTTCTGACCTCCAGGAACCCCTACCTTAACTGGAGGACCACAATGATGTTTTGGGTCCCCTGGAATCAGTGTCAGTAGTCCAGTAGTCCAATAGTCCCCAAAATGTCTGATCATTTCCCTTTCCCCAGTGCACAGTTACCCTGGTAGAAGGCTGGAGGTCTCCTTGGGGATGGCTAGTGGAAAAATTAACAGAATAAATTGTCAGTAGTGCAGTGGGGTCCTTCTCAAGGGGACCCGGCCTCCCCTTCATTCAAGGGATTCTGGGTTTGTAAACTGGCTCAAGTCTGGAAATTGATTGAGGGGCTGTGATTCTCTGTTTTCATAATTCAAATTAGTCTTTTGTCCACTAAACCTAGAAGTTTTCTGTTTATATAAATTAAGCAGGAATCATCCTTTGGGATGAAGAATTTACCAGTAATTTACTTGGATGGCATGAGGTTTAGGTGACATAAAATAGAATGTTGTCTTCAGTAGCAAGTTTAGTACACAGAAAATACACAAATAAATGAGCAAATTAAAGGTTTTCCTATTTCCAGTATCACTGAAAGTTTCTAAAGAGTTAATAAGGATCTGTCTCATGTGCATGTACACATCAAGGCCACCAGTGGTGTTGAGAATACAGCTTCCTGTAATAAATCAGAAACGAGCATTTAGGATACGAAAAGAAAAATGATAATAGAATGCTAAGTGCAAGTTGAAGAATTTTTAACATTAAATGAATTCTGCTTGTTAAAGATCTTTTATAGGCATACAATAATTAACTTCTATACTCTGTGGGATTCTCACTAACAATGGATGAGAGTTCTGGTTGTTCCACAGCCTTGCCAACATTTGTACATTCAGTCTTTTTCATTTTAGCTTTTCTGTGGGATTTGTAGCTTGGTGTGGTTTAAATTGCATTTCTTTTATGACTAATGGTGTTGAGCATGAGCATTTTTAAAGTGCTTATTAGTCATTTACATATTTTAATGAAACAGTTCAAATTTTTGCCCATTGGGGATGTTTCTAGACTATGTTGTGCATATATTTTCTCCTAGAATGTGACTTTCTTATATATTTTTAAGGGTGACGATTGATGAGCAAATTGTTTAGTTTTGATGAAGTCTAAGTTATCCATTTTTCCCTTATTTTTACTACATTTTGTGTCCTAGGAAAATGTTGTCTACTAGAAATTATGGCAAAAACCTACTAAACTAGTTTTCTCCTAAGCTCCTTTTGCTTTAGCTTTTAAGTTTAGGCATATGGTCTACTTTTTGTACATAGAATGAGATAGAGTTCAAGGTTAATTTTATTCCATATGGATGTCCAGCTGTCACGAAATATTTGCTGAAAAATCTTTTATTTTCCTTCTGTGCTGCTTTGGAATCTTTGTCAAATATCATGTGGCCGTGTAAGTGTGGCTGTATTTCTGTATTCTCTATTTGGTTCTATTAATCCATTTTTCCTTCCTTAATGCTAACACTGTATAATCTTGATTAGAATTAGTTTATAATAATTATTGATGTCAGGTAATTTAGGCTACCCAACAGTACTGTTTTTCCAGACAACTGGACATTTTTGAATTTTCATACATATTTTAGGAAGAACTTTCCAAGTTCATCAAAAAAAAAAAAATCTGCTGCGTTTGTGACTGGGATTGTGTTAATTTCACTGATTACTTTGGAGAGAAATTACATTTTACAGCATTGACTCCTAAAACATGAACATAGAATATGTCTCCATTTATTTTGATCTCCATTAATTTAACAAAGCAATGTTTTGGTTTCTATTGTAGATGTTTTTCACAACATTTATTAAGTTTATTCTTTTGTAGCATATTAATTTGATGCTCTTTAAATGGATACACACATTGGGTTGTGCCCTTCACACTAATTCTGGACTTTGGCCCGTGAGGCAGAAGCTGACTTGATGAAAGGAGAGATTTGGAAAACCTCTTGCTGCCTTTGGAATTTTGCTGCTGCATGAGCAGACTGAAACGGTCTGTTGGATTATGAGTGACACATGGTCCAGTCTCTCCTTTTGCTCTTGATGGCAGTTACATAACCTGCTGACATGAGTGTGAAGCAATGTATCCTGAACCAGCCACCCTGAGCTGACCTGCCAACCGACTGCAGATGATGAGTGAACGAGATTAGCCAAGCCCAGATTAGGTCAAAAGTACAAGAAAGAAGAATTGTGAGCTAAATAATTAGTTATCATCTTAACCCATTAGATTTTGGGGAGAGTTATTACATGTCAAAAGCTAACAACACAACACAGACATGCACACACATAGATGTATATATCTTATTTTCTTCTTTAATTTTATTTTAGTCTTTCCTTTCATTTATTTGTTCCTGATGTGAACATCTCTGAGAGAGCAAGAGGTAAGATATAGAAAGGAAAACAACAAGAATATGAAGTTTGTTATTTATAATATGATATTCTTTTTATGTGTACCATGTTGCACATCTGAAGTATTTATCTCCAAAAAAAAAAACTTTAAACAGTCTTCTCTTTTGAAAATACAAGTATTGCAGGTGTTTTTCCCCTAAGAAATCACTCCAGGGTAGTGATAAATTAGCCTTCTCTCTATGCTTTTTTTTTTTTTAATAAAATCTAAAGAATAGAAAATGGCAATTGGAGTCAGATATGGGAAAATTGGTCCAAAGTGATAGGTGGTAGTTTAAAATGACTATACTGGAGGGTACACAGTGTCCCTTCACTGGCCATCCTCTGTCCTTGTCAGGCTCAATCATTTCATTGTTCCTTTCTATAAAACTTTTCAGTTCAAAACAGATACAAAGCTATGAGCATGTATATGCAGAGGTAGATCAACCTGGAAGCTACTACAATAGTCCAGGTGAGACATCAAGAGGACAACTGAGGAAATAAAGTGGACATGGAGAAGAGGGAGAAGATTCAACTATTTATACAGGTAACTACTAGCAGTTAGTTCTGGAGGATGAGACAGGAAGCAACCTGGGATGACTCATGGAACAAATCTGCAAATCTTGCTGTCCACTGTATGGGAAGAGTTCCTCTGAAAGGCCACTTTCACAATCTTCTCTAAAGGCATGCCTGTCCCTCAATATGAAATTGTGAGATCCCTAGGCCCCATTAGTAGAGAGAAGTCCATAAGATGAGTCCACATTCTACACGACACACAACCCCTCTTGTTACTAAAATTTTTTTCTGGAGACACCAGGGCATGTTCTCAAGAAGATTATTTCTTGTACTGCTCACAGGTTAATGTCTATTAACTTGTCAGGCACATGACATCAGCTGGGACCTTTAAAATGTCACTTGGGAAGTTGAAGACCCTCTGTTCGAACTTGCCTCTTATTCCTGTCAGTCTCTGTAGTAAGGGTGCTCATGACATGACACACTGCAGAACATAGACAGTGATGCTCTGTGTTGCTTTCTCTCAATGATGATTTTTTTTCATTTGGCCATGAAATTATCCTTATTTAAGTTTCTGAATATTGATACTAACTATACTTTTCTTATTTTGTAATTGACACCAACACACTTCCTGGTTTCTCGACGCCATTCACCAAGGAGTTTGCTATTTGGCCAACATTCTTTTTCTATACAGCCTTGGCACAAACAACCACGTGGACCCACAGGACTTGACCTCTTACGCTCATCTAGCAAAACCACTTTATTTCTTATACTCTAACAAACAAAAGTAGGTCCCTAAAGTTCTCTTTTTTCTCTGTTCAGTTGGAAAGGAAGTTCTTACTTTTTCAAAACTTCTTATAATCATAAATGGCTGTATTTAAGTACCCCAGCTAGAAGGAGAGTCCCCAGATAGTTGGTTATCTGTTCTGTCTTCAGATAACTGGATACACAAAAGTCGTTCAACATCAGACTTGAGTGTGGGTACCTTAGTTGATGGCTGCAGATCCAATCTGTCTTCTCAAATTTCTTATGAAATTCCTATTCCTTCTCTAAAACTGTATATAACAAGAAATAGACCATTATCCAACAAGATGTCTTATTTTTTGTGTGCTCGCTACTTTCTTACTTTCCCTTTAAAATATTCTTCAAACTCACCAATACTATTGTTTTTCTTTCTTTTTTTTTTTTTTTTTTTTTTTTTTGATATGGAGTGTAGCCCTGTCACCCAGGCTGGAGTACAATGGCACGATCTTGGCTCACTGCAGCCTCCGCCTCTGCCTCCCGAGTTCAAGCGATTCTCCTGCCTCAGCCTCCTGAGTAGCTGCCACCATACCCAGCTAATTTTTTGTATCTACAGTAGAGACGGGGTTTCATCATCTTGACCAGGCTGGTCTCGAACTCCTGACCTCGTGTTCTGCCCGCCTTGACTTCCCAAAGTTCTGGGATTACAGGCGTGAGCCACCTCATCCAGTCTATTGATATTTTTCCACCCTTCCATTTCTCTCAGCTGATTTTTTATTATACTTGTTTCCTTTCCCTTTCCTTTCTCAAAGCGCTTCATTCCTTTTGTCCACCAGCCTTTTTCCAATGTGTTTGGCATCTTCACTTTCCTTCTCTTTCTTGCATATTTGCTCTGGTGTCATGGAAAAAAAATAACCATTTTCTCAGGTCTTTAGTGTGTACAGTGCAAAGTAAATTTATGTTAAAGCAATGACTTCAGCTGATACTTCAGCACCACTTTGAAACGTTTCTTTCTGTGACTCAATTTTTCTCTCATCTATATTCTCTCCCCGCACCCCTGTCTGTCTCTCTCTCTGTCTTTCCCACTTCCTCCCTCCCTCTCTCCATCCTCTCTCTTGCTTCAGTTAATGGCTCAGATCATTTCTTTCCTATCTTTCTCCACAGCTCCAGATCTGCATATTTCAGAGTCCTATGTCACCCCTTCCTGCTTGCTTCATAAACACCTTCACCCATTTTTGCTCATGCACCTTACGTTATCATTTTTATTTATCTGAGAGAATGGCACAATCACTTCACTAGTCACCTAGGTTTCATGCCTGCAAGCAATCTTAAGTCTCCCCCATCCCCTCATGACCAATATCTAACTATTTAATCAGTTCTTTAAATCAGAGTTCCAACCTATTTTTAATATCAACCCTCTCAATTCCACAAAATAGAAGATTTCTTTTTGTTTCTTTGTCCCAGATATTAGAATATTAGAAATTATATTATAATTATTTATGACAATGAAAAAATTAATAAGCACAACTCTTCTAAATGTAAAATTTAACTATTACCTATGTGGTCCAGGTCTATAATAATGAATTTTTATGAAATTTGAAAATACAATTGCAAGTGTAGAAAGATGTTCTGCTATATCATTTAACAGATTTGTTTTTCCTTTCCATACATATAATTTTATAAGTAAAACATTCCTGTTCTCCTTTATGAGGCGACATGTTTCAACAATTTTTGCCCTCTTGACAACATGTAATACCATTTCTGCTTTCAGTACCCTTAAGTAAACCTATGATCCATATTAGGAAAACAGCAAGTTAGCATTTTTTTTTTTAGTAAATTTTGAGTTAATGTGTATTGTATTTTACTTAGAGGCATTCTCTTTCTTGACATTTTATTCAATTACAAGCTGAAAAAAAACCATAGTTACCACCAGAAGTAAAATATAACTCCTGTGGATCTGCCTTGAAGTGGCATGATGAACAATTTTCCTTCTAACATCGACGTCATGTAGCATTAGCAAAATGACCTAAAGTGAGTTATTTTATTGTTTTATTAGAGTCATGTGAGACTAGCTAGACATTAAAAACAAGTATTCACAATTCACTTATGATTTTTGAAATATTCATTATTTGTGTATAAGTGTTAGCAAAGACAAAAACTGCTAATATACGAGTCATTTTTTGATAATTTCTCTGTCATTGTATTGACATGTAACAGTTGCCAAATAATTTAATTAACATATCAATGACTCTGCAATCTACTTTCCAAAAGGAACAATATTTCTAATGGTAAATTAGCAAATGGTAGCCTTCCAATAATTGTAAATCACTATACCAGTTAATATTTACGTATCCTATAGAAGATAATATGATGGCAGTTCAAAGATTTAAATTCTCAAGTTCAGCATTCCAACTGGTATTTCTTTCACCTTAGGCATTTGACCAGTAAATAACAGATACTAAATACGTACCTTGATGGCTTGGGTGTGACTTCAGGTTCTGAAAATGATGTTTCAGTCATAAGTAAATTAGTGAGAAGTCAGTTTGCTCCCTGACTCAATTACAATAAGTTAGAACTTTGCAGATCTAATACTATGAAAACCTTTAAAAAGTGACATGGGTATAAGAGAAGAAAGGTACTTCAATTAATAGTCTCATTGAATAGTTTTCACCTACTTACAGAATAGTTAACTGCCTCTTTCTTGCTAACAGAAAATATTGTTTTATAATAATAAAAATAAAAGATACTAATGCTAGTTATTATAAATACAGAAATTATAAAAGTATGAGGAATATACTGTAAGTTATCAATTACTATACACTTCTGAGAAAAACAGCCAAGTAAATTTTTATAAATTTCCATATTTGACAAACTGTGAAGAGGTTCTTAGAAGCTTATAGATTTTGAAATAATATTGAAGGTAACATAAACCAGTCATTAGTAGTGGGTAGTACTCAACTGACATATGACATATTGATTAATTTAAAAAAAATGTATGTTCATGCATCTATTCAAAAATAGGTAAACAGATGTAATATGGTCCCATCACTATCCCGGCACTTAGGATACACCTATTAACCACAAAGACAAAGATCCCTGCTCTTGTACAGCTTATATTCTATTGGGGAAACAAAGAATAAATAATATGTATAACACATGATGAAGTTGCGTAGCATGTGAGAAAGTGATAAATGCTATGGAAGAAAAAAAAATGTGGCACCAGGGAGGGAATGGAAATGATAGTGTTAACTAAGGTGGCAAGAGCTCATTGAAAATCTTAAGGCGGTAAATGAAGGTCGACTAAGCAGATACCTGGGCATTGGGCATTTGAGACAGAAGGAAGAGCCAAAGCAACAGCTTGGGGAAGTATGAGGTCTGGCTGAGCTGGAGGAAAAAGAAAGATGGTAATGAAAAACTATCATAAAGCAAAGGGTGATCAAGTGAGATACTGAGATTATCTATGCAATAGCACATTTGCTTGTTTCTGCCGAAGGCATGTGGAGGTGGGGGCACAGAAGAAAACAACAAGTAAGGGTGAAACTGAGGGAGGCCAAGAGGAGGGATGGTGTCTTTGCAGCGTAAAACTTGTGAAGGATGATTCTTAGAAATATGTTACTTAGTAAATATTTTTAAGTAATGATTAAAGGAGCACAAACATAAACATATGTTAATAGTTTAAATGGTGAATTAACTGTAAAGATTTTTAAAATATTAAGATTTTTAAAATATTAAGCAAATTTTTAAATATTAAAGATTTTAAAAATATTAAGCAAATTTTTAAATATTAAAGCAAAAAGAGTCAAACCAAAGTAGAAACACTTTTTAAAAAAGGACTTGCAAAGAAAATAAAAGGAAAGCATTGAAGGCAATATGATGAAGAAAGATGCTGAATTTTAAAGCAGAATATATTTTTATAAAAGAAAACAAGAGTAGTACTCTAAAAAGAAAATATTTTAGGAAAGAAGAAGGAAGGAAAGGAAGAAGGAAGGAAGAAAGAAAGGAAGGAAAAATTCCTCTCCTCTACTTGTAAGAATGCCAGACAATGTAAGAATCTTAGCCAATTTTTCTAACTAGGCTGATCTACACCACACAGCTGAAATCCTCCTGGCAGAGAGGATAAATAGCATACATCTCTTTCATTTACCCTTTAAGAATGGCACCTGATTTATCTGACATGAAACTGACTCTATATCCCTGGCATAGAAGGCGATGGTATTGTCAAAAAGAGAGCCTTCCATTTTAGAAATGTAGTAAAAAATCTTTCGTTGTCTTAGAGTGTTGGAAATATCCAATATCAATATGTTAAAGCAAATGACAACAAAAGAAACAAAACTTCTTTCTCTTGGGATAACATACCAATCTCCTTTTCTGCTTATAATTTGAGCATGAGTACTTTCTGTAAGTTTTCTTTTTGCTCAACCTCAAAGTGTTAAACGCCATTGAATGTTGTGTAAATTAATTGTGATTTTTAAAAGAAATCCTTTTAGCTGAGCTTAAGTCTCCATTTATGCTTTTAATTATATATCATTACCTGAAATAAACTCATTAAATGCTGAGTCCATAAGCTTATCTCTATGAAGTATTCCAAACTGCAACTAAGCCTTTTAACCCTCAAGGAAATTGATTAAAAGAGTGGAGGATTACATCTGCAATGTCTGAAATATATTTAAATTGCATATTTTTAGCCCTTAAGTTTCTGTATGGAGCAATAATATATTAAAGCTATTGTTTTCTAAGTTCCATTTTATAGTTTAATTCTTTATGATAAAAATTTTGTATTTCACATAATGAGTTAAGATATTCACAGCTTTTAACTTCACCTCAACCAAAATGACCAACTCCATTGTATTTATTTCCTAGCGCTGCCATAACTGGGTAGCTTAAAACAGGACATTGATTTTCTCACAGTTACGGAGGTTAGGAGTTCAAACTCAGCTGTTGGCACAGCCATCCTCCCTCCCTCCCTCTAGTAGAGGGTACTTGCCCGTCCTAGTAGATGGTAATTGCTAGCAAGCCTTGAACTTCCCTGGCTTGCTGCTGCTTCACTCTGATCTGTGCCTCTATTGTTGCCTGGCCTTCTTTCTTCTGTGTCTTTATGGCTGTCTTTCCTCTCCTCTACTGGTAAGAACCCAGTCATTGGACTTAGGGTGCACTCTAATCCAATATGAGCTCATTTTAAGTAACCACATCTGGAAAGACTCTTAAAAAAAAAAAGGTCACATTCTGAGGTTCTGAGTGAACATGAATTTAGGCAAGGTGTGAGGGTATGGGGCAGGACCTTATTCAACCCACTATAAACATCAGACATCATATGTTTATAAAACATGAAAATTAAGATGATATTTCCAACTTTATTTGGGATGTGTTTTTGAGGACTTCTCAAAAAGAAGCATAGGACTTCTGTGTCACTCTTTCATGTTCCCCAATTAAAGGGGGACTCTGGAGGATTCTGATGTGGATGAGTGACATGGGCCCTGTGGGAGTGTGCTTGGGAAAATGCCCAACAGCTGGTCTGCCTCAATCAGTTTGCATCAGTTAATAAGACTGACTTCTGTAGAATTTTGAATTAATCGGTACCCTCAAAAAATTCTCTGAGAAAGCCATTATATTTTTGGTAAACTGTAGGTCCTCTGTCCATATTTATTTTCTTTGTGAGTGGCTTATAGAAACTTGTGCTCATGTGATGATGAATATGGCTTTGCAGTACTTTGTAGAGAATACACTTATGGAGCCCAACAAAGCCCGTTTTATTTATGTATGTATTCACAAAATTCACAAGATTCCCATCATAGCAGGATAGAATGTATACGTGAATGTATGAATAAATTGTGACAGTCTCTTGCTGTCTCGTCTCCCTCTACCTTCACCTGCATTATTTTCCTTTTTTACTAAAATGAATAATGCTTGCTATATTTCAAACTATTTATACCCTAAAACAAGTCATATGTTTATCCATTACACAATTTAATTAAATATATAAACATGTACATGGTAGCATTTTTCAAATCTATGAGCACATTGTCTATCTGTTGCTATTAATAATCTTTGAACGTGGTTCTAGGTGCTGAACCCAATTATGATTGATGACAGGGGAAATACAGAGATTTCATGTGTGGATTTTTCATCTCTTCCCTATCCTACTGAAGTTCCTCTAGACTCTTAGATATATATTCATTCATAAGTGAAACAGCATAAACTTACATTTTCTTCCACATAGCTTTCGTTAATGGTCCATGCATTTATGAATTCAACTTTTATTGGATCAGCTATGTGTATGAAATCAGTTGGATTCCAAAAGCTATTTATAAAGAGAAGGGAGCAGAAAGCAGCATCATGTCTTAACAATTATCAATGATCTGAAGTCCATATAGGAATGACTCCACCAGCTGGTGTCAGTCAAAGGAGTCTATGTTCTTGATGTTCAAATACTTAGCATTCAAATATGGGGATTTTGTGCAGACAGCCAATTCTAACTCTAGTTATGTAGGGTTAGAGAATAGTCCTGAATTAATCAGTTGGCAAATCCTTTGACTTTGTATATGTAGAAACAGTGATCTGTTCTTATTTTTTATGTAATCATACACCATAATGCTATTTTATTGGCCAAGAACCTGAGAACATCCTCATGAAAAGTGAGACATATGATTATTTATGTATTAGTATAATTAAAATTATATGTACAGTTGGCCCTCCATATTCATAGTTCCTGCATCTGAGGATTCAACTGACTACTGATTGAAAATATTTAGATAAAATTAAAAACAGTACAGTAAACATAATACAAAGAAAAAACAATCAGTGTAACTACTGTTTACATAGTGTTATGTATTGTAAATAGTCTAGGGATTATTTAAAGTATACAGAAGGATGTGTGTAGGTTATATGCAAATACTATACCATTTCATATATGGATCTTGAGCATGCACACATTTTGGTGCATATATATGTGCCTATATGCACGAATGCATATACGTGTGTGTGTGTGTGTGTGTGTGTGTGTGTGTGTGTGTGTGTGTATGTCTTTATCCATTTAGAATCCACCAACAGGATACTGGAGGACTTGCAGTCAGCATATACCAATGGAAAATACTCTCAGGAAATTTTCAGGAAGAAGGTAAAGAAAGGGAGGACATTTATTTCCCTGGATTTCTTCCCTCCAGAACCACATGTCAGCAGTCTCTTTATTCCTGTATTGAAGCCAACAGTTCCTATGGGGTAGTCCCTCCTCTGCTTCAGTTCTCTACCTAGTTCTGGTAACTGACCCCGCCCTTCCCTTCTCGAACAAGGACAATGGCTATCTTCCTGGTATCTGCTTTATTGTTCCTTGTTTATTTCTTTTATACTTTCTCACACATTTTTAAAGGTGCTTTAATTTTACTCTCCTCAATTATACTCTTTGTGAATTGCTATTTGTTTTCTGTCAAGACCCTGACAGGAATGCTTACATAATCCTCTGTCAGCCAAGAGTCATATAATCTCAAGACCTTGGGTTCTGGAGTTGACTCGGCATATTTATAAGCAATATCAGTGCATTTATATTTCTGAATTCCCATCCTCGCTTCCTTATCCTTGTAAGCTACCAGCCCTTTGCTTTTATCTAGCTCTGAAATATTCCATTCTGGTTCTTTCTGTTTGTGGTGTGGAGCTTCTTATTAAAGGGAATGGCAATAGAAAGGAAATCCAACTATATTTCAGTTTTGAAAACAATGATAGCCATGGAATAGTCTTAGTTGTGTTAAATAATCTTTTTGAATTTTCTTTCTTACATGCAAGACTTCCAGGAGCAGGTCTACTCTACTTGTATAAATACATAATAAAAGATTAACAATAATATCCTTGGAGGCTTAGCTATGGATAATGATTTAGATTGTGACACCAAAAAAAAAACCATACGATCAATAATTATCTCTACATTCAGGAAGAAATTCCCAGATCCCAGGCCAAATAAATTATATCTTCTTTCTGGGAAAGTTCCAGAAAATAGCAAACTGTTTCCACAATTACTGGTAAGATTGAGAAAAGACACTGCTCGGAAGAGTCCAACTGCGATTTATTTCCTGATATCAATAACTGAAGAGAAATTGTTCCCCTAGTTATATAGATAATGGAGACCAAATATGTTACCGTGGCAAATTGCTGAATTAGAAACCAAACACCCCATGTTCTCACTTACACGTGGGAGAAGAATGATGAGAATATATGGACATATGAAGGGGAACGACAGACTCTGGGGCCTTTTGGAGGTGGGGTTGTGGGGAGGAAGCACATCAGAAAGAATAGCTAATGGATGCTGGGCTTAATATCTAGGTGATGGGATGATCTGTGTACCAAACCACCATGACACTCGTTTACCTAAATAACAAACGTGCACATCCTGCACATGTAACCCTGAACTTAAAAGTAGAAGAAACAAACTAATAAAATAAAATAATGCATGCATAGAGATAAATAAATAAATAGGTATTCATTACTTATAGAAGTGGACCATTTGTTAAGCCTTCCTAAAGCTTAGTTTGTCACCTTAACTTTATACTAAGTCAGAACACAAAAGAAGTTCATTAAGGGAAAAGGATCTACTGACTAAAATGTCAGCAGAGGTAGATAGTTGTTAAACATCTTTCTTGGGCCAGGTGTTATCCATTATGTTGCTTTAAAAAACAGATCAGTCTAGTCACTGTCAACAAGGAGAGTATAATCTAATAAAGGAGAAACACATTTTATAAATTATAGTTTTCTTCTGAGAAGATGAATTAGGAAAGGCAAATGCATTTACAATCTGCTGAGAGAAATGCATGGCATTGAGGTAGAGAAAACTGAAAAAAGCACAGAGAGGGTTTAATCTGTGCCTATTGTATCAGGAATAAGACGCAGCCATGTCTTCAGTAGGTTGCAAGTTTGAAGGAAAAGCAGCAAGATATGAATTTCAACAAGCGTATTTGAACAAGACAACGAAGAGCTTTAAAAGACACCCTTTGGAATTTTAACTTGATTATTTTGGCATTTAAAATATTAGAGATTTTTCAGAAAATGAAACAGTCACTGTTTAAGTATACTCATGACAATTAGGGTGAGTGATAGAACCACTGAAAAATTAGGCTGTTTAAGGACACACATGCTAAAATAACAGCAAGAAAACTATGAGACGAGAAAATAATAATTTTTAATTAAAAATTATATTGCTAACTGTTTACTCATATGCTCCTAGTGACACTGTAAATTAATATGCTCTGCAAAGAAACTAAAAGTATGAAATCATAAATTAAATAATTTATTTTGCCCTATTTTACACTACTAACTCTACCTTGGGTAATATCTATGTATTTTTCACATACATACATACACACACACACACACACAAGCACATACACATACAGGTATGTTCACATGTGTACACATACATTTAATTTTGGGCATAATATAATATGTACATGTGTGATATGTTCTATGTGCATGTATATATACATATATAGAGAGATAAGGATATATCACATTGGTATATAATATATACCAAGTTATATAATATAAAAATTCACAAATTGACCTATAATAATGAAAATGCATAGTAATTGACCACTGACTAATTTTAGTGTTTGTCATTGTATTAAAATAATATGCTGTATATAGGGGCATAAAGATTTGAAGAAAATATTTTATGCTAGTTATATATTTTTGTCAAAACAAAATATGCTGTTTAAAATATAACATAGAACAGAAAACAAAATGTACTCCAATGATGAGAACAATGAAAAGTGATGAGGAGGTATATTTTACATTGTTATTTATATTATTGTGTCATTTTTACTTTAATAGAAAAATGTCTACTAAATATATGTAAATAGATATTCTAAATTACAGATAGGCATGCTAGTTGAAAATTTAAATGATATTGTTACCATGATCTTATTCTTCATTATGTCCCATACCTAGGGCAAAGACTGCTCATAGAGGGTACTTCATAAATACCTACTAGAGGCCGGGTGTGATGGTTCATGCCTGTAATCCCAGCACTTTGGGAATCCGAGGCGGGCAGGTTGCTGGAGCTCAGGAGTTTGAGACCAGCTTGGGCAACATGGCAAAATCCTATCTCTACAGAAAGTAAAAGAATTAGGCATGTGGCAAGTTCCTGTAGTCCCAGCCACTCAGGAAGCTGAGGTGGGAGGATCTTTTGAGCCCAGGAGGTGGAGGCCAATGGGCATAAAGAGGCAGAGACATTTGTTGCCTACGACTTTGAACACAGGCATTCACAGTGAAAGGAAATTGAAATGAGTGTGGGCTAATGGTCGAAGAAAACATTTTTTTTAGTCTTGTATACGGTTACGGGGACCAAATAGTTTCAAAAGGGAATCCCCAGGCTTTCAGAAGGGAAAAAAAAAAAGAAAAAAGAAAGATGACTGTTGAAGGAAGGCACCCAGGAGGCGGGCAGGAAAAGGAGGTTTTATTTTATCCACAACAGATTTCTCCAATATGTAAAATAGATTCAATGAAATCAAAAGATAAATTGCTCTCCCTGTCTATGAGAGCTTTAATATCAGGATTTTCTGCCATAACTTAGCTTATTGGGCAGACAGAGATATGTTCTCCATTGTTCAAGCTCTAACATAAAACCATGTATTCAGAACATGTCAAGGGGAAAGGCAATTATGCCATACTGCAAGCAAATGAGCTGTGAAGCTGGTCCAGAAATAAAAAGGAAAAAAAAATCAGGTAATGTGAAAGAAAATGTGAGTATATGAAGGATGGGAATGTTCAGGAATATAGGGGATAATGGCTGATTCATGTATTTTGGTTGCCTCTTTAAACCACTGAAATTTAGGATGACCTGAGAGTGTTTAATATGTAAAATGATTGTATTTTATTTTATCATTAAGAACCAACTCATCTTTACTTCTAGTTTCTAAAAAGGCTAGGAAACCTCATGACAGAGTACAAGTTTTGAATATTTCTGTCTGCCTCTCTTTATCCCTACCACTCTCTCTTCTTTAGTTTAAAATTAGTAAATCACTAGGAGGACATCACCTGATCTTCATTTTTAAGGAACTAGAATAAGACTAGTGGATTATCTAATCTTGTCTAAAGGGGAAAGTTCAGACATTTATATTTATTTTGATGTATAATAGCATAGCGAGATATAATTGTATTCTGAATAAAATTAGTTGTCTAATTTTGACTTGTTTTTATGAATGGCTTTATATTATAATTGTAAATGAAATGAAAGCAAAATATTTATTAAAATTATGAAAACAATTATTTAACAGAAGAAACTGAATTCCAAAAAGCTGTTATATTTTACAAATCATTATGTCTGCAAATATTATAAAGTACAATTCTTGAAATAAGCTTATTTCTAAAGAATTTTCTTAGAAACCATGACAATTAACAAGTAACAGAGATCATTTTCTTTCTTGATTATGTTTTTAAAAAATTTTTAATCTCTTATAGCATAAGTAGTTGAGAGTTGAAATTTAGTGTTTATCTCTGGTATTGCATCCCTAAGGATAATTCTACATACCACCAAGGACTGTGGGTCGTCCGACCATGAGACATTTCCAGACTTTTCCAAAAAAAAAAAGATGTTTTCACTGGATACTCACAGAAAAGAAGCTTATGAATCAACGTAAACTACAACAAAATAAATGCACACATTTTAGCAGTAGGTAGAAAAGATGGGATATGAAGAATACAATTCTAGGGCAACTTTTTAATGCTTAGTAATACATAGGGCAAAATTAAAATGTTACAGAATGAGCTTGGCTTCTTCAGATTTCCCTATTGGCCTCATACCTTTGTAATGGTTATGAGAAATCCACTGAACCCCAATGAAGATACACATTCATACCTTGAGGAGCGCTTTAACTCACATCCAGTGAAAAAGCCAGTAATGGATTCCATACTTTTGATAAGCATTGTGTGGAGTATGTACTTGTATAAATATATATGGTAAATAGTTATCCATTCTCTAGTGGGATTATGGCAACCTTAAAAAGAAATTGTTTATCAATTTTAAAATAAGTGAATGTTATTCTCTCACTTGGATGATTCTTTTTTCTTGTTCTCTTCAGTGGTTGAACTTCTGCTTGTGTATTTAGCTGTCTGTGCAACAATGTCTTTTTGGTTCATGGCCCTTCTACTTAATCACAATGTATGTTTGTCTTGAGCAATTAATATATTGGAGGATTTCTTTTTGTTGAACACGATACAAGATTTTCATTTACTCATATCATTTTAACACACTTGCTTCAATTAAATGCCATTGCTGCACCCATATTATAGATAAAGACACTAAAATTCAGAAAGATAGACTACATAGCTTTTTCTGAGTGCACATACATGTGTAGTATATAATATACACACAGAAACACTTATATAATCACTATCAAAACTGAGGATTGAACCAAGATCTGTAGCTAATGCCAATGATACTGATTTTAGGATAACATATGTTTAGGATACAATGCATGCTGAAATGCTAGCCGTTATTATTACATGATAACCATATATGAAGATTGTGTTTAACTGGAACTGTGATGATTATTACAAAATAACAATGTGTCACATTCATATTATCTCCTGAATGCATTTTGGAGTCTAGTAAAAATATCGTTAGTCCCTTCAATCAGGATTGTGGAATACAATATTGAAACTTGGGCACAATGACCCTTTGCTATCTCGCTGTTTCTTATAATTTTCATACCTTCTAGGAATATAAAAAGTTCTCAGGTATAATGGTTCTACTTCCTGATATGGTCAAACTTTAAAACTGACCAAATTATCTCTGTCTCCTGACATGCATGCCCTGTGTAAGGTCTTCCTCTTGACTATGGGCAGGAGCTATACTTGCTTCTAACCAACAGAATACAGAAAAGATAAAAGAATGCCTCTTGACTGATTACACTACATGAAACTCTAACTTTTGCTTTGTTAGCAGCATCTCTATTGACTTTTCTGTTTGCACAGTTTGATGAGGCAGGATACCATGCTGTGGAGACCCATTTGGCAAGAAACTAAAGGCAGCCACCATCCAAATGCTAGGAAAAAGCTACAGCTTTCTGTCTGATGGCAAAGGAGACACTGAATCCAGTCAACAATAACAGGAGTTTGATGGAAGATCCATTCCCCAGTGGAGCCTCAGATAACACCTCAAGTCTGGCCAACATTCTGACTGTAAACTTATGAGAGACCCTGAAGCAGAGAATTCAGCTAATCCATGCCTGGGTTTCTGACTCTCAAAAATTCTGAGATAATAAATGCATGTTGTTTTATGCCTTTAAGTTGTGGTAATTTGTTATGCAGCTGTAGATGACATGCAGATTCAAGTATCTGAAAATGAGGGGCTGCTCTGAAAACACTACAAATGTGGGAGTGGCTTTATAATGAGACAGTGAACAGAAGATAAACAATTTTTGAAAAGCATGGTAAAGACTAAGTTTTCTCAATCAGACTATTATGAATAAGAATTTTGAGGACACCGCCAGTGATGGCTCAAAAGGAAGTAAGGAATATGTTACTAGAAACTGGAGGAAGGGAGACATGTACCAGCAGGGAGCTTAGTGAAGTTGTCTCTTGTAGTTATGTAGACAACAGAAAATATAAGTGATGAACTTGGTTATTTAATAAAGGAAACCTTCAAGAAAAGTGTTGGATATGCCAGCTGCTTTTTTCTTGATTTCTGTAGCAATGTGTCAGAATATAGGAAGATAATTTGAGGAAGGAACTGTTAAATCAAAAGGACTTGATAATTTAGAAAATTCTAGCTTTTCCAAATGACAAAAGATGTTAAAATTAGGAAATTGTTTCTATGAACTGTCAGGAAAACATGGTCTTTAGATAAAGCTTGGCATAGAGAAAATGGTGTAATTACACAATCTTTGCTAAAACTTCAAAAGATCAAATGATTAGAGTATTTGGTCATAAAAATGGCCTTTTAAAGCTATCAAAGTTTTGTCTCACAGATCCTCTCAGTCTAATAATAGGACCTCTAGGAAGCTTAATCTCTTGTCACTCACTTCTTTCTATGGGAGTCCCAGGTAGAAGAGGGATTATATAGAAGGGATTTGAGGGTATGGCTTTTATCTAATAGAAAGAAACCCTGGGAAAGACAGAAAACACCTACTCAGTTTTTGAGAAAATTGTTTTAGCAAAAACACTGCCAACTTGGACTAAAGGGATAATGGAGAGTGAAAAATGAAAAGAGTCGTTCAGACTTCTGAAATTCTACAGGCAGCAACCAAACCACTAAATCTACTTAGGCATGGAACATTCTACTTCCATGAAAAAAAAAGGAAGGCTGACTGAGAGGCTGGAATGAAGAACAGAGAAATAAAGGGGGCACCAAGGAGAATTATTCTGAGGCTTTGAAATTTAGTCAAGGATTAGCCAACACTTTTCCCTGGATCAATTTTAAAATCAATATGGACCAGTAAATCATTTGTCATCCTTTTTGGACAGAAATGTCTATTCCTGCTGTCCTCTGACTGTTATACCATGTGTGTTGGGTGTGTGGGGGACAGATAACTTGTCTCTTTAGCTTTATAGATTGACAGGGTAAAGGAAATTATACTAAGGAAGTTTCTTCCTTACCTGGATCTAATTTTGATGATAAATAATTGGACATAGAGCAGACAGTTTAATGGGATGGGACTCAGGGACACTGGGAGGAGATGAATGTATTTTTTTTCTATAAGAAGGACACAGATCACTGGGGTCAACAGATGGGCTGTGATGGAGAGACTACAACACAGCTCAATTTGTTCCCAATTTGGTAGTCACTCAAATTGGGAACTCAATTCGTGACTCAATTTGGTAGTCACGTTCCTGTGTAATAATCCTTTGAACAGAAGCAGAGCCTGTTACTTGTTTCTAACTATTAGAACATGGCAAAAGTGACCAGAAATCTGTCACTTCTGTAAGCGATTTAATCTCTCCATGCACTGTTTTCCTCATTTGCTGATTGGGAGAAGTCGTTGGGTTGATTAAATAAATACTAACATAAGAACTTTAATATAAATAGCTTCTAGACATTCCTTGAGCATTACTTTCACACACATGTGTTCAATAAAGATTAGCTGTTACTGTTTCAAGATAGATGCTATTATTGTTATATTTAACTAATTTATGCCATATTACACAGTTTGATTATAGGCAAATAACATAATTAAACAAGAATTACAAGAGAAAAGCATAGCTAACTTGAATAGAAGAAGAATTTGGCAGTAATTGGTGGTATTATAAAAAGATGCCAAGAAAAGTTGCCATTTGAGGTGGGCCCAATGGATTAAACTTCATTTAAAAACATGTTAACAAAATGAATGAGTTTTCCATTGAAAAGATATAGAGAACAGTGGTCTACCCATTTCAATGTAAATGAGAAAGGTATATACAGGAAAATGGCATAGTAATTATTTTTGGGAAGGTGTTTTTATAGGAGACTAAGGATAAGTCCTGAAATAGCTGGTTAGAGTACAGATCTTACTTTGTCTAAAAATAATTGGGGACATGTAATTTCTCTAGTTCCCATAAGAGATTGAAAGGAATCTGCAAATGATTTCTTACAGTAAAGAAGTGATTGGGTGTAAATAACTTTGTATATCTCTTTTATAGGATCATATCTTAATTTTGAAATCTCCTGTCTCTTTCAATCGATTGAGTGGCAGTGCTTTCTTTTCATCAGTACATTCCAAGGGCATGATGATATTTTGCTCTGAGGAGACCGTTGTAATATTAGTTGTGTTAAAGTTGGATGAAATTAGTGTGTCTTGTTATGAGCATGTTTATAAATGATGATCATTATTTGGATCACTCAATTCATCAATCCATAACATTGTCTAGTACACTAAAATAAAAATCCACCTGCAGTTTATTTGGGGAAATAAATAAGTACCAGGGAATTAGGAAAAGAGAAATACGTGCAGAGAGCTAATAGACAATGTTAAACTCCTTAGTGGCCATATGCTTGTCTGTGTATCCAGATGACAGCTTTTGTTAACATGTCAGCAGAAGATGGTTAATGAGAGTTAGCCTTAAACATACTGCATCAGGGAGCAGTCTAGTGACTCACATAAGTTTCACAATGACAGCGAAGACATTGCTTAAATTAAAACAGCAATGCAAGAAATAGGAAGAAATGGAATTACCATGTGTTAACTCACAAAATCATATTAAAATATTACACAATAATTTAAAGCAGGTATAATTCCTTGTCAAGGGAAGATATTGGCATAAAGTATCCAGTTAGTCTCTCCACAATGCAGACGAAGCTGGGCTGAGTATTTGACTCTACAATTCCCTAATCTATTGATTTTACCTAGACTCTTGTCTAATAGTTACTAAAATATAATCATGGAATTTAGTAGCTTGAGGGCGCTGAAGTAGAGACAGTGATTCTTTAAATTGTTATAAAGGGTTATATTCCAATGGAACTCATTTTACCTGATCTCCTAATAACCTCATTGCTTTATTAACTGTCCATCACCATTATATAAAACCTCAGATAGATATTTTATTTTTTACCAATACGACCTACAGGCAGTATTGATTTGTTATCACTGCAAACATTCAGCTCCTGCCTTATGAACTTAACTTCATTTTGGCTCCTGCTCTAGTTGCCCTTGACCAATTTTTCTCTGTGTTCCACTTGGCTGAACTGACTTTATTGTTGATTACTCCCCAGGAAACAACTGCTATTTTTTTTTTTTTTTGGTTTCTCTTCAAATCCTCATACCCTTTTTGCTTACTATTCAAATAATGACAAATAAGTATGATAATTTTATATTATAACTTGCAGTGAAGTGAATTATTGTGAGTGTGCCCATTTCTTGGCCCACTGAGAATATCTCGTTCTTTCTTCAAATCATGATATGAGAAACCTGAGAGATGACGATACGCTCCTTGCTACGATGATGCTGCAAAGGGCTTTCAATATTGAGATTTGCCTTCAAAAATAATTAAATACCATATAATGTAAATGAAAAAGATAAACACCTTTCAAAATATGTCCAAGGGATTCATTGGTATTGTAAACTTGTGTATTAATATTAATACTAAATAGCTGATTCACTCTATAAATTTACAAATGGCCTAAATCCAAATGTTGCAAAAGCTCAAAACATCCATTATGCTAACTTGTTTCAAGTACATTTCTATCTTCAATCTAAAATTTTCACCCAATGACCTGCTCATAATTTGAGTGAATTTAGTATTATTTCAATAATCCTTAGTTTACATTGTAACCAGTAAGAACCAGAAATAAATGGCAAATAGGAAGCTGAGTAGGCAGCTGAATTATTGAAGCAACAATAAACCTAAGCATTAATTATTCTGTAAACAAGTGAGAGAGAAAGAGAGAAACAGAGACAGAGGGACAGGGAGAGAGAGAAAAAGAGAAAGAAAGAAAAACAGAGTATTCTAGAGCAGCAGTTCCCAGACTTTTTGGCACCAGGGAGCCGTTTAATGCAGGCAATTTTTCCACAGAAGAGGAGGAGGGTACCATTTCAGGATGAAACTACTCCACCTTAGATCATCAGGCCTTAGATTCTCATGAGGAGCGCACAACTTAGACCCTTCACATGCACATGAGCAGTTTGCAAGGAAGTTCGCACTCCTATGAGAATCTAATGCCACTGCTGATCTCACGGGAGGCGGAACTCAGGCAGTACTGCTTGCCAGCCGCTCACCTCCTGCTGTGCAGCACTAAACAGTACTGGTCCCTAGACCTGGGGTTTGGGGAGCCCTGTTCTATAGAGCATAATTATATTTTCTTCATCTACTTTTTAAATGTCAGGATACATGCTTGCCAAGACATAATATAGCATATTGTTCAGAAGTGGAACAGCACAAAGCCACACACACACACACACACACACACACACACACCTCCCCCACACATCTACACAGGTATGCACATGGCAGAAAAAATATCATTTTTGTGTAGACTAATATGGATGAACATGGATTTTTAAGTATAGAGATAATAAGAGTTTATATTAGGTGGCCTCTAAATTCCCAGTAAAGTACAACACAGAGTAATCTCCAAGGAGTAAAAGTAAAGATAGCATTTGGAACTTGTAGATACTAGGAAATTACTGGAATGTGGTAGTTGACAAGTAGAAATCAATAAAAGCACTACTGAAGGTCAGAGAGAAGACTTGTGGCTTGACAATCATGCTTCCCATGATGCTTTTCTTGGGCAATAGCTAACAGATTGTGAGCAATAATGACAACAGCAATGAAAACAACGGCAGGTGAATGTGTGATCAGCCTAGGATTTGGAATTGAACATACAGATTGGAAAAGTGAAAAGAAACTAACATTTGTTAAAGGCCACATGGAAAGCATTTTAGATTGAGTGTTAAAAACCAACGCTTTGCTCTCACTTAAAAAAAAAAAGCTGCTGTTTAGAAAAGTTAAATATCTTTTCTCAAAATCTATTAAGTAGTAAAGTCATGAATTGACCTCATAGCTATTTAACTTCAAAGTGTATATTTTTTTCATCAAACTATGCTTATGTTGATTTGGGCTTAAAATTACTACTAAACATAGGAAGCAAAAAGTGGTTATAGGAACTAGGCTGATGAAGGAGAGAGGCAAAAATCATAAAAAGCCACATGGATGATGAGAGTGGGGTGTGTGTAATAGTTCCAGAATTGTTAATGAAGTAAAAAGAACGCAGTGGAGGTGTGGAGTATGGGGTGTGGGAATACAAGAGGAGATATTTGTGTATTTTATGTTCACCATGGGATCAAAAAACTGCATCATGTAAAATAGACACATAAGTAAATATAACAGAAAACAGTATACAAAACTGCCTGGTCTTAGTTGTTTACTAAAAATGTTTTATATGTTTTCCTGTAGAGAATATGAATGAGGTTTTAAAACACCTTATCTTTATGTGTGCATATTTAAGAACTCCCCGTGGAGAACAATAGGATTAGCATTGTTTTTAAGCGTTATTGTCTTTAGCATTTGGCAATAACATCCAATCATTATTGTGACAATGGATATCTTGTTTCAAATTTTTATAGCAATTATGCCCACTCTGAATCAACTAAGTGTGACAAAAATGTCACAAGCTAGAAAGAAGTAAAATGTGTTTTATGTATGATTTAATAGGTTATTTATTCTTTTATCACAAATTATACTTAAACATCTTTGATAAAAATAAGATATGGTTTCCAGATACTTTATATTGATGTGATTAATATAGCAAAACAGGTAGAATAAAAGACTGTTTCTTCACATCAAGTATATTTATAGCAAATATTTGCAACAATGCTTGCTCAATATTTTGGACATGTTTGAGGCTAAATGGGATATTATCTATGATGGGCACTATGAGATAATCATAAAAATATTGTTAATAATAATGTGTATTCACAAATTATGAAGGTATTCTTCACATCTAACAAGCAGCTTTTTAAATAATAGACTTTAGGTTGATTCTGTGTCTTTGCTATTGTGAATAGTACTACAATGAACATATGTGTGCATGTGTCTTTATAATAGAATGATTGATATTCATTTGGACATATACTCAGTAATAGGATTGTTGGGTTAAATGGTATGTGTGGTTCTATACAACATGGATACTATGAAGTCATAAAAAAGAACAAGATCATGCCCTTTACAGGGACATAGAGGGAGCTGGAGGAAATTATCCTTAGCAAACCAATGCAGGAACAAAAATCCAAATACCGCATGTTCTCAGTTCTAAGTGCTAGCTAAATGAAGAGAACACATAAACACATAGACGTTAAAAATACACGCTGTGGCCTTTTGGAGGGTGGAGGGTGGGAGGAGGGAGAGGATCAGGAAGAATAACTAATGGGTACTAGGCTTAAGATCTGGGTGATGAAGTAATCTATACAGCAAACCCCTATAACAAAAGTTTATCTTTGCAACAAACCTGTACTTGTACCCCTGAACTTAAAAGTTAAAAATAAAATAAAATAAAATGAATATATACAACAATAAAAAATAAATAAAAATAGATTTTATTTTTAAAACACTTTTACAGTTAGGGAAAAGTTGAAATGGTAGTATAAAAATGTCCTATATACTCTCTCACTCAGTTCCCCCTATTATTACTATCTTATATGACTATGGTGCATTTGTTATGATGAATGAACCAATATTGGTGCATTAGCATTAACTAAACTCTATAGTTCATGTCATTTTTATTGAAACATATCAAGGGTACAGACTATTGATGTTGACCTTGATTTGAAGTTGAATTTACCAAGTTTCTCCAACATAAAGTTACTCTCTCCTCTACCTTTTCATACTGTACTCTTTGGAAGAGAGCTACTGTCAAAGCCCATGCTTAAAGAGTGGAATATTTTCTTCCTCCTTATTCAGATAAGGATATCTACATAAGCTGTTTGGAATTCTTATGCATGGGATATTTGTCTCTTCTTCCTAATTTAGTTATATATTTAATAAGAAAAAAGGAATATAGAGATTATAATACAAATTTCAAAAGTACAATCAAAAAGTAGAATAATAAAACCAAAAGTTGGTTCTTTGAAAAAAGTCAATAAAATTGCAAAAATTTAGCTATACTGATCAAGAAAGTGGAACAAGACTTAATCACTAAACTCAGACATGAAAGTAACAATATTATGTCAAACCTTAAAAAAAAATTATAAGAAAAAACTATGAAAATTATACACTACAAATTAGATATCCATGAAGAAATTGACAAATTCCTAGAAACACAGATTACAAAACTGACTCAAGAAGAAATACAAAATCTGAATAGACATTTAACAAATAGAGATTGAATGTGTCATTTAAAAAAAACTTCAAGTAAGAAAATCTCACAACCAGATGGTTTCAACAGTGAATTCTATCAAATATTTAAAGAAAACTAATGCCAATCTTTTACAAACCCTTCTAGTAATCAGAAGGTGAAACACTTTCTAAATCATTCTATGAGATCAGCATTATGCTAGTACCGAAGATAGAGACTGACATCATAACAAATGAATACTATAGGCCAATATCCTTTATAACAATTGACACGAAAATTATTGGCAAATAGCAGCAAACAGAATTTAGCAGCATATTAAAAGGGCAATTCACTATGACCAAGTGGGATTTATTCTAGGAATGCAAGAGTTGTTTAACATTTAAAAAATACAAAAACACTAAGGGCAAGACACCAAAATAAAATAATAAAAACAACAACAAAAATATGTACATCTCAATTTATGGAGTAAGATTATTAGAAGAAAATTAAACCTCTTTTGTAATCGAAAGACTCAAAAACTAGAAATAGAGGAAATTTCCTCAACATAATACAGGGCACTTATTAAAAAAATAAACACTCTAGTCTACTCAATGATGAAAGCTTTCATCCTCAGAGCAGGAACAAGATGAGGATATCCACTTTAACCACTTCTATTCAACATTTACTTGATATTCAAGCCAGAACAATTAAAGAAAAATACAAATAAAAGATATACAATTAAAAGAAAGTAGTATAATTAACTCTATTCACTGTTGTATAATTATATAATATTCCAAAGAATGCACAAACATACATACACACAAAAACCTTAGAGTTAATACATTCAGCACATTTACAGTGTACAATGTAAATACACAAAATCAACAGTATTGCTATAGACTAGCAACAAATAACCTAAAAAAGAAACAAAAAATTTTCATTTACAATAACATCAGAATGCGTATATATAATTTAATGTTATTATACACGTCTTTCACCTTCTTCATTATATATATTATTAAGCTTTTACATATATGTGTGTGTATATATATATATATAAAATGAAGGAGAAAGATGTGTATGCTGACAACTAAAAACCACTGTTGAAATAAATTAAGAACCTACATAATGAAAAATATCTTGCATTTATTAATATAAATAATTAATATTAAGATGAAAATACTCCCCAAAGTGATCTACATATTCAGTGCAAACCCTGTCAAAATCCCAATGGTTTTTGTTTTCAGAAACGGTAAAGTCAATTCTACAATTCATATGAGATTGCAAGGTACCCTGAGTAGCCAAAATGATTTTGAAAAAGAACACATTTGGAGGATGAACACTTTTCAATTTCCAAACCTTCTACAAATCTCAAGTAATTCAAACAGTGGAACTGGCACAAGGATAGGCATATTTATCAGTGAAATATAATTGCGAGTCGAGAAATAAATGTATGCATCTGTGGTCAGTTGATTTGTAATAAGGGTGCCAAGACCATTCACTAGGAAAAGAACACATTAACACATGATGCTGAGACAACTGGATATCCACATTTTGTGTATTTATCTTGTATATTGTACCTGTGCTGACTATGTTAACTCGAAGATTGTGTGTATGTGTGTGTGTGTTTGTGTGTATTCATGGGAATGTTGTGTTTTTAAAATTATGAAAACTATGAATGGAGATAGTTCTGCTATTTCCTTTTTAATTGTATAGCTTTTACTTGTTTTTGGTTATCCAGTTGCATCAGCATCATTCGTTCATGTGTTCTTTTCCTATTGAATGGTCTTGTCATCCTCATTAAAAGTCAATTTATCAAAGATACATGAGTTTATAAATCTGTCAGTTGACAGACTGAAGTTTATGAATCCAGTTGAAACAACTGGATATGCAAAAGAATGAAATTGGATCCATACATTAAACCAAGTACAAAAATAAACTCAAAGTAGATAAAGACCTAAATGTGAGTTAAAACTAGAGAACTATTAAAATAAAACACAGGGATCCATTTCATGACCTTAGAATTGGCGATGTTTCTTTGAGTATAATGCCACAAGTAAAAGTAACTAAAGAAATAATAAATTGGACTTTATCAAAATTAACTTTCATGCATCAAAGAAAAATATCAAGCGAGTGGCATTAATGATTTTGAAAACATAATGTTGATTGCTGATAGCAGGTTGATTAAGAATGTATGTTGTTGAGAAACAGTGAAAAGTACACCTATGTCTAGTCACAAATAAGTTTCAAGTGCTATGATGTTTATTTTAAAATGTATAAACATTTCAAATTTTAAAACAAACATACTTTTAAAACAAATATTATAGCACTTGAAATTATTTATGATTAAATATAGGTGTATTATCAAACAACAGCAAAAGAAAAACAGACTTAGAGAAACTACTCCAAAATTTCTCAATAATGTTTTCTCCAGAAGAGAAAGATATTTGGTTGCAGATATTTGGAAATGCTCAAATATGCTTCTCATTGTTTTCCATAAAATAAATAACAATTTTAAAGGTAAATATAGTATAGTTTGTGGGTGTCTCTCATCTTATCTTTGCATTTTTCTGTATTTTAAATATCTCCAAATTAGATGGATATGTTAATGAGAAAAAAAGTCTATATTAAAAATAATTCTATTTTCACTACAAAAATATGTGAACATAAAAATTATAAGTATACTCATATACTATACCTTTTTCAAGTAAATATTTTCTTAATATTTTACCAATACTAATTAAAGGTGGGTATATTATATATAATTTATAAGTATTATAGACACCTCTAAGTTTGCTAAATGTAATTAGCACAATAATATATGAGCAATATTTCAAATAATTAATAAGTTCTACCTTTGTTTTTAGTTATCTAAAATTATATGTTTACCATGCTTGTGAAGTAGGATATTTCCCTGACCCCTTCTTGGGACTCACTACAGGGTTGCCTCATTTACTCAGCGTGACAGTGTAAACTCCTTGTGGGAGGGAGCATGTAAGCAAACAAGTGCAGGAACTGGAGTGAATGACCACTGGAACCTGCCAGCTGCTTCGGTGCCAGGGGGATCAAACCCCACTCACTCTTACCTGATGCCTTCCACCCCTTCCAGGAGGGACCACGCAGGTGAGTAGGTGTAGGAACCAGAGCGAGTGCTTTTCGGTGCTGGCAGGAACAAACTCAGTTTACTCAGCTTGCCATGCTCAAATCCCTTGTGGGAGGGAGCACAAGTAGGGGATCCCACTGGCCTGTTTTGGGTGCTGGCAGGAGCAAACTCCATGTAGGCCCTATGGTAGCATCCAGGTCAGGGTGCCTGTGATGCCCAATGCCCCAAAGGGTGCGTTACAGTGCTCTTTTAGCTCTGCCATCCACTGATGGCTTAAGTGTTAACAGCTCAGTGTGCCCTTTGCCTTTTTGTGTGATGCAGCTGCCCTCTGCCAATGAGGGCAAAGGACCAGAGTGACAGCCTTTTGTATCTGCATTTGTGACTCCTGAGCTCTTGTCTGGCATCCAGGAAAAATGAAGTCATATTAATAAGTTGAAGGATGGTAAATGTGGGGGATTTTATTGCTGCTGAAAGTGGTTCTCAGTGGGAAGGGAAGCTGAAAAGGGGATGAGGTGGGAAGGTATTCTTCCCCTGATGTCTGGTCATCTCCAGCTGGATTCTTCTCAGAAGTTATGCCATTAAGCTGTCCCTCTGAAATCAAGCTGTTTATCTCTGGCATCCAGCTGTAGTCCCATCTACTGGCTGAATCTGGGGTTTTTATAGGCACAGGATGTGGTGGGGTATGGTCATGGGTGGTTTAGAAAAAGGCAACATTTGAGTGAGAAGACAGGAATATAAGTTCTCAATTTGGGCAGTGGTTTTAGGCTCTTCAGCTTGAGGGTGGAGTTTCATTGGAGACCCACTCTTTTTTGCCTAGAAAAAAAATTTTCTTCCCCCTGTCCCTATCACAAGGAGAAATTGATGTTGTTTAGTGTTTTCTAGCTTGCTTACTGGTTAAATTTGCATGAGAATCTTGAAACTGGGTATTCCATGGATTTTCTTATTCAATATTTTTCTTTGTGAATAAACATGGCACAGTGGCTAGTATCTGTAAATCCTACACTTTGGGAAGCTGAGGCAAGCAGATCACTTTAGCCCAGGAGTTCAGATTACCTGGGCAACATAGGGAGACTTTATCTTAACAAAAGTACAAAAATTAGCCAGGCGTGGCGGTCCACACCTGTAGTCTTAACTACTCAGAAGGCTGAGGTGGGAGGATCACTCAAGCTCAGGAAGTGGAGGTTGCAGTGAGAAGAGATAGTGCCACTGCACTACAACCTGGGCAAAAGAATGAGACCTTGTCTCAAATAAAATAAACGAATAAATACATAAATCTATTTAAAAATAAATAAACCCTGGTAAATAGAGCAGTTATTACCTATTTTCCTTGAAAGTGAATATATTATTAAATATTTCTTTCACAATCACTATAAGATGTAGTGTAAGTCCCATGTGAATATAAGCAAGCCATTTTACTTCTTCATAGTTATTTTTGTGGGCTACACAAACATTCAAAAACACTTGAGAAATCAGGTGTTTTCAGTCTTGTTTTCACTTGTAATGTATTTTGGTTTTGGTTCTAAATATGCTTTTATGGTGACAGGCTAAAAATACCATAAACTATATTTCAAGACACATATCTTATGTATGCACACATGTTACCACCTAGATAATTTCAGATGTTCAATAATAGATATTGGAGGTAATATTCAAACATCTTTCTAGTTTACATTCAGAAAACTTTGTAATCTACACAAATGGAATTTTTTCTTTTTAATTTGCCAAGAAAAGGCACACAGACTTCTAATTGAAATGAATGGTGATAGAACTAAGATTGTAATAGATTGTAAGGAGCCAGAAGTAACACTATAGAACATGCAGATATAAAAAAAAAGAAAATTATTTTTGACATCTCATATAAAGGTAGAAAATTAATCTGGAAAGTCATTTGATAAAGTAGCTATCAAAATAGCTTGTATTGATTTATTGATTTTAATTTTATTTTATTTTTAAAAACTTTTATAGATTCAGCAGGTATGTGTACAGGTTTGTTACATGAATATATTGCATAATGGTGGGTTTGGGCTCCATCACCTAATTAGTGAACATTTTTCCCAATAGGTAATTTTTCAACATTCACCTGCTTCCAACCCTCTCCCCTTTTTGAATCCCCAGGACTATTATTTCCATGTTATGTCCATGTGCACCCATTGTTTAGCTTCTACTTATAAGTAAGAACAGGTTGTATTTGTTTTCTGTTTCTGAATTGTTTCACTTAGGATAATGGCCTCCAGCTCCATGTCTATTGCTGTAGAAAGCATGATTTCATTATTTGTATGGCTGCATAGTATTCCATGGTGTATATATCCCACATTTTCCTCATCCAGTCATCTGCACTGAACACTTAGGTTGATTCCATGATTTTGATTTTATGAATCATTCTGTGATAAACATGAGTGTAGGTATTTTTTGACAGAACACTTCGTTTTCCTTTGAATAGATAGCTAGTTATTGGGATTGCTGAGTTTAATGGTAGTTCAATTTTCAGTTCTTTGAGCCTGACTTCAAATTATACTATAAGGCTATAGTTACCAAAATAGCATGGTACTGGTATAAGATAGACACATAAATCAATGGAAATGAATAGAGAGCCCAGAAATAAAGCCACATCCATACAACCAACTGATATTTGAAAGAAATCAACAAAAAATATACAATGGAAACAGGGAATTCTATTTAATAACTGATACAAGGAAAAATCAAATTTTCATACACAGAAGAATAAAACTGGACCCCTCTTACAACATATAAAAATTAACTCAAGATAGATTAAATAATTAAATGGAAGACCTGATACTATAAAAGTCTACAGAAAACCTAAGAAAAGGTCTTCCAGACATCAGCCTAGGCAAAGAATTTATGACTAAGACCTCAAAAGCAAATGCAACAAAACAAAAATAGACAAATGGGATTTCATTAACTAAAAACTTCTGTATAGTAAAAGAAACAACAGAGTAAACAGAAAGCTTACAGAATGGGAGAAAATATTTGCAAGCTATGCATTTGACAAATTCCTAATATCCAGAATCTAAAAGGAACTCAAACAACTCAGTGAGAAAAAAACCAAATAACTCCATTAAAAAGTGGGTAACTGATGACAAATTCTCAAAAGAAGAAATACAAGTAGCCAATAAACATTTATTTTTAATGGACAAAAAATGGTATATACTTACTATATAAAACATGTTGTTTAAAACAGGTATATATTGTGAAGTGACTAAGTTGAAGTAATTAACATATGTATTACCAGACAAACTTACTTTGTGGTGAGAACAATTAAAATCTATACTGTAGCAATTTTTAAAAATATAATACATTCTTATTAATTATATTTACCATGTTGTACAATGGATGTCTTTAACATATTTCTTTCATCTAACTGAAATTTTATATCCTTTGATGAACACCTAATAGTCACTTCTAACCCTAATCTGCGGGTAGCCACTATTCTGCTTTCCACTTCCAAAATTCATTTTATTTTTTTTTACATTCTACATATAGGTGAGATCATGTGGCATTTATCTTCCTGTGCCTGGCTTATTTCATTTAATATAATGTCCTCTAGGTTCATTGATTTTGTCCCAAATGAAAGAATTTTCTTCTTTTTAAGGCTGAGTGATATTCCATTGTGTATATTCACCCAATTTTCTTTACTCATTCATTCATTAATGGACACTTAGGTTGATTCCATATCTTGACTATTGTCAGTTGATATGGTTTGGCTCTATGTCCCCACCCACATCTCATCTTGACTTGTTCTCTCATAAATGCTCCATGTTGTAAGAAAGGCCTGGTGGGAGATATTGAATCATGGGGGCAGTTTCCCCTGGACTCTTCTCATGGTAGTGAATAAGTCTCACGAGTTCTGATGGTTTTAAAAAACAGGAGTTTCCCTGCACAAGCTCTCTCTCTCTCTCTCTTTTTTTTTTTTTTTTGCCTGCTGACATCCATGTAAGATGTGACTTGCTTTTCCTTGCCTTCCACCATGATTGTAATGCCTCCCCAGCCATGTGGAACTGTAAGTCCACTAAGCCTCTTTTTCTTCCAAGTCTCAGATATGGCTTTATCAGCAGCATGAAAATGGACCAATACTACTGCAATACAAATGAGAGGATAGATATCTCTTTGACATATCAATTTCATTTCCTTTGAATATAAATTCAGTAGTCAATTTGCTGGATAATATGGTAGTCTTACTTTTAATTTTCTGAGGAACTTACATACATTTTCTTTCATAATGGCTGTGTGAACTTACATTCCCAACAGCAGTATAAAACAGTTCCCTTTTCTCCAAATCTTTGCCAACACTTGTTATCTTTTGTCTTTTTGATAACAGCCATTCTAGCAGGTGTGAGGTGATATCTTACTGTGCTTTCAATTTGCATTTTCCTGATAATTAGTAATATTGATCATTTTTATATACCTTTTGGCTACTTGTACATCTTCTATTGAGAAATGTCTATTCAGATCTTTTGCCCAATTTTTAATAAGATTATTTGTTTACTTGTTATTGTGTTATTTGAGTTTCTTATATATTTTAAAATAATAATCTCTTGTGAAAGTCATGGCTTGCAAGTGTGTTATCTCATTCTGTAGATTGGTTCTTTACTCTATTGATGGTTTCCTTGGCTTTGCAGAAGCTTTTTAGTTTGATGTCATCTCATTTGTCTATTTTTGCTTTTGGCTTTTTGCTTTAGAATGCATATTCAAAAAAAGTATTGTCCAGATTAATGTTATGAAGCTTTATTATATGTTTTGTTCCAATGATTTTGCAGTTTCAAGTTTTATGTTTAAGTCTTTAATCCATTTTGAGTAGGTTTTTTTTTTTTTTTTTTTTTTTTTGAGACAGAGTTTCACTCTTGTTGGCCAGCCTGGAGTGCAATGGCGTGATCTCAGCTCACTGCAACCTCTGACTCCCGGGCTCAAATGATTATCCTGCCACAACCTCCTGAGTAGCTGAGATTACAGGCATGTACCACCATGCCCAGCTAAGTTTTGTATTTTTAGTAGAGACGGGGTTTCTCCATGTTGGTCAGGCTGGTCTTGAACTCCCAATCTCAGGTGATCTGCCCACCTCGGCCTCCCAAAGTGCTGGGATTACAGGCATAAGCCTGCATCTGGCCGAGTTTATTGTTTTATGCGGTGTGAAATAAGGATCTAATTTTATTCTCTGAATGTGGATACCCAGCTTTGCCAGCACCATTTATTAAAAAGACTTCCTTTTCTCCATTTCTTCCATTGTGTGTTCTTCTTGTCACCTTTGTAAAAAGTCTGTTAACTTTAAGTCTGTGACTTTATTTGTGGGCTCTCTATCTTCTTACATTGATCAATGTGTCTGATTTTATGCCAATATCATGCTGTTTTAATTACCATAGCTTTGTAGTACATTTCAAATTCAGGTAGTGTGATATCTCCAGCTTTGTTCTTTTAACTCAAGAAAGCTTTGGTTACTCAGTGTCTTTTGTAGTTTCATACAAATTAATTATGACTTCCTTTTCTAATTCTTTTGAAAATGTCATTGGAAGATAGGAATTGCATTGAATCAATGATTCAGTTTGGGTATTATGAACATTTTAACAATATTACTTTTTCTGATCTATAAACATGAAAGATCTTTCCTTTTCCTTGTGTTTTAAAAACCTCTCATAATATTATTGAAATAAAACTGTAATTTCAATTTGGAAAGTGCCAATATTAAAGATCACTAACATTACAAATATTTATCTAGCACCTGTTGTCATTTTCACATTATATCAGGGCCTGCAGTAAATAATAGTATACAAATATTCCACTTTCAAGGACATTACAATTATTCTTTCATAGTGCACATACTTAAATGTTGTCATGAGATTGTCAGATTCTGACACTATTACTTCCAAACAATTGTGTAAAATTGGTGCCCTCTTATTTACTCATTTTATTTGATAAAAACAAACCTGTTTATTAAACTCTGAAGAGTAGCAAAGATTAAAAGCTCCTAAGTCAAAATATACACAAAAATAAACCAATGCAAAATAATCAATATGTAACCAAGAAGAGCTCTTTCAGTAAATTAAGACTGAAACAGACACCAATAGATATGTCCCAGACAAAAAGGAACTGCTCTACATTTAAATATACATGAGGAAATCTTAAACACACACACAAAGAATATTAGATGTCTTTATAACAATAATTACTCAGTCTTTATTATACTAACATACATCAAGGACCTCAAAATTAAGTAATAATTTTGTCATATGAAAATATTTTAGAAACATAGCCCTATGTTCCTTTTTATACCTGATCTTCTAAGTTACACAGTGAAGAGGATGTGGTTATGCAGTTGGTTTGTGGGTGTATGTGTTACATCTTTTGTTTTTAATTTTTGTTTTGTTTTCCTGTAGAGTTGTACATGGCTGTAGAGTTGTGTATGGCTATCCTTTTAAATTCATGTTGTTCATAACAGTATATTAACATCATTTGGAAAGTTTATTTTGTTACTTGTATTAATCCTGTCTTAACATCAAATTATTCATACAGTTTAATCGATATGCTTCTCTTAATGTCACTGAAGGTAAATGTCTAATATATTAGTGCCATAAATCAAGCTTTTAGTGTGTCACTGGAAGTATCTCTTTCAGTTTGACAGTAACGAATTAATGGGAAGCGTTTCTTAAGTTCGCCTAAGCAGTCATTACCTCATTTTTTGGTATTATTCTGGCTTGTTTTCCATAGTAGAAGTTTTCTCATGCTACAAGTCAAGTATTAGAACTGTGGCCTTGCCATAATAAAATCCTAAAAAATGTGTGCAAAGGTTTTCTACCATTTGAGTCTGGGGATACAGAACATTCACACAAGTCAGGCAAAGCAGACAGGCAGCAAGGATAAATAGAAGTGTAGGATTCATGGAGAACCGGTCTTTTAAGAATCAAGACACAGGAAGGGGAACGTCACACACAGGGGACTGTTGTGGGGTGTGGGGAGGGGGGAGGGATAGCATTAAGAGATATACCTAATGCTAAATGACGAGTTAATGGGTGCAGCACACCAACATGGCACATGTATACATATGTAACAAACCTGCACGTTGTGCACATGTACCCTAAAACTTAAAGTATAATAATAATAATTAAAAAAAAAAAAAAGAATCAGGAAAGCTGCCCAGGGCAGGTGGAGTGCTGTCTGTGCATGCACCACATTGCACAGCAGCTGAGAGACACCAAAAGCATTCCATATTGGATTTTATATACCAGGCACAACAAGGATCACTGAGTTAAAGTATTGCAGGACAATTTGTTTTGGTAGACATGAGGACACAGCGCAGGCTGTTCTAGACATTTCTTCCTTATCTCAGGATATTGCATTTGCAGATATTCTGAGAGCTACAAGCAGAGAGGAAAGAACTGACAAGGCCAAGATCATCTGGGGACCTCTCCTATTTCAAAGTAAAACTAGCTTTAAGACCAAGTGGCATGTAGAGCTTGAAAAATGATATATTTTTAGCAAAGACTGCAGAATTAATGAATATAGTATAACTGGAGTCTGGAAAAATGACATCTGTATTAGTGGAACAATTGTCAAAACTACCACCTAAATTAATTTAGAAGATATAAAGTGCACTAAAAGATCTTTGGACTTAGCTAAAGACAGATCTAGGCATATTTTTGAATGTGTCACCTGAGTACCTAGCTGTCACTGTTAAGTCACTGAAAAAGGTGAGTTATAGAAAGAATTAATGTTTTAAAAAAGAATTTACAGAAAATATATAGGACCAGTTGTGTTATATTGGAAAATAAACTTTGTTTAGCATGTAGGATTCACAGATAATTACAGATTTTGAAGTGAAACAAGCCCTATGGACAAAGATAAAACCAAGAGCTGAATGGTATGTTTCTTCTAAATAAATGCATTGGCATCTACCTGTCTAGAATTAAAATGTTATGTAAATTTTGGTAATGAAGTTTACTCAACCTCAAAAAACATCCAAAATTGTTAGAAAAGTATGCGGCTGAAAACACTGGTAACTTAGATTAAAAGTGACTGAGACAGCTCAAATTACAAGAAAGGCTTCTGGCATTTTAACTTTATGTGAACATAAAGCAGGCTACTCACACACAAACATACAGAATCATCTACCAACTCATCAATAGTTATCACCATACAAACACAGATCATTACTTTGAGAAAATAACACAATATTTCAGGGTGTCGAGCTGAGGATCATGGAGAGAAGCATGAAGAACAATGCATTAAGGAGCCACTCCCAGAAAACTTTACAGACCAGTGGATTATGAAGTTGTTCCCAAGAAGCATTAAAAAGCAATAGCCTGGAGAGCTTTTCCCAGGGAACAGAACTGAGTTCTAATGAACAAACATTCTGGTCTGGTCTTGGAGAAGCTGGCAACATTTTCCCGTTGGAATTTCAGTCATTGCTGTAGACCAGTGGCTGTTGTACGTGTGCATATACACACATACACAACGTGTATACACATATACACATATACACGCACAACAGATATATACACACACACTATATATATGTGTATACGCACATACATTGTGTATATACATATAATGTGTGTACATACATATCGTGTGTATATATATACACACACATACACATTATATGTATATAATGTTATATGAGAGTATCTCCTGCATATCCTCTCCTTGTCTCTCCAGTGTACTTTGCATATGTAGAGGAAGGCTGGCTTGTTAATCTTTGTTCATAGGCACCTTAATCAAGAGGGACCACTTATATATCTCTTATTGATGGTTGAGGTCCTGGTTGTCAAACATAACACCATTGATCAGAGGAGATTTGGAGATTTGGTGGTCTTGGGAGGAGGTGAAGAAGAGGGATGTAAATGATTAGATTTGGAGGACTGACAATGATAAATCTATTATTTTCCTGAAATAAATTGCTATAATTATTCCCTTCCTACAATTCATATCTATTTGCAATGCAACTTTACCATGTCTCCTGTCAATACTTACGACTAACTCTGAAAAATTAGATTGAGCAGAAATGACTTTGTGTCAGAACTATGTTTAGACCTCAGACACCCTTACAAGCTCCTGCTGGCTCTCTTGGAATCCTTCCCAGTCATTATGAGAAAAAGCCTGGAGGATGAAAGACTATATGTAGCAGAGACGAGCTAGCTCAGTTGAGACCATCTGATGCCAGCTATAGTAGGTCATTCTTGCATTGCTATAAAGAAATATCTGAGGCTGGATAATCTATACAGAAAAGAGGTATAATTGGCTCGCGGTTCTGCAGGCTGCATGAGAAACATAGCACTGACATCTGTTCACCTTTTGGGGGGCCACAGGGAGCAGAAATCTCAGGGAGATTTTGCCTATGGTGGATAGCAAAGCAAGAGCCACCAAGTCACATGATGAAAGTAAAAGCAAGTGGAGAAGGGAGGTGCTACACACAATTAAACAACCACATCTCACAAGAACTCACTCACTATCACAAGAACAGCCCCAAGCCATGAAGGATCCACCCCTATGATCCAACCATCTCTCACTAGGCCCTACCTCCAACATGAAGATTACAATTCAGCAGGAGATTTGGTGGGGATGTATTTTACAACTATATAATTCTGCTCTTGGTTCTTTAAGTCTCATGTTCTTCTCACATTGCAAAATACAATTATCCCTTCTCAGCAGTCCCTCAAAATCTTAACTCATTCCAGCATTAACTCTAATGTCTCAGGTCCAGGTACAAAGTTTCATCTGAAGATGAATTTCTTCCACTTAGGAGCCTGTAAAGTCAAACAAATTATTTACTCCAAAGAGACAATGGAGGTATAGGCATTGGGTAAATATTCCCATTCCAAAAGGGAGAAATCAACCAAAAAAAAGAAGCTACATGCTCATGCAATTCAAAAACCCAACAGAACAGTCATTAAATCTTAAAGCTCCAAAATAATCTCCTTTAACTCCATATTGTGCATCCAGGTCACACTGGGGTGAATGGTGGGCTCCTGAGGCCTGGGCAACTCCTCCCCTTCAAACTTTTATACTCTGTTCCCCTTTTAAGTATAAATTATAACTTTAAGCTCTTGCATCTGAGAATAGGCTATTAGAAGCAGCCAAGTCACCCCTTGAATGACTTGCTGCTTAGAAATTTCTTGTACCCTAAATCATAAGTCTCAAGTTTAAATTTCTGTAGATCCCTAGGATAGGGAAACAATGATGCTAAGCTATTTGCTAAGGCATAATGTGTATGACCTTTGTTCCAGTTTCCAATAAGTTTCTCATTTCCTTCTGAGACCTCGTTATCCTGGACTTCATTGCTGATATCACTATTAGCATTTTGGTCACAACCATTTAACCAGTCTCTAAGAAGTTCCAAACTCTCCCTCATCTTCCTGTTTTCTTCTGAGCTCTCCAAACTCTTCTAACCTCTGCCTGTTACTCAGTTCCAAGCTGCTCCACATTTTCAGGTATTTTATAGCAATAATCCACTCTTAATACCACTTTTCTGTATTAGGTCATTCTTGCATTGTTGTAAATAAAGATCTGAGGCTTGGAAATCTATAAATAAAAGAGGCTTACTTGGCTCACAGTTCTTTAGGATGCAAAGGAAACATGGTCTTGACGTCTGCCCAGCTAATGGGAGGCTGTGGGGATCAGGGACCTCAGGGAGTTTTTACTCATGGTGGAAGGCAAAGCATAAGCCAGCATGACACATAGCAAAAGCAAGAGCAAGTATGGGGAGAGGTGCCACACACATTTTTTTTTTTCAGATGGAGTCTCGCCCTGTCTCCCAGGCTGGAGTGCAGTGGTGTGATCCTGGCTCAGTGTAACCTCTACCTCCTGGGTTCAAGCAATTCTCCTGCCTCTGCCTCCCGAATAGCTTGGACTACCGGCGCATGCCACCACGCCCAGCTAATTTTTGTATTTTAAGTAGAGATGAGGTTTCATCATGTTGGTCAGGATGGTCTAGATCTCTAGACCTCATGATCCGCCCGCCTCAGCCTTCCAAAATGCTGGGATTACAGACGTGAGCCACCACGCCCGGCCAGTGCCACACACTTTTAAACAGCTAGATCTTGTGAGAAGTCACTCACTATTGTGAGGACAACACCAAGACATGAGGGGTGTGCTACTGTGATCCAGTCACCTTCCCCCAGGCCCCACCTTCAATACTGGGGATTACAATTCAACACAAGATTTGGCAGAAATATGTATTCAAACTATATCACCAGCCAATCCTCAGGTAACCCGAGAGTTGTCCACAGAGACATGAGGGGGACCAGTTGAAAACCCCCAACCTAGGACCACAGTTTTGAGCTAAATAAATTGGTATTGTTTATTTATGAGCTAAATAAATTGGTATTGTTTATAGTTTATTGAAACTAAATTTGGGGTAAGATAAAAGCAAATGTATGCAGTGAAATTAAATAATGGTTGTAATGAGATTGCCTAATGAAGTGATGTAGAAGACTGGTTCATTACATTAAGGCACTGAATTAATGATTTTCAAAGCAGCGTATTTTATGGTGATTAGATATTCCAGGTATAAACATACAAGCTTCTGAGTAAGGTGAAGTGTAGAGAATTTTAAATAGAGATCAATAGTTTAAGTAAATGAGAGGATTTGGTGGTGTTTCAGACATCTGCATCTGCATGGGAGGAATTTAAAGTATCTAGGAATGCTTTTAAAACACAGGTTGGAAAGAAAACTGAGGTCTTGGTGCTAATGTTTTGGAAAAATGAGGCAGAAAGGCCAAGATGTGGTGAGATGATTGCAATCAGGATGGTGAGAAGGACTCAGTACAGTGGAATGAACTTCAGAGGAGTAGGGTTTGTCTGACCACAAAGGAAGTGATTATCTAGGAGCCTAAGGAAGCTTGGAGTTAATGGTGAATGCCAGTAACCTTTTTCTCTACCCTCCATTATCCTCACTCAAAGAGGAAGAAAAATAAAGTAAGGAAGTCCCTGAGAGTAAAGTTGTTTAGAATGATTACCTTTAATAATGTCCAACTCTTTGAGAATCACACAGTTGATTTTGGAATCCGTACTTGCACACATTTTAGCCATTAAATGACTGTTGTCATTTAATGTTTTGGGTACCACATGTTTATATTTTCCTCTATGCACACCTGTGTCTCCACCTCTCTTTGCTGGAACTGCTAGTCTCCCGCGTAAATATGGGTACGGGGGAAAGCCAACCAAAGCCACACTGTCTCCCAGCCCTATATTTGAGATATGTGTGTGAATAAATGCCCCAGATAATGGTGACTACCAAAGCCAGACCAGTGAAAATCTTTCTCTAGAATGCTCCTTCATTAGAATAAGTATGTTTTCATTAATTAATTTAGAGGAAGGTATTCTTGAGTAGTACATAATAAGATAAATATACTAAAAGAAGCAACCCTAATAAAAAGGCAGTGTATTTGAGAAAGAGTATTCTCTTGTTTTATTGCTGGGGTTCGAATCTTTGGAAAGTGCTTTCCCCTGACTTCTGTTACATGAGCTGATCCCTGTTTTCTTTCATTCCTTCTTTAGAAAGGCAGAATAATACGATGATGTGGATCTAGACTCCATGGATTCTAATTCAGGTATCAACTCTTACACTCTGTGTCATTTTGGACAAGATTTTTTTTTATTTTTATACAAGTATCCTCATGAATTAAATGAAGATACAAATAGCTCTCAACTCGTAGATATCTAGTAAACAGTATGTAATTTAAATTGTGTAACAGGTGTAGAGCAGTGCCTGTCCTTGTAATGTGTAAATAAAAGCATCACATGTATTGGTTATTACTGTTATCACATTTAAATAGAAATGTCCAGTAAGATGTTAAAGATCTAAGCAAAATTATATCTCTGATGCTATAAATAATCTCTGATGATATAAACAATCCATTCCATTTGTCTTAAATTTCCTCAAAAACCTAGAGAGTAACATTGTACAAGCCAAAGATTTTTTCTAACTCTTTTTAAAAATTTAACAATCCAATCCTTCTCAAGGGTAAGAATTTTTTCTCAATGAATACACCTGAATACTACTTCAGTTACAATTAAATGCATACATGAGTGTACCAAACACACAGGTTTAAAAAATTTTAGTAATATCAAAACTAGGTAACAAAATTTCCATCAGGTAAGTCACTATAGAAGAGTGTATTCTTCAGTGTACCCTGAAGAAAAGGCTCAGATAATCATCTATATAATAGGATTTCATAAAGAACAATATGTACTAATTCAAAGCCCAATTTACTCAGCAAAATTAATATGCAAGAAAAATTAATGTTCTGTATAAGATGGTTCATTTCCTACTCCTTGCCTTTTTTATTTATATCATGAAGATGGCTGGATGATGTAAAATTCCCAAATAATATGCTGCTGCATAAAAATTGTTTGAAGAAAGAAAAAAATAAACAAGGACAGGTTTCATAGGAAACTGAAATAGGATAGTCAGAAGCAGAGTACATGAATGATTAAAACCACACATAAATGAGCATCACACAATGATTGGGAAACCCCAGTGGCAGATACACCAGTGGAAGCATGTTCTTAAATGGTGTGTTAGTCTTCTTTAGTAGTCCATACAAGAAAGAGTGAAGTTTAAAGTCAGGAAGCAGGCTTGGAGTGATGGCTTATGCCTATAATTCCAGCACTGTAAGAGGCCAACGCAGGCAGATCGCTTGAGGCCAGTAGTTCGAGACCAGCCCGGGCAATATGGCAAAAACTCATCCCTACTAAAAATACAAAAAATTATCTGGGCATGGGGACCCAAGCCTGTAGCCCCAGCTGCTCTGGAGGCTGAGGTGGGAGGATTGCTTGAGCCTGGAATGTGGAGGTTGTAGTGAGCTGAGATTGTGCCACTGCACTCCAGCATGGGTGACAGAGTGAGACCCTGTCTGAAATTAATGAATTAATTAATTAAAGTTAGGAAGCAACCAATAGAAAGGAGACAAAACTATATTAACAGTGAATTCGACAAGATTGGCAATGCATCAGGAAGTCTAGGGCTGGAAAATATAACTATTAGTTGGATTCTTAGAAATTATACTCTCTCTCTTTTTGTATTTTGTATATTTAATTTTCTACATAAGCATATTAATATTCTATTATCCATCCCTTCTTTAAGAAATAAAAAGAACACTCTTCAGTCTAGTTTCTACATTTAGTTGTCAATCCTTTTTTCTACTCCTCTTTATCAACGTTTGTCTGTAATCCTATACCCAATTTTCCGTATCTCATTTACTCACAATCTCTATCCAATTAAACTTCATCCCCACCGTATCATCAGAACTACTCCTCTTTAGGCCACCAATGACTTCTGTGTTGAAAACCCAACGTTTAATTGTTAACATTTTCCAGGCTTACTCCAACAGAATATTTTAGACATTGATAACGGCCTACAAACACCTTACTTGCTTTATAGACATTCCTCTTTAGCTTCTTTTATTGGCAATTTCTCTTCTTTATGGCCATGAAATTCAAAGGGTCCAAGTTTCATTTTTAGATAGTTTATTTTTTATTATCGAGTGCTCTTTCTTGATTATCTCTCATTTAGTACTAAGGCTTTAATTATCATTATGCATTTACAGCTTCCAAATTTATATTGCCAATCTGGACTTTTCTTCTGAATTCTAGGCATGTATATCTGCCTAGCTACTTGACTTCTCCACTAGACACCTAAAGAAAAAGAATAAAACTTAATATGTTAAATACTAGAATTTTAATCTACCATGCTGCTCTTTGCGTGTGCTCTCTTTATAATTCATCCATCTCTGCTAATAACAACTGTCATCTTTCTACTTACCTATGCACTAAAAATTTGATTCCTCACTTCCTCACACACATATAATTTAATATATTCCTAAATCCTTTCAGCTCCTCCTTCAAATCCATCTAGAATTTAGCCATTTCTAGACACTTGCACTGCTCTTCTATGAATTATTGTAAGCCACTTTCAAATTCTTGCATCAGAGCTCCAGTTGATCTCCTGTCTTCCACATAGAGCTTATAGTGCAAAATGCAACCAGAGTGATTAATTCACTATGTAATTAAAACACGGATGACTCTCTGCTAAAACCCTGTAATACTTCTGTATTAGATATATATTGTTGTGTAAAAAATGCCTACAAATATAGTGGCTGTAAGCAACACACCCTTATTTATGTCACATTCATTATTTTTGTGGGTCAGGAGTTTGAGCACTGCCTAGCTAGGTCCTCTGCTGAAAGTGCAGTCCTTGAGGTCAAACTGCAGAAACTGGATCCTTGAGATTAAACTGAACCCTCAGCCAACTCCTTTATTACAGCATCTTGAGACGAAGGGTGCAATTCCATCTCAAGACCTGATGAGGGAACGATCGCATTGCGAGTTCATGTGATGGTTGGTGGCATTAAGTTCCTTGAGAGTTGCATAAATAAGAACCACAGTCACTGGATGAATTTCAGCCTTGTGCCTCTTTCAGTTGCTGGATGTCTGCTGGCTGGAGATCACCCGTTTCCCTGTCAAGGGGGCCTCTCTGCCACAATAAGTTGCTTCATCACCCTTCGACAAGAGAGAAAGGCTACTAGCAAGACAGATGTTACAATTACAGGTAAAATTCATAATAACAGTCAACAATTTTGTTGTTTTCTGTTGTTTAGAAGAAAATCATGAAACAAATAATCTCCACACACATTCAAGGACACCAGGAGTCAGAAATAATTGGGACTGTCTTTAAGTCTGACCACTATAATTCCTCATTACAATAAAAGTAAAAGCCAAATTCTTCACTATGTCCTGCAAGGCTTTATGTAATCTTCCCTTAATTATGTTTTTTACTACTCAAAAACACTTCAAAAGTTTGATGTTAAGATTAAATTATTTCATGATTTTCACTTGTCTGTTTCATAATAAAATATATACTCCAAAGTATTAAAATTAATAAAAATCTACTTTCTATTGTATATATGTTTCTATGAAAGACAGAGTTTGAAGAAAGTTGTTATTGCTTAAGAGAAGTAAATGTTCGTGGGCTAGAAGATTTTTGAGATTCTTTTCATTTCTGACATTTTGGGGATAGTTAAAGAAAACAAATGCACCACAAATAGGGCTTAAGTGCCTTCCTCAATGCCCAAGTCAGATACTAAAGCACAAAATATATTAAATAATGTATTTAACCTAAGAATGTCAAGTTATATCTCATTCTATATGGCATCAAAAAGTCTAATGCTAATAATTTTCAGTGTTGCAAATAAGACATAATTTTAATTGTTTTTAATTTTACAAGTTACATTTATAAACTTGAGTACATTAATATGAAATTATGTCATGATCTTTAATTGTAAAGACAGAATTAGAGTAAGACAAATAGAAGTAGTGGATTGAACTCCTTTTATCAAGCATCTGTGTGATTTAGCCATATCTTCTGGCACGTCATTCCATAAAAAGCAACAGTATGGCAGTATGGTATAAGTGTCAATGAGCCTTATAGAGAAATACGGGTTAACTACATTTCACAAAAGGAGAATTGCATTTTAAAAAGTTGAAATTCCCTTTAAAAATTTTTAGCTGTCAAACCAGTGACATTTTCTAGGGGTTAATGGCTAGCAGAAGAGTGGTGATCATATTTAACAGATTCCAAATAATACTGACTTTGAATTAAAATCTATATATGCTTCATAAACATTTTAAAATATTTTTTCTAATTGCAGTCACATTATAAAGGACATAGTTTTTTGTTTGTTTGTTTTTTGAGATGGAGTCTCGCTCTGTCAGCAGGCCAGAGTGCAGTGGCGCAATCTTGTCTCACTGCAAGCTCCACCTCCCGGGTTCACACCATTCTCCTGCCTCAGCCTCCTGAGTAGCTGGGACTACAGGTGCCCACCACCACGCCTGGCTAATTTTTTGTAGTTTTAGTAGAGACAGGGTTTTACCATGTTAGCCATGATGATCTCAATCTCCTGACCTCATGATCTGCCCTCCTCGGCCTCCCAAAGTGCTGGGATTACAGGTGTGAGCCACCGTGCCCGGCCAAAGGACATAGTTTTAAAAATAAGAATGCAGATGTAATGGATATTCTGCATTTCTCAGTTATTTGTGGTTTTATATTATATTATTATAAATTAAGCATTTTACCTTCTGTTTAATTAAACCTATCATTGCTATGTAGACTATAACATAGAGCATTGCACTAATCACACAACTAAATACCAATGCATAACTCATTAATTGTATTTTTTAGTTAAGAAAATATTCTAAGATAAACACCACAATCTTAAATTTTAAATATCATTACAGGTAATGTCTATGCCATCGTCCCTACTAGAGGTTCCTGATGGTACAAAGCTAGTTTCTCATGTAGTTAAGATATATTTAAAAATTAAACTAAATAATTAGTTATATAAATATCTGCAGTCTATGAAAAGTGCTACAGAGAGAAACTACCGTATCTAGTGCTCAGGTCTTTTTTTTGAATAACATTCTCCAATAAAAGAAAAGAGGGCTCCTTATAGAAATGGGTGATTCTAGGATTAGGGCAGAAAATACACAAAATAAGCATTGAGTATCTCATAATGACAGAAAGTGAGATAGTGATTAAAAACTACTACAACAACAACAACAAAAACCCAAACTACTGTAATACTGTAATAGTCCATTCTCATGCTGCTATAAGGACATATTCAAGATATATTCAAGATTGGGTAATTTATAAAGGAAAGAGGTTTAGTTGATGCACAATGCAATATGGCTCAGGCAGCCTCAGGAAACGTACAATCATGGGGCAAGGGGAAGCAAACATGTCCTTCTTCACAGGATGGTAGGGAAAAGAAAAATTCGAGCAAAAGGAGGGGAAAAGCCCCTTGTAAAACAATCCGATCTTGGGAGAACTCACTCACTATCATGAGAACAGCGTAAGGGCAACAGCCCCCCTGATTTAACTACCTCCCACTGGGTGCCTCCCACGACATGTGGGGATTATGGGAACTACAATTCAAAATGAGATTTGGGTGGCGACACAGCCAAACCACACTATTCTGCCCCAGCCATTCCCAAATCACGTGTCCTTCTCACATTGCAAAACACAATCATGCCCTTCCAACAGTTCCCCAAATCTTAATTAATTCCAGCATTAACTCAAAAGTTCAAGCCCAAAGTTTCATCTGAGACAAGGCAAGTCCCTTCTGCCTATGAGCCTATAAAATCAAAAGCAAGATCATTACTTCACAGGTACAATGAGCGTACAGGCATTGAGTAAATACATCTATTTCAAATGGGAGAAACTGGCCAAAACAAAGGGGCTACAGGCCCCATCCAAGTCCAAAATCCAATAGGGCAGTCATTAAACTTTAAAGTTCCAGAACGATCTTCTTTGACTCCATGTCTCACATCCAGGGCACACAGATGCAAGAGGTAGGCTCCCATGGCCTTGGGCAGCTCCACCCCTGTGGCTTTGCAGGGTACAGCCCCACTCCTGGCTGCTTTAACAAGCTGGCATTGAGTAACTATGGCTTTTCCAGGTGCACAGTGCAAGCTGTTGGTGGATCTACCATTCTGGTGTTTGGAGGATGGTGGCCCTTTTCTCACAGCTCCACTAGGCAGTGCTCCAGTGGAGACTCTATGTGGAGTATCCAACCTCACATTTCCTTTCCACACTGCCATAGCAGAGACTCTACATGAGGGCTCAGCTCCTGCAGCAAACTTTTGTCTGGTTACCCAGGCATTTCCATAAATCCTCTAAAATCTAGGTGGAGGTTCCCAAAACTCAATTATTGACTTCTGTGCACCCACAGACTCAACACTATGTGTAAGCCACCAAGGCTTGGGGCTTGCCCTCTGAAGCAATGGCATGAGCTCTACATTGTCCCCTTTTAGCCACAGTTGGGATGCAAGGCACCAAGTCCCAAGACTGCAAAAAGCAGCAAGGCTCTGGAACCAACCAACCTAACCATTTTTTTCCTACTACACCTCTGGGCCTGTGATGGGAGGTGCTGCCACGAAGACTTAAGACATGCCCTGGACACATTTTTCCCATTGTTTTGGCAATTAACATTTGTTACTTATGCAAATTTCTATGGCTAGCTTGAATTTCACCTCAGAAAATGAGTTTTTCTTTTCTATCTCATTGTCAGGCTGCAAATTTTCCAAACTTTTATGCTCTGCTTGCCTTTTAAACACACATTCCAATTCCAAACAATATCTTTGTGAATACATAAAATTGAATGATTTTAACAGCACCTAAGTAAAATGCTTTGCTGCTTGGAAATTTCTTCCACCAGATACCCTAAATTATCCCTCATGCTGTTCTCATGATGGTGAGTGAGTTCTCACAAGATCTGATGGTTTAATAAAGGGCTTTTCCCCACCTTTGCTTGGGACTTCTCCTTCCTGCTGCCTTGTGAAGAAGGACGTGTTTGCTTCCCCTTCTGCCATAATTGTGTGTTTCTTGAGGCCTCTCCAGCCTTGCGAAACTCTGAGTCAGTTAACCTCTTTTCTTTATAAATTACTCAGTCGGGTATTTCTTCATGGCAGCATTGAGAACAGAGTAATACAACAGGTAACAGTAATCAGTGGGCATTTTTTGATTGGGCATAGCTATTTAAATAAAACTGTATAAACATATATATAGATAAAACCAAACCGGTAAGTTCATCCAAAGCTGAGATTTTGTTAGGCCTGTGTAACAAAAAGAGAGAGGGCAAGTTAATTTGCATTTCTGCCTAAAGTATCATTGAAGACATGAAATATAATATCTGAATTTAATACAAGTAGGAGAAAAAACAAGCAAAGGCTTTAGTTTCCAATTTGAAATACCTTTAAGACTGAGAGTTATGTCTGGGAGCCATGAAACATCATGGAATATGTTCTAACATATTCATGAGTTAACCTTGAAAGATCATACAGAAGTCAGATAATCGTGCTGCAAAATCAGAAAATGCTGCAACTTATTTACGGTTCCAAATTTCCCAATTAATAAGCAACAGTTCAAACATTTAAATGCATGTGTGCCTGATTCCAAATGTTTGCTGCAAAAAATCTGGCAGCTTTGGCCAGAAACTGTGACATGCAGGTTAATTCCATCGTATATTATTCAATGCTGTACAGCAGCTACAGATCAGCTGAGGTTTCTTATCTATGGCTAAGTCATTGTCTTAAAATGGTCAAAATCATAGTGTCACTAAAAAGAGTTTAAGGAGTGAGTTTGTGGTCCATTACTGGATCTATTTTCTTTGGAATTCATTTGGATTTGCCAGAGCATATGCTGTATGATAAATTAAAGAGGGCTCTGCTAAAGAATGCACAGAAGAGGATAAGTAAAATGCTGGACTACAGTTGAAAAAAAAAGTTTACATGTAGTATTCAGGGATGGAAATATGGCATTTTAGCACAAGTATACTGTTCCAACAACTGGAATTACTAGCAGTTATTGGCTCTGCTTCCAGCAGCTGCTTACCTTAAAGAACTTCTAAGCAAAGAAACACAAAATAATAGTAATAGCAAGATGGCTGTCATGGGACCTAGAAAGGGGAGAAGCAATGTCGCCCAACTCCAGAGGTTGGTGTAAGAGTTTGAAAGGCATTGTCTGATTTCAGAAACCTTTTCCTGTAAACACCGGCCGGGCAGCATTGTGTACTATCCCTGACCGGTTAGTGTAAAAACAACACTCTTCCCCTAGGAAGCTGCAGAGTCCTTTCTCAGCAGTGAGGAGGTCTAGGCCTCAGCGGTTTTGGAGAGTTACTGCTGCCGAACAGTCTATTTGGGATTGTAGAGTAAGGATAGAGTTCGTTATTTCTTGCAAACTGTCTGAGAAATCCTTTGAGTGTGTGGTAGTAGGATAATACATGTTCCACTGTTAACTTTTAGTGACGTTTACTTTAGTTGAAAACCTTGTAAGTTTGGGATTTTAATTTTTCTTTGCTATTAATAAAACCTCATTCAGTCCATAATAACTTAGAATTGGTATAGATGGCTCTTTCCTGATTCTGTAAGTAGTTTAAGATTTGGCTGAATGCAAACAACTGGCAAGTTTGAGCAGACCAATTATTAGGCAATTTTCCTAACTCTGCTTCTGTAAGAGTTTCCTTATCACTTACTGAATATCTATTGTGTCTTTTTCCCTTAATCACCTGGGAGGAACCATCTATTGTCCTGTCCTGAAGGGATTCCTCCTAGAGCTGGTCGGACCTTTGTATGATAATTAAGATTTAGATCCCCTGTTAAGAAACCTGCTGGGTTAAGGATTTTTGATAGGAAGGCTATGGATTGTCAGTGGACTCAGTGCTTTTGGGCTGTGCCCTTGTTTACACTGACAACAAGGTGGGATTTGAGTGTTATAAGGTTACAGAGAAGACCTTCCATTATCAATTATAGGTTTTAAATTTACCCTGGCTTTTAAAGAAATAAGGTACACTTTTTTTCTTTACTACCTCTATCTCTGTCTTTCTCTTTGACTTCTTTGTCTCTCTTTCTTTTTCTGTTTCTGACTCCCTCTTTGTCTGTCTCTTCCTGTCTCTCTGACTTTCTGTCTCTCTCTTTCTCTCTTTCCTTTCTGCTGATCTTTCCCTGCCTCTGCCAGCCACTTATGCTGCTGTTCTCCCCTCTCCTTCCCCTTTTTGATGGCTTCGGCAGTGTAAGACTGCCACCTCCTCGGGTTTTTGCACTGTGTGCAGTAACTCCATGATTTCCTTGTGGTATTTAATGGGGGTTCCCCAGAGGTTTGGAACTCCCTTTCTTTCCATATTGCAGCTTGGGCATATAGGATTAGATAAGCATACTTGCTATCTGTATACACATTTATTCTTTTTCCCTTTCCCAGTTCTAAGGCTTGGGTACGTGCCACTAGTTCTGCTAACTGGGCGCTGGTCCCTGGGGGAAGAGGCTTACTTTCAAGTATAGTTACATCACTAACTATGGCATAACCAGCCCTTCATATTCCATTCTCCACAAATGAACTTCCATTGGTATATAGGTTAAGGTCCATTGGTATATAGGTTAAGGTCAGGATTAGCTAAGGGTACTTCTAAGAGATCATCTCGGGTGGCATAAGTCTGGACTATAATTTGTTGGCAGTCATGCTCAATTGGTTCCCCATCCTCTGGGAGAAAACTGGCAGGGTTGAAGGCCACACATGTACATATTTGAAGCACCATTCCCTCAAGGAGTAGCACCTGGTTTCTAAGCAGGCAGTTGTCTGTTAGCCACAAACTTCCTTTGGCACCTAGTATGCCATTTACATCATGAGTAGTCCAGATAGTTAGATCCTTTCCTTGCATTATTTTGATAGCCTCTGACACTAAGATGGCCACCGCCACAAATACCTGTAAACAGTGAGGCCAGCCTTTTGCTACTACATCAATTTCCTTACTTAGGTATGCCACTGGTTGTGGAGTGTCTCACGAGTCTGAGTAAGGACTCCAAGAGCTATTCCTGCTCTCTCTGTGACGTATAAAGAGAAGTTTTGTCCTGTGGGAAGGCTTAAGGCTGGAGCTTGAGTTTGTTCCTTCCAATGTCCAGACTTCAGGGTTGATTCCCTCCTCAGGCAGGGGACAACAAATGGGTAACTTGTTCCCCATATTAATGTAGATAATAGCTCAAGCTTTGGCTAATATGGCCCTCCCTAATAAGGGTATGGGACTTTCAGGCATAACAAGAAAGGCATGGGTAACGGCCCTTGAGGACAGCTGTCTGGGACAGGAGATTGACACTGAGAAAGCCACGCCAGTGTCCAGGAGGAAGTCAATTTCCTGGCTCTCAATGGTTACACATACCCGGGGCTCAGTGAGGGTGATGACATGAGCTGGCACATGCCCCAGGCACCCTTAGTCCTGTTGTTGGATCATCTGATTCGGGGCTTCTGGCCCAGAGAACATTTGCCCTCTGGGGAAGTGTGCCTTCCAGTGATTGCCTTGGCACAGTGACATGGGCCAGGGGACAACTTGTTTCTCGTTGGACAATCTTTTTTAAACTGTCCTTGCAAACCACACTGATAACAAGCCCTACTGGGTCATTGGTCTGCTCCATTTTCTGTCCTCTCTGAACCACCAAGGTTTGTGTGTCTGAGGGCCGTGACTAAGGCTGTGGCCTTTCTCTGATCTTGCTTTTCCTTTCGGGCGTGTTCCTCTTGGTCCCTATTATAGAACACCAAGGTTGCCAGGCTTAATAATGCCTCCAGGTTTTGTTCAGGGCCCAGGGCTCGCTTTTGGAGCTTTCTCCTGATATCTGCAGCTGATTGGGTAATAAACTTATCTTTTAGAATCAATTGACCCTGGAGTGACTCGGGCGACAGGGGAGTATATTTTCTTAAGGCCTCCCGTAGCCACTTGAGGAAGGCAGAAGGATTTTCTTCCTTTCCCTGAGTTATGGTGGACATCATTGAATAATTCAATGGCTTCTTCCTAATTTTCCTTAGTCCTTCTAGAACACTGGTCAACAGATTTTTACGTCTCCATTTCCCATGATCTGAGTCGAGATCCCAGTGGGGATCCATACTGGGGATGGCTTGCTGACCAGTAGGGAATTTGTCCCTTGCTTCGGCCATCATTCTATCACTTACTTGACTAAGATACCAGGTATCTCCAAACTCTCAGGCTGCAGCTAAAGCCATGTTCTTTTCATTAAAGGCCAGGGTTTGATCTGATATCATGACGTCTCTCCAAGTGAGGTCAGAGGTTTGTCCTAAGCCCTGTAGAACATCTACGTATCTACCAGTATCATCTGAAAACTTCCCCAGGTCTGCCTTGATCTGCTTTAAATCAGAGAGGGAGAAGGGGACATGTACACAGGTTGGGCCAAATTCCCCTCCCCCTACAGCTTGAAGGGAATGTCCATATAGCACTATGTGGAAGGTTTTAAATATAAAGTTAAAATTATTCAAATGTTAGTATTTTTCTCACCCCAAATGTAGTAAGCACGTTGCATGTCTTTTATTTCTGAATTTGATCTTTGGGGCAGCTTCATCTCAGATGAGTATAGAACACATGAGTCTTTACGCAGTCTCATCTTTTTTCTTTTCTTTTCTCCTTTCCTTTTCTTTCCTTTCCCTTCTTTCTTTCTTTCCTTCTTTCTTTCTTTCTCTTTCTTTCTTTTTTTTTTCTTTTGAGACAGTCATAAGATATAGGCAATGGGAATTTCACCATTAACTTGAAAATGTCTTGCCTGCAGCCTTCCTTGTTCATTATTCCTGAGACGGTGGAATTTTGGGGGCAATTGTGAAATCAGCCTAATTTTCCCCACATACTGAATATTTATGAATTTTTTGAATAAATACGGAAACTGACCCTCTTAGTCTTAAAATTTTTAAAACCCGTATTTGTCTTACCCGAGTTCCTTGGTCAGGAAAGCAACCATCAACCCTCTCAGATAGTATTAAGAAGTGGAAACTCACCAGATCATGGCATCTGGACAATGAGATACCACACCCCTCACCCATCACGATTGCCCAACTGACTACCTGATGCCTGCTTACCAACTACTTTTCCTCACCTCTTTCTAATTCCTGTTTTTCCACAAGTAGTTAGTTACATTTCTTCCCTGTCATATAAACTCCTAATTTAAGTCAGTTGACCAAACACAGCTGAGACTTGGCCTCCCATTCTCTTCGGATGCAGCACTGGAATAAAGTGGCCTTACCTGGCAATACTCATCTCAATGACTGGCCTTCTGTGCGGTGAGCAATAGGACCTAGACTGAACCTCTGGCATTCTGATAGCAGTTGTTGCACTTCTGTGCTGAAACTTGCAGAAACACAGGTACAAGACAATTAAAACATATCATTTTACAGAGAAAATCTATTTAAATGCTCATGTATTGAAAATAACTAACTCGGTTTCCAGTAGTCCCAGAAAGAGTAAATCTGAAGGTTATCTTTCCTTTTTTTATTTATTTATTTATTTTTATTTATGTATGTATTTTTTATTATACTTTAAGTTTTAGGGTACATGTGCACAACGTGCAGGTTTGCTGCACCCATTAACTCGTCATTTAACATTAGGTATGTCTCCTAATGCTACCCCTCCCCTCTCCCCCCACCCCACAACAGGCCCCAGTGTGTGATGTTCCCTGAAGGTTATCTTTCTAACATGACATTCCCTTTTTCTTTAAATCTGACATTATAATTGTTATTAATGTAGTTCTGAAAGTTAGGCAGATAACATGTGCAATTAGAAGAACAAAAGATGAATTTCTTCCAAGGGAGAAGGGGATTTTGAGGGGCCTGAATCCTGTTTTAGGGATCCTCTTGTAAGAAAACAACACAAAATATTTAACTTTGAACATTTTATAAACTATGCAACTGTGTGAGCACCAGTCTAAGACTCCTTTAGGGCTTTGAAATAGGCCGTGTGTGAGATGACCTGGTCTCTGGGTTTTATTAGCTTCTTTAGGGTATACTGATAGCTAATTTCTTTACATCACATGAAGCCTGTGTTGTAAAGCGTAATACACAGGGGGTTGTATTAGAACCTGAGATGGCAAGGAAGTTCTTGTTCAAGTGATTTATTGAGGAAGGAAGCGAGTGAAATACAAAAGATTGGTCAGGGAAACAAATAAGCAAGTGTGTGGTCTTGGCTAGGGACTAGCTTCTGCCTAACCGTAAAGGGACTCTGGAGTGGAAAGTACACCAAAACTGGTCCTGAGTCAAGTCCAAGGAGCCAGTCTTTGCCGTGTTTCAGTTGTTTGTTAGCATTGGACAGCTGGAGAAGAATGCCAAACTTTACTGTGAAGGCCTCTTTTACTTTTTAAAAATGATTATCTTATTTTTTACATTGACAGATAAATTATATATATTTATCGAGTACAACATGATGTTCTGAAGTAGAGAGTAGTATGGTGATTATCAGGGGTGTGGTGGTTGATGGGGGTGCATTGGAGAAATGTTAGTCAAAGGATACCAAATTTCCATCAGACAGGTAGAAAAAGTTGAAGAGACCTACTGTATAACCTGGTGATGACGGTTAATAATATATTCTTACAGTGTTAATGAATTCTGAAAAAAGGCTAAGAGAATGGATATTAAGTGTTCTCACCACAAAAATAATAACTATGTGAGTAATGCATATGCTAGTTAGCTAGATTTTGTCATTCCACAACAAAGGCTTCTGACACTTGCAGGCAGTTCTCCAGAAAAGGAGTGCATTAGTTTGTTTTCACACTGCTAATAAAGACATACCTGAGCTGAGACTGGGTAATTTACAAAGGAAGGAGGTTTAATGGACTCACAATTCCACATGGCTGGGGAGGCCTCACAATCATTGGGAAAGGCAAAAGGCACATCTTACTTAGCTACAGGCAAGAGCTTGTGCAGGGGAACTCTCATTTATAAAACCATCAGATCTCATGATACTTATTCACTACCATGAGAACAGCATGGGGGAAACTGCCCCCATGATTCAGTAACCTCCACCTGGACCTGCCCTTGACACATGGGAATTATTACAGTTCAAGATGAGATTTGGGTGAGGACTCAGCCAAACCATATGAAGGGGGCAGCTTTGAGGTGTGACATTCATGTTAGCTAGAGAATGAGTATCCCAGACTCATTAATGGGATGTGTCAAGGCACAGACTGTACTCACCACAAACAACAAATACATTCTAAAAATAATTCAAGCACACTAAACTATTAAGTGAACTCTTTAAATAATGTAATAATAATTATTACCAAAATGTTATTCACTGCTGATTGTTCTAGAAGGCATGGGTTGTTTATTTTGTCATTTTTTATGCCAACATTCAATTAACTTGCATAAAGTTGTGCAGGCTGGGTATTTCATAACCCTAAAAGAAGTCATTCAAATTTTAAATGTTGCATATATTCTATTTGTTTTGACATTTTCTCCCCAGTTGGAAATACAGTAGCTTGAGGCTACAGCACCTTTTCCCAATACCAATAAAGATGTCATATGGGTCAGTAGGGCCTCTACTTGTTACTATTTATTAAATGTCTCCTGGGCTATTGAATATATTTATTCTCTGATAGCCAGCAAGGTTGTAGAGATTATGCTAGGGTTCCCAGAGAGGAACTCATCATAAAATGAGCTATTTTCTTAAGGGAAAATCATGTAACTTTAATCTTATACGTTTTTAGTCTATCAGAACACTGTATAATTTTTATTTGCTATGTAGCGAATTATCACAAATTTAGCAGATTAAAACAACCATTATTTATTATCTTACTATATTTCAGGTCGACAGCCTAGGCTGCACTCAGGAGGGGTTTTTGAGGTTTTACATGCTACAGTCAAGATGGAAGCTAGGCTGGGAGTCTCATCTGATTCTTGCAGTCTTCTTCCAATTACATTCAAGCTATGGGTAGAATTCAGTTCCTGCAGCTTTAGGACCTCAACTCTTTGAAGATGCTCTTCTCCCTAGGCAGCTCAATACATGATTGTATGTTTCACCTTTCTTAGAGGGCAGGAGGTCAGTCTGTCTGACTCACTGCACCCTTTTCAAAGACCTCTCCTAATTAGGTCAAGCCTACCCAGGATAACCTCCATATTAGTTCATACCAAGTCAACTGGTTAGTAACCTAATCATAGGAGTAATAACACATCATATTTACATGCCATACTCACACTCAAGGGGAGGGTGTATAAAAAAAGGCAGAAATCCTGGGGACCATCTCAGAATTCTGTCTACCACAAACAGCAAGCTCACAGACCTGGATGATTGTATTTATCATTGAAGTGAGAAGATGTGAGGTGACTGTCTTTTGAAGGTTCTTTGGAGAGAATACATACCCTCTCACCAGTTGGTAAGCTCCAACAGCTGTTTATTTTATCTTCCAAAGTTAAAAAGCATATAATTTTAGGGTATTTATATCAACCTAAAGTTAATCAAATGGAGAAGAGTTGAGGCTCAAATTCTAGCTTGTGGTAATAACTCTGGGCAGCAGAATTCAGGATTCTGGTATTGAAATGGGAGTTTTTTTTTTCTTTAACATGCAGTCATAAAATAAACCATATTTTCATAAATAGCAATATTCTAAGATGATCATAAAATTTAATCAGAACGAAAATTGATATTAATCTTATTTTAATGATGTAGTAAGTATGGATTTATGCTCTTCTTTTAAATTATTTTGATTTTTACCTGACATATAATAATTGCACATATTTATGGGGTACAATATGATGTTTTAATACGTTTCAAATCAGAATACTAAATATATTCATCACTTTGAACATTCATCAGTTTTGTGTGGTAAGAACATTCAAAATTGTCTCTTCTAGGTATTCCGAGATATACAATACCTTATTATTGACTACAGTCATCCTACTGTGCAATAGAACATCAGAATTTATTTTTACTTTCTAATTGTAGCTTTGTACTCACTGACAAGCCTCTTTCCGTCCTTCTATCACCCTCTCCTCCCCAGTCTCTTATAACCACTATTCTATTGACTACTTCAATGAGATCAACATTTTTAGATTCCATATATGAGTGAGATAGTGCAGTATTTGTCTTTCTGCTCCTGACGTATTTCACTTAATATAACATCTTCCAGGTTCATCTATTTTGTCACAAATGACAGGATTCTCTTCTTTTTATGACTAAATAGTATCCCATTACACATGACATTTTCTTTATCAATTCAATCTTTGTTGAACATGTAGGCTGACTCATACCTTGGCTATTGTGAAGAGTTCTTCAATAAGCAAGTGCAGACATCTCTTTAGCATACTGATTTTATTTCCTTTGGATATATACCCATTTCCTTTGGATATATACCCATGAAATTGCTGAATCATGTAGTAGAAGTATTTTAATTCTTGAGGAACTTCTATACTGTTTCTATAACAGCTGTATGAATTTACATTTCCACCAACAGCATGTGAGAGTTCGTCTTTCTTTACATGTTCACCAACACTTGTTATCATTTGTCTTTTTGATAATAGCTATTCCACCTGGAGTGAGATTGTGGCTATAACTGCATTTCCCTGATGTTTAGTGATAATATTGAGCATTTTTAAAATTCTTTTTGGTCTTTTGTGTGTTTTCTTTTGAGAAATGTTTATTAAGGTTATTTTCCCATTTTTAATTGCATTATTTGTGGGGGTTTTTGGTTATTTACTTGTTTGTGTTCGTTATGTATTCTGAATATCCAGTCCACATCAGATGTATAACTTACTAATATTTTTCTCATTCTGGAGGTTCTCTCTTCACTCTGTTGCTTGTTTCCTTTGTTGTGAATAAGCTTTCTAGTTTCATGTAATCTCATTTGTTTATTTATGCCTTTGTTCTCTGTGCTTTTGAGTATTTATACAAAAAGTTCTTACCCAGTTCAGTGTTGTGAAGCATTTCCCCTATGTTTTCTTCTAGCAGTTTCATAGCTTTGGGTCTTAAATAGAATATTAAATCAATTTAGAGTTGAACTTTGTATATGGTTAAAAATAGGGGTTAACTTTTATTCTTCTGCATACAGATACCTAATTTTCTGAACACCATTTACTGAAGATACTGTCCTTTTGCCAATGTGTGTTATTGACATTTTTGTTGAAAATCTGTTGGCTGTAGATGCATGGATTTATTTCTGAGCCCTCTATTGTGTCCTGTTGGTCTGTTTCCGTTTTGACACTAATACCATGCTGTTTTGGTAGCATGATGTCTCCAACTTTTGTTGGCTAGGTAAAGGGATATCTCCAGCTTTGTCTTCTCTCTCTCTCTCTTTTTTTTTTTTTTTCAAAATTGCTTTGGCTATTCAGTGTCTTTTGTGATTCCGTATTAAGATTTTGCTTTCTATTTTTATGATTGTTTTCTGTGTGTCTGTGAAGAATATCATTGATATTTTCACGGAGATTGTATTGAATTTGTAGATTGCTTTGGGTAGTATGGACATTTTAACAATGTAATTCTGATCCATGAATACAGAATATCTTTCCATTTATCTATATTTTCTTCAATTACTTTTATCAATGTTTTATAGTTTTCATTGTAGTCATCTTTTACCTCCTTGGTTAAATCTACATCAAGGTTTTTTTTTTTTAGTAGCTATTGTGAATTATATTGCTTATTGCTTTCTTTTTAAATATTTCGCTATTAGCATATAGAAATGTTACTAATTTTTATATCTTGTTGTTGCATTCTATAACTTCACTGAATTTGTTTATTAGTTCTGTTTTGGTGGAGTCTTTAGTGTGTTCTGTATATGAGATCATCTCATCTGCAAACAGGGGCTATTTGTCTTCCTCTTTTCCAATTTGCCCATCTTTCATTTTTTTTTATTGTTTAATTTCTCTGGCTACGACTTCCAGTACTGTGCTAAATACAGTTGGTGAGAGTGGGTATCCCTGTCTTGTTCCAGTTCTTAGCAAAAACGGTTTCAGCTTTTTGTCATTTAGCATAATGCTAGCTGGCCTTTATTGTGTTGAGGTAAGTACTGTTTTTACCTAATTTGTTGATAGTTTTTGTCATGAAAGGATACAGAGTTCTGTGAAATGCTTTTTCTGCCTCTATGGACGTGATGATATGGTTTCCCTCATCTTTCTGCTAATGTGATGTATAACATTTATTAATATATATATTTTAATCCATCCTTTCATCCCTGTGATAAACCCCAGCTGACCACTGTGAAAGATCTTCCTAATGTGCTATTGAATTCTGTTTGGTGATATTTTGAGAATTTTTACATGTATGCTTATCAGGGATATCAACTTGTGGTTTTCTTTTTGTTGTATTTGGGTCCTTATGTGGTTTTGGTATCAGGGGAAGACAGCCTTGTAGAATTTTTGGAAATATTACTTATTCTTCAATTTTCTGGAATAGTTTCAGAAGAATTGGTCTGAATTGTTCTTTAAAGTTTAGGTAGAATTCAACAGTGAAGTCCTCAGTAGCTGGGCTTTTCTTTTATAGGAGAAATTTTACTATTGATTCAAATTCCTTACTTGTTATTGGTCTGTTCAGATTTTCTATTTCTTCATAATTCAATTTTGACAGATTGTATGTGTGCAGGAATTCATCTGTTTCTTCTAGGTTATTCCATTTTTTGGGTATAACTTCACAATTGTCTCTCATGATCCTTTGTCCTATGATATTGGTTGTAATTTCTCCTTTTATCTCTGATTTTATTTGTTTGAGTCTTATCTCTTTTTCTCCTAGTTAATATAACTACCGATTTGTCCATTTTACTTTTTTTTAAGCCTACTTTTAATTTCTTCAGCTGTAATCCAGATAAGCAATGCCTGGGAGTGCCTTAGTGGTCTAAGTTGCAGGATTTTGTGTCTGCAGCAGTGCTGCCTTGCTGGAGGCAGGGTCTTCCTGCTGGTTTTTAGGCTGAATGTACATGCATATGATGAGTTTCCTGTCCGGGGTCAACTTCCCTGCTGTGCAAGACTGCCTTCTTTGGGGAGGTAAGGTGCCATGTGGGCTCTGTTGCCAGAATCACTGCAGTTCAGCTAGGCCTAGGCTCAGAACATCTGCATTCGTGGTTCTTCATTCACATGCATGAGTCTGGTAGAATAACAGTGGAGCCTTGAGGATGGAGAGCTGCAGTGGCTTTTGGCCCTCATAGCAGGCTGCATTCTATCAGTGGTTTCAGTTTCAAAATAAGGCCATGCCATAGCAGTTTGGGTCACGGTGGTGCAGAGTGCAAGATGTGGGCTCCTACCCTGTAGCAATGTAGCCCTGTGAACTGCAGCCAGCTCACTAAACTGAGCTCAGCGCCTATGGGATTCTCCTGTAGCAAGGGATGCAGATGTCTGCCACAGCAATGGGGAATTCTAGGGGCCTGATGCCTATACTCTTCTGCAGGAGAAGCTCCTCCTGGCCCTGAGCCCCTCCCAGCAGGGAAGATAAAGTGGCGGAGGCAGGATTCTTTCCCCTCCTCTTTATGCCGCCATCCTGGCTTTTCTTGACTCACAGGGTCAACACTCCCTTGTCCTCTAGGACTTTCTTTCAGACAATCTAGTTGAAATGTATTTGTTTATTCAATGGTGGTTTTTAAAATTTATTTGTTTTTTGGTGGAAGGAAAAGAGCCAGACACCTCTTATCAGTCATGTTGCTGACATCACTCTTCTAATTATATTTAAAATAAGTTCAAGTACCTAGATTATATTTAATAAAGATATATGATTCACAAATGGTCAAGTATACTAAGTAGTCAGGAAAAAATATATATGTAGAAATAGATAGAGATATATTGATATATATATATATTATATATAGTGATTTATGTTTTGACTTTCTGGTACCTGTAATTTAATGCATTAAAAGTATTGACCTTTTAATATTGATGTCATTCCATTAGAGATGATTGCCTGAACAGGTTATAGTGAAGCTTTAAAAAATAATTTAGTTAAAAATTATCACAAAAATAAGTTAAATGTCTACACAGAGAAACTGCTTTCAAGGCCCGCATTTGAACTTTATTCTGCAGCATTTGCTTTAATACAAAATTAAACAAGTTCAGACCAACTAGAGCAAGTGTTGTTAGAATGATTTAATCAAATCATATATGGAATAATCTAATACAAAGTATTTTCATCTTTACATTGCAAGGTAACCGAGACATATTCTATTTAATTGCTAAATAGTTGGCATATTGTTTCTATACAATTTTTATTCATTTATGATTCATACCCCCTACAAACAGGGACAAATTTGAGGTAGGTTTCAGTGTCTTATAATTGAAGTCTGGAACATGGTCTGTAATAGCATATGATTTGTTTGTCCCACAATTGCATTGTTTTTAGGCAATTTTGTAACTAATTAAGATCAAGTATTTTCAATTCAATATACATTTTTCTACTATATACACACTGTTTTCATATACTGTATATACTATGCTATATATATACTATATACATTGTAACATATACATAAAACACTCTATATATACACGCATTATATACTATGCTACATATACATATACTACAGTTGACTTTATGTTTTTAATATACATTATTTCTACAGTATACATTTTTCTACTATATTTTATATTTGTTTTTCCCCAGATTAATACATATATTACTGACCCAGCAATTCCACAAGTTTTATTGAATTAATGTAATTTTAACATACTTCAAATGATACACATTTTAATAACATCTGTAATTCATTTGTTGCCTGCTGTGTTCAGATGTTTATTATATACATATTCTAATCTCAGAAAAATGTGACAGTATCACATTTCAGAAATAAGAAAGTTGTATCTTAAAAAGATTAAATAATTTTATTTAGTTCATTCACTTAATAAGAAAAATGACCTGGGATGCAGATATCCTATCTCAGTAGATACCAATTAAATGCTTTGTCAATTACTTAGAATATTTGTACATATATATTGACAACCATTAAAATTATGTTTCTGAAAGAATATAGGACATATTTTACATCTAATTTTAAATTTGGATGCTATGTTGTTTCACACTACCTGTAATATCAACCAAATTGCATGTGATGTGTATGTACTCAACATTTATTCAACAAATATTTACAGGTTGTCTACTAATTCCAGATATTGTGATAAGAGTTGGAGATACAGTTGCATATATGTAGAAACACTTACACACAGATGTAGAAGTAGAGACACAGGTGCTGTTCAGCGAAAGAATCTATCATCAGAATGAACAGAAAACCTATGGAATGGGAGAAAATTTTTGCAATCTATCCATCCAACAAAGGTCTAATATCCAGAATCTACAAGGAACATAAACGAATTTCCAAAAATAAACCAAACAACCCCATCAAAAATCAGGCAAAGGACACAAACAGACACTTTTAAAAGAAGGCATTTATGCAACCAACAAACATGAAAAAAAGCTCAACATCACTGATCATTAGGGAAATGCAAATCAAAACCACAATGAGATATCATCTCACACCAGCCAGAATGGCAATTATTAAAAAGTCAAGAAACAGCAGATGTTGTCGAGGCTGTGGAGAAATAGGAACACTTTTCCACTGTTAGTGGAAGTGTAAATTAGTTCAACCATTGTGGAAGACAGTGTGGTGATTCCTTAAGAATCTAGAAGCAGAAATACCATTTAACCCAGCAATCCCATTACTGGGTATACACCCAAAGGAATATAAATCATTCTATTATAAAGATACATGCATGCGTACGTATATTGCTGCATTCTTCACAATAGCAAAGACATGGAATCAACCCAAATGCCCATCAATGATAGACTAGATAAAGAAAATGTGGCACAGAATACTCTGCAGCCATAAAAAGGAATGAGATAATCTCCTTTGCAGGGACATGGATGGAGCTGGAAACCATTATCCTCAGCAAACTAACACAGAAACAGACAACCAAATACTACATGTTCTCACTTATAAGTAGGAGCTCAACAATGGGAACACATGAACACTGGGAGGGGAACAACACGCACCAGGGCCTGTTGTGGGTGCAGGGTGAGGGAAAGCTCAGGATAAATAGCCAATGCATGCAAGGCTTAATACCTAGGTGATGGGTTGATGGGTGCAGCAAACCACCATGGCACACATTTACCTATGTGACAAACTTGCACGGCCTGCACATGTATCCCAGAACTTAAAATAAAATAAAATATAGGAAAAAAAAGAGATATAGGTGCTGTTAAGGCAGATGCAAAGGATATATACACACCTTTTATTTCTAAACTGAGCACATAACCTTACTCCTTACACTTGGTTCTTCTATAGGCGTTCCATTATTGATAAATAGTAACAGCCTTTCAGTTGCTTGGCTCAACTATATGAGTCACTTTGGCCTCATTTTTTTCTCTTCAAACCTCACAATCTGTCTTCCAGTTAAATTTCTTGGCAACATAATACTTTCAAAATATGTTCAGAAATTCAGCCACTTCTAATCAGCCAGTCGTCACTACCCTATTCAATGTTGCCACTATTTCTTACTTGAAAAATTGAAATAACTTTGTCACTGTCTTCCTGTTTTAACTCCACCACCCTTAACCTCATCCACTGCCTACGCAGCTTGAATAATTCTATAAAATATACATTGGTTCTGTCAGTTCAGAATGTGTAGTGACCTTCCAGTTTACTCAGAGTGAAGTCCCTATTATTGTAGTAATCCCTGTCCTTCCCCTTTCTAGTGTAATCTTACCTCTCCTATCATTCCCTCATCTAATTCCAGCCATTGTTGTCCCTCATTTCTTTCCACTGACTTCTAAGCAGTACTGTGTTTTTCAGGGTCTTTGCACTGCAAGTCCCCTTGCCTGGAGAAGCCTTCCTCAGATATCTGTATATAATGAATATTTCACTTCTCTCAAGTCTTTGCTCAGAAGAACCTTCTCAGTTATGCCAGTGCACTCTGAGTTATTTAAATTTAAAATTATCCTCCACACCTACTGCCCTTTCTGTTGCCTTTTTCCATTTCATCCTAGTACTTATAACTATGTAACATATTATATATTTTAAAGTTTTGGGTTTAGCATATGTCTCTCCGTTCCAGAATGTAAGCTACTTGAGGGCAGGGATGTTTTCTTTTTAATTCTGTTCAGTTTTCACAGCACTTCAAAGGATGCCACTCTCTAATTTAGCTATGAAAAAGTACTTATTGATTGATTGATTGAAAAAACATATGTAAAGCTATAATTATAATATGTAATATTTTTATATTCATAAATGATTTCAAATTTTTACATCAGTTGAAAATAAATACTGAGTGTATGAAAACTGAGTAGAAAAGGAATGATGTTAATAGTTTCTTTAAAACACACAAATCATTCAGGAACTTTTTGTAATGTCAAACAATGTGACATTAAATGAGCTAGAGAAAAAAAATCTACTCCAACAAAATTTGGGTTTACTATACCATATAGGATTTTTCATGTTAGAAATTTATTTTTAAAAAGTGTGAACATTTATTAAGCTATAAATACATCAATCTAAATCAGTGCTGATTGACATAAGTACCTCTCTTTTGAAGTAAGCCAAACAATTTAAAATCTTTGACTATGGAAAGCAAGTTACACATCTGCAGACTTTTTCTATCTAAAATCATATTCTAAGTTAAAAAGTAATTGAATTAATTAAATCATTGTATCTTTATGAAATATATTTCCATTTACCCTAATTTTAAATATAACATGTTACCTACATGCTAATGAATTAAGCCTTTGCGTTTGTATCTGTACTTGTCAGTGGATAATGAATGTGTACCCCGAGGCTGTCTGTAGTAATAAATGCCCCTTATTTACAAACTATGTTGTCTCCAGAAATGTTAAACAGTCTTTCAGAATTGCATGTCACAGTGACCAGCTTTTCAGTTATAAACTCTCATTTTTACAAGATCATAACTCAAAGGAAGTACTTGCACTTGTCTGAACTGCCATACAGGTGACAGCTGATTAGCCCATTTCTAGTACAAGATAGTTAATGTTCTTGTAAAACCCCCAACGTGACGTGAGCCTACTCATGTCTATCAGGCAGTGCTTAAAGTAGACTGACAGATGATGGGCTGAGGGAGTCAGCTATTTTGAAGACGAGTGTTTCCTTAATATTTATTACCCTTTATTCCTGAATTTAGACTGTGAAAAGGTGGACTAGAGGGTGTTTTAGCTCAGAAACAAGATACAACTTTTCAATGACGATACAAACTAGATTAAATAAAATGAGAATTCTGTAAAGTGTCAATCCACGGACACTTCTGGAGTGGGTCAAGGGGTGGCCCCCCAAAAATATATGTCCACATCCTGGCCCTTGGAAAACTGTGAGTGTGAATTTCTATGAGAAAATGGTCTTTGTAAATGCAATTAAGGGTCTTAAAATGAGATCTTTTGTATTATTTGAGTAAACCCTCAATCCAATGACAACTCCCCTTACAAGAGAAAGAAGACACAGACAATGAAGAGGAGGAGGCAGCGTGACTGCAGAGTTTTGAGGGATGCAGCCAGGGAAGTGAGGAGTGCCGGGAGCCACCGCGAGCTGGGAGAGGTAGGCAGAATCCTCCCCTAGAGCCTTCAGAGGGAGCACAGCCCCACCAAAACCTTGATTTGGGGACTTATGGTTTTCAGAACTCTGAGATAATAAATTTGTCATATTAAGCTACCTAGTGTGTAACAATTTGTGGTGGCAGCCCTAGGAAATAATACACTGTTCCAAAAACCCAGCTGTGCTTGAATTAAACAGGAAAGGGATTTCGTGATAAAAGGTACAAGGAGCTCATTGAATAACTGAAATGGCTGGAGAACCACTCTGATAAATAAGCATTTATCCAGAGAGGCTAAGTAGCCACGTCTTCTGCTCTGATCACTACACAGAATCTTCCAGAGAGAAGGTGATCTAGCCAATATCCCACACACAATCATCAACAGACACTGGACATAGCCTCTGGCACAGTGACCATTGTGGCCCTCAGAAAATGCTGCAGTAGCTACTGCGTTTCTAGCTCAAACATATAAGGTGAGGAATTCTTCCCAGGCAGTATCAAACTAATAAAAAATGAGGTCACTGCTTTTAATCATAATATTGAGTCTTTTTAGAAACCATATGAATTAATCTATTTTTCCACATTATGATAAATCATAGCTAGGTAATAATCCATTACAATTAAATCTCTGAGAATATTAACCCAGTAATTCTTGTAAATGATGTCCATTTGAAACCCTTTTTAGATATGAAATTAAAACTAGTTCAATTTGAAATGTGTAAATCTAGTTAAGACTGCTTTCTATATTGTCACACATCATCATTTATTATAAAAAATGAAATGAAAAACTCTGCTGAATTTGTTTATGTAGCAATCTCTAGAGATAAATAGGAGAGTGCATGTTTTGTATCATATTTTAAATTACATTACTATCCTATTAGTTATGGTTTTAGCTTATATTGGTATTTTTGCAAGAAAAGAAAAAAGACCTGAAGGCAAGACATGATTAAGACTGGGTACTTTATAATATGTCGAAAGTATATTGAGAAGACTCTCAATCACTAAAGAAATATATCAATTTTGCATTATAATTTATAAAAAATAATTTATTAAACTATGACAGGAAATTATGAAAAGTAAAGTAACCTGTATAATTGGATTGATGCCATATTAACAATCAGAATATCTAAGATCTTGTTAGTTTCATCATTACTGTGTTTAGTCATAGGCCAATTGAAAAATCTTTCTGCATATTTTAGGAAAAAGGGGAAATAATGTTCATTTCCTAATATTCTTATAAGAATCACATACTACTCATGCATCCTTTCTTCCTATCTTCCTTCATTTTTTCCATGAACTATGTATTGTATCAATGTAACTGCAATTGGAAATATGTGTATAACTATCAATAATTATTCCAAGCTCATGGGGGCAGCCATGTAAAACATTGTAAAAACATTTGCAACAGAATGGAGATAAATTAGGATATGCTTAGCTGGTCCAAAAAGCCAAAAGATACATAGATCCAAAGCATGAGAGGTTGAAATGTAAATTCTCCTTTTCTATACACAATGCGGCCAAATGATTTTCAGACTTCCTATAATTGTATCAACAGAATTAATCACAGTCTTTCTTTTGAGAAAAATATAATGCAGAGTTAGGGTGGATTTTTCATAATGCTTTATTATTGCGCTCTTTCATCCTTAAAATATTAGGAGCAATGAGATAATGTTTCTCCATAAATTTTTATTCAAAACCTGTTCAGGTGAATAACTAAGGCTGTCGTCAACAATGTGTGTGTTTGTTTGCCTCATGAGGAAGAGACCAAGACTTTACCAGCATAGACTTACTCTGCTTTCCTGAGGTCAGGAGTCCAATAGCAACCACTACCTCTTCCTAGGACTGTAAAACATGTCTTACTTAAAGATAATAAATGACTGAAAATAGAATAATCATTAAAGAAATATTAAGGCCACTTTTTAGCCTAGGCCAACAATTCTATTTCTACTCTATTTCTTAGTTAAACTTTGGTGATATTATCCAATTTTTTAAAGTAGATTTTGTACAATCAATTCAAATGGCAATATTAAGTATGCAAATTATATTATCAAATGAGCTTTTTGTCAGATTACTAGGAAAAAATTTAAGTTGGTAATAATAATTAAAATAATTAAGTCCAGTATTCCACCCTTTTAACTTTGGCTTTTCTTCAATCTCAGCCACAAACTTTCATGTAATATAGGTGGAGCCAAGCAATTTCATTAGTTATATCTTCATGTTCTCCTCCTGGCAGCTGTAAAATTCTTTTAGCACTTCTCCAGCTAAATTAATTCACTCTGCAGTCTGCCACATACCTACTGTTTTTAAGAAACATTTTTCATTAGAATATGTAAGATTACCATGACACTGAACCCATTTAAGCAAAATTTTTAAAACCACCAGCAAAACATCAGCCTCTGAAGTAATTGTCTGAATGAAAATGATGTTTCTGGAACCCACTAAAGATTTCAATACAGATCTCTATTCCTAAATTGTCATGTGTATTAAAACAACTTATTTATGTCTAGAGGAAGGTGAGCAAACAGAGAAAATACAGGTAAAAAGGAAAAAAAAAAAAGTCTGCTTGTTATTCACTTCAGCAGTATTAGCCAAGAATCTACAAACCGGCAAAATAAATGAAGCTAAGAGTAATCTCCCACTATCTATCTGAATAATTCTCTTTCTTCAAGTGACATTGAAGACATGCCTATACCCAAATGATTTCGATGCACGGTAAGTGTGCCAGTGTTCAGGCATTACTTCAGTCGTCTCTTTTCTTCCCTTGGAGAATGTCTGATGAAATCTCCTGATTTCTGTTAACCACTTGAAAGCTTAGCTTCTGTCATTTCAGAGCTGAATTGAGTGCAGGTCTGTCTAATGACATATCTTCCACTTGTGTCAGCACGTCACACATTTACGAGCACATTTCCAAGGAGAATGTATTCCCTTAAATTCTTTATTATTCTAACATCCTATTTCCAGGTATATCAAGCTACTTACCTTATATTGCCATAGTGAGATATACCAGGGAGTCTACTGAAAACTATCCACTTTTCAATACCATTTCCAGTGTCTTTCTGCCTGGGATGCATGTTTCTATATGTTCAACACTTAGCCCAAAACTTGACAACGGCTTATTCTCCAATTCTTTTCCTCCCACCTGTTACCCCAGATGTTAATTTAAATTCTTCCTCAGGATATATGAAAACTCTGTTTGGGGCCCACAATGCCTTTGTGTTTATTTTGTATTTGTTTCTAACTTAATCATAATGCTGTCATGATACCTAAAATGCTCAACACTGATCTTCATTTCATTCTCTCAAATCTTTCTAAAAGATTTTTTTCTTGTTTTGTTTTGTTTTTTATAGAAACGAAGTTTTGCCACATTGGCCAGGCTGGTCTCAAACTCCTGGCCTCAAGCAATCCACCCACCTCAGCCTCCCAAATTGCTGGGATTACAAGCGTGAGTCACTGCACTTGGCTCTTTCTAAAAGCTTTTAAGTGTCGTCTTTGGGGGTAATCATTTTAAATTGCTTTAACCAATTTTCTTTCTGACTCCTTTATTGGAACTTCATAGACCCTAATCATCCCTCCAGATATATTGACACTAGTTATACCATCTAATTCTTTGTTCTGTATTTGATATCATTTAGGAACAAGTACATCAGCTTTTCCTTTTATCATAGGTCTAAGGTGGCTTCCATAAGCTAGAAAATTATATTAGAAAAATGCATCTTATTTTATCCATGTAGTGTTTTTAATTTTTTTAATTTCTTCTATTCTGAATATAGGACTAACACATTTTTAAAACCAAGCCAATATGGCTCCATTTCTGTCAATAATATTGATTCCTAGTAAAAATATGTTTAAACATAACATTTTCATTTCCTTTGTGACATTTGGCTATTTGTATTCCATTAATAAATATATTTTTCTCAACTCAATATAAATCCAAGAAGTTTGATTGTTCAGGGTAAAAGAGTTGAGTTATAGGATGACAGTAGTAATGGTATGTGGGAGTAAAGAAAAGAGAGGTATCTGTGAGGAATTGATGATTTTTGAGATTCAAGTGTGTTGAGTGTATTTAAATGTTGCAAAAGATCTGAATGATGAAGAATTGTGTGAGCCTACAGAAGTCATGATGTAATTAAAGGCCTAATATTCTCGAGAAGAAAGCATAGATGAAGGATTGGTAGCTGAGCAGTGGAACTCTTTGTAAAATGATAGAGGAGGAAATAAGAAAGAGTGAAAATGAAGGATTCTTTTATGTTAACTAATTGGAATAAATTGGAATAAAGGAAGTACTTGTCCAATTATTTAGGTTTTTACCTATGAAAGAGAGGGACAGAGAGAGAGAGAGTGAGGAAGAAAGAGAGAGTGAGAGAGAGAAAAAAGAGGAGAGCAAAATCTACTGATGTCAGGATTGAAAAATGGAGCATCACTGCGGATAATTCCAATATTAATAGGATAATGAGAAAATATTATAAACAACTTTGTGGCAAAACAAAAGCAGATAACAAAAGTGGACAAATGTCCTAAAATCACAACTTGCCAAAACTGAGAATAGAAGAAATGAAAAATTTGAATAGCTCTCTATCTATTATTGAACTTTTATTAAGCCTTTATTTCAAAATATATTCCAGGCCTGTAAAGCTTCCCTAGTGAACTCTACCAAACATTTGAGAAGGTAATAATGCCCATCTTTCACAAATATTCTCAGTGATTCATAAAAGAAGAAAGAGTTCTAAATTCATTACGTGAGGCATTAAGTACTGCAGCACCAAAACCATACGTATATATTTTAAAAATGAAAGCCACAGCATATTGACACATAGTTTCATAACAAAATATTAGCAAACAAACTCAAAAAATACCGTGGAGAGAAATTTTTAAAATATTTAAATAAATACAAAGTATGGAATAATAATGGTAGGAAGATTCCTTATTACATAATTTGTCCTCAAATTTATATATGAACCAATACAATTCAATGGATAAGTGTTTCCAACAAATTGCTGATAAAACAAGTTTTTGGTATATATATTTATATATACAAAATAAACCTATCCTCTGACACAAACCATACACCTAGAATTAAAATTAAAAAAAAGAACTTATAGAAAATGCAAGGCTAAATTTTCATGACATTAAAACGGGAAAAAATTTACTTGTAACAAAAAAGCATTAAGGATGCTAAGGAAGGGTAGTATAAGTGGGGAAGTGGAGACGGTTATCCCATTACACCACGTGTTCTCACTCATAAGTGGAAATTGAACAATGAGAACACTTGGACACAGGGCGGGGAATATCACACACCAGGGCCTGTCATGGGGTGGGGAATGGGGGAGGGATAGCATTAGGATAAATACCTACTGTAAATGATGAGTTAATGGGTGCAGCAAACCAACATGGCACATGTATACATATGTAACAAACCTGCACGTTGTGCACATGTACCCTAGAACCTAATGTAAAATTAAAAAAAGAAAGATGCAAGCATATGTTCATTGCAGCACTGTTCACAATAGCAAATACATGGAATCAACCTATATGCTGATCAATGGTAGACTGGATAAAGAAAATGTAGGAGAGAGAGAGAGAGAGAGAGAGGAGGGAGAGAGAGAGAGAGAGAGAGGGGAGGGAGAGAGAGAGAGAGAGAGAGAGAGAGAGAGAGAGAGAGAGAGAGAGAGAGAGAGAGATGCACTATCTAACTGCACCTGCATAAAAGACACAAAGTGAGCCCAGCAAAAGAACCAATCTCCTAAAAACCATAAGAAATGAGAATAATAAAACTAATTTTATTTTTATCCATTAAACTTTGGAGTGGTTTGTTACACAGAAACAGACAACTGTAATGAGTGTTGCTCTTGAAACTTCAAGGTGAATTTAAAGTACCTGGGTATATTGATGAATTTTAAAATAGGACTCAGTGGTCTGGGGTCAGAGCCAGGGATTCTACATGCCCTACGAACTCCCACTGGATGCCAGCGATAGTGCTCTGCAGCCCACACTTTGAGTCACACAGTTCTACAGAATCAACACTTTATTTTCCCTGATTTTTTTCTCAAATCACTTCTAAGAATCTCTTTGTATTTAAACTTAAATAAATTCTCTTGTTTAAGGTTCTCTTTACCAAGGCAATGAGCATGGCAGATATGCCATTCCAGTAACATGTGCAGGCAAATATGCTGTTGAGTCTGTGCATTTATGTAACCAATATTTTGGGGCCTGAAGGAATCAACTTTGGGGATATCTTTCCCTTGAATGGCTTTTTTTTTTTTTTTTTTTTTTTTGAGATGGAGTCTTGCTCTGTCGCCCAGGCTGGAGCACAGTGGCACGATCCCAGCTCACTGCAAGCTCTGCGTCCCGAGTTCAAGCCATTCTCCTGCCTCAGCCTCTCATGTAGCTGGGATTACAGGTGCGCACCACCACAACTGACTAATTTTTGCATTTTTAGTAGAGATGGGGCTTCACCATGTTGGCCAGGCTGGTTGCAATCTCTTTACCTCAAGTGATCCACTGGCCTTGGCCTCCCAGAATGCTGGGATTACAGGTGTGATCCACCATGCCCGGCCTCCCTTGAATGTTCAAATATAATAGTTACATCTCTAATACTTAATCACCTAGGAATGTCCTCAGAAAAGGTCCATCCCTCTTGTGTTATTTCTTACAATCTTTTCTGCTGTTTAATTCTGCTATGTAATTGGCTCCAACAAATTTGGAATCTTTTTATGCTACTTCACTCTACACTGGGCAGTGCTTCTGCTGTTTTGCTTTCCTCCACATGCTGTTGTGCGTGCAAGAAAACTCTTATTGAAGTTTTGGATGAACAGAATTCAGGGTACACTGCAATACAATCAACAACTTAAAACTGAAGGATACACATTTGACTCACAGGTTTTGTTTGTTTGTTTTGTTGGCCCTTGCCTGCTTTAAGCCCTCAGTTACTGTCGTCTTCATTCTTCTTTCCTGCATAAGACGTTCATTAGTCTCCATCCCAACATTTCTTTCACTTTTCTCAGAAAATTAATTTTACTTTCCACCATTTGTACAAATCGGGATCTTGGTCTAAATGTGTTGATTCTAAACTTATGACTGTGTTCTCCTGAATCTGCTGTGGCTCAGCATTTAAAACAGTCCTGCATATAGTGATAATAAAGCTGTGCCAATAGAATGCTGCCTTGAAAATTTTCACTTTGTTAGAACTACTGAAAATGTGCATTTTTAGGAATACTAAGTGGACTGATTGCAGGGTTTAAGGTGCGAGAAATAGTCAAAGGAAAATATGCCTTCCTCTTCTATTTTGTTTCTAGACTCTGAATATCTTCCCAGACTATGACTTTTTCCTACGTCCAGAATTTCTGTCTCCCTTACAATAATTGATCACTTGAAAATTTCTGCATTCATTTCTCCCTTATTTTTCCAAATCATTATTCTGTGATAATATTAAGGAGGAGTTTAATAAATTATTAGAGGAAGCCAGAATCATTGTATTCTAACTATTGCCTAATATTAAGCTTCATTTTTATTCCTAATAGCCAAATGAAAATTGTTAACCTGGTTTTGTTGACAGACTCTGCTACCTGTAACAGATACCTGATACATTAAAGGATGCTTTTGACAGTTCTCCTTCCAGGTCGCAGCTTGCAAAGCCTCTTCTTGTTGATATGGTTGCTATTGCCATAACTGTTATCAGTCAGCCTAAACCCTATGCTTTTAGTGTGCCTGTAAAATCTATGTGCTTGTAAAACTATTCTAAGCATAATTTTTGACTTATTTTAGTTCATTATTCCAACAAAACTCTGATTTATATTATATTATTATTCCCACTTTATGAAAGAAGAAACTGAGACACAAAGACTGTAAGTAATATTTTCAGTTAACATTGTCTAAAGTTTGGAAATATCTAAGAGTGTGTACCTAAACGCATGTAAACATATAGATACACATATAAAAATAGTCATGGATTATACACATACACACATGATACATATGTTATATAAATACTCTGTGTGTTTGAAAATCTATATATCTAGATCTTATTCAGAATGTATAACAATTTAACTAGAAGCTTGGCTAAAAGGTTCATTGCTCAAATATATAAAAATTAATTAAATATTTAGGTATATTTATAATATAATTTCTGTCCCATTAACACATTAAAAATGATTTGAGGAACTGCAATTCTGCACATTCACATATAATAGTCATGTATAATCTTCATAAGAGGGGCTATGAAATGGTAAAAGTATGAAACCATGGCGTGTAAAGGCAGGCCATTTGTTTCAAATAAATTTTTTATGAAATTACTCTGAGTACAAAATTGGGGTTGTTTGACATTACCTGAGGGTATATTTTTCCACCACAATTTCAGAGTTTAAATTATTTATTCTGTCATTAAAGCCAAGGCAGAAAAATAAATGGAAATTGTCATAAAAGACAGAATTTTTTATATTGGAAATGAGTAGAACTCATTCATAAACAATACTCACATAAAAAGAAATCGTTCCAGGATGAAACATCATGCATCATGCAAAACCATTTTGGCAAAACAACTGGTACTTGGCATCATGACTATATGTATCCATTTTCCGATAATAGCCTCAGTTTCTAGTTCCTCTCCTTGTATTATTTTTAGAAGCATGCCTTTTCTTTCCTAGAAATGTCCAGGATTAGATGATAAAAGCAATTCTGTAAACATTGAACAGTTTACATCAACTTTGATCAAGTTTATAAATACATAAAATACAAATATGATCTTGATATCAGAAAATGACCATCTTAGTTATTTATAGAATGATAAAATAATAATATGGGACTCAGATAAGGAAATTATTAGAATCAGGATCAGGCAAGAAAAATAATCCTGAACTAAGAAAAAACCCAGTAGCCTTTAAATATGTCTTTTTGGGAAGGTCAAGTTATTGAAACCTATGTTTGTTTTCCTGTACTAAGCATACTCTTTCATTTATTTAATTTTCTAACAGCTCTCTGATTTAGGTTATATTATTATTCCAATTTTATGGAAGAGAAAATTAAGACACAAATATTTTAGGTAATTTGCTTACATAGTCCAAATTTTTGAAATATATATGCGTGTGGCTATACATACACCCATACAAACACATGTATACACACTTACATATAAACATAGATATCTATTACATATATACATACATATAATACATATAGATATATGTAAATGTATATATGTCTGTATGTGTGTTTTTATTGTGTATTTTATTGTGTATGTTTATATATGTGTGTATGTGTTTTTATCGTGGATGAAATATATATGCGTGTGGCTATACATACATACACACGTATACACATTTACATATAAACATAGATATCTGTTACATATATACTTACATATAATACATATAGACATAACAGATGTGTAATACATGTCTATGTTTATACGTAAATGTATATATGTGTGTGTATGTGAGTATTGATTGTGTATGTATATGTATTATATGTGTGTACACATATGCATTTAGGGCTGTGCAGTTTAAGGGAGGAAAGCTAGGTATTTGAAGGTGGATAGACATGAGCCTTTGATTCTGCCTTAGCTGTCTGTTCTTCAACAAAGTTTGTATTTTGCTTAGTCTTCAGCATTTAGTGCCATTTAAAACATAGTAACCTGACATATACCTGGTACATGGTAACCATTCAATAAATTTCAACTGATACTTTGTGTAATTTTCAAACTGATACAAGGTTAATAAATGACATCCATTCAATGACTCTGACTTAATGATATTAAAAATCGCATAATTTTGAAAATGTTCTGTAATAATAATCTTAAATGTCTCATTGAGAACTACATACACTATCTTATTCATAGAAACTATTTAGTCATGGGCAATGGTGTGAAAAAGTAAGCTTCACTGACAAGGAAGGCTGAGGGTAGAAGGAGAAGGGACAAGATATACTACCAAGAGTGAAGTGGCAAAATATAAGACATTCAAAGGGAACTGTGAAAGCCTCAAATAAACAAACATGGTGGTATTAATTTGGCAATTGGGTTTCATGTCTTGATTCCCCCAAGGACCATTCAGTTAATTACAATCTTACGTAATAATATATGAACTTTAAAACCATTACTGCATGCTTATTTTTGCCTTAGTCTGTTTACAAACGTGTGTTCAAGATGCTGATTGGTCAAATTTTACATCAGGGTTTAATACACAAATGCTTCAGCTATTGAATGTCGAAACAAAACTTTAAAGTTATCAGACACTTGGAAAGTTTATTATTCCTTCAGAAACAATTCTTTCGGAGATATACATGTATTTCCTTTAAATATGGTTAAATTTTCATATATTACTATTTATCTTACCAATATTGGATTCCATGTATTCTAATTTATTATCCTCCAATGCAATTCACTTCTGTGTTTAAATCTAACAAAGATATTTTTAAAATGTTATACCTGAGTTTACAGTTGTATGTTAAAATGATCTCTTTAATATTTCAAAACTGTGAGAATAAACAAATGACTAAAACAATCAGAAATAAATGAAAAAAATGATACAACTGATATCTCTATATACTAATGTACATACTCTGAAGTGTCATTATCATTCTAGTCATCAGAGAACAATTATATATTTTAAAACAGATATATAAATCAAACTGTGCAAATTATGTTATCAGTAAAAAGAAAATTAAATTTATTGTTATTAGAATTTACTTAGATTTTCTGAGATCAGACTATATAAGGGGAAAATTCCTAATAATGTAGTTATTTTCTTTATCACAGAATGTGCTTCATTTCCTTCATCAGTTAGAAAAAGCAGATAGCATATAATTAAAGAGATGTTCTCACATCTTCCTTTTAAAATAATCTAAATAACATATTATCTGTGAGGCTATGTTTATGGTAGGTTTTGATCTGATTGCATTTTGTGACCCAAAATATAAAAATTAAATGTGCACTAATAGACATGTAGGACAATGAAATAAACTAATTTTACTGGTTTAATCAGTGAATCAATTGAGATAATTTAAGCTTAAAATAGAAAAGATTAACACATTATAAATGACTTTTCGTAAAATAAGTCTTTCTTAGTCAACTATAGCATTCACACAGGAAAATGCACAAATCATGAAATACACAATGTGTTTTCTCACAATAAAGTCATTTGTCTAATAATCTCTGCATCCAGATGTAGACATTCTCAGTACCTTAAGAAGCCACCATAACTAAAGCCTAAACTTTCCAAATGGTAGCCACTCTCCTGCCTCCTAAAGATATGATGTAGTTTTCTTTAATTTTGATTTTATATCTAGCTTTTGTTTTTTTACTTTCTGTATGATGTTTGAAGACTCCTGCCTGTGTTTTAAGTTTCATTTTTTTGTGTGTAGTACTCCATTGTAACAATTTACCTTAAAATATTTACTTATATTAATCGTTGTTTGTAGTTAGGAATTTTAATTTATGACAGTACTATAAACTTGTATTTGGTACAAATGTGTACTCACTTCTTTTACTTAGATTGTAAAGATTAGAATTTCTGGTTTGCAGCGTGTGCTTATGTTTAACTTCACTGCATATGCCAAATTATTCTCCTATGTATCTGCACCAATTTTACTCTCAACAGTGGTTTATGAAATACCCAGTTGTTCCAAATCCTCATCAAAACTTGATTTTTATGAACATTTCTCTAAATCAACTAACTGAGGTATAATTTACTTAAAATGTACACATTTAAAGTATACCATTCAAAAAATTTTGTCAAATATATGTACCCAATTATCCATTGGCCCAATTAATATTTATAATGTCTCCATCACGCATCAAATTCCCTCATGAGCTCTGCACTCATTCCCATCCCCAGTCTAAGTAACAAATAATTAGATTTCTAAAATCATTGATTGTTTTTGCCTGATATAAAATTTCATATAAATGAATTATACTGTATGTATTCCTTTATGTCTGCCTTATTTTGCTTAGAAGTGTTAATCTGATTATGTAAAACATTCCTATTTATTGATGAGTAAGATCCCATTTTATAGATATACCACCATTTATCTATTCACCTATAAACATAAATTTGAGTTATTTTGAGTCCTAGACTAGTATTTACAAAGAAAGACTCTATAAACAGTTGTGTATAAATATCTGTATGTACATATGATTTCATTTGGGGGGAATATAGATAAAAGCATAATTAATTCCTGAGTTATGTGATAAATGCAGGTTTATTCAATAAACCACCAAGCTCTTTTACAAAGTGTTTGTACTTTTTGCACTTTCAGCAGGAATATGTGAATTTCAGTTGCAGGAACTCTTTATCACCATGTGATATAATCAGATTTCAAGTTTTAGCTACCTAGTGGATGTGAAAATGTATTTCTTTGTGATTTTAATTTGCACTTCACTGAAGATATTGAGTATATTGAATATCTTCCGTATGCATATTACTAATTCATATCTCCTTTTATAAAATTTATATTTCAACATTTTTCCCATTTTTAAATATATGTATTTTCTGGATACAAGTCTTTTGTCAGAAATTAGAATTAAATTTTTTTTGTAGTCTCTGGTTTGCATTTTCCTTTTCTTAATGTTTATATTGAGAAGTAGAATTTGCAATTTTCATACAATCCAATTCATTAGGATTTCTTTGAATTTACTGTCATAAATTCAAGACTGTCTTTCTTACCCCTTTCAGTTCCTGTGGCATTTTCAGGAAATGTACCTTATGAAAGTTCTGAAATGAAAGTTAAATAATTCAAAATATGGATTGTAAAGCAACTTAATGAGATCCAAAATAAAGTGGAAAAGCAACACAAAGAATGCAAAAGAAACCAGAATATAACAGAAAAGATAGATAGATATTTTTAAAAAGAAAGATAGTGTGGATAGTTTGTCATTTTAGTGTTCCTGTGGAGAGGATGATCGGTGAAGGCTTCTATTCAGCCATATTTCTTTGTTTCTTTGCTCCACTTATTCTTTCATTTAATTTTCCCCACAAGTTTGCAAAGAACCTAGAAACGCACAAACCTGTGCCATCCCAAAATGACTGAAATACTCCAGGATTTCTTTAGTATACTTTAACTTTCTAGCAATTGTAGGTTATACAGACATCCTGCTGCTTTTGAGATATCCATTGGTTAGGATTATAGCAGTAAATGCTGGAAATTAGAGATAAGTCCTAACCCTACATCTGATGAAACACCCTGGCATGATATCAAGTAATTGAAAAAAAAAAATTCTTTGAGATGATCATACCTCTGCTTTCCAAGCACTACATATCAGAATGCATGAAAAGATAGGCCATCATTTTACACGTAGAATCACAATGGTTCCATGTAGCTCAAGAAATGGATTCTAAATTAATATCAAGGATCATTCACTGTTTTCCTGCATTGGCACCCATTATTTTTATATACATCATAGTTATTCAATGGAGCTAGGAGTAGAACCCTAATTTTCACCGTCATAATATATGTAAAATCTTTTGAATTAGAAGTAATTAAAACTTAACTTTGGTATAATAACATTTGCAGCAATATTTTCATCCATAGTGATCCCATGGTTATTGTGAAACATTGACTTAGGTCATTTAAGAAGATCACAAAGGAACATATATTGAGGCATTTGGTGTACATGCTTACCTAGATTAGAAGCCTGTGCCACCCCCTCTCTTTTGATGTGAACAATTTGATATAGCAGCTCTCTCCTCTTCACACCTGCACATATCTCCTGGCATTTGGAGCATCCATTCGTCTAGATTAGGAATTTAGGTTGCCCCTCTTTCCCCATGCAAATAACTTGGGCAGCAGAGGTTTCTTCATTTTACACCCAGGTATATCTCTGGATCCTTGGTGGCCGACTGCTAAACCACTCCTCGAAGCTTGTGTCTCTGCTTGCCATTGTTAGACATTTTAGCTGAGCCTGCAAAGTCTGGCTCTGTCCAGCTTGTTCCTCCAATCTAGGGCTGAGCATGGAGTTTAGATAATTGTGTGCTCCACAGAGCAGTCCATTGCCTGAGGTAAAAGAGAGCTCCTCATAGTAAATAAAGATCAAACATATAACCATTGGTGTCAGCCACAGCCAGCTCTTATCCACCTACTGGACGGGAGGATGAAGTGCACAATTCAATAGAAAATCTACTGACAAAATTGCCCAGAACTAAGGAGAAGATAAGCTTCCTGAGACCTCTGCTATCTCAGTACCACAGGAGTTAGTGAGCCTGCTTACATACCCAGTAGATAGCACCTATGACCAGCATTTGAGAGCCACCATAAAAAGGGGATCTATAACCAAGAAACATGCAGAGTCTTTACCACTGAAAGCACCCAGAACCAAAGCCCAAGGATTCTACACAACATTTATTATAGTCACATTCTCAAGGTGAGGGAAATCTCATCCAAATAAAAGTAAATTTAAAAATACCAACAAGATAGTTTATCCAGATGAGAAGAAAACAGACAAACAATTCTGGAAGTATAAGCAAACATATTTTTGTGATACCCCCAAAGGCTCACTCACTCTACAATGTATCCTGACTGAAAAGAAAGTTCTGAAATGACAGTTAAATAATTCAAAGTATGAATTGTAAATCAACTCAATGAGATCCAAAATAAAGTGGAAAAGCAACACAAATAATGCAAAAAATTCAGAATATAAAAGAAGAGACAAATATTAAAAAAAAAAAAGAGAACTTCAGGAAGTGAAAAATTTACTAAAGAAATATCAAAATATAGTTGAAAGCTTTAACAATAGGATAGAACAATCAGAAGAAAGAATTTAAGAGTGTGAAGAGTGGTCTTTTGAATTAACCTAGTCAGACAAAACTTAAGCTATTAGAAATATGAGATTATGTAAAGTGACAAAACCTATGAATAATAGGCATTTCTGATGGAGAAGAGCAAAAAGTAAAAAGCTTAGAAAACATATTTGAGGAAATTTTTCAGGAAAATTTTCCTGGTCTTCCCAGATTTGTAGGCATCCAGACACAAGAAGCTCAGAGACCACCTTCAGGGTACTTTAGAACATGCACATCACCAAAACACATAGTCATCATTCTGTCCAAGCAAATGTAAAGGAAAAAATCTTAAGAGCAGTTAGAGAGAAATATCAAATCAGCTCTAAAGTAAATCCAATCAGACTAACAGAGGACAACTCAGCAGAAACCTTACAAGCCAGAAGACATTGAGGTAATATTTCCAGTCTTCTTAAAGAAAAATAAAGTTCCAATGAAGAATTTTTGCTAAACTAAATTTTAGAAATGAAAGAGATATAAAGTCTTTCCTAGACAAGCAAACACTAATAGAATTTGTCAACACTAGACAGGTCCTAAAAGAAATGCTCAAAGGATTTCTAAACACGGAAATAAAAGATGATACTCATCATCATAAAAATACATGAATGTGTAAAACTTGCAGGTCGTAAGAGAAGCAATTTCACTACATATATTGTAAAGCAACTTGATTATATTTAACATTATAACAGGAACAAAACCTCACATATCAATACTAATCTTGAACATAAATGGACTAAATGCTTCACTTTAAAGATAGAGGCTGGCAGAGTGGATAAAAGAACAAGCTCCAATTATGTAACGCATAGAAGAAACATACCTAACTGGTAAAGACATTTACAGACTCAAAATTAAGGGTTTGAAAAAGATATGCCATCCAAGTTGAAACCTAATATGAGCAGGAGTAGCTATACTTATATCAGATAATATAGAATTAAGACAACAACAGTTAAAAAATGACAAAGGGATTAATTGTATAATGATAAAGGGATCACCCCAACAAGAAAATACAACAGTTCTCAATATATATGCAGCCAACACAAGAGCACCCAGATTCACAAAACAAATACGACTTGACCTAACAAAAGACATAGGTAGTAATACAATAATAGTGGGAAACTTCAACACCCTTCTGATAGCACTAAACAGATCATGGAGTTCAAGAATCAATGTAGAAACTCTGCACTTAGATTGAGCCCTAGAAAAAATAAACCTAATAGAAATTTATAGAGCACTCTACAATCACAGACTATACATTTTTCTCATCTGTCCATGGAACATTTTTAATAATTGACCATATTGTAGGCCAGAAGGAAGTCTCAATACATTTTAAAAATTGAAGTCATATCAAATATTTTCTCAGGCCACAGTGGAATAAACTATAAGTCAATACCAACAGGAAGCCACAAAACTACACAAATACATGTAAATTAATAACCTTCCCCTGAATGATTATTTGGATAATGATTAAATTAAGGCAGGAATTTTTAAAGATTTTGAAACAAATGAAAATGGGGACTTGTTTTCCCTGAATCTACAGCATACAGCAAAGGTAGTGCTAAGAGGGAAGTTTATAGTCTTAAATATCTACATCAAAAATAAAGGAAGATCTCAAATTAAAAACCTAATGTTGCATCTCAAGGAACTGGAGAAAGAAGAACAAAAAACACCAAAAGCTAGCAGAAGAAAATGAATAACAAAAATCAGAGCAAAACTAAATGAAATTGAGACCAGAAAAACAATACAAAAACTAATTTAAAAATTTACTGTTTTGGAAAAATAAAATTGATAGACAAGTAGCTAGTTAACTAAGAAAACAAGGGAAATGATTCAAATACACACAACCAGAAATGAAAAGGTGTGATACCATTTAATACAAAAGATCATCAGAGACCATGAGCATCTTTACACAGAAGGTCTAGAAACCTAGAGGAAATGGATGCATTCCTGGAAATATACAATCTCCTAAGTTTGAAATAGGAAAAAATAGAAAACCCCAATAGACCAATAATGAGTGGTGAAGCAGAATCAGTAAGAAAAAAACTCGGCCAACGAAAAAAGTCCAGAACCAGATAGATTCACAGCCAAATTTTATGAGACATACAAGGATACCAATCCTACTAAAACTCTTCCAAAAAATCCAAGAGGAGGAAATCCTCTCTAACTCATAAAGAAGCCAGCACCACCCTGATACCAAAGCCAGGCAAGGACATAACAAAAAAAAAAATTACAGACCAAACTCCCTGATGAATATAGCTGCAAAACTCAATAAAATATGAGCAAACTGAATCCAACATCCCATCAAGAAAGATAATACACCATTATCGAGTGGAATTTTTTCCAGGCATGTAAGGATGGTTCACCATATGCAAATCAATAAATGTGATTCACCACCTAAACAGAATGAAAATAAAAAATCATATGATCATATTAATAGGCATGGGAAAAGCATTTGATAAAATTCAGCATCACTTCATGATAAGAAACCCTTAAACTAAGCATAGAAGAAACAAACTTCAAAGTAGTAAATGCCATATATGACAAACCCACAGTCCAAATCATACTGAGCATAGAAAAGTTAAAAGCATTCTTCCTAAAAACAGGAACAAGACAAGAATGCCCACTTTTATCATTGCTAATCAACATATTACTGGAAGTCTTAACTAGAGCAGTGAGGGACGAGAAAGAAATAAAGGCACCCAAATTGGAAAAGAGGAAGTCAAATTAACCCTGTTCAACTGATGATATGATCTTATACCTAGGAAACTTTGAAGACTTATTCAAAGGAATCCTAGATTTGATCTATGACTTCGTTAAAGTTTCAGGATACAAAATGAGTGTACAAAAGTTGGTAGCATTTCTATAGATCAGCAATGTCCAGGCTAAGAGCGAAATGAAGAACACAGTGCCACTTAAAATAACCACAAAGAAAATAAATTATTTAGGAATACAGGTAACCGAGGGGGCAAAAGATCTCTGCAAAGGGAAATACAAAATTCGGAAGAAAGAAATCATAGATGACACAAACACATGTAAAAATATATCTTGCTCATGAACTGAAAGAATCAATATCATTAAAATGACCAGACTGCCCAAAGCAACCTACAGATTCAGTGCAATTCCAATCACATTACCAGTATCATTCTTCACAGAATTAGTAAAAATAATCCTAAACTTGACTTGGAACAAAAAGCAAGCACGAATACCCAAAGCAATCGTAAGCAAAAAGAATAAAGCTGGAGGCATCATGTTACCTGGCTTCAAATCATACCACAACCGTATAATGATCAAAACACCATGTTACTTGTATAAAAACAGACACATAGATTAATGGAACAGCATAGAGAAACTGAAATAAAGCCACATACCTACCACGAATTGATCTTTGACAAAGCTAACCAAGATGTACACTGGAAAAAGAACACCCCATTCAGTAAATGGTGCTGAGAAAATTGCAGAGCGATATGCAGAAGAATAAAACTGGACTCCTATCTCTCACCTTATACAAAAATTAACTCAAGATGGATTAGGGACTTAAATAGAAGACATGAAACTATAACATTTTTGAACAAAACACAAAAATTTCTTCTGGACATTGGCTGAGGTAAAGAATTTATAATTAAGTCCTCAAAAGTAAATGCAACAAAAACAAAGATAAATAGGGCTTGATTAAATTGTTTCTTCACTGCAAAAGAGTAAACATACAACCTACAGAATGGGAGAAAATGTCTGCAAACAATTCATCTGACAGACGGCTAGTATCCAGAATCTACAAGCAACTCAAATGTTTTGACAAGAATAAAACCTAATATCCTCAACAAAAGTGGACAAGACATGAACAGATATTTTTCAAAAGAAGACATACAAACAGCCAATAGCCAATGAAAAAATGTTCAATATCTGTAGTTGCCAGAGAAATTCAAGTTAAAACTGCAATGAGGTACAATCTTACACCAGTCAGAAGGACTATTATTACAAAGTTAAAAACCTACAGATGTTGTTAAGGATATAGGGAAAAGGGAGCACTCATACTCTGCTTATGAGAATGTAAGTTAGTACAAGCCCTATGGAAAACAGTACAGAGAGTTCTCAAAGAACTAAAAATAGAACTACCCTTCGAAACAGCAATCCCACTACTGGGTATCTACCCAAAGGAAGAGAAATCATTTTATCAAAAAGTCACCTCCACTTGTATGTTTATCATAGCGCTATTCACAACAGCAAAGTTATGGGATCAACCTAAGTGTCCATCAATAGATGTTTGGCTAAAAAATTGTGACATAAACATACCATTAAATACTACACATCCATAAAAAAGAATGAAATCATGTCTTTTGCAGCAAGACATGGATGAAACTAGAGTACATTAACATGAGTGCAATAACCCAAACAGAAAGTTTTTTATTTTAACAGAAAGTAAAAACTGCATGTTTTGGTGGCTACACACAGACATACAGAGTATGTATTATGTCTATTATTTAATAGACACTGGAGACTGTAAAGTGTGGGAGTGTGGGAGTGAGGTGAGGGATGAAGTACTACCTATTGAGTACAATGTTAATAAGGTGATGAGTACACTAAAAGCCCAGATTCCTTCACTGTGCAATATATCCATGTAACAAAACTTTGCTCGTACCCCTAAGTCCATGAAAAATTTTTAGAATTTGAAAATAATGCATCAAGTAATTAGCATTCGGGATTACCAATACTACTCACAGTAGCAACCTAGTGATGTGTTACAGTAACACTCTGATTTATCTTAAAGGATACTGAATTTCCAATCACAAGGATGTTTCCAATACAATATTACATATTCTTACTAGGAATAATTGGCCATTAATCAACTATCTACATAACCACTTTTTTCATTTAAAAAAAATCCACTAGTTTTTATTGTTAATAAATATAAAGAGGATATACTGTTTGTTTTGCCAGAGAGCATAAAATCAACTTTATATACACAAGAGTGCTTCCACAATATTTAATATTTAAATATTAATTCAGAAAAATATTTTGAGAGCCTCCACAACACTCTTCAGAATTTTTGTAAGGATAATGAAATAGAATACAAGCATGGTTTCCATTTGCTCTCTTTTTGAATTCATGAATGAAGGAAAAGTGATAATAGAAACAAAAAAAACCAAACATTAAATCTCAACTACAGTCAAGAGAAGAGGTTTAGTGGCTCAAAATGCAGTAATGTTCTATCAAAATATTTTAAAGTAAAGCAGTCCAGTTTTATCAGTTATTTAATTCATTCACAACCTGATCTAAAGACATTTCAAAATGTATTATGTTGCTATTTGTTACTGTTTTCTTTCAGATTACAAAGTATCTAAGCACTTTGGGAGGCCGAGGTGGGTGGGTCACCTGAGGTCAGAAGTTTGAGACCTGTCTGGCCAATATGGTGAAACCCCATCTCTACTAAATATACAAAAATTAGCTGGGCATGGGGGTGCACTCCTGTAATTCCAGCTACTCAGGAGGCTGAGGCAGGAGAATCACTTGAACCTGGAGGCAGAGGTTGCAGTGAGCCGAGATCACGTCAGTGCACTCTAGCCTGGGAGACAGAGTGAGACTCCATCTCAAAAAAAAAAAAAAAAGTATCTAAGCACAACCACAAGATCATTTACCTGGCTCCATTTTACGTTAAAATTTATGTTTCCATGATAATTTCAAAATGAATAGATATCCAGGCTCTATTCTTGGTAGATTATCATCTACATAATAAGTTAATGTTCTTAAGAAGAGTTTAAAGAGGTAAATTAAGAACTCTCAGCATACCACAAAAAAATGCTGTGGGATTCTGATTTAAAGTTATCAATTTTACGTTTCATATGTACACATGTGGTCAGAAATCGTGTAAATTATGATTGCCATTCATACACTTCAGCATCTTTTCTGCAAAATAAAGATGTTATATCCAAATAGATCACTTATTGCAGGTTTACAAAAGAAATAAAACAGAAAATTCAATTGTCCTTGCGCGTGCGCGTGTGTGTGTGTGTATAGAATCCTTGCATTCCCCAGGAGTAGATCAAATATATTTATTACTCTGATAGTTGTATGTAAAACTAACTTTGGCTATTACAAATTTCATTATCCATATATATTTAGCAACATTAAAATATCTGTTGCACTCCACAATTATTCTTATAATGATATATATTACTTAATTTCCTACAGTGATACAAAACAGAGTTTAATAAGAGCATGTTTCTTGGCTATAGGAAAAATTTAAATAGGGAATGGAGAAATTAAAACTCTATTTACATTTCCTGCGACTCTGCCATTTAATTGTGTTTGTTTTTTTCAGACCCATGTTTTGAAATTAGTCAGAATATTGCTTTACCTAAACTATATTTTTAAAATAGCATCTGACATCTTTATTTTATGATATTAAATTCTGACAATTCATGGAAATAAAACAATAAGCCAATTATTGACTGGCATATGGTTGAAGTACTTTCAAGGAACTAAGGACATAAAGAAAATTTTCGTTTCACAAGAAGTACTCAACTGTTCTAATAACAAAATCATTTTCTCTGACATGAATTTGGCCATAAATAAGCATGTACCGAAAAGCTGACCATAAGTATTTTCTAGAAATTTCTAGAAAAATCTTTATTTCTCTCAAGAAAGTAAGTTGTGGCAGGGCGCAGTGGCTCACACCTGTAATTCCAACATTTTTGGAGGCTGAGATGGGAGGCTCACCTAAGGTTAGGAGTTTGAGAGAAGAAACCCTGTCCCTACAAAAAATGCAAAATTAACTGGTCGTGGTGGCACATGCCTGTAATCCCAGCTATTTGGGAGGCTGAGGCAGGAGAATTGCTTGAACTCAGGAGGCCGAGGCTGCAGTGAGCCAATATCACGCCATTGTACTCCAGCCTGGGCAAGAAGAGTGAAACTCCGTCTCAAAAGAAAAAAAAAAAGTAAGCTGGGAAATCAGACATCCATTTCCTGCTAAATATAATGACAGAAGTTGCACTGGTTTTTATCTTAGAATGATCTTGGTACTGTGGCTGATATTCCAACAAAGGGCAGTTTGAATTATTAAATAATAGAGAAAGTAATAGATCTTGAGTAAGTTCTGACATTCTGGAAAAATTAACAATGATCAAACCTAAAAATCAATTCCCAAAGGGAAAAGTGTAGCAACCACTCTCCTAGGACGTATAGACTGACTCAGCTTTAATTCTGTTAAAACAGATAAATGTATTTGCAATATCCTTACACAGAGATCCTTGTATTATACCCTAAATTATTCATTTTCATTAGAAAAACATTTTCTCTAACACAAAAATGGTGGTGTTTTGCTTTTTTTTTTTTTTTTTTGACGGAGTCTGGCTCTGTCGCCCAGGCTGGAGTGCAGGGGCGCCATCTCAGCTCACTGCAAGCTCTGCCTCCCGGGTTCACGCCATTCTCCCACCTCAGCCTCCCGAGTAGCTGGGACTACAGGCGCCCGCCACCACGCCCGGCTAATTTTTTCGTATTTTTAGTAGAGACGGGGTTTCACCATGTTAGCCAGGATAGTCTGGATCTCCTGACCTCGTGATCCGCCCGCCTCGGCCTCCCAAAGTGCTGGGATTATAGGCCTGAGCCACCGCACCCCGCCGGTGTTTTGCTTTTTATTAGACAAATGGAGATTCAGTACGATAGAGAGTAAAAATCCGTTGAATATTTTTACTTTCTATGGTACTGTAGCTAACAATTGTTTTCTTGTATTATCTAGACAATAATACTTAAGTTGTTATCAACCCTGATTTTCCAATGAGGCAAATAAATTTTTCCAAGACATTTATCGCAACATTAGCATTAATACAGATGTACAGTATATTTTAATTTCAATCTGATTTGAATGCAATAGCTTCCATCAATGATCAAGATCTCACCTTCTTCTGCCCGTGGCAGTGAGGATTCCATAGTTGGTGATTCTGTGCTCTATATTCTTATATTTCAGGGTTATTTTCAAATGGATAGCTATTAGTGAATTTCTATTAAACTGTATGCAAGTCTATAATTTCAGCTCTGTTTAGTTGGCGTTAAAATATTTTCTAGAACAAAACAATATAATTAATACAAGAGTATTTGTGATGTAAAAAATCAGAAAATGAAATTCTGCACATTATTTAGGAGACTTTTTGGTCATGACAAAAATTATCATAAATAGAAAAGTATTCAACTATATACATTTTACATTGTTTATTGTATGGTTAGGGGTGTGACGTTCAATACTAATTAGCTGTATTATGATAGAAACCTGCAATAGAATATTATGTAGCCATTGAAAAGATGAAGCAGGTCCATATTTATTGTCACGAATTTCTGTCCATGTCATATTATTGAATAAAAATGCAGGTTTTGTTAATAAATGGTATGATATTAAATACGTAAATATTTAAAATATATAAAACCATTGAATATTGTTAAAGGTGGCAGCCTTAGATGAGATATATTGTTTTTATTTTTATCTTTATGCATATTTATATACATATATATGTTTATACATATTTATAAACATATGGGATATATAATATGGAGAGAGAGAGACAAAGAGAGAGAAGATTCATCTATTTTACATCAGGACTTCGTCTATTTTACATCTATTTTCTGTTAATAGTGATTCCTAACATTTCTCCCTCACTGATCTCTTTGAAGATTTTGAAAATGACATAGGTTTACTCCTTGAGAATTTTTAAAAATAGTGTACTGCCTAAGAAATTAGACATCATTGTCAGTAACAATGACAGCTGATGTAAAAATAAATATGTCAGTCTATCTAATGGAGGGCTTTGATCATTACAGCATCGGAGTCATTAATGTGTTCATTCATTTATCCAGCAAAAATAACTGACTGCCGAATATGTGTCAGCAACTATTAGAATTAATAATGTAGTGGCAGACAAGGTGAAGTGCATAACCTCATAAAGTATTTTACTGGTAAGTAGGTAATACAAATAAATAAATGACAGCCTATTGTAATGGAGATTACTGGCAAGAAGTATCAATAAAAAATAACTGTGCTTGATAAGAGATTGAGAAAAAATAAGAGATTGATAATGATGGAGGAATTTTTTTTGTGGAGCTGGTTATAAAAGGAATCCGTGATTATGTGAAAATTGAGCAGACCTATGTAAAATAACAAGATGAATTGAAATATTTACATACTGGTTATATTGAGATATATGCCAATCTGTAACTATTTCAATTCATCCTTTTTATTTCTAACTTCAATTTTTGTGAAAAAAGAAATTCCTATTTTGTGCATCCCTGAACATGGCATAAGCTAATTCTTTCCTGAAGATGGCAAATATTTTATTTGCTAAAACAAAAACTTCCCCTACAGGAAAGAAAAAAAAATCTCTGTGTTCCACGAAGACATGGAATGTCTACAATGCTGAGTCACTATGTCCTACTGACCTGTCTGTACATTTGTTTTTTGTTTTTGTTTTTGCCTTATGCAATGTATCATGATGCCTAGAAGTGGAATAGGTGTGTTTATTTCTCATTTTTAATACTTAGAAATGTTACTCCTCATATTTTTAAAGAACATCAGCTCCTTTGAAGTACCACGGTTTCAATTAGTAGTTGCTGGCTCATGTCCCAATTACTACAGATGTGTTAAAAACATTTGCTCCCTGGCCAGGTGCAGCAACTCACCCCTATAAATCTGTCACTTTGGGAGGCTGAGGTGGGAGGATGCTTGAGGACAGGAGTTCAAGGCCAGCCTGGGCAACATAGTGAGATGCTGTCTTTACAATAATAATAATAACAATAAGCAAGGCATGGTGGCATGTATCTGTAGTCCCAGGTACTTGGGAGGCTGAGGCAGAAGATCACTTGATCCCAGGAGTCTAAGGTTTCTGTGAACTACCATCACGCCACTGCACTGAAGCCTGGGTGATAACGCAAGGCCTTGCCTCCAAATTTGCTCCCAACTCACTGAATTTCTATCCGTTAGTGCTTTACGATTAATTTTGGTGAATTGAACAGGCACATATATAATTTAACCAACAGCTTGTCTCTCTATCCCTTGACCTCCACTTCCTGGTGTTTTTTTCATCATCCCGTATCAACCATCTATTTCCTTGGGCATGATACACCACCTACAAAATCTCAACTGGAAAAGCCCATTCTTTTGGCATTAACTCCTAACTTTACAAATTTATTCACGCAGACACACTTTAGCATGCATCAAAATTACTCAGAGGACTTTTGAAGACAGAGATTTTTGGGCTTTGCCATTAGGGCACTGATTCAGTTGATCTAAGATGGGAGCTTAGAGTTTTTTTCTCTGAAAATCCCTAGATAATGCTAATACTGCTGCTCCACATATTAAATTTTGAGCCATTGCTCTACAAACACAAGATCGCTCACTTCAGAGCGATCCTCCTATAATGCCTGGAATAACGTGACTCCTACTTAATGCAATTATCTGTCTTCACGTAAACCTCACAAGGTGATTGGTGAAGCTGTACTGTTCAGTCTCAATTCAAATTTTTTCTAATTGACTCGCTCTCCCACTCTCCAAAATGTTGGCTGTTTTCCCTTTCTCAACTTCTTTTACGAATATACTAGATTGCTTTTGTAAAACTAAAATAGTGATCGCCAAGCTTTGAACCCTAGGAGTAATATAGTTGCCAAGGAAAATTTCAACCACAAAAAATAAGTATAGGAATTTGAAAATTACAGAGCTCTTGAATAAAAAGATGAAAGTATAATAGACCCCAAAACCATGCATATTTTTCTTACTGAAGACCACTTGAAATATAATATAAGGTACTCTGAAGAAAATAAAATAACTTTCAAAATCTAGAAAATTGTTTTAAATTGGAAAAAAAGAGGGAATCAAGAAATGGGTTTCTAGTGTAAAATTTGACTGCATTTGATTCTATGCAATAATTATTAATATTCAAGTAAATATTTTAATACATTTTAAATACATCAGTGATATTTAATCATTTTTTAAGATCTGATGACTACAGAGAATAAGCAAGGTTTTCACAATAACCATGATATGAAAAAAACCTAAATGTCCATCAATGGATGAATGAATAAAAAAATATATGTATAATGGAATACTATTTAGCCGTAAAAAGAAGAAAATACTGTCACTTGTGACAACATGAACCTGGAAGGCATTACGTTGAATGAAAGAAGCCAGGTACAGAAAGACAAACACTGCATGATCTCACTCTTGTGTGGAATAAAAAAAGTTGTTCTCATAGAAATCGAAAGTAGGATGGTCGTTGCCAAAGGCTGTGGCAGTTGGGAAGGAAAGATTGAAGAGATATCACTCAAAGGATACAAAATTTTAGTTAGATAGGAAAAATAAGTTCAAGAGATCTATTGTACTACATGATGACTAGAGTTAATGAAAATATATTGCATCAGTAAATTCTTAAAAAACAGAGAGAGAAAGAGTCCAAATCTTGGAATTCAAACTAAGTAGATCACAACATGTTCTTAATTAGTAGTGGTATTAAAACTTCAAATGTTTTAATTGTTATTACACTAAAATTATATATTTAGATCTTGTTAATATGCTAATGTGTAACTGTGATATACACCAGGTTTGAGGCCCTTCAGATATACGTGAAATGATATAAAAGGTAGTTACTGGTATTAAGAAGGTCATTAAAATAGACATTTTATTTAAATATTTCAAAAGTCACGTATGAGCATTTGCTTTGATGGCTAGAAGGTTTCAGAGTGTAGAAAACAAAGTTGTTTATTTGTTATCACCTTGCTCTGTTTTTATCTTATTTTTTAAAGCACATTGAAATCATATATAATCAAGGGTGCTGATTTACATTTTTAAAAAGTGAATCAAAATCAGCAATTATTGATAATTAACTATGTGATTTATATAAAATACTGTGTGGTTTTGCAGTTAGTCACAAATATATGTATTCTTCTAACAATGACTTTTGTTGAAGTATGAATATCTGGCATATCGATACAAAAATGAGTGCTCTCCTCATTACAGCTCACAGAAGAAAACAAAACTCTTTATCTTCTAATTTTCTCTGTAAAGAGAAATATGGCAAATATGTTTACTCAGTATAAAAATATATTGGCAAATATATTTACTTAAAATATTTACCAACCCTATACCAAATACAGATTCATACATTGTATGTTGAGGGTTTCATCAAACTCTAACTTGTTTGACAAACATGATAGATTTTTTCCATCATATGACATTAATATCACAGAAAAACAATCACATCATAATCCATAACCTTTTACAAGGGACTTCCTACCAAGTGAGAAATGGTTTACTTGCTCTAATGTCTTCCTGGTACACAGAGGTAGAGTCATTTTGAAATAGTGTCTGATTGACGCCAAAATTCTTTCCTGTGAGATCTGAATGATCCCTCCATGGGACTGAATGAACAATCTATGTAAAATTGAAGTTGGGTTTTAACAAATTGATGGGAGGAAAGAAATGTCAGAGTATTTTTACCTTTTCTAGAACTAATGGTTGGAGAAAAATAAATTTGGTCTGCAAGCCAAGGACCTTTATCTTCCTCTCCCTCCTCTCTGAATTTTATCATCAGGACTGGTTGCCATGGCTATCCTGTTATAACAAATTGAGTGCAAGCCCTGTTATCAGCATGCATTGGTTGCTTCTTTCCAAGTGTGAGAAAGTTGCCACTATTTTCCATCCTTTTAAAGGTTATGTTGTGATTTTTCCTTGGTAAGAAACAGATTTTCTTCTACTGCAAATGCAGCTATACTATTTTATGAGTGCTATAAGTAAACTTCTTATTTTCCAGGTGCAGTATGAATTTACATGGGCAATAGAACTATATTATCCTTTCAAAAATGAACTCATTTACTTTAGTTGTACATGATATTTTGTTTCTCCAAATTGTGACAGTCTGATTGATCTCATGATGCTATGTGATTGACTCCTCACCAAGAATGGGGTCAGAATACTGTTGGGACTGAGAAAACAGTCAAGTTGATTTTACCTTTTAGATACTTCAGTTGTACTGACTTGCTTTCAAAGCAGCTAATTAAAATACAGTTGGAGTAATCTAAATTTTTCTAGGAATTTGGACAAAGGCAAATTATTTGAAAATGAAATTTAGAATGGGTATTCATATTGTCTTCTGCTCATTAATTTTATTTAATTTGCAGTATCTCCAAATGGAGAGAGAGAAGGCTGTTTTATTAAGACACATACAGCTGTAGTTTCCTAAGTTCTGAATTTTAATTGTGAATTGTGTATTTCTCTGTGGCCTGTACTTAATTGTACCTGGAAAAAGGTATTATTTTTCCTTCTTGTCTTGTCATATGTGACCATGCCCTAAATTTCCATCCTACCAAATGATGAAAGCTAGTTAAAAAATCAATTATTTGAAATGGCTAACTTTCCTTTATAATTTCATTTGTATCATCTATTCACCTTTTTCTGAATGATATTTTATGCAAATGACTATTTTAAAATAATTTTAGATTTACAGATAATTACAGAATACAGAGATTCCCCATATATACTACACTCAGTAACCCCCACTATTAATATCTTATATTGCCTGGGCACATTTGTCAGAATTAAGGAAATAAATGTTACATTTGTCACAACATTGGTATATTTTTATAGGCTAGATGCCAGTTATTTGGATTTCATTCCATCTTTGCTAATGTTTTACCATCCTAACCAGGATAACACTTGATATTTAGCTATTATGTCCCCTTAGCCTCCTCTGGTGTGTGCCTTTTCTCAGACTTTCCTTCTTCCTGGTAATCTTGAGAGATGTAAGGAATACTGATCCGTCATTTCTTAGAATGTCTCTCAGTCTGGGTTTGTCTGATGTTTGTTTCATGATTAGACTAGAGTTAATGTTTTACTGGAGGAAGACCATAGAAGTAATGTATCTTTTCATCTCATGAATTCTATTTTTAATTGGATAGGGGATTACATAAGTTACAGTTTTGATCTATAGCTCTTATTTTTAATTTAACACAGATACAAATATAAATTATTTGGAGAGTAAAATTTAATACAATTTTAAAAAATACCATGTAGTTTTTTAAACGAAAACTATTATTAATAAAAAAAATGACAAACCAATTTCATCCAGGATTTGAAAACCTTTTAAATTTAAGCACTAGAGATCTGAAAAAATCCCTACAAAATTAGAAGATAATTTAGATGTTATTAAACTTGAATTTATACATTATTCTGGGAAAACTTTAAGTATGAGTGTATTTAAATCGTAATTTGGAAGGTTGACGAGAAAGCCTCTATCAAGTTCAGCCAAAATTTCTTCACATGGAAAATGAGTATCATATGCCTCTATTGTGGGGGTAGGGTGGTAAATGGGGAAATGTTATTCCTGACAATTCATTTTAATTTACAGGCAGTTTTCACTTTGTATGGCTTCACAGTGACTACAGTCCCACTTTAATGCACAGGAATTTGCAAATTTAGTGCTCCGTATGCAAAGATTGCAGTTAGCATGGTACTATGTAGAGCAAGGAGTACAGATATTTATACATCATAATTATTTTATTTTTATATTTTAACTTTTTAGGAGTAGATTTCAGGATGATGCTGACATACACTAATATAATATTACTTATAAAAGCTATCTGTTGGTTAAAGTATAAACTGAATACAGTTCTGGAGTAGATATCACATTTTGGGACTTATCAACATATATATGGCACAATGCCTGCAGAAGGAGCCTGAGAAATTCTACTGTAAGCTTTATTAGGGATATTTCTAAGATGTTATATAATATTCAAATTCAATAAGTAAATTCTATATAAAGAGAAAGTATATATTATTAACACTATGTGCCAGATGACTAATAAAACTGAAGATTATATAGGAATAATTCTATTATATTTTAAATATTCATATATTCAGTAGATAAATTTTTTAAATGCTTCTTCTAGGACACTTTAGTCATTTTTATCATCATTTAACTCAAAAAAAGTTAAAATTATAGTCAAACACTAACACTACCCTGTAGAATATAATTAATTACTGAAATAAGCACTATGAAAACATTGTCCCTTCTTTGATAGACTGCAACTTACTCATTTGGATACAATGCTTTGGTAGCTTTGCTTGCTTAAGAGATAATTAATTAAATTATTTTCACTTTATAAGCATCTTTAAAATGTTAGACTTAAGAAACATGACAGCAACCTCTAAGTCAAAATATTATTAATGCAAAATGCTCTCAAATTAAGAGAAGAAATGCTTTTTTTGGAATTAATAAGATGCTTTTATATCCTGAAAACCGTATCCCTGTAAATCTCTCATGATATTAGAATATGGTTATTTACAATATTCAGTATTCAAGATATATAATAATATTTATATAGCATTTAATGTATGACAGCCATTGATACAAAGAATTTATGTTTTAGATAATTTAATACCACATTAACCCTAAAATGTAGTGCTGGCTGAGCGCGGTGGTTCACACCTGTAATCCCAGCACTTTGGGAGGCTGAGGTGGGTGGATTACCTGATGTAAGGAGTTCAAGACCAGCCTGGCCAACATGGTGAAACTCCACCTCCACTAAAAATACAAAAATTAGCCGGGTGTAGTGGCAGAGCCTGTAATCCCAGCTCTTCAGGAGGCTGAGGCAGGAGAATCGCTTGAACCTGGGAGGTGGAGGTTGCAGTGAGCCGAGGTCGTGCTACCTTACTCCAGTCTGGGCGACAGAGACTCCATCTCAGAAAATAAACAAATAAATTTAAAAAAATGTGGGTTCAATTGTGACTGTTTTATAGATGAGTAAACGAAGGCATGTGATGATTAGTAACCAATATAAAGCTAAACAATGTGGTTCAGACTCCAAGAACTTTACAGTTAACATCGCTAAAAATAATACCAGGTTTTATCTACTGGTAATATACAACAGTTTGGACTCCAGGACTACATAGGTTATAATGGTGACTTTACCTGCTGTATTTTGTAGACCTTGGTTCAATTAAATTTATATAGTAAGTCCTTATTTTCTTATATTTTAAAAGAATTAGTATTTACCATCCCTTGACTGTTTACATCAGGGACTTTCAACCTCAGCATTGTTGAAATTTGGGAACAGATAATTCTTTGATGTGAAGACTCTCCTGGGCATTTTAGGATGTTTAGCAACTTTCTTGACATCCACTCACTAAATGACAGCAGCAGCTCATATCAACAACTGAGCCTGATATGAACAATTAGATGTCAACTCAAAATTTTGAAATTAAATGTATCTGAAAAAATATATATATATATGTGAAACATGTATAATGTATATTGAATTATATATTGTGTTTCATACATAAAACATTATTGTCTTAGTTTGGGCTGCTGTAACAAAATACCATAGAATGGGTAGCTTATACAACAAGCATTTATTTTTAACAGTTCTGTAGGCTGGAAGTCTGAGATCAGGATGCCAACATGGTCAGATAAATCTCTTCCTGGTTTACAGACAGCCATATTCTCATTGTATCCTCCTGGGGCAGAGAGAGAGTAAGTTCTAAGGTCTCTCTTACAAGGACACTAATCCCATTCATAAAGGTTCCACCTCCATAACCTAATCACCTCCCAAAGACCCCCACCTCCAAATAACATCAAATTGTGGATTAGGATTCAACATGCGAATTTCCAAGGCACACAAACATTCAGTCTATAAAAATTATCTATCTATATAATTTTACTCAACTTTATTCATATAGTTATCAAACTTTTCATATATGCATATATTCATATGGCTTCACAGTGAAGCCAACTTTATTATATAAATTTACACTTTATTCATATATGTCAAGTTTATATATATGAACTTTATTCCAACATACTGAATATCAATTGCTTTTATACTTTAAATTTAGTTGAGATGACCACTATTTCTTCAAAAGTAAGTCATACACACACACGCACATATATTTAATATGTTGATATATATTAAGATTAAGGAAAAATATTGATACTATCATACAAGTATAAAACTAAGAACACTTGTGTCTGGGAAATGCATTTTAGTAAGTTCATTGTGTTTATCTCATTGTATCCTATTTCAGCTTACCCATCAGATAACCAATTAGCACAGTTCAGTTAAATACTGAAATGGTGTCTAAAATCAAGGATTTTAACATGGACTTCAGTCTGCTCTTACTAACTCTGAGGATAACAGAAAAGTCATCTGCTTTCGTGGAATTTGTAAACTAGCAAGAAAATTTAGAATTATGACAGGAATAGTACAGGGTGTTTGAGAAAAACATTCTTAAAAGCATTTTATGATATGCAGATTTATGTATTTCACAGTGTTTTGTGCAAAATAAAACTTTATTCAAATGTACTGAATATCAACTGCTTTTATACTTGTAATTTATCTGAGAAGACCACTATTTCTTCAAAAGTAGGTCATTGTCTTTGGAGATGTACAAAACCACTGAGTTATGTGTCCTGTCAGGAAAAACATTAAAAATCAATATATTATGAGAATTTAAACTAGAACTAGTTCATAAAATTTAATTTTTTAAAGGAATTGTGTTGTAGTGAAAATTATAAAATTATGTATTCTTCTACTTTTGTAAAATGTCACTCTTTCAAAAAAAGTTTAAGAATTATAGAATATAATTGTTTTATTCATAATACCCATATGAAAATATTTCTTTGACTGCCAAGAAACTTAGAGGGTTAATGTACTTTTCTCTATAAAGCAGGTATTAATTTCCTAAGGGAGCTAATAAGTTGGGCTTTCCTATAATCATGTTTGCTTTCTAACTGCTAAAGAAAAGCACTAAAAACAAGACTATTGGAATAGCAAAATCCATTAGAAATCACTGTTAATTTGTAAAGTGGAGCATTAACTGTTTTATTATCATTTGGCTAATTTCATGCTATGTATCAACGATTGTGATATAATAAAATGTTTATGTGTACATGACCTATATTTTATAAACATGCTTTCCAATGCCTGAAAGTTCTGAACACAAGAAAGTATTATGCACATAATTTCTTCTTTTCTATTTATACATATTTTTTCATTAAATATGAGTTAGTGCACTGATTAAAATGTAGAAAGCCACTCTAACAATGATTTATGGGTTGACTCAACCGTGTACAACTGAAATATTTTTTATATTTATTCTGATAATTGAAATGCAGAGAAGATATAAACCCAGTAATACACAAATAAAAATGCCTGAAATATTAAGTTTACCCTATTATTATTACAATTATGATTACTATTATAAATAATCAAAACTACTTGCATACCCCCCAGATGAACCAGAATCTATTTTCATTGACTGAGTTTGTTGTTGGTATCATTTGGGAAATTCCATTAGCAGCAACGAACTTCATAGGTTAAAACCCACAATCAAAAAAAAAATTATCAAGTTCATAAAGACCTTTGCTGGATTTCCAGTCTTAAGTAGCCAATTTTAGCTATTTCGTACTATTTTCACATAACTCACAAACACTGCATATCAGTTGGATGAGTTTCTTGACCGACATTATGCATTTTATGGAGGTTTCTGGAGACTGCAGAGCACTGTCTGCCTTTCGATGATTCCTGAACAGCAATATATAATGCATACCAGGCAATGAAGTCATGGCCTAGGAAGAGGTGGCATCTCTCACATCTCTAGGTTCCAATGGACAATTATATGTTTAGGTGGCTGGGCTTTCCTTTTTGTGGATTATGTTATTCTAATCTCATTATGTTATTTTAAATTCATCTTCAAACTATTTTTTGAGTTTTGGAAAGCAAAAAAATACAATAACATAAATTCCATGGGGCACAATTTTTACTTTACAGAGCAAAAGGAATAAAAGATAGCAAAGAATTAGAGAGAAGCAAACATAAACTAGTTTCAGCAAATGTGCTGTTAAGAAATTATATCAAATTCTTAGGTAATAATTTTACCAAAGAATTAAAATCTAATAATTTAAATTAAATGATTTAAAATATTAAATAACATATAATTGACATATTTAAAGCAATATTGAATTTTACTAAATATTACAAAAATATTTTACTATAGCTACATTGATTCCAAGTTATATGTAACTATATTTTAGTTGCATCTACTTATAAGAGACTATGTCTTCAAGTGTAACTAATATAGGATAACACTTTGAGAATTATGTAATCATCTCTGTAATAATAAGGGTAAAAATAATTTATCATTTAAAAACAAAAGTAGGCCAGGCGCGGTGGCTCACGCCTGTAATCCCAGCACTTTGAGAGGCCGAGGCAGGTGGATCAGGAGGTCAGGAGATCGAGACCATCCTGGCTAACATGGTGAAACCTTGTCTCTACTAAAAATACAAAAAATAGCGGGGCGTGGTGGCGCATGCCTGTGGTCCTAGCAACTCGGGAGGCTGAAGCAGGAGAATTGCTTGAACCCGAGAGGCGGAGGTTGCATTGAGCCAACATCGTGCCACTGCACTTCAACCTGGCGACAGAGCAAGACTCCGTCTCAAAAAACAATTAAACAAACATAAGTAAAGTGATTAATACACACAATCAAGACAAAAAAATAGCAAATATTCATCTTTCAAACTAGGGAAGTTCCAACTTTCTGACCATGACCATTTGCTATGGGACTTAGGAATTTAACTTGGTGGATAGACTTTCTAGTCAACAGCAAACTGCTTAATTGGACTGCTAATCTCTAATAGCCAAATTTCGTTTTATGAATATCTAACAACAGCAACTCTGAAATTTGTTAGAAAATATTCCTCTATGTCATTCACACTTAAAACTAAATGTAACAAAACTGATGATCAACGGACTTTTCTTGTTTCTTTGTATAATTGTTCTGTACTTCATTAGAATAATGGTAAGCCCATATTGTCCCCACATATTTTGAGATGTCCGGGGTTTAAACCCTTCCTCCACTCCAAGAAAAAAAAAATGTCACTTTTTAAAAACTACTAATAATTAGAGCATTGGGTATAATAACCTATCAAGTTGTGCCCAAAAAGAATAGGAAGAAAATCATTTTTGCAAACAAATCACAGGGAGAGAGGGATGAAGTTGATGTGGGACAGAACTCCAGTGGATTGTGGGAGTAGAGAGAAGGACAGAAATTTAACAGACAGTGATCCTCAAACACAGGAGCTCATTTTAGAAAATTTGCCAAAATGGAAGAGGTCTTTTGCCTAAAGCAGGATGAGTGGACCTAGTCATGGTGAAGCACGATATTTCCCTGACCCCTTCGTGGGACTCGAGACAGGACTGCCCCGTTTACTCAGCCTGCCACTCTCAGCTCCTCGCAGGAGGAAGCATGTGAGCAAACAAGGCAGGAACTGGTGGAGTACACAAGCATTGAAAGGAGCCGGCTGCTTGGGCGCCAGCAGGAGTAAACTCCACTCACTCAGACCTGCTGTACTTCACCCCGCACAGGAGGGAGCACACAGATGAATGGGTGCAGGAACGGGGGTGAGCACTTTCGGGTCAGTAGGAGCATCCATGCGGCCCAGGGGCAGCGTCTGGAGGCTGGGGGCGGGGAGTTGTCTGTGACTCCGGAAGTCCCAGTGGCCATGTCAAAGTGCTCTTTTTGCTCTTCCGTCTGTATACAGCTTAAGTGTTAACAGCTCAGTGGGCCCTTTTGTATCTGCGCTCGTGGCTCCCGAGTTCTTTTCCGATATCCAGGAAAAATGAGGTTGCACAAATGAATTGAAGGATAGTGCATGTGGGGGATTTTATTGCGGTGAAAGTGGCTCTCAGTGGGAAGGGGAGCTGAGAAAAGGGTAGGGGAAGGGTAGGTAATCTTTTCCTGGAGTCTAGCCATCTCTAACCAGATTCTTCTCTGAAGTTACACCATCAAGCTGTCCCTCTGAAGTCAAACTGCTTCTCTCCTGACGTCCAGCCATAGTCATCCCGAGGTCCAGCTGCTGCTTCTCTCTGCAGGTTTTCTGGGATCTTTACAGGCAAAGGATGGGGTGGGGTAGTGTCATGGGTGATTTAGGAAAAGACAGCATTTGAGCAGGGAAATAGAGATCTAAGTTCTCACTTTGGGCTGCGATCTCAGGCTTCAGCTTGAAGGTGGGGCTTTGCCCCTGTCTGCCTAGAATTTCTCTGCCCCCTGTCCCTATCAATGGGCCATGGCAAGCAATATTGATCTTCATTAGAATCACATGGAGTCCTCAGCCCCTCCTGACATAGTTATTACTTACCTGATAATCTCAAAGGACTCAAACCCAGATCCAAGCCAGTTAGTCCTCACAGCCCATTAACATGTGATAGTACTTTACTCATATTTTGCAGTAACTCAAGAAATGTTGGCATGTCAAAATATCACTTGGTGTTTAACACTATCCTGGTTGAATGCCATCCCCAGGGCATTCCCTGAACCAAAGTCGTTACCTCTGGACATCTGGGGATGTGGTTGTGGGAGAGCTATAGACAGAACAACCTTGATATCCTTATGTTGTGAAGGGAGAAAGTTACATCACCGTTATACAAAAAAGCACTAGAGGTTATTTATTTATTTATTACTTATTTATTTATTTATTTATTTATCTATCTATCTTAGTTTCTGGCCTGTGATGAACTCCTTTGTTCATCAGCACAACAGGAACATTCAGTGGAAAAACATTTCTATGTAGAGGCCACTTCCCCACACAATAACTCTTCACATTTCTGCCATTCTTATTTCCTGTAAAATGATTTTAGCATTTAGTTTCTCTAACAAAAATTTGGTAGATAGATAAACAGATAAGTAGATAGACAGACAGGTGCAAAGAGATAGGCTCATACATATCCTTTTCCCTCAGGAAAACAATTAAAATAAACGTACAGCTTCAATATAGTTACAGTGCCACGAAACTGTCAAATTGAGGCGCTGTTTCATACATTTTTAGTATATTAATCTAACAATTTCTCTAAGTATTTTTCTATTCATCCCAAATCGGAATATTAGATTACTAACAAATATTGAGTATAGCTCTGAATTTTAAATGCTTATCAACTTTTTCTATGATTTGGGCAAAAATAAAACTAACAACTCAGATGACTTAAAAGATTAATTTGTAATCTTAAATGATAAGTATGTATTTAATTATCTTTTAAATGAAATTACCTACATTCTCTTGAATTAGCTAACATATATGCTTTATAGTCTATATTGATATTCAAAATAAACACAATTCAAAGTTTAAAAATTACTCATCTTTTTAACATATGGCATAACCAATAGTACAAAAATAATCCTTTTTTCCCAACATATAAATTCTACTTCTCTGTTTCTATAAGTACAGAAAAAAAGTTTAGCCTAATTAATAAAAAAATTTATATAATTCTCAGTTAAGTGTGAATTATCGTCTAAATTTTAATCATCACCACTAAGGCCAGATGTAGTGCTGATAATTAGTCATTAATTAGCATTTATGTGTATTTGTAATTAACAAATTCTGAACAATTAGTTTTTAATCCAAACTTTCCTCAATTATAACATGTTTAAGTTATATCAACATTCTATTTTCTCTTATTATATGGTAAGGACAGTTAGACTAAATTTAATTCCTCATCTGGCTACTGGCTATGTAATTTGGTGTTTAATAACATGGAGACTTAAAGAGAACAAATATATCTATATAAGCAGATATGAAATGATGTAATGATGTACAAGATGTGGTATTAAGTAATGCTGCCAGCAAGTTTGTAATAGAATCTGTGTGTTATGTACCTGTCTATAATCCAATGTTTTTGTTAAAACCGGAAAAATACATATATATATATGTTTATATAGAGAGAGTTTTTTTTTTTTTTTTTTTTTTCAAATAGAAAGCCAAAGAGAGAAAGAGAGAATTTCAACTTCAGAAATAAACTTTTCGGTTCATCTAGGATCTCTTTTAGACCAAAATCTGGCAGACCTAGGCCCAGGCTCTTGGGTTCAGGTCTTGTCTTATGTGTTCGTGGATGCTTTGTTAGTTTCCTATTGTTGCTCTAACAAATTACAGCCAGGCATGGTGGCTCACGCCTGTAATCCCAGCACTTTGGGAGGCTGAGGCGGGTGGATCACAACGTCAGGAATTCGAGACCAGCCTGACCAACATGGTGAAACCCTGTATCTACTAAAAATACACACACACACACACAAAATTAGCTGGGTGTGGTGGCGCATGCCTGTAATCCCAACTACTCAGGAGGTTGAGGCAAGAGAATCACTTGAACCCCGGAGGCGGAGGTTGCAGTGAACCAAGATGACATGACTGCACTCCAGCCTGGGTGACAGAGTGGAGACTCCGTCTCAAAAACAAACAAACAAACAAACAAACAAAAAACAAATTACCATACACATGGATTTAAACGAATGCAAATGTATTATCTGATAGTTATGGCAGTAAGAGGTTTAAAAGCTAAGTGTTGATAGGGCTGTGTTATTTCTAGAGTCTCTAAGGGAGAATGTGCTTTCCTATCTTTTCCAGTCTCTAAAGTCTACCCACCTTCCTTGCTTAGTAGCCCTTTCTTAGTGTCACACCAATCTCTGCTTCTGTCATCACGTCCCTTTTCTCTCTATTTCTTTTTTTTATAAACATTGTGATTACACTGAGTCCATCCACATAATCAAAGATTTTTAACTTAATCACATCTGCAATTTTTTTTTTTTTGGTCATGAAAGATAACATATTCACATATTCTTAAGACTAGGGCATAGATGACTTTGGGGGACCATTAGTATTCCTATTGCAGAAGCCCAGGCTCCAGGCCACTTGGACATTCTCTTCTCAGGTAGGTTCACCAGATGGCAAGTAGTAAGTTAAACTGGCTGAATTCATTAAAAGCCTCAGTTAATATTTTTCAAAATAAAATTCCACTGGTCAAAGGAAGTCATGTGGTCAAACCAATGGGGTGGGTAAGTTTTCTTGGCCCAGAATAAGAGTGCATCATGTAACAACACATATATTGCTTTCCAAATATATTTTGCAGCATGTAATAACTTATTCTCATTGTATAAATATGAGAAGAAAAACTAGCATCATGCCCCATAACATTTTAATTTTACTGAAGTTTCTGTCTTAAGAACATATTCGCTTCCATACAAATAACCTTTGTTGAGTATATACAGTTATTGCCTTAGTCCACTTTGTGCTACTGTAATAGAATACCAAAGATTGAGTAATTTATAAGAAACAGAAGTAAGATTGAGTAATTTATAAAGAACAAAAATTTATTTCTTGCAATTCTGGAGGCTGGCTAGCCTAAGAAACAGGGCCCAGCATCTGGTGAGGGCCTTCTTGCTGTATCATCCCATGGTGGGTGGTGGAAGGGCAAGAAAGGAAGAAAGAGAAAGAGAGAAGAAGGGGGGGGGGAGAGAGAGAGAGAGAATGGGTGTGTGTAAAGGGAGGGGGGCAAATTTCCCCTTTTATAATGAATCCACTCCAAAGATAATAGCATCAATCTATTCACTCCTTTCTCATGGCCTAAGTACCTCTCATTAGGCCCCACCTCCCAACGTGGTTCCATTGGGGATCAAGTTTCTGGCACATGCTTTTCGGGGGGATACATTCAAACCATAGCAATTACCTTCTGTCTTCTCACATTCTTTTTAATGGGGATTTATTCTCATTTAAAGATGATAAAAGTAAACAAAAAGAAGGAAATAGGTGATTCTGCAAAATATATAATACACTCAAAGTTTCCTCTTCTAGTCTATCCTTTACCAGTTCATTGCAAGTTGTAAGCAGACCAGTCTGTTAGAGGCCGCCAGGCTCTATGTTTCAACTCCTGACAAGGGCTCCATAAATGGGCCAAAAGCTGTAGCATCATTAACTTAATATATGGACTTCTAAACAGACCTTCCATGTTGCACACTCAAAATTCTGCTTATAGAACACTATCTTATTAGGTAACATTTCCCAATATTGTTTTAGTATTTACCGAGTCTAGCAACTATCACTCAAAGTGGCATGTTATTCTACAGATGTTAAAAACAGATTATATTTTAAGATGAAACTTTGCAATTTCATGAAGAGTTAAGCAGTAGACAGTCTCAGATAAGTTGATAAATTAATATTTCTTTGATACACTATGGCATTTTCCGAGTTTTTGAATAGGGTGATTGAAGATTTTTGAACATCGTGAAGAAATAGAGGATTATAAACTCATTTTTAGAAAAGTTATCTTATTGTTAAGTTACAGCTGTATATTAAAAATATTTTTAGTCTGGTTTATGTTAGAGTATAGATGTTCACAAAGTAATTTTGCTTATGAGATGAGCTTAACTAGAACCAGAATTGTTGCTACTTTCAGCTGTTATGTTACTACTGGGGCCTTTTAAGAGAATATCACTTTTTGCCTTTAGATTGCATTATTTTTTAAATTCATGTCCTAAATTGTACAGGGCTGCATTTAATATTTTGCTTTTGAACAAGTAAGCAGTATTAGTACTTAGATAAAGAATAAAGTCCCCAGTCTGCAAATCTAATAAAATAAAGCAATCAGTTTGAACAATACTATTAAATGAATTAAGAAAAAAATAATGTGAAAAACCTTCTTTGGAATAAAAACTCTTAGCTATAAAACACGTCTCATTGTCATAAACAAGTCTTAATAAATAGAATATGATTGCAATCACACATGCTATAGTCTCTGATTAGAAGTCTTTATAAATATATGTACTGATTATTTATTTATACACAACATTTCCATAATCACCTCAGGAAAGCACCCATCAGATTCTCCTATGCTTGCAAGCCATGTCCCTCTTAAGGTCATACTGGCAGAAACACAGATTAGGTGCATCACTGTTTGATCTGTCATTTGCACTGTCTTCTACAAATATAAATCCAAAATTAGTTCAAAATTTAGTTTATATGGTTTAGTCTGAAATGAATAAAGTGAATCCTCACTCTTTATTCTCCCACATTTTAATAGCTTTTTAAAATTATTTACACAGAGGAACACTAAAGATAAGATGCTAAGTTTGATTTCTAATTCATTATGTTAAAGAGTAAGTATGTTATGGCGATTGATAGATCCTTTCAAAAGAAACAATGGTCTGTTTACATATTTGCTTAATTCTTCAAGATCAGGGGATATTAGTTTAAATTTAAATTAATAGTGGGTTTAATGTTCATTTATATTTTTTAGACAGATAAAAATATATTTTTCAAATTGTTAGAAGAAGAGGAACACAACATCATTAAATGTCATAGGCTTAATGAATTTGTGCTTATCTTTTCAAAATAATCAAGTTCAGATCATTACTTATCTTTATCACTAAAGCATTTTACTAATACTGTAATGACTTTATATAACAACGGAGATTCAGGTGTATAAATGAAAGTATTTTCTTTTAATTCTTCTTAAAATTTTTTAGAATAGCTGGAATGAGCGTGCATGTAGGTGGCAAAACTAGGTGTTGAGGGAGGAGAGCGTTTAAATTGATGATTAAAATCAACAATTTATAAATAAATTCTAACAGCATTTTAATTATGACTTCTACTATAAATTGTATAAATTATAAATTACGTGTATTTTCATTGCATAAGTATGATGAAAACATAAATTGGTTTAAGATCTAAAGTTATCTTTCAAATATTATTAAATACGTTAAAATGATAAATCCAATATGAAATGATTAAAGGTATGCTTTCTGAAATATTCTTCCCACTCTGTGCATGTGTGTCTGTGTGCACGTTAATTTCATGTGAGAAGAGAACTACAGTTTTAAAGACTGCATGTCTCCTGAATCTACTTGAATAGAGTTTGATGCATTAAGATATTCTATATTAAGGGGAAAACAAAGAACATGTTAGATTTTATTGTCATTCCATAAGAGGGTAATTAATACTTGTCTTTTAAAGGATGAAGGCAAATGATAATAAATGAACTTAAAAAATGGTTTAACAGGCCAGGTGTGGTGGCTCATGCCTGTAATCCCAGCACTTTGGGAGGCTGAGGTGGGTGGATCACTTGAGGCCGGGAGTTTAAGACCAGCGTGGTGAAACCCTGTCTCTACTAAAAATACAAAAATTACCTGGGTGTGGTGGTGCACACCTGTAATCCCAGCTACTCAGGAGGATGAGAGGGGAGAATCACTTGAACTCGGGAGGCAGAAGTTACAGTGAGCCCAGATGGCACCACTGCACTCCAGCCTGAGTGACAGAGCGAGACCCGTTTCAACAACAAAACAAAAGGTTTAACTGAATTATCCCTTCTCAGTTAATGTAAAGATAATAACTAGCTCTCCAGATTGTAAAATACTGATTATTTTTCATGTGATATTTTTGTTCTATCTAGAAGTGCTGTATCTAAAATTATAACATTTTTAATATTGGTATTTAAAAAGAAAATGCTAATTAGATTTTTAAAAAGTGCTGTCCATGTTTACAGGGCCTGTTTCTTACTTTGTCTTATTTTTTACCATGTCTTTATTTTTATTTTTAGCATTAAACTATTAAAGTTCACTCTTAAAGCATGTCTTTTGGAAATTCCCAAGGGGCATACCCCAAGCTAATGTAGGAAGGTATAGAAGGGTCTTAAGAGAAGGAGATGGAATGGAAGTGACAAGGGAAATGGGGGAATTCTGGGTGTAGGAAACACAGCTTTTGGCTTCCCTTCTGCTCTCCTGCCAGCTCCATGATGTTGGATTCCTATGGGCCAAAGGGCTCCTGAGATGTGGCAACTTCATGTAAGTGAAACCACGGCCTTGCTCTGCATCTCAGCAAGAGGGATTTGTGCACAATTTCTACCTTCTTGGCTACAGAAAATCGTGGAGAACAGTCAGAAAGGTGGGATCCTGGGAAGAGCTTGATGCTCAAAGTTGTATACATAACAGCCTCATTTCCATAAAGGTTTTTTATTCTCGTGTGTACTGGGAATTTCTGACTCAAGAATGGCTAGGAGTGTAATAACCTCAGGGTCAGGCTAAACCTTAGCATCTGAAAGAGAAGCAGCAGACCAGAGAGAAGGAAGCAGAGCCTGCCACACTTTATATATCACATGGCCATGCAAATAAATACTAGATTTCTTTCCTGTCTATGGAAATGTGTTCTTTAGTACTCTCCTAAAACCTGAGTTTAGTAAAAAATAAGCTGAACAAGAAACTGAAAATTTATCTATGGGAAAGAATAACACACAGAGAAGATCTCAGGTGTAGTCGTCAAAATTCAGACCTAGTGACACAGAACTACCAGAGGAAACTGACAAAATCTTTAAACAGGTGGAGCATTAAGAGTAAAGAAGAATAAAGTTTATGAAAAATAATCATATTATGTTCTAATTATGTTCCCTAAAATTTACATATTGAAATTGTAATCCTCAAGATGATTGGGCATTAGGAAGTATTAGGTATTAGGAGGTAAGGGATTAAGAGGTGGGGCCTTTGGCATGTGCTTAGGCCTACCCTCATAAATGGGATTGGTGCCCTTATAAAAGGAATCCCAAGAAACCAGCTCTCCCCTTACACCATGTGATGACAGGGAGGAGGCACCATCTCTGAACCAGGAAGTGGACCTTCACCAGACTCCAAATATGCTAGTCTCTTGATCTTTGACTCGTAGTCTCCGGAACTGTGAGAAATAAGCTTCTGTTGTTTCAGAACAGCATCTATTGATTATCTTCTAGCTTTTGTGAGTCAGAGAGTCCTGGTGCGCCTTAGCTGGTCCCTCTGCTCAGAGAGTTGCAGGGCTGCAACACATGTCTCTATCAGGCATTACTTCTTTCTAGAGCACAGTGTTCTCTTCTAAAACTATGCAATTGTTGGCAGAATTCAGTTCCTTGCAGTTGCAGAACCGAGGTCCCTGCTTTCTCGCTGGCTGCTCTTAGCTCCTGGAGGCTGCCTGTAGTTCCCTGGCAGATGACTCTTTCACAGGCCGTCTCACAACCTGAAACCTCACTTTTTAAAGTTCAAAAAGAGAATCTAGTCCTTAAGAACTATAAGACAGAATCTTCCATTATGTAAATAATTATGAGAATGGCTCTCCCCTATGCAGAAATCAAAAACACAGAAGTTAACATTCTACATATTAATGTTCTGATTACTCCTATTGTGTCCTGAGTTGGTTCCTTCCGGTGGGTTCTTGGTCTTGCTGACTTCAAGAATGAAGCCATGAAGCCGCGGACCTTCGCGGTGAGTGTTACAGCTCTTAAAGATGGTGTGTCTGGAGTTTGTTCCTTTAGATGTGTCTGGAGTTTCTTCCTTCCAGTGAGTTCATGGTCTCACTGACTTCAAGAATGAAGCTGCAGACCTTCGTGGTGAATTTTACAGCTCTTAAAGGTGGTGCAGACCCAAAGAGTGAGCAGCAGCAAGACTTATTGTGAAGAGCGAAAGAACAAAGCCCCCACAGCATGGAAGGGGCTCCCCGATGGGTTGCTGCTGCTGTCTGGGGTGGCCAACTTCTATTCATTTATTTGTCCCCTCCCATGTCCTGCTGATTGGTCCATTTTACAGAGTGCTGATTGGTGCGTTTACAATCCTTTAGCTAGACACAGAGTGCTGATTGGTGCATTTTTACAGCGTGCTGATTGGTGCACTTACAATCCTTTAGCTAGACACAGAGTGCTGATTAGGGCGTTTTTATAGAGTGCTGATTGGTGCGTTTACAATCCTTTAGCTAGACACACAGCGCTGATTGGTGTGTTTTTACAGAGTGCTCATTGGTGTGTTTACAATCCTTTAGCTAGACAGAAGTTCTCCAAGTCCCCACTTGACCCAGGAAGTCCAGCTGGCTTCACCTCTGACTATCATGGCACATATTGTGCTAATCAGCAAAATATTTATTTATACGTGCTAGAAAGCACACTGACAACAAAGTTAACTGGTTGAAAATAAAGGGACAAGTAAAGATACAGGCAATGCAAACAAAAGGAACAAAGAGGAGACATTAGAAATCAAATGAAGATGACATCATTATGTAGCTATGCTGAAATAAAAAGGATTGAGTCGCTACTCATTTGATGCAGGCAATGTCACAAAGAGCAAGACTTTTGCCATATTTATCTACCACATCTGGAAATTATAGAGAGTATTTGAGTGCATGAGGTTTGTGACACTTGAGAGATATGATTAGGGAAAGGAATAGTTCATTAGGCCCTTCCAATGTTTACCCATTGTTAATAGGTACATGCTATCACATTTTACATCTGTGCCAACCTCTGTGATGGGGCTCTGGGGGTCTAGACGTGACTGCCTAAATGAAAAACATCCAATTATCTATGCCTTAATTAAAGAAATGTTCTGACTGAAACCAAGAAAATGGTGCCCTGAACTGTAGACACATTTGTAGGTCTTTAAAAAATACATGTATTTTGACTAGCAGCCGCATTCCTGCTCTCTGAGGGAGAACCTGGCGTTAAGGCCACCCAGTCAGGCATGGCTGCGGAGATCAGAGCCCGGCGCGGGTGCACGGCCTCGGCGAGCTGGGCCTGGATGAGTGGCGCGGCGTGGAAGAGCAGGGCCTGACTGGGTGGTGCAGCGTCGGATGGCAGGGCCTGAACCAGATGCACGTCTGCGGAGAGCAGGACCTGGCAGAACGATGCTGCTTCGGCGAGCAGGGCTTGGCCCAGATGCATGGCTTGGCCCAGATGCATGGCTGAGGAGTGCAGGGCCTGGCTGCGTTGCCTGACTCGACACAGAAGCCCGGGAACCGCAACGGCTGCTAGGCTGGGACCCTGGAGAAGATGGCTGCAAAGGCCGAGGAAACAGACCCCGCCCTGGAGGCCTCTGAGCTGCGACAGCCTGGTTGCGGCCTGGCCGCTTCCTATGACGGTTGTTTGCAGGGCTCTTGGTCTGGGCCGGGTGCTCGTCGGAGTGGCCAGTGGCCTTCGGGGGTGGCCCCACAGCGGCCTGGCTGTCCCCGTAGGGCATCACACATCCAAGGACATGGTGAGGCCTGCGGCAGCCCTGGAGGTCAGAATGCCTCTTCGCCGGCACAGCAGCCATGAAGGGCAGCCACGGGCCCTCATCCGCCACGAAAATGGCGGCGGCGGTGGCGGCTGCGGTGTTGGAACCAGCAGTGTGGCACCTCAGCGCGGCGCTGCCGCAGGGAGACGCGTCACAGGAGAAGGTGGGACAGAAGCAACAGGATCTTCATTCCCGGTCCCACAGCCATCACCGGAGGCAGGGGCAGCCTCATTGTTCTGCCTTCCGGGCACTGTGTCCTGCTACTGCATCTGCTCTTTCTCCGAGCCACCCCGCCAGTCCCTGCTTACCGCAGAGGTGCATCCGGGCCAAGCCCTGCCCTCCAACGCTGTGGCAACCCCCCAGGCCCTGCCCTTCGCGGCCGCACAGCAAGGTCAAGCCCTGCTCGTCACAGCACCAGCATGACGCCAGGCACTGCCCTCCGGAGCCGTTCCACCCAGCGAAGATCAGCCCTTCTCAGCCGCCGCTCTCAGCTTGGGCCAGCTGATGAGAACACGCTTTCCCATGGGGCTGGCTTAGGACAGCTGGCCTTTCAGAGCAGCTCAGGCTCTTCTGATCCTGAGGTCCCAAGAAGTGCTTCCCCGCCTGGTTGGCATGCAGTCCGTATGCATGCCTCCTCACCCTCTCCACCTGGGAGGTTCTTCCTTCCCATCCATCAGCAATGAGAGCTCCTCCTCCTCTGGTGCTTCCAGCTCCTCCTCCCATCTAAGTTTTCTGAGCAGAGTTCCTCTTCCTCTTCCCCTAGGATTTTGGGCCTGAGATCTATCTCCACTCTTAGCCCTGATAGCCTTAGGCGTGCCTTGATGCCAGAGCTTTATGTTCCGAGCCCTGCCCCTCCAGGAGAGTAGGCCGAAAGAGAAAACAGCGCACCCCACTACACCACCTGAGCTGTGACCCTCTGTGAGCATCCTCTAAGACTCACAGAAGGAATCAACATCTACCCACTTTGTGAATGGCCTGCCTGCCCTGTGGTTACCTGTGAGGTCTCCCAAAGTTCCAGCCATTAACCGAAATCCTGAGTAGTTTTGAAGCCTCCCCTCCCCATAACTCCACCACCTAGCACTTACCTGCTGTTGGCCTTTGATTCTGGGCTACCTTCTTTCTCAAGAGAGTTTGCCTTTGCCCCTGAGCTGAGATTTCTGTTTTCCAAGTTGCCTTTCCATAGTGAAATATTGTAATTAGTAAAATGAAAGTGTTGGTTTTGTTTAAAAGATATATGTATTTTATTGAAAAATAATGAATTAATATTTGGCATATGGAAAACATGTTGGTATGTTTGCTTATATAGTCACATTATCTATAATTATAAGCAGGAGCTTAACCTCAAGTGAAATACAGTGACTCCAATTCCCCTACCTACCTCACTGGATGTATCTTGAGAGCCATCTATCCTATACTGATATTGGAAATTGCTACCTCAGCTTTATTTCACTTTGGACCATTCTAGATACAGTAGATAAATGATAACAGATTGGTGATAGATAGATGGATGGTATATAGATAGAAAGACAAAATGCTTCAAAGATTGAAAATGATACGCTACTATAAACTTTTACTGAGCATGTGATAGGATATTATTTTCCTTATAGGTCCAAAAATCTTAACTATGTACTAATTGTTTAGTGAAATCAATTTGCAAAAAATCATTTAGTTAGCTGACCAATTAGGGAGAGAGAAAGTCACAGAAAGTCAATTCAGCACAAATCAGGTAGCAATATAGTACAAGTTCTAAAGGCATGCTTCTAATCTTCCACATTATTTGAAGAATGCATTTGGGCAAATTACTTAAACTCTTTCTGCCTCACTTTACTTATCTTTATGGGTGGTAAAATAGGACCTCCACATAGGATTATATTTGACCATTAAAGGCTAGTTATTTTTAATTTACAAAATGGTCATTACCAAAAATTTATTCACAAAATTACCCTCTCAACTACTTTTTTATTCATTGTGTCTAGGATATTTTACTACCTGTGATATTCTTTAAAATCATCACATAGCTTAATATAATTAATATTAATACAGCTGAAATAATTTTGCCACTGCAGAATAAAATTTAGTTAATTCCAGAGTATAATTTTCAGTACTTTGGGAAATATGACATTGCAAGATGAGAGTTATATAGATATTTTTTGAAATTCAAGCATAATACGTGAAGCAAGTTTCTTTCTCCAATAGATTTTCACAATATTTAATGTCTTCTTATTTTTTCTTACTTACCATTTTCTTAGCTTGCTTGATAGAAACACTACTTTGTATATCATTTAAGCATCTGAAATATGCTCAGTATTTGGAAGCAGAAATCAACATACTATTATATTCTTATCATTTTATTCAATAAAACAGGGACAATTTTGACTACTAAACAAATATAACACAGTTGCTAAGATGAAAGAGCTACTGGGAAATTGAAACCTCAAAAGAATGTTCAAAACAATTTGAAACCTGTTGAAGTAATAATCTATAAACTTTATAAATATGTAATATATACAAAATTTTAGTGAATCAAAATTTTGTTCAATTGGTTTTTAGTGAACTGGTATTCACTAAATTGATTTTAGCTCAATACATGCCTGATTCACAGGATTTCACACACACATGTACATACCCCCATACCATCCACACTTACAGTATTAGAAGAACTAAAATTTGAAGGTTTGGTATGAGTCACATTGCAAATATGTTATTATCTATGTTACTAATATTCTCACTGCTTAAGATTGTAAAGGTCATTTCTTCTAACAGTGCAGCATGGGTATATTCTATCCATCCTCTGTCAGGCAGAGACAAGGTTATCTTAGTCATGAAGGTGAGGATCAGAGACATAAAGTCATGATATAGTTGGGAGACACCCAACCACTGAGAAGTTTCCAGAAAGAAAGATTTTAGTTTTGTAATTGTTTGCAAATAATTAATGAAACAAGGAAAATGAGCACCTTCTTTTAGATGACGGGTGGTGGAGAGTGCCACTTTAAATAGTCTTCCCAAAACTTGATGAACTACTGGGCACTATAATAAACCAGATGAAAAACACTGGCAGTCATTGCAGACATTTTTTAAAAGGTGATTTTCTAGGCCATTACTGAAGCTGATTAATTTCAGGAATTGTACTAACCGCAACTTATCTGTGGCAAAGGTGAGGTTTTGTGATTAATGATAGTGATGGATTTAAACGTGGTGTTAGAAAACATTTGACTTCAATATTACACCTGAAGGTGTAACTTGCTCTAACATTTTTAACATGCATTGGAAAAATAGACTTGTTGGACACAGAGTTGCACAAACCTTCATTTTATAGAAAGAGCAGTATCACCAAAGCACAATTAACAAAGTATGCTGTGTAAGAATCAAATCCTGGGCATTAAGCTAGATGAACTGACAGGATGAAACTTTTGGACTATTTTTCCCAGCATGGATTAAGTTTGTTCTTTGTGTGGGAAAAAGGACACACAAAAATATTTGAAGACCAGCAAGAAGGAATGTAGCATAGACAAGAAGTATTTACTAAGGAAACCATGTTTCCCTCCATTACTCATCCACCATTCTCTGACATGTGTTTTTCTAGTAAGTCTTAATCTATAATTTATTTTCAACCTCTACAAATTAATTAATTCTTTAGAATTTTTGAAATAGTTTTATGTTTTCTATTCATTTCTTTATATTTTCCTTCTCTCTTATATTTTTATGGCTTACACTGGGTTTTTAGCTTTTGTGTTTTAATTTAGTCTTCATTGATGAAATATTTTCTATAATTTCAAATTGCAAGTGGGTCTGTATGATATTTTCTTCACATCTTTTTTCTCAATCTTTATTAAAAATGTCTATTATTTTCTAATTATGCTGTTTTGGATTATAGATTTTTTATTCTATTAATATATTTAGATGTTCTTCAAATATTTTCCAACATATGTGCTCACTTTCGGTTTGGGTGTCACATTTTTATAATCCTTGCAAAATTTCAAAGTTTTTATTATTATTATATTTGTTATGGTGATCTGTGATCAGTGACCCTCGATGTTGTCATCAAACCCAGGTTCAGCTGCTCACCTGTCAAAAGCCAAACACAGGAGAGGAGCGATGGCGGGAAGAAAGCAGGTTTATCTGGAGAGCCAGTAATCTGAGAAGATGGTGGACTAGTATCCTAAGGTGCTGTCTTAAGTCAAAACATATTTCAGGGTCTTTTTATGTTAAGGGTGGGCAAAGAGAAAGAGGTTGTTATCAAGAGGTGACCAACAACCACAGACATCTGGGCACCAGTGAGGGTTTGAGTAGACTGGGAATGTCTTTAACCTTGGTCAGATCACAATGCTCATATATATCTGTAACAAAACATAGTTAGCTGTTTTCATACTTTCTCTTTAATCTCAGAGTTAGTTTTAAAAACTACATGATTGCTGTTTTTGCATATTATCTCAGTGCTCTAAAATTATCCTAGTCTACATGCAGGTATGGGTAAAGACCTCTTAAACACAACTAGAGTGAGAGTTATGTTAGTTTTTTTTGCTGTATTCTTGTTAGGATGTTACTATTGTAATGGTTTGGGGGCACCAAAAATTCTACCTATATAAGATGGTGAACTCAATCAATACATGTTTATTTTCTGCTCCCCCACTGACAGCTCTCTCCCTCATCTCTCTATTTCTACTCAGGCCTCCCTAGTTCCTGAAACAGAAGAATATTGAAATTAGGCCAATTAATAGACCTACAGTGGGCTCTAACTATTCAACTGATAGGAAGAGTCACATGCCCCTCATTTTAAATCAAAAGATAGAAATGATTGAGCTTATTGAGGAAGGCATGTTGAAAGCTAAGATAGGACAGAAGCAGAGACAGACTGAAAGCTAGGTCTCTTATACCTGACAGTTAGCCAAGCAGTGAAAACAAAGGAAAAGTTCTTGAAGGAAATTAAAAGTGTGACTCCAGTGAACACATGAATGATAAGTAACTGAAACAGCCTTATGCTGATGTAGAGTAAGTTTGAGTGTTCTCAATGGACTATCAAACCAGACACAACACTCTGTTTAGCCAAAACCTAATTCCAGGCAAGATGCTAACTCTCTTCAATTTATTGAAGCCTAAGAGAGGTGAGGAAGCTGTAGGAAACAAGTTGGAAGGTAGCAGAGGTTGGTTCATGAGGTGTAAGGAGAGAGGTCATCTTCATAACATAATGTGCAAGATGAAGCAGCAAGTGTTGCTGGAGAAGCTGCAGCAGCTTATCCAAAAGATCTAGTTAACATCACTGATGCAGGTGACTACACTAACAAGATTTTTTAATGTAGACAAAACTGCCTTATATCAGAAGGAGATGCCATCTAGGACTTTCATAGCTAGAGAGAAGCCAATGCTTGGCTTAAAAACTTCAAAGGACAGACTGATTCTTTTGATAGGAACTAATGTAGCTATGACTTTATGTTGAAACCAATACTCACTGACCACTTTAAAAATCCTAGGGAAAACAGTGATGCGAATTCTACTCTGATATGCTATATAAATGGAAAAAAATAAAAGCCTGGATGACAGCACATCTCTTTACAATATGGTTTACTGAGTATTATAAACCCACTGCAGAGACCTACCTCTCAGGCAAAAAGAAAAAAGAAAAAGATTCCCTTCAAAATTTTACTGCTTATTGACAATGTACCTAGTCACCCAAGAGCTCTCATGGAGATGTACATGGAGGTTAATATTGCTTTCATGCCTACTAATACAACATCCATTCTGCAGCCAGTGGATGAAGAAGTAATTTCAACTTTCAAGTCTTATTATTTAAGAAATACATTTTGCAAAGCTATAGCTGAGATAAATAGTGATGCTTCTGATGGATCTGGGACAAAGAGTTGATTCCAACCCTAATGAATGACTTTGAGGGGTTCAAGACTTCATTGGAGGAAACAACTACAGATGTGTCAGATTAGTCATATGAAAGATAGCTAGAATTAAACATGAAACCTAAAGATGTGACTGAATTGGTGCAATATGATGATAAAGCTTGAATGGATGAAGAGTTGTTTCTTATGGACAGAAAAGAAAATGATTTCTTGAGATGAAATCCAATCCTGGGGAAGATTCTGTGAACGTTGTTGAAAGGTCAATAAAGGATTTTGAATATTCCACAAACTTATTTGTAAAGTAGCCACCAGGGTTTGAGGTGATTGACTGAAATTTTGAAAGAAGTTCTACTGTGGTTAAAATGCTGTCAAACAGCATTGCATGTTACAGAAAAATCATTCCTGATTTCATAGCCATCCCAATCTTCAACAACCACCAGGCTGATCAGTTAGTAGCCATCAACATCGATGCAAAACTCTCCACCAGCAAAAAAAAAAATATATGACTCCTTCAAGGCTCAGATGATCATTACTATTTTTGGCAATAAAGTATTTTTAATTAAGGTATGTAAATAATTTGATATATAATGCAATTGCATACTTAATAGATTACAATGTTCTTTAAATATAACTTTGTATACACTACAAAATTTAAAAAATGATGTGATTCCCTTTTTTTTGAAATGTGCTTTATTGCAGTGGTCTACCATGAAACCCCCAGTATCTCTGAGTTATGCCTTTATATGTAAAGGTAGAAATCTGATCAAAAGAATGAAGAGACAAAACTGGATACTTTATAATGCAAAAGGCTACAATCCACAGTACATAGCGACAACTGATATAAAGATGAAACAGCAAAAGATTCAAGGAGAAATAAAGACAAATTCAAAAAGGAAAGACTTTTTATATGTGCTGCTTTGATTACTTAGTATTTTATATGAGTTTCTTTCTCTTTGTTCTTTTTCTGGAGTAGAGTTTTTTTTTGCGGGGGAAGGAATGCTGTACTCGCACTAAAATTTGATTTGTTGCTTAAAACAATATACTTTCAGATGAAAATTTGTGTGTTACAAAAATAACCACTATATTTGGAATATACTTGGAAGATTCACAAAAGTTTTCTAACAGCTTGACTGAAAAGAACAACACAAGAAATGTAAAGAAATAATATAAATAAATTTTGTGGATAAAAATAGGATAAATTAATAACAAAATCAAAATGCTACTTGCTGCAAAAATTTAAAATATATAAGCACCAATAAAGATGCTATATTAAATACCCTTGATTCAAAGAAAAAAATTAGGTAAATTATAATTTTTTAAAGTGTAATGATAATGCAAAGCTAATAAACTACAATCTAAGGAATTCAGCAAAATCAGGTATCAGAGGAATATTATAGTATTAGACACATATATCAACATAATACTATATAACTATAAACACCAGTGTCAGAAAACAGCAGCAAAGCCAAACAAAGTAGAAGGACCAGATATAAGCAAAATTAAGTGATTTCAGAAGTGTAAATTAAGTTCAGATACTTTTCTGTATCTCGTAGATTATCAATTTAATTTATTCTCCTCAGCTCCTATACTATTATGAATTGAATTATGATTTCCTAAAATCTTTTGAATTCCTGCATTAAAACTCAAGTGATTATAACATATTATGTCTAAATGTTGTCTTGTAATCATTTTCCCTAATACTCTAGTAAATATATTTACATGATTGATTGTTTAAAATACTGTTTGTCACTAATTTTTTTGTTGCAGGTTTGGGGATAAATATTATATTTCTTAGATAAAAGTAATTTGGAATTTTCTGTTTTATCATGCCTTTGAATAATCTAAATAAATATAACTTACTTATTCAGATAAGAATGGGGAGCTACTTCCTTATTATGAAGCATATATGTATGCATACATAAATGCTTCAATCAAGAACAAGACAAATAAGAAAAAAATTATAAAAAATACATTAAAATACGTAGTCCATGTGTATATACAACTATACACTTTGTACTTATCATAAAAGTAATGACTAATGATGCCTTCTGGGTCCTCTGCTTATTTAACATTATGACTATACTGGTCAGTACAAACTGACTAGAGGAGAGAAAACAACTAGAGGCAAAATAAATTCAAAAGGAGAGGTAAAATAATCTAGTTAGACAGCATAATTATACATCTTGACCACCAAAATATTCTAAAAAAATAATGAAAGTGATGTTAGATAAATACTTTAGGTAAAATTAACATAAAACCAATAAAACATATATAGACAAAGCAAGAAGTGGCTATTAGTTTTAATGGAAACAAGACAAAAGCAAAAAATTAAAAATAAAATGAGATATTACTACACACCTATCAGGTAGAAAGGCTAAAATCTAAAGCACTGACAGCACCAAAAGTAGCAAGTATGCAGAGCAACAAGGAATGATGGGAGGAATGCTAAATGGCACAGTCATTTTGGAAGGCTGTTGATAGGCTTTTAAAAAACTAAACATATTCTTTCCATATGACCACAAATGGTGCTCCTTGGCAACTTTACTCACAATTACCAAAACTTAGAAGCAAGGAATATGTTCCTTCAATAAGTGTATGAATAAACAGATGGTAGTGCATATAGGAAATGAAATATTATTCCATAATAAAAAGAAATGATCTATCAAGCCATGAAAAGACATGGAGGAAACTTAAATGCAGGTTTCTAAGTGGAAGAAACCAGTCTGAAAAGACTACACATTATGTGATTCCACCTATGTGGCATTCTGGAAAAGGCAACACCATGGGGAGTAAAACAAACAGTGGTTTCCAAAATTTTGGAAGGAAAAAGGGATGCATAGATAAAGCACAGGGAATATTCAGAACAATGAAACTATTTTGAGGATTATGTAATGGTGGGCAAATACCATTATTTATTTGTCAAAACTTACATTATGTATGACACAGCGAGTGAATTCTAATGTAAACTATAAACTTTAACAATGACATATCAATATGAATTCATTATTTATAACAAATATGCCAGACTGATGTAAGACAAAATAGGAGAAACTGAAGGTCATGATAAGACATAGGGGAAGTGTCAATATTTCCTAGTCAATTTTTCTGTAAAATTAAATCTGCTCAAAAACAAAATTATTTAACTTAAAAAAATGAGCAGACAAAATCTTAGTCATAAGCTTAATGGGAAATATTCCTAATCTAGAAAACCATAAAAAATTTATCAAGGCTCACTATTATACTTGAAGACCTATTATATCCTTGCACAGAAAGAAAATATCATAAAGTTATCAGTTGCCCAAAAGTTAATTTATAAATATAATGCATTACCACTAAAAATACCATCAAGTTTTGTTCGGAAGCAAGCTGATTATTAATTATAGTTGGAATCACAAACAGTCAAGGAGAGTAACAAATTTCCTAAAATGTAAGAGCAATTATGGTGTGCTAATCTACCAGGTATGGAATAGTATTATGACGTCTCTACATTTAAAAGATTGTCATATTGGCCTACAAGAAAGCAGACCAATGGAACAGAACAGAAATTCCATAAGTGAACACTACTACATTTCAAAATTTAGAGTATAAAAAGACATTACCTCAAAAAAATGAAGAAAAATTAGGTTTTACAATAAGGAATATTTGAGATACCTTGCTAGTCATTTGGGAAAAAGAACTATATCAATTTCTCACAGTATATCCCAGATAAATCCCAAATGGATCAGATTATTAAATCTAAAAAACAAATAATTTTAGTTAATAAGTGAATAAGGCATGATATAATTTGAATGTCACTATTTTCAAGCCTTTTTGAAATATAGATTGTAGGCAATAGTCATGAGTGGGGTAATCATCCATAAAACAAGGACCAGTGAATAGTGGGTAGGTTTTGTTGAAATTTCACATGTTCAGGTATAAAGCATTTTTTCTAGAAATGGAAACTGAATCAAATTAGGTCTTCAGATCTAAATATCAGAAAATAATTGGTATAAAGTATAGATAATACTTGGGAAGAGGTATAGGTCCATGGAAGTGTGTTTTGCAGATTCCATAATGTAGTATAATTTACAGCATGAGTGTACCAGTTTATCAGCATGGTTTGTTATAATAAAGTGGGCTCTTAATTTGAATAAGAAAACAATGAATTAGATTTCTATTACAATTCCTGGGTCTTAATTACTTAGAATGACTAAAACATATAATCAATAGTTTATATTATTATAAATCACACTACTCAATAGGAAAACAGAGTGTCTTGTCAAATAAAAAACACTAATTGATTTTGCAATTTTAAACAATGATTGGATCATTAAAACTATCTATCCTTATTATCCTACTGTATATTTAAATAGGTTCAGTACTAATTATTTTAGTATCTAAATTGTTAACATTATCAAACTGTTTGTCATATTATGCAAAAGGTTCAGCTAATGCTAAGCCTAACAAGACCTCTCTGTACTTGTTGAAATCTTGTGGTAGACAGTGAGCACCTATCCCCATAAAACATCATTTTTTTGAGTAAACGCCATCCTTACATGTATAAGATGCTTGAAGTAAAATATCCATGAATGTATACAATTTTCCTATGATAGTTGTAACAGAGGCTGTCAGTACCACACTAATATCCCATAGTCTTTGTCACACTTGCCCTTAACGTTCTTGTCACCCTTGTCCAATTTCCCACAGTCAACCTCTGACAAAAGATATCTTTTTGCCCTTCATGCGTAGTAGACCTGTGTCTTAATCAGCCAAATCTCATAGACTAGGTGACTCAATTATGAATTATTTTCTCATAGTGCTAGAGACTGCAAAGTCCAAATAGAGCTTGATTTCGGGTAAGGGCTCTCTTCCTGGCTTGCAGACCACCACCCTCTTGCTGTGTCCTCGCATGGTGGAGAGAAAGAACAAGCTCTTTCTCTCTTCCTATTTTTTATAAGACCAATAATACTATTGGATTAGGGCTCCACCTTTACAACCTCATTTAACTTTAATTATTTCTGAAAAACTCTATCTCCAGATAGTCACATGGGAGATTAAGGTTTCAACATATGAATTTAGAGAGACACAGTTCAGTCCATACCAGACTGAAATGGTGAGGAAATAATGACTATTATTCCCAGACTTTTCTCCAGTAGCCCTCAAACAATGAGTGAAAACACTTAATGAGTAAATCCTCCAGTGGGCTCATTCTTAGGCAGGTGCTTCTACACTGGCTTTCAGAATTCTTTGGTGGGATTAAGCTCCAAGTACTCATGAAAGTAATTTATTGACAATGTACAGTCTACTGCATGGCCACTGGTTTCTCCCTTACTCTTCCCTATTCTGTGCCAGTGATTCTTGGGATTACCTTTTAAATAAGCTACTTGTAATTAAAACTTTGTGGGTATCTTTAGGGGAATCTCAACTAAGACAACTGGTATTGTCCTAGGAAGCAGATCTTCGGAATGGGATTGTGACATTGACTATTATGCTGGCCAGATGGCAGTCAGGGACTCATTGCTGCTTTTAGATAGGGTGGTGACACTCCTTGACATGTCATATATAGCATTACAATTCTGAAGACTATTACATATTGTGAACTGAGATGTACAGCATACAACTGGAAGCATTTACGGACCTATGTAATATCCATAGTGCTTGAGATGCAAAAAAGTAATTTTAAGTATTGCAGAGTTTTTGATTGTAGCTAAGGACCACAAATACTGTGAAGGAAGGAAATAATAGGCTTATGTTAGGTAACCACAAACTCATGGCTTGGTGTGAAAGCTAGAACACCTCCGTGACAAAGGCGCTCATCTCCTGGAGCCAGGAAAAAAACTGCACTGATAAGAATTCCAGCCACTGATTTTGTGAGTATAAGAGTTATAGAAAAAAGGTTAAATGTGAATCACAAGGATATGTTTTATGCTAGAATGGGGTCCCTGAGAGGTAAGTGAGGAAACCCTGGGACCTGGTATGCTGGCGTTTGGGTGGATGCACTTTAGGTCCCCCAGTCGCCAAATTTCCCTTGGTCTTACCACTCTTAACATTCTCATAACTCATGAGCAGTTTCCAACTGTCCACCTCTGGGCTAGAAGAAATAACTCTGTCTTCTCTGTTAGGAATGGCAGACTGAAAAGTACATGAAGCTCTCAGATGAAGTGTCTGTCTCACACGATGATATTTTATCTCACCAAAATCTGTTTGAATTGTACCTCCATAATTAATTATGGAAGGATGAACTAGCTGAACCAATTGGAGAAAGTGTTCCTGCCCCACCAAAATAACTTCAGGGCTTGGCAAATGTGGACCAAGAATCAGAGAAAATGCAAAAAGTGGATCTTGATAATAAAGAATGAAACTCTTCTAGAACATATCCCTAAAGTAAAATAATATAAAAATATTGATGTGGGAGCATGCTCCCATAACTCAGATAACTTAGGATATAAAGTTCTGAACAGGACACCTGGAGATAGTCCTAAAACACTTCTAGGATGGCTCTTTAAAGTTTATGTCTTTCTCCCTACTTCTCTTTCTCTTTGTCTTTCTTTTTCTCTTCTTCTCTCCTTCACCCTCTTCTTCTCCCTCTCTGTATTTGTGTGTGTATATAAATAGATATATATGTGTATGTATATAATAAATATTATATATAATATCTATACTTAACACTTTAGTGGAAATATCAGAATTGTTTCATAAGAATATTGATAGAAGGGTCAAAAACATAAAGAGGTTTTCCTAGGGATGTTGGCTACAGGGCCAACTTATTAATATCAGATGAACCAAAGCTCCATCATGAACCACTGCTCTCTGTTAAGTAGCAGTATATAGAGTCTACATGATGTAAAAAGCTCTCCATGATATAAAAAGCAGCTCCAGGCATGCTTGCCATAGTAGACAGCATACCTAAACAAAGGCCATTAAAAGACTCTACAACTGGTATTGCTCATCATAAACTGGAAATTTTCAGCCCAGCCAGTCCTAAAGTTGAGTGGGAACCATAGTACTCCATAGCCCAATGAAATAGCAGTGGTTTTGGCTTCAAGTCTGATCAAGTCTGGAGTATTCATGTATTACATATATGCCCTCTGAGGAACAGTTTATTTAATTTATCTCATTCTGTAGCCTTGCGAGAGGATCCTTAAGAGCAGCAGATGTCAGAGGGAAAAATTACAGTTCTGTTCTATGGAGACATCAACTTGATATGATTGTGTGCTACCAGAATGGACACACTGCCCCAATCTAGGTGGCCCCAAAATGCTCCTAGTACACATGACTTTGACCAGTGTTTCTGGCCATGAAATTTGTGAGGAAGGAGAAGTGGCCTGAGGTAGGGATATTCCTGGAATTCTAGGAACTGAGTGTGGCTTAGCTTTTTAAAAGTAATTATCAATTTATTATCAGAGTCCTGGAAGGAGCAAGTAGACAATTAGAAACAAAGAAGCCTAAGAAAGAAGCATTTGAATGCATTAGTGGAAAGGGACATGATGGGTGAAAGTCTCCACACTCGCCAGGTAGCATCCACTGTAGAAGAGGCATTATACCAGGTTACAGATGGCAGAAAATACTTTGTAGTCTCTCCCATCAAGTCTTTTTTGCCATCATTTAAATCTGGGATGGCCATGTTACTTGCTTTGAGAAATACAATAAGGCAGAAATGACAAATTGTAAGTTCTAAGCCGTGACTTCAAGAGGACATGTAGTTTCTGCTCTTGCTCTATTGGAACATTTTTACCCTGAGCTAGGCTGCTGGTGAAGTCACACGAAAAGTTGTATGAAAAGTATCTCAGCCAAAAGCCAGCAATCAAAGAGACATCAAAGCAAGGTCACTGTGTGTCATCTAGTGTTAGTTTAACTGACAGCTCACTGTGGCCAAATGGATATGGTCAAATGAGAAGGAGGGGAGAAGAAGGAAAGGAGGAAAGGAAGTAAGGAAGAAAAAGAGGGAAGGGAGGAAGGGGATGAAAGAATACTGCTATATGCTAAAGAGTAGCCAAAGAGTAAAAGCTACCGCATAGCATCAAGGTTTGACTCTGAAACACCAACACCATCACTGGGTCAACAACCCCTGGACATCGTCTCTTCAGTGTTTTAAGCAACAGACTTGCATACCTGAAACAGGGTGCTCATCTGGACAAGAACAATAGGTTTTTCTACTTACTATGAGGGAGGGATTTTTGCTCTATTTGTTGTAGTACAGTGTGACTTTATAGCAAATGTAATCTCATTAGTAATATCATTAGTATAAATATATCTGAGATACTAGAATATTTCTATTATTAATACTCTTTTTTAGTGTTTTAGTAAATTTTTACTAACAATAGAAATAATTATTAAAAATTTTGGTGAAGAAATCCCAGAGCCCGGCATTTATTTTAAATTGAATGTTTTTCGTTGACTTTTACCAATAATGATGCAATTTACTTCTTGTAGCAACAGTGCGCATGCTCCAAAATGTGACTAAGCATACATATGTCGACATAACGTACATTTTTCTTGTGTCTCCATGTCCACATGTGAACAGCTTATTTTTAACTTTAAAAAATAAAGACCAAAAGAAGCAGTGATTAAATAGATTGGCAGAATATAATACTTTGCCTCATTTTTAAATTTGTTCTGCATTTCCTCAATGCATAGTGAAACAGATGCTATATTTTATCTTTGGGGCAGAGTTTGTCCAAAGTGCATATAAAACTGTCGTATATGTGATTTCCATTGAAATATATTCACTGCTCTGCTTATAAAATCTGTTGTATTGATATGAGATTAATAGTACAAAGGGACAAATTTGTTTTTAAACAAAAATAACATAATTATTGTGTGTACTCCAATTGCACTTATCTTCCTTTGCTTTTGTTTTCTCTTTTTCTCTAATTTTGTTCCCTTATATGTCAACATACATTTTTCTAGGGTTCTCAGTGTAAGTTTCTCACTATTTTTTCAATTAATATTTTCCAGAAGGGGTTAAAATAGCTCTTATTTCAACTGGAAAGGAACCAATTGTGTTTTGGGAATATTTTAAATCTTTTAAACAGACTTTTATTATTTGATTTCTATTTTGAAAATTATCAAACCTAAATAAAAACTGTAAGAATAGTACAATAAAAATGGATTAAACTTTGCTTAGATTTACAGATTTCTAACATTTCCTTATTTATTCCTACTTATCAATAAATATATACATATTATTAGGATTATTAATATTTATGTTGAAACATCCAAAATTAAGTGTTGGATAACATGATCCTTCACCCTTAAATTCTTTAGTATGAATATCCTAGGAACTAGGAGAACATTCTCTTATGAAACTACAAGGCATTTATCAAATTCACGTAATTTACATGGATGCAATACTTATAATTCTCATCAAATTCATGTTTAACTTTTATTAATTACCTTTAAAACCTCCTTCATAGCAATTTTTATTCAACTCCAGTTCCAACACAAAAATGTATTTTACTTTCAATGTTAATGTTCCTTTAGCATACTTTATTCTGGAACTGTTTTTCAGCCTTTCACATTGATATTTCTGAATTGTAGAGGCCAAGAGCTTTATAGAAGGTCCCACAAGTTGTGTTTGCTTGCATATTTTATCCTAACTAGATCCAGGTAATTAATTTTTGGCAGGAATATAATATACTTGAAGCTGTATCCTTTTCAGTGTAAAATGATACATCAAGGAACACCTGGTATCAGTGCACGCCATCATTGATGCTGGTAACCTTGGTGTGGAAGTGACCATCAGATTTTCCCACACACAGTTTCCTTCCTTCCCTTAGAATTTGATAAGTCATTTACGGGGAGCAATTTTGATCCTGTTTTCAACAAACATTCATCTAATGTTTGAACATCCATTGATACATATCAAAATCTTATTACAATGAGTTTAACTGTCATTTCTTCCACATGTTAGTTGACATTATAATGTAAAGAATAATTTTACTTTCTCCTACCTTTATGTATTTCTTTGTTTTACAGTTTTAACTGTTTTTATTAGAACTTAAAATTGGAGAGTGGGATCAAGAAAGTTTTGTTTTTACTTTGCAATCACATAAATTTACTATGCTTTTCAAAGAGTAAATGCATATTAGAAACAAAGTAAACTTTGTGGTTTTCAGAGTGCTGAAGTGATCCCCAGTGACTTATTCCTGTGTAACTCCTTTCCTTTGATTATGAACATGACCTGTGGACATGAGGGAATATGATTTCTATGATTATTTGTTGTATGGCAAATAGGATTTTTGCAAGTGCAAAACAATTCTCATATTTGTGAAAACCATTGATACTACTTGGAGAAATATACAGATTCTCTTTATAACTTTTGTTTCTAAAAAAGAGTCAGATAATATCCCATATTAATACATCTTTAAATTATGCTCTGGGTCCACCGCTTTCACAAAAGAACAGGTTTGCTGACAAGCATTCTCTAGAAAAATCCTTTACCCTCAGTATTGTCACAGTATACTTAGAAATCCTAGAAAATCTCATGCCTGTTAAGCTAACACAGCTTGTTCTTAGAGATGGTATCCAAACTATACCAAGTTTAAGTCTACCTTTTAACATACCAATCCTCTACTATCCTGGATAATTAGGTTAGCCAAATGATTTTGCATTTACATGAAGCCTAATTTTATCATATTACAACTCACATTATCTATTTATCTACATAAATATGTGACTTTATAGAAAATATAGACAAACTATATTTCCTAAGACAATTTTCAGAAAAATGGATGTAAGCTTACTTTATTATATGAAACCATAGAATCTCTTTCAAATGTTTTTATATATGCTTCTTATGTTAGTTACTTTTGTGGCAGCATAGACGTTGAAGATTGGCTGATGTCCAGTCTTTAGGCAGGATAGCTGTTGTCAATGATGGATTATACATATTTTTATCTTTAGCTCAGTGAATTAATTTTAAAGAGTCTGCAGAATGTTTGAATGACTGCCATCTGGTCCTGTTGATTTTCTTGCAATATAATTTATTGATATAGTTTGTCATTTCTAACTTAAAAGGCTGTCTAGGATAAAGCCTTACCTCCCACTATATAACAAGAATAACTACCAAGGTAAATGTTGCGTGTATTACCATGAATGTCAGTTCAGAAGAGGTAAGTGTCTGTATTGCAATCTCCTTAGTGTCCAATATTAACAAAGTGATTTACAAATATGAATTTTAGGCCTGGAGCGGTGGTTCCCTCCTGTAATCCTAGCACTTTGGGAGGCCGCGGTGGGTGGATCACCTGAGGTCAGGAGTTTTAGACCAGCCTGGCCAACATGGCGAAACCCTGTCTCTAATAAAAATACAAAAATTAGCTGGGTGTGGTGGCCGGCACTGTAATCCCAGTTATTCAGGAGGCTGAGGCAGGAGAATCACTTGAACCGGGGAGGCTGAAGTTGCAAGGAGCCGAGATCCTGCCATTGCACTTCTGCCTGGGTGAAAGAGCGAAACTCCGTCCAAAAAAAAAAGAAAGAAAGAAAGAGAGAGAGACAGAGAGAAAGATGATTTTCAGCCTAATATTGGCGATAAGAAGCCTTTCTTCTGATTAGCTTCACTTCAGTAAGGACTTTTGTCAATATACACTTTCAGCATTGTACATGAAATGTTTGGCAAGAGGCAGATGACTAGTCTCTCTGTGGTCATTTCCTGATACATTCATATCTCAGGCCACAATCTCCCTGCTTTTCACTTACTTCCTACCATCTCTAGGTCCTACATCACCATTCTGTTATCCATATTTACTACCCTTCTATTACAGTTGTTTTGCCTCCACAGCATGCATGCTAGATTTCCACAAATTCTTTATGTCTTATGTAGCCAAACATTCTCAATTCATGACAGAACTAAATGTCCAAAATAATTAATATCGGGGAAAAGGAAATAGTTTGATTACAGAGGAATAATAATTATAACATGGCTTGATCATAAAAATATTTTTATATTAAATAATTGAAATGAGTGAATAATGATTTAACCATGAGTTGCTGTGAACTTTAGGCTGAGAATACTGATGAAGACGGTGAGTTTATGTGTTTATATGTGTGACTATAAACACATTTTAATAAAGGTAAATCCTCATATGGTATAGTATAAATATATTTCAAACATGAAAATTTAAAAATAGCTCTACATACTTTTGGTTTAGAAATAGAGTTGTAAATACTAGAGAAATATGGTTGTAAATACCAAATTAAAAAGCAAACAAGATTTTAATGTTTTTAATTATTTTTTCTATTTTAAGAAAATTACTGATTTCCATGCTGTTGTAAAAAATAATACAGAAGTACTATGTACCTTTTATTAGATCTACTCTAATGATTGCATCTTGTAAAACTATAGAACTATATTTTAATCTGGATTTTGACATAAAATACAGACAAGATACCGAACACTTCCATCGCTACAGCATCCTTTATGCTACTCTTATATCTACGAGCACTTTCCTTCCATTTTCACCCCCTTTAACTCCTAGCAACTACTAATCTGTTATTTCTCTAGTTTCATTTTGCTAATTATATATAAATTGTATCATAAAATATATCTTTTGGGATTGGCTTTTATTACTATAATTCCTCTGAAAATTCATCAAGATTCTTATATTTATAAAGAGTGGTTTTTTCTCCCTTGTTGGGAGATATTCTATGATATTGATATACCATGGTTTTGTGGGGTTTCTATTTATCCATTGAAAAACATCTGAGTTATTTCCAAATAAAGCTTCTATAATTATTTATGCGCAAGTTTTCTGTGAATATACGTTTTCATTTTTCTTGGATAAATGTCAATTATTGTTGGCAAATGGTAATCAAACTGTGGTTCATATGGTAGTGATATGTTCAGATTTTTGAGAAATTTTAAATTGTTTTTCAGGGTGGCTGAACCATTTTGTATTTCAGTCATCAGTGTGTGAGTGATTGCACTTCTTTGCATGTTCATCAACATGTGGTGTTGCCACATTTTTTGGTTTGGTTTGATTTTGTTTTTAAATTTTGCATTTCTGATATGTCTGTAGTAATAGTTCATTGCGGTTTTAATTTGCCTTGCCTTGGTGGCTAATGATAAGGAATATCTTTTCATGTGCTTATTTGCTATCCATACACCTTCTTTATTAAAATGGTTCTTCACGTCCTTTGCCAATTTTTTCATTTGATTTCTCATTTTCCTCCTGTTGCCTTTTGAGACTTCTCTGTAAAATCTAGATAGCTATGTAATTTGAAATTGTTTTTTTCCAGCCTGCAGCTTGTCTTTTATCCCTCTTCAAAGGTTCATTCACAGTGAAAATATATTTCGATGTTCTTAATGAAGTCTGACTTATCAAAGTTTTCTTTGATTTTTGTGCCTTTTATAAGAATTCTTTCTTTTCCCCAACTTTTACTTTAAGTTAAGGGGTACATGTGCAGGACATGAGCTTCTGCACAGCAAAAGAATTATTTACCCAGCTCTAGATCTCAAATATCTTTCTCCTAATTTTCAAAAGTTTTATTTTTCACATTTTACATTTGTCTGCAATCACTTTTAAAATAAAAGCATAAATTTAAGGTGTACAGCATGATGTTTTGATATACATGTACATTGAGTAATGGCTACTACAGAAAACTAACATATTCATCTTGGTCACCTCACATAGTAACCTTTTAGCAGGTGTGTGTGGTGAGAACACTTAAGATCTACTCTCTTAGCACAGTTAAAATAGTCAACACAGTATTAATAACTATAGTCACTATTCTGTATATTAGATCTCTATAAAGTTTTCACATCACATAAGTGAAACATATCTTTTGACCAACATCTCTCTATTTCTCCCACTCTGTCTGTAATCCATTTGGAGTTAATCTTTTTATAAAGTTTGAGACATGTCCAATTGCTATAACGAATGTTAGAACATTTGTTGCAAAGGTTATGTTTCCTTTATGATTTTGCTTTTGCACTTTTGTCAAAACTCAATTGGGCATATTCATATAGGTCTATTTCTGAGTTCTCTATTCTGTTTTGTTGATCTATGTATTGATTCCTCCATCAATATCACACAAACTTGATTACTGTAGGTATATAGTGAGTCTAAAAATGGATAGACTGATTCCTCTTTTTATATTCATAATTTTCAATATTATTTTAATTCTTCAGGTCTTTTGCTTTTTTATACCAATTTTAGAATAATGTTCATTATATCTATAAAAATCTTAATGATATTCTGATATGAATTTGGTTATACCTGTATATAATTATGGAGAATTAACATCTTTCATGTGCTGTCTTCCAATTCATGAACATAGTATATGTCTCTCTTTATTTAAATCTTCTTTGATCTTTTCATAACCATTGCACATCTTTATAATACACAAGTCTTCTACATATTTCATTTACAACAAAACATTTCTTCGTGTGTGCGAACAACTGAAGATGGTATAAAATTTTTAATTTTAGTATCTATGTGATTATTGCTGGCATATAGAAATACAAATTATTTTTGGATGTTTATTTTGTATCCTGCTTGTATCTTGTGTCCTTGATGACCTAATTTATTTTAGGAGGTTTTTGTATATTAGTTGAGAGTTTCAGTGGAGACAATTATGTCATCGGCAAATCGGGACTTTTTTTTATCTTCAATTGCAGCATGCGTGCCCTTCATTTATTTATTTATTTGGCCATATTGAAGTCTTTAGAGCTTCTAGAATTGAATTGATTGAGAATATTGAGAGATGACCCCATTGTCTTGTTTACAATCTCAGGGAAAATGCATTCAGTGTTTCTCCCATTAAGTCTTTCTCCATTGAATATAAAGCTACCTGTAGGATGTTTTTGTACATATTATTTATCAATTCGAAAAAGGCCTTCCTTATTTATATTTTGCTAGAAGATTTTCATGAATGATATTGTCAATTACTTTTTCTACACTTAATGCTATGATTGTGTAATATTTCTTTGTAACTCTGTTAATATAATGAATTAAATTGTCCTTTAAAAATTATTGATATAGCTTTGCTCCCATAGAAATAAATCCCCCTTGGTCATGGTGTACAATTTTTAATATATTTCTGAATTTTTTTCTGATCTTATTTTGTTGAAGATATCAGTATCTATTTTCATGTGGAATATTGATCTACAGTTTTCTTTCTTGTGCTGTCATAGCCTGGTTTTAATATCAGGATAATACTAAACTCACAAATGAGTTGTAAGTGTTTTTGCTTTCTGTAATAAATTGTGTAGAATTGGTTTTTTTTTTTTTAAATCTTTGTAGAATTATTCAGTGAAACGATATGTATTTGGGCATTGCTCTTCTTTTATAAAGTATTGATTTGTTTAAAATGAGTGTCTTATAAACAAGACATACACTGATCATTTTTATGTAGTCCACTCTGCCCGTTTCTGCCTTTTAATTTGTATGCCTAGATCATTTATGTTTAATATATTCACTTATATTTTAAGACATCAATCTGCAATTTTTTCTTTTTGTTTGATTTTCTGCTTCTGTATTTTCTTGAGTGTATTTAGGTTGTTTTTTTTTTGCCTTCCTGTGGGTTTCTTAAACTATTTTTAGCATTTATTTTTATCTAGAATATTACTATGTGTATTATTTTGTATAAGACAGGGCTATAATTTTGGTTTCCATAGTCAAACATACTTTAAAAAGATCAAGAAGGACAGTCTCTTGCCTTTACCCATATTACAGTGTTCTTCTTCCTCCTCTTACATTAGTTTTCAATTGCTGCCATAAAAAATTACCATAAATTCAATGGCAAAGAACAACACAAATGCGTATTTTACAATATTGGAGGTCAGAAAGCCAAAGTAGTTTACAAAATCTGTGTTTCTTCTAAAGGATCTGTTGGGGAAAAATCTGTGTACTTGTCCTTTCCAGATTCCCAGAAACTGCCCATGTTCCTTGGCACTTGAGCCCTTCCCAGAATTGGTATTGCTCCCACATCTGCTTTCATCATTATACTTCCATTCATGATTCTGACTTTCCAGCCTCTCTCTCGTATAGATATTTTTGATTATATTGGGTACATCCAGATAATCCTGTATGAAATTCCCCAGTCGATATTCTTAATTACATCTGCAAAGCACCTTTTATTATATAAGGTAAGATATTCACAGGTTCTAAGGATTAGAATGTGGACATCTTTGAAGGTCATCATCATTCACATCACACTGATGTGCCAAGATTTTTTTCTGTTGTCTTTAGATTTCAGAAGTTTGAGTATGGTGCAGCACAGATTGTTCTGAAACTATCCTTTTTGGAGCTTATTTCCTTCCTTGAATTTTGAAATTTTGAGGTGTTATATTAGTCAGGGTTCTCTAAAGGGACAGAACTAATAGGATAGATGTATATATGAAGGGGAGTTTATTAGAATTGACTCACATGACCACAAGGTGAAGTTCCATAATAGGCCGTCTTCAAGCTGAAGAGCAAGGAAGCCAGCCCAAGTCCCAAAACTTCAAAAGTAGGGAAGCTGACAGTGCAGGCTTCAGTCTGTGGCCAAAGGCCCGAGGACCCCTGGCAAATCATTAGTGTACGTCCAAGAGTTCAAAAGTTGAAGAACTTGGAGTCTGATGTTCGAGGGCAGGAGGATCCATCATGGGAGAAAGATGAAGGCTGGAAGACTCAGCAAGTTTTATTTCACTTTTTTCTGCGTGCTTTATTCAGGTCATGCTGGTAGCTGATTAGATAGTGCTGACCCACATTGAGGGTGAGTCAGCCTCTCCCAGTCCACTGACTCAAAGGTTAACCTCCTTTGGCAACACCCTCACAGACACACCCAGGAACAATACTTTGCATCTTTCAATCAATCAAGTTGACGGGCAATATTAACCATCACAGGTGTCAATCTGAATTTGTTGAATGTGTTGTTTTATGTCTTTTGCAAAATTTGGAAATTTTTCAGCCATTTTAAAAAATCTTTATTCAGAACCATCCTTTTTTTTTTCTTTTCTTAAAGGACTTCATTTACACAAATACTTATTATTTTGCTATAGTCTCACATATATCTGAGTTTCTATTCATTTTTATTTAGCGTGTTTCTTCTCTACTATTCAGGTGGGATAATTTCTAAGCAAATGTTCCTTGACTTATGATGGAATTACATTCTGATAAACCCATTATTAGTTGAAAATAACATAAATTAACATAATACTTTCAACCTATAGTAGATTTATTTGGACGTAACCTCATTGTAAGTCAAGGGGTGTAGTGAATGTGTATCACTTTCATGCCATGGTAAAGTAAAAAAAATTGTAAGTCAAATCATTGTAAATCAGGGACAACCTGTAGTTCTATTTCCAAGGTCACTGATTATTTTTTATGTTCAGTATTTCATGCTATTGAGACTTTCCACTAAGTGTTATTTTATTATTAGCGTTTGTCATGATATTATTCAGTCCTCAAAGTTTAATTTTTATCCTTCATGTTTTACTTTTTTCAGAATCCTTATTTATTTAGTATAATTATGTTTTCATTTATTTCAAATGTGTGATTCAGTATTAAAGCATATTTATGATGTCTGCTATAGAGTCTTAGCCAAATACTTCTAATGTCTTTATTATTGTGGGCATCCACTTACTGTCTTTTCTCATTCAGTTTGAGAAAACTCGTTCTTGGTGATGAGTGATTTCAGATTAAAATCTGAGTGTTTTGAATATTGTTATGAAAGTTTTGGTCTTATTTATTATGATCGTATTTTTTCAAGCCTTGTACACAAACAGGTTTTAAGAGCTGACACATGTAAAAAAACATTTATGTTCTTGTTTGAATGTACAGAGTGATTTATCTAAAATAGAATCACATTATACATCTACTTATCTAGATAGATAGATGTCTTTACTCATTTCTTGTATTTAAAGGACAATATATAAGATTTGATGGAAAGTTGGTATTTTAAATATATTTTTACTACCTTTTATACATTAAATCCACGTTTATTTTTGGATTCATATTTTACAAATTGCCTGTTTGTGAAACAAATAAAATAAAACTTTTCTAAGGATATACATTGATCTTTCCTTGTGCTGATTAAGTAATTTTTATAAACCTGACACAAAAAGAAAGGAAAATCCTACCTCAAATAATTTACAAGCTTATTGAAATTGGTTGGAAGCTGATTTATTTTAATAGTAGAATTTACATAATCATTTAGTATGTGTATTACTGTCACTCTTTTATGAGCTTCTGTAAAAGAACCTGTATTTTATTTTAACAATAAGAAACACATAGGCAATGTATGATTTCATTTCTTTCACTTTCCAAAGATGGTGATAAAAGGTTCTTTGACACTAATGTCACCTTATTTTATAATAACAAACCTATTATGTAGATTAACTAAGATGTTGTACAGAAAGCTTGGGATATCTTCTACAATGTAATAATAATTATGATGATATTACTGTTACAAAGAGATGACATTTGGTAATTTACATTTATCTAGAAAATCATCCATTTTTCTCTAAAATACAATTTTTATAAAGATGTCATGTAATTTTATCTTAAATGTATTTTACTTAATTATCTTATGTGTACTTTTGTATACTTTTAAAATGTTAACCTTATTATAAGCATCTAATATTACTGTAATTTTTCATAACAACTATAATAACTGTATTCTATTATCATGTATGGAATTAGCAATTTTATATTACTATTCTACAACTGTTTGACACATTATTTCTACTGAATACATAATTTGAGATATTTTAGTATATTTCGATGTTTCTATATTTAATTAGATAGCTTTCAGGTTAGATGAACTACTGACTCAAAGCTATAAGACTTTTAAAGGGTCTTGCTACAAGTTATGCCATGAGCATACCCTTGGGTCAGTAAGTCTCCAAAACATTTCAAATGGTAGAAAAATTTAGTTTTAGATAAAAGCACCATATACTTAGCCATCTTTAATTTGTGACACATTAATGTTAAGATCATGTTGGACTCTTTTGTCATTATTCACAAATTTACTGATAATTATCTTTGATAACATTCTAGGAGTAAAATCACCAGGTTAAATCTTAGGAGAATTTTTAAGAATGCTTATCCAAATTGTAAAATAGTTTTCCAGCATTACACGATATCTGAAATGGGGTCATAATAAAAAACAAAACAAAAATGATTGATTTAATAGTTGGTATTAGAAAACTATTGTTGTAATTTGCTATTACTTCATAATGAGTAAGATTTTTTTTCCAACATGCTGACTAAAGTTTTGACCACCTTCTTTTTTTTTTTTTTTTTTTTTGAGACGGAGTCTAGCTCTTGTCGCCCAGGCTGGAGTGCGGTGACGCGATCTCGGCTCACTGCAGGCTCCGCCCCCCAGGGTTCATGCCATTCTCCTGCCTCAGCCTCCCGAGTAGCTGGGACTACAGGCGCCCACCACCATGCCCGGCTAATTTTTTGTATTTTTAGTAGAGACGGGGTTTCACCGTGTTAGCCAGGATGGTCTCGATCTCCTGACCTTGTGATCTGCCCGCCTCAGCCTTCCAAAGTGCTGGGATTACAGGCGTGAGCCGCCGCGCCCGGCCCCATCTTCTTTTATAAATTAGGGAAGATATAGTAGTGTGCACCTTCCTAGGGGACTCTGTAGGCAATGACAAACTCAAAAGATGGACCTATTTGTAAATGCTAATAATATTTGCTAAGTGTGTGATACTAGAGAGTTTTTATCTTGACAAAAATATATTTAGCAGGACATATTCAGTCTGTCTAAATGGGTAAGTATACTTGTAAGTCACGGTTTAACAGAGCATATCCGGCTGGAGTATGAAAGAGAGCTAGGCAGATATTTTTCTCTCTGCATGCATATTGTAATATAAAAGTAGGAAGAACTGTCTTAGTTCATTTTGTGCTGCTATAGGATAATACCTGAGACTGGCTAATATATAAAGAACATAAATTTATTTGGATCATGGTTCTAGAGGCTGGGAAGTCCAAGATTGATGGACCACCTCTGGTAAGTACCTTTATGCTGTGTCATCCCATGATGAAATGCAGAAAAGCAAGAGAGTATAACAGACAGAGAAAGAAGGGAAGATGGCCAGACTCATTCTTTTATCAGGAACCCACTTCCGAGATAGTGGCAGCAATCCATTCATAAGAACAGAATTTTCATCACCTTTACAACATCTCACCTCTCAGAACTGTTGCATTGGGGATTAAGTTTTAAACACACAAACTTTTGGTGACACATTCAAACTATAGCAAGATCCAAACCAAAATTCCCTCTTCTGAGAACAAAGTTCTGCGCACATTTTTGTTTTCTTACTTCAAAACCAGAAGCGACCTTATTTCAGAAGAAAGGGAAAATTGGGCAGTTGTACTTGAGAAGGTTGAGCCCCTCCAGAGAGACAAGCTGGGTTGTTTCCTCCTTCCTGCTAGTGTGCTTTGAATCTGCAATTGACATTTATGTTTCAGGATTCTTACAATTCTTGTAAATCAGCTTTCATAATCAATAGGTGTTAGTTTATTTTCCAAAATGACTTTAATATTAGTATTTCTCTATTTGGCTTATATTTGTATGCACTTTTACATAAAGGATACTAGCAATGTGTGCCTTATGTTAGGTATGTCCATCTCAGCTCATAATTAAATGTTTTAAATATTCTCAGAATTTTGACATTTCTGAAACAAATGCTCTAATTGTACTCATTTTAACATTCAACAACACTTTTCATCTAAACACTAATTCTAAAATTAACAAATAATTGCTTATGGAAGAGTCAGTGTTTGCCTCTTTCCAAACAGATCAGTAGTAACTAATTTAATTTAAGCACCTTACTTAGCTATGTATTTTTCCTGAAAAAAAAAAATTGCTTCTACAAGTAAAAGCTGGAAATATTTTTGTTTTCTCAAACGCAGGCTTGATAAGCAAAGGTAATATCTAGTCAATCACAAACTCACCCACTATGGATTTGCCCACACATTACTGTTATTGCCGAAATTGAATGCACTTTCTCCTTTTGCATGTCTCACATCCACGTCTATTTTTGAGACTTCATTTTGTACTTCAGTCTAACTCAGAACAATTCCTAGTGTGTTACAAACTTTAAAAAATGCTGAATAAAAGAGTAAACTAATAGAGGTCTGATGATATGCCTCAGTCTTTGTAAATGCCTTTATTTCATGAGGGAAACCCTGTCCTGTCTTCCTAGTCACTGTTGAGAAACTTGCTTCAGTCAGAAGGAATCTATTTATCTTTTAAGCTAAGAACTTTTAAGGGTCAGTAATTCTTCTGGTGCATTGGTCTTCATACAAATAATTTAATATTGACATCATTTTCAATTAAGAATGATTTGGCCATTTACCAGTAGATTTTTCCATTGGAATTAATTACTACCATACATAGAATTTCATTGGAGAAAACAGTCTCCTCTGGCCTGTAACATGTACAAGTAAACTATCTTAGAGTTTAAAAGTGATGTAGAGGATTTACATTCTATTTGTTTATTTTCTCTATTCAGATATTTTGATCGTAGACCTTGATTTAAAAATGAAGTATATCCATTGAGGAGCTCGTATGCACAGTGCAGCTGGCCATACAGAAATGACTGTAATATCAGTGGCAGTAATGATAGTAATAGCAGTAATATGCAGCCATAAAGTGTTTTGATGCAGTTGGTAAAACTAGACATTAAATGTGGCTTTGATAGCTTCATACTCTATTGTGTTTCAATGTCATATTTGGGTTCACAATTGGAAAATCACAATTGTTAAACTATTAAGAAGATTTAAAATACTAATAGTGATTCTTAGGAAGGGTATTATAAAGGATTTGTAGACAGTCAACTCTTCTAAATACTGTATTTTTCTATTCCATCTCATGGTCTAGGAATGTTTATAGTTAAATAACTTTTTGTAGTCCATGAAGAGTTGATTTCATCAAGTTTGCTTAAGCAAAATGTCATTAGCCAAACTAGGGCAGGATCCTGTAAATGTTACATCCAACTCATGACTGCATGTAGTTCACATTAAAATCCATAAATAAATAAGAGTATAAATGAATGAACCAATAAATAAGAAGACTCTAATCATCAAAAGATACAAGTAGATGTTTGCAATAATTATATAAGAATTTTTATCCAGAATGTGTAAAGAGCTCCTACAGATCAATAAGAAAAGGATAGACAGCCCTATTTTTAAAATGTGGAAAAATCTTGAATAGACACTTTTCAAAGAAGAATTTTGAAATATTCAATAAACCTATTGATTAAACATATTAGGCCATTCTTGGATTGCTATTAAGCAATACCTGAGACTAGGTCATTTATAAATTTATAAGAAACGAAGTTTATTTGGCTCACAGTTATGCAGGCTGTACAGGAGGCATCATGCTGGCATCTGCTTCTGGGGAGAGCTCAGGGAGCGTTTACTCATGGAAGGTGGCGGAGGAGCAGGCACACCACATGGCGAAAGCAGGAGCAATAGAGGGAGGGAATGGGGTGGGGAGGTGCTATACAATTTATTTATTTTATGTATGTATGTATTTATTTATTTATTTAGAGATGAAGTCTTGCTCCGTCACCCAGGCTGGAGTGCAGCGGTGCAATCTCGGCTCACTGAAACCTCTGCCTCCCAGATTCAAGGGATTCTCCTGCCTCAACCTCCCAAATAGCTGGGACTACAGGTGCATGCCACCACGCCCAGCTAATTTTTGTTTTTTTAGCACAGACAGGGTTGCACCATGTTGACCAGGACGGTCTCGATCTCTTGACCTCGTGATCCACCCGCCTCGGCCTCCCAAAGTGCTGGGATTACAGGCGTGAACCACGGCGCCCGGCCGGTGCTACACACTTTTAAATGACCAGATCTCAGGAAAACTCTTCACGATTGCAAAGACAGCACCAAGCCATGAGGGGACAGCACCAAGCCATGAAGGGACAGCACCAAGTCATGAGGGATCTGCCCCCATGATCCAAACACCTCCCACCAAGCCCCACCTCCAGCATTAAGGATTACAATTCAACATGGGATTTGAATGGGGACAACTATCCAAACTATATCACATATGATATGGTGCTAAATTTTACTGTTTTTGAATGCACTAAGTGGGGCAGTGATGTCAAAACACCAGAAACATTATACCTCTTGTTAGACTACAAAGCAGTACATCTGTTTTGGAAACTTGTACTTAAAAAATTGAACATAAGAATCTATTATGGACAAGTTAGTATATTCCTAAAGTTATACTCAAGAGAAATGCTTACATACATGTACAAAAATATATATACACAAAATTTTTCATAGCTGTCCCACCTAGTAATCACATCAAGTGGAAAAAACTCTCAAATGTTTTCCAACAGTAGAATGAATAATAAATTATATTAAATTCTTGCAAGGAGATGCCAGACACCAACAGCAATGAAACTACTACTACAATACACAGCGATATGGAAGAAAGTAATAGGGTTTGGATTATTTGTCCCTTCTAAACTGCATGTTGAAATGTGACGCCCGATGTTGGAGGTGGGACTAGTGTGAGGGGTTTGAGTCATGGGGGTGGATCTCTCATGAATGGCTTGGTGGCCTCCAGTGGGAGAGTGAGTTCTTATGTTAGTCCACATGAGAGCTGGTCATTTAAAAGAGCCTGACATCTCTCTTGCTATCTCTCTCACCATGTGGCATGCCTGCTCCCGTTTTGCCTTCTACCATGAGTAAAAGCTTCCTGAGGTCCTGACCAGGAACCAGCATTATGCTTTTTGTACAGCCTGTAAAACTGTGAGCCAAATAAACCTGTTTTATTTATAATTAGCGAGCCTCAGGTACTCCTTTATAGCAATGAGAAACAGACTAACACTATCATCAAAAAGATTATATGGAATAAAAGAGCAGAGACTAAAGATGCAAGCTATATGGTTCTACTTTTATAAATTTTAAAACTAATCTAATATATGCTAAATAATACTAGACATTAACTTTGGGAGAGTGTAATGACTAAAACAGGCATGAATAGAAGCATAATATTCTACCTGTTAAACTGTATGCTGGTTATATAGAAGTGTTCATTCTGTAAAATTGTGGGCAGCCGAGAAATTTGTGTTCTATTCTGAATTCATATTATATTTGAATAAAAGTAAGTTTATCTACATTGGATTAATTTACTTTGCTGACAAAATTTGTAGCTACTACCTTTTCCTCACAAACACTTTGTCTTGACATCATTCTCCTTTGCATTTATCCATCTATTTATTCAACACATATGCATTCAGTACCATGTCCTTCAGGCATCTGCCAAAATCAGGAATAAGAGAAATGTTTTCCCTGCTTGTCTCCATTCTATCAGAGATGAACTCTAAAGAAAAGCAAATACCAACATGGCACATGTATACATATGTAACTAACCTGCATGTTGTGCACATGTACCCTAAAACTTAAAGTATAATAAAAAAAGAAAAAAGAAAAGCAAATAAATGAATATAATTTTTCAAAGTAAAATGAATACTAGCTGTCATGGAGTATATTAAGACATTTAACATAATGTGTTTGGGGAAGGCCTTTCTGGGAAATGGACCTAGCTGTGAATCTTGGCTCATGAGAGAAGCCAGCTTTGTGAAAGACCAGGAAAATGGTTTTTGAATTGAATGAAAATATCCTGAAGTGAGAAGCATCTTGGCAGGTTTTTAACACAGGAAAAAGTCAGTATGATGAAATGTGTTACACAATTTGTACGGAATGAAGTTTAGAATATACAGGCAAGGTCTCCTGTTCTATGATTCTAGGTACGGGAGAAAAAAGAGATCAAGTTTTAGGAATAAGTACTTTGTGCTCTTTCCCTTGGAAAATGGTTCTTATACAAAACCTTGAAGTATTATTTTTCTCTTGTGATATTCATGACCATGAAACATCAGACTTTTCCCTTGTAATTTTTTTGCCTTTGATGTTTTTCCCTTCTGAATTTGTCCCCAAATTTGGTTAATAATTTTCGGTAATTCATTCCTTACCAATCACATAATCTGTGCAAATAACTACTCTTCTAATTGGTGAATTTTATACATAAAAATTCACAATGGATTTCATACATAAAAATCCATAATGGATTTTTATGTATGAAAATCACCAATTAGAAGAGTAGTTATTTGCACAGGTTATGAAAATAACACAATTTTCATAGGGTTTTTGAATTGGAGAAGAAGGTCTCCAAAATAAACTGCTCAGGTAACTGGAAGGATATGGAGTGAAGGAAGGTTTTACTCCACACTCTCTCTAACAAGCTGCTACTTAGAGCTTTAGTACAAAACAGAAAATCCCTGAATGGCATAAACTACTTTGTAAAAATGAGAACAACAGGTAGAATAAGTAATAAACACATAAATGAACAACCAATGAAAGTTTATGCCTGATGTGTATTAAATCAAATTCGGGGTAACTAACTCTAAAACAGATTTTGGTGTTGAACTTATGTAACAACAAAAAAGAAAGCTGATGGATTTGCCAAATGTTAAAGAAAATATTTTAGTTTAATCAGTGAAGGAGTATTTGCAAATAGGTCATTCCAATATATTTAATATTCATTTCCATTAAAGGGAAATCATTCTAAGGGAATCCCACACACTCAACGTGCCATGGAACTAAGTAAGAGTCTGTAGGCCTCTAAGGCAGAACTTCTGTTGATACTGCATGAAATCTGAGCACAGTTTAGTACTCTTAATTAATTTAAATATGCATTGAATTATGGTAAAACACGTTATAGACATTTTATTACAAACACATATGTAAAACACATATATATGTATTCTATAACTTCTTTAACATTAATATTAAATGTTTGGTAGGTAGCTGAGGCTACCTACCTGTGTGGGTACCAATAACCACATATTTCCTGAAAATTCTTAAATATACATATATATGGTATATTTACCTGTTTATACACATACACACATATCAAAACGTCAATCAGCTTTCTTTTTTGCATGTCTTCTCTGCATACTACTACAATGTTATGATTCTATGGCTGAACTTGTGCCTTATATATTTAGAAATATTTATATTATAAATATATTTTACTAGTTTATATTGTTACCCACCATTCCATAAATGCCTTTAGATATATTTATATAGCATTCACTTTGTGTTATCTTTTCCTCCACTAATTATGATGATGGGCTGTAATATGTACATGTGTGCTGCTTCTAAGTGAGTTGCTGGCATAGTCTTTATGGTTTTTCAGGACCAGAAGACAACAATCAGGTAACAGGCTAATTTAACATCAGGATATAACTTTGACAGGCAGATTTTTTTTCAGCAGCTGTTCTCTAACTATTCTAAAATATGATAGACTTCTCCCTAAATTGTTATGAAGGAGAAATTAAATTGGGTACAGCAGATGCTGTAATCTCAGGTGTTACTTAGTTTTCTTTATTGCTGACTCTGAGGAATCACATCATGACCTAATAATTGTAATAATAAAAGAGGAAGGAGTATTTGTTGGCTCAAAGATAAAGATGACTCTCAGTAAGATAAGGATGGAACATGTATTAATTATCCACCAATCTGTTGAAATCACAGATAGAATATATAAGACAAAGTAACTTACAACAGTATTTTTAAAAAGGAAATGGGGACAGTCATTAAAGAAAAAATCTCATAAATACTGCAAATGGAATAAAAAAGGAAGGCATGTTATAAAAAAGAATGAAATCCTGTAATTTGCAGAGACATGGATGGAACTGGAGGTCATTATGTTAAGTGAAATAAACCAGGCACAGAAAGACAAATATCACATGTTCTTATTCATATGCAAGAACTAAAAAAATTGATTTCGTGGAAGTAGAGAGTAGAATGGTGGGTTAACAGAACCCAGAACTGGGGAGCAATGAAAAGAGGCTGGTTAAGGGGTACAAAAATACAGTTAGATAGAAGGAATATCTTCTTGTGTTTGATGGGACAGCGGGATGACTACAGTTAACAATTTATTGCATATTTCAAAATAGAATATTTGAAATGTGCCCAACACAAAGAACTGATAAATGTTTGAGGTGATGGATACTTTAATTACCCCAATTTAATCATTACACATTGCATGTATTAAAAATCACATGTACTTCACAAACATGTACAGTTATTATATATCTGTAAAATTGAAGGCAGCTCAACCTAATGCATGACTTTCTGAATATAAAGGAAGTCAATGGAAGATTTGCCAGCAAAATCAGTTTCTCAGAATGCAAAGATTGCTTCAGAATTGGGGATTACTGTGTTCCTTGAAGCATCTCTAGGAAGCATGTCTAGGCTCCAGAGTGGGCATATGCCTGTTATATAATAATATTATAATACTATGCAATATTAGATTATATACCGGAAATTCAATAAAATAATATATTTTCGGTATTTTTATCACACACACACACACAAAATGGTAACTATGTGAGATAACGGAATGTTAATTTCTTTGACTGTAGTAATCATTTCACGAAATATATGCACATATATTAAAACATCATGTTGTATACCTTAAATGTATATAATAAATAATAATAAAAAGTAGGGCTAGCCATGGTAGCCAAATCGGGTTGGGAGAGTTAAATGTCTCATGTTGCTTGATACGGCAAATAACATCATGACAAGTAATGAATAGAGGCACTACTCAAGCTAATCGACAGATGCTATAGATCAGGGAAAATAAACTTTCCAATAGAGAAAGCAATTATACCAATTGTGATTATTTCTTTCTAACAAGCTGATGGGTACCTGAAATATTGTAGCTTTCTTGTTTGGTCTACACTTGGAAAAGAGGACCCCTCAAAATGTCCAAGAAAAAGTATGAGTATTTTCATTATTAACAACCTATCAACTTAGAAAATACCATCTAAACATAAGAAATGACAAATTAAGAGACAAGATTTGTACCATTATTTCATGACTGATATTTATTGACTAATGTTGAGGTTCCAGCCTTTGGGATAGCTGGTTGGCTTGCCTTTTCTCTTACCTCATTTAATCATCACCAAACACTATTGGGTTCCCTATTTATAACATGAAGAAACAGAAAAATGTAGATTAAAACACATTACCTAATACGATCAAGCTAGAAAATGACATAGCTGGGATTAAAATACAGCACTGTATAAATACAAAGCCCTTAGTATTAGCAAATATGTTCCACAGTTTGCATTGTACAGAATTCTGTTGCCACTAGATAAAATGGAAAGAAAAAGGACAAATAGTGTGTAAAATTTATCGATGCATTTTGATTAAAAAATGTTAAGAAAATATTAACAAGTCGAGAACATGACTGCCCAAAAGAAGCGATAAGGCAGGAATGGGATTGGTAGATGTCAGTAACACTCAGGAGGTTTCACTACTAGAAAGCATTTTAATATTTTATCATGTAAATTCTTAAAATGAAAAAAAAAATCACATTATTTTTGCCAAATGTGATGTAGAGGATAAAACTAAAAAAAGCTCAGATAAATGAATCAAAATGATATTTATTGAATATGTTTAGAAGTATGAAAGTCAAAATAAATATCAATATTTAAGACATATGCAGAAATATAGTTAGATGTAAATAGTCACATTCATAGCTGCTTTTAAAAATCATTTTTTCAAGCTTTGGCTTGAGTTATACATATTGGAACAAAAGCATTATATTATATAAGGTTTATCTGCTTTGAAAACCCTAGGAAAGTCATTAGAATATCTGGATATTAGTAAGGCACTCTTTACATAGAGAAACAAAAATCAATAGCTTGACTATGTAACAGAAATTACTATTTAGGAAATGCAATGAAAAACAAATCCCAGTCACAAAAGTTATAAAACTTTAAATTATGTAGAAATAAACTTCGTAAGAAATTAGGAAAGTCCATATTAAGAAAACCACAAAAGTTTTACAATTTTAAAATAGGATAAGTAGTGATACAAACCATAGGAGACAGGCCAAAATTATGTATACACTTAAGGAAATTGAAAGAAAATTGGCAAATCAATTTTAAATTTCATGAGAAAAAATAAGTGAGAATTTAAAAAATATTTTTAAATGTGCTTAATTATATTGTATCCTATATGTGCTAAAAACCCATAGTAGTTAAAGGTGACATTTTTTCTCATAAGGGAGAATGAACAGATAAATATAATAATATAAAATATGGAAGAAATACACAGGCATATGGAGGTTTTTACCATATTAAAAATGCACCATTTTCAAATCAGCCAGAAAAAGAAGTTAGAACTCTAAGTTATGAACTTAGAAGAAAAAATATGCCATATCTCAACTTCACATTATTTATAAAAGCAAATTCCAAATAATTTAGAGTTCTTAAAGCAGGAATATCTAAAAAAACTTAACTGTAGCAAATACACAAAAAATCTTTTATTATCATTGGTAAGAAATTACTTTTCTGTCACAAGAAGGACAGAATCTATTATTTTAAAAATTGTCTGAATAATCTGCATAAAATTTAGATCTATACAGTGTATAGTAAATAATAATTATTGGCAGCTGAAAAACATGTGCAATCCCTATGAATATTTAAGAGATTATTTTAAAGCAGAAACTAAGATTGTTAAGGTGAAGACAAGAACTTTAAATAATAAATATTACTGCACGCAGCTGTAAGGAGAAAGAGGTTTTATTAAACAAGGACCAGAGTAGAAATGTACTGAGAAAACAATTTGCTGACTCAGAGGGTAGGGTGGTCATTGTGTCATTTTTCTACCTCTCTGCGCATTTGTGATCAGCTATCTTCTGTTGACAAATATCCATAGAACCTGTTTGCAACTTCAATACTTATTGTTCCTCAAAATATGTAGCAAGTATTTGCTTTTCTCAACTCTGAAACTGACTTCTGTGAAGAAGTTAAACTTTGGAAGTAGAAGAGTGCAGCTTTTCCATAACTCTTGTATCTGTGAGTAACACAAAATAGAATTAAAAATGGGCTTAACCAATAAAGGAACCCTATCACTGTCTACATTGAAATGCTGTGTCTCAAGCAAAACTTTAGGAATACATCGAGGTTCTCAACATGATCAGTTTCAATTTTGTTTCCCTATGTGTCTTCTTGGTCACAGGTACTCTATGTGTAGATTTGTTAACTACTTGACTGTTAAAAATAGAGCGATTATATATTTCTTATTCATATCCAGGAAGATAAAGATAGCATAAGTTATCATTAATTTTATGGGAATAATTCCTGGGCTTCCCTGTAATTGGCCCAAAGTAGATCTCCTTTCTACTTGGGTCTCCTCCCCTAAGCTGAATTTAGGTGACTAATACACTGATGTCTAGCTCATCTTCCCCATGTTGACTGTTGCTCCTTGGCCATCCATGTAACAATAGCGTGGGAATCCCTCTCTCACCAATGGAGGGAATAGGAGGTAATATAATAAAAATACTCTTCTTCCAGAACCTCCGATTTAAATTCAAAACTCGTTTACCTAATTGCACACTGTATAACTCCACTTGGATGTCTAATAAGTATGTCAAATTAAAAACTTCCAAAACTGAGTTACAGTAGTCCCAGCACCTAGCACAGACCTTGGTACCATTTATGCAAACATTATGTGTTAGATAAATGAATGGAACTACAGGTTAAATAGAAAATTCTCCTATTATCTACATCTTCTCACAAATATGTTAAAAATAACTAGAATGTTGGACAAAGATTATAGATTTTCTCATTTTATAGCTATCTTCAATAATTATCTGCCTGTTAATTGGAATCATATACAATGCACAGGGAAACAGCAAAATAATAGAGTCAATTGTAAAAAGTATTATCCTCTGGGTTAGGAACAGGCACTCTTTCTATAAAGGGCGAGCCAACCAGTATTTTAGGTTTTGCAGGCCAGCTGGTGTAGTCTGCACCCAATTCTACCACAGTAGCGTGAAAATAGGTATACACAGAACATAAACAAATGGGCATGTCTGTGTTCCAATAAAATTTATTTATACAAACAGGCTACAGCTGGGTTTGCCTAGCAGACTATAGCCTGCTGACTACTGGTTTAGGTAGCAACATTATGCTATTTTTATTATTTACTTATAAAACTTTTTTTTTTTTTTTTGAGATGGAGTTTCACTCTGTCGCCCAGACTGGAGTGCAGTGGCGCGATCTCGGCTCACTGCAAGCTCCGCCTCCCGGTTTCACGCCATCCTCCTGCCTCAGCTTCCCAAGTAGCTGGGACTACAGGCGTCCACCACCACGCCCGGCTAATTTTTTGTATTTTTAGTAGAGACAGGGTTTCACCGTGTTCACCAGGATGGTCTCCATCTCCTGATCTTGTGATCCACCCACCTTGGCCTCCCAAAGTGCTGGGATTACAGGCGTGAGCCACGGCGCCCGGCCTATTTATAAAACTTTTCTAAATGTCCAAATTAGCCATCATATGCTTTTCTAATAGAATCTCAGTAAATAATATTAAAAATAGTTATAATTTATACATATATGTCTATGATACTGACATATTAAATCCATCTTAGCTATTAAAAATTAGTTGATATACAACATACATTATCTCTTTCTGTAGTTTGGAGGATATAATTCAATGTTGTATCTGAAAGTTGTTTCTCTAGCCACAAAAGAAGAGAAAAGCCCCATTTATTTATTAACACTGCTCAGTCCCCTTAGCTCTCAAAAAGTTTTTTTGCCACTACTTAATTCTACTGCTCATGTTTTGCAGAAAATTGGAAAGCACTTCCATGTGATAAATCCAGCTCACACGCATTTTTAAAAGTCAATCTAGCATGGATCAGTAGTGTTGGAAAAAAGCATACATTGAGAAACGGCACATCAGAAGTGTTAATGTGTCTGAAAGCTCCTGAATTTTCTCCTCAGACAGAGCTTGTCAGGCAAACCTTGGTTCATATAGTGAATACAACATCCCTGTAAATGTGATGTAGTCAGGTTACTTAAATTTACTGAGTCTCAGTCTTACCAGAGCAAGAAAGGAATTGTTGACCTCACCTCATGTTTTTGTTGATAAGATAAAAGGGCCATTCAAATGTCCTAGATTAATCTCCTGCCTGTCAAGCATTTGCCATAAATAACACTGTTTAATCTTTCCCTCTTTTTTCTCCTTATTTTCATCTCTAGATAGATTTCAAAGGCAAATTTAGACACCCATAATATGATGGAGTGTAATTTCATTAGAATTCCCTATTAAAAATTAATACTAAAAGTTTTTTGTCCCAGTCTTCTCTTAAGTCCCCTAAATATTAGGCTATAAAGTAATTTATCCTACAGATAACTGATTTATCCCCCCAGATAACTGATCCAATTGTAATTAAGGTATGAAGATGATTCTTAGCCTCACACCTACAAGTCAGAAAATTCCCAGAATTAGTTTCTAGGCTGTGCATTTGCTTTTCCATCAAGCTGAAAGATTTTATTAATGACCACTATATTGATCCAGTCATTATAATCTTGTTTCTGTTTTTGCTTATGACAACCTGTCCCTATAGCACTGAACAATCTGTCTAGCACATGCCTCCTCCACCTCCCAGGAGTTGACCCTTTTTTCCATAAACCTGACCATGGCCTGGCACCCTCTGCAAAAGTGACCCATCACGTAGAACAACCCTGAAGTTATTCAGCCTGACAATAAATGTCTACAAGTTCACTTCTTTTTGCTTGCCCATAGATATGGGTGAATTCAAATATTAATGGTCAAATTCTCTATCTCCATTTGGAAAAGAAATATCTAACTCCTGGAAGCATGTCTATGTCTAGCCTTCTTTGTCCAACCCATATCTTGTCCATTCTGACTTACTCCCTATCCCCCAAAAACTCTCATTATAGGCCTGCCTAAGTAATCACCAAATAATCTCTATTATTTTGAAGATGATCTATGGAACAATACAAAAAAGATGACAGATATCTAAGACAATGAGAACTACTTCTGTTTTCTTTTCTTCCATATTCTTTTCCATGCCTTTTATGTATTTTAAACATAACAGAGAAACTTTATTTATTTATTTATTATGATTTCAACTTTTATTTTAGTTCAGGGGGGTACCTGTGCAGGTTTGTTTCATGGCTGTATTGAGTGACATTGAGGTTTGGAGTGCGAATGATCCCATCAACATGTAGTGAGTTTTGTGTCCAACCATTGTTCTTCAACCCTTGCCTCCCTCGTCTGTTCTTCTTTAGTCTCCAGTGCCTGCTGTTGCCATCTTTATATCAATGTGTACTCAACATTTAGCTCCCATTTGTAAGTGGGAACATGAGGCATTTCTTTCTGTTCCTGTGTTAATTCACTTAGGATAATGATCTCCACTTGCGTCCATGTTGCTGCAGAGGGCCTGATTCCACTTCTTATGACTGTGTAGTATTCCATGATGTATATGTGATACATTAGCTTTATCTAATCCACGACTGATGAGCACCTAGGTTGATTCCATCTCTTTGCTATTATGAATAGTGCTGCAATTAACATATGAGTGCATATGTCTTTTGGTAGAACGATTTATTTTCTTTTGGATATATACCCAGTAATTACTTTCTCTAGTATTTTCAAATTATTTCTCTCATAGAAAAAGAAGTAAAGTGTTTTAATTATAATGGTAGCAATGATAGTTGACTCATGGTTTTCAGGAAAAGAATTACCATTTGAATGCGGCTTCTATCCAAAATTTTACTTGTCTTTGAAGAACAAATATTTTCCAGTTCTAATTCACATATAAATGTTTTTTCTGTTTACTTAAAATATATTTATTGTGCTAAATATTACATAACACATTCTGTAATATAAAATGGCATAAAGGAGATAAATAAAAGTTTACATTGATATATTAACTGTAATAGGAAAAGGAACATTTTTAAAACCCTATGATTTCAAAGAACTGAAACTATAGCCAGAATAATAAAAATTGCATGTACCCATACTCTTGACAAGATTCTTGAGTTTGATTTTAAAGTCAATCATCTCCAACTTTGCAATGGCATTTTCTTACTATTATTGTTATTATTCAGTTTTAAAATCCTAATCTTAACATGGAAGCAATAAGGGCAAAATAACAGAGTCATTCTAATTATGAAATGAGCTAAACATTTGTGCCTGCTTCTATATGCCTGTATCACTATCTGATATGCAGTAAAGTATGTGATTAAAGGAAAGCTTTGCTGCCTTGTTCTATTTTATTTGAAGGTTCACAGAGTATTTCAACCATATTATTACAGGTTCCTGTACTTGGCCTTTAGAAATGATGGTGAAGTGTCACTGAAGTAGAGACAATGTGTATGAAATCATATTTGAAGTGTTACCATCAATAGCCAATTTTAAATTATTGATCCACTTCATCCCATACAAGCAGAAGTCACTGAGTAGTTCCAGTTTGTAGACTCAGTGAATTACAGTAATCAAATCTAGAAATTGTAAAGCTATGAACATCTGTGGCTTACTATGCGTTCCTAGGATGAGGTTGTGACCTCCATGTCACCTGCAGGTGCAGATTTATTCCATTTGCTCCAAAATGAAAATTGATTCTCTCACATCCCATCACAGCCTATCATGTATCAAATTACCTCTTGACTTACACCTAGGCGAATCAGTGGTTTCTAATAATAGCCACATATGAGTGAATTTGTGACAGATGACTAAGCTATTATATTCTACCAGCAATGTTGAATTTAGCACTTCACACAAGAATTGCGCCAGTTTTGAGTATCACAAAGATCTAGGTCAACTTCAACTACTCAGAGACTAGCAGCTTGCACAGCAAACATATTCCTTAATTATAGCAATAGGCTTATAAAATTTGCCATCATTAATTGGTTTCATCGAGATAATTTTAAAAATCTTTTCTTATTCAAATGTAAAGCTTTTTGACAGAAACTTTCCGGATTTGTTTCTAATATGGAAATGTCAGATAAAGTTGTATATGATTTTGGTTCTCCTCTTGTAGGAATACATTTTTTTGAAAAACTATTTTCAAATAATTTTGGATTATATTCTCAGTGCTATCAATTGGATTTGTAATGATACAAATTTGTAATACATTTCAAATGCAAGTTGGCACCTGTGACTGGATGGAGGCAGATGTCTATTTGGGCATCTCCTTAAAGAGCTCTGTGAACTATTATATCTAAATTTATATATTTATCTTCCCTTATTTTCCCCACTTTGTTTCAAAATCATGCTCATTTTTTCTTGCCTCTTACTCCTATCATAATTTTATCCCTTTTTTCCTCTTCATTAAAAGCAATGGTATTGTTATTATCAACATATTTCATTAATTCATATATATTTCTTGCATTCATTTATTCAACATTTATTAAGCAATTACTTTATGTGAAAAAGATAACTAATTAATATGATATTAAAAGATGAATCAATATTTTGACCGAAATAAGTTTGCATTTGAGCCTATGAGCAGAGTTTTATTTAAAATATGTGATCCTTAAAAATCATTGATGTGATGTGATGGTTAGGAGTAGGTGTCAACTTAATGGGATTGAAGGATGCCTAGGTAACTGGTAAAGTATTGTTTCTGGGTGTGTCTGTGAGGGTGTTGCCAGAGGAAATTAACATTTGAGTCAGTGGACTGGGAGAGGAAGACCCGCCACCATTGTGGGTAGACAGCATCCAGTTGGCTACCAGTGCGGCTGGAACAAAGCAGGGGAAGAAGGTGGGATAAGCTGGCTTGCTGAGGTTTCTTGCTTTCATCTTTCTCCCATGCTGGATACTTCCTGCCCTTAGACATCAGACTCTAGGTTCTTCGGCCTTTGGACTCTTGGACTTAGACCAGTGGTTTGTCAGGGGCTTTTGGGCCTTTGGCCACAAACTGAAGGCTGCCCTGTTAGCTTCCCTACTTTTGAGGTTTTGGGACTCTGGACTGAGTCACTACGGGCTTCCTTGCTCCTCAGCCTGCAGACAACCTTGAATTTGTCAACAATATCTTAAATAGAATCCAAAACTCATTAATTACTAAATAAAAAAAGAAATTAAAGTTCATCCACATTAAAGTCAACAATTTTGCTCTTTATAAGAAGACATCATTTAAAAAATAAAAGAGCAAATTACAGACGGAGAAAAAAATTGTAAAATATGGATCCTCCAAAATATTGTTTTATAAAGAGTTTTAGAGTTTTATTATTTACTAATTAGAAATAATCAACTCAACAAAAAATGCGCAAAGAATATGAATAGACACTTCAACAACTGTATGTATGGAAAACAAGCACATGGAAAGAGGCTCAAATCAACAAATCTTTAGGAAAAAATGAAAATGAAAAGCACCTTTAGGTACTTTTATATACCATTAGAATGGCTAAAAATTTAAAAAGAGTAATTATAACAGTTATTAGTGAATATGATTAAAAAATGGACACTCAAACACTGCTGGTGAAAATGTAAAATGATACAATTATCATGAAAAGCACCTTGTCAATTACTTAAAAAGTCAATCATATACTTGTCATACAGTTCAGCCTAAGTATTTACCTTTATCAAGTTTATCACCTAAGTGTTTACCTATGAGATATCAAAATGAGTTCTCACAGACTTAAACACTAATGTTGATAGCAGCTTTGTTTATAATAGCTAAAAACAGGAAATTATCGTCATCTATAGCGACAGAGAGCAAATTCCTGTTTGTCTGAGAATGGTAGGGATATAAGGAAGGGATAGATTACAGAGGGTCAACAGGATACTTTCTATTTTATTAATTCAATTGTGGTGATGGTTTCATGGATATATACATATATGGGCATATACATATACAGGGACATATGTGTATGTCAAACTCATCACATTTTACACTTGGTAGAATTTATTGTACATTAATTTTAATATAATATTTAAAAAGAAAATATTGACTCAAAGCATTTAAAATACATTTTAACTATTTGTTAAGTAAAAAGAGAACTTTTGGGAAGATCTTTCAAAACTGTTTAGATATTAAAAAGAAAGTACATTTATTCAAGTCTCTAAATTCTCTAATATATTAGCTAAAAGTGATGTGAGAATTTAGATATAATCACTGTCATGTTAATTACATAAAATACTGTCTAGATCATATTTTTACTCTTCAATAATTATTCAAAGATTCAAATAAAATTTTTTTCTATTTTCTATCCTTCAGTTTTAATGTTCATTCATTTTCTTTAGATTTCTAACTCCTTATGCTACTGATAAACTGTTAAAGAGGTAGAGTAAATCAGTTAAGAGCTATGTTGGGGTCTCTCATGACATCCAAGTCATACAACTTTTGTTATGTCATTGTGGTCATCAATCATGCCTTTTATGCTGCTTTGTTTTTTATAATATATATAATCATATTAGTTGAATATTTGCAAATTATCTGCATTTTGCACTTTATATAAAAATATGTGCATGTGAAACAAATGAAATTCAAAACTAGTAAAATATGAAAATTAATACGAATGAAATATATTTAAATATTGTCACTAAGGACATAGAAAGATTGCTAACACTTATAGAAAAAGCCATCATTAATTGTATTATTTAAGAGGTAAGGATTTGTGCAATGAATTAGATATACATGTACATAAAAATAATAATGTCTTTTCAAAAGATAAAAGGGTAACTAAAATAAGCTCAAATTTTGTGACACTATTTCTTATCTCAGAAAATCAATAATTTCACTCTGACAGTTTTATAAAAATCTGATACTTTCAGTGGAAATAAAATGCTCCAAGGTTTGAATAAACATAAAAGGCACAAAATAAATAACTGAAATTACTTCAAAATTTCCTTAAAATCTTAATGCTCTTAAAATTTTAATTTTAAACTTTATCAAATTTTAATTTTTCTGTTAAATTGTTAAATTATCTTGTAAAATTGTAATTTTTGTGTTAAATTGTTAAATTATCTTGTTTATCATTCATTCTTATGTAATTTGAAGGTATATTTTTAATTTACTTTTTGAATATTCTGCTTTTATTAAATTTATTTAACCTTGACTTATATTAATATCTAAATGTCTGTAGTCACCATAGTGTCTTCAATAACAAGACAAATAATTCAGCATACTTTAATTCACTCTGAAATATTTTGCTATCTTCACTTTATTACTATTTAGAATTATAGTCCTTCATTTTTATTACATAAAATGAGTCAATTCTTATTTTCTTATAAAAATGTAGTTAATTTTAGCAGGGTTGTAATTTACTATATCAACAGACTAAAAAAGGAAAACAACCAATTATTTCAACACTTGTGACAAAATGCAACAACCATTACTACAAAATAGAAAAATACAAAGTTGTTATACTTGTAGTAACTGATAGTTTACCATAAAGCTAGAATGGGTAGTGTTAGTATTCTCTTGATCGTGTTTGTAGTTACACAATTGTCTAGTTTTGTCATAATTTAATAAAACTATTTATTAAAATGAGTACCTTTCATCTTATATTAATTGCAAGGATTTTATTAAGAAATAGAATGGCAACACGCAGAGAAATCGAGGAAAATATTAATCTCACAAATAGCTTGTGTAAGTGTAAAATTTTTAAAACATTTCAGAAAACCATTTTTAATCTTTGAATTAAGTGCTACATTTAAAGTTACCTTATCACACTGAAATCCCACTTTTAGGTATATTCTTAAGAAAAATTAGTGAATATGTTCACAAAAATGTCCACAATAGATTTATTCATGCCAACTAAAAGTTACAAACAACCTCCTACCTAGGAAAAAGACAATGGAAAAGAAATGTGGCATCTTCATACAATGGGATATTGTGTAAGCAATAAAAATCCTCCTGATTATTTAGTAGACATATCAAATAAAATATGCAACAGCATGGATATATCTCTAAATATTTTGTTGAGATAATGAGACGAAGTACACATTTATGTTCTACAGCTTGTTTTGGGTGATTACTTGGGTGTAAACATTTATTAAGTTGTCCCCTTAAGATTTATGAATTTTACCCTTTGTAAATAACATCTTAAAGAGTAGAACTGATACTTTTACTGTACGTATTTTTGCATTTTAGAAAAGTGTTCCTCATGCCTGTAATCCCAGCACTTTGGGAGGCCAAGGCAGGCAGATCACGAGGTCAGGAGATCGACACCAGACTGGCTAACACGGTAAAACCCCCTCTCTACTAAAAATACAAAAAAAATTAGCCAGGCGTGGTGGCGGGCGCCTGTAGTCCCAGCTACTCGGTAGGCTGAGGCAGGAGAATGGCGTGAACCCGGGAGGCGGAGCTTGCAGTGAGCCGAGATCGCACCGCTGCACTCCAGCCTGGGCGACAGAGCAAGACTCCGTCTCCAAAAAAAAAAAAAAAAAAAAAGTGTTCCTCAAATGTTTCCAGAGAAGCATGTTCACTGCTTCTCTGTGAAGAAGCTGTGCAGATATCCTTACTTACTCTGAAGTGTAAGTTGCAGAGAACAGTCTTATGTGTGATTTTTTTTTTTTTTTTTTTTTTTTGCTGTCTGGTGTTTACATTAATACTAATTAAAGTTTTCACTGTATCATATCTGTTTGGATTATAACTAAAATATACATTTTTAAAAACCAGTGATTTCAGGAAACTTGCCATGCATATGTTTTGCTTGGCATATTTTCCTGGGGGCATTCAGACTTCAATTTGACAACATTAATCTTTCAGAATCCCTGCCATGTCCTTCATAAAAGAAATTAAAAATCACGTATAGCGACTATGTCCAATCAGACAGAGCAAATCTTGCCAAGGGCAAGTCATACCTAGTTTATTAGTAACTGAAGAAGAACATGGTCAAGAAAAAATCTTTTCTACTTTAACAATTACACTGAGTTGGAATCACAGTTTCAGTAGTAATTTTTCTGAAATAGCCAAAATGTCAGTGGTCAATCAACAATTGTGTGGGCCATACAAAATATTTTATGCAATAATGTACATATAATACATATGTGAATTAAATATATTAAAATTGCTTGCAGAAAAATAATAATAAAACATATCAAAGAAATCCTCAAGCCACGTCTTTCTCTTTTTCAACCCCAGCAAGCCATGTGATCAGAAAGATATATAATAATTAGATGATATTCATCTGCTCAACTACTCTAAATGAATGCAACTGCATTCGATGACTCTCATTAGACTCTTCAGAATGTAACAGAACATTCATAATCTTAATCAACATCTGATGAGCCATCCAGTTCAAGACCAATCCTTTGTGAACATCTCCTTGTGACAGGGGATCTATCAGCCTCATATTAGTCACATAATGTCACACTTGCCTAGCTTTGCCAGTACTGATGAATCCACTGATAGCAAACCCAAGCACCTGCTTAGGGCATGCCTGAAGCCAAGACACCAAAACAAATCTTAACTTGTAGAAATAATTGGATATTTGATACTTTAAATATGCATTAAAGTGTTTGGTATGGAACAACCTGGAACTTAGATTTTCCTACATATTTTTACTAGCATTATTCTGCTCTTATTTTCAAAACATGTAAGAAAGGCCATTGTAAATTTGTAGGTGTCAGTGCTATAATACAGACTGTTAGTTGTGAGTCAAGTCAGAAAGTGAACTATCAAGTGTCACCTCTGCAGAGGAAGAATTGAGCAAAATGTGAAGGCCGTTTTCATCCAGGATTCATTTCCTCATTTTCTGAAATAACAGAAAACTAGGAAAGGTACCATTTTATTCTAGTGTGGAAAGAATCTGTAAAGACAGTGTCAGTTCTGTAATAATGAGACAGATCACTATGCAAAGAGAGGTCTTTTTTGGGAAAAAATATTTTACTGGAGTAATTATCCTAACAGTTTATGTTATATGTGTACAATTCACAATCTGAGGGTTCAAGTTTCATATATTAATAGGAATGGCAAATATTATAAAACATTTGTACTGAAGGTATTTCATAATATTTTTCTCTGAAGATATGTAAGCTATTTACAGAAAAATAGCTAAATGTTACTAACACGTTAAAAAAAGTTCCACCATACACACAGATATTGAACAAAATAATCTATAAATGCAATGCAATCACATTTAAACAAAAGATCCTTTTCATGGAACAAGGTAAACTGATTCTAAACTTTATAAAAAAGTGAAAGTTCCATGAATGGGAAAGACATAATGGCATGATTAACAAAGAAAGAGAGAGACAAACAAAGAGAGAGAGAGAGAGAGAGAGAGAAATAGCGAGAGGGAGAAAATAAATCAAGTTTCAGATCAACATCTGCCATGTTTATTTAAAAGCTACACTATTTAAACATGTGTGACAAAATAATACTAGCTAAAATAAATTGAGCTCTGTATATGTCTATGTGCCATGCACCTAAGTGATTATATGTATGTATAAAGACATAAAATCTATGCACACTGATCAACATAATGCATAACATATGCTATACATATATGTACATATGTGTGTATACATTATATACATACATGTGTGCATGCATACATTCAAGCAATAAAAATATAAAATTTTAATATTTTATTTTAACCTAATATTGCCAATGTATTAATGCTTAACCAGAAAACTGCTCAGAATAGTAGCTTGCTTTTTCCCCAAAATCTTGGCTACACTTGTGAAAATATAAAATAGCTCTGATGGCACATTGTGAATTCAAAACAGTGGTTCTTCTCAGGAAAAAAGGAAATACAGAAATTGGCCTGGGATACAGAAAAGGAATTTCACCAGTACAAAAAAAGTTTTCTCTTGTTTATTCAAAATAAAGTTGATCAAGTAATTTCATTTAAAAATATTAATTTTAATTCCTGATTATTTGGAACTGTGTCCTTGATACCTTGCATTTGTTATTTTGTGAATTTTAAATACTCTTTGTCTTATTTATAAATTTTACTTGATATAATTATCTGGAAATTAGTATAGGATCCATTCAATTTTATTGTTGCTTCTAGGTTAGTATAATCATTAGTTATACTAATAGAATACTATTAGTAACAGAATACTATAATAAAATACTATTTCTATTTCATCTGAGTTATAATCTATTCAATGTGACTCAAGATTTTATATGGTAAGGGTAAATGTTGTAACAGTATTTCATCAACTATGAATAATGTAAATAAATATTTAGGGGAATAGGAAATGTTTTCACTATTGTCTCTATATATTTTTCTTTACTAACATTTCAATTTTTACCATATGTATATTTTAACCATATAAAGTGAATTTAAAATTGTAAAATGTGTACCATAATCACATGCAATTTGGATTAAAACTTACAAATACAGTTTTGATCTGTAGGGAAAAGTTAGTCTTCCCTTAGATTCACAAGGATAACTTTATTTGATCTAATGAATCTAACTGCCTTCCATGAAGTAAGAGAGTATAATAAATGCACTAATTATAAATCATAAAACTCTATGAATATAAGAACATAATAACTATCTAAATTATTACCCATAGAGCATAGCCAGGAAGAATGTAAATCAATGTGCACTTTCTTCGTATTATAGCCGAGTGAAGAGCACTTCAAATAGCATCCTAGGCGACCAGAAAAGGTTTTTAATAAAATGACAAGTATTTATAGTACACTATATCTTTTTTGTTTGTTTGTTCAATTATTTTTATTGGTACATAATAGTTGTGTGTATTTAGGAGGTACATGTGATATTTTGATACATTAAAACAATGTATAATAATGAAATATGGTGGTAGGTAGAAAATTTAATACACTATGCTTTCTTATATTTTGATTTATTTTCCTACAAATCAAAACATTGGTGTGCAATCACAGAGCTGTCTCCACTTGATTTCTCTCTGCCATGCATTACCATGGTGCTTTACATATATTTTAGTCTTCTCTTACTCAAAATCAAAGCTTATTTGCAAGAAGTTGCATCTAAATGACTCATACAAGGTATTCAATTAAACGTGCAAAACTGACTACTGCATGGGATTGTAGCTGAAACTACAAAATTTTAGTGCAAACACCATCATTTGAATATTTGATAGTAAAATGTCATTGCAATTGAACCCAAGGCCTTCTTGAACTCTCAAACCACTCAAAGTCAGATGTAGCAAACTAAGTTGGGTATAAGCTTCAAAACAAGCATTTATGTACTCAGTCTTTAGTTGTGGTGGTCACAAATAATTATCTTGAGAAGTGGAAGGACAAACTATTAGAGAATATCTTAAAAATTGTTTTGCTATGGGAAGAATAACATAGCCTCTTAGATCTCAAAACATTCGTGATATACTTTCTAGAGCAGGGCTTTTCAAACTGCATCCTTGGAAACTCTAGCTGTTTACCAGAGATCATCTAGAAAGAGCTGGGTCTGCAGACACTGGGGATGCAATGGGAGCAAACACTGCAAGTTTTGTGGTTGGCCCATATTGCCTTCTATCAAAGCAGATTTTCTTCAGTGTTGTCTACATGTTGCGATGATAGGTAGAAAATAGAAACCATTCTGGATGAACTATTATTGGAACATTTCACAGTTCACGAGTCCATCCTTTAATTTTAGAGAAAAGGGGAATTAGGCCAAGAATAAATAGAAACTCACACAAGTAAACTGGGGACAGTGTGATTAAAAGCCAGGTGATATGGTTTTATTTCACTGTATAATATGGTTTACCTAAACCACATTTTATTTCCTGTTTTGTCTATTTTTTGACCTAGCACCATCTTCACCCTTCAGGAAATTATAGTTTGCTGTGAGATCACAGTATAATATTTTTCTATACTCACACTAAAAACAAACAAACAAAAAAACAAAAAACAAAAAAACTCCTTTAAAAAACTGGTAATACAATAAAATCCAAGCAGATTCTATTCATCCTTCAGAAGACTAAAATTTAAATGTATTTTTATCAAAATCTAAAAATTATACGTACATATATGTATACACACACAGTCAGTTCTCAATTATAGTTTTTCAGCTTTGCAATGGTGTGAAAGTCATACGCATTCAGTAGGCCCCAGCTTCCAGACAGTGGAGTGTTGCCAGATAATTTTGCCCATACCATAGGCTAATGTAAGTGTTCTGAGCACATTTAACATAGGCTAAACTAGGCTGTAATGTTTAGTAGATTAGGTGTATTAAATGCATTTTTGACTTAACTTTAATTTACAATGGGTTTATCCAGGTGCAGTTCCATTGTAAGTTGAGAAGCATCTCTCTAACCTTTTCATTTAAGGACAGGTATAGTATTTTAATAAAAGACCACTGATTGGAGCATTATATATGACAGCAAAAGATCAGAAATAATAGAGGACTGATTTTAAATTGTCTTATTTGTGTACACACACACCCATACACATGCACACACACACCCATACACACACACTCATACACATAAAAATATATATGGACTTGTAAATATCATTATATAAGTATGTGTTAAAAACTATCCCTGGGCTGGGTGTGGTGGTTCACACCTGTAATTCTAGCACTGGGAGGCCAAAATGGGTGGATTGCCTTAGCTCAGGAATTCAAGACCAGCCTGAGCAACACAGTGAAACCCTGTCTATACTAAAATACAAAAAATTAGCTGGACATGGCAGCATGCGCCTGTAGTCCCAGCTAGTTGGGAGGCTGAGGCAGGAGAATTGCTTGAACCCGGGAGGCAGAGGTTGCAGTGAGCTGAGATGGTGCCACTGCACTCCAGCCTAGGCTACAGAGCGAGACTCCGTCTCAAAAAAAAAAAAAAAAAAAGAAAGCAAAAACAAAAAACAAAACAACAACAACAACAACAACAACAACTATCTTTGGTGGAAATATAAGAACCTGTAATTCAGAGTGGAATTCCTGTGTGGTAATGAACGCATATGCACAACTTCAGGAAATACTGCAAAAATCGATTTTGTCAATCTGCATTCCGACAGCTGAATGTGTATTGAAGACTTCCTGTTACTCCACATTTTCACAAATACTCAATTAAAAAATAATTTTAGCCACAGGGTGCCATAATTTGGTTTTAAATCGCATTTCTCTGCCAATCAATAACTTTATGAAACTTTTCTCATGTTATTGGTCCTTGGTGTAGCTCCTTTGTAACATCTCTGTTCATGAATTTTTCTAATTTTTTCATCGGGTTATCTCTTTTTTCTTTAGTTGCAGGTACTCTTGCATGTTCAGGATAAGAGTCCTTTCTCAGATATATGTATCAAGAATATGTCGCCTTTCTGTACTCCGTTTATTCTGATGTTATATGCAGTAAAAATAATTTGATTTTACTATATTAGCCTTTTTTTCATACTACTGTGGTACACTGAGGATCTCTGATTATAATAAAATATAATTAAACAACATTCAATGTTATTTGTAATTGAGATTGATATAAACTTCAGATTTTTAATATTCTGTCAGATTAAAGGAATTCCTTAAATTACTAACTTGCTAGAAGATTTTTTAATGAATCATTGTTGAATTTCATTAAGTTTTTTCTGCAATTTCTCCCTTTTTTTTTTTTTTTTTTTTTTTGAAATGGAGTTTCACTCTTTCTCACAGGCTGGAATGCAATTGCGCCACCTCGGCTCACTGCAACCTCTGCCTCCAGGGTTCAAGTAATTATCCTGCCTCAGCCTCCTGAGTAGCTGGGATTATAGGTGCCTGCCACTGCACCCAATTTTTGTATTTTTGTAGAGACGCGGTTTCGCCACGTTGGCCAGGCTGATCTCGAACCCCTGACTTTGTGATCCACCCACCTCGGTCTGCCAAAGTGCTGGGATTACAGGTGTGAGCCACCATGCCCGGCCTCTCCCTTTTTGTTAATTATATTCATTCATTTTGTTTATGCTCAGTTTGTACTAGATTTGGGCAGTGAGAGCCCTGTCAAACTATTTTCTGAGTTTTTGTTTGTTCGTATCGTTTTCAAAAACCTATTTACATCATTTTTAGAGCATTTGCTTTCTTTCCAACGTAATGTTTTCCACTTATTATGTACCTGATGTCTAGGATTCATGTGCCTCAGTCTTGGATTCACCTATTCCTTCAAGAAGCCTTGGGTCCCTTGACCCAAATAATTTGGACCCAAGGAATTTGGAATTTGGAGAGCAAGCTATGGACCCTCTGTTGCACCTATTGCTTAAAGGCGTCAATCTGCCTGGCTTTCCCTGTGGACAGACCTAGGGGTATGGAGGTATGCATAATCACATAGAAATGAAAATACACAGAGACGAAGATGTATAACTATTATGTATTTTATATGTATGTATTTTATATGCATAAATATTTCTGCATCTTTATTTATATACAATTATTTAAATACCTAACAGTTATTACTGATACATTTGTAAAGATAATACCTACTGCAGTTCTAACAGAACATCTGAGAGTACTTTCCAGTCTTTGGACTTTTCATGTGTAAACGCTTTCTCTGAAAGGACTGTGGGAAAATAGATAGATGATAGATAAGTAGATAGGTGAATAGAGAGAGAAAGAGAGAGGATTGCTTGATTGATAGATAATCATCTTAAATCACGTAATTTGTTTGCTCACTGCAATGGAGTCTTCAATTACTCAGATATCTCCTTTGTCTGAGATAACCGTGTTGTCTCCCGTCCCCACTTTATGTCCTAGGCACCCAGGCAAGCCAATGCCTGTACATGGCACCCTCACCTACTCACTGCTCTGCCTCCTTGAACATCTCTGTTCTGGCAGGTAACAGAGGTGAAAGGGAAGATGAGCATGGGTAGGGGAAAATGAAAAGGGTAAGGAAATGATGATAAATAAGTAAGCCAAAAATTGGTATTTTTTATTAATAGTATTCCTTTTATAGTAATTACTTTTTCTAGCACCATAGTTTGAATTTGATTTTATTATTCCATTTTACTAATGTAAGATTATTGGATTTGTATTTTTATTTTTTTCTTACCTATTTGTCCAAAATAAATGTGTTATATATACATATGAGATTCTATGTATTATGCCTATGAATTTCTCTACAAGCATAACTTAACAGATTTTAATATATCCTACAAATTTTAATATATGGTTGTACTTTCACTATTACAGGCAAACCTCGGAGATATTGCAGGTTTAGTCCAGACTACCACAACAAAGCAAATACTGAAATAAAGCCAGTCACACAACTTTTATTTCTCCATTCATATGAAAGGTAAGTTTACACTATACTGTAGTCTACTTAGCATACGATAGCATTATATTTAAAAACCTGTATGTACCTTAATTGAAAAATACATTGTTGCTAAAAATGCTAATGATCTGAGCCTTCAGCAAGTCATAATCTTTTTGCTGGTAGAGGATCTTGTCTAATGTTGATGGCTGCTGACTAATCGGGGTGGTGATTGCTGAAGGTTGGGGTAGCTGTGTCGATTTATTTTTTTCTTTTTTGAGATGGAGTTTCACTCTGTCACCCACGCTGGAGTGCAGTGTCACAATCTTGGCTCACTTTAACTGTTACCTCCTGGGTTCAAGGGATTCTTGTGCCTCAGCCTCCTCAGTAGGTGAGACTACAGGCACACGCCACCATGCCCGGCTACTTTTTTGAATTTTTAGTAGAGAGGGAATTTCACCACGTTGGCCAGGCTGGTCTCAAATCCCTGACCTCAGGTGATCCTCCAGCCTCGGCCTCCCAAAGTTCTGTGATTACAGGCGTGAGCTACCACGCCCGGTCTGCTGTGTCGATTTCTTAAAATAAGATGCCAATAAAATTTGCCACATTGATTGACTCTTTTCATGAAAAGTTTCTGTGTAGCATATATTGCGGTTTGATAGCATTTTACCCACAGTAGAACCTCATTTAAAATTGGAGTCAATACTCTCAAATCCTGCTGGTTTATCAAACAAGTTTATGTAATATTCCAATTCATCTGTTGTCATTTCAAAAACATACAAAGCGTCTTCAGCAGGAGTGGACTTTACCTCAGAAAATCTCTTTCTTTTCTCATCCATGAGAAACAACTCATCATCCATACAATTTTTATCATGAGACTGAAGCAATTCAGTAACATCCTTAGGTTCCCCTTTTAATTCTAGTTCTCTTGCTATTTTCACCACATCTGTAACTTACTTTCTCCACTAAAGTCTTAAACCCCTCAAAATCATTCATGAGGGTTAGAGTGAATTTTTCGCAAGCTCCTGTTAATGTTGAAATTTGACCTCCCATGAATCATGAATGTTCTTAATGGCATCTAGAATGTTGAATCTTTTACAGAAGATTTTCCATTTCCTTTGCACAGATCCATCAGAAGAATCACTATATATGGCACCTATAGCCTTACAAAATGTGTATCTTAAATAATGAGACTTGAAAGTTGAAATGACACCTTGACCCATGGGCTGCGGAATGGATGTTGTGTTAACAGACATGAAAACACATTATTCTCTTCGTAAATCTCCATCAGAGCTCTTGGATGACCAGTTGCATTTTCAATGAGAAGTAATATAGTGAAGAAATCTTTTTTTCTCTGAACAGTAGGTCTCAACACGGTTTAAAATATTCAGTAAGCATTGCTGTACAGATGTCCTCTCATTCAGACTTTGTTGTTCCATTTATAAATCACAGGCAGATAACTAGCATACTTGTTAAGGGTCCTAGAATTTTCAGAACGATAAATGAGATTTGACTTCAACTTAAAGTCACCAGCTGCATTAGCCCCTAACAAGAGAATTAGCCTGTCCTTTGAAGCCAGGCATTCATTTCTTCTCTCAAGCTATGAAATTTCTAGATGGTATCTTCTCCCAATAGAAGGCTGTTGTGTCTACATTGAAAATCTGCTTTTTAGTGTAGCTACCTTCACAGGCTGTTGAAAAAAAAATGGCACTGATAGACTTGCTTGATGCAGGATTGCCACAAACTTTGAATTTGTAAAAAATGTAATATCTGTGAAGCATAGTAAAGTGAAACACAATAAAATGTGGTATGTTTTTATTCATTTTGAAATATTTTCTTTCTCTTTTGCATTCTTTTAAGACATATAGATTATTTATAAATATATTATAATGTCTATGTAATGATGCTTTTAGTTAAACCTGTGTTATTAATGTACAGCTTAATTCAATGTGGCTGGGGAACATTGAATTATGATCATCCTTTGCAATTTGTATTCAACATGGTTCTCAATCTCAATTTTTATAAGTGTTTAATGTGCAATTGTAAAGAACAGTTTGTTAATTATTTTATTTGGATCTTTAGTGTTCATAGTAATGTAATTCCTGCTACCTATATGAAATATGACAATATTATAGCACATTCTGGAAGTATATTAGAATTTTCTTATGTTTTATAATATGATTACATATGAGGATATATATTTTCATTCCACTTTTATTATTGAAAGGTGTTTTTATTGGATATAGAATTCTCTATTGGTAATTTTTTTCTTTTCACATGTTAAAAATATTGGTCAATGGCATTACTGTTTATGATTAGAAGTCATCAGTTATTCAATTTCTTGTTCTTCAGTAATGTGCTCTTTTAATCTGGCTACTTTCAAAATTTTACATCTTTGTTTTTTATCATCTTGCCTACCTTAATTTGACTTTATTTTTCTTGTGGTGCACTCTTATTCATAAAACCGTAAATTCTTGCCCCACACCATTTTTGTGAAATTATCAGTCACGATTTCTTCAAATCCTTTGTTTAAAGCCACATTTGCTTTTTCTCTTCTCTCCTGTGGATTCTTGTTACATTCTTGTTAGATCTTTGAATACTCCCCAAAGATTTCATGAGGGGATGTTCTTTTGTGTATTCTTTTTTTAAATCATTTTGTCTATTTTTCCAGAAAATTTTCATTAATTTCTTTTTGTTATTGAGTAACATAAAGATAAATTAATTCTTTTTTAATTAATTTGTTCTTTTTGAATTGTTTCCCCTGAAATTTATATGTACTAAACCCTAGCATCTAAGAACCTTATTTGGGAATAGGGTCACTGCAGAGGTAATTAGTTAATGTAAAATGAGGTCATTCTCTTGGACTTTACTCCAATATGATTAGTGTTCTTATATAAAGGGAGATTTTGGACACAGACACACAGGAGAAGAATGGCATATGGAATTAAGCAGAGATTGGGAAAATGTTTTCTCAAGCTAAGGAATGTCAAGCATTGCCAGCAACTCCCAGAAGCAAGGTGCTATGAACCAAATGTTTTTATCCCCCTAAAATTCATATGTTAAAGACTATCCTCCATGTGACAGCATTTAGAGGTAGGGACTTTGGGAGGTAATTAGATCATGAGGGTGAGGCCCTAGGAATAGGATTAGTGCTCTTAGAAGGAAAGGCCTGAGAGAGTTTGCTTCATCTCTCTGCTCACTATTATGTGAGGATACAATATGCCAGCACATTGATCTTGGACTTCCCAGCTTCCAGACTGTGAGAAATACATGTGTTGTTTAAGCCACCCAGTCTATGGTAATTTGTTAATGTAGCCCAAGCTGACTAAGACACTAAGGAAGAGGCATGAAACAAATTCTTCCTCATACCCTTCAGAAGGAACTATACCTGACAACCCTTAATCGTGGATTTCTGGGCTTCAGAACTGTAAGAAAAAAAATTTCTGTTGTGTAAGCCACCAACATCGTGACACTTTACTACGACAGCCATAGCAAGCTATTACAATCCTCGCTGTGCTATCCATCAATGCATTTTTTATTTCAGATATATTTCCACTATTCCAGAATTTTCTTTTCATTTGTGTTTATTTGTTCCAATCTCCTATGGATATTCTTTTAACTTTTCATTTATAGCAAACATTCTTTCTTTACATTAAACATAATGAAAATTCATGCGTAAAAAAAATCTTAGTGTGATACATCCAACATCTCAGTTATTTCAGAGTTATTATCTGCTGCCTTTCTCTTGAGAAAGTGACACATTTCTCTGTTTCTTCCAAGTCTGGTAATTTTAAATTGTATCCTATGCTTTGTGAATGCTACGCTATGTGCTATTTGAATTCTGTTGTAGTCCACTAGATAGTGTTGAGATTCTCATTTGTTTGCTTGTTTCAGCAACAAATAAGTCAGCTGGGTTTAATCTGGAAATGCTATCTCTTGGATAGAATCTTAGAGTTGAGGCATTTTATCCTATACTGAGCTCCTTTGACTTTGTCCTATGCATAAGTGGCTCAGGGATGAGCCAGAGGCTGTTGCAGGGTTTATGAGTAGAACACATGTCTATCTGTCTCTGACTCTCTTTCCCATGGTACAGCCCTCCTAGATACTTACACACATTTTGCAGCATCTGTGGTTGTCCCTATCTCTCCCTTTGGCTTCTTTTGTGGGCATTCTATCAGAGTTTTAGCTGCTGTATATGGTGAACTGCAGCATGCCTTCCAGCTATAAGATGCTAAAGACAAGAAATTTAGCTTCTGCCATTCTGTTCTTGCAAATGTTCACTTCCTTTTAGAATCTGACTGCATTTCTTCATCCTACACTACATTCAGGTTTTTGTTTTTATTTTTCTCCAGACTGTATAGTTATCTTTATTTAAAGTATTTTTCCTTAATAGTTTTAAAAGATAATATTATACTTTTAGCTCTATATAGATACATCTGTGGTCACTGGAATTTTAGGGACAAGAATCAGATTCAGAAATCTCTAGATAATAAAACTGAAATCATTATTATTTTGTATAAATATATCTACATTACTTGCTTATTTAATAAAGGAATACATTTTTAATTTTCTAGGCTATTATACATGAAATGTTGCTTTGGCTTTTGCTTTATTACACTTTTGAATAGCTTTAGGACATAGGTCTAAGGGTGCATGATGATTTTATTAAGCACATGTTACTTCATTTTAAATTATATGCACATATAAATTACTTTAGAACTGCTGTACACATTTTCCATTCCATTATTTGAGTCTCTAATCCTACTTCTTCAATGTCTTTGTAAAACTATTCTGATTAATTTCTTTATTGCCTAAAATATTATTTGCCAAGTGCTAGAATAAGTCATATTTAATGTATTGATTTGAAATTCCTGAAAATAAGAAATTTAATTGTAATGTTGGCACACACTTAATTCCATCAGTGTGAAAAATTGTCACTGTAATAAAAGCTTCATTTTTTAATTGCAATTTACCTCTGTCAGAAAACTGTATAAAATGTTGTATCAGTGTTTCATTTACAAAATGAAATGTAAGGCAACACTATCCAAATAATTCATTATATTGCCACTAACAGAGGTAGAAGCCCCCAAAATAAGGTAACTATACATAGGTGGAGTTATTTTTTTTTTAATTTTCAAGAGAGGTAAAAGTGAGGTGCTATGATTATTCATGGTCAGGGGCTTGCGGCTATCTGATTACTGAGTCTATCTCCACATAATGTAATTTTTGAGGAAGAAAAATTTACATTTACCCAGAAATTAGGTTTATTTTCTGTGAGCTTGCAAATATTTAAATGAAAAACAAAATCAAATATATAATGTTTATCTTGAGAATTGCTGACTAAAAGAATAAAATGTTATTTTTTACTACAAAAACAAAGTATTTTATTGATAATAAAATACTTTGCTTTTGGATCTTGAAAAACAGAAAGATGTTCATATTAATTTAAGGTAATGTTTTAGCATGTTTGAAAATCCATAATATAAAGTTCACATTATTTCTTTTTAGCAATAATGCCTTCCTAGGTGATGGTAGGTCAGGCTAAATCTTCATGCTCTTCTTAAGAATAAAATTTAAATTCATGTATAGCAATAAGTATTAAAATCTATTAATCAGTGCACTCATAGTATCAACTGTGTTGGCTCCATTGGTATGATATACTGACAAGATTTCCTTTTTGTGGCATCAGTTGCAACATAGAAATAGGGTAGGGATTTGGACATTAAAATTATCTACTCCCATTCCAGAAAAACCAAGTCTGTCTATCCTCAATAATATGCCTTCAATTTTAAATTCAGAGATTATATGCTTGTTGCTTGATCATAGATCCCTAATTTATGTTTTATAATGGATATTATTTCTAAATATGACTGTATATTTTTGTACAGCCAGTTAGGTAGAGCCATATAAGTATAATTTTGAAATGTATTAGATTATTTCTTAATTGTTGAATCGATAATTTTGCAATGATTTGATTTTATCATCAAATTGGACTTCAGATGGTCTATTCAGTTTTCTTTCCAAAAGCAAGTAAATTATAGAATTGCTGAGGACCTAATAAGTTAGTCAACACAGATTTTGAACAAAATTTTATAAAGCTTGACAATCCAATTGCTAAAATCTATCACATGTATATCATTATAATAGTATAATGTATATTACATGATATAAACGCCTTACAATTTAATATTTATTGCAAGCTCTAATTTACGTGCTTATAGTATCTATGTAGTTAACATTTGATTTATCTTATCACTTCTATATATACTTATTTGCTTGTTAGAAAATTTGAAAATGAAACTAGTTTATACTACTACTTCTGTCTTCTTGCTGTTGTGAATTTGTTGTGAATCTTCTCCTTGTATCCTTTACCATGTATGTTTTTTTCTCCCCTAATTATTTTGTGAATTTTTGTTAAAGTTCACTGGTTAAAAAGTGGTTAAATAAGATTGGAGTTTCATCCTCTCACACACAAAAGATGAGACAGACTAATGTTACTGGACATCTGTCTTCCAGAGTCTTCCTGGAACCCACCTCCTCCAATGCACTATTCCATGGTGACCTGACACTATCTCAACATGGCATGAGCAAAAGCACCTCATGCTTGGATGCTGTGGAGCCACAAAAAGCTCAACGCAGAAAGTCAAAGACCTCTCAGATTTACCCTACCAATTTTAAGGTGACTGCTTCCTTGGCCTGAAGAATTTTATCACCATAGTGAAGATTCTGCTAATTTTCCTATAGAACACTACTCACAGTATTTGGTTTCAATTGTATTTTCAGTTTTGAAATTAGAGAATTCTCCAGATGTAAAGATATGCCCTCTTAAGCTAATTATTGTCTTTCATCTCATTCCCTGCTTCCTTGTGTATACCAATCTTGCTTTCTTAAGATGCTATTTTTGAAGTAATTTTTGACAATGGCCTAAGATTTCAAGTTCTCAATAATTTATCTATTATTGTAACACAGATTCAGATGCACCTTCAAGTACATCTGCCCCTGCACACATATAGAAACACACATTCACACAGAAACCATGCTGAACTCTAGCTCCAACCTCTCCCATGGAAAACTCCCTGCTCTAGTCAACCTGTCCTGGATCATATGTTGTCATCGTAAGGGTAACTTTGTAAGGGTAACTTCATTTTCCTGGTGTGAAACTTGCACTAACCACAGACAGGGCAGAAGTCTTCATTCTATAGGTCTTGCTTACAGAAATTTTTGCTCTTGAACACAGGACCATTTTGCTAAGGCACAGAGCTACAGGTCCAGGTTTCTTTTTTCAAATCTTATTGCATCTGCTCCATGTTTGAAGACCGAAGGTGAAAAGACAAAGAGGTACATCTTCTAGGGAGAGGTCCTGGGTGGAATCTTGTACTGCGTGCAGAGGAAGGGCCTGAGGGGGTCTCCTTAATTTGTGGAGAAGAACCTCCTTTCTAGATAAGATTGAAAGATACAGAGGAAGTCAGTAGACATCAGGTAGAAGCCTGAAATGTAAAAACCCATGCACCACGCTGAGAATTCCAATCCCCACCACTACTTGGGGATGAGAAGTAAGAGTACCTTGAACTCTCCCGATGGCCTATAATGTTCTAGAGTTGGACAGAAACTAAGGGTGCCACCAACAATCCAGAAGCCCACTTGCAGGACTAACAGGACACTGTACGTATAACAAGCTCCCTGAGAAAAGGGATTTATACTATTCTTATGAAGAATCTTCTCTATGTTTGAAAATTTCTCCTCCTTAAACTACTCTGGGGAATATGAGATTTGGGGCCTATCCATCATGATTTACTCACCTGCTACTTGGTCGAAGCTAAGAACCTAATAAAAGAAAAAATGCATAAAGGGAATTCATTATTTATGTGTGTCATATATATTTTCTACTTGAAGTATGCTCTTTGCTCCTCTTGCAAATTATAAAATAACTGTCAGTTCTCTTGACTCTAGCACTAAATATTTCCATGCTAGCAGAGGGTAAAAAATAATTCCCTAGTGTGTTTTGCTCTGGGACATCTGGTCTTTTTTTTGAAAAGACAGGAAAAAATAAGGAGTGCAAGCACTCTTCCTCTAAAAATCACATCTTTTTGTCCATATGAATTATGTAGCTGCACTAAGGAATGGCATCTTTAAAATGGCACAGCTGTAAATGCACCAAGAGATGCCTGCACATGTACCCTTCAACCTAAAATAAAAGTTAAATAAAATTTAAAAAGAGATGGATAACACAAATCTACACACAAAAAAGTAAATAAACTTTACTATTCCAGCCTTTTTCGCAAAGCCTATCTAATCTGTGCCATATCAGAAGTTGACATTATTACGGGAAGATATAGTCAAGCACATAGAAATACATTTCAGAGAAGAACATTGAAAGACTCTAAAGGCAAGCTACATAAATGGCAGAAGAATTGTTACGATGAAATTTACTTGTGTATTTATTTATTTTTAGTGATAGAATCTTGCTACATTTTCCACATTGGCCTCAAATTCCTGGGCTCAACTAAACCCCCTGCCTCAGCCTTTTGAGTAGCTGGGACTACGGATACAAGTATTTTAATAAGGTAATTAATAGGTTATTAAACTAATGCTCAGTGAGATTGTTCTTCTATCTGAAAATAAATATAAACTGATTAAAAATAAATTGAAAGAAAAGTGAGGAAACTGAATCAATCCAAATATAAGTTATAACGTATGAAATCTGTTTTACGCATTTTGTAAACAAGGCCAAAATCGCCTTTTCACTGGTTAAAGGAAATTACAAAAAAAAAATTCTTGATTTTCTAGGAAGTTTACTAACATTTTAAAGAACACTTTCAGAGAACTACCTCCTATCTAAGACTTCTAACATAGGTAGTATGTCACAATTGATGTTTCATCGTGTATAAAACTATTATTAAGATAAACCACTAAAACATGCAGAAACATTGCATTAGTACTAAATTTAAATATACTAATTAATGAGGATTAAAACATTGATAATGTTGTACAAAATATAAGAAATCACAATTTTAATATTAAATGGTGTATCTTATATATCAATAATACTATGTTTTACTAAATTTATTCTCATGGTAGTATCATCCTGTTATATACTACAAGGATTTTTGTAAAAAGCCTGTCACACGTCAAGGCTCACTATAAGATAGATCATTGATCGCCATCACTGGGTTTTCTGAAACTTTTTCCAATCCACTTTAGGACACTGATATGGTTTGGATCTGTGTCCCCCCAACATGGGGATTACTCATGTTGACTTGTAATCCCCAGTGTTAGAGATGGGTCCTGAGGGGAAGTGATTGGATCATCAGGGCAGATTTTCTCCTTCATGCTGGTCTTGTGATAGTGAGTGAGTACTTTTGAGATCTGGTTATTTAAAAGTGTGTGGCACCTCGACCGGTCATAGTGGCTCACATCTGTAATCCCAACACTTTGGGAGGCCGAGGTGGGTGGATCACCTGAAGTCAACAGTTCAAGACCAGCCTGGTCAACATGGTGAAACCCAATCTCTACTAAAAATACAAAAATCAGCCAGGCGTGGTGGTGAGTGCCTCTAATCTCAACTACTTGGGAAGCTGAGGCAGAGGCTGCAATGAGCTGAGATTGCACCACTGCACTCCAGTCTGGGCAATAGAGTGAGACTCTGCCTCAAAAAATAAATAAATAAATAAATAAATAAAATTTAAAAGTGTGTGGCACCTCCTCCTTTTTTCTCTTGCTTCTGTTCTGGCTATGTAAGACATGTCTGTTGTCTGTTTGCCTTTTGTCATAATTGTAAATTTCCTGAGGTCCCCCCGGAAGGAGAAACCACTATGCTTCCTGTACAGCCTGCAGAATCATGAGCCAATTAAACATCTTTTCTTTATAAATTAGCCAGTCTCAGATATTTCTTTATAACAGTGCAAAAACAGACTAATAAAGAAAATTGGTACCAAGGAGTGAGACATTGCTATAAAAATATCTGATAATGTGGAAGTGGCTTAGGGACTAGGTAATGGGCAAAGCTTGGAACAGTGTGGAGAGCTCAGAAGAAGACAGAAAGGTGAGATAAACTTTGGAACTTCCTAGAGACATGTTGAATGGTTGTGACCAAAATGTTAATAGTGATATGGACAGACATGGCCAGGCTGAGGAGATCTCAGATGGAGATGAGGAACCTATTGGGAACTGGAGCAAAGGTCACTTTTGTAATGCCTTAGTGAAGAACTTGGTTGGATTGTGTCTCTGCCCTAGGGATCTGTGCAACTTTTAACTTGTGTGTGATAATTTAGTGTATCTGGTGGAAGAAATTTTTAAGCAGCAAAGTCTTCAAGAGATGACTTTGTTTCTGTCTATCTCATATGCATGAACAAAGAAATGACCTGATATTGGAACTTATATTTCAAAGAGAAGCAGAGTGTAAAAGTTTATAAAGTTTGCAGCCTGGCCATGTGGTAGAAAAGAAAAGCCCATTTTGGAGGAGGAATTCATTCAGGCTGCAGAAAGTTGCATAACTAAATGGAAGGCAGGTGCTAATAGCCAGGACAATGGAAGGCCTTGAAGGCATTTCAGAAACCTTCCTGGCAGCCTTCCCATCACAGATCTGAAGGCCTAGTAGGACAGAATGGTTTCATGGGTCAGGCCCAGGGACCCACTGTCCTACTCCCTGCATCCCAGCCAGTCCAACTCCACCCATGGATAAAATCAATAGAGACATATCTTGGGCCACTGCTCCTGAGGATGCAAGCCATAAGCCTTGGCAACTTCCACATGGTGTTATGCCTGTGGGTGCTCAGAGTGCAAGAGTTAAGGCTTGGGAGCCTCTGCCTAGATTTAAGAGGATGTATTGACAAGCCTGGATGTCCAAGAAGAAGCCTGCTGCAGGGGCGGAGCCCTTATGGAGAACCGCTATTAAGACAGTATGGAGGGGAAATGTGGGGTTGAAGCTGCCACACAACATCTCCACTAGGGCACTGCCTAGTGGAACTGTGAGAAGAGGGGAACTGTCCTCCACACCCCAGAATGGTAGATCCACTGATAGCTTGGACCCTGAGCCTGGAAAAGCTGCAGGCACTCAATGCCAGTCCTTCAAACCCACTTCAGGGTCTGAACTCTGCAAAGCCATAGTGGCAGAGCTGCCCGAGGCCTTGGGGACCCACACCTCACACCAACGTGCACTGGATGTAGGACATGAAGTCAAAAGATACTTTTTGGAACTTTAATACCTAACAACTGCCCTGCTAAGTTTTGGACTTACATGGGGCATATAGCCCTTTCATTTTGCCCAAATTCTCCCTTTTGTAATGAGAGTATTTAGCAAATGCCTGTATCCCCATTGTATCTTTGAAGTAACCAACTTGGTTTTGATTTTACATACTCATAGGTGGAAAAGACTAGCCTTGTCTCTGATGAGACTTTGGACTTTTGAGTTAATGTTGGAATGAGTTAAGAGTTTCGGGGACTATTGGGAAGGCATGATTGGATTTTGCAATGTGAGAAGGACATGAGATTTGGGAGGGGCCAGGGGCAGAATAATATGATTCAAATTTGTGTTCCTGTTCAAATCTCATGTTGAATTATAATTCCAATTGTTGGAGATGCACACAGCCATTGGGTCTCTTTGCGTCACCAAATTCTCTTCTAGCAAAGACAGGCTGCTACTCCTGTAATGCCATCAAGATATTGTAGATGCAGTCACTGAGCTGGCTCATGGCATCAACCAAGCAGGTTTGTGTCCTTATGTTTCTCAGCATCACTGACTCAGAACATGGCTTCTCAAGAATGCTGACTCTACACTTTAATGGACTAGCTTTAAGAGTTTGTCTCTTTCTGCTTCTTTCATACAAGAATGTGGTTATCAAGGCCCTGCTTCTAACTCCCACTGCTCCTACCTCTCAAAAGTAAAATATTTTGATACATCTGCTTGTTTCCAGTTTTTGAAATTAAAACACCTAAAATTTTAACATGAAAAACTGATTCTTCTTTTGAATTTTATTGATAGCACGTTACTGAAATTCTCTTATATTTATAACCAAAGCTATTTTTAATATAATATTTTAATAATCTACCTTCATTTCTAACTGGAGTGGCACATTCAAAGGAAAGAGACACATGAGCTCAAACTCCATTTTCTTTTCCTCTTCCAGCTTTCAGTTTAGGTTCAGGGGATACATGTGCAGGTTTGTTATGTGGGTAAATTGTATGTCACTAGAGTTTAGTGTGCAAATGATTTCATCACCTAGGTAGTAGGCATAGTACCTGATAGGTAGTTTTTTGATCCTCACTCTCCTCCCAGCCTCCACCCTCAAGTAGGACCCCATGTCTGTTGTTCCCATCTTTGTGTCCATGTATACTCAATATTTAGCTCCCACTTAAAAGGAAGAACATTCTAGTATTTGGTTTTCTGTTGTTGTGTTGCTTTGCTTAGGATAAATGCCATCCAGCTACCTCCATGTTGCTACAAATGACATGATTTAAGTATTTTTATGGCTGCCTAGTATTCCATGGTGTATATGTGCCACATTTTCTTGATTCAGTCCACCACTGATGGGCATCTAGGTTGATTCCAGGCCTTTTCTAATGTGAAAAGTGCTACAATGAAGATACAATTGCATGTGTCTTTATGGAAGGACAATTTATATCCCTAGGGTATATACCCAGTAATGGTATTGCTGGGTCAAATGGTAGTTTTTCAGTTCTTTGAGAAATTTTCAAACTGCTTTCCACAATGGCTGAACTAATTTATTTTCCTTTAGCAGTGTGTATACATTCCTTTTACCCTGCAACCTCACTAGCATCTGTTCTTTTTTGAGTTTGTAATAATAGCCATTCTGAGTGGTAGTACTTTCATTTAGCACTTTTTAAAGCATCTCATCGTGATTTTGATGGCATTTCTCTGATGATTAGTGATGTTGAGTTTTTTTATATCCTTCTTGACTGCATGCATATGTTCTTTCTGAAGTGTATGTTAATGTCCTTTGCCCATTTTTTAGTAGTGTGTTTTCTTGTTGATTAAGCTACTTATAGATCCTGTATATCAGACTTTGTCAGATGCATATTTTGCAAATATTTTCTCCCATTCTTAGGTAGGCTGTTTGCTCAGTTCATAGTTTCTTTTACTGTGCAGAAGCTCTTTAGTTTAATTAAGTCCCACTTCTCAATTGGGTGGCTCTTTTATTGTTTTAGCAATTGCTTTTGGACTTTTCATCATGAAATCTTTGCCAGTTCCTATGTTTAGAATGGTATTTAATAGCTTTTCTTTGGGGACTTTTGTAGTTTTAAGTTTTGCTTTTAAGTCTTTAATCCATCTTAAGTTAGTTTTCATATTTGGTGAAAGGAAGGGGCTCAGTTTTATTCTTCTGTATATAGATAGCGGTTATCCTAGCACCACTTATTGACTAGGGAGTAATTTCCCCATTGCTTTTTATTGTTAACTTTGTTGAATATCAGATGGTTGTAGGTGTGCAACTTTATTTCTGGTTTCTCTTACCTGTTCCATTGGTATATATGTCTGTTCTTGTACAAATACCATGCTGTTTTGATTACTGTAGCCTTATAGTATAGTTTGAAGTTAGGTAACATGATGCCCCCAGCTTAGCTCTTTTTGCTTAGAATTGCCTTGTCCCTTATTGCTCTTTATTTTTTATTCTGTATACATTTTAGAAGTTTTTTTAATCTAAACTTGTGAAAAATGTCATTGGTAGTTTGAGAAGGATAGCATTAAATCTGTAAATTATTTTGGGCACTATGACCATTTTAATAATATTGATTCTTCCTCTAAGTGAACATGGAATGTTTTTCTATTTGTTTGTGTCATCTCTGATTTCTCAGCAGTGTTTTGCAATTCTTGTTATAGACATCTTTCCTTCCCTGGTTATCTGTATTCCTCAGTATTATATTCTTTTTGTGGCTATTAGGAATAAGACTGTGTTCTTGAGTTGGCTCTCAGTTTGGATGTTATTAGTGTATAAAAATACTACTGATTTTTGTACACTGATTTTTTTTTTCCCTGGGACTTTGCTGAAGTTATTTATCAATGTTGGAGGGCAGAGACTATGGGGTTTTCTAGGTATAGAATCATATTGTCTGGAAAGAGAGATAACTTGACTTCCACTCTTTGTATTAGGATGCCTTTTAATTTTTTCTCTTGCTTGATTACTCTGGCTAGGACTTCCAGTACTCTGTTGAATAGGAGTGGTAAGAGTGGGCATCCTTGTCTTGTTCTACTTCTCAAGAGGAATATTCCAGCTTTTCCACTTAGTGTAATGTTGGCGGTGGGTTTTTCATAGATGGTTCTTATTATTTTGAGGTATGTTCCCTTAAAATATAGCTTGTTGAGGGTTTATAACATGAAGCATTGTTGGATTTTATAAAAAGCCTTTTCTGCATCTGTTGAGATGATCATGTGGTTTTGGTTTTAGGTCCGTTTCTGTGATTAATCACATTTATTTATTTGTATACGGTTAACCAAATTTGTGTCCCAAGAGTAAAGCCTACATGATCATAATGTATTAGGTTTTTTGTGCTGCCAGATTCAGTTTGCTAATATTTTGTTGAGGAATTTGCTTTTGTTTTCATCAGGAATATTGGCCTAAAATTTTCTTTTTTCACTGTGTCTCTGCCAGATTTTGGTGTCAGAATGATGCTGACCTCACAGAATGAGTTAGAGAGGAGTAACTCCTCAATTTTTCTGGAATAGTTTCAGTAGAACTGGTGCCAGCTCTTTTTTATGCATCTGGTAAAATTAGGCTGTGAACCCACCTGGTACAGAGCTTTTCCTCGTTGGCAGGTCTTTAAATACTGATTCAACTGCAGAACTCCTTACTGGTCTGTTCAGGTATTATTCAACTTCTTCCTGATTCAATCTTGGAAGGTTGTATGTTTCCAAGAATTTATCCATTTCTTCTATGTTTTCTAGTTTGTTTGCATACAGGCATTTGTAATAGTCTGTAGTGGGGTGGTTTATATTTCTGTGGGGTCGGTGGTAATGTCACCTTTGTGCTATCTGATTGTATTTATTTGACCTTCTCTTTTTTATTGGTCTAAGTAGCAGTTTACCAGTGTTATTCTTTCAAAAAACTAACTTTTGCTTTAGTTGATTTTTGTATGAATTTTTGCATGTCAAGTCCTTTATGCTGAGCATTGATTTTGATTATTTTTCTTCTGCTCGTTTTGGGCTTGATTTGTTCTTTGCTCTTATTTTTCTAGTTCCTCTAAGTGTGATATTATGTTGTTAATTTGAGCTCTAGAAAGAACTCAAGTTATCACTTGAGCTATATCACTTGACCTATATCACTTCTTGATATAGGTGTTTAGCCCTATAAACGTTCTCCTTAACCCTGCCTTAGCTGTGTCCCAGAGATTCTGGTATGCTGTATCTGTTTTATTAGTATCAAAAAATATTGATTTCTGCCTTAATTTCATTCTTTTTCTAAAAGTCATTCAGAAACAGGTTTAATATCTGTGAAATTGTATATTTTGTCAAACTTCATTTTGATATAAATGAAAACACTGCTATAAATGTTACAGATTACTTTTCTTTTATAATTTTATCATACCCTGGGTGAAGAGAATACCAATTAGTTTCCTAATTCCATTTCCCCTTCTTCATTTTAATGGGATCCCCAACTTGTAGCTATCACTTAGTTTTCCAGAATAAGTAATAATAATAGTATTGCTAAAGATTTCATAGTGTATAACCACTGTTCTAAGTCTGCTAAATATATTACTAAATTTAATGCTCACAAAAATAGGAGATGAGACTATTATTATATTTCCATTTAATAGTTGAGGAAGTTAAGGACAGCTCAATTTGCCAAAATTCAGAGTTAGTAATGGCAAAGCCAAGTTTTAAATAGAGCCTGTTTCCAGAATCCTTGCTAGGGTATACTGTTGTGTAATCCCTCATTTTTCCAGTTCTGTCTTGTATTAGGTTATTTCCATGGGCTCATGTTTTGTTGGTTAATCAATGAGATGTAAGCAAATATGTAAAGTGTCAGAGTCTAACATTTTCCATAGAAAAAAGTGCAGTATAGTTTTCTTTTTTTAATTTGTTATTTCATTCTCCATGCTGGTCAAAATATATTTATGATGACCAGACCTGAAGCACCTACTGGAACACGAGTTGATCTTGAGAATGGAGACCATCTTTGAGGCATATATTTGAGCAGAAAGGTAGCAAGAGTTTCAATCTTTGAGAATGTCTTGGAACAGAGACAGCATAATGAGCCCTTAGACTGCCAAACTCAAGATTTTTATGAGAAAATAACAATCCAAGTTTTTAAACTGCTGTTATTTGTTGGGGTAACATTCTTTGTTATTGCCTGACAAACATAATTCTTAATGATATGTATTGGATCCTCCAAATAATTTTACATCATAATATTTAAAAACATAAAAATATGGAGAAAATTCAAAGTTAATTGCTTTAAGAATATTATTTGAGTATAAAATTAGCCTGTGATATATTGCATGGAAGCTTGATTAAGAAAACACTGAGCAAAATCTAAAAACAGCGACTTTTTTTAACTTACATAGGAAAGATATAATGATTGATAGAGTCTTGCTGTGATCACTATGAATTTTTATTTTTATCTTATTCAGTGTTTGCAGTTCAGCTGGAGACAACTTACTGGAGAGATGTTTGGAAGGGCTCCTTACCAACTGTTAAGGGAGATTGATCCTCTCTAAAGATAACTCCAAAATAATATACTAATTTCATCATTGCACATAATGGTGTGCCAACATATGCTATCTTAAGTTGTATAGCATAAACATGATAGTTACAAAAATGAACTCCAAAAGAGCTAAAAATGAAGTCAAAAATTCATTTATCAAAACTGATTTCTATATAAGAAAACATATTTAATACAGTAAATTTTAAAAAGCGATAAAATGGAAACTATAACAAATTATAATGCTCATGAAAATATAAAGTGTTGAACTGTACAATCAGTCTCAGATGAATCAGACATTTAAAATCCAAACTGTACTAAAAAATTCAAAGAATATATGAAGGTACCAGGCTCAGGGAAAATAATATTTTGTTATTGAAATACTCTCTTAAGGTCATCAAATGCAGATCTCCAAAATTATAAATTTGTTCCCACATTAAGATAATTTTTAGTTTCAGGTTTAATACATGAGGTGACTTATGAGAACTACATGTGGGACACCTTGTTCACCTATAAAAAGAGATCTTTTTGTTTCAGAACTTTTCTGTTCAGTGTTGTGTTATTTATATCATATACTAGAATGGTATCCACTCTCTAATCATTCATGCTCCATAATTTATAAATTACAGTTTGTTTTTCAATAAGAAATGTAGACAAATAAAGTGCATCCTGCATAAGAACTCCCCATAGTCTTTCTGCTAGGCAGAACCAAAAGCATGCTGACCTGGGTGGGAATATTACTATAGGACATTTGAGCAAGTTGATCCCTTCTTCCCAATAGTCTCTGTTAGAATGGGGAAAAGTCCATTATTATCATTTTTCATTATTTTTGTCATGTCAAAAAGTATATCAATTAAACTTGGCAATTCATAACAGGTTATATAAATTACATACTATGCAAATATAAATGACAAATCTTGCCACAGAAATGATCTTGTCAACATTATGAATAAAAGTTATTACCTGCCATTGTAGGAAGTTTTATAGAGTCCTAGACAGAAATAGTTTTATATGGAGTCCTGGACAGAAATATAATCCTGCAAACTTGAATAACTTAGCTAGATTTACTTTTCTCATCCAAATATGGACTGATAAGACTAATATAGAGTTTTTTCAGCCCTTTTTGGCAAATCTCTATTTTTTTAGTGGGACCTTAATATGCTTCTCTTTCATCTCACTAACCAGATCCGCTCAGCTTGGGAAAATTTTATTTTGGAGTTTTAGTAAGATTATACAGAGGAAAAAAACATTCTAAAGAAAAATCAAAAAAAAATTTAAAAATATTCAATAGTAAATTAACTCTTTGCCTCTTTTCAACTCAAAATACCTACTATTTCTCAAAGTGTACTTCACTCAAATTAATATTAACCATGAAAATACAAAGAAGAATCAGTTTTACATAACTAAAACTTGATTATTAATATTTAAGACTTTAATGTTAATTCTCTAAAGTATGCATTTTAACTGTTGTGCCTCTTAAAATATTAGATTATTTTAAATCACTGAAAAAGAATATATCTGCATGTTTTATGACCTTCCGAATAAAAGTATGAGGTATGTCAGGCATGGTGACTCACACCTGAATCTCAGAACTTTGGGAGGCCAAGGTGAAAGGATTGCTTGAGCCCAGGAGCTTGAGACCAGCCAGGGTCTCTACAAAAAATTTAAAAATTAGCTCAGCATGGTGGCATGCGTCTATAATCCCAGCTAATCGGAAGGCTGAGATGGGAGAATCACTTGATCCCAGGAGGTAGATGCCATCATGATCGTGCCGTTGCACTCCAGCCTATGCGACAGAACAGATCCTGTCTCAAAAAAAAAAAAAAAAAAAAAAAAAAAAAGTATTTGGTAACATGTGGACATTTACTAAGCAAATGTGATAGCTTAAGATTGAGGGTAGCCACCTGTAATCCCAGCACTTTGGGAGGCCGACACAGCCAGATCACGAGGTCAGGAGTTCAAGACCAGCCTGACCAACATGGTGAAACCCCGTCTCTACTAAAAATTAAAAAACAAACAAAAAAAACGAAAGAAAAGAAAATTAGCCGGGTGTGGTGGCAGGCACCTGTAATCCCAGCTACTCGGGAGGCTGAGGCAGGAGAATCGCTTGAACCCAGGAGGAGGAGGTTGCAGTGAGCTAGATCTCAACACTGCACTCCAGCCTGGGCAACAGTGAGAGACTCCTTCTCAAAAAAAAAAAAAAAAAAAAAAAAAAAAAAAATTGAGAGTAGTCAACAAACTTCAGCTGGGAATGTATATTCTAATATAATAAAGGTTACTGTCAGTTTATATATCTTCATTTCTATTTTGTATAGCACTTCATATATAGAGATGTGAGTTGCATTTCATCTCAAAAATTCAAGCAATCTCAAACAGAACACTTAAAAGTAATATTTATATATGCAATAAAGCCCTATGTTTCTCCTGTTCTCTTTAGAATCATACATATCTAACCTCATTTGGTGGTTGTTAAAACATTGCAATCACTCTTAGTCATATCACAATATGAAAAAAAGTACTTCATTAAGATTTTTTAAAAACCTTTCATTGTCCGTTTATCTTTACAGATAATTTCTGTGAAGCCCAAAGTACTTTTTTCCTATTGTTGGTTTTATGGTTTGTATTAAAATGTAATTCAGATTTATTCCCAAATACCATTCAACTTAAAGCAGCCTTCTTCAAATGCTGCTTACACAAATGAAAGTCTAAGGACTTTTATGACAATGCAGTTTATATAAAAATATCTCATGCATATCTTGTCTCCTATCAGGGATTTCATGTACTGCTTTTTCAAAACAACCATAAACATTCAGATTGATTTATGCTATAATGGCATTCAGGAGTGTGTGTTAGAAAGAGACTCAATCATGAACTATTTGTTGAGGTTATACAGAGAGTAAAGCAAGTGAGTTATGACACTAAGTAACTTTTATATTATGGTGGCTTTCAGTTGTATATCTTTAATTCTAGACTTTCTTTTGTGGACCGTACTCGTATGTTGATGGTTACATTTATATGTAACAAATATCATAAAGCAAACATTAGTAAAATTTACTTTTTGATCCCCACCTCAAATATGTACTGCTCCATTTAAGGAAAATGATCTATTCTAGAAACCTAAAATCCTTTGTTGACACTTCTTCAACATCTCCATTCAATTAATCACTAAATCCTGAATCCTGTTAATTTTTCCCCAAATATATATAAATTCTTCTCATACCTCTAAATTCCTTCTCTTTCAGTCTAGTTCAAATGGGCATCTTTTTTTTTTTTTTTGGTCCAAAATCCTACTACTTGTCTCCTCACTTCTGTTTTTCTTTTTTTTATTATTATTTTATTTATTATTATTATTGTTTTGAGACAGAGTCTCGCTCTGTCACCCAAGCTGGAGTGCAGTGGTGCGATCTCGGCTCACTGCAAACTCTGCCTCCCGGGTTCATGCCATTCTCCTATCTCAGCCTCCCTAGTAGCTGGGACTATAGGCGCCCGCCACCACGCCCTGCTAATTTTTTGTATTTTTAGTAGAGACGGGGTTTCACCATGTTAGCCAGGATGGTCTCTATCTCCTGACTTCGTGATCCACCTGCCTCGGCCTCCCAAAGTACTGGGATTACAGGGGTGAGCCACCACACCCGGCCACTTCTGTTTTTCTTAGTTTATCATATGTATTTACAAGAAAAGCATCATAAGTAATGTTATAAAGCAATTGGTATTGTCAACCTCTTTCACCTTGTTTCTGAGGATAGAATCTAAAGCCTGCATTTTGAGGTATCCCTTATTAAATTATCTTGCTTCAGTTGACATCAGTCTCTTCCTTCAGCTCTGCTCTCTAACCACTTTGGTTTTACTTTAGTTATTTGTTATGACATCTTTCTCAAATCTGAAACTTTATGCATATTATTCTTTTTCTCAGAAAAATCTCCATCATTCTCATAACCTTCTCAATTGAAGTTTTCTTGGAAAAGTATTACTAATATTCAAATCTCTGATTAAATTTTATTTACTCAGACAGTATCTCTTTGAGCCCCAATTGTACTATAACTTTCTTTCTCATAAAACTTGTAATCATCCTTCTTTGTATATTTTAACAATGTATTTATTTATGTTTTCTTAATACGTATCCCCACCCAAAAGACTATGGAATACATGCAGCATGTGTTTTGTTTATCAATACATAATCTTTGTAGCAAGGATATGGTAGACACTCAAAAGTTTTAAAATCAGTGAGTTAATTATATAAATGTTTATGTTATGATATTTGTCCTTCAAGGACTCACAATCTATTAGAAGAAATGAAACAGGTTCATATATGATTATATTCTTAGTCCATTTTTGTTTCTTATAACAGAATACCTAAAACTGGATAATTTGCAAAAAACAAAAGGAATTGTTTACAGTTCTGGAGGCGAAGTCCACAGTGAAGAGACTGGACCTGGTCCCTCGTTTGGTAAAGACTCTCTGCAGAGTCCTAAGGTGGCACTGAGCCTGCTAGCTCAGATTTCCTTCCTCTTCCTATAAAGTCAACAGTCCCACTCCCGTGATAACCCATTAATCCATTAATGAATTAACCCATTCATCCAATCATGGCAGAGCCCTCATGACCCAATCATCTCTTAAAGGCTCCACCTCTCAACACTGCCACATTAAGTTTCAACATGAGTTTTGGAGGGGACAATCATTCATACCATAGCATATGCTAAAACAACCAATAGCCAAAGATAAACATCTCAACTGATTTTATTAAGGAAATACATTTTTTCAGATATTATCTGTTTTTCAATTAGTGTCCTTTCTCTGATGCAGAATCCAACCCACGTTGCACTTCGTTCACTGAATTTTAACGAGAAACTTTTGTGAGTGTGAAAAAAAAATGTCAATTTACAGATAGGTCAAGTCCATGTCACACAGCAGTTAAGAGGGTATCTCCACTGTCCTAGAGATGAGTGTGTGTGCACCCTCTAACTTGTGTAGTAGGACGCAAAAAATAAATGCTTCTACAAATCTATCCTTAGGAGGAAATTCCTCAAAGATCTAGACATTTTCTTAGGAAAACAACAAGTATGACTGAAGAAATTTATTTTGTAATAGCAACATTATTACTCTTTAATAATCAGTATTAGCCACCCCCAAACAACACAAAATCATTTTATATGTGCCTAATTATCCATTGACAAGCACAATCCTAAATGGCCAAGATGTAATGTCATATTTTACTGGAACTGATTTCTATTGTTTGTGATGTCCTATAATATCAATTAAGTTACAGTGAATAATCTTATTGTTTAAATCTTCTGTATTCTAATTGCCTTTCCATTGTGCTCTCTCAGTCACTGAGAGTGGTGAGTCAAAATTGCCAAATATGATAATAAATTTACATATTACTCCTTTTATCTTGAATGTTTGTTACATATTTTTAGCTTTATTGATGTATAATTGGCAAATTAAAATTTTATATATTTAAGGTGTATAATGAGATATTTTGAAATATAAACATGATGAAATGATTACCACAATCAAGCTAAATTAACATAAACCATCACCTCACATAGTTACTTTTGTGTGTGCATGTACTAAGAATAATTAAGATTACTTTTTTAGTAAATTTCAATGTACAATATATTAACTATAGTCATTATGCTGTAGATTAGGTCGCTAGAACTTATTCATCTTATAACTAAGTTGTTTTATATATTTTAGCCCATGTTATTCAGTGCATACACATTTATGCTGTGATACTTTTTTCTTGAATTTATACTTTTAATATCAAATACCTCTCCTTATTTCTAGTAATATTTTTTTCAAGTCTATTTCTTCAAATATCAGTGTTACTACACTTGTTTTCTTTAAAATTATGATTGAAAATGGCATATACTTTATTTCTTCCATATATTTACAAGCTCTTCTCTCATATTTAAGAGTATAATATATGTTATGAGCAGTCTGACTGACTTTTTCCTCTTAAGTGGACAATTACAATGCTATATTAATTAGCACTGGTTTCATCAATCACACACATACAGGTGTAATAATATTTGTTTATGCACTTTAGAATTATATCAATGGTGAACCCCAGAATGTTCAACTAATGGTAGCTAAAGAAACAGATTTATTTATCCTACTGCCAGAGAGTCAAATAGCATACCCTCAAATTCATCAGTCAATAGCTCTTTTTAGCCATTTTTTGTGTGTTGTCCTTGAGTTTCATTATACAGCCTCTTTATTCAACTTCGTATCTCATTCCTAAATTCAAAGAGTGTGAAGGGTGAGCAAAAAGGGTTTTTCTTTGGGTTGATCTTAACTTTATTGTAACCCCACCAGATTTCACTTTAAAGGTGATAACCAGGTTTCATGGCCATATCCGTTTGCAAACCATGCTTAGAAACCGAGTATCTGGGAAAGAAGCATGGGATATTCTTATCACCCTCAAAACTGTGGTTTTATTTATTGTTTTTTGTTTTCTCCAAGCAATAAGGGTATGAATGACTGATAACCAAATAATGCTGTCCTGCGTGAAGTACACAAGTAGCACTGACTTAATTTAGAAACCAATAATGTTGAGAGTAGGGGGTGAAGAATTTAATATCTATTTAAAATCTTCTATATAGGAAAGATCATCATTTTGACTACAGCTGAGGAACTATTAGAACTGGTGAAGATAAAGATGTATCCTTAAAAATCTGAGGTCTAGGTTGGTCCTTAGGATTCATTTAAATAACATAAGATTTAAAAGAATAAATTAATTTGTAGAGCAGAATACAGAAGGCTTTTAAATGATACTGTGGCTGAATGCTATCTATACATACATTGTATAAATATATTTACATATATTTATATGGAATTATGTATAATATTGTTTTACAATTATATATACATATACGTAATCTCTAGATAGATTTTATTTAATTCTAGGCATTGAAAAGAAAGAGTATTTATTTAAGCTATAATTCAAGTGAAAAATCAATGAAAATCATATTAGAGATAGACCTTGGCACACCACTGAGCTGTACTTTGAATAAATCTTTCAATTTGTTAAATATCTGTAAATATTTATAAATATCTATAAAATGGGTAATCATAACCTCTGCATTCAGAATTTTTTCTTTTTTTTTTTTTTGAGACAGAGTCTCGCTCTGTCACCCAGGCTGGAGGGCAGTGGCATGATCTCAGCTCACTGCAAGCTCTGCCTCCCGGGCTCTCGCCATTAAGAGGTTAGATTAAATGGTATTTTTAAATGGTTAGGCATATATTTAAATAATATTATTTGAAATACTGTTAATATTTTGAGAAAAGTCTTATAAATATAATGTTACAGGATCCTTGAGATGTCACTTCACCAGTAGGAAGCCTCTGTGGACAGTGTGGCACCTTTGCCTGAGTTTTGCTTGGGCCTGCTGGACTCACTCAGCCTGGTAGGCCGCATTCAGCTCACACTGCCACCCTGGATCCCATGCCACCAAAGGTGAGACAAGCAGAGAGTGGTGTGTGTGAGTGAGCATGAGGTCCAGCCACCACACACAGCCAGGCATTTTGGCTGCAGTGGGTTGGTCAGCTCCAGGTGCTAGCATAGGTGTGAGCTCCCTTCAAGACTAGCTGGACCAGGCATACCTCAAACAGCTTCCACAGCTAGCACTAGGGAATGCGGTGGTACCCAGAAGCTTGGAGATGCCAGGAACTGCCAAGCCCCAAAGAGGGTATCATAGCCCTGTCTGGGAAGCTCCTAGGTCTGGGATCCCAAAAGGGCCACAGCACTTCTCTCCTTCTCTCTTCTCTCCTTGTCTCTGGCAATGTGGTGAGCAAGAAGCTTGTTTGAACTTTGTTTGTGTTACAGCTCTTTCAGCTCCACCATGTGGTGGGTCCCCATTTCTTGTCCCACTTCCAGGAAGAATGAAGTGGGTGGACAAGTGGAGGGTGAGCAAGATGAAGAGGAGCTTTATCAAGCAATAGAACTGCTCAGAGGAGACTCACAGTGGGTAGCTCCTCTCAGCAGCCAGGGTGTCCCAATGAGTGTTCAACTCTTAGCAGAGAGGAGACCCTGTATTGGGTAGGTCCACTCTGCAGCTGGCTGTCCCATCATCTCCTCAAGTCTGGCTGAGTCTAAGGTTTTTATGGGCTTCAGAGGGATGGATGTGCATGCTGATTGGTTCATGGGTGGGCCTAGAAAAAGCACCGTAAGTTCCTATTCTGGTTAATCAGCCCATCCTCCAGGCTTCAGGTGGTATCTGGCCTGAGTGTGACTTCACCAGGGACCTGCCACTTTCCACCCAGGAGCCTGTCTGCCTCCTACCTTCATCCATGGCACCCAGGTTGTTTGTGCTGAGGGGTGCCTGTAGGCCAGCACCCAACTGCCTACAGCTCCCTCATTGGCCTCCTTCCCATGTTCATTAGGACCCAAATTCTGGAGGGTACCAAGTCAGGAGGGGGCTCTCTTGTCAGCACTGCCCTGAGTGCACATACTTGGGTGGGTTGCAACAGTGCCTAGGCTCGGCCTCAACTTTTCTCCAAGATCAAACTGAGCACTGAGAGTAAAGAGAGGCCAGGCAGCAGGAGCAGGCAGTTGTAAGCCTGTAGGGGTATCCCTGGCTCCTGAGAGCAAAGAGACTCCCAGGCCCACAGCTGCAGCAGTGCCCAGGAGCACAGGGCTCCTGCCTGCTCTCATCCCACAAGAGAACAGGGATGCCTGGGTCCAAAGCCATCGCTGGGCAACCACAGCTGTGGCCATGTAGCATGAAGTTCCCACCCTACCGACTCAGAAGGGAGCAGGGCTTCCAACTGTTCCCAGCTCCCGCTGGCTCTGTGGAGCGTTCGGCCCTGGCCACACCTCTCCCACTGCAGGAGGCATCATGGCAGCAGCTGCTCCAGATGGGCTGCCACTGCCATCAATAATGCTCATTAAATTATTTTATTGGATAATTCATTTAAAAAGTTGACATATAGACTTATAAATGAATATATGTATAGAAATACATGTATGCACATATGTGTATTTCTATATGCAAATGGGTGTCTTGAAGCTTAGTACTGAAACCAACCCACTAGTCCCATAGATAGTTTTTCTTTTTTTAAATAAACATATAAATTAACCCTTCTGGTCTTAAAGCTTGAAATTTATGTTTGTTTTAACATAGTTCTTTCCTTTAGGCCGCTCAAAAATACTAGCAAAGGCTGAAACTCAACAGATCACCGTATCCAGAAAATGAGATGCCAGACCACTCATTCATCATGATTTGTTTGCCCCTCCCTAGCTCCTGGTTTCTTACATATTGTTACATTTCTTCCCTACTATATAAACCCCTAGCTTTAGTCAGTCAGGGAGATGGATTTGAGACTGAGCTCCCCCCTTGGCTATAGCACTCAATTAAAGCCTTCTTCTCTGGCAACACTCATCATCTCAGTCATTGGGTTTCTGTGCAGTGAACAGCAGGACCCAGATCAAACCCCTGGTGTTTTGGTAACAGTATGCAACTCCAGAAAAGTTGGTTTATCCCTAATGAATCAGAAATATATCATAGCTAGAAAAATATACAGGAAAACCATTTACTGAACAATCGCTCTCTCTCTCTCTTTTAATAGATAGTTCATGGTACACCTTAATTTGTTCTTGTACATACCTAAAGTTTTGGCATATTGACTACCTGCTGTTTAACTAAACGGTATAATCTTGAAGCTTGGCTAAGTTGATACAGTACAAACCACTAGACCAGTTGAGAGCTTGTGAAACATAACACAGAAGTAAAAGTAAAAGAAGTACTGCAAGAATAATACAGTGTTAGTTTTTTTTGTCCCTCAACCAGACTTCTTATAGATAAATCAAATAGATAACTTTGAAAGTTAAGTGGGATTTTTCATTTTAGTATAGTCATATAGGCATTTGATCAAGAATTCATATTAACAAGTTGGTATTTCTGGAGGAATAGAGAACATAGTATAATATTCACGCCAATTTAAGATTATATTCTCATGATCCGTTAGCAGTTTATCCAATTAATGTATGGCTTATTAAATTATTCTCCTTCTATTCTATTCACAGAGATGATGCATGTGTCAGCAAGTGATAATTGTTGCTTATTGCTTATTTTACTAAAGTAATTTTTAAACAAATTTGCCACAACATAACCATTCATATTAAATTGAATTAAATATAGAGTGCAGTCTCTTGGGAGAGTGGATGAAACGTGCATCCAAGCTTACTCTCACGAGGAGGATTAGGCTTGGAGGGAGGCCCATCAACTTTCCTCACTTATCATAGAATTCAGAATCTAAAATTTTTAGAGTGGTTGTGTTCCAAATGCCTAGTAGAGTAAACTTGAGGACCCAGAAACAAGGTCATAGTAAGAAAAGGGAAGATAAGAGGGACAACAAACACATTTAAGCAACATTTACTGAGCACAAGAGGTGCTCCTCTCATACACACAGTTGGGATATGACACACTATCTCCTATAGTTTCTCGAACTCGAACAAAACTAAACATTTTCATTCATATTCACTTGAAAATTAGTTAGGATGAATTTTTCAGACAATGAATTTTGCATACTTTTTTGCATATCCTCAGAGAAAAAGCAAATATGGTGATAATGAAAATTTGGATAGCAAAAGATAATTTTGTAATGTTATTGGTCATCAACTATTTTAATATCTGTAAATAAAGACATATCATTATATGAAAATGCTTTCTAAATTACTGATCATATATTTAAAGAAAATAATATTTGAAGACAAATTTTACAAGATAAAAATGTTACTTTTAAATATAAAGTTTGTTAAGTTATATGTATTTAAATTAAATACAATTTTAGTGAAAAATTCCTTATCTCATTTCAGTGCCTAATACTTTGCAGTGTTACAGTGGTTGATATTTTGGAGTGTTCAAACATAAACTACAATTAAGGATTATAAAAATGTGCACATTTATCACAACATTTGTAAGGTATCAGATTATTAATACATAAATTATTTTTCTTGATTTTGTTATATTCTCTGCTTATCTTCTAGGAAGAATTTCTGCCTACTAAGTAAATTAACTTAATCACAAACATGGGCATTCACTGGAAATTTTCAAGAGAGTTGGATTGGGGAAATGCCAGTAGTTAAAATAAATGACAAGAGGGAAAATGTTAAAAGAAATCATTCTAACGTTCAACTTCTATGCCACATTATTCAACTGAAAGTGTCAGTTTAATTTTATTTAAGCTTTGATGAAAAGGCATAATGAATTGGGTAAGGACAATGAAATAGTAATATAACATCTAGAATGATAGTTGATTTATACTCCCATTTAAGATCTGCACTTGGCCTATGAAATATTTTATTTACTTTTTAATCAATGTTAAGTGAAACACTAAAACCAAAATGAAAATTTTCTCATTCACTAAAGATCTCATTTTTATATATCACAAATTGAAGAGTATTAATAATACTCATGAATACTTGTGAGACTGAGGTTTGGCTGTCACAGGCATTTTCAACCATACTTTGATATTCAGTTTTCTGATTATTTCATTGCTTTGCATAGAAAAACACTTATAAATTTTTAAGTGGACCAAATTAATATGCTTACTATATCAAAACCATGTTAAATAAAGAAATAAAAATCAAAGCCAATGTTGAATGTGCTATTTTGACATCTTAAAATAAATCCTGTGGTCTTTTCAAATAAGCCATGTTGTTTCATAACATCTTTTAAAATAACGGCATGCATGTTGAAGAGGAGGCATTTTTTCGGAGCAGCTCAGAACTATCTTTGATGTAGTTATAAGCTAAAGGGCATGATGAAGAAAAAAATATGTAGTAACTTACCCTATATAACTTCCAGGCAGGGGAGATTCAAATGATAAATTATTTAAAGGAATTAAAGAAGACACCACAGGGCTCTTATTGCTTATTAAAGGTGAACGATTTTCAAACTCAGTTATGTTACATACCAATAGATTATTTCTTCTACTTAAGCTTTATTTCACCTAAACATGACAGTTAAAAAATGTTAGAACTGTTTTTATAATATTCTGGAAAAGATAATGGTATTTCCTGATTAGTATTTTCTCCTTCATGGTATACTGAAGCATTAACTTGTAATTTTATTATTGTGATGAATTATTAAACAGCTGATACAAAGAAAGATCAACAATTAATTTCTTTCTGATATTCCATAAGGGAAATTTATTAGATTTGATATGCATGGTAAAAGGTGCTGTTTGACAGCAATATTGTCTCATTAATTGGTTCATTTATTGTATTATTGGTTCATTCTGGTTCAATATAAAATATTGTACAATATTGGTTCATGTATTGTATTATAAGACTGCTATACAGTAAATATAGTGTTTAAAGAAAAAATAGTCAGAGGCAACCGAGAATGGATCTAGCAAATGTATGCTGACCAGGCTGTGCCTTTTCTCCAGGCAGTGAATTTGGCTGTCTATAGGAAAGACTGTGGAAGTGGGAGCTGTGCTGTGCTGATAAAGGTCTAACAACCAACTCACTGAGAAAAAGACATCGCAAAAAATTTTCCAATATCTGATTTTCTTACCTTGTTTTCCTTGGTGCAAATTCTTTAGGATTTATTTGAAGCCACCTATATGATGCCCCTGACCACTGAACTGGGAAGAGATGCACAGTTAGCCCTCCCTCACAGCCATACAGGCCAGCTGCAACATACCAGTGGTTACCTTCCAGCATGATTCCAAAGGAAACAAGGATCAATAAGGCAAAGTGACTATAGGAAGATTTCCCCCTGTACAGCAAAATATTCCCAATAGAGCAGCCCTCATCCATTGACTTATGAGTATTCATATACCAAAACTTCAGTGCCTTGATTCTCTATTTAGAGATAGCTCTATGGCATATGCTCTTACTTGTGGGATAGTGTTCTGTAGAAGAATTTAGCTTCAGGTGTTCTGCGGTTACTGGCTTTGTAGTCACACTTTATCGATTTTCCTTCTAGTGAATCCTGGGATTAACTTCCACATAAACTATTTGCACTCTAAACTTTGAGTTAGTGTCTGAGATATCTCAAAATAATCCCTTTTCATTCCTATTTTATATATTTCATCATCTTAATTGTCATCTTTTCTATCAACCATGGAATGCTCACACTGGGATGATCTAGTGAGATTAAGCATGGCTGTGACACACTCTTCTAATCAGGCATTTTCACTTTAGGCCACAGCAGGGTTCAGAATTCGCTTAACCTATGAAACCTGCTCTATTGGGAAAGTGTCCTCTCTTTCAGGAGTCTCGCCATTTAGAAAATGCCAGACCTGAGGATGCTATGGATGCTTTCAAAGATCGTGTGTAAAAAGGACAAGAGGAACATCAACAACAGCAACTTCTCCCATGCACTGCCTACAACATTGGCTTGCTTTGGCTTTTGGATATTTCAGGTCTTGAGTAGCACTGGCTATGTCCTTCTCATAGCAGTTCAACAGGTTTCTTTTTTAAAATTTCATGTTCTTTTCAAGTTTCTATACATCAGGAACCTTGACAGTATTAAATTTTGTAGAATAATTCTTTGTTGTGAGAGGTTATCCTGTAATTGTAGGATGCTGAGCAACAGCCCTGGACTCCATCTGCTAGATCACAGTAGAACTCCCACTCTTAGTTGACAATCGAAAAAGTCTTTAGATATTTCCAAATGCCCTGTGGCAAGCAAAATTTTATCTGGTTGATAGTTGTTAGTCTACACCTTTCAGAAATGCTCCATTGAGTTTAATAACATTTTACTCTTCTCTAGAACATATAAATAGGGGGCTCTACTTTATCGAATTTGAGTGCATCCTGAATTTGATATTTCTTTTATAATAACAATACAATAATAACTGTTATTTTTACTACTATTTTGGGTTTGGAGCACTAATGGTTGTTTTTAGATCAAACTTAATTGTTTTTCTTCTTTACATCATTGTAAGAAAACTAAATAATTCTTAGTAAAATATATTTTTATAGTCATATTAGAATTAAGTCTCTATGGAGTTCTATTACTTCACTCAACTTCAAAAGATATTAATTTGCCTCATTTGCTTGTTCTCAATTATTGGCAAATCAAACAAGGAATGCATTTAGATAATTTGAAACTATATAAAACAATGCATATATTAAAGTATTTAAAAATATAAAATATATTTCACAGCACAATGTATGGTCTTATTGCACACTTCAACTTTTGCAGGGACATAGATGGAGCTGGAAGCCATTATCCTCAGCAAACTAACACAGGAACAGAAAACCAAACACCACATGTTCTCACTTATAGGTGGGAGCTGAACAATGAGAATACGTGGATACAGAGAGGGGAACAACACACACTGGGGTCTGTCAGTGGTGGGGATGGGGAGGGAGAGCATCAGGAAAAAAAAAATGCTTACCGGGCTTAATACCTAGGTAATGGGTTAATAGATGCAGCAAACTGCCATGGCACATATTTACCCATGTAGCAAACTTGCACATCCTGCACATGTATCCTGGAACTAAAAATAAAATAAAATAAAAGTCACACAGGTGTAAAATGCAAAAAAAAAAAAAAAGAATATACAATTGATAAACACCCTCCAACTAGAAGTTAAAACATTCACTCAAAAATAACTGTTGTCACTATTTATTGTGTGTTTATTTTTACCACATACTTTGCCAAGTTCTTGATATACATTTTTTCACTTTTTACAATTATGCCCTTTTTATAATGGAAAACCTCAATATACATAAATGCAAATGACTTACTTAAATTTGCAGTTCTACTAACTATCAAAGGGCAAACTGAGCAAGAATGACCAGCTTCCAAAATCCATGAAAGCATGACGAAAATCCTCAGTTTCTTAATTTGAAGCTATACATAAATATTAAGAGACAATTGAGGGTTACAGTTTTCATTTTCTTAAAAATGGTAACCCTTTCTGGTTTCAAATATTATAAAAATTAGGAAGCAAATGTTAGTATGTGCAGTCATGTATTAAAGGTGTAGAAAGAACACTTTTATTCATGATTAAATGCATTGTTTTATCAAAATACATTGTTTTAATATGAAGTGCTTATTAATAAAATCTGATTGCACATTTTGAAAAATCATTCACATGAAATACATGTACACACACATGCATGGGCACACACACACACACACACACACACACATATACATACACTCCTATTAAGGGTATTTAATGATTTCCATTAGAGAGTATACCTAGAAAAAGTTGACTTCATTACCAAGAATCAACTTAGGAACCTGGACTAGGCAAGAAATTAGACTGTATTACATGCATAAATGTAAATTTAAATATGAGTATTGGTGCTACAAGTTTTGGTATTTAATCAGTACCTACAAAAACTAAAAACAATTAAAATTACAAAAAGTTTTGATATTTGACTTTCTTTTCCAATCTTTTCAATCAGAATCTCTTCTTTTTAATCAGGATACTATAGTAGTTTTGAATAAATTTATATAGTAATCAAAACAATAATTTTAAGCTATTAGCCTAATTAAAACTCAGTAACTTTTAAGCTAAATTGTCACAAAATCACAAAGCAAAGTTATGCTTGAGCAAGATGGCAAATCACTACTTTTCTATGAAGGAAAATGTCAGACTATTCAGTGAACAAACACTCAATAAATAATGACAATGGTTATTTCTGAACGAATGTTTTAACTTTGCCTATGTATAACCAACAATATATCAGCAAAATTTGGAGATAACATAAATTGGAAACTCTCTGAATTATGGTCACTTTCCTAGGCTTTTAAAATGGCAGCAACTGGTCATCATGGTTTCATAAAACCCAGAAAAATCAGTAATATTAGTAACATATCTGTAACATACCATCCCTAAATACATCAAATTCTATGCTTCATGTAAGGTGAAAACCAAAAATAAAAACCGAAAGCCCCCTGCAGCCATCTGAATGGACCTCAGCCAGGGTACTCTAAAATTTAACCTGAAAGACTGGTTCAGGTCATGTCAGGAAGTGAGGGTCAGACATGCCTCATTACACCCAGACAGCATTAACATCAACACAGACCTTAAGTCTGATAAGAAACATGACAGTCTTTTCTCTCTAAAGCCTGCTAGTGGGGGCTTCATCTGCATGGCAAAACCTAAGTGCCCCCAACACCTCATTATAACCCAGACTTTTTTTTTTTGAGATGGAGTCTTGCTTTGTCACCAGGCTGGAGTGCAGTTGCACGATCTCGGCTCACTGCAACCTCCGCCTCCCGGGTTCAAGGGATTTCCCTGTTTCAGCCTCCTGAGTAGCTGGGACTACAGGCTTGTGCCACCACACCCAGCTAATTTTTTGTATTTTAGTAGAGACAGAGTTTCACCATGTTGGCCAGGATGGTCTCAATCTCCTGAACCCAGATATTTCTTTCTACTGATAATAACTCTTTCAACCAGTTGCTAATCAGAAAACGTTTAAATGTACCTATGACCTGGAAGCCATCCTCCTTCTCTCTTCCAGATCAAACCAATGTAAATGTTACATGTATTGATTGATGCATTATGTCTCCCCAAAATGTATAAAAGCAAGCTGTACCCTGACTGCCTTGGGCACATGCCATCAGGACTGTCACGGGTACATCTTTAAGACCTGTCTCAGATATTTTGAGCTCACAAGGGTTAGTTGAAAATTTTGCAGACTATAGATATGAATTACAATGATTAAAACATTCTTCTTAGAAAATAATTCTACATTATCATGAAAGTTCAAAACTGAGAACAACTATTGCTAAAAGTTCTTTTTTTTTTTTTTTTTTTTTTTAAAAAGATGGAGTCTCGCTCTGTCGCCCAGGCTGGAGTGCAGTGGCGTGATCTCGGCTCACTGCAACATTCGCCTCCCGATTCAAGCGATTCTCCTGCCTCAGCTTCCCGAGTAGCTGGGACTACAGGCACCTGCCACCACGCCTGGCTAATTTTTTGTATTTTTAGTAGAGACTGGGTTTCACCGTGTTAGCCAGGATGGTCTCGATCTCCTGACCTCGTGATCCGCCCGCCTCTGCCTCCCAAAGTGCTGGGATTACAGGCATGAGCCACCGTGCCTGGCGTGGAGGAATGAATCAATTAATGAATGAGAAGAACCCACTGTAATCGTAATAACATTAGGGGATATCTACTTCTCATTTCATGTATTTCCAAGAATCTGTTTAGAATTTTTACTTCTAAACAGAATCTGTTTACTTCTAAACAGATTCTTGGAAATATATGAAATGAGAAGTAGATATCCCCTAATGTTATTACGATTACAGTGGGGTCTTGCCATTCATTAATTGATTCATCCCTCCACAAGTTTACTCAACGTTATCTCTGATGTACCAGATGCTATTCCAGTCACTGTACTTGGAGTGATGAGCAAAACATAAAAATTCCTGTAGCCCTGACTTCATGGTGTTTACACTTTAGTGTGAAATGTTAGAAAATAAACACAATAAGTTGAATACATACCATGCTAAATTACTTAAGATTACTAAATTCCTGTAGCCCTGACTTCATGGTGTTTACATTTTAGTGTGAAATGTTAGAAAATAAACAAAATAAGTTGAATACATACCATGCTAAATTACTTAAGATTACTAAATTCCTGTAGCCCTGACTTCATGGTGTTTACATTTTAGTGTGAAACGTTAGAAAATAAACAAAATAAGTTGAATACATACCATGCTAAATTACTTAAAAGTAAAATTAGGAATTGCTGGGCCAGAAGGGGATTACAAATGTAATTAGGGTAGCCAAAGATTCATATACTGACAAAGTAACATTTGAGATAATACTTGAAAATGTTGAGGAAAGAACCAGGTGCACATAGGAGAGAAGAGATTCCAGCCAGCTGGAACAGCAAAGCATAGTGGCCTTGGATGGGCTCAGGTGAGGCAGGCTCTAGAAGCAGCAGGAGCTCTATGTTTTATCCCAGTGAGCTCAGGAGAGAACAGTACAGGAAGAGTCCTGGAGGACTGAAAGGAACCAGATTTGATAGGGCTTAGAGGCCATTCATATTCAAGAGATGCATTTACTAAGGATGATGGGAGGTACTGGAAGAGTTTTCAGCAGGGTAATGAAGAAATACCTGATTTGCCTTTCAAAGGAATATTAATCCTGCTTACTACAAAATCCAGATCTGAATTGTGTTTTGAAAGGATTATTGACAAACACTTTAGGAGTTGAGTGTGGTCTGTAATAAAAAGTCAAAGGAAGAAGCTGGGAAGGTAAATACGAAATGTATTGAAATCAGAGGTGTGAAATAATGGAAGGTGAAGGGAGGCAGTCAGACTTTGGATGTACTTTGAAGGTAGAACAAATGGGATGTGTGCGAGTTGATTGATGGGAGGCAGAAAGAGAAACAAGAATGGTGGTGGTGCCTTTTAGAGAGAAGAATCTCCTCTTTCTTAAGAGGAGCTAAATTAGGGGAGAAGAGTAGGAGTTTTGTTCCAGTCTGCAGTTTGCCTTCCCAATTTCTGCTTCCAAAATTTCCAGTGACACTGCAACAGCACTTTGGGGGTTCTCTTTCTCTGGGACATCACAAGCACTTCTGCCTTTCCTGTTTCTTTTAACGTAACAATGCAATAATTGTCTTGGTTTTGTTTTATTCTTACCTGCTCATATTTTGGCATTTATTAGCATGTGTTGTCACCTAGTGTGGCAGATTAAATATGGCTGTCACTTCTTAACATTTTTTTTTCTGTCAAAAGATGAGGTCTATGCTCTGTACCTTGAACTCGGGAGGTCCTCATGAGTGTTCAGACAAATAAACAGCAGATGGTGCAAATGACACCATACCATTCCTCAAGACACTACTAGCTTTTATTTTCTTTCTCTTGCAATGCTCATCTGTAAGCCTGGAGCTATCACATAGGAAATCTTTCTCCCTTTTGATAATATGAAGGACAGTCCTTGAGTAGGTCAACTAACTGATAGTTCAAGCTGACCTCAGTATTTCAGCCCTTCCTTTTAAGGTCACAGGTATGTAAGGGATGATGTGTTTGGCCCTTCAGATCAGACCAGCTGCCAGTCGAATATCACTAAGAGACCTCAGTCAATGCAACATACAGTGGAATTACTAACTTGAGCCCTCCCCAAATTTTTGACCTGTGAAGTTGTGAGGGATAATACAAAGTGTGTTTTAAGGCATTTATATGTAAGGTGATTTGTTTTGCAGCAATATATAACTGAAACAGACCTAGTTGTTTGTTCGTTTGTTGCAAATGTTGTCCGTGTAGTTTTTTTTAATTATTATTCCAGTTGCTTTGTCCGGGAAGATTAAACATTTCCATCTATATTGCCACCATCTTCTCAGAATTCCTGCAATTCACTCTTATCCTGTCCTATACAACATTGCTTTCTAACAAGAAAATCATTTTGCAGCTATGTGAAATGCAGAAATTTCAGTTGTTACCCCAAGAACATAATCAATTATTTAAGTTAGAGAGCAACATTTGGCATGGCTTTTCTCAAAGCCAGAATACATGAAATTAAAATCTAAGTGGGAATGCCTTATGTTATTATACGTAACAGTACCTTCATTTAAATCTTTCCCTAATATTTTGAATTTTAGTGGTTTTGATATTTTAATTCCAAAGAAAGATTTATTTCAAAGCTCACAATGATTCTTTACGGTTATAATGTAATATTTGACCATTTTGATACTGAGCCAACAGGAAATTAAGGGATTCCTGTAAACCCTGGTATAATTAAATGTGTTTATCAGGAGAAATGCACATAAAGAATCTGTCTGGAACTCAGGGCATCCTCTTGAGGGATCTTTAGTACTCTTAGGATTACAGTAACCTTATAAATCTAATAGCAACAATGTCTCATATCCTGCAAAACTAAAATTTGAATTGCCCCATTATGTAAGTAACAATTTACTGATGTACTTGCTGAGAATAATACAACATAATGGAAGAGAAAAGTGATAAAGATCAAATATGGCCATTTATATAAAAATAGTCAATTCTATGTAAATTTCCTTTCATATTTGTAATAAACTTAAACATATAATCAAATTTTTCTTTCCCATTTTAAAATGATTTTATATAAAGAGTGCAGTACAGATACCTGTTTGCCCAGAAAATTGCTAGTTACTGCTTGTTATCCAGGAGTAGTTATTATATCCTTTCACTCTCAAAAGCGTTCAAAGACAAATTACACAATCGCGCCGTATATATCAACGATTGTGATCATTTCTGTAATTTCCCTTTATGTTACAGAATATGCAGGTTATATGAGGAACGAACTAGAAGAGGAGGGGTATTTAACATAACCAGAAATGAACACAGGGTCTCTTGAGGTATTTTGTCTCAACTTTGGAGGGCAAGTTAAGTGTGTCCTTGTTTTTTCACAAAGACAGTTGCTTCCTGTTACGTAGATGCATAATGTTTTTGCTCTTCTGGTACAGAAGTTTATTTATGCATAGAAGGGTACATTTAAATGTGGTTAAATACTAAATATCCAGAGGCTATTTTGGAAAGTGTATATTTCTCCACTTCTAAACCTCATACTTACTTTTTTCTAGCATGCTATGCGCCCCACAGTGGTAAGCCTGAAGATCACATTTCTCAGGTTCTCTCTTCAACTGACTTACCTTCAGATTGAGAGATCTGACTCCCAATCTGAGAGAAAATGACTTTTCCTACTCTTTTTTATATATTTTTTCTGACTTGTAGTGGCCCTTCAGAAATGTGTGGTGGCAGTCCTGGAGAGAGAATTTGAGCTTCTGACTTGGGCATCTGCGTTCCAATAGTTCCTAGCTTCAGAGATGTAGTAATAACCATCACCAGGCCCCTCACGTTTCTCCATTAGCTTTGCCAAAAAAGATAAGTAAATTTTCTTCTATCCTCGTGACAGGGAGTAGTTTAACAGCTTGGAGCAAGCCACCCCTGCTGAAATTAGGCTTCTCTTCTCCCACAGAGGCTGGGAGGTAGGGGCTCTATCTTCCCTGATGATTACATTTCCAAGAGATGGATCCCAGGTCCTTGAGAAAGACATTCCTGGGTTTGGAACTGGTTAGAGGCTTTTAAAAAAGATTTACATCTCAAATGGGCAGAGAAAGGATTTACTAGTACAAGCTTTCTAAAGTTAATGCTCTAAAAAAAATAAATAAAAATAAAAAAGAGAAGTTCAGTGGCTTATACTCTGGAAGAAACCTGTTTAACTTTGGTGACACTGGATAATACTATGGCTTTCTTGTTTCCTAGTTTCTCATTGAACACAGAAGAAAGCTTATCATTATTTCCCAATTAAGTAGGAAGAGAAGGCAATGTAGGATTAAGACATATGACAGATCTTGTTACATATCTTCAGGAGAAAGGAGAGTGAATTTCCTAAGGCAATGCACAAATTCTGGGCCCTAAGCGGTCTGCATATGTTGTGAAGTAACTGACCAGTGAGGAGTGACAGCCAAGTGTCTCTGCTGTCCTTTGTGCCTCTCCAGCCATGTTCAGCACTGAGGGCACAAGCATGAGACAGGCATATAGTTGAATTCAACCAGAGATACAATGTAGCAATACACAAGGTAGGACAGGGAAGTTGGTATTGGTAGGGGAATAATTATAAGATTAACCACATAATCAATGTTATATAAAGGAATATGAGACTGTGATACATTAAATAGGTGATAAAACTAATGGCTTATGAGTCCTAGTATCATTGAAGGAAAGTTAAATTGGGATAATAGAAGCAATAAGGTGGAAACTGAGAAGTTGGCATGAAAAAGGGAGATAATATTTAGATAATTGAAGGATTTCCGTATTATTAATGACAAGGCTAAGGTATGACCATAGAAGTGAGCAGCTGAAATCGGAAGTAGGAGAAGGTTGTATTTGACTATTCAATTTCATTTAATACAGTTGGATTTTTCTCTTCTAAATCAACGTTTCATTTGCATAGCAGCAGAACACATTCTCCTTTGTTATTCTCCAGATTATAACTACCCTTTTAGTCTTCTTTTCCATTTTCTCCCCATCTTTTTACCCTCACAGGACCTTCTCTAATGATTCTTCTCTTCTTTATCTATACTCACTTTGTAAGTTGTCTAATCGAGTCTCAGAATTTTCAGTATCACCTAACTGCTAATGATTTCAAAATGTATAGACCAGACCAACCAGATGTTTTTCCTGAATTCCAGTTCCATAAAAATAACTTACTTGACATCCCTTGAACATTTTATAAAATTATTAAACAATCCTCTATGAAGTATTTTCATTCTATCTCTAGTAGACATGAAAAAGTATTTTTCTCTATGAAAGATGACATCATGATTATACATATCCTGTTCTTCCCAGTTCCTAAATTGTTCTTCTTGCATTATTTTTATATATAAAGACTTGACATCTCATCTCTTTATTTAATAGGGCCTTAGATTCATTCAAAACACTTCTCTTTTTTACATATCCCATGTTCAGCCCATTAGCAAATTCTTTTACCCAGCCCTCAAAATATAACAAGAATTTTGATCACTTCTGATTTCCACTACTACTACTGGTAGACGTAAGAGCCATTTAAATATTCCAAGATATTGAAAGGGAGGAAAGTATCCATAAGAAAAAATATGATGCTACTAAGAGTGGTTTCTCCTAGTGAGCAAAGTATATTGTATTTTAGCAAGCCTCAGAATTAAGGTATTATCGTCACCTGAAGATATGAGCTCTCAAAGCACTCTGATTACATATGAAAATAAAGCTGATATATTTGAAAGTAAAGGAAAAAATAAATCAAAATATTCCTAAATTTACCTCAGATTTTTAAAACATAACTATGCAAAATCTGGATAAGATTATTGCAATAGTCTTTGTCATATTTCTGCTGGAAATATTTAAGTTAGTTACATATCTTTTCCATCAGAAGAAATTTAAAAATTTCAGGCCAATTATATTTAAATGTATTATGCAATATATTACTCTGGAGGATTAAGAAGAAAAAATCGTCTGTATTATTTAAAACAGATAATTTTAAATACTGTAGAAAAGATGTATTTGCAAATGTAGTGATGATTGTATAATTGAAATTATCTAGTTATTAAATTTAACTCAATTTAACTTAAAATTTAAGTACAAGACAGGTGTGGAGGCACATGCCTGTAGTCCCATCCACTTGGGAGGCTGAGGTGGGAGGAATGCTTGAGCCCAGGAGTCTGAGGCTGAAATGAGCTATGATTGTGGCACTGTACTCCAGCCTGAGCAACAGAGCAAAGACCCCATGTCTAAAAAAAAAAAAAAAAAAAAGGTGATAAAGAAAATTGAAGTACAGCTTTCTAAGCAAAATTGTATAGAACTTAGAGTACTCATAGCAATTTAGGTAGATGATACATATTTTAAAAATATTTTTAGATTCTGTTCTTTTCATTTTATTGGATATACTAATTTTAATATTTCAAAATAATTGTTTTCATTGAAAAATGCATTTTCTACAAATGAACTGAAAATCAAATCAGAGTAAGTAATCTTTGACTTTGCTTTACAAAATTAAAACTCAAAATCCACAGAGTTGAAAGAAACCAGAAACAAACAGGTTTCTAGTCTTCTGTTTCAATGAATTAAAATAACAAAAATTGTATTTGCAAATGTCCTACAGAGAAATTTAGAACCCTTCCTGTCTATAGCTGTGAGTTAGCAATGTTTTTAGCATCATAGTTTTATTGATATCAATAATATGCAAAAATTTTATGTCACATCTCTAAAACCTATCAATATTCATTAGGTAATTTAATCACAGTTAATATTATTTTTGTTCTTTACAGAGGAGGAACATGAAGCTTCAATCATTAAATAGCTTTTCTAAGGTGATAATAAATCTTTTTTGATTCCTGATTCCTTAAGCAATTTTCACAAAATTCTAATGAATGTACGATTTACTAAACTACACTTTATCAAAAGTCATCATTAAGTAACTATCATCTTTTATGGAAGGCAAAGAATTGGTACTGGGTTTGAAAAAAAAAGTAAATAAAATAAATTTCCACTTTTGATCAGCTCATAGTCAAGAAGGGCTACAAGATACATAAACGCCCTATTTTTATAATATGTAGTTACTGGTATTTGATTTAATCATGGATTTTACTATAATGAAATTTGTTTAGTAGTTTATTATAATATTATTTATGTTTGTGTAATGTGGGACTAATGTATGTAGTAAGGGCAATATGAGTAATTGGGACTTCATAATTCACTGTAGAAAAATTAATACCTAAAAAAGGAGATTTGATTGAAATTCATAATTATAGAAGAAGCATTTGCATTTTTACTTGTCTACACAGGATATGTAATGGAAGAAATATGCCATCGTAAGTGGCCAACTTAAACGGATATATTCGCTTGAGATAACAGAATGCACAGAGAAAAACTTAGACAACCTTTTGCAGAACTATACCAGCTTAAAATTTAAATTTACCTTTTAATGTGCATAGGTATGTCTGTGCATGATTATGGGTGTATGTGCACATGTATGTTTTAGATGTGCATATATTATCTGTATTGGGAGTAGGTAATTATATTTTACATTCCTTTTCCAAAAAAAAAAAAAACTACCAGGATTTTGACAAAAGTATAACTAAACCTTTTTGATATCTAATTATAATACTATACCAGTATACTCACAGAGAAATGGATATTTGCACTTTAACCAGGTTTTAGTTTTTAAGGTTTTGAGAAAAAGGAAAAAAATAAAAACGCAATGTAAATGGCCTTTCAATATTATCATGAAGTTGTTTGGATAGTATATATGTTTCTCTGTAGTTACTAAATGTTTTTAAACATTGCAGAGCAGGGAAGATTTACATAGACTTTTAAATTAAAACCTATGACTGATTATCAAGTTGTTTTAAGAAATTGCATAGAATTCAGCATCAGACAGTTTCTCTATGATCAAACTAGAAGACAATCAAGGATTACTGAATACTGGATAAAGTCAAACCCATTCAGATGAATAATAAAAACATGATGCTGCAGAAGTGGAGAATGGACTGGAGAGATACATATTTTAATTTGAAGAGAGGGAGAGAGGGAGAGAGGGAGAGAGGGGGAGAGAGAGAGAGAGAGGATGAAACCTCCCTATGTTCCCAAAGCTACATACTTATCTCTATGTATTGAATGAAAAATATTTATAATGTAAGACATGACCTTCAGAACGATCCTTTGTGGGATGGAGTGCTCAATGAAGACAGCCACATTATGTTGATTCCTTATAAACTCCAGACCTTTCTGTCCCAATTGTCCTCTTGACAAAGCTGTGTCAAATGTTTTGGCTTATGATTTTCAGTACTAATGCATAAATTTGGTTTATTTATTCAGTCAGCATGTACAAAACACATCTATGTGATATTCAGTGAAGATTAAAGTTTGGTAAAACATGCCAATACTCAAAGAATGTATTCTCTACTGAAGGAAGGAGGCAGTGAATTAAACACTAAATTTTGGTTTTACATTTTTTTAAGAATTAAATTAAAATGTTAACAATTTAACAAAATGCAAGGATTTTAATAGATTTTGAAAAAAATGAATTTCTATTTATATACAGGGAGAGGGGGCATTCAAGATAGGGGAAATACCAAATTTATAAAGTTAGTAAAAAGTTGTAAGACCGTGTTTGCAGTGACCCTCAAGTCTTGTTAGATCATGGTGGTTTCGGAGACAGACTGCTCCCAGACTTTCTATCCCATAGAATTGTTGAGATTCTTAAATGTACTAATATCTGCAAAGTTCTTAGAAGACAGTTTGGCTCAAATAACAATTCAGTACATGTTAGTATATATGGTCAGATTATAGAACATGTACTGAAGTAAAATTAAAGGTTCTTCTGCAAATTTAGACAGGAACCAGATCATGAATTACTTAAACACTAAAGTAGGTATTTTGGAATTTATAGGACATTACTGATTATGTTAAAGATATATCCTGATTCTTATTTTACAAGCACTATTTTTATAGTAGTGAGAAAACAGATCACAAGGAAATGAAATAAAGAAAAAATACATAAAGCTGTATGCTATAAATTAGAAGAACTGAATAAATTTAAGAGTTAGTCAACATGAAAAATAGAAATTCTGGGACTTATTTAAGAGATGGGCATAACTTGGAGATTGAGGATATGCATAGTGTAAGAGGATGGAGTTTAATTGTAGATATATGTTAAGGCTAATTATAGTGATCTCCAAACCACCCTCAAATATCTATCTGTAGTATGATTTTAAGAGATTGGTCTTAAATATATTTCTTAGGAATCTGTTTACTACACAAAATACAAATTAAAATAACATCTACTATCATAGAGAAGAGTGTAACTTTATATTAAGAAATTTAATCAAGTTTTCTAGATAATCAAATAATATATTAACAAAAAGGTAATTAAATTTTCAAAAGAGACACATAGAAGGAATTTGTCATTGTGATTTCTCCATTACTGAAGGATGGATGTTTCAAGTAATTTAAATAAACTTTCCAGCCCATTTTTTGAAAGGTGTAAATGTACATGTCAGGGTTTCTTACTGCATGTCCATACATATTTATAAATACAATTATTTTATGTAATTTATTTTTTTTCCATGTGTTCCAGTTTACATTGGATTATATTCTACACAGACATAGGCATTGTGTATGAGATCATACCTTTTCCCATAAACTTAAAGAAATCACTCTTGAAATTGTATCCATTTTCTTCTGGGTCTTTTGTATTTTCCTGTGCTTATCAGGTTTGCTGCGATAACAAAAATCTCAATCTCAGTAACTTCTTCAAAAGATTTGCTTCTTATGCCCCGTCTGCAGCGGCAGCTGTGCTCTTCCCACTGTGGTTGAGTCTGCTTAGCTTTGCTTGGATCTCATCCACGTGCCTTCTCATTTTGAGATCAGAGATGAAGGTGAAGTCTTTCTGTGGGACATATCCGATCTTGTGGTGAGGAGGAGTCAAATGGAGTCACACAGCATGCACACTTTTGACTGGCTTGTTTTTGCTCAACAAAGTGTTTTGAGGTGGACATATCATGTGCGTATCAACATTTTATTCATTTATATGCATGAGAAGTATTACACTTTACAAAATATATCCAAATTTGTTTTTCTATTTACCTGTTAATTGACATGTGAGCTGTTTCCAAATTTTTGTATTTAGGAATACAATTACTACGAATATTCATTTGAAACAATTTGTATAAACTAAATTTTAATTTCTCTTGGGCAAATACCTGGAAGTGAAACCAGCATTAACTTCTTTTTTTTTTTTTTTTTTTTTTTTTGAGATGGAGTCTCGCTCTGTCACCAGGCTGGAGTGCAGTGGCGTGATCTAGGCTCACTGCAAGCTCCGCCTCGCAGGTTCACGCCATTCTCCTGCCTCCGCCTCCCGAGTAGCTGGGACTACAGGCGCCTGCCACCTCGCCAGGCTCATTTTTTGTATTTTTAGTAGAAACGGGGTTTCACTGTGTTAGCCAGGATGGTCTCGATCTGCTGACCTCATGGATCTGCCCACCTCGACCTCCCAAAGTGCTGGGATTACAGGCGTGAGCCACCACGCCCAGCTGCATTAACTTCATTTTTAAAAATTGCCAAATTGCTTGTCAACGTAGTTGAAATATTTTTCCCACCAGCCATATAAAATTGGTTGCTCCACATCCTTGGCAACTCTTGATATTTTTATTATTTACTTATAGTCATTATAAGGAGTATGCATTAGTATCCAGTAGCAGTTTAAATTTGCATTTATCTGATGACTAATGGGATTATGTATTTGTTAGCCATTCATAAACATTCTTTAGTGAAATGTCTGCTCAAATAGTTTGTCCATTTTGCTTTTATGTCTTATTTGTAATAATTTGTGTTTGATTTAAATAGTTCTGTATATAGTCTATATACCCGTTTTTAACAGATACATGGAATATAAAATAACTTCCCAATTTGTGTATTATCTTTTTATTCTCTTAATGATGCCTATAGGGTGAAGACAATATATTGATTCATTTATTGTATCTTTATTTGTTCCTGCTTTAGCTCTTCTATTTAAGAAATCTTTACTTTCTCCCCAAATTATAGAAATTTTCTTCTATATTGTTTTCTAGGACTTTTATGTATAAGTTTGAATGGTTAAGTCTATGATCCACTTTAATCTTTGTTTATGGCATAAACTGAGTTTTTAGGTTCATTTTTTCCTCATATTGACATTTAGTACTTTCTATAAACTTCTTGAAATTAATGCCATTTCCCCATTGAATTACCTTAGCATATTTAGCAAACGAATTGATAAGAAAGAATGAATAAAAGAAATAAAATTTAAAGAGGGTCCAAGGAACTAAATAAAAGGAATACCACTGAAAGAGTTGAGCAGTCAGAAAGGTTCTTGGAGACAATAATGGAGAGATTAAATATTAATTGTTCAAAAATAAAGATGAACAGAAGGAAAACATATATAAATTAGGAAGATCACCATGAAGGAGATGAATTAAATTTTTTTCTTTTTAAATTTAGTTAGCATTTCTTGAAGTTGAACGTTGACTGATTAGCAAGAGTATCCCAGAAATTCCATGCTGTTTTTACTATAATTATTTATTATCAAAATTGAAATTTAAGAAATGGCATTTAAAATTTAGTGAATATTATTGCTAATTATAATGAGTGCCAAATTTGCCACACTGATGATTGTCATAGTCACCAGTTTTATCTTATTGGCTTAACTTTTCTTTTTTAATTGAATTATTTAATGTGATTCTAAAAGTACTATTTTGATGTCAAAACTTTCCAAATACATTACACATATCCTCAGTGCCTTGCACTGAAATATCATTTCCTATCTTCTTGACAAGAACTAACATAAGGAAGCCATGACACAGTGTGGGGACACTCACCAGAAGACAAAAGACAAGATCAAAATAAACAGCATCAAAGACAGAAGTCAGAGATGTGAGATAATCACAAAAAGTGAATGACATGGCCATGTGACAGGAGTTTGAGTAGATTCAGAAAGACTTCAAACTTCTTCTCTAGCTAAATATATGCCAAGCCCAGCTTTATATTTTTATACTCCTAGAGTATAATATCCCTGGGGATTCTTTAGAGGGAATATTTCTGACTAGGGTAACTTGTGGCTTGTCAGGTTCAAAGTTCTTCATAAAATACACCTGAGATCCTGTGGCACTTTACTGATTGTTAAAGCACAATCCACACATCTGATATTATCTTAAAATTCAACCTGAAATTACAGTTTGATAGACTCTCATGAGAAAATAGTCAAAGTTTTCATCATGCTAAAATCCCTTTTACAGTTTTCTGAGACATAACCTTAAAAATGGAAATTGCCTTCTGAACTAATATCATGCTATCCAGATTAATAAAAAACGTCAACTGGCACCTGATAGCCTGACTCTACAAAGCCCTCCAAAAATAAATAATACCACCCTGAATCCCAAATGTAAAGTTTTTGTTATGTTTCAATGAAAGATGTAATCATCTGGCAGCATTATGGTTAATATGGAAAATTGACAAAAGTTTATAGAAAGAGTTCTTCATAAATATGTTCTGATGTCAGAGTAGTGTTTTGATTTGTTTCTCTTTCCTTCAGGGACTGGACGTGAAGTACATATTGACTCAACAATGAAGACGGACATTACTGAACTGTGACTGATGAAACAAACCTTTCACCTTCCCATTATTTAAATGGGTGAAAAGTTTCTCTCTCCTTAAAATGGCATTTACTATTTCTTAACTCTAGCATCTTAAGCCACTAGAGTGTTTCAGGATGCATCCGGAGAGCATGAGTTTTATGAATAGAAACATAACCTGAGCACTGTATTTAAAGGTCCATCAATGTTTCCATTACCCATATCAGATCTATTCAATTTGTCATGTTAAATCACATGGTAATGTAGTGTGCTTGACATGCTCTCTTTCCACATGGAGTTCTGCTTTGTAAAAATAGGACAATGGAAAGCTGATGATTTGACACTTTTTAATACTCTCTAGGCATAGTGTTTGTGATTGCTGTTTCTTTTGGAGGCAAGAAGTAATAAAACAAAAGATAGAGAAAACTATTTTGTATGAAATCTTGGCAAAGAGATGTAGAGAAATTCAGGAAAGATAGGCTAAAGTAGACATATGTTTATTTTTCCTAGAATATATAAATTGAAGGGATATGATCTAGTAATTCTCTTGAGGGTAGAATAACAAGGTTTGGTGGCAGTGTAATTTCAAGTTGAGGAAAAATTAAGCTTTGGTTTGTTTACATTTTCCCTATAAGTCTAAAATATTGGAGTAACTGTAGAGATTGCAAAAGCATGCCTACGTGGAATAAAAGTAAAGATAGATAATAAGCCTGCTCTCTTGAAAACATGCTAAAATAACTGTAAGCTGGATAAAGCCCATTAGTTATCTATGAGTGCACGACAAAAAACTCTGGGGGCTGTAACATAATTATATGAATTTACTTTTAATGTAAAAATTAGAGCCAGAAGGCCACAAAGTTAATTTTATATACATATATATAATACATATATATACATACATGTATATACATACATGTATTTATATACATATACACATACATGTATTTATATACATATACACATACATGTATTTATATACATATACACATACATGTATTTATATACATATACACATACATGTATTTATATACATATACACATACATGTATTTATATACATATACACATACATGTATTTATATACATATACACATATATGTATTTATATACATATATACATATATATGTCTTAGCAACGTCAGTTATTTAATAATGTAAAAAGTCACTGAATAATAACACATTTTCACAAAGCGACTAATTTCAGTTACTTGTTATTGTATGTGCCAGGTTCTATATTATAACAGGTTTTATATAGAGAAAAAATAAATTTAAACTAAAAATAAACCAATCTAATTGTTTTTAACATTACATACTCTATTTACATTCCAACACTATTGTATAGTTTCTGTTTAGGTACCACAAATGTACACACATGCACACACACATATATGTATATGGCCCACATGCAGAGAAGCATGAAAACTTATCTCATTCCATGCATTTACTAGAATAGTAGTCAATCTGGCTTTTGCCTTCACAAGTCAATGAGCTTTGGCCTTGTAATGGTAGCAAGCCTCAACAGATAACATTAGAACATTATCAAATGCATTTTAAATCTAAATCAGTATCTTCTTAAAACAGTCCATTGCTTTCTTTTTTTTAATTTATTTTTTATTTTTGTGTGTGTGTGGTAGGGAGGGGACAGAGTCTGGCTCTGTTGCCCAGGCTGAAGTTCAGTGGCATGATCTAGGCCCATTGCAAGCTCTACCTCCTGGGTTCAAGCAATTCTCCTTGCCTCATCCTCCCGAGTAGCTGGGATTACAAGCACCTATCACCACACCCAGCTAGTTTTTGTATTTTTAATAGAGACAGAGTTTTGCCATGTTGGCCAAGGGTCTTGAACTCCTGACCTCAAGTGATCCACCTGCTTCAGCCTCCCAAAGTGCTGGGATTACAGGCGTGAGCCACTGTGCCCAGTGTTAAAACAGTCCATTGCTTTCTGTTCTTTCCAGGATCCCTCACACAAGTGTCTGCCAATTCCCACTCTGTCCCACTTTCAGAGTGGTTATTCTCTGGCTTTCTTTTAAATAATGGTACTCTCATGTATTCTGTCCTGGACTCACTCTTGGCCAAATCTGATGCACATTCTCTGTGTTGTTTTTTTTTTTTTTTTTCCATTGGTTTCAACTACCAACTGCATGGAGAGGACTCTCAACTCAAAATCTTCTATTGGCAAGTCCAAATGCCATTATCTCAAAATAGGCATATTGAAGATCGCACACAGACATCCATATCATCTGGATTATCAGTCCCAGGATTCCTCTTTAATTTTCATAGTGACAAGCTGCTCCACATTGGATTCTGGATTCTTCCCTATCTCAGGAATCTTTCAAAATTCCTCTTTTATGTTTTTAACTTTGCCTTTTTATGTTATGTATTGGCTTCCTTCCCATTCATTTTCCATTTGGTTGAAAAACATTTAAACAGGTTAAATTCTATCAATAATATGTTATTTATAAAATTATTCTTGTTCTACTGTGAATTATGATTTTACATTTTGAGCATATATTAATGCCTAGAAGTCCCTCATTATTTTACATTCTTGTTGAAATATTAGTGGTTTTGTTTTTTGTATTTTCCATTTTATAAATTATCTAATTTCTTCTCATTTATACATTATCGAATTTCTTCTCATTTTATGCTATATTTCCCCAAAACCAGCTCATTAAAACAAACACGAAACTCCTAGTCTAAGTATGTTACTAAATGAGTTTTAAAAAATTAATAATTACTAACAAATCCATCACCTCAAATACTTATTTTTATAGTGTACCCCACAAATATATACAATTATTATTTATGAATTAAAATAGAAAAGTAAAACATTATTAATCTCTAATGTTTTATGATTAAAATTTTTTATTTTTATTTAATTTTACACTTACAGAAAAATTACAAGAATTTGTAATTTTTACAAATTACAAAAATTACAAAAATTTACAAATTCTTGTAATTTTTCTGTATACCTTTCCCCCACTTCTTGCATATGCAAAGTATTTTACCATTTTTTAATATCTCTCAAACTCTTATTTTTTCTGTTTCTCTATTCCTTTCTCTCTGTCTCTCTCCCCCTCTGTCATTTTTATGTCCTCTACGTATCTTCCCTTCTCTCTCTTTTTTTCTTCTCTAGAATCATTTGGCAGTGAGTTGCAGATAGGAGGATGCTATCTTCTGGAATGTCCATTCAATTAGGTCTTTCTAATCATCCCTCATGATTTAATTTAAGTCACATAATATTTGCAGGAACATCACAGAGTTGATGCTGTGTTCTTTGCGGTGCCTTAGATCAGCTGGCACGTGGTATTGACGTGTCTCATTAGCTGTGATTTTAACCATGATCACTCGCTAGAAAAGTGTCTGCCAGCTTTCTCCACTGTAAATTACTGTCTTTTCTTTTGTAGTTACTAAGATGTTTGTAAGGAGCTATTCTGTACTGATTTATAAGATTCTTCTTTTTATTGACCTGTCAGTGTGATGAAGTATGTGATTTTTTCTATGGTTTGTTTGTTGTTTGTGTGGAGGGTAGCAAGGAGGAATAGCTGTGTGTTCTTCCTTATTTTCTTTTGTCTTGCAGGAATCTAAATTTCCATGTTCTTATTTCTTCTATTATGTAATTTCCCAAAAGCAACTTTTTATTTATTTATTTTTTCTGAGACGGAATCTCGCTCTGTTGCCCAGGCTGGAGTGCAGGGGCGCAATCTCGGCTCATTGCAACCTCTGTCTCCCAGGTTCAAGCAATTCTCCTGCCTCAGCTTCCTGAGTAGCTAGGATTACAGGTGTGTGCTACCATGCTCAGCTAATTTTTGTATTTTTAGACAGGGTTTCACCATGTTAGCCATGCTGGTTTTGAACTCCTGACCTCATGATCCGCCTGCCTTGGCCTCCCAAAGTGCTGGGATTACAGGTGTGAGCCACTGTGCCTAGCTCAAGGCAATTTTTTAAATACACTTCCCTCTGACGCATTATTTCTGATGGTTTAGAAGCTGTGAAGCATAGTTTCTTCCAATAGTGTCTATATGTCTCTTTAAAATTTATATTTTGCTATATTTTCTAGAAGTTTAAAATGTCTCAGAATCTCTACCCTGTTCTTTATATATCTTAGTATACTTTAGCACCAAAAAACCCTGAGCTCTGTACATATTTCTTTTTATAGAGTCCACATTGTTCATTTGTTTTTAAAATTACAAAGAAAATTTGTTAATGTTTTTAAAGTCCGTGACTTATTATACGCATTAATGAATTGATTTGCCCATTATTGTTCTTTACACTTGCTTGCATATTCTGCCTAATGAAATAAATTAATAATATTTTTGGTGAGTGTATGACTGTGGATAGCTATGCTCTCTGTGTCTCTGTAAATGTGAGAATGTTTTTATTTTGCCGACAGTGAATCCAACTTCTGATTCTTATATTTCTTCATGTAATTCTGGTTTAAAGTTTTATCTTGTGTGCATTTCTGTATATGTTTTTAGTCTCTTTTATCTTGTCGTCTTTTCCCAACTCTTGTCTGATATCCTGAGGATTCTATTCACTGGGAGCCCAAAGGCCGTATCGTTGAGTCAGCGCCTGACGTCACAAATCCAATCACTCTGCCCGTGTGTGCTTACTCAATTCCTGTTTTGAAGACTTTGTCTCTGCCTTTTATCTTCCTTAGGCAATACACTTCAACGGAGCTATGTCCTCAGGTAGCAGAGGAAAACAGTGTTGTCAGATTCTACATGAACGAGACAACCATCTGTTCCTGTGTTTACCTTAGCTGAAGTTTCACGTTTTCCATGGAGCAAACTTAGTCTCAGACTCTTGAACAGGAAACAACTCACCTTCCTTGCTTTCTTCCAGACCCAGAACCAAAAGATTCACTGTCTCAGTCCTTTCTTACCCATTGCACATCAGGCCTTTTTCCAGTCCCATAAATATATATACATAATATATATATACATAAATATATATCCATATGTTCATCTTGCTTTTAATTATGTTTTACAAGCTGTATATCTACAGAACAAGTATGTGCTTCGAATCAGATATCCATAGGTTTTCTTAAGGGTTTTTATACATTGACTTCTAAATTTTTTCTAAAAACTAGAAACATTTTTTCCCAAAAGAAATTCAGATAGGCATGTACACACACACCTACACATGCACACACACATACACATTTTTGTATAACATATGCAAATTTACATAAAATAATCACAGAAAAAAATAACCAAAACAAATTATAACTCATCTAGCTACTACCAATCTAGTAATTATGGATGAATACTTGGCTCTCAGTCCAGGGTCATAAGTAAAGGATATACACAAGCTAATAACGATAGGAGGTGAATAATAATTCATGTCATAAATTTGGATATGTATGTGTGATCTGAAAGAACAAAATAGACATAACTTTATCAACTAAAATGGACCCCAAGGTTAAGGAAAAAAAGTTTGCTATGAGTTGACGGTTCAGGAATTGGCTGGCATGGCAAAGCTCTAAATTCCTTTGGCTGTAAGAAAAATCTCATTCTTGCTAAACTCTGTAAGAAAAAGAGCTTTCAAGCAAATGTAAAGACACCTCTTAACACTGATTTACAACCCAGACCACTACAACTCTGACTGGACAGAGGAAGGGCTTTACAAATATTCTTTCCTAATAAGGAACTGCAGACTTTAAGTCAGTTTCAGCCAGCTTATATAGACTGCACACGAACTGTCTTTGTGTCCTATTGTTCACCTTTTGACCTAAAGAGCCAAATTCTACCTAATTTTAATGTTGAAATCTTACCCCAAAGTGAGCATGGGTTGTATATTACATATACATTTAACCCACTGCTCATGTGCTCAACTATCTCATAAATATCTATAAATTTCTCCCCAAACTTGGTGAATATGTATGACTCTGTTGTGTGAAACAGACCCTGTGAGGCATAAAACTACCTGCCTTTCCCCTTTTCTGAGAGAGAGCACCTTTGGCACACACCAGAGATTGTTGTCTCTTCCCATTTTGCAAACCAACATCACCAATAAAGCTCTCCATTTTACTATTAATACTTAACCATCCTGGTGATCTTTTGGACAACGTATGTATTTCCCTTTTGTTCTTGCATTTTAATTATTTTACAATGTGCTAGAGGAGATGTATGAATTAATTAGAAATATTATAGAAAATATCATAAAAGAACTTTTTGATTTCTTCAATTGTATAAGAACAAAACCATTTCAGAGTCCTTCTACTTGTTCAACTTAGTACTAAATTTTTTTTGCTTTTGGTAGCCTATAAAAATTGTTCCACTGTCTTTTAACTTATACTGCAGCAAAATCATCCATCCACATTCTCATTTGTTAGACAGGTATTTATTAAACAAATGCTATAAACCAGGCACTGGTGATACAATACCTGACACAACAGACAATATTGCTGCCACCATAGTACTTATACTCTAATGGAGGAGAAAAAAATAAAACAACACAGAAGTACAGACACACTACACACACATAAAACAATATCAGATTGGAATCAATTTTATGAAGCAAAGTAAGCAGGGTATGGAAATAACGAATGATACAGGAACATCATTTTACCATAGAGTTTTCCGGCAACTCTCAGATAGACATTTACAGAGAGCAAGAAAATAAAGTAGAGAAGAAATCATGGAGCCATTTTTTGGAATAGTCTTCCAGGTGTAGAGAAAAGCAAAAGCAATTGCTTAGAGGAAAGAGCAGTATTGATGTGCTGCAGACACCATGGGAAGGCCACAGGCTTGCATGGAGTGAGTGACGAGGCCAGTGACAGAAGATGTTCAAAGTGGGTGGAGAGGCCAGATCATGTCAAGAAATATAAACCAAAGTAGGATATTTATATCTTAACATGAGTGACAAAGAGTCCATGGAGGTTTGAACAGAAAAGTACCATGGTCTGACATAATTTTTACAAGATGACTGTATCTGTCCTAGAGTGGCAAGGCAGGAAATAAGAAAAATATATTGGAATCTAAATATGGTAGTTTTGACAAGGGCAGAAGTATAAAATAAGTGGTCAGATTTCATCTGCATTTCAAAAGCAGAGATGACCCTATCAGCTCAGCCAAACATTTTTTTGAAAGACAGGAGTAAATAATGGCTCTAAATAATTTGTAATGAATAAGCCACAAAAATGTAGTTGACATTACCCAGAAAAGAAAAAAATTAGGACCCAGAAGGATAAGTGGGTGATAGAGGAAGTAAGGCTTAAATTTGGACACAGTAAGTTGAATAATTTTTTTAGGTTTGCAAATGGAAATGGTGAGTGAGCAGTAGATGCGTGTGTCTAGGGTTCCGAGAGAGGGGAAGAGACGGAAGATGTAAATTAGAGTCTCAACAGAAAAGGGATAAAGTCATGGCACAGGATGGGACGACATAAAGAATGACCCAAGTGAAAGGCATATTGAGAGGAATGACACATTCGGGAAGCCAGTGCCTGAGGATTAGGAAGATAATGCTGAATAAACAAAGGGAACAAGAAAGGCCGTTCTGTCAATTTGGGTAGACTCTGAAAACAGGGTTGGACTTCACGTGTGTTTCGTTTGGAATGGGATCCGTGGAAACTTTAACAGGGAAGTGAGGAAATGAGAAAGTGAAGCAAAACAAGTTCCTAGAGAGATATTCTGAAGGTGCCATCGGAAGACAGTTTAAGACATGTACCGCATGTCTTTAGTTCCCTTACACCTTAGGTTATCCCACCCAAGGTGTAAAGGAACTAAAAAATATGTTCATCAACTACAGTCCTTTATTGATTAAAAGCACCGTGATAGTCAGGCGTGGTGGCGGGTGCCTGTAGTCCCAGCTATTCAGGAGGCTGAGGCAGGAGAATCGCTTGAACCTGGGAGGCGGAGGTTGCCGTGAGCTGAGATCACATCATTGCACTCCAGCCTGGGCAACAGGGCGAGACCCTGTCTCAAAAAAAAAAAAGCACCACCACAAGAAAGTTCTTAATGCTTCTACATTGAGGGCACGCACATTAACATTCCTCAACGGAACAAATTTTATTAAATAATATTAGTCTCACAAAATTGATCAGTAAGAGCAACGTCATCCTTCTCAAATGTTAACAACTGCAATTTGTTTTAGGATCCCGATGAAGTTACTTGAAATATATATGAAAGAGTAAATAGCTATATATTTTATCACAAATTCATCCTTCAAATTATATATGCTATTAACTGTATATTTATATATACTATGCTACCTTATCTAGTATACACTAATACACAATAGATGCAAACTATATTAGGCTAATAACTATAAAGGGAATTCCTTACATTCCAAACATTTTTGTGTGTGCGTTTTTATGAAGATACTATATTATGAAGCTTCTCATAGTCGAATTGGTAACCGTAATTCTCGCCATAATTCTATATTTAAGAAAATAATAGGCATATTTGTAAGCAGATTTTCTTTTAAAGCCAGGTGTTACTTTACAACAATTATTCAGAATAATTATGCTTTAGTAACTTATGTATTGAACTTTTTGAGATTCTAGGATATTTTAGAAAAAAATTACTATTGATTATCTCTAAAACTTTATTTGTATTATTGTTCTAGAAATAACAGCTTTCATTGTTTTGGATTATCTCTCAACCTCAGAATAAATTTAAAAATCTGAACATAAATGTGGAAGAAAATCAAGTTAGAGAAGGACAGCAGAGCTTTTATCTATGAAAGAAATGCCAGAGGCTTTAAGATTAAAATTATTAAGATCCACTTTGCCACAGGTTTTGCTGATTATGAAATAAGAGGAGTTGTTGAGAACTAACCAAGCAAGAATTCTGACGATTATTTTCATGTGATAAAATCATCTAAATCACAAATGCAGAAAGCAATATAAACCTAAAGCAAAGCTTTTTTTAAAAAGTAAAGTAAAAAACCATCTAGGCATATCAAATGTTAAAATGCTGGAAAAAAGAGACAAAAAATATTTAATTCATAAAAAAGTGATATCATAATGCAAAAAAGCAACTTCACAGATAGCTTATTTATTACAGAGTATATAAAAATTTTATATAAAAGAAGACAAGGAGGCAATATATTTAAACTGTTGAGCTAAATTGACTGCCAGCTGAGAAGTCTGTTCACAGGAAAAATATACATTAAAAATGAAGACAACATAAAGATAAATTAGGATAAATAATAACATAATTTGTCAGAGTAGAGCTAAAAAAATGGGAATATTCAGACTGATAAAATGTATCCCAGGTAGAAAAATGAAAACTCAGATAGGTAAAAAGAACAATATAAAAGATAAATATGTTTATATATGTAAATAGACATTGATGTAGTAAACATAATTAAAATACATTGTTAAGTTTAAAATGCATACAAAATAAAAATATATGACCATGACTGTAATATGGCATGTTGAGTGTAAAAGATGGAAAAAGAACTGCCTGATAAGCTGTTAAAGCACAGATTAATTTTAGACTTTATTAAGTCAGGCTTACATTCTACAATCTCTAGGATAGCACCCTCCCCCAATAATTAAACAAATAGTAATAGGGAAAATAAAATGATAAAGGTACTCTAATAATCTAATAAAAGATCAAGAAATGAAGAAAGCACAACATACAAACCATGATTGGGTCGAATAGACAGAAAAGTAGTTTAAAGGCAAATAAATTAGTCATTTTATAGTTATTAGACATTTAGATCATATTACCAGAACACAGCAAAATCAAGCTAAGAATAAATAATACAAAGACAATTTGTGTATATTCAAACATTTGGATATTAAGCAATGCACAACTACAAAAGTATATTGATAGAACTTATAGGATATATTTTAAAGATGTAAATTCTCTTCAAACTGTTGAAACAATAAAATATCAATAAAATAGTTTTCGTTTTTGTGTAAATCATCAGGCTGATTTTAAATATAATGAAATGCAAAGAACTAAGATTAATCAACACAATACTGAAGAAGAAAAATGCAGGTGTTTACTCTATCAAATACCAAGGATATTATAAACTACAATATTTGACACAGTGGGGTATCAGCAAAAGAATAGAACATTTCAGGATAGAGCCAGCAAAAAAAAAACTTTTTTTAAGTCTACATGTGTGCAGACATTTGATTTATTATGAAGATAACTTTGAAAGACAGCAGGGGAAAAGAAGGTTGTTGCAAAACCTAGTGTACCCAAAGATATGTATACTATTCCTTAATTTTTTTGGAATTAATTCCAGAAGGAAAAAGCTATATGCATCTCAACATTGGAAGGGATAAAACGCTTGAACTATAAACCATGTAATACATTGTATATAGTCTTCTGGAAACACCTCCACAGACAGACCCAGAAATAATGTTTTACCAGCTTTCTGGACATCCTTTAGCCCAGGCAAGTTGACACATAAAATTAACCATCACACAATATATGTAATAATAGATCTAATCCTTTTTTAAAAAGTTACAAGGAAGATATTGAATGTTCCTAATACAAAAACATGGTAAATATTTGAGAAAATGGATATGCTAATTTCTATAATCTGATCATAATATATTATTTTTTTAAAACATCACTATGTACCCCATAAATATGTAAAATTATTATATGTCAATTAAAAGCATAAAATAAAAAGTTGTTAAGCCAAGCTGGGTTTAGGGAATCCAAATTACATTCAATTGTTCCTGTCTTTACCCAGGGAAAACTACGAAGAAACTGTTAACACTCATGAGCAAATTCAGGCTGTTTTGAAACCAGTATTAGAGTAGTCTATTTTTTTTTTTTTTTTTTGCTTAACTGGTTATTGGCATAATGCCCTTAACAAAGATGACTTTAACAAAGGTAACAGTCTATTTTTTGCTTAACCAGTTATTCACATAATGCTTTTAACAAAGGGTGACCAGTTATTCACATAATGCCTTTAACAAAGATGTTTATTGAATAACTGCTTAGTAATCAGTTGCCTAACATAATCTATTGAGATGATGTTTAATCCACAGGCACATAAGTGATGAAAATGTGAACAATTCAAGATGAACCTTTTACAAGAAAAAATTAGTGGAATGAACATAAAAAGTGTATTACTTGGGAAATGACATAATTAAAGGACGGTTAAAAAGAAAAGATTTTATACATCAAGTATCATGGTTTCTGGTCTTTTAAGGAGAGGATCTATCCTTTAGAATGAATAAAAATAGGTGTAACAGGCAAACGCATAAGCAAGTAAAGGAGGGACTCACCCTGTGAGCTTGTGGAACACCATATAGACCTAATAGGGATGGATTTTGACCCTAAAGCTTAATTAGTGGGTACTAAAGAGTAACTTTATTACATAACAATAAAAAATGGCAGAAGTATATAAATCAGGCTTTGTAATACATATTCTGTAAAAGGCTCAGTAGTTATCCTATGGCTATAAAATGTTTCAAAATAACTTTTATATAACTTTTATATAAAATATCTTTTATTTTACATTTCATACACAAAAAGTAGTGCTTATTCATAGCACTCTACATTATTCTTTAGACAAGGGATTGGCAAACTTCTTTTGTAAAGTGGCAGATAGAAAATATTTTAGATTTTGGAAACCACGCATTCTCTGTTACAACTACCTAACTCTGTCATTGCAACATAAAAGTAACTATACACAACAGGAGAGTAGATGGATGTGACTATGTTCCAATAAAATCTTACGTACAGAAACATTTGACACAGAGGCCACAGTTTGCTAATCCTTGCTTTACACACTTGAAATACATGTAACATGAATTTTCTGACCCCAATATTTACATGTCTCTCTCATTTTTATCTCATTTGCAATAATATGGATGACACTTCATTACTAAGGTTTATTTAGTTTTGATTATTGTTATTTTTGTCATAGAAATTATTTAAGATGCTTTTATATTTTTCTCTCTTTCCTTTCATGTTGCTATTTGAGTAAAACTGGTATCCTATGTGGAAAACATCATGAAATTGAATTTCTATTACTATCTCTATCCATATATTCCATGCAAATTTAGGACTTAAAAAGGAAAAACATTAAAGACAAGCCTGAGTAAATTTTTGCAATGTGCATTTTGAATAAGTGGGATAAGGGTGCAGTAGGGGAGGTGAAAGATTTTAGAAATCAGTAAGTAAAATATAAGAACTTCAAAATTAGTAAAGACAGATAACCAAAAAAATTAAAGATACTTAAAATCTCATTATTAATAATAGAACAGTGAATTCAAACCATAATGAGATACTGTATGAGTCAGGGTTCTCGAGAGGGACAAAACCAATAGAATACATATACATATGTATGTATGTGTGTGTGTGTGTGTGTATATATACACACACATAAATATATATACAAACACACACACACACATATATATGAAAGGGAGTTTATTAGGGGGAACTGACTCACATCATCAGGAGGTGAAGTCCCACGATAGGCCATCTGCAAGCTGAGGAGCAAGGAAACCAGTAGTGGCTCAGTCCAAGTCCCAAAACCTCAAAAGTAGGGAAGCCGATAGTGTAGCCTTCAGCTTGTGGCCCATGGCAAGCCACTGGTCTAAGTCCAATAGTTAAAAGCTAAAGAACCTGAAGTCTAATGCTCAAGGGCAGGAAGCATCCATCACCAGGGAAAGATGAAAGCCAGAAGACTCAGCCAGCCAGCTTATACCACCTTCTTCCACCTGCTGCTAGCTGTACCTGTAACCAATTGGATCACGCCCGCCCACATTGAGGGTGGGTCTGCCTCTCCCAGTCCACTGACTCAAATGTTAATCTCTTCTAGCAACACCCTCACAGACACACCCAGGAACAACACTTTTCCTCTTTCAATCCAATCAAGTTGACACTTGATATTGACCATTACAGATACATTTACATATTCACCTAATTAGCAAACACATTTTTGTTTTTGAAGGGCCACCACAACCACGTGTTGGCAGAGTTGTAAAAACACAGAAATTCATAAACTGATTTTTGATGTATTAATTGGCTGAAACACTTTTGAAAATGGTTTGTTATTATGAAGAAATTTGAAAAGGTGACAAAATGGGGTCCAAAAACTGTTTCTAAATGTATATTCTTAAAGAACTCTGGTATATATATATGTCAAGATATGCATACATGAATACTTATGTTAGCTTTATACTTAATTGCTCCAAATTGGAATCAAACCAGATTTTTATCACTAGGAGAAAGGACAAATTAGTTTTTCATATTTTTATACCATTGAGTATTATATTGCAACAATAGCTAATAAACTAGTGCAATTTCAGTATCAAAAAGAATTCTCACAAACCTAAGACTGCAGGAAAAATGTATAAGTACCAGCATAAATTCAGTTTGATACAATTTATGTAAAACTCAAGACCAGAAAACTTTATGCAATATTTAGGGAAGAATAATACATAAGCAATGTGATAGGCAAAATTTTATGACTGCCCACAAGATTTTCCTCCCCACTTGGTATACACCATTCTGCATATTCCCTGGAACTCTGAATATGATGTATAACACTTTTGTGATTAGATTATGCTAAAGGGCAGAGTTGACCCTAAAATAGGAAGATTATTTGCATAATCCTAATCTAATAACATTATCTCTTTTATAGCATAGTTTCTTTTAAAGGGATTTATCTCTTTAATAGCATAGTTTATTTTAAAGGATTTGTTGCAGGGAAGGAAGGCAGAAAAATGTGAAACATAAGTAGAATTCCACAAGCAGTTGCTGGCTTGAAGATGGAGGAGGTTGCCTGAAAAGGACCTGAGAACAGCTTCTCAGAGCTGAGATCTACTTCCAGCTGACAACCAGCAAGGAACTAGATAATACCAATAATCTACAGGATCTTGGAAGCAGACTTTATCCTAGAGCTTCTGAACCAGAACTCAACCTGGCCAGCACCTTGATTTCAACTTTGTGATATACCATGAACAGCTAATTCAGGCACATCTTGCCCTGCTTCTTGTCAATAGAACTGTGAAATAATGAAGGGGTGTTATTTTAAGCCACTAAATTTGTGGTCATTTTCCCCAAACTATAAATATATGACAGGTTATGAAATTCTGAATAAAGCAAAGAAATTATTACCAGAAAAGTCAGAATAATGGCTTTGTCTATGGAGGAAATCTATCTATGTTTGGTAATTTAAAAGTTGGGGAATACATATGTAATACACTTAAGCCTTTGGGTGAGAAGGGCTTACAACACAATGTCAAAAACTCAAACTCATGATTAATGGGATGATTAATAGGTTAAAAAAATAGAAAGAAAGAATGACCTAATATTTGATATCACAATGAATGAATATAGTCAATAATAATTTAATTGTGCCTTTTAAAATAATTATAAGAGTGTAATTGAATTGTTGTAACACAAAGGATAAATTGTGCTTAGAGGGTACAGACTCCTCTGCCCCGAAAGATTCAGTTCAAAATAATTTTTAAAAACTTAATTTCCATTTTAAAATCTTCCAATAGAGTGTATCTAGTCATGAGGATATGTTTATATGTTAGCTTATGTATATGTATATATTTTTATATATGCATTAGTATATACATTTTATTTATTTTGTTATTATATGATGCAATATAGATCTTATAAATGCAAAGTCTTATATTTATAGGGGATAACGAATAGTTATTGTAAATGTAATACTTAAATACACATAAATATTGTTTTTTAAAATAAAGCATAGTACTGTCCGTGTATGATGATAGAACAAAAATATTAAGAATTCAAGATATATATGCTTATACTATATATTATAAAATCACACGGCCAATCAAATAGTACATATCATACTATACTTTTCTAAGTACAACATCAATAACTTCTACAGGGGGTGTTTTGTTTGCATTTCCATTATCACAAAAGTTTACAGTGAATAATAAATATACAATGTTTAGATAAAATAAGTTATATTCTCTATTAGAGAAAAGTATTCACTTGTAAGTAAGGTCACAATCAAAATTCATCATATGCTATGCAGAACTAATACAACCATTTGTTCAAGCTTGAGCTACAAGGAATAATTAAGCTTCTTATTAAGTGAAAATCATACCAGCTCTTTTTTTCTGTCTTCTAATGTCATCTCTGCAAAGTTAGTAATGCCTGAACACCTTACAGCTACTCTAAAAATAGGCTAACTAGGTGCTTTATACATACTTCAAATCAGAAGAAATTTAACTCTTTATGCATACTAGCCTATTATACTGATTCATTATATATATATATTTTTTATTCAATATCTCAATCTAAATTATGGAATCACTCTTTTGCTCCAATAAATTTGCCAGTTTGGATTAATCAAATATTTATTGTACCATTAAATGACTATTTGCATCTCTGTCATAATGTAATATATTAAGATAAAACGTATGGCTTTTTTGTCAAATATCCAAATAGTTTCGAATCTCTATTTCTGTAACAATGAATATCTGAGACTTGCTAAAATGTCAGCTTGATTTATGTATCCATCCAGACACAATTCCATTCAAGCTACAGATACTGTCTATGTTTTATAATTTTAAGTCCCAACTTTTCAAATGTGTTATTAAAATCTTTATCTTCTTTGATGAAGATTACAAAATATCCAATATAACAATAAGATAATGCGATAATTAATTTATATCTTTTAATTACGTACAGATAAATAGACTAACACAGAGGTAAATATAACTTTCCATAATTTTTCTAAGTATTTGACCACAACTCTAGACTTTGTACCTCACATCTTATGGTCACTCTCTATACATGAATACAATATTTAATCCATTGCACACTGATAATAAATTTTGATATATTATTTCAGATGCTGCTTTTTCCAAAACTTCAAGATAAACAAAACCCAATACACCATATCCTAAGCTTTGAATTCTACATTTTAGGTAAATCAGAAAGATAGTTTTATTTGACATACTGAAATATTTATCAGTTTTCAAATTTATGTCCTCTAATTTATTTTCTCATTTAGTAGATGTACAGTTTGCCACAAATTTGATCATAAGTCTACAACCATAGAAATATTTTTTCTTATATCTTCTTGGTACTTGAATTATATATTGAATATTTTCAAAATGCTTGATTGATTTATAACTAAGCAGAGACTGTTAGAATCCTGATAGAACTTTCAAATATGTTTTATTTTATATCAATACTCTTTAAATATTTTTGAATTATTTAATTTAAATAAATCATTCAATTATTTAAATTTATTTAATTTAAATAAATTATTTAAATAAATTAATTATTTAAATTTATTTGAATAAGTTAATTATAAATTGTTTAATTATTTAATTATAAATATGTATTATATAAAATACATATTTTATATATTTAAAATAATTTATAATTATAAATATGTATTATATAAAATGATTCAGAATGTTCTTTTGAATTAACTTTAATTGATGAGTGCAAATTGTCTTTATTTGTATCTCGCACTTTAGTGCAAAGAAAACCATGACTGCTTTTCTTATGATGCTAGGAAAAATTCCCCTAAGGTTTCAGAGGGAGCATGGCTCTGCTGAGTCCTTAAATTGGGACTTCCAGTTTCCAGAACTGTAAGACAATAAATGTCTGTTCTTTACGTTCCTCAGGTTATGGAATTTTATGAAAGCGGCTCTAGGAAGCTAAAATTTCAAAATTAGGTATAAATGTTACCCTTTAGTCATAAAAATAATTTGGACATTTTTCTTCATTCTATATGCTCTGGAATAATTCATTGAGTACTAAGCCTATGTGGTTTTTGAAGATTAAACTAGCCAGAATTATTGCTTTTATACAGTATAATCTGTTAATAACTATTTCTCTTCATCTATAGAAATCGATATATTTGAAGTTTTAGACTTTATATGGGCTCAAATTTGATAAATTATATACTTCTATTTTTTGTTTTCAATTTATTTAGATAAAGATTGCAAAATCTGTTGTTTGCTAATGTAATTTGTTGCAATAGTTATTTCTTTGTCACATCTTAATTTTTCTAGATTTTTATTCCATCTTTATTATGTTAGATAGTAGGTTGTTTTATTATTTAATCAAAAAGAGGACTTATAATTAGTAATTTCATCTGTTTTTGTTCTTATAATTTCTGATTTTATATGATTTCTGTCCTTGTACTTTTTTGCTGTGTTGAGATTGGATTTAATTTTTTAAATTTTTGATTATATGTGCTTCAGGCATAAACCTAGGCATTTCACTGTTTTAGATACACAACATGTAGTAATATGGTATGATTATGATTCTTTCATTACATTTTTTATATACCAATTTTAAGCAAGAGGTATTGAATATAATATTTCTATTTAATTTTCAGTTAAAATGGCCTTTGGCTTTGCAGTTACTATCAGATATCTGGTTTTAATGTATTATTATTGGAAACTTTAAAAAATATTTCTACTCTATGGCATTTATTGCTGTTCTCTTCATAAAATTAAAAAAATAAATGTTCTAAGTGCATAAAAATAATTTATATTCTCTATTATTAGGGTATATAGTTTGATATCTGTATTTACCAATGACTTTATTCATGATGCAGTTAGGTCTTGCATATTGTCAGTTTTATCAGTATTATGCTGACAGTGGTGACTTTTTATTTATTTTACTTTTATAAGTTTATTTCTATCTATGGTTCCTTGAATCTACTATTGTTTCTGCTTTACAAAGTTTCTGTCTTATCTGCTGCTTGTGTATACTGGTTTACATCTTTACTGTGATTCATTATTTAACACTGAAACGCAGTCTTCCCTTGGCTCCTTCAGTTATTTTGGCATGCATTTTAAGATGTTTATTATTAAAAACACAAATTCTGCTTTCTTTTTATTTTCATTTATCTGGTATTCTTTTGTCAATCTCTTTATTTTTAGCCACCTGAATTACCTTGTGTTAATGCATTGTGTCTTATATACAGTAAACAAATCTTTGTAAGTTAAATTAAAAATATTTTTTGTAAATAACTGGCTAATTTTATAATTTTTTTATTGATGGGATAGGTCAGTTTGATGTATTCTCTGTCTTATTATTCTGTTATAATTATTACTATGTGTAATATATTATGTTCGCCCTGCTTTATTTTTTGTACTGGGTGCTGTCTTTTGTTCTTTGTAAATTCTTTTGGAATCTAAAAATGTTTATATTTTTGTTCTAGTGGTTACCTTTGTGCTTATATGTTTTTTGGAACACTTAACCCCCTGTTTCTGTATTTACCCTTTTATTATCCTTGTGTTAGTGGCAATGATGTTTTTGATTTCCATCTACTGCTTCTACCATTAATGTGCTGTTTCTCTTCCCCACTTTGTTTCCCTCCCGTGGTTTTAGTTGCATTATTTCTATTGCGACAGTATGTTCAATATTTATATCTTAGTTTTCACCCTTTTTCCTGTTTTACTGGAATCTTAGATCTAGAATGAAGTATATTTAAGGCTCACTCTATTCCCTTGGCCCAAGTCTTGTTTCTCAGAATCCTGTGCTCTCCTTTTCTGTTTCTTTTTCCTTTGCCAGCTGCTTTCAAAGTTCACCTCCACCAGCTTCCCTTTCACTTGCTTCTCCTTCAGAAGCATCTTTTGCCCAAGACTACCTCACTTGTGTCTGTGCACTCTATGCCCTCAATGTCACGTTCTCTCTTCCATACATGTTTTGTTTTGGTTTTTGTTTCTGTGTTGTTTTACTTGTTTGCTTCTTTTGTTTTGGTACTTTGTTTTCATCTTCTTGCTCCCCACGAAGACTTGCAGCATGATCTCAACTGTTTTCTCTGCTAGAAATAGATTTTTCAATTCACCAGTTTATTAAAGTATGTAGGGTTCCCTTCCTTGAAGTTTTTCTGAAGCCATGACTTTTGGCATAGTTTAATATGATCTACAAAATGTGTCAGAAGATTTGACAAGATTTATGGAGAACTTCACAATGAGGTGACTACCACTAATTTGGCTGTCCAAAAATGTAATTATTTTTATAATTTTTGAAGTATTTTATATTAGTATCAATGATACTCTATTATAATATTTCACATTAAAATTTCTAACAGTAACAGTATCTCATAAGTGCAGCAAAATGTTTTATGTCAGATGCATTATTTAAACAAGCTAATATTTTTTGTTTTACACCGTGTAATTTTTTTTGTAACTTTTCCAAAATCAACTCTTCCTTTCTCTTTCATCCCTTGAAACAGAACCCTGGTTTATTCAAATGTCCACTATTTCCTCATGCACTACATGAGTTGTAGGATCACATGATTCCACATTCATTTCATGACTAAAGTGTGATGAAACTAATTGGAAAAAATTCAAAACCATCCCTATAAACTTTATGAAATTAATCAGGAAAAAAGAGGGGAGAAATGAAAATAAACCAAACTTGCAGCATATTAAGCATTAATCATTGGGTCATCTTGCTCTCTGATATGGTTTGGCTGTGTGTCCCCACCCAAATCTCATCTTGAATTGTAATCCCCATGTGTTGGGAGAGGGAACTGGTGGGAGGTGATTGGATCATGAGGGATCCCTTCCCCCTTCCTGTTATCAGTCATAATAGTGAGTTCTTGTGAGATCTGATGGTGTAGAGGTGTGTGGCAATTCCCTCCCTGCTCTCCCCTCCTGCTTTGCTATGGTAAGACATGCTTGCTTCCCCTTTGCCTTCTTCCCTGATTGTAAGTTTCCTGAGGCCTCTTACCCATGGTTTCTGTACAGCCTATAGAATTGTGAGTCAATTAAACCTCTTTTCATCATAAATCACCCAGTCTCAGGTAGTTTTTTATGGCAGTGTGAGAACAGACTAATACACTCTCTGACTTACTCCCTCATAGTTGCTTGCTTATTGCCTCAGAATCACATAGACCCTGTTACAAGATTATAATTGCCTTAACTGCTCTATAGATAACAACTTGAATATTAAGAAATATTAACTTTTCCTTTTGAGATATTCTTTTAGGTTCTGCATACCAGTGAAACTACTAATGCTAGCGGGTCTGAAAGATCCTACAAATAGCTGACTCAACATAAAATGCAGTTTCCGCATCCCAATAGCCATACCAATCAATGACCCCAAATTTCCAGTTCCTTGCCCTCCACGATCCCCTCAAAATCCCAAAACCAGAAGACGGGATGGATTTGAGGATCTCCTTCCATCCCTCGCTCAGTGCCCTGTGATCATTAAACTCTTTCTCTGCTGCAAGTTCTGCTGTCTCAGCGTATTGATCTGTTGCTGTGCAGCAGTCCTACAAACCTGTTGGTCTTATAACAGTTTCATAACTCTTGCTGCAGTCTTTTACTAGAAAAGACTGTGGTCCATTCAGGTCAGTGATATATGAGGATAGGCATGTTTGTATCTTTTGGGAAAGAAGGTTCCTTATTATTTTTTGTTTTTGGAAGAACTTCAGAAAGCATCATTAAAATCTAGCTGGACTTTCTGAGGAAGCATGTTGGGTTGAATATTACAATGATATTCCCACTCCTGCAAGGACACCAACCGTAGTAAGAAACCATCCTTTATATTACAAAGTAGAATCACAAAGGCCCTTTGGCCACTTTTCAATCTTTCTAATATCTATTTTATATAAAAAATTCATTTAATGAACCAATCAATTATGCTTGCAAAAGTTTCAGTTGACTTTTCTGTTACACAATTCCAAACTACTTACTGCTTATATATTAACTATTTAACTGATATAAAATCACACTTCATTATATTTTAAATAAAAATTATATGTATACTACCTAATGAGAAGTCATTAGCATAGGCATAAAATCACAAAATTATATCTTCAAATGAGAGTTCAGACATTTTTAGGACTCATTTCCCCAACAGTACAAGTCCACAAGAATTTAAGCTCTGCATGAGTACTCTAACAATTATGAGCTTGCTAGTTTATAAAGTGTATCTTCCATTCTCACATAATTTTTAACTTGTCATACCTGAGGGATATGAAGCACAGACTTTTTGTACATTACAACCTCTACAACTGTAAAAAATTCAGAATCTTATTCTCACGACAAAAAGTTGTATCTATTCTCTTGATTATTTTAGAATATATTTTTCTTATCAAATGGAAATCTTCATATCGATTTTTGCATGCCATCTTCAGAATAATGATGATGACTACAGATTATATATAATTTTACACCATCTAGCACAAATACTAAAGGACTTCATTAAGTTTTTTTATTTTTTTCTTTGTTGGATGACTTACTTTTTAAACACAGGCTATAAACATGTCTAGTCCTACAATGTTTTAATTATTTTAAATGCCACACGAATCCTGAGTCTGCTATTTTAAAATTATTTTTACAAATATGTTATGTATTTCAATTTATATTATTTAACAAGTTGATCTTACATATATTTCTTTTTATAATTTGATTTGCTTTCTGAAATAGTTCGGATGTGTGTCCCCACCAAAATCCCATGTTGAATCATAATCATTAATATTGGAGGTGACCAAAGATGGCCAAATAAGAAAAGCTCCATTCTGCAGCTCCCAGCGAGATCAATGCACAAGGCAGGTGACTTCTGCATTTCCAACTGAGGTGCCCAGCTCGTCTCACTGGGACTGGTTAGACAGTGGGTGCAGCCCACGGAGGGAGAGCCTAAGCAGGGTGGGGCGTGGCCTTACCCAGGAAGCCCAAGGAGTTGGGGAGCTCCCTCCCCTAGCCAAGGGAAGCCGTGAGAGACTGTGCAGTGAGGAACAGTGCACTCCGGCTCAGATACTAGGCTTTTCCCACATTCTTTACAATCTACAGACCAGGAGATTCCCTAGGGTGCCTATGCCACCAGGGCCCAGGGTTTCAAGCACAAAACTGGATGGTCATTTGGAAAGACACCAAGCTAGCTGCAGGAGTTTTTTTTTCTTACCCTGGTGGTACCTGAAATGCCAGCAAGACAGAACCTTTCACTCCCCTGGAAAGGGGGCTGAAGCCAGGGAGCCAAGTGGTCTAGCTCAGTGGGTCCCACCCCCATGGAGCCCAGCAAGCTAAGATCTACTGGCTTGAAATTTTTGCGGCCAACACAGCAGTGTGAGGTTGAACTGGGACGCTCGAGCTTGGTGAGGGGAGGGGCGTCCACCATTACTGAGGCTTGAGTAGGCAGTTTTCCCCTCAACTGTAAACAAAGCAACTGGGAAGTTTGAACTTGGCAGAGCCCACTCCAGCTCCGCAAAGCCACTGTAGCCAGACTGCCTCTCTAGATTTCTCCTCTCTGGGCAGAGCATCTCTGAAAGAAAGGCAGGAGTTCCAGTCAGGGGCTTATAGATAAAACGCCCCGTCTCCCTGGGACAGAGCACCTGAGGGAAGGGCCGGCTGTGGGTGCAGTTTCAGCAGACTTAAATGTTCCTGCCTGTTGGCTCTGAAGAGAGCAGCGGATCTCCCAGCACAGTTCTAGAGCTCTGCTAAGAGACAGACTGCCTCAAGTGTGTCCCTGACCCCTGTGCCTCCTGACCTTGAGACACCTCCCAGCAGGGGTTGACAGATACCTCATACAGGAGAGCTCTGGCTGGCATCTGGCAGATGGCCCTCTGTGACTAAGCTTTCAGAGGAAGGAACGGGCAGCAATCTTTGCTGTTCTGTAGCCTCTGCTGGCGATACCCAGGAAAACAGGGTCTGGAGTGAACTTCTAGCAATTACCAGCACACCTGCAGCAGAGGGGCCTAAACGTTAGAAGGAAAACTAACAAACAGAAAGGAATAGCATCAACATTAACAAAAAGGATGTCCACACACAAACCCCATCCAAAGGACACCAACATCAAAGACCAAAGGTAGATAAATCCACAAGATGAGGAAAAACCAATACAAACGGGCTGAAAATTGCAATAACCAGAATGCCTCTCCTCCTCCAAAGGATCGCAACTCCTCTCCAGTAAAAGAACAAAGCTGGATGGAGAATGAATTTGAAGAATTGACAAAAGTAGGCTTCAGAGGGTGGGTAATAAACTCTTCTGAGCTAAAGGATCCTGTTCTAACCCAATGCAAGGAAGCTAAGAACCTTCAAGAAAGCTTAGAGGAACTGCTAACTAGAATAACCAGTTTAGAGAAGAACATAAATGACGTGATGGAGCTGAAAAACACAACATGAGAACTTTGTAAAGAATACACAAGTATCAATAGCTGAATCAATCAAGCGGAAGAAAGGCTATCAGAGATTGAAGATCAACTTAATGAAATAAAGCATGAAGACAAGATTAGAGAATAAAGAATAAAAAGGAATGAACAAAGACTCCAAGAAATATGGGACTACGGGAAAAGCCCAAACCTACATTTGATTGCTATACCTGAAAGTGACAGGAAGAATGGAACCAAGTTGGAAAAAACTCTTCAGAATATTATCCAGAAGAACTTCCCCAGCCTAACAAGACAGGCCAACATTCAAATTCAGGAAATACAGAGAACACCACAAAGATACTCCTTGAGAAAAGCAACCCCAAGACACATAATAATTATCAGATTCACTAAGGTTGAAATGAAGGAAAAAATGTTAAGGGCAGACAGAGAGAAATGTCGGGTTACCCACAAAGGAAAGCCCATCAGACTAACAGTGGATCTCTCTGCAGAAACCCTACAAGCCAGAAGACAGTGGTGGCTAATATTTAACAATTTTAATAAGTGTTCTGAGTAATCTCATTTCCCACCTTGGAATTGGTCAATTCTCAAATTTTAAGATAGATTTGGCCATGATCTTTTATTTTTATTTTTATAATTTGGAGACAGGATCTCACTCTTTCTCCCAGGCTGGAGCACAGTGATGTGATCACAGCTCACTGCTGCCTCAAACTCCCAGGCTCAAGTGACCCTCCCACCGCAGCCTCCTAAGTAGCTGGAGCTACAGCTGTGAATCACCAAGCCTGACTACATTTTTGTAGAGATGCGGTTTCATCGTGTTGCCCAGGATGGTCTCCAACTCCTGGGCTCAAGCATCTGCCTGCCTTGGCCACTTAACTTGTTCTTATTACTTATCTAAAGTAGCCCTTGACACATGGACTCTGATTGTGCTCTATGTGCTCTTGGTCAGGAAAAATATGAGACAGCCTCTTTTTCTAAGCTCCAGCCTCTCATGTTGCCACTGGCACTCAGGAATCCAGCTGATGTGGTTGTCTTTCTCTGATTTTTTTTTTTTTTAGTTGCAAGCACAGTTCAACATGTATTTAATTAAAAAAACAAAGCTTCAGACAAAAAAAAATGCCTAGCTTATATGTTAATGACTATTAATGTGAGGGATCATTTTGCATTGTAAATTTGATTAGTAAACCACAAAGTAAATCTTCCTACTATTGAATCACTATTGGTATAATGGAACTCATCCAGAGATACCTCTTTGCTTCTTTCCAGTATTTCTGCTTTCCTGCATTATTTAAGTCTCTGAAGAAAATTGTAAAGTCACATTTCAGGCACTGTCCCAGAGTTATGTTTCCAGAAGTAGAATCCAAGTTTAGATTGTATATAATGGTAGTAAATTTCTGTCAGTATGATGGTAGGAATTGGCCTCATTCTCCCACAACACCACACACAGAAACATATACACATAGACATACACCCCCATCCCATCCCCCACACATATATACACAAGGGTGGAGGAGGGAGAGGAAGAGATAGAGAAATGCTTGGCCAGATAAAACCAAATAAGGAACAAATGCACTTCTGTATTGATAAACTACAGACATGAGGAATTAACAGGATTCTAAACTTTATTCTGTGACTGATAATCAGTCACAGTCAAGCAGAAAACAGCATAGTCAGATTAAGACACTGTGAGAAGATTTTACTAAAAAGGCAGATTTTATAGATACAGGAAGGTGACTGGGAAATCACATGAGATGGGGGTGATTCCTGGGCTATAAGATGGGCTGATAGTAACCCTATGCCCGATGGGCAGAAGAAAGGCTGTGCTATCTGAACTGGAAATACAGAGGGCCGTCGGGAGGCCCACCTTATGGGAGCTGAGCTACTCTGCAGCAGATGCAGCCACCAGGAGGTAGGTGACCAAGCAGAGGGGACCCCAGGCTCCAACCAACCACACTGACCTCGCTTCTCTCTCCTTTCAGTGTGATAGGGCTTCATACTGCCCAGACACAAAAAGAAGACAGAAGGTAAGAAAGAGCCTGGATGTCATCCAAACAGGTGAATTTTTGGAGTTCAGAGAGCAGGGCAGAGAATAGGGAAGAGTCTCTCCTCAGAGGCATGGGGCAGAAAGTAAAGACGATAAGGAGAATTAACCTTAGCTTTTGCAAAATAGAAGTTTAGAAGGAAGTGGTCCTTTTTCTTAAAGATGACTAAGAAACACTATTCTCTGATCTAGGGAAGTACAAAGAAAGTTTACTTCTCTGTCACCCAAAGCACTGGGTTGGGAAAAATGATCTTCAAGTAAATGAACAAATGGATGGAAATAAATATTATAAATGGAGTTGATAAAGCTCTGGTACATTTCAATGTGGTGCCTAAATTCATATGTGTGGCATAAATACACTACAAGTTCTAGATTGGCAAAATCCCAGGGATTTTGAACCATCTATGAAAAACGTTCACAAATTGGAAGGCAGAAGACTCCTATCTAAACAAAGACAAATGGTTCCTACAGAAAATGTGATCACAATAAAAATAACTAAACTCCACTTCTATTTCATTATTACACAAAATACGGTGTGTTCTGGGAAATACTGTCATATAATGTAATGACTGAATATTGCCTATGGACACTCAAAGTCTTTCTCATCATGACCATACAGTAGGGGCTGAGAATTTATTAAAGAAACTAGTTTTAAAATAAATCAAAATTAATATCTCAATCATATGTAATGAAAATAAAAGGAAATGTTAACTTCAAAGAGGCTTATGTTAAAATGGAGTAAGCTACAGGTTTCAGCAATCTTCTATACTACTCTACACTCTGAAGGGCTATCATGCAGCCTTAAGTATCAATAGAAAAGCTCAGCCCTGTTCTTTTGAAAAACAGGAAGTTCTGCAAGTATCACGTTGCTAGACATTTTAAGATTATACAATACTTATGTTATTAAAAATCTGTATGTGTTATTTTAAATCTAGGCTCTCACTGGAGTGAGATATTGGTTCATTTTTGCTTTTGAATTTCAAGCACATTTCAAACGTACTAAATATTAAAGAAAATGATATCCTCATCTTCTTACATGTACTAGATGTTTTTCCAGACTATATGAAGGAATGTTTCAAAATGTCTAACATTGGATAACTTGATCATGATTCTTAGAATGGATTTGCATTATTCATTGTGAAAAGTATCCACTAAATTGTGAACATTTTTAGCAAGTTCCATATTACTGAGAATAATCAATAAATGATAGTGAAATTGACAGTAAAAAAGGTTTTTGACTCTGTCTAAAATAATCTACTCACCCATCAAGTTTAAAATTAGGTAAGCTCTGATGCAGCTTTGAGGATTTCCAAATATTAGAAAGATCATGCTAATGAGGAGTTATAAATGCCACATAAAAGACTTTTGGCATTTTTATACATAGCTTGATAATAGAATTGAATGCTTTCTTCAATAAGGACATGACTTCCACTAGTTTTTAGAGGGGCACATGACATTCCAGGATTCTGGGGAAATTCCTGGAGACACACTCAGCAGCCTGAATAAAGTCTGTAAATTAGGCCCATTAGTGGTGTGGAGCTATTCACTAGGAGAGCTGATGCCCACCCACATTCCCATTCAGATCCCAGGAAAGACGCTTTGGTGGAACAAGTGATTACAGGAACAGTTCCGGCAATTTAGAGACATGTTCATCATGAAAGGCAAGGTCTGATCAACACATGTCATCTTACTGCATATCAATGATCTTTTAATGTGATCATGATTGTATTTGTTATTAAAGCTCATAAAAATAGGGAAGTAGTAACAGATTATCACTGATGCGGTATGTGCAAGGGAAAATGTCCTCGGTTGTTAAACTCTGGTATTAGAAAAGAGATGAAATAAACTAAACTCTGGTATTAGAAAAGAGAGATGAAATAAACTGAGTGTGGTATGTGCTGTCTGTTGCCCATGAAAGACTGGATGTCCTCATGATCAGGGAGACGAGCTAATGTCATTCTCTGCATATGGCATTGAAGAAGGAGGGCGATGCATGAAAGGAAATAGGGAAAGGAAATCATCAAAATAAAAGTTCTGTCTTTGGCGGTCTGATTAGTGTCATGACGCTGGTGGTGTCAAATGAACTTCACTGAGGTGGAGTATAGCTTTTATCTGTATTACAGTTTCCCCAAATATTTCCCTTGCTTCACGTTGTTCAAAGAAATGTGCATGAAAATAAGGTGTGCTACGTTTTTATCAGGGCTTTAAAAGCCAATGTGAAGTTGGCCATACCCTCTTCCCATTTCTACTGCTCTAGAGAAGTGGAAGCCTGTTGAAAAAGCAGCCTGGGCCTCTGGTTGGCTGCAATTAGCAGAAGCCCCTGATCTCTGTTGTAAAGGCAGCCTAAGTTAAAAAGGGTCTCTTCTTTGTTAAGCCTGTGAGATTCAAAGACCAACATCTGACCCTACCACGCCCTACCGATATTGGCTTTTCCAATAATATATGATGTTAACTATTTTGTCATATGCTCATTTTCCATCTGTATATCTTTCTGATGAGATGTTTGTAAAGATTTCTACCCCATTTTATACTTGGATGACTCCTTTTCTTACTGTTGGGTTTTATGAGTTCTTTGTATATTTTTAAGAACTGTCATTTGTCAGATATTTCTTTTGCAAATATTTTCTCCTACTCTGTGACGTGCCTTTTTATTCTCTTTACAGTTTCTTTTACAGAGCAGAAAATTTCAATTTTAATAAAGTCCAGCTTATTAATATATTTTAGTGAATCATACTTATTGTCAGGCCTCTGAGCCCAAGCCAAGCCATCGCATCCCCTGTGACTTGCACGTATATGCCCAGATGGCCTGAAGTAACTGAAGAATCACAAAAGAAGTGAATACGCCCTGCCCCACCTTAACTGATGACATTCCACCACAAAAGAAGTGTAAATGGCCGGTCCTTGCCTTAAGTGATGACATTACCTTGTGAAAGTCCTTTTCCTGGCTCATCCTGGCTCAAAAAGACTCCCACTGAGCACCTTTCGACCCCCACTCCTGCCCGCCAAAGAACAACCCCCCTTTGACTGTAATTTTCCTTTACCTACCCAAATCCTATCAAACGGCCCCACCCCATCTTCCTTTGCTGACTCTCTTTTCGGACTCAGCCTGCCTGCACCCAGGTGGAATAAACAGCCATGTTGCTCACACGAAGCCTGTTTGGTGGTCTCTTCACACGGACACGCATGAAATTTGGTGCCGTGACTCGGATCGGGGGACCTCCCTTGGGAGATCAATCCCGTCCTCCTGTTCTTTGCTCTGTGAGAAAGATCCACCTACGACCTCAGGTCCTCAGACCGACCAGCCCAAGGAACATCTCACCAATTTTAAATCAGGTAAGCGGCCTCTTCTTACTGTCTTCTCCAACCTCTCTCACTGTACCTCAACCACTTTCTCCTTTCCACTCTTCAGTCTCTCCCTTCTCTTAATTTCAATTCCTTTCGTTTTCTGGGAGAGACAAAGGAGACACATTTTATCCGTGGACCCAAAACTCCAGCGCCGGTCACGGACTGGGAAGGCAGCCTTCCCTTGGTGTTTAATCATTGCAGGGACGCCTGATTATTCATCCACGTTTCAAAGGTGTCAGGCCACGCAGGGATGCCTGCCTTGGTCCTTCGCCCTTAGTGGCAAGTCCCGCTTTTCTGGGGAAGGGGCAAGTACCCCAACCCCTTCTCTCCTTGTCTCTACCCCTTCTCTGCTTTTCTGGGGGAGGGGCAAGTACCCCTCAACCCCTTCTCCTTCACTCTTAGCGGCAAGTCCCGCTTTTCTAGAGGGGCAAGTACCCCAACCTCGTATCTCTGCGCCCCAATCCCTTATTTCTGCGCCCCAACCTCTTATATCTCTGTGCCCCAATCCCTTATTTCCACACCCCAACCTCTTATCTCTGCACCCCAACCCCTTATTTCCGTGCCCCTACCCCTTATTTCTGTGCCCCAACCTCTTATCTCTGTGCCCCAACCCCTTTTCCCACTTTTCTGGAAGGTGAGAGAGTAGAGAAACGGAGGGGAGGGGTTCGGGGGTTCTTTTTTCTCTAGGCTTGCTTCCTTCACTATAGGCAACCTTCCACCCTCTATTCCTCCTTCTACTCCCTTGGCCTGTGTTCTCAAAAACTTAAAACCTCATCAACTCTTACCTGACCTAAAACCTAAATGCCTTATTTTCTTCTGCAGTGCCTCTTGACCCCAATACAAACTCAACAGTAGTTCCAAATAGCCAGAAAATGGCACTTTGAATTTTTCCATCCTGCAAGATCTAAATAATTCTTGTCGTAAAATAGGCAAATGGTCTGAGGTGCCTGACGTCCAGGCATCCTTTTACACATCAGTCCCTTCCTAGTCTCTGTGCCCAGTGCAACTCGTCCCAAATCTTCCTTCTTTACCTCCCACCTGTCCCCTCAGTACCAACCCCAAGCGTCCCTGAGTCTTTCTAATCTTCCTTTTCTACAGACCCATCTGACCTCTCCCTTCCTCCCAGGCTGCTTCTCGCCAGGCCGAGCTAGGTCCCAATTCTTCCTCAGCCTCTGCTCCTCCACCCTATAATCTTTTTATCGCCTCCCCTCCTCACACCTGGTCCGGCTTACAGTTTCGTTCCGTGACTAGCCCTCCCCCTCCTGCCCAGCAATTTACTCTTAAAAAGGTGGCTGGAGCTAAAGGCATAGTCAAGGTTAATGCTCCTTTTTCTTTATCCGAAATCAGATAGCATTTAGGCTCTTTTTCATCAAATATAAAAATCCAGCCCAGTTCATGACTTGTTTGGCAGCAACCCTGAGACACTTTACAGCCCTAGACCCTAAAAGGTCAAAAGGCAGTCTTATTCTCAAAATACATTTTATTACCCAATCTGCTCCCGACATTAAATAAAACTCCAAAAATTAAATTCCGGCCTTCAAACCCCGCAACAGGATTTAATTAACCTCGCCTTCAAGGTGTACGACAATAGAAAAAAGTTGCAATTCCTTGCCTCCACTGTGAGACAAACCCCAGCCACATCTCCAGCACACAAGAACTTCCAAACGCCTGAACCGCAGCGGCCAGGCATTCCTCCAGAACCTCCTCCCACAGGAGCTTGCTACACCTGCCGGAAATCTGGCCACTGGGCCAAGGAATGCCCACAGCACAGGATTCCTCCTAAGCCGCGTCCCATCTGTGTGAGACCCCACTGAAAATTGGACTGTTCAACTCACCTGGTAGCCACTCCCAGAGCCCCTGGAACTCTGGCCCAAGGCTCTCTGACTGACTCCTTCCCAGATCTTCTCGGCTTAGCGGCTGAAGACTGACACTGCCCGATCGCCTCGGAAGCCCCCTAGACCATCACGGACGCCGAGCTTCGGGTAACTCTCACAGTGGAAGGTGAGCCCATCCCCTTCTTAATCAATACGGAGGCTACCCACTCCACATTACCTTCTTTTCAAGGGCCTGTTTCCCTTGCCTCCATAACTGTTGTGGGTATTGACGGCCAGGCTTCTAAACCTCTTAAAACTCCCCAACTCTGTGCCAACTTAGACAATACTCTTTTAAGCACTCCTTTTTAGTTATCCCCACCTGCCCAGTTCCCTTATTAGGCTGAGACACTTTAACTAAATTATCTGCTTCCCTGACTATTCCCGGACTACAGCTATATCTCATTGCCGCCCTTCTTTCCTATCCAAAGCCTCCTTTGCGTCCTCCTCTTGTATCCCCCCACCTTAACCCACAAGTATAAGATACCTCTACTCCCTCCTTGGCGACCGATCATGCACCCCTTACCATCTCATTAAAACCTAATCACCCTTACCCCACTCAACGCCAATATCCCATCCCACAGCACGCTTTAAAAAGATTAAAGCCTGTTATCACTCGCCTGCTACAGCAGGGCCTTTTAAAGTCTATAAACTCTCCTTACAATTCCCCCATTTTACCCGTCCTAAAACCAGACAAGTCTTACAAGTTAGTTCAGGATCTGCGCCTTATCAACCAAATTGTTTTGCCTATCCACCCCATGGTGCCAAACCCATATACTCTCCTATCCTCAATACCTGCCTCTACAACCCATTATTCTGTTCTAGATCTCAAACATGCTTTCTTTACTATTCCTTTGCACCCTTAATCCCAGCCTCTGTTCACTTTCACTTGGACTGACCCTGACACCCATCAAGCTCAGCAAATTACCTAGGCTGTACTGCCACAAAGCTTCACAGACAGCCCCCATTACTTCAATCAAGCCCAAATTTCTTCCTCATCTGTTACCTATCTCGGTATAATTCTCATAAAAACACACGTGCTCTCCCTGCCAATCGCGCCTGACCGATCTCTCAAACCCAAGCACCTTCTACAAAACAACAACTCCTTTCCTTCCTAGGCATGGTTAGCGTGGTCAGAATTCTTACACAAGAGCCAGGACCACACCCTGTAGCCTTTCTGTCCAAACAACTTGACCTTACTGTTTTAGCCTAGCCCTCATGTCTGCGTGCAGCGGCTGCCACTGCTTTAATACTTTTAGAGGCCCTCAAAATCACAAACTATGCTCAACTCACTCTCTACAGTTCTCATAACTTCCAAAATCTATTTTCTTCCTCATACCTGACGCATACACTTTCCGCTTCCCGGCTCCTTCAGCTATACTCACTCTTTTGTTGAGTCCCCGACAATTACCGTTGTTCCTGGCCCAGACTTCAATCCGGCCTCCCACGTTATTCCTGATACCACACCTGACCCCCATGACTGTATCTCTCTGATCCACCTGACATTCACCCCATTTCCCCAAATTTCCCTCTTTCCTGTTCCTCACCCTGATCACGCTTGATTTATTGATGGCGGTTCCACCAGGCCTAATAGCCACACACCAGCAAAGGCAGGTTATGCTATAGTACAAGCCACTAGCCCACCTCTTAGAACATCTCATTTCCTTTCCATCGTGGAACTCTATCCTCAAGGAAATAACTTCTCAGTGTTCCATCTGCTATTCTACTACTCCTCAGGGATTATTCAGGCCCCCTCCCTTCCCTACACATCAAGCTCGAGGATTTGCCCCACCCAGGACTAGCAAATTAGCTTTACTCAACATGCCCTGAGTCAGATAACTAAAATACCTCTTAGTCTAGGTAGATACTTTCACTGGATAGGTAGAGGCCTTTCCTACAGGGTCTGAGAAGGCCACCGCAGTCATTTCTTCTGTTCTGTCAGATATAATTCCTCAATTTAGCCTTCCCACCTCAATACAGTCTGATAACAGACGAGCCTTTATTAGTCAAATCAGCCAAGCAGTTTTTCAGGCTCTTAGTATTCAGTGAAACCTTTATATCCCTTACGGTCCTCCATCTTCAAGAAAAGTAGAATGGACTAAAGGTCTTTTAAAAACACACCTTACCAAGCTCAGCCACCAACTTAAAAAGGACTGGACAATACTTTTACCACTTTCCCTTCTCAGAATTCAGGCCTGTCCTCGGAATGCTACAGGGTACAGCCCATTTAAGCTGCTGTATAGACATAACTTGGCCCATGATAGCTAGTATTCAGTTCTTCCTTTTATGCACAACCACAGCCAGCAGGAAGCTACCAGAGAATATGCACCAGTGAAATAAGGTTGTAAATAAAAAAGATATGCAATCCATGAAACAGAACATCCAGCCAAGGATCATAACAGCAAATGCCAGCTCTGGTGAGCACGTTATATTGAAAAGGGTGTGACTGTGGTGAAAGACTTGCCACAAATCATGAAACAAAACCAACCAGCACTGACAGATCATTTAAAATGTTTAAATACTTGTAATACAGGAGTTAAGAAATAATTCTTAGGCAGCTAGAAAGGGTGAAAGTTCTTGTGGAATTTTCCTTTAATAAAAATCAGCCCCCAAACCGTTTCTTCCCTAACAGAAAGCAGCCTGAGAAGACAGGCATAGATATGCAAACTAGGAGCCTTTATATGTAAATGCTGGCAGCTATACCTGGAAGCCAGGTACATTCAATATGGCATCTTCCGCCCTCTCTTTCTTGTCACAACACTTACCAGTATCATGGCAGCCTCCAGGTAAAACTGTCCGGAATTGGTGGGTTCTTGGTCTCACTGACTTCAAGAATGAAGCCGCGGACACGTGCGGTGAGTGTTACAGTTCTTAAAGATGGTGTGTCCAGAGTTTGTTCCTTCTGATGTTCGGCCGCGTTTGGAGTTTCTTCCTTCTGGTGGGTCCGTGATCTCACTGGCTTCAGGAGTGAAGCTGCAGACCTTCGCGGTAAATGTTACAGCTCACAAACGCAGTGCGGACCCAAAGAGTGAGCAGCCGCAAGATTTATTGCAAAAGACCGAAAGAACAAGGTTTCTACACAGTACAAGAGGACCCGAGCAGGTTGCCGCTGCTGGAGCTGGCAGCCTGCTTTTATTCCCTTATCTGACTCCACCCACATCCTGCTGATTGGCCCATTTTACAGAGATCTAATTGGTCCATTTTACAGAGAGCTGATTGGTCCATTTTACCAAGAGCTGATTGGTCCGTTTTGACAGGGTGCTGATTGGTGCATTTACAAACCTTGAGCTAGACACAGAGTGCTGATTGGTGCATTTACAATCCTTTAGCTAGACACAAAAGTTCTCCAAGTCCCCACTAGATTAGCTAGACACAGAGCACTGATTGGTGCATTTACAAACCTTGAGCTAGACACAGAGTGCTGATTGGTGCATTTACAATCCTCTACCTAGACATAAAAGTTCTCCAAGTCCCCACCCAACTCAGGACGCCAGCTGGCTTCGCCTAGTGGATCCTGTGCCAGGGCTGTGGGCAGAGCGGCCCGCCAGTCCCACACCACGCACCTGCACTCCTCAGCTCTTGGGTGGTAGATGGGACCGGGTGCCACGGAGCAGGGGGCGGCGCCCATCAGGGAGGCTCAGGCCACGCAGGAGCCCACCACAGTGGGGGGCTTGGGCATGGCGGGCTGCAGGTCCTGAGCCCTGCCACACGGGGATGCAACTGAGGCCCAGCGAGAATTCGAGCATGGCATGGGCAGGCCAGCAGTGCTGGGGGACCCGGTGCACCTTCTGCAGCTGCTGGCCTGGGTGCTAAGCCCCTCACTGCCCAGGGCTGGCGGCGCTGGCCGCCCACTCCAAGTGCAGGGCCTGCCAAGCCTGGGCCCACTGGGAACTCACACTGGACCATGAGCACCGCACACACCCCCGGTTCCCGCCCGCACCTCTCCCTCCACACCTCCCTGCAAGCAGAGGGAGCCGGCTCCAGCCTCAGCCAGCCCAGAGAAGGCTCCCACAGTGCAGCGGTGGGCTGAAGGGCTTCTCAAGCGCAGCCAGAGTGGACGCCGAGGCCGAGGAGGCACCAAGAGCGAGCGAGGGCTGCTAGCATGTTGTCAGCTCTCAAAACCACATATACAGGCATCAGGGCCGCGGCTGAATGGAGGCCACATTTGCATAATAAAAGATTAGGGTTAGAGGGCCAATCTTTTCGCTTGCTATGTAGATGGAACACTGGGTCAAACCAATCCCCTGGACCCTATGTAAACCAATTACCTCCTCCTCTAGTCTCTATACAAAACAGTCTGCCTTCCTCCGCAAACTGGAGGCCCTCTTTTGGGCAACCCTCTTTCTCAGCACAGGGAAGCTTTTTCTCTCTCTCCTATTATTTTCCATTAAACTTTCCACTCCTAAATCCACTCCTCGTCTGCTCCTAAATCCTCATGTGTGTCCATGTCCTGAATTCTTTCTCTACCCAAACCAAGAACGAGTGAATATACCCCAAACAACGGAGCTGTTTCATTTGGACAGTAATTTCTAAGTGGTTATCAATTCTTGCAAAGTATTTTAGCAGCAGATAAATGTTAAACTAACAAAAGAAACATCAAAAATCAAAGTTATTATTAATTTAAGTAAAAAATATAAGTTGTAAAATAAAGGAACAATCATAGCAGACCACATGGTCAAACAGAACATGATAATGAGAGACAGGACTAGGTGGATTTTCTAGGCCGACTAAGAAGCCCTAAGCCTAGCTGGGAAGGTGACCGCATCTACCTTTAAACACGGGCTTGCAACTTAGCTCACACCCAACCAATTAGGTAGTAAAGAGAGCTCACTAAAAAGCTAATTAGGCAAAAACAGGAGGTAAAGAAATAGCCAATCATTTATTGCCTGAGAGCACAGCAGGAGGGACAATGATCGGGATATAAACCCAGGCATTGGAGCCAGCAACGGCTACCCTCTTTGGGTTCCCTCCCTTTGTATGGGAGCTCTTTTTTCACTCTATTAAATCTTGCAACTGCGCTCTCTTCTGGTCTGTGCTTGTTACAGCTCAAGCTGAGTTTTGCTGGCTGTCCACCACTGCTGTTTTCCGCCGTCGCAGACCCGCTGCTGAGTTCCATCCCTCCGGATCCACCAGGGTGTCCACTGTGCTCATGATCCAGCAAGGCGCCAATTGCCGCTCCTGATCGGGCTAAAGGCTTGCCATTGTTCCTGCACGGCTAAGTGCCTGGGTTCGTCCTAATCGAGCTGAACACTAGTCACTGGGTTCCACGGTTCTCTTCCATGACCCACAGCTTCTAATAGAGCTATAACACTCACTGCATGGCCCAAGATTCCATTCCTTGGAATCCGTGAGGCCAAGAACCCCAGGTCAGAGTATACGAGGCTTGCCACCACTTGGAAGCGGCCTGCCACCATTTTGGAAGCGGCCCGCTGCCATCTTGGGATCTCTGGGAGCAAGGACCCCCGGTAACAATTATGCATGCAATAATAACGTGAAACCAAATATTGTGATAGGGCTGAATTTTAGATGGATGAGGAAAGTAAAGGTGAGAAATGGCTGTGTAAACAAGATGGATCCTTCAACCACTAAAGGCCAATAAATAAATGCATATCGTCTAAAGTGGGTACCATAAGGAATTAAATTATAAACATATTGTTTAAAATATACAGGTAAAAATAAAGCAGTGAAAGTCACTAACTGGGGAACAGAGTGTGGCCTGAGAATATGGGTTTCAAAAGGGACTTGGTTTTGATATAAGACTTTTAGTACTATGAGACTTTTAAAAAATCAATGCACTCATGACAGAACTTTGTTTGACATTTAAAATGTTAGTCACGTTTCTGCAATTTTACCGCCTGAAAATATGTTCACTGCAAAATTTTGGCATAACCAAAAGCACATCTGGAAGTTACATTTCTCAATAAGCTAAAAATAGGATTTAGGGTTAACCTGAAGTGTGTCAGCAATTCTCTGAGAAGGGTGGATTAGAGTGCTCCTAAATAATGCTGAAGTGTTTACAATTCAAACACACCTGAGGCATCTCTTCACATCCTGTTTTCCTGTAACTCTTGTGATCTCCTGGGCCCTTGTGCGTCACCTGGGTTGGAGGATTATCCATCCGCTCTTTCTAAAACATGCTCTAAAAAATGTCTTAGGAAAAACACTATCTAAAGTCGTTTATAAGCTATTCAAATTTTTAGTAAAATATCAATGAAAAGACTTTCTAAATGCCTGCCACATGACACCTTCGTGTACCAAAACCTATCAAAATTACATCTTAAAGTCATTTTTTGTTTTCACTGACAGGACCATATTTCTCTTGCAGTTGTGTAGTTTGCAATGCCAGATGTAGGGATGTCAATATTTAATGGATAAAAATATATTTTATAAAGGAGCCCACTGGGATCACTTCTAAAGGCTAACCAGGATCTACTGAGTTCCGTAAATAACATTCTTTGTTATTCTCATGCCATAATTTCAGAAATGACTTATTCCTAAGCATGTACAATGATTTTAGGGTTGAAAATGCAACTAGCAAGGTCCAATAAACCACAGTTTTGGTTTTGTTCAAGCAAAGGACTAGGGAGTCGAGAGATGGTGATAACTATGCCTAATTAGGAAGGCCATGAGCACTTCTTCTGATGCTATTGAAAAGATCAAAGTAGGAGTGAAGACAGAAAATAATAGGTGAAAAAGCATGAAACTGTTAGAAGGGATGACCTTGAGTTATACTCGGATAATTATGAAGAGCTCACCATGTTTGGAATAAATGACATATGAGGTGGAGTGGCAGGGAATAAAGTTGTTTAAGTGGATGTATTAAGCACCTATTGTGGTTAGATTCGCTCAATGCACTTTGTATGACAACTCATTGAGTTGGGACCAGATTATAATACTTTCTTAGAAAAAGACTCCAAAAAACCTTTGATGGGGAAAAGTGATGTAAAAAAATTCATTTTAGGAAAAATAATATTAGTGATAGTGTTGAGAAAAGAATAAGTGTGAGAAATATGGGCAATGTGTGCCTCAAAGAAAAAAACTGTAAATCACTGTTAACACAGTTGACTTATGAAATTTTTAATTAGTGAAGGAAAAAATGACTTAATATAGAGGAGATCAAGAGACAAGTCAGAATGAAAATTAAAATGCCTTACAGTGTTGCAATGAACATACACATGCATGTATCTTTATGACAAAATGATTTATATTCCTTTGGTTATATACTCAGTAATGGGATTATTGGGTCAAATGCTATTTCTGCTTCTAGATCTTTTCTACAAATAAGAATGCTTATTTGAGGAACAGTCACACTACTTTCCACAATAGTTGATTTAATTTGCATTCCAACCAACAGGATATAAGTGTTCCCTTTTCTCTGCAGCCTCACCAGCATCTGTTGTTTTTCGACTTTTTAATAATAGCCATTCTAACTGATGTGAGATGGTATCTCATTGTGGTTTTCATTTGCATTTCTCTAATGATCAGCAGCAATATTAACAATAGCAAAGATATGAAATCAACCTAAATGCCCATCAATGGTACACTGGATAAATAAAATGTGGTACATATATACCATGGAATACTATGCAGTCATAAAAAGGAACAAGACCATGTCCTTTGCAGCAACATGGATAGAGCTGGAGACCATTATTCTTAGCAAACTAACTCAGGAACAGAAAACCAAATACTGCATGTTCTCACTTACAAGTGGGAGCTCAATAATAACAGATGGCCACAAAGAGGGGAATAACAGACAATGGGGCGTGCTTGAGGCTAGAGTGTGGGAGGAGAGAGGGGATCCAAAAAATTAACTATTGGGTACTAGGCTTAGTACGAGGGTGACAAAATAATCTGTAGAACAAACCCCCATGCACGAGTTTACCTATATAACACACCTGCACATATTGCCCTGAACCTAAAATAAAATTTTAAAAAAATAAATACTCTATAGTAAAATCAAAGATAACTATAAACATAATATTTTGGTAAATGAGTTAAATTACTGAATAGTCTAGTGTTTAGCAAAAATTTACAAAAACTATATTTTCCACTTTGACTTTAAGGATAATTTAGGAGATTACATATGTTGCTTATTACTGACAGCAAGAGAGATTATTATTTTGAGATTCTAATCTTTAAGTATTCTTATTTGTAGAAAAGTATTAAAGGTAATAATAAAATAAAATAATTTATTTAAAGGAATTTTTAGTACGTATTTGCAAAGTGAGGTATCTCTTTACAAACAGTTACTGTACTAAGTTGTGTATGTCTATGTTTACATTTGTAGGTCTTGTTTTTCTAAGGCTATAATGAGTATAGTTAATCGATAATATTACTTTTGCTTAAAAAGTAAGTTAAGTCATAAAGATATTTAAATGTTTGGAAAACATTCTTATGCATGTATCTACACTGTTCTCTTTTCCTGTGCTCTTCATTTCTTTATGGAAATCTGAATTAATCTTATATCATTTGCCTTCCACCTGAAGAGCTTCCGTTGACATTTCCCACACTGTGGGTCTGCGGGTGGTGAATCCTTTTTGTTGTCGTCAGAACAAAGTTTTGTAAATCTGAACAAATCCTTTTTTTAATTCTTATTTTAAAATATAATATTTCCTGGATACAGATATCTAAAATAGACTTTTTCTTTCCCTTTTTTCTATGAGTTGAAAGTGTTGCTCTACCTTCTTCTCACTTCCATTGCTTTTGATGCATAATCTGCTAACATTCTTTTTTTATTTCACAGTATCTTACAAATGTGTCTTCCATCATCAATTTTCTTTAAGATTTTTTTATCACTGGATTTGAAAAATTATATCATCCCTCTTGGTGTAATTGTCACCCTGTCCTTTTCACTGTCCTCCTCCTCCTCTTCCTCCTCCTTCTGTGCTTACGGTTCATTAAACTGCTTGGATCTAAGCATTTACAATATTCTTCAAATCGGGGAAATTTTCAGTTGTCATTTCTCCAATTGTTTTTTCTTATTCTCCCTTTGGATATGCCAATTATTTTTCATTATATTTAATAATGTTTTCCCCTGATTCTCTACTTTTTTGTTTTGTATTGTTTCCCCTTGTCTTCTGCTATGTGTTCATATTCATTAATCTTTTTTTTTTGCAATGTTGAATCTGCATTTGCCCTATGCAGTTTATTTATTTCAAATATTGTAATTTTTTCCTAGTTTTATTCTTGTTTATTTCTAATGAAAATGACTCTTTAATTTGAGGACATAAAAAATGAATTATAATAACTTTTAAATTCTTTGTTTTCCACTTCTCACATCTGTGTCATTTGAAGGACTGTTTCAACAGATTGTTATTGATTCATTGGCATGGATCATATTTTCCAGCTTCTTTGCCTGCCTTGTAAAGTTTGATTGCTTGTCACAGGTGGTGAATTTTATCTTGTTGAGTAATAAATATGTTTGTGTGCATATATACGTGTGTGTGTAGATATATACATTAGATAGATAGATATAGATAAATGATAGATACTTTTGCTTTTCTCTGGCATGAAGTTAAGTTACTTGATCACTGTTCATCCTGCTTTTAAAATTTTTAGGTGTGATTTGATCTGTGCTTCGTCTAAGGCTTACTTGTTGCTCACAACTGCAATCGGAATCTTCTAAATATTCTACCAACGGTACATAATTAAAGAGGTTTTCTAGACTTGATATTGGAAACAAGAAGTATTCCATATCCTGTATAGCCCTGGGTGTTGTTACCTTTAATTCTTCCAGGTGCTTTTGTTACCTTTAATTCTTCCAGGTGCTTTTATCACATGAATATATCAATCAGTAATCTTTCAAATGCCCATGGGAGGGGAGACAGTATATCCCAAAAGTTATGGATACTCTATACTAGATCTAGTTGCCATGGTCTTCCTGGAATCTTAGCTCCATCTCTTCAACCCAGGAGTCTTCAGGGCTCTCTCTAAGTTCTCTTCCCAATGCTGCGGTCTAGAAACTTGCTGAAAGGCAATAAGTTGAAGAAACCCTTTCAGATTCATCTTGCTTGTTCTCCATCTATCAGGAATCACTGCCCCTCTATGCCTGGTGTCTTGTGGATGTTGAAAACGTTGACATTTATGTTATTCAAACTTTTGTTTTTTGATTTCTATTGGAAAGGAAATTCTGGCCCGTTACTTTATCTTGGCAAGCAAAGGTTGTTCAAAAATATCTGTTTATTCATCTGTTTATTTATAAGATGGCACAATGAATAGAAAATAGTATTTTACTGTAGTGATTGTATCTCATAAATATAACAATATAAGACAATACTATCACAGAAGGTTAGGTGCCTGCAAATGAAATTGTGCTAGTGAAATGTTTTTACCTACTGCATAAAGTAGTACCATTAACTCTAAATAGATTTTAAAGATGATTTTTATATTCCCAGAGCAATTGCTAAAATAAAAACAAATATTCAAGAAATTACATTTATAAAAGAAATGTAATTAAATACTAAAAATATCAATCAATCTAAGATAAGGCAAGACATCTAAAATAAACCAAAAATAAATGGGCCAAAATAGTAAAACTGGATATTAAGTCTCAAAATAACAACAATTAAATTAAATATATATGGATTAAATATGTCAATTATGAAATAGAGATTGTCACTTGATTTACAATAAAACAAGACCACCTGTACACTGTCTACAGAAGATACATTTTAAAAATAAAGACATTGAAAGTAAAATTGTGAAAAAGTGCTGAACATAAAAAGATGTTAGTAGTTACATTAAAAACCAGTCAAAATAGATACCCAGGTTAGAACGGTCAGCAGAAATGAAAACAAACATTTCAAAATGATAAAAGTACTAATTCACAAGACATGGTAATACATATATTTTCATATACTAGCAAAGCTTCTTAATACATGGAACAAATACTAACAGGTAAGCAAATGAATATATATTTTTAGACAGTATTAATTCAACTCATTTGACTGGGGGGAAATGAGAAGGAAAAGCTGGGCAATTTCAAGTTGAATGATATATTAATGAAAATATTCTTATTTTGCCAGAGCAAGAATGACTTGGTGTACATAATTTGAAAGTAATTGAGCAATATACAATCTGATTAAATTTTGACATATCCAACGATTGAAAACTTCAATTCCAGTTGAACGGCATTAGAACTTGTTCAAAGATTTTTATTGCAGCACTCTTTTGTAGTAGAATTCAGAAGTAACAAAAATAGCCATCCCTAGGAGAATGAATGAATAAATCGCATTATCATTAATGTCATACAACAGTTGAAATTAATGAACTGGCAATTTTATATGGATAGATTTTCAATGTCAAGTGTTGATCAAGAAACAAGTCACCAGATTATACTTTAAATACCACAGGTTCAATGTAAATTTAATAAAAACACTTGTATATAAGATATACGTATCTATTATTAATGAATATATAAGGAATAGAATTTAATATTAACAACATTTAGAAATAAACAGCCTAAGTTAAGAATAGTGATGCTTGGGAGAGTGTGAAAGGGAGTGGAACAGAATGTGGGAAGAATTTTTAAAACTATTTTGACTGTGTCTGTAAAATTTGTAATTTTTATTAAAGCAGATTTAGTTAAACATGTTAAATTTTAATGTTATTTTTAATTCTAGTTAGAATATACATGAGTGTTTGTTATAATTTCACCCTCACTACGGGGAATTAAAACTTTTCTCAAATTAACATGAAAAAGAACAAATGCACACATCTCAGCAGAATCAGAAAAAAAACTAAAGATAAAAGTAAGGTATCATCCTTAGGATCAAAAGCAACAGCTTTGCAAATGTGCACAGAATGAGATATGCTATAATTATTCATCACCTCTTTCTCACAATGTAACAACTATTTAAGAAGAATGGTTTAGTTATTTTAAAAGAGTGTTTTCGGGTTTTTTTTCTGCCCAAAAAAAAAAAGTACTATTACCTTTTTTTCCTGGGTTTACTTGGTATATAAAATTCTTTTTAAAATTTTATTTTTCCTTAAGTTATTGGTATACAGGTGATATTTGGTTACATGAGTAACTTCTTTAGTGGAGATCTGTGAGATCCTGGTGCACCCATCACCTGACCGGTATACACTGAACCATACTTGTTGACTTTTATGCCTCGCCCCCCCTCCCACTCTTCCCCAAAGTATATTGTATCATTCTTATGCCTTTGGGTCCTCATAGCTTAAGTCTCATATGTTAGAGAGAACATACAATGTTTGCTTTTCCATTACTGAGTTATTTCACTTAGAATAATAGTCTCTAATCTCATCCAGGTCATTGTAAATGCTGTTAGTTCATACCTTTTTATGGCTGAGTAGTATTCCATCATATATATATATCACAGTTTTTTTATCCACTTGTTGATCAATGGGCATTGGAGTTGGTTCCACGATTTTGCTATTGTGAATTGTGCTGCTATAAACATGTGTGTGCAAGTATCTTTTTTGAATTACGACTAAAAGAATGGTTTAACTATTTAAAAAGAATGATTATCACCAAATGAATTTGGTGATACCATCAAATGAATTTGGTGATAATACATGACATGATAATTATGATAATAATTTTAAAGCAGAAATCAGTCAATATTTTCAGAGAGAGATTATACAAATGCAATTTAGACTATAACAGTTTAGACTTATATCTTAGAGCATGTTAACATGTGGGGAAAATGATCTCTTGTGTGGTTATTTAGAAAGGGAAACTTTTAAAGAAGAAAGCATAAATGTGGGCATATTCTCATCTTTTACTTAATGTAATTAGAGTGAACATATTGAAGCCACATACTAGAATTTTATTTTATTTTTTAATTTTTGTAAGAGATGAGGTCTCATTCTGTTGCCCAGGCTGGTTATGAACTCCTAAGTTCAAGCAATACTCCCACCTTGGCATTTCAAAGTGCTGAGATTACATTCGTGAGCCACCATGGCCAGCCAAGAATTTTAAAAGTAAATTTGTTTAAAATAAAAGTTGAAGAAAAAAATATGGCTTTAAAATGTACAGTTGCAGAAAATTTTGTGTATGAATAATTTAAAAATTCCAGAAATAAAAATTATTTTTGGAAAAATGTTCTCAATAATAAACAAATATTTCTCCAACTTTATGAAAGCTGGCACGTTAATTTCAAAAACTGGCAAAGGCCATAGGAAAGACAATAAATTTTAAATGTCTTATTTTTTAAGAGATAATATTTTATTTTATATTAATTTATTTTTTCAAGCATAGTGGTCTCTACTCAATATTGCTTGTATTTAGTCCACCTTCTATTCTCCAGCTAGTGAGGGCGCAAAGGTTTGTTGCCATCCATGAGCTCTGGGAATTGTCTGAATTATAACTCCCTCATAATTATTTTCCAGGAACATTTTCTTAGTCTTCCCTTGTAGAATTTCACTCTATGCATGCCAAAGGCTCAAGGCCAAACTTACGAAGATTTTTGGAACACTTCTTCTCCGCATTTTCTTCTTTTCCCTTAACTTTGTGTTCTGTCTGCTCCACTCAGCAAGATTGCTGGTTTTTATTCCAGTCCCTCCTCCTTTAGCTACTGTGTAGAACTGTCCTTGGCCAAAATGTCTGGGGAAAATGTTGAGCTTACTTTGTTAGCTTCCTGTCTCTTAAGAATCGTAGCCCTACACTGCCTATTGTCTGATATAAGAAAAATGTTTCCAATATTTTGTTCAATTTTGAAGATATTTTAATAGAAATGTTATTCTGAACTCTACGCACACTCAGAGCCAGAAGCTAAATTTGTCTCTCATTTTTATAAGGTAGACATACCAGCAGTACAATCATGTAGAACACACTGATGATTCTATGTTTATTTTCCATCCTCCCCTTAGACAGAAATACTAGCAATTCTATAAGTTACCAAGTAAGAAGAAAAACATTTCTGTGGATTAAATGCAGAAAAACACCTTAAGCCTCTCACTGAAAAATGTTTCTATAATTGCCGATGAAAATGAGGCTTAAACACACACTCACATACAAGCGTGCACACATGCAAACACACACACTCTTGTAAACAGTATATCTATAAGCCCCAACATTTGTTTCAATCCTAGATGATGAACTTGCAGTACACAAGATATTTGGTAATTTCCAATAACTCATGTAGAATCAAGTATAAAAATGAGAAAAGTAACATATAAGAAGATATTTAAAGACTTTGAAAAAATCTGATGTCATATTTTCTATAACGATATGACATTTATATAAATTATTTTAAGGACCCAAAAGGACTTAGGGGAATGTTTGTCTTCACATTATGCCATTTATTAGACAGACTATGAATCATAAGAAAAACTGTGATTTTATGGTGGAAAAGTATTGTTTGTTACAAATGATAAAATATTAGTGTCTAATTTGTGGAATTAAATTGTATTAATATAATAACCAACAAGAAAAATAAGCATAGAAATTGGTAAGTGGGTAAAATGAAAAGGCCCTGAAAGATAAGCTAAAGAACTAAAGAACACCTTTTTTAAGTTTAAGAGAAAACACTCTAAGGAGTAAAATACACAATTCTAATAGAAAATTTTCAAGAATAAGATACAAATGAACCTAAAGAAATAGAAAACTTAGTAGATATGCAGCAATTACAATGATCTAGAAACATCATTGAAATATCAAGAATGATATATCAAGATAATAAATTCACAAGAAAGTTGTAAAGATAAAATGGTTTCCTATCTAGAGAAAAATATTAGTGAATTTTTGGAAGACAGAAAGCCATATACTCTGCTCATTCTTCTATTCCAGCATAGACCAACTGCCTTGGCTAAGTCTCAATTCTCAGTGTCTCAGATAACAAATACAATAGGGAAAAGAAAGCTTCAAATCATCAAGCCTTCCTGTGATTTTCACCCTTAAATCTTAATCCATCAGTCTTGTGTGATTTTCTAATTTCATAAGGTGTTTAATTGGATGATAACGTTCTGTAAAGATTTTATTGATACACAACACATATGAAAAATAAAGCTTAAATCATAAATATATTGCAGCAGAAATTTTTCACAACATGATAACAACCATGTAATCATCACTGAGATCAATAACATGAAACTTTCTAAGTACTTTTGGACATTCTTGTTTAATAAAATTTATGTTTCCTATCATAGGCCTAGAAATGAAATAATTTCCATGACTGTCCTGGGTATAAGGAGAAAGGAAGTGGCCACGATGCAAAATAAAATTTTAAAAGGTGAAGATTTGGAACCACAAATAAGGTTATAGAATTCACCATCAGTTTGATGTTAGATTAGTATTGGTTTTAGTAATAGGTTTAGTAATTGGTTTCATCAGTAATAGGATGAAATAATGATAAGACTCTTCAATTAATAATTGAAAAGTAAATAAACTTGTATTATGGAGTGACATTTCACCAATCAAGGAAGTTACAGCTGTTATTATACCTTCCTGCTGCATACTAATTAAAGCATTTCAAAATATGTCCTCAATGTAAAATAATATATTTCTCCCTTTCTGCTTTTGTCCTTCTTTCAGCTCTTTTCAGTGAATTTAAAATTTCCTTAAAAATATAATGTAATTATTGGTACCTATAAAGGATCTAGTCAAGTAAGATAGGTGTTAGATAGGATAGGAGCTAGACAGACAAACATCAGACAGAATTTTATACCACATGTAAGAAAGGAGCTGATTTTGACACTATGAATTTTAACCCCAATGCAATGTATGAAGCAAATTAAGAATTTGAGGGCTATATACCCAAAAACATTTAACAACTTTATTGCAAATTTAACTAGAAAATTCAAAAAGTTGTGTAGGTTTTCTGATACAAGGCTCTAGGGAACTAGATGTTCGTTATATAAAACTTGGCTGGTTTTGTTCTTTGGATTGTGACTGAACAAAAGCCAAGTGCTTTAGACAATTTTGTATCAGGAAATGAAATTTTCACAGCAACTCAGTAGTCACAGGTGTGTACTCCTCTCTTTTTGCCAAACTTTCCTATTTTTATAAATATTTAAACTGTACTGTTTTACTGTCTTATTTTAGCAAATGAGATATTTTTCAATGAGGAGAGTAATTCCCAAATTAATTTCCCCACACTTTTGTGAAATGGTTTACCAAAAATGAATTACAATGTATTTATATTTTTATTTGTTAAATCAAGTAAAATGAATCACATGGTATAATTTTATGGAATTAAGAAATATACTGAATTGAACTCTTTAGGGTTAAACCATAAAGTTGGGTAAATGATCATGTTATAAAAATAACAAAAGCAGCATCTGTTTGTTATTCCAAGCATAATACACGTATACATCATTTAACATGCCGACAAAATAAAGAAATAATGTAAATAGAAATTTCAAAGCCTTCTCTTTTTTTCTTAATCCAGTTCCATACTCAAAAGAAAGCATTGTTAAGATTTTCTAATGATGTCCTTTAATTAAAATACACATGTATATAAATATTATATTTTATGTCCATTTTATTTTTCTTTTATCAGCTAGTAACTAATATGGAAGATATGCTATGTTTATGCCATTATCTGTAGGACATTTTGTTCTTTTCAGAGAGTGCGCAGTATTCTCTAGTTGGACTATATACTAATAAATTTAACTATTCTTCTGTGGATAGACATCTATATTAATAGTAATCACATTATGCTAAAGACTGTGCAGTAAACAACATAGTTATATATACATAGATACATATGTTATTATTCCTTAATTTCCTTACTCTCTTAATCTCTTTAAAGAAAGTCCTTTGAATTTCATCTCCAAATATATCTTAACTTTTTCTTCTTTTCTACACTTCTACTTATCTACCTTATTTTATTTTCTCCAATTCTATCATTTACCTCAGAAGTAATCTAGTTGGCCTTTTTTCTTTCAGTCTTGCTTTTCTGTTCCAGCTCAATACAATTCAGCTCTAAATAAATAATATAAATATTTGAAAATTACTTTCTGACTTAAAACTCATGCAGGATATCCCATTGAATGTTGTCTCCCAAAAGGGTATGTTGGAATTTGGGTTTGTATAGTTGTAATCATGTATTGGTTATGTGCAATATGTGTCTTAATCCAATGACTGATGTCCTTATAAGAGATAAATTTGGAAAGAGAGGCACAAAGGGACACACAGAGAGGCCATGTGAAGAGAGAGACAGAATTTTGAGCCATGCATCTACGTGCCAAGGATTGACTGCAATCTCCAGAAGCAAAGGGCAGGACATAGAATAGATTTTCCTCAAAGTTTCCAGTAGAAACAAACCCTGCAAGCAGCTTAATTTCAGAAATCTAGCACATAGAACTATTTCTGCTTATGCAAGCTAGCCAGTTTGTAGAATTTTGCTTTAGCAGCCCTGGGAAACTAATAGAACTCTTTGTGATGGTGACCAGGCATTACTTTCCTTTCCATGCCTGCTGTCTAGCGTCAGCTTCCATTATTCTCTGTATTAGCCAGTTTTGACGCTGTTTATAAAGATATACCTCAGACTGGGTAATTTTTAAAGAAAAAGAGGTTTCGGCCGGGCACGGTGGCTCACGCCTGTAATCTTAGCACTTCAGGAGGCCAAGACGGGTGGATCACGAAGTCAGGAGATGGAGACCATCCTGGCTAACACGGTGAAACCTATCTCTACTAAAAATACAAAAAATTAGCCAGGTGTGGTGGCGGGCACCTGTAGTCCCAGTTACTTGGGAGACTGAGGCAAGAGAATCACTTGAACCCGGGAGGCAGAGGTTGCAGTGAGCCTAGATGGTGCCACTGCGCTCCAGCTTAGGTGACAGAGCGAGACTCCGTCAGAAAGAAAGAAAGAGAGAGAGAGAGAGAGAGGGAGAGAGAGGGAGAGGGAGAGAGAGAGAGAGAGAGAGAAAGAAAGAGAAAGAAAGAAAGAAAGAGAGAAAGAGAAAGAAAGAAAGAGAGAGAGACAGAGACAGAGAGAGAAAGAAAAGAGAAAAGAAAAGAAAGAGAGGTTTAATGGACTCGTGTTCATGTTCCACGTGGCTGGGGAGGCCTCACAATCATGGCGGAAGGTGAAAGCCATGTCTTACATGGTAGCAGGCAAGAGAGAATGAGAGCCAAGCGAAAGGGGAAACTATCAGATGGGGTGAGACTTATTCACTCCCATGAGAACAATGTGGGACAAACTGCCCCATGATTCAATAATCTCCCACCAGGTTTCTCTCATAACACATGGGAATTGTGGGAGCTACAATTCAAGATGAGATTTGGGTGGGGACATAGCCAAACCATATCATTCTCTCTCATAGCCCCTCACACCCAGCCACCCTGCTTCTTCTGGACCTGAGATAAGCCACTCATGCCTTCTTTCTCCCACCCCGTCACCACATGTTAACATGCTATTATTACATGGCCAAAATGACTCTTTAATTTAGGTCTCCACCTAAGACTGTCACTTTAGCTAAATCTCTACTACTTCCTAGTTAGATTAGTTTCTTCTTGTTTACTACTACTTAATATTACAGATTTGCTTTTATTCTCCCTATACTTATTAGTAAAATATACACAATACACCATCCAAAACCATGTCTGTATTTTGACCATTGAATCAGATATGGATGGCATGTTTTTGATGGATAGCTATGAATGAAGAGAGTTGATCAAATGATTAGAACATATGACTATTTCAATAAGATTAATTTCTAAGCAAATGGAACTTGGGTAAAAGAAAGGTGTAATCAAACATATATATATTTATTATATATATATAAAAATATATATTTATTTATATTTATAAATATATATTTAACAACTTGTATTTCTCAAATGCTTATCAAGTTGAGATTTCCTGAGTTCAACACACCCTTATCAACATAGAATATTATGATGTGTTTAAATTTTGTTAACCAAATATATTAACAACTACAATTTCCATCTTTATGCACTGTTATTTAATGTGTGTGTTTCTGTGTCTGAGAGAGTGTGTGTTTAATTTTGACAAGTCCAAATTTGACTGGATCCACAAAACTTTGGATAATATGCTAATCTGTTTCCTTCTCTCTCTCTATCCCTCTGGCTTTCTCTCTGTCTCACACACATACACAAACACACATGCAGACATGTATTGAAAGTGCATTTTTGCTATAAATAGAATTGTATGTGTAATAAAGATGTTGAAAGTTTGGCTTGTGTTTCTACAGACAGCCAGGGTTTTTGATAAGAAGTATGCTGCCAATTTAAACTTTTATCTTATTGATAATTATCTATTTCGTTTGTTTTGCTTTATATCAAAAGATTTGAACATTTTTTCCCTACCCATTTTATGTTGGAATTTCTTAGAAAAATCTTTTAATTTTTGAGACTTCTGCTTCATATCTGAGAAGGACTTCTTCCTTTTAGTACAAGTAAAGAAGAGGCCATAGGATGATCCATATTTTAGAGTTATCATAGACAGTATTTAAAAATCAGTATAACTAATATGTACAAAAGTAATACTTCCAGTTTTCTGAGAAGACTTGTACAACTTATTCTGTTTATTACTGTTTTCTTAAATATATTGCATGCTATTTAAATTGGAATAATTTAAACTTTCTAATTTTTATTGGTTGTTACTAGGTACGAACTTGACTTTTATATAATTGTCTTGTATCCAAAGACTTTTAACAAATTCACTTATTAAATCTAAATGATAATTAGTGCTTTCTTTTGCATTTTCTTGGTAGAAAACTAATAGTCTGCAAACGACGAAAATTTTATGTTGTTCTTTCCAAAAATGATTGCCTTTTATTTCTATTCACTTCTTATTGAACTGGTTAGGACATTTAATACAATGTTTATTATAACTCAGAAATGTAAGTCTTCATTATGTCCTTGAACTAACAGGGTCAAAGCTTACAATATTATTATTAATTATAATGTTGACTGCTGGCATATTGAGGAAACACTTCATCTGATGAAGTCATTTTTGAATGTTCACTCTGATGGTGGTTTCTTTTGCTGTGCAGAATCTCTTTAGTTTAATTAGATCCCATTTGTCAAATTTGGCTTTTGTTGCCATTGCTTTTGGTGCAAAACTCCATTAAAATCTTAACTGATTTTTTTTCCTTTTGGCAGTTATTGATAAGATGATGCAATAAAAATGCAAGGGACTTAAAAACTGAAAGCAGTCCTGAAGGATAACAATGTTGCAGAATATAGTATCAGATAAGAACTCATATAAAATAACAGTACAATTTAAAAATGCTATTGATACAAACAAGTATAAATATCAATAAAATTTAGTGGAGAATCTAGAAACACAATCATACCACACAAATAATATCACCTGATTATGACAGATTTGCTCCTGAAATTTAGTGGTGCAGTGAGTAAATGCTTTAAAAAATGCTTAAATTAGATTCCTACTTTGGGAAAAAATTATCTAAATTACTACCTTACACTACACAGAGTTATCAATTTAAAATGAATAGTAGACCAAAATGTTGAGTACAATGATAAAGTTTTGAGAAGAAAATGGAGAAGAATATCTCTTCAACTTTCAAGAAGACAAATATTTATTAGCAGTTAACAAAAGTATTGACATGCTAAAAGATTTGATTATTTAAACTTCATTAAAAATTTTGAAAATCACAAATGATGGCTAAAATGGTAAAAGAACAACAGTTTTATTCACAATGAACACATGAATTACCCAAATATTTCTCAACATTATAGGAAGTAATTTGTGCTTTTTATATTGTGCATTACTACAAAAGAATGAATATGAATGTGCTACCACAGTACTGCAACACATGAATGAATCTGACAGTTACAATGATCTACAAGAGAATTCAGATAAAAATAGTATAATCTACCATATTATGATATTAATTTCAAACACAGGCAAGCCTACTCTGTGTTTGTAGAAGTCAGAGTGGTTATATTTTGGGGAAATATTTACTGGAAGGAAAACAAGAGGAATTTTTATGATTCTATAAATACTATATATCTTGTAATGGGGTGTATCTTTAAGAAAGTTTTAGTTTATGAATATTATACCTCAATAAAATTTATAAATATATATATAGTTAATGTTAAAATATTCCATTAGTCTTTCTTTTTTATATGTCTATGAATCCTTCCTAACCAATATATAATTGATATTGACATTTTCCTTTTGTGTCTTCTTGATGTCACATTCACTATGTATGTATGTAACCACTTATTTATCAATGGGCATTTAGGCTGGTTCCATATTTTTGCAATGCAAATTGTACTGCTATAAGTGTGTGTACAAGTGCCCTTTTCATATAACGACTTATTTTCCTCTGGGTAGATACTCAGTAGTGGGATTGCTGAGTCAAATGGTAGTTATACTATTAGTTTCTTAAGGAGTATTCATACTACTTTCCATAGTGGTTGTACTGGTTTACATTCCCACCAGCAGTGTCAAAGTGTTCGTTTTTCACCACATTCATGCCAACATCTATTTTTTTTTATCATGGCCATTCTTGCAGGAGTAAGGGGGTATCAAACTGTGGTTTTGATTTGCATTTCTCTAATAACAGGTGATGCTGAGCAAGTTTCTTGGCCATTTGTATATCTTTTGAGAATGGTCTGTCTATTCATGTCCTTAGCCCACTTTTTCTTTTTTTCTTTTGGCAGTTGGCAGAGCTAGCTGAGATTTTATTTACAAAAACAACAATTGAATTGTTTTGTAGCTAGAGGCATGGGCAAGGGTAGTACCCCAGGCAGTAAGCTACCCCCACGTGTGAGCTTAGCCCACTTTTTGATGGGATTATTTTTTTTCTTGCTGATTTGTTCAAGTTCCTTGCAGAATCTGGATATTAGTTTTTTGTGGAATGCATAGTTGGTAATATTTTCTCCCACTCTGGGGGTTGTTTATTTTCTCTGCTGATTATTTCTTCTGCTATGCAGAAGCATTTTAGTTCAATTAAATCCCATCTATTTATCTTTGTTTTGGTTGCATTTGCTTTTGGGTTCTTGCCCATGGACTCTTTGTCTAAGCCAATGTCTAGAAGGGTTTTTCTGATGGCTTAGCTGAGTAGGGATACGTAATATAGCACAGTTTCCCTTCAGCACTTATACTTCTATTTTGTACTGTATTTTCCCTAATACCAAGTGAACTGTTAGTCTGTTATTCATTTTGGAGGACAACACCATGTTTTCCTTCAGTATTTTTAACCAAGTTTTCTTCATTTTTAGTATTCCACATTTTCCTGCCCTCTAGATATGGATTTATTTTTATATTTTCTCTTTGTATTCAGAACTCATTGTTTCTGAGGATTCATTATTTTCTTCACACCTGAATAATTATCACTAAGAAAGTACCTCCTTTTATTATCCCTTCAAATGCCAGTTTCTTCACAATTTCCTCTAGTGTCTCATTCTAGGAATCCTGTTAGATGTTTTCTCAAGCTGTTAAATGTGCTTTCTATTTCATTTAACATTTTTAACATATTTTAAACACTTCGGTATTTGAATTGTGTTTTTTGAGAATTCTCTAAATAATTTAAACTTTCTCTTATATTTTTCAAGACTAGAACTTATTCCATCTACAATTATTTTAATTGTAATAAATATTGTTTCACTTAATCAATTTTATCCCTTTTTCTATCTACACATTATTGTTAAACTTCCACATATATGGTTCTTTACTTTCTTATTCTTTCATGTAATCCCATCTCTTCATTTTCTTTTGACATATGTAAAATGCATGCCCTAATTCTGTGATTTTCTTAATTTTCTTGATATTTCCTCGTATTGAGAATTTTGTTAATACGCTAATTTTAGGTGAGACTTTCTAGCTGTTATGAGGAATTCAGATCACCAATCCTACAATAATATTAAGGGTATGATAAATTAGTTTCTTGGTCATCAGGCAACTAAGTTCAGATCCTGAATTAAATCACTTAGAAGATAAATATGGATAGAGTTTTTAAATACCCTATAAAAACATAGGGTAGCTAAAGATAATTGTTGATGCCTAGGTTTGTGCCATTCTCAACATTAAGGACAGAATATATAACCAAGTCCAGAATAATATTTAAAAATATCAGAGTGAGTATATATGAGTAAACTGAATTTAATTTAGTTTAGTACCTATAGTTACTTATTTCAGTAAAAGTTTATGATTATGCAGTGGTCATAATGTTTATGCTAAACATTTTAACTGCATGCTTTTAATAGAGTTTATTTTCAAATAAATCATTTCTTGTTTTTATTCATGTGTTCATTGTTTGAATATGTTGCGTTTTAGTACTTAAAATGATGCCATTATAGATGATGAATGATGCTACTTAATGAAAGCTGGGAAAAGTTATTGAGATGCTACATTTCACATTTTATTTTATAGATTTAAACAGATGACCTATGCAAAGTCTGGTATACAACTAAGGGGAAAAACAGACTAATGGCAAGAAATATCTTGTGTCAGCAGTACATGGAAATCACAAGGTGGTAGCCAATTGCATGAAAAGTCTGATGCAACTTCAAACCTGTAGAAACTTCTTAATCAGTCATCTGGAAAATTGTTAACAAGGAACTGGCAATCCAGGAAATAATTTGTATACAAGGGTAATGGAAGCATATAAAAATAAAACAAAAGCAGGAAATAACTCTGAAGAAGATTCTAGCTATTTTATCAAGAAAATATAAAAGGTTTCATTTTGCACAGGTATCAATATAAAGGAGATGCCTATCAGTGTATACTAACTAGATATAAACATTATTCAGTAATGTTATTTTTTCTTCGTTTTTGTATTTGTTTCTTTTATTACACCTACAGTATAACTAAATTTACAATCAAAACAAGTCAATGAAAAAAAGAATATTAATGCTATCAAACATAATAAATTAAAGTGAAATGCTAATGGGACTCAGCATAATAAGAAAATGGGATAGTTTGATGCCAGAAAATATAAAATAAACCTCAAAGCAAATGCAAACTAAAATGTTCAAAGATGTTAGGTAGAGAAATTTTTTCTCAAAGTCAGGGCGGTTAAGAGTCACAAGTAGTAAGGAGCTTTAAATTTAAAATGCCACCAAAACCAAAAGTCTAAGGAAATAGTGTAATTCTAATCAACTTTTTTTTTTATTTTGTAACTAACTAAAGGTGGCATGTGTTTAAAAGGATTTACTATATAAAGCAATACTCTTTAATCTGGACACAATTTCCTTAGAAATATTGATCTTCCCTGTTCATGTAGGGAAGTAATCTAGATAAGTAATCTTTTTATCCTGGACAAACTAAATCATTTAACCTCTTAGCCTGGGCTCAACGGAAAGCAGTACAGAGGCAAAGCCTTGTTTACAAGTCTTTTTATTGACAACTGTGGGCCCAGAGGTGGGAATAAGAATTGGAGGAAAGAAGCAAGAACGAAAGAGAATACAATAAAGGATGCATCTTCAATTTGACCCACTGCTATGGGTGACTATTGGTTGGATCCATGACCGCAAGACAGAATGGGAAAACTATTTGTTTACTGGCTCTTGTTCCTTATTGTCTAGAAAACTTCACCCTCTAGAGCTTTAACTCTGTTGATTCATAAGTATGGTGCAGAACAGTCTCCCTCAGAAGCTCACACTGCATTAACAGAGAATCCTTTAATATGGAAGCAAAGAGCACAAAATCCTCCTGTGGCAAAGTGCTGCCATAATTCACGTTGGAGATGAAAGGAAGGTGTATGAAACTAGTCACTGGACTGCTTGGAATAAAAGAGAAAATTGAGGCCAATTATTTATAAGTGATGCAGAAGGGGTGTCCAGGACATAGCACTATCTCCTGTGCATAAAATTATAGCAAAATTTAGACTACTTTCAGCTTAGCAGATGAATGTTTGATATAATTTGTTTGGTCAAATTTATCTGTTAACTTTCACCTGTTCCTTTAGAACTAAACACATTGTCTCCAAATCCAGAGTAGGATCTCAGAAGAATTTTTATCTTGCGACATGGTAATAAAAGTGTGGTTCATAAGCCAACAGCATTGGGTCAAGGTTGGCTGTAAGAAGTGTAGAATTTCAGGCCCATTCCCAGATCTAATAAATCAGTTTTTCATTTTGATAAGATCCTCAGGTGACTTGTAAACTTATTAAGTTTAGGAAAGCACTCATTCAGGTGGGATCTTTGTCAATTTTACTTTCATTGTTTTATATGACACCTAGATGGCTAAATAAGTGGAAATAGATCTGGAACTAAGATATCGATCTCTGAATTAATTCACCTCTAGTGAACAACTTATGAAAAAATATACTGAAAGAATTATTCAATTTGTCATTACCCTGGTATTGTTAAATGATTATATTAATTTTTAGAAAAAAATGCATTTTTAATGAATCAAGTAAATTAATTTACTAGTACACTGAAAAATTTGTTTATATAAATAATACATGTCATTGCAAAAATTTAAGAGGAAGAAAGATGTTAAATAATCACAACCACATCATTTAGATTCAATCTATTTTTTTCACTCTTTAAATTTTATTTATTTATTTATTTTTAATTTTTTAAAAATTATACTTTAAGTTCTGGGACACACATGCAGAACACGCAGGTTTGTTACATAGGTATACACGTGCCATGGCGGTTTGCTGCACCCATCAACACGTCATCTACATTAGGTATTTCTCCTAATGCTATCCTTCCCCCAGCCCCCCACCTCCCGACAGGCCCCAGTGTATGATGTTCCCCTCCCTGTGTCTGTGTGTTCTCATTGTTCAACTCCCACTTATGCGTGAGAACATGCGGTGTTTGGTTTTCTGTTCCTGTGTTAGTTTGCTGCAAAGGACATGAACTCATCCTTTTTTGTGGCTGCGTAGCTAGAATAACCAGTTTACAGAAGAACATAAATGAACTGATTGAGCTGAAAAACAGCAGAACTTCATGAAGCATACATAAGTATCAATAGCTGAATCGATCAAGTGGAAGAAAGGATATCAGAGACTGAAGATCAGCTTAATGAAATAAAGCATGAAGATTAGAGAAAAAAGAAAGAAAGGAACAAAGCCTCCAAGAAATATGGGACTATGTGAAAAGACCAAACCTACATTTGATTGGTGTACCTGAAAGTGATGGAGAGAATGGAACCAAGTTGGAAAACACTCTTCAGGATATTATCCAGGAGAACCTCCCCAACCTAACAAAACAGGCAAACACTCAAATTCAGGAAATACAGGGAACACCACAAAGATACTCCTCGAGAAGAGCAACCCCAAGACACATAATCGTCAGATTCACCAAGGTTGAAATGAAGGAAAAAATGTTAAGGGCAGACAGAGAGAAAGGTCCTACCGCATTCTCACTGTCACTCATACACTAACATCCTCAAGTTCCTTTTTAATCAGCTTAGATTATGTGGTCTATCATTAAAACTGCTGCGTTTTATCAGGGCCAGATTTAGGGTGAAGTACTTCCCTCAGGTGTAAAGTTTAAAGCATGCCAAATTTAATCTTTTAGTGCAGTATGGTTTTTTGTTTGTTTTTTTAAATCAAACGTCCTTTCTCATGAAAACATGCTCAGCAAACTATCAACATTTTAGTAATGACAGGTTGGTCCTAATTGGTCCAACTCTTTGCTCTGTGTTATCTTCTCACATCATCCCAAGTGATCTTTTTAAAAATAAAAATTACATCATGATTCCGACCTGCTCACGAGTAGGTAGTAACTTTCAGTTAAACTCAAATGAAATGTCAACCCTGACCACATCAACAAGGGACCACTTGATCTCCCCCCTCCACATCTTGCTTTATTTTTCTTCTTCATTTTTTCTTGGAATTTTTTAGAGACTCACTTGTTTGTGCTCCTTGAACGAAATCTGCACGGTCTTTTCTTAGATTTATGGCTGCTTTTCTTGAATTGCTCTTGTCTCTGCTCCAGAAAATCCATTCAATTTTATTTTTTCTAAATTTAGTGTATCCATTACCCTAACAATCTTGATTTATTTATATTCTTTATTTAATTACTGTTCTTTATATCATGTGTTCTTTCATTGAAAAATCATATTTTCATTTTTTTATTATTCCCTAATAGATTTGAGAGCTCTGAGACTTGTGTTGACAATCGCACTTATTTCAAATAAGGATATTAAAGTCTATTCTTCAATATTTTATTCACAAAATGCATACTTAGTATTATTTTTTATAATTCCATAGACAATGTGTTTTACTTATTTATTTCTTTATTTAATCATCATATGAGAAAAGTCCTCCACTAAACTCAAGCATTCAAGGAAGAATGCTATCATGGTATCTCTTCCAATAAACTTTGTAGTTTCATTGAGATATGGAAAAATTAGCAGGTAATAATGACAAGCCATGGTTATGTAATGATAGGGGAAGCACAAAGTTATATGTGAAGCAGAATATAAAAAGGCAAATATAACTCATAATTAACAGTTCTTAAGTACCTTTCCAGAAACAATAAAAACAAACATAGGCATGACAGGCAGGTAGCATACACTCAGGCAAAATGTCTGTGTGTGCAAAGAATGGAGGACCTGCTTGCAGAATAAGTGGTATGCATAAAAGCGAAAATTGTATTTAAAAATTTGAGAAGTTGAAATGACTTAAAAGATGTAGAGAAGAGACTGAGTACCAAGAAGAAAGCAAGATGATGCAAGATGAGGTTTTATGAGTAGACAGGGTAGATATCACCTAGGGCTTTGTAAATTCGAATACTAAGTATGAATTCTACCTTCAATGAAAGGTGAAGCATGTAGAAATGGCATGATCCAATTTGTGTTTTTACATAATTCTACCTGAAGTACAGCTAATAAATTGGGGAGGAGCAAGGCTGAAGAAAATTGCCAGTTAGTATACTATTGCTGTGTTCTCTGAGTGACATGTTAGGATGCAGACTGAGTAATAAATACAGTTTAGACAGATATAAGTAAATTGATTGAAGTTTTCTTTTGGATTTAAAGTGTTGATTGAATATATAACGAATACTGCAGTAATACAGAATTCAGGTATTCTCCTTGATTGAGTCTTCTAATTGTTAACCAATAGATATATCTTTCCCCCATTAGTTTCTCAACTTTTTTTGAGAATATAGTTCACTATATTATAAATATACATACCTATATTGTTGTATATATTGTATGAACATAGTTACCCTACATTATGGTTTTAAAGTGTCTATTTCTTATTGGTTAGTAGTTTTTTTCTCCTAAAATCAGAAATGTATTCCAACTTTTCTTAAGTGCATTTTGGTACTTATCAACATGATTGCATCACTTTATTCTCCAACCTAAAATAAATATATCTTTATGAATTTCTTTATGCTAACAAACACTTCCTTCAGAATGAAGCATATATGGCCAAGATATAGAATTCCTCTACTGTACAACATGTTGAAAAATTTTGAAGCTACATTCTAAATTTTTATTTAGAAAATAGTAAAACAGTATATTAACATACATATATTAGTATACCTTTTATTAATACACTGATATGGTTTGGCTGCATCCCCACCCAAATCTCAGCTTGAATTTAGCTCCCATAATTCCCATGTGTTGTGTGGGACCCGGTAGGAGACAACAGAATCATAGGGGCGGTTTCCTCCATACTGTTCTCTCGGTAGTGAATAAGTCTCACGAGATCTGATAGTTTTATAAGAGGTTTCTTCTTTCACTTGGCTCTCATGCTGTCTTGCCTGCCGCCATGTAAGATGACATCCCTTGCTCTTCCGCCATGATTGTGAGGCCTCCCCAGCCATGTGGAACTGTGAGTCCATTAACCTTTGTTTTCTTTATAAATTATCCAGTCTTGGGTATGTCTTTATCAGCAGCATGAAAATGGACTAATACATACAGTAAAACTTTAAGAAAGTGCAGAGTGAAAATGATTCTGTTTACTTGTTTTTATAAATAATGTATTTATAAAATGTGACATAATTTGGACCAGTTCCCTGTTGCTTTCTTGAAGCAATCTCCTTCTCTAACTTCCTAACAAAGAAAAAGTGTTCTGCTTTTCCTCCTTGGAATCTTCTCTTCTTTAAATTATTGACTTTTCTCTTTATAAATGACCTCTCAGTATTGGCGTTTTTAGTCCTGAGCCCTCTGCTTTTCTAATTCAATGTCTATTCCCTCCTTCCTAGGCCTTTTGTCAATAACGCTGGTATCTTGTTCCTGTTCTGCATCCCTGATTTAAACATTAAACAAACTCATGGACATTAGCACTTAAATATGTCATAGTCATCTCAAAAGTATCATTTCCAAAACCAAATACTTGACTTCCTGCTCTCTGCCCGTAGTATGTATTCTCCCCCTCTGCTTTCCTTGTCATTCTGCATAAAACTACATTGCTCAATAGTTTACACTAAAATATAGGAGACAATTCGATTCCTCTGTATTTCTCAATATTTCACATTCATGCAACCAGCAAATCACGCCATTTTAAAGTCAAAACTATATCCTAAGTTTATCTGATCACTTTACTTCACTCCCATTACCACTAACCCAATGTGTCATCACACTGTCTGACTCACTGCACCTTATGGTAAATCGAATTAAACCTGGCCTGAGAGAGCCTCTGTACTTAAATACGTGAGTCATTATGGATAACCTGTATTCTAACTTAGTAGGTAGGCAATCTGAAAACAGAGCTTAATGGTATGCTTTGATAACAATAGCTGTGTTTAAGCCTATCCCAGTAGTCAGATGTCAACCACTCATCCACGGTCAACTCTTCAAACCATGTTCAAATAAGGCAAATGCAAAGATGTAACCAGTCCGGCAGTTTCTGTACTTCGCTTCCACTTTCCGTCATCACTTATCTTTTTCAGTTTATAAATTTTTTCCAGCTGCACAGTTGCTCCAGAGTCTATCTGAATCTACTGTGATTCTAAGAGCTACCTGATTCCTGAATCGTTTTTCTTTTCCTTGCTCAAATAAACTCTATTAAATTGAATTTGTCCAAAGTTTTTATTTTAAAATTTAACCATAATTTATTGAACTTAATTTATTTCCCTCCTTCTTCTCTTGTTACCACATACAAGCAGAGGCAATTAGATGTTGACACTATGGTGATGATTTCCCAAAAATGTCAGAGTAAAATTTTAACCTTTTGCTCTACCTTCTAAGGCCCTGCATTGTGAAATTCTTACTTACTTTGCTAAATTCCCTTATATTTGCTCCATGTGCTGCAAGTTCAGAAAATGCATCCAGTTCAGAACTCACTTTGTAGAATCTATTTAGTTTCTACTATTTAGTCTAGAAGGTGTTTAGCACTTGAAAGTATTGCATGACTCCTTTTATCCATATACTTTCATTATTATATGGACAATACTTTATACCTCAACTTCTAAAATGTGTTTTTTATACATACTGTAAATATTTCAGGCTATTGGTATCTCAACTTCTCCTTGTTGAGATCCTATGATTTGTAATGCACTACATGACTCCAGAAAAATAACAAATGGCTATATATTTTATGATTAGGATATCCACAAAACAAAATAAAGTCACAGCACATGAGATCATAATCATGTAAGAAAAGATCGCATGCCCTCTAACCAAGACACAGAACTCTTTAGCTCTTCATTAAACACTCTCTGACAGGCTCTCTACCATGTAACCATGAACACGTATTGGTTTTGCCTTGAAGGCTTTAAAAATAGTTTTTGCTCAATCATAGGTATTTGTTTTCCTTTAAAAACTTTGGGGATCATGATATCTCATAAGTCACAAAGAACTGCCTAAGATTAGAAATTTTATTTCTATTGAACTCTTGTCTTGTCCCATTGAGAAAATTAACAGAAAACTCAAACTGTAATTGCTAGATTTCAGGGGAATCACTCAAGAAAGGATTCACTCCAGGTTATTATCAAAGTATTTTATTTTTTTATTTCCAGATAAGTATTCTGTATCTTTGTGTTTAAATAAACTAATTATTTCATAGCAGGGAACAAAAACCCTCAGTACTTAAAATCTTCAATTATGTAGCAGGTGTAGTGATTCTCTTCTGTGTTTTTATTTTTTTTCTGTTCACCATTTTATTGGAAGGACTCAAAAATTGACACTTTGTTCTCTTGGGAGATGACGATCTAAGTTTTTTGTTGTTGTCTATGTTGGTCTTGATTAGGTCTCATGACCTAGACCACCAGAAAAGCCCATAAAGAGTGTCAACAAAAAGAGAACAATGTGTGCAGCATAGTATAAGGGACAGAGGGTGGGCCCTACAGTGAGCACGTCTTGTATTCGAGACCTGGATTGGCCACCTCATTGATCCTGAGACTTCTTAAGCTCCAAGTCTCAAGTCCCTCATCTGTGAGATGGGTTGACAATACCTACCTCCTGGGGTAAATGGTGAGAGAGTTTTAGAAAAGACAGCATATTTTAGGCCCATTCACAGAGTTAGTGCTCAATGTGTTAACTGCAGATTAAAAAGGAATAAAACCTCACTTTCCTTAATGCTGTCATCATTGACTTGTTGCCTTTAATGTCCTAACCTGCATTTCCAATTCCAAAATCAGAACTTATTTTCTCAATGAAAAGCTGATGGAGAATGCAAGCCTAAACTAAGGGATAAATTATTTGCTTTTAAGTTTCAGAAATGTAAATATGCAGATATATTTGGAAGAGTATTAATGAGTTATACAGTCAGTTTTTAAACTTAGCAGAAACCATGACTTCCTGGATTAAAAGGGAGCATTAGTGACAAAGTTTGCTGAGATGCTGACATGTCCTACCTAAATCTTCTTAATAAGTTAAGCTATGAGTGCGTATGTGTGTGTGTGTATGAATGTTTGTGTGAGAATGCATACACAGGTGTTGTTAATAATAGCTCAACAAGATAAGTTTGAAGATTGAAAAAAAGGGAACATTTGCATGACTTACAAGATAGAAATTTGGCAGGTAGAAAGTCCTATCAAGATGTCACTTGTTCTCCCTTTATTTATTTTCATGCCTGGTTCTTGAAGCAACAAAATTGATTTTTTTACTCATTTAAATTGTGGAGAGAGCTTAATGAACTCATATAGAATCTAGTGTGTTCAAAAGTGTTGTGAAATTAAACTCCAGAACTAGAAAAATTACTAGAGAAACCTTGATTTCAAATTGTCTCAAAATCTAGAAATTTGGAAGACTGTCACAAAACATTCAAAGGAGGTGACAATTTTTAAAGTATGTTTTAACTTAAAAGCAAGAGATTGTGAACTAAAAGCATAGTCTGTGTATCAGTAAGAATATATAGGCTAGGGTTATACACATGAACAAACTAAACCCAACTAAAGTGGCTTTAAACATCAGAGGTTTATTTCTCACTCACATCATAATTTTGAAAGGTAATCTGAGGCTCTGCTCTCACATTGTGGTTGACCTCATTCTAGGACCCAGGCTTATGGATCAGCCAACAATCTAGAACATTGTTCACGAAACATAGCGGAGGCAAAGAGATTTCTAGAGGATCTTACTTCAGCATTATATACATCATCCCAGAAGTGGTGCATTTCTCTCTTTCCCTTCCAGCCCATCAGCCAAAACTAGCAACATAGCCAAAACCAATCTCAAAGAGAACCAGAAGTACAATTATGCCATTGCCTGAAATATTATGGGAGAACCAGAATACTGAAAAAATACCCTGCTGTATCTTGCCTTCTGTGCCACTCTCACAATCAAGAAGAGATAAAATATTGTGAAATGATAATGGTGCTGAAAAGGAGGAGCACAGGAATATTCCTCCACAGAATAAATAAGGGCATGTTGAGGAAAGGGGATCTTGCCTTTGGCCAGGATGAATTATGGAGAATTGCTGCCTGCAGTTGATACCTAAGTGATACAATGACAACTACTTTCAATTCTATTTTCAAAAGTGTGTGAGTAAATCAAACTGAATTTAGACATATATATTTGGAATATATTCTTGTGGATCTAATTGTGTATAAAGACAGGAAACTGATAATTAAAGGGCAAGCAAAGCATTCGCGCCTACTAAGGCTCACATGCTCAAGAAATCAAGAACACAGTAAACACTTCGTTTTTTGTTTTGTTTTGTTTTGTTTTTTGTTTTGTTTGTTTGTTTGTTTTGAGACAGAGTTCACTCTTGTTGCCCAGGAGTGGAATGGTGCAATCTGGGCTCACCGCAACCTCCGCCTCCCAGGTTCAAGCGATTCTCCTGCCTCAGCCTCCCGAGTAGCTGGGATTGCAGGCATGCGTCACCATGCCCGGCTAATTTTGTATTTTTAGTAGAGATGGGGTTTCTCCATGTTGGTCAGGCTGGTCAACAATTCTTTAGCAAATTGGGAGGACGTGGTTTGGATATCTGATAAAATGTATGCCTTGACTCCCTTTTGTGGAAAAGTTCATACCTTCAAAGGAAGCACTCAGAAATATTTTCTGTATACTACATGTGAGAATGCAGCCAGCCTCACTGACCTAGCAGCAGTAAAAAAAGAGAAGCAAAAAAATGAAGGAAAGACATTTATGATAATGTTGGGTCATGATGGTTGAAGTTTTTTCTCAGGAAGAGGAGCAGGTAAGGGAATGGGTTTGTAACCTGACTGGGAGGTTTCTTTGCAAAAGTTGACTTAGGGAAAAGCTAAGAGGAAACCAATCTGTATTATATTCTTGCAAAGTGTTATATAGTTGAGATGAATAATAAAAATGTTTTTATTTTCCACTAGGAAAACAAAGTTGGATATGTTTTCCTTGTGTATGTCACTTGTGCTTATGTGCACATCTTTCTCTTTGATACTTGTCAAGAAGTGAAGTTAATAGGAAATAGTCATGTAGATTTTTAATTCATTACAAATATCTAATTTCTTCTTAAAATAGCTACACAAGCTGAACTCCAAACAAAATGCTTTTTTTTTTTTTTTTTGAGATGGAGTCTCGCTGTGTCACCAGGCTGGAGTGCAGTGGCACAATCTCGGCTCACTGGAACCGTTGCCTCCCGAGTTCAAACGGTTCTCCTGCCTCAGCCTCCTGAGTAGCTGGGACTACAGGCGTGCGCCACCACGCCCGGCTAATTTTTGTATTTTTAGTAAAGACGGCGTTTCACCATGTTAGCCAGGATGGTCTCAATCTCCTGACCTCGTGATTCGCCTGCCTCGTCCTCCCAAAGTGCTGGCATTACAGACGTGAGCCACCAGGCCCAGCCCAAAATGAATGTATTTTTCTAGGTTGCCAAAACGAATGGTATTTTGGTTGGGTAAATCTTCACTACCCTGATTAGTGAGTTAGAGTATCTTTTCAAATATTCATTTATTTTCAGTTTCATGTCTATATTGTTCCAATATTTTAATCAACTTTTTTGACCTGATCTAATCAATTAGAGGCATTTTTCAATATTTTTTGACAACTTATCCTTTGTCTATTATATCTATTTGAAAATGGATTCTTTCAGAATCACGTATAAAATTGTACTTTGTTATAAGAATATTTAAGCATACTGCAGTTGCTTGTTGCTTTTTATTTAATTTTTGTTACAATCAAACTTATTAGAAGTTTAATTTTATAGATTTTGCTTATTGGGACTTGCTCTAGGGATTCATCCTTACCTTGAATTTATAAACATATTTTGATATATTTTCTTCTATTAAGGTATTACATTAAACTAAATTTAATTTTTGAAATATATAAGGAATAGGTAAAACTATCAATTTATCTATTTCTAAGTGGATTACTAGTAAATATACACATTTTGTAAATAAACTTGTTACATTCTTTTTAAAACTCATACAAAACAGAGTTTTATAAAAACTAAATTTTAAAAGTTGAAGAAAGAAAATACTAAAAGAAATGCACCTGTACTACAGTAAGTCATGTTAATGGCTTATTATCTGAAGGTGACAAAAGAAAACTGGAATAGCATAGAGATACAAGCTACAGGCTAATGATTATATAAATATTGCCATGCAATAGAAGTGACATTATAAAATCAATGGAATAAATAATAAGCTAAACGATATGTAATTCTAGAGCAAGACATCTCCATTTTTTAGAAAAAGACATATGTGTATATATGTGAGTGTATAAATATATATGTATATATGTACACACATGTATACATATATAGAGAGATACAGTTAGATTTCAATGATACACCATGCACAAAAAATATATATATTCCAGATAGATAAAAAGACATAAAAATAAATAGAAAAAAATCTAGGATAAATAACAGTAATGTAGTTATTTTATTTGCAGTAGAATAATAACACAAGTTACAGACAACCCAACCTAATAAATAATAAAGAATTTTGATAAAATGAATGCTTTCAAATTTTGCATGGTAAAATACAACTGCATGAAGTTAAAAGATAAGTGAGAGCGTATGAAGCTATATTTGCAGACATGTAATCATCAGTGGTATATATCCAAGATATATAAATATTTTAAATCCATAAATACATTTAGACAGCACAACAGAAAGGGAAAATTAGATGGATGGTTAACTCAAAGTTAACCTAAATCAGACAATAAACATAGGAAAAAATGTTTAATGTCACTTGTAATAAATCAAAAGAAATTATGGAACAAATATAACATATATTTCACAATTTCTATTGGCTCAATTCAAATTTTTGGTTTTTTTTTTTAGTTTTTGTCTAAATGTAGAAAATGAAATGATATTAGTTTTCTGCTAACCATGTCATCTGTTATAACCACTTAGAATATTATTATTATATTATCTGGTACAATAGAAGATACGCATCTCCCTTGTATACTAATTTCAGTTCTGAAGACCTATCACTAGAATACACAACTGTTGATGGGTTTTTTTCAGAGATATATTTTAATAGGCAAAAAAAGAAACTGCATAAGTGATCTTCGAAAGGGGAATATTGAAATACATATCACAATAAGGAAAGAAATACCATACAAATGATAAAGTAGACATAAGTACAAACTAGAAATACATGGACATATTTACATGTATTTTAGATAATTAACAAGAGCATAGAGTCAATAAAGGAAGTATGAAACAATTCATGTATTATATCATTTTTATAATGTCATAAAAATGCAAATGTATTTATTGATACCAATAAATACATCAAATGTATAAAAATATGGATAAGGAGAACACATACAGATTTAAAGTCATAATTACCTCTTAAGAGGGAGAGAGAGAGAGAATGGAAGACATCAATAGTCCACTGAATGTGTAAAATTTTCATTAAAAACATTAAGTTTATGTCAAACACGTTAATATCTGTGACAGTTGGTTTGTAGTTCTGGAAGTATCCTTTAAAAATATTCTATACATCTGAAATGTGTTGTACTTATTATTTTAACTAAAATCTAAATCAGTCCATTTATCACGCTGCCATTACAAAAATGTTTCACCCAATTCCTAGATGATTAATGAGAAGGTGAAACTATGTCCTGTATATATGCACACATTTTTCTTCTCAGTTTGCCTAGAGGCCACCTGTAGAGGACAGATGATATCTCATACCAACCTAGATGTGTCAAAGAAAGAGTTTTATAGCAAAATATTGGCATGTAGTGTCAGCATATTGATGTTATCTGGGTCACTGACTCCCGTTCAGGCTTATGTTATGTTAAATGTCATATTCATTCCACAATCGTCGGTTTCTGAAGCTTATTAATCATAAACGGTTAGCATAAGCCTAGGCAGGAAAAATACACATTCCAGCAGGTATTTTATTCACTGAAAATTTAATTGTGATGGAGACAAACATCTGTGATCCCCGAAAGCCTGGTTGGTCCAGGATAATGTATTTCTTACGTGCTGTTTCTTCATGGGTAAAGCAAAACATATAGCCCAAATTATGCTCTTCAAAAGAGTGCATTTGGTGTGCTTTCTGCAACCTTTTCTTTTTTTGTCCAACTGTGAGATAGTTTATATTCTTGCAGAATTTATAATGCAAAAAAGGCTAATTTTTAACAATTAATTGTGTTATCACTTCCACTCCACTCTAACAATCAAATCTAATATCCTTCTGTACCTTTTGTGTTGAACAAACTCAAGGCTTTAACAATTCTGCCAATACTAACAGACAAATACGTGGGATTTACTGTAACCAATTACTACATATCTGGAATTTCCTCTCCACCTTTTCTGAGTTTCTGCAATGCTTTGGTATAATAATTCTTGCTTTTCCTCCTATAACTTCAGGCTGAAATATTCACATACTCACAGATTTAACGTTAAAGGTATTTGCTCATGATGTCTCAACCTATCCCTTAGAATATGTGACAGGATGAAGCAAAAACTGTAAAAAAAATAGGAGCAGTCCACTAAACTAGATAAAGTATTGGATAAATATTATGTAGAAAAAAGTGACACAAAATTCACAAGTCATGTGACTTTGGGGAAATTTCTCAACTTCTTTGCATCTCAATATTTTTGTTTATAGAATGGAGACTTTACAATAATTAAAACAAAAATTAATACATAAGACATAATAATTAATACAAAAGTTATAACAATAACTGGAACACATTCAGTGTTATATAAACATTATCATTATCATCAGCATGATTTTCTCAGAGATTTAAGATGCTTAAGGCTGTTAGTAAACAACAACAATTAGTGGCCACATCCATATAGCTTATAAGTATAATGTCATTGTATAGTTATACTAGCATCTGTGTGTGACTTATGTATCGCTGCATAATTTATGTTAAATAACATTTTTTTTTGAGACAGTGTTTCACTCTGTCACCGAGGCTGGAGTGCAGTGGAGAATTCTCGGCTCACTGCAACCTCTGCTTCCCGGGTTCAAGAGATTCTCCTGCCTCAGCCTCCTGAGTAGCTGGGATTACAGGTGTGTGCCACCATGCCCAGCTTTTTTTTTTTTTTTTTTTTTTTTATTTTCTTTGTTTGTTTTAGTAGAGACAGGGTTTCATCATGTTGGCCAGACTGGTCTCGAACTCCTGACCTCGAGTGATTTGCCCACCTCAGCCTCCCAAAGTGCTGGGATTACAGGCTTCAGCCACCACACCCAGCCAACTTATGTTAGATAACATTTATAGGAGGCCATTGGTTTGGACTGAGCTCCTGTGTTAGGTCCAACAGCCCAAAAAGTACAAAATTACTCATGCTGAAGTACACCTCCAAACCAAAAGATATTCTTCTGACTGTCCAGGAAATTAGAAGAAAGATAAATACTAGCCAAATCCGCAAACAGGCCAGTTTTAGTCGGTGTGATAAGAAAGTTTCCTCTGCTTTAATCTTTATAAGAAAAGTAACTTTGAATCAACCAATTCACTTTTTGTTCTCTATATTTACTTTTCTCAGCCCTTTATTGTCTATAAAATAACATCCTTTGCTCAGCCTATTAGAACAATTCTAGAATTAAAAATATAAACCAGTTAAGATCTTTAAATTTGTTGTAATTTTATCTTTGATGCATATTCCCACCAACATTTCAGATTACAACAACGTATTTGTTTTTTCTTTGTTTGTTTAATTCTGTTTCCGAGATGGCGGGTTGGGGGCATTGTTAGCATGGCTCCGCCACTTCGAAGGACAAAATATCGTGCAGAGTTTCATGCTGTGAGTATTTTTTTTTCCCAAGAAACAACAGAAGAACTTAACAGAAAAACTGAAAATAACTACAGACTTTATGAAAGAAGCAGCAGGCAGCAACCTACACCATGAGTGAGGCAGAAAACTGTGAGTCTTCAGAATGTGAGAGGGGAGAGATTGCCTCCATGACACACACTCCCACTGAGCAGCAGGACAACCCAGGCCACAGGGAAATGCCTTCACTCTGTTCAGCGCTGGAGCTGACTTAGTGAGCAGTAGGGAGAATGTGGGAAGGAGCAGCATTTGTGTGTACTCTCAGACTCCAGCAGAGATGTAGGAAAATCATCCTAATCCTACTTCACAGGACACCTCACGGAAGTGTGCCAGCTCACTCAGGTGGTTGTTACAGGTTTCCAGAGGTTCCTAACTGAGGTTTGCAAAATAATCTCAAGTGGGGATGAACCCCCTGGGCCAGAACCAAGAGAGGAGCGGGAAGTGTGCTATAGCCACCTATATAACCTCAGCCGGGCACCCCTCCTTTGAGGGTGGACCAGGAGGATCACAGCCTGAAAGCCACTGTTTTTCTCTTAGTTGGGAGGGCTTATGGTAGGTGGCAGTTTGGAGTACCAAGTGCAGACTACCTGGAAACTAGCTAGCTGCTGCTAGCAAAACACTGTGGGTGTGAGACCTGCCTTGGCAAGAGCATGAGAGCTGAGTGGGGCTGACTGCCGCCTGCTCCCCATGTGTATTCTTTTCTGGTCTTACTCATTTGTTTAGAGACGGAGTTTCACTCTGTCACCCAGGCTGGAGTGCAGCGGCGTGATCTCGGTTCACTGTAATCTCTGCCTCCCATGTTGAAGTGATTCTCCTGCCTTAGTCTCCTGAGTAACAGGGATACAGGCATGTGCCACCATGCCTGGCTAATTTTCTGTAATTTTAGTAGAGACTGGGTTTCACCATGTTGGTCAGGCTGGTATCGAACTCCTGACCTCAAGTGTTCTGCCCGCCTCAGCCTCCCAAAGTGCTGAGACTATAGGTGTGAGCCACCGCACCCAGCTCCCATGTGTGTTGTTTTATGTAAGACAGGCAGCTGCACTCCTCCCTGAACATGACCTGAGCAGCCAGAGATCTGCCCTCTGATTCCCACCAGTCCCACTGCTTGCCCCTATGTATTAGTCTGTTCTAGCATTGTTATAAAGAAATACCTGAGAGGGAATAATTTATAAAGAAAACAGGTTTAATTGGCTCATGGTTCTGCAGGGTGTACAGAAATAACAGCAGCATCTGCTTCTGGGGAAGCCTCAGGAAACATCATGGTGGAAGGCGAAGAGGGGGCAGGCCCATCGCAAGGTGAGATCAGGAGCAACAGGGCAAAGTGAGGAGGGGCTACACAGTTTTAAATGACCAGATCTCACAAGAACTCGCTCACTGTTGTGAGGACAGTACCAAGGGAGATGGTGCTAAACCATTCATGAGAAACCTGCCCCCATGATCCAATCACCTCCCACCAGGCCTCACTTATAACATTGGGAATTACATTTCAGTATGAAATTTGAGCAGGAACACACATCCAAACTATATCATCCCACTCTTGTCCCCTCCCACGCGTCGTGCTCGTCTCACATTTCAAAATACAATCATGCCTTCCCAATTATCTCCAAAGTGTTAACTCATTGTAGCATTAACTCAAAAGACCAAAGTCCGAAGTCTCATCTGAGACAAGGCTAGTCTCTTCTGCCTATGAGCCTGTAATATCAAAAACAAGTTAGTTACTTACAAGATACAATGGGAATATAGGTGGGAAAATACTCCTCTTCCAAAAGGGAGACATGGGCCACACGAGAGGGGCTACAGGCCCTCTGAAAGTCTGAAACCCAGCAGGGCAGTCATTAAATCTTAAAACTCCAAAATAATCTCCTTTGATTCCATGTCTCGCATCCAGGCCACACTGATGGAAGGGGTGGACTCCCAAGGCCTTGAACAACTCCGCTTCTGTGGCTTGGCAGGGTTCAGCCCCTGCAGCTGCCTTCACAGGTTATAGCTGAATCCATTTGGCTTTTCCACATACTGCCTGCAAGCTGCTGATGGGTCTCCCATTCTACAGTCTGGAGGATGGTGGAGCTCTTCTCACAGCTCCACTAGGCAGTGCCCCGGTGTGGACTCTGTGGGGGCTCCAACCCCATATTATTCCTCTTCACTGCCCTAGTAGAGTGAGGAATCTGCCCCTACAGCAGGCTTCTGCCTGAAACACTCAGGCTTTTCCATACTTCCTCTGGAATCTAGGCGGAGGCACCCAATTCTTAACTCTTGTACTCTATGCAGCCACAGGCTTAACACCATGTGGAGCTCACCATGTTTATGGCTTGCATCCTCTGAAGCAGTCACCAAGCTGTACCTGGGCCCTTTTGAACCACAGCTTGAGCTACAGTGGCTGGGATACAGGGAGCAGTGTCCCCAGGGTGTGCAGGGCAGCAGAGTCCTGGGCCTGGCCCACAAAACCATTCAGTTCTCCTAGATTTTGGGCTTGTGATGGAAGGGGCTGCTGGGAAGTTCTCTGAAATGCCTTTGAGGCCTTTTTCCCATTGTCTTGATTATTAGCACTTGGCTCCTTTTTGCTTATGCAAATTTCTGCAGCCTGCTTGAATTCCTCCACTGAAAATGGGCTTTTCTTTTCTACCATGTGGCCATTCTGCAAATTTTTCAAACTTAGATACTCTGCTTCCCTTTTAAATATAAGTTCCAACACATTTATTTGCTCCTGCATCTGAGCTAGGCTGTTAGAAATAGCCACACTACTTCTTGAACACTTTACTGCTTAGCAATGTTCTTTGTTAGATACTCTAGGTCATCATTCTCAAGTTAAAACTTTCACGTATCCCTAGGACATGAGCACAACCCAGCCAAGTTATTTGCTAAGGTATAACATGTATGACTTTTGCTCTAGTTCACAAGAAGTTTCTCATTTCCATCTGAGACTTCATCAGCCTGGGCTTTACTGTCCGTATCACTATCAGAATTTTGGTTACAACCATTTAACCAGTCTCTAAGAAGTTCCAAAGTTTCTCTGATTTTTCTCTCTTCTTCTGAGTCTTGCAAACTCTTCCAGCCTCTTCCCATTACCCAGTTCCAAAACTGCTTCCACATTTTCAGGTATCTTTACAGAAATGCCACATTCCTGATACCAATTTTCTGTATTGGGCCATTCTTGCATTGCAGTAAAAAAAATACTGAGACTGAATAATTTATAAAGATAAGGGGTTTAGTGGGATCATGGTTTTTCAGGCCATACAGGAAGCATAACAGCATCTGTTTCTGGGAAGGCCTCAGGGAACTTCTAATCATGGTGGAAGGCAAAGGGGAAGCAGCCACGTTACATGATAAAAGCAGAAGCAAGAGAGTGAGGGGAAAGGTGCTACACACTTAAATGACTAGATTTCACAAGAACTCACACACTATTGCAAGGACAGTACCAGCAGAGGTAGCACTAAGCCATTCATGAGAAACCTGCCCTCATGATCCAATCATCTCCCACCAGGCCCCACCTTCAACACTTGGGATTACATTTCAATATAAGATTTGACTGGAAACACACATTCCCCAACCCACATGTGGGGAGCCAGAATTGCATGACTAAACCCCCACCCAGCTTTGCTCCTCTACTTGCGCTGGTAGCATAATATAACACACAGGGACTTTTGAGAGCTCCATGGACCTGCTTATTGCCAGAGGCACGAGAATACTTCCACTGTGTAAAATAAGACAAGCAGAAATTTCACTGTTACCATCACAGCTGGTGCTCTTTGGAAAGCATCACCTCCCAGCTGGAAGCCAACTGGCACAGCCCATTACAACATCTGCAGACACAATAACAGTGCTTACTTAGGAGAAAACTTTTGCATGACTGTAGCTATTAGCATTGCCTGCATCATCCTGGATAACCAGGAGGTCCTGAATCTGCACATTACTACAACAGCTTGCATTTGAGATAACCAACACAATAAGGCTATTTATAACCAAAAAATCTTGAAGAATCTGTATTTCTCCTACCCCCATCAGAACTGATGCTGGTACCTGATGCTGGGAGACTAGAGAACAAATCACATAGCTGAATCCCATGCAGATATTCTATAGCACCACACTGGAACATGGCAGCCCTACTGGGTGGCTAGACACTAAGGAGCAGGAGAATTCACAGTTGCCTAGCCCTCAGGGGCTGCTACTCTTAGGAGAAGGGGAAGTGCACGACATTAAGGGACCACCCCATAGGACAAAAGAAACTAGACTGCAGGCCCTGTGTCTCTGAACTTTCTTTCCTCTTGTGGAAATTTTCTTTCAACAGAGGCACAGGTGCAGTTCTGGGCTCAGTAGGGAAAGTTTGTGGCTCTCACACAACAGTCAGGCAGCCCTAAAGGTTATGAAGGACCTCGGAGAATGAGATTTATTCTCCACCTCACCCACCACTGAAGACACTGCTGGGGCTTCTCCCATGTGAGCTCTGCAGGGGTGTATCTATAGACAGCCTTTCTGGAATACTCAGGGTGACTACATTCCCACAAGACGAGTGCCTTTTAGGTTCAGATTTGCACAAGGGGGAGAGTCACAATCCCATTCTACAGGGTACATCAGCATTCTGGCAAATGAAAAGAGGTATTTGTCTGATCTGAATAGCTGGAAGACTGGGCCAGTGTGACTTGGAGGCATACTGCTTTCCTTCTGGCATGGAAGGAGAGCTGTCATGGCCCCTTCTTACCCCTGAAAATACCTCAGTGCATTTCAATGAGCGCTTCCCCAGCTGCCTTTGTCAATGCTGGGACTGTTGTCCACCATTGGGTATTGCATTTACCAACCTGTTATAGCCACAGCTGTTTTTTCATCCATGGGTACTTTCTACTGGCTAAAGCCTAAACTGTTCAACACAGAGAATAAAATATTGGGGAAAATGTTTTTAAAGTGCACACCACTGGGGGACGAGATAAGATTCATGAGATTCTGCCATTCCAGTCTCAAAGGAGACAATGCTCACACACCTAGCACACTGCTACTACAACCAGCATCTGAAAAATCATCACACTAAGATTCTCTATAATCATGGAAATGGTATAATTATCACCACTTAAAGCACCCTGAGCCAAGCTAAGTGACAATAAATAATAAAAGTAAAATCACATCCTTAAGGGGAAAAAACTAAAGAAGTTAAAAAAACACTGTTGAATTAAAAATAAATTCAAAAATAATTAGAAGAAATATTCTACACAAATGGAGGAGAAATCAGAAAAATATTTCTGGCAATATTAAAAAAAATAGTGTCCTAAAACATCCCCAAAGATCACACTAATTCTCACTAACTGTTGAATCCAAACCAAGATGAAATCTTTGAAATAACACATGAAGAATTCAAAAGATTGATTATTCACTTACTCAATGAAATACAATAGAAAGGTGACAACCAACATAAAGTTAAAATATCAATTCAAAATATGAAAGAGAAATTTGCTAAAGAGATATTTCAAAAAAAAAATCAGAATTTCTGGAAATAAAAGATACATTTAGAAAGCTACAAAATGCAGTGGAAAGTGTTAACAATACGCTAGACCAAGTAAAAGGAAGATTATCAGAGCTTGATGACAAGGCTTTTGAATTAACCCAGTAACAGAAAAATAGAGAAAAAAGAATTAATGAACAAATTATTCAAGAAATATGGGATTATGTAAAATGGCCAAACCAAACCTAAGAATCATAGGTGTTCCCGAGGGAAAAGAAAAACTGAAAAAATTTGAAAAACGTATTTAAGGGAATAGTTGAAGAATACTTCCTGACCTTGCTGGAATAATGATTATTACCTAGTGACTTTGTTTTCCTCATTATGTTGCTATGTTATAAGCCTGGCCTTGCTAGAAATTTAGAAATTAAAATATAAGAGGCTCAAAGAACTCCTAGGAGAATCATTGAAAAAAAATATTACTAAGGCTTATAATCATCAGGCTATCTAAAGTCAATGTGAAGGAAAGAATCCTAAGAGTGAGACAAAAGAACAAGGCAACCTGTACAGGAAAATGTATCGTATTAACCCAGACTTCTCAGCAGAGAACTGAGGGAGCTAAAACTACAAGCCAGAAGGTATTGGGGTCTTTTCTGTATTCTCCTTAAAGACAAAAACTGTCAGCCAAGAATTTTGTATTCAAGAAAACAAATTTTATAAATGAGACAGAAATAAAGTATGTCTCAAATAAAGGCTGACTGAATTTGTCACTACTAGACCAACCCTACAGGAAATGCTAAAAGGAGTTCTAAATCTTGAAACAAATTACCAGCATGCAGCAGAATAGAACCTCCTGAAAGCATAAAATTCACAAGGCTTATAAAATAACAACACAGTGAGGAAAACAAAGTCACTAGATAACAATCATTATGATGACAGAAACAATACCCCATATCTCAATATTAATGTGGAATATAAATGCTCTAAATGCTCCACTAAAAAATACAGATTGGCAGAAAGGATAAAAATTACAGACCAAATATCTGCTATCTTCAGGAGATGCACCACCTAGCACATAAGGATTCTTATAGACTCAAGGTAAAGGAGTGGAAAACAAAGTTCATGCAAATGGAAACCAAAAGTGAGCAGGAGTAGCTATTTTTCTATCAAGTAAAACATCCATTAAAGCAACAACGTTTACAAAAAAGACAAAGAAGGTCCTTATATAATGATGGATCAATTGAGCAAGAACATATAACATATATAATGTTAAATATATATGCATCGGAGCTCCCAAATTCATAAAACAATGACTACTAGAGCTAAAAAAAGAGATAGCAGCCGAGTAATAGTGGGAACTTTAATACTCCACTGATAGAACTAGACAGATTATTGAGACAGAAAGTCTACAAATAAACACTGGACTTAAACTTCACTGTAGAACAAATGGACCTAACAGATATTTGCAGAACATTCTACACCAAAACTTCAGAATATACATTTTGCTCATGGAACATACTCCAAAACAGACCACATAATAGGCCACAAAACAAGTCTCAATAAATTTTTAAAAATTTAAATCACATCAAGCATCTTCTCAGACCACAGTGGAATAAAACTAGAAATCAATTCCATAAAATACCCTCAAAACTAAACAAATACATGAAAATTAAGCAAACTGCTTCTAAATGATTTTTGAGTGAACAATGAAATCAAGAAAGAAATTTAATTTTAAAAAATAAATAATAAAAGTGACACAAGTTATCAAAACCTCTGAGATACAGCAAAAGCAGTGCTAAAAGGAAAGCTTATAACACTAAAAGGAAAGTTTATAGCACTACATACCTATATCAAAAAGTCTGAAAGATCACAAACTGGCAATGTAAGATCACACCTCAAAGAACTAGAGAAACAGGAATGAACCAAAATCAAAGCTAACCAAAGAAAGGAAATAACAAGGATCACAGCAGAATCAAATAAAATTGAAACAAAAATACAAAAGAACACTGAAACAAAAGTTAGTGTTTTTTTTAACATAAACAAAATTGATAGATCACTAGCTAAATTATCTAAGAAAAGAAAGAGAAGACTCAAATAAGCTCAATTTGAAATGAAAATGGAGTCATTGCAACCAACACTGTAGAAACACAAAAGATCATTTGAGACTACCATGAACATTTTTATGCACACAAAGTAGAATATCTAAACTGAATGAAAAAAGTCCTCAAAACATTCTACTCTCTAGCTTGAATCAGGAAGAAATAGAAACCCTTTACAGACTAATAACAAGTAGTGAGATTAAACCAGTAATTAAAAAAAAAAAGACTTGCCAACAAAACAATCTCAGGGCCAGATGCACCCACAGCCAAATTCTAAAATTTGAATTTTAGAATGCAAAATTTGAGGTTTATACACAAAGTAAAATTAGGACCGATTCCACTGAAATTTTTCTAAAAAACTGAGAAGGAGAGGATTCTCCGTAACTCATTCTATGAAGCTGGTATTATCTGGATACCAAAGCCAGAAGGGGATATAACAAACAAACAAACAAAAAGAAAATTACAGACCAATATCTCTGCTGAATATAGGTGTAAAAGTTCTCATTAACATACTAGCAGAGCAAATCCAACAGCACATCAAAAAAGAATTTACCATGATCAACTGGGTTTCATCCCATGGATGCAGGGATGGTTCAACATACTCATGTCAATAAAACTGATTCACCACATAAATAAAATTAAAAATAAAAACCATATGATCATCTCAATAGACATAGAAAAATTAGTTCATAAAATCCAGCATCTCTTTATGATTTTTATGAAGATTTTTACCTTCAACAAACTAAGTATGAAAAACATACCTCAAAATACTAAAAGTCATATATGACAAACCCACAGCCAACATACTGAATGGAGAAAAGTTAAAACCATTTCCACTATTAACTGGAACAAGACAAAGAAGTCCACTGTTACCACTTCTGTTCAACATAGTATTAAAATCTTAGCCAGAGCAATCAGGCAAGAGAAAGAAAGTAAAGGCATCCAAATTGGAAAAGAGGAATTTAAACTATTGCTGTTTGCCAATGATAAAATCTTAACCCTAGAAAATCCTAAAGAATCCTCCCAAACACTCCTAGATCAGATAAATAAATAAAGTTTCAGTTTACAAAATCTTTATATACACAAATCAGTAGCATTGCTATACACTGACAACAACCAAGCTGAGAATCAAATAAAGAACTCAATTTCTTTTATAATAGCTACAAAAAGTAAAAATTACCTAGGAAAATACTTAACCAAGGAGGTAAAACACGTCTACAAAGAGAACTACAAAACACTGCTGAAAGAAATTATAGGTGACAGAAACGAATGGAAATATACCACATATTCATGGATTGTAAGGATCAATACTGTAAAAATGACAGCGTTGCCCAAAGCAATCTGTAAATTTAATGCAATTTCTATCAATGTATCAACATCATCTTTTCACAGAATTAGAATCCTAAAATTCCTATGGAAAGCAAAGGCCAAATAGCCAAAGCAATTCTATGCAAAAAGAACAAAGTTGGAGGCATTACATGACCTGACTTCAAATTATATTAAAAGGCTATACTAAACAAAACAGCATGGTATTAATAAAAAAGTAGAAACATAGACCAACAAAACAAAATAGAAGAGCCCAGAAATAAAGCCAAATACTTACAACCAACTCATCTTCAACAGAGCATACAAAACATAAATTGGGTAAAGGACACTCTATTCAATAAATGGTGCTGGAAAATTGGATCACCACCTGTAGAAGAACTGAAACTGGATCTCTGCCTCTCATCATATACAGAAGTTGACTCAAAATAGATTAAGTACTTACATCTAATTTCTGAAACCATAACAAGTCTAGAAGAAAACTTAGGAAATCTGTTCTGGAGACTGGCCCAAGCAAAGAATTTACGACTAAGACTCCAAAAGCAAATGCAACAAAAATAAAAATAAATAAATGGGACCTAATTAAACTAAAAAGCTTCTGCACAGCAAAATAAGTAATCATCAGAGTTAATAACCTATAGAATGGGAGAAAATATTTGAAAATTATGCCTCCAACAACTAATATGTAGAATCTATAAGGAACTCATACAAATCAGCAAGAAAAAAACCAAATAATCCCATTAAAATGTGGGCAAATGACATGAATAGAAATTTCTCAAAAAACATATACAACTGGGCAAAAAAACTATGAAAAAATGCTCAACATCGTTAACACCAGATAAATGCAAATTAAACCCACAGTGAGATGCCATCTTACCCCAGCCAGAATGGCCATTATCAAAAAGCCAAAAAACAATAGATATTCACATGGAAGTGATGAAAAGGGAATGCTTATACACTACTGGTGCACATACAGTTAGTACAACCTCTATGGAAATCAGTATGGCAATTTCTCAAAGAACTAGAAATAGATCTACCTTTCAATTGAGTAATCCCATTACTGAGTATCTACCCAAAGGAAAAGTCACTATATCAAAAAGAAGTGTGCATCCATAAGTTTATTACAGCATGATTCACAATTGCAAAGAAATGTAATCAACCTAAATGCCCAAACCACCAATGAGAGGATAAAGAAAAAGTAATGAGTGGATAAAGAAAATGTGACATACGTTCTTTGTTATGGCTGAGTAGTATTCCATGGTATGTATGTATGTATGTATACACTCACACACACACACACACTTACATACCATGGAATACTATTCAGCCATAACAAAGAATGAAATAATGTCTTTTCCAGCAACTTGGATGGAACTTGAAGCCATTACTCTACGTGAAGTAGCTCAGGAATCAAAAAACAAATACTGCATGTTCTCACTTCTAAGTGAGAGCTAAGCTATGGGTACACAAAGACATACGGAGTGATAGAATGGACATCGAAGACTCAAAACAAAGGAGGGTGGGACTTGGATGAGGGATGAAAAACTATGTATTGGGCACAACGTACACTACTTGAATAATAATGAGTGCACTAACATCCCAGGCTTCGCCACTATACAATTCATCCATGTAACAACAACAATAACAATAAAAAAATTGTGCCACTAAAACTATAAAAATAATTTCTAAATAATAAAATAATACACTTATTATCTCATAGTTTCAGTGAATCAGGAGTCCTGGAACAATTTATCTGCGTATTCTGTTTCAGGTCTCTCAAAGCTGCAATAAAGATACTGCCTAGGGTTGTGATCTCATCTGAGGTTTGACTAGAGACGGGGACATTTCCAAACTCACATGGTTTTTGACAGAACTCAGTTTCCATGGGCTGCTTTCGTAGTCTCTTTCCGCTGCTATAATATAGTACTACAAACTGGGTAGCTTATAAAGAATAGAAGTTTATTTCTTATAATTCTGGAGGCTGGGAAGGTCAAGATCAACTTGCCAATAGATTTGGTGTCTGGTGTGGACACACTTTCTCGTTCACAGATGACACCTTCTCACTGTGTTCTCACGTGATGTAAGGAGAAAGGGATCTGTCTGAAGTCTCTCTTGTAAGGGCACTAATTCTACTTTACTCCTATGACATAATAACCCCTCGAAGGCCCCACCTCCTAACACTATCACTTTGGAGTTTAGGATTTTAACGTATAAATGTCGGGAGGATGCAAATATCAGACCATGCCAGCTGCTGAATTGAAGTTTTGGGTTCGTTTCTGTCAGCCACAGGCTGTCCTTGGCTCCTTCCTGTGTGGCAGCTTACAGTATAAGAGCTTGCTTCTTAAAACCTCCAAGGGAAAGACAAAAATCTCCTTGCAAGATCCACTATAATCTTACATAATACAGTCAGGTTGAGGTAATTGCACAGACCACCTTTCCTGTGATCTGTTTGTTACAAGCAGGTCACAGGTTCCATTTCCACTTAAAGGGAGGGAATCAAGAAAGAGTAAGAACACTATTAAGTTGAGCATCATGGGGTGCACTCCAGAGTCTCAATTCACATTCCTCCTATATGCAAAATACATTCATTCCCTTTCAAGTCCCCAAGTCTGTAATCCTATTATAACATGTGATCAAAACCCCAAAAGTCATAATCTAAATTACTTCCACATGTGGATGAGACTCCTTGCATATAACAATCTTTATCTGACAATCTGGAAAGCAAACCCAACAAGTTATTTGCCCTTCAAACTTGGAGTACAATGGTGGCACAGTCATAGCATAATAGTTATAGACATTCTTATTCAAAAATGGAGAAAGTGAAGGCACAAAATAGTCACTAATCAATAGCCGTGCTGAAATCCAGCTGGGTAAATGTCCAGAGTTGCTTGGTTGGGATTTAAGGGCTGCATATAGTTCTCAGTTACTCTGGGTTCAACTCTCTGTGCTGTTGGTTCTGCCCTCTTTCTTTTTCATGAAAGCTGACAAGTATTTGCAGCTGAGTAGTTTTGCTTGCCTTCTGTTTGTCAGCAGAATTGGGGGTACAAAACAATATTCTTTCATTTTGTACTCTCTCTGTCTTTTTTGATCCAAGCTGGTAATGTCTGCTGAAATAACTCTCAAATACTTTGTGAGTCTCATGAAAAATATCCCTGTGGCTCACTCAGTCATAAAAAAGCCATACCCACAGACTGCTTTTAAGATAAGCTCTTCTTTCTTGGGCTTCTGCTGACAAGGCTGGGGACGTAGTCTATAGGCTTCCTAGAAATTCTGCGGTTTGGTTGAGAAGTCTGCAAGGCACACTCTTAATCTCTTAAAACAGTCCTTTGTGTAACTGAGTACCATGTCCATGTTTCTGTCTTTCTGAAATGTTAACAGAAGTTTATTCAGTCACACTCCTGGCTTTTGTTCTTGACCTTATTTTCCTGAAGTTATTTGGAAACCTTTTCAAAATGTTAGCATTCTTTGCTGTCTGGAGAGGCTGAGAATATCCAAAATGGTCAAGCCCTTCCTTTTTTTTTTTGCTTTACAAGTTCTTCCCTCAATTTCTCTTTTTCCTCTCAAATTTTGTTATAAGCAACAAAAATACATAGGCCCATAGCTTCAACCCTTATTTTGGAAATCTCCTTAAGTAGACAACAAATTTCTTCTTTCCACATTAACTGGCTCTAAGGGAAACAATTTTGCTAAGATTTCTTCCAGCACATAGCGAAGATACCCCTTTCTCTAGTGTCCAATAGCATGTTCTTCTCTTCCTTTTGAATGTTCACCAGAAGTATACTCAAAGTCTGGATTTTGGCCAACATCTCTTCATGGAGATTTAGAGATACAGTGGTTGGTAGTTTGTGTTTCACAAATTCTTAATTTTCTTTCATGGAAATATATTTGCCAGAAAACCTTGTTTATTTCTTTTTAATCTACTCACTTCCTGTTTCCAAAATGTAATCCTTTAAGCCAAAACACTAGAGATGATAATTTTAATTGATTTAAGACTTATCAATACTGCAGTTGAATCACTTAGTAGCTGATACTTAGGCTCCTGATAAACATAAGCTGATGCTTTTTCTGTCTAAAAGACTCTCCTCAAACACCTCTCCTAGACTGGTTGTAACTGCAAAGACTGCAATTCATTTATGTGAGTTTCATTCTCATAGAAGCAATACTATGAGTACAATTTACAATTTGACTTTTCACAATAGTTCTCCACTGTTACACATACAGTACGTTGTCATAAGATACAACAGTTAATCATAACATCAAAGTAAAATAGAAGAACCTCCATGTTGCATTTTTATTTTTGCCTATTGTTTTGTCAGTGTTATCACACTACACATTTCAATACTGAGTGCAGTTAAAATCAAATGGTAATCCTTACAATGAGTAGAAAGACGATTCTCAAGATTCTGAGTATCTAAATATATCGTAAGTTAAAGTTTCAAAGGTATTCAAATATGTAATTTCATATTTCCAGAAACACCCAAGGAGTAAAATAAAAGTTTGGAGTTTGAAATATTGGTAAAATATTAAGCTGCAGCCTATACGTGCTTCAAAGCTTCCCTATTGGGTCAAACTAACTCACATTCATCACTATAACAAAACAGGATATTTTGTAAAAGTTGCTTATTTGTCACTATTTCTAATGTTGTCTAATCAACACCAAGGGGATAAAGGGGGTAAAAGGGGAATCATCAACCATTTCATGTTAACAATGGCACAATATATTACAGCAAGTAACTATTTTTATAATAATCAAGACTGGTCGGTGGAAAACGAAAAGTCTACATCAAAAGCAATATTAAAAACCTTGGTTTTGACCTGCCAGATCCAGGGAAACTGGGTGGTCCAGACAGGGAGGAATTCCCCACAGTGCAACACAGCTGCTGTGGCAGATTGTAGCCAGACTGCTTCTTTAAGTAGGACCCTGATCCATCCCTCCTTACCCAGAAGGGTCTCCCTGCAGGAATTTCAGCAACTCCAGCCACGGTTTTATAAACAGAACTCTGATCTCCCCCTGGGATGGAGCCACCATGGGGATGGGCAGCCACCATATCTGCAGCTCAGCTGACAGACTTTCCTTCCTGCTGGCTCTGGAAAGTTTGGGCAATCTGGACAAGGGGACTTCCCTGCAGTGCAGCGCACCTGCTCTGCCAAGGGGCAGCCTGACTACTTCATTAAGTGGGACCCTGATCCTGTTCCTCCTCACTGGGTGAGACCTCCCAATAGGGATGTCCAAAAACCTGCTACAGGAGCATCTCAGCTGGAATGAGGTCAGTGCCCCCTATTAGATGGAGCTCCCAGAGGAAGGAGCAGGCTGCTATATTTGCTGTTTTGGAGCCTTCACTGATGATAACTTCTCGTGCAGGAGGATCCAAGGTGACAGGGTCTAGAGTGGACACCTACCAAAATGTAGCAGCCCTAAAGAAGAGGAGCCTGACATTTAAAAGAAAAACAAAAAATAACAACAACATAAAAGACCCCCAAAAAACTCCACTCAAAGGTCAGCAACCTCAAAGATCAAAGGTCAATAAATCCACAAAGATGAGAAAGAATCAATGCAAAAATGTTGAAAACCCAAAAAGCCAGACTGTCTCTTCTTCTCCAAATGATTGCAATACCTGTCTAGCAAGGGTACAGAACAGCTGAGGCTGAGATGAACGAATTGACAGAAGTAGGCTTCAGAAGATGAGTAATAACAAACTTTGCTGAGCTAAAGCAGCACGTTCTAACCCAATGCAAAGAAACTAAGAATCATGATAAAACATTACAGGTGCTGATAACCAAAATAGTCAGTTTATAGAGAAACATAAATAACCTGATGGAGCTGAAAAACACAACACAAGAACTTCATAATGCAATCACAAGCATCAATAGATAAATAGACCAAGTAGGGAAATGAATCTCAGAGCTTGAAGACTGTATTTTGGAAATAAGACAGGCAGATAAGAATAGAGGTAAAAGAATAAAAAGCAATGAACAAAACCTCCAAAAAATATAAAATTATGTAAAAAAGACAAAACCTATGACTTATTAGGGTACCTGAAAAAGATGGGGAGAATGGAACCAAGTTGAAAAACATACTGCAGGATATCATCCAGGAGAACTTCTCCAACCTGGCAACACCGTCCAATAATCAAATTCAGGAAACGCAGAGAACTCCATTAAGATACTCCACAAGAAAATCAACCCCAAGGCACATAACCGTCAGATTCTCCAAGGTCGAAATGAAAGGAAAAATGTTAGAGCAGCCAGAGAGAAAGGCCATGTCACTTACAAAGGGAAGCCCATCAGACTACCAGTGGACTTCTCAGTGGAAATCCTAAAAGCCAGAAGAGACTGAGGGCCAATATTCAATATTCTTAAAGAAAACATTTTCCAACCCAGAATTTCATATCTGGCCAAACTAAACTTCATAAGCAAATGAGAAATAAGATTCTATTCAGACAAGCAAATGCTGAGAAAATTTATCATCACCAGGCCTGCCTTGAAAGAGCTCCTTAACGAAGTTCTAAATATGGAAAGGAAAAACTGTTACCAGCCACTATAAAAACACACCAAAGTATACAAACCAGCAACACTATCAGGTGACTACATAAACAAGTCTGCAAAATGACTAGCTAACATCATGATGACAGGATCAAATCCATACATAACAATATTAACTTTCAATGTAAGTGGACTAAATGCCCCAATTAAAAGACACAGAATAGCAAGCTAGATAAAAACTCAAGCCCCATCAGTATGCTGCCTTCAAGAGACACATCTCACATGCAAAGACACACATAGGCTCAAAACAAAGAAAATTAGACAATTAGAAAATTTACCAAGCAAATGGAAAACAAAAAAAGGGAGGGTTGCAATCCTAGTTTATGACAAAGTGGACTTTAAACCAACAAAGATCAAAAAAGACAAAGAAGGGCATTACATAATGGTAAAGGTTTCAATTCACAAAGCAAATCTATCTATCCTAAATATATATGCACCCAATACAGGAGCACCTGCATTCATAAAGCAAGTTTGTAGAGACATATAAAGAGACTTAGACTCTGACAAAATAATAGTGGGAGACTTTAACACATAACTGAAAGTATTAGACAAATCATTGAGACAGAAAATTAACAAAGATATTCAGGACCTAAACTCAGTTCTGGATCAAGTGGACCTGATAGATATCTACAAAACTCTCCACTCCAAAACAACAGAATATACATTCTTCTCATTGTCATATGACACTTACTGTAAAATTGATTACATCATAGGAAGTAAAACACTCCTCAGCAAATGCAAAATAACAATCATAACAAGCAGTCTTTCAGATCACAGCACAATCAAATTAGAACTCAAGATTGAGAAACACACTCAAAACCACACAACTATATGGAGATTGAACAACCTGCTCCTGAATGACTCCTGGGGAAATAATGAAATTAAGACAGAAATAAAAAGTTTTTTGAAAGTAAAAAGAACAAAGATACCGCTTTGGGAGGCTGAGGTGGGCAGATCATGAGGTCAGGAGATTGAGACCATCCTGGCTAACACGGTGAAAACCCGTCTCTACTAAAAATACAAAAAATTAGCCGAGCGCAGTGGCGGGTGCCTGTAGTCCCAGCTACTCGGGAGGCTGAGGCAGGAGAACGGTGTGAACCCGGGAGGCGGAGCTTGCAGTGAGCCGAGATAGGCCATTGCAGTCCAGCCTGGGCGAAAGAACGAGACTCTGTCTCAAAAAAAAAAAAAAAAAAATAGAAGAACAAACATACATCATACCAGAATTTCTCAGATGCACCTAAGCAGTGTTAGGAGGGAAATTTATAGCACTAAATGCCCACATCAGAAAGGTAGAATGATCTCAAATTGACAACCTAACATCACAACTAAATAAACTGGAGAATCATGAGTAAACAAATCCCAAAACTAGCAGAAGACAAGAAATAACTAAGATGATAGTGGAATTAAAGAAGATAGAGACACGAAAAACCCTTTAAAAAAACAAGTCCAGGAGGTGGTCTTTTGAAAAAAAATTAATAAAATAAATATACCACTGGCTAGACTTTAAAGAAAAAAAAGGAAAGAATGAAATAGACACAATCAGATATGATGACAGGAATATCACCACAAACCTCACAGAAATAAAAACAACCATCAGACAATACTATAAACACCGGTATGCACATAAACTAGAAAATCTAAAAAAAAATGAATAAATTTCTGGACACATATGCCCACCCAAGTCTGAATCAGAAAATGAATCCCTAAATAGACCAATAATGAGTTCTGAAATTGAGGTGGTAATAAATAGCCTACTAACCAAAAAAGCCCAAGACCAGACACATTTACAGCTAAATTCTATGAGAGGTACAAAGAGAAGCTATTACCATTTCTTCTGAAACTATTCCAAACAATTGAAAAGAAGGGACTCCTCCCTAACTCTCCTTATGAGGCCAGCATCTTCCTGATATTGAAATCTGGCAGAGATACAACAAAAAAAGAATACTTCAGGCCAATATCCCTGATGAACATTTATGCAAAAATCCTCAATAAATACTGTCAAACCAAATCAAGAGGCACATCATAAAGCTTATTCACCATGATCAAGTTGGCTTCATCCCCAGGATGCAAGGCTGGTTCAACATATGCAAATCAATAAATGTAATTTATCAGGTAAACAGAAATAAAAACAAAAATCTACATGATTATCACAATAAATGCAAAGAAGACCTTCAATAAAATTCAACACCCATTTATGTTAAAATCTCTCAATAAATTAGATACTGAAGGAACATACCTCAAAATAATAAGAGCCATATGTGACAAACCCACAGCCAACATCATATTGAATGGGCAAAAGCTAGAAACATTCCCCTTGAAAACCCCCACAAGACAAGGATGCCCTCTCTCACCACTCTCATTTAACATAATATTGAAAGTTCTGGCCAGAGCAATCAGGTAAAAGAAAGAAAGAAAGGGTATTCAAATAGGAAGAGGAGAAGTCAAATTATTTTTGTTTGCAGAAGACAGGATCCCATATCTAGACAGCCCAAACACCTCAGCCCAAAAGCTTCTTAAGGTGATAAACAACTTCAGCAAAGTCTCAAGATGCAAAATCAATGTGCAAAAATTGCTAAGATTTCTATACACCAACAACAGGTATACAGAGAGCTAAATCATGAATGAACTCCCATTCACAATTGCTAAAAAGAAAATAAAATACCTAAGAATACCGCTAACAAGGGAAGAGAAGGACCTCTTCAAGAACTACAAATCACTGCTCAAGGAAATCAGAGAGGACACAAACAAATGGAAAAACATTCCATTCTCATGGATAGGGAGAATCAATGTTGTGAAAATAGCCATACTGCTCAAAGTAATTTATAGATTAAATGCTATTCCTATTAAACTGCCACTGACATTCTTCACAAAATTAGAAAAAAACTATTTTAAAATTTATATAAAACCAAAAAAGACCCCAATTGCCAAGACAATCCTAAGCAAAAAGAACACAGCTGAAGGTGTCATGCTAACCAACTTCAAACTATATTACGAGGCTACAGTAACTAAAACAGCACGGTACTGGTATGAAGACAGGCACATAGACCAGTAGAACAGAACAGAGAACTTCGAAATAAAACCACACAAATACAGCCACCTGATCTTTGACAAATCTGACAAAAACAAGCAATGGGGAAAGGATTTCCTATTTAATAAATGGTGCCGGGAGAACTGGCTAGCCATAAGCAGAAAACTGAACTTGGACCTCTTCCTTACACATTATACAAAAATTAACTCAAGATGGATTAAAGACCTAAATGTATAACCCAAAACTATAAAAACTCTAGAAGAAAATCTATGCAATACCATTCAAGACATAAGCAGGGGCAAAGATTTTATGACAAAAAATGCCAAAAGCAATTGCAACAAAAGCAAAACTAGAGAAATGGGATCTAATTAAACTAAAGAACTTCTGCATAGCAAAAGAAACTAGCATCAGAGTGAATAGGCAACCTACAGAATTGGAGAACGGTTTTGCAAGCTATCCATCAGACAAACGTCTAATATCCAGAGCCTACAAGGAACTTGCAGAAAAAAAAAATCAATAAAATGTGGGCAAAGGTCACAAACAGACATTTCTCAAAAGAAGACATACATGCACCCAACAAACATATTTTTAAAAAGCTCAACATCACTGATAATTAGAGAAATGCAAATCAAAACCACAATGAGATACTATCTCACGCCAGTCAGAATGACAATTATTAAAAAGTCAAGAAACAACAGATGCTGGCAGGATTGTGGAGAAATAAGAACACTTTTACACTGTTGATGGGAATGTAAATTAATTCAATCATTGTGGAAGACAGTGTGATGATTGCACAAAGACATAGAGGCAGAAATATCATTTGACCCAGCGATCCCATCACTTGGTCTGTACCCAAAGTAATGTAAATGATTCTATTATAAAGATACATGCACAGATATGTTTACTGCAGCACTACACACAATAGCAAAGACATGGAATAAACTCAAATGTCCATCAACAGTAGACTAGATAAAAAAATGTGTTACCTATACACCATGGAATACTATGCAGCCATAAAAAGGAAGGAGATCATGTCCTTTGCAGGGACATGGATGGAGCTGGAAGAGGTAATCTGCAGCAAACTAATGCAGGAACAGAAAACCAAACACCACATGTTCTCACTTATAAGTGGGAACTGAACAATAAGAACACACAGACACATGGGGGAAAACAGCACACGCTGGGGCCTGTCCAGGGTATAGGGAGAGGGAGAGCACCAGAAAGAACAGTTAATGGGTGCTGGGCTTAATACCTGCATGACGGGATGATATGTGCAGCAACTTTTTCTGTTTTCTAGTTGTTTCTTCTTTCTTTCTTTAATATTCATAACCAATTTTGGATTTCTAATTTTTTTTTAGACAGGTTCTCACTTTGTCACCCAGGCTGTAATGCAGTGGCACAACCTCAACTTACTGCAACCTCTGCCCCTGGGGCTCAAGCAATCCTTCCCCCTCAGCCTCCTGAGTAGCTGGGACAACAAGAAAGCACCATATCTGGCTATTTTTTGTATTTTTAGTAGAGACAGGTCTTGCCATGTTGTCTAGGCTGATCTCAAATGCCTGAGCTCAAGTGATCCACCTGCCTTGGCCTCCCAAAGTTCAAACTTATTTTCAGTAGCCAAATGTACCTTCTACTTTCTTGATTATGGTATAGATTATTATTATTATTTTAGTGTTTACCCTGAACTTAAACACACAACCTTGACTTGCTGATATCCTCTTTAAAGTCATATTTTCACCACTTATTGGCTGAAAAAAACTTATAACATTTTAATAGCCCAAATCCATTCTTGTATACTATTTTTAATTAAGATAAACTATACATATAACATAAAATTTATCATTTTAACTATTTTAAGTAAACAGTTCAGAAAAATTAAGTAGTCTAACTGTGGTGTAACCATCATCACCATCACCTCCAGAATCCGTTTATCATACCAAGCAGAAACTCTTTACCCATTAAAAAATAATCCCCCATTCCCAGTTCCCCTTACCCCTGGTAAGCTCCCTTCTACTTTTTGTCCCTATGAATTTGACTAGTCTATGTACTTCATATAAGTGGAATCATACAACATTTGTCCTTTTCTGACTGTCTGGCTTATTTCACTTAGCATGATGTCTTCAAGGTTCATTCATGTGGTAGCATGTGTCAAAATGTAATTCCTATCAAATTTGATTATAGTCCATTGCACGCACATACCACACTTTGTTCACCTATTTAGCTGTGAATGGACACTTGGGAGTTGTTTCCATCTTTTGCCTATTATAAATAATGTTCCTATGAATATTGGTGTACAAATCTTTATTCTATTCCCTGCTTTTGGTTATTCTGGGTATATGCCCAGAAGTGGAGTTGGTGTATCATGTTTTAATTTCATGTTTAATTTTGGAGGAATTGCTGTACTATTTTTTACAGTAGTTGCACTATCTTACATCCCCACTAACAATGCACAAGGATTCCAATTTTGTTATTTCCTCACCAATACTTGTTATTTTTAATTTTTTCTTAATAGCCTAATTGATACGAAGTTTTATCTTGTGATTTTGATTTGATTACATATCATTATAATGTACGTTAATTCTACATACAGTCTCCCAAGTACATCACTAGTTAATATTTGTTTACATTTATGTGCCCTCAGAAGGTTTGATTTTTTCTTCCACAATTCCATCTGCGATGACATATTTTCACTTTAAAGAACTCTCTTTAGTATTTCCCCTTAGTATAGGACTATTAAAAATTAAATATCACAACGTTTTTTATGAACACCTATTAATTTTTATCCCATTTTTGAAAGATATTAGCTGGATATTAAATTATACACTGATATTTGCTATCTTTTAGCACTTTAAAGACATCATTCCACTATATTCTATCAACAAGCTTCTTGGAACTCTCTTCAGAATTTCAGTCTGTCCTTACATTGATCCCTAAAAGGTAATCTGAATTGTGTCTCTGTCTTTGTAACTATATTTCTGTTTCTTACTTCTTTTTTCAAAAGCTTAACTCTGATTTTCTAAGGTTTATGTTGTTTTTGTGATTGTTTTGTGGTGGGGATGTTTTTAACCTTGATTTTTGCTCAGAGCTTAATATCCTTTATCAGTTTTAGAAAATTATCAGGTAGTAATTAGAAAAAATTGCTTCTATCTCCTTTCTCTCTTCTTTCAGACTCAATGTTAGAAATCCAATGTCCCTTAAGTGTACAGTTCAGAAGTATTAAGTATACATTCTCTCATTGTTATGCAACCATCACCACCAACCATCTCCAGAATTTGTTCATTATTTCATCACATCTCTGTGATTCAGTGTCTTCTGATACTGTTTCTTTTCCTGCTTTTTATAAAAATTTTACTTGTATACCAGACATTGTGTATGAAAAATTATACAAACATCGTTAAGGCTCGTCTATTTTAGGTATGCTCTTGCTCCAACAGTTTAAACCTTCTGTGTTCTCATCAGAAACACACTGTTAAACAGAACATGTGTAACAGTCTCACATCATTGGCATGCATTTAAATTCAGACCTGTCTCTTAGCACTATGTAACTGCTGAAATCTCTGCTCAGCACCTTAGACTCTGTTGTTTATGTCTGGTTTCCAAAAGTTTCAGATTTGGAATCCACAGAGTGACTCAGGATAAATTACGCTTGGAATTTGAGGCTCACTCCCTGTGATTTTCTTTCTCTCAGCACATTTAACCCAGCTCCTTGGCAGCCTCAAACCCTAACCTTTGCCTCCTCAGACCTACACAATTGCCAGCAAACCAAAGTATCCACTTTCTACTAATCCTAAATTATTCCTTCTGTGAATTGACAAATACCTCAAGGGGGAAAACAGAAGACTGATGTGGGTATAATCATCATTTGCTTGTCTTCTTTCCGGAATTTTGAACATCTGTTGATCTTTTATTTTCAATGCCTTCAAATGGCTTTGTTTTTTGGTATTTTATCAAACTTCTATAATTGTACTGGGAAAAAAGTATACATTCCACAGCTCTTTTTTGAAATCCTATAATATTGATGATATTCACATACTTCCAATAATGTACAAATTAAAGCATTCACATACTTTATATATTTTCCAGGTTTATGCTGTAATATTGAAATTAGTTTGTTCAGTTAAGTCTTAGTAAATATAATTCAGAAAATGTGTGCCTATATATCTACTTTATTTTGTAAAATCTTATTCAAATGGGAAAGATGCTTCCACAAAATATAAATATGATTTTTCTTAATTTTTATGTTGACAGAGAAATATGTAACTAGAAAAGGTTATCACATATTCTAAACATTACTGACATTGCATATTCTAATTTTACATAACATGTAATATTTATAATATGTAAACTAATGTTACATATTCAAATATTATCACATATTCTAAATCATTAGAGAAATGCAAATCAAAACCACAGTGAGATACCATCTCATAACAGTCAGAATGGCTATGATTAAAAATCAAAAAGTAACAGATGCTGGTGAGGTTGCAGAGAAAAGAGAAAGCTTATACATGGCTGAAGGGATGTAAATTAGCTCAGCCATTGTGATAACAGTGTGGTGATTTGTCAAAGAACTCAAAGCAGAGTTTTCACTAGACCCAACAATCCCAATATTGGGTATATACTCAAAGGAATATAAATCATTCTGCCAAAAAGACACATGCACATGTAGGTTCATTGCAGCACTGTTCACAAAAGCAAAGACATGGAATCAACCTAAATGCCCATCAGTGGTAGACTGGATTAAAGAAAAAAATGTGGTACATTTACACCATGGAATGCTACACAGTCATAAAAAGAACAACATCATGACATTTGCAGCAACATGGCTGAAGTTGGAAGCCATTATCCTAAGCAAACTTATGCAAGAACAGAAAACCAAATCCCTCATGTTCTTACTTATAGGAGGGAGCTAAACACTGAGTACATCTGTACACAAAGAAAGGAACAATAGACACTAGAGACTATTTGAGAGTGAAGGGAGGAAGGAGAGTGAGGATCATAGTATCTGTCAGGTACTATGCTTATTACCTGGGTGATGAAATAATATGTACAACAAACCCCTGCGATATGAAATTTACCTATATAGCAAACATGCACATGTAACCCTGAACCTAAAATAAAAGCTTAAGTAAAACCAAAAAAGTAAAAAAAGTATATGTGGGTCAATTTTCTCTTTTTGTTTATAACAAACTTCCATGTCTTGCAAACTTTTTCCCACCAAAACTTTCTACTGACTTTTAAATTTATGTTTCCTTCCACACCTTACTATTATTACTTCTTAAAGTTTGGCATACTTTTTTTTTTTTTTTGAGATGGAGTCTCGCTCTGTTGCCCAGGCTGGAGTGCAGTGGTGCCATCTCTGCTCACTGCAAGCTCTGCCTCCCAGGTTCACGCCATTCTCCTGCCTCAGCCTCCCAAGTAGCTGGGACTACAGGCATCCGCCACCACGCCCAGCTAATTTTTTGTATTTTTAGTAGAGACCGCATTTCACCAGGTTAGCCAGGATGATCTCAATCTGTTGACCTCGTGATCCGCCCGCCTCGACCTTCCAAAGTGCTGGGATTACAGTGGCATGCATTTTTTAACATTGAAAATAAAGTCACTGAGAAACATTTCTCCCTTTCAGCTTTTCCTCTGCCACACTGATTATATTCGTTCTTTCTAATGTTTCAAGTAGATGCTTTATCTCCCAGTTTCTATCAATCATGGATAATTTCTCTTTGCTGTCAAGACACCATATAAAACCAATTGGAGCAAATCAGAGGTGATGCCTTTATGTAATTTATACCAAAACTTTCTGCAAAGACTGTAATTTTATATAAAGTTTAGACCCAATTAAATAGCTAGCCATATGTTACTACATTACCTAGAGATAGTTTACCAGGATTTTGTCCCACTTCTATAATATTTTAAGTTAAAACTTATAGAGATACTGAGTTATTTTCTGAGCTTTCCTAGCATTAGGAGATATACCTAATGTTAAATGACGAGCTAATGGGTGCAGCACACCAACATGGCACATGTATATATATGTAACAAACCTGCACGTTGTGCACATGTACCCTAAAACTTGAAGTATAATTAAAAAAAAGAAAAAATATTCAAAAGTTAAACAAAAATACTTCAAACTCATGCCACTGAAAACGTACATCTTACTTTACATTGCAATTTCATTTGATACAAAATGTAAGTATATATCTAAAATTAGGCATCAATCTTATTTTTAGATTATTCATTATAATAATATTCCTTGTTGAATCCATATTTTTGATGTACAACAACATTTTTTCTGTATATAGTGGTACCCTTCAATATCTGCTATAAATGCTTATTGTTGCATACATTTTTTAAAAAGCAGTTAATAGCAACTTAAATAAGAACTTATTTTATGTAAATACATGGTGAGAGGTGGTAGCAGGATGGATGCAGAGCAATTTATTTGTTTTTTCCCACATGCTTGTTAATTCATAGCTCCAATGGCTTTAAACATGTCTATATACGAGGCAGAAAAAGATGAAAAATTGGAGAAAACACAGCAGATTTCCACATCTATCTTATTGTCTAGAACTGGATAAAATGATCACTCAGAGGTGGAAGAAAAACAGTTGATGTTGTATATCCACATCAGGAATGGGTGTCTGCAACACCTTTCTATACAGACTAGTGTTCAATTTTGTTTTTCTATGTAGAGTACAAATAAAATTCAGTGAGTTGAGTGTTTTGAGAAATACCACACATTCTTTAAGAAATACTACACCTTAGCAGGAAGAAAATATTTTTTTAAACACTTTTTATTTTCTAGGCAACATAAAGGCTAATTAGTGATTGATTTAAAGATGAATTAAATTTCAATTAGGCAAAGTGTTAGACATTGTATCTTTAACCAAAGTTATTATTATTTTTGGGTAATTCACAATGCATTCAATTTTCATCTCAACTCAGCACCAATTTTAAAATGTGTACTTTTAAAACAATATCAGAAAATTTTATTCACATATCTCATGTTCAAGATGTTAAGAAAATCCTGCCAAGACTAAACATTTTCTGAATCATGCAAATGAAATATGCTGCCCTTGAGAACGAAAATCTTTGTGTGGTTATTGACTTGTTTTTATTCTCTGGGGGACAAAAAGAGTTTGTTTGATCAAACTACAGGAAAAATCATCATAATAAGAGTTAACATTTTATACCAATGAGCAAGTCATTACACACATATACACACAGAAGAAATCAGAATGTGAGTGATAAGAATACCAGCCATGTGTGTCAAATCATCAGTTTGCTTTGAAACTGTGCTATTCATTTTATCCATATGTAAAATGGTTATAATAGTATTATGTCATTTACCTCCAAGATTGTATTCAAGGTAAAATGAGTAATGCTTGTAAAAACAATCTGAGATAGTGATATCAATCAAGCTTAATGTTAGAATATGATACTGTGATACTGTACTCAGCGGTCACTGATGTATGAGTAAACAAATGCATTAAATTAGAGAAAATCTAATTTATAAATCAGTAGTTAAAGAAAGAATAAAATGAGAAGAAATTTTATTGTAAAATAAATAGAGAAGAGAATAAGAATATCTTATGGTAAGATAAGAAATATATAATGCCAAAAAAGAGTTTGAAAATATGGAGAAAGCACCAATTCTGTATTTATGAATTTTTCTATTCCTAATACAGAGCATTGTACTAAGCACGAGTATTTGTTTAAAAAAAATCAATTACCTAATCACATATATTGCAAAGGTCACATGGATCCCGCTGACCTCTACAGAAAGTCCAGACCAGGGCTAAACAGATAATTTGAATGAGAATGAGAAGTATTAGGAAATGTACTATGGGAATATGTGTTAGGTATCAGAAAAGTCCTAATAAAACAAACAACATTTAATGATAGACTAAAATACAATAAATATTACTATTTTTTTTTTTAGTGACCAACGAATTTCCAAAATTAAGCATGACTCCATAAGAGGAAAAAACATGCTAACATGGGCATTTAACCTATTATAAAGTACTCTGGTCAACTTTCAGATGAGCCAGGGATTCAGTCACACAGGTGCCTGAGGGACCTGGAAGCCTGGCAGAAGTATAACAGTGTAAGTATTGAACTAATCTGTTCTAAGCACAGCAGGATGCGGGACCTTCAAGAAGGAAGTTGTTCTTGAAAGCTTTGGTAGTGAGAACTTAGGAAACGAAACGTGTAGAGTAAAGTTCCAGTAATGTGTTTTTGAAATTTCTTTGCAGAAATAAAGAAAGAGGCAGAGAGGGCTTTAGAAGAATAATAGAAATTCCTGGTGCCAAGTCCTAAGGGCCTGCATTGAACTAGTTTCAGAGGGAATAAAAAGAACTTAGTAAGTAGAAATGTGAGTAGGTAGAAAAATGAGAGCTAGGAGGGAGACAAAGGTAGCCATAAAAATTTAAACTTGGGATATGGGAAAATTACCCTTTCAAAAATGAAAATTGAGTGGTGGTGCATGCCTGTAGTCCCAGCTACTTAGGAGGCTAAGGTGGGAAGATCGCTAGAGTGTGGGAGGTCAAGGCTGCAGTAAGCCATGATCATGCCACTGCACTCCAGCCTGGGTGATAGAGTGAGACCCTGTCTCAAAAAAAAAAAAAATTAAAATTGAAAAGTCCAGAGAAATCATGGCTTTTGGAGCAAAGATGGATTCAAGTTGATTGAAGGGTATCCAACATGAAGACATCCTACATGCAAGCAGTCTGAACTAATGGAACTCAGGAGAAAGGCCACATGTAGATAGAAAAATGTAAAGTGATAGGACAAAGCCATGGGAGTAAATGAGATTTTTGAATAACAGGGTACAAATAGTAGACCTGAGTTCAGTCCTACATATTTTCTATAATATATTTTGGGTCAGGAAAAGAGTATTGTAAAAAAAAGAATGATTCAAATAAAAAAGTAAATGAATGAGAAGAGAAGCAAGAGAATGCAGAAGTATGAAAAGTAAGAAATATAAGAAATATTTGTAGTCTGAGAAGCAATCATTGAAACTTTCAATTCAAGAAGAATTAACTCTATTATGCTGTATTGTGCATATATTTTAAAATGTATACTTGAAATTCTGTGTCATTTTATTATCATCCAGTAAGCCCATTTTAGGGAAATGCCAGATAAATGAATACACAGATAAATACAAAATATCCTTAGTAGTTTATTGGGAGAATCTGCGTGTGTATATATATGTGTGTAAATATATATGTGTGTGTATATGTGTATGTATATATAATATGTATGTATAATTATATACGTATTTACATATATACACAAATATGTAAACATATATATGTAAATATGTATATAAGTATATGTGTGTATGTATATGTAAGTATATATGTATACTTATATACATATTTACACATATAGAAACATGTAAATATATATGCATGTGTAAATATGTATAAGTATATATGCGTATGCTTATAAGTATATACATGTGTATACTCATACACATGTTTACACATGCATATATATACACACGGAGATATATACATATTTACATATATACATATATACACACACACATATTTTCATGTATTCTAAAGTAGAATTCTTATTAAATCAGAAAAAAAACAGGGGATCCAATGTGCAAATACTCTAAATCTAGTTTTAGAATTTCCCTGGATAAATTCACATCATAGTACTTATAACCAGATATTATTTCAAAAGTGCAAATTCTCAAATGAGAAAAAAAGTCACTGATGGATCCTACATAAGTAGATTCAATGTTATGAGAAAATCAGTTTCCAGTGTATTATGGATAGATCCAAGATAAAAATGCATGACCATCAATGCTCAGAGTTCTAATTTCCTGACACTAGAAGCAGAATCTACTGTATTTGCTGCAGTGAGGACACAGTTCATACGACAGCCAGTGATATATTTAATGTAGAAGCAGTAGTTGTCACGAATGGGCTTTTTTATACGCAGAAACTTACAGTCACTTACCCCATGGTGGTATTTACAAGCCATTTTGAACATCAAACGGAATCTCTAAGATGATAAAAACACCTTCCCAAAACAGCCCTACTCTCCTGAGGACTCCATGGTTTTCATTCAGGGCCATTTTGTCAGTTAAGTACTTTTAGTCATGATGCCTCATAACCAAGAACTTTTCAAAATCCTGTTAAATTGGTATCAGAGAAAAATGTATACTGGCTCTAAAATTAAGTGACAGAAGAGGGTGCTCTCTGTCTGCATGGGGTTTGCAAGGTAGGACCCTAATGAACCCTTAAAATGGGAAACAAAATGTACCTTGTTTTTGTCCAAGTAATTAAATCAGAAATAATTCCAGATGAGTTATCTCTTTTCTGAGAAAAAGTCATAAGTCGTAGAAAACCCCAGATTTATAAGTTATTTTCTTATACTCTGTATGTTTTTCAGCATGAAATCATTCAGAATTCTTTGTCCCCTTTTTATACACATTTGTTCACAAGGGAGCTTTCTAAGACTCGATTGCCCAATGGCTGCTTAATGCTTTAATGTGCCTCAAGCAGTCTCACAAGTAATATGTTTCCCCCTCCCAACTGTGAGCTAGAAAACCTTAAAGGAAAGGTAAAAATAACAAACAAAAACACAAGGAAACCTTTCTGAATGATAGTCAATGTCTAGTGTCATTTATATTCCATTTAAAGTAATAAATATTTATACATTTGACAGCAATAAAAGGGATTCACAATCTTTATTTATTGGAATGTTTTTGTTAATTTAACAAGATGATGTTAACTTTGGGCCCTTATTGCATTTAATAAAAGGGACATGGTCACTTATAGATAGGGTGTCTAATAATCATACCTTTCTCTTCCTAAAAGTTCCAACCACGGATAACAGAAGTAGCATATGAAATGGGAATCAAGGATTCAGTTATATTAAGAGAAGTCCTGTGCCTTGCAAAGTACAGATCTCAGTGGTGAAGCTGACCTGGAGAACACAGGTGGACTAGACGCCAAAGTTGTGGATTTGAGGGCAAAACCTCTCTTTGCCCACACTTCCACACTCAACCTGAGAATTCTTCTGGTCACAGAGAGTTTCATGACCTCCATGCAAACCAATATGGTATCACAATAGAGACAAACAGATAGCACAAAACTTTTTATTCCTTTTATATGTGATCTGAGTGGTAGAGCCATTTATATCAAGTGAAAAGCAAGATTTTATTCTTTGGAGATAAGTTAGTGAAGTTTTAAAGTGAAAACTTTGGGCATATAGAACTCTTGCAAGGGAGAAATAAAAAGATCACTTGACACTGTGGGGGTTCCAACTATAGTCCCAATTCATGGCCATGAATCTTATCAAAGTGAGAGCAATTCTCAAACATAGAAAAAGATGAAACATGTGTGTGAAACTAGAGTGATATTTTCTCAGGTCAGGTCTGTATAAGGACAGTAAGACAACAGAATTTATTACATTGTCTGTCTAGCTGTTACTTGTAGTAATAGGGGCTAGCGTAGAGCTAGCATAGCAGCTTAGCAGCGTAGCAGGGTAGAGCTGCTCTATAATTTTGATTACTTCATCTGCTCATTCAAAACAAGTATTAAAAGAAACAAAATGTAAAAGGCTTCTCATACTTTGTTCTTTAAGACAAAAAGTGTAAACAATCTATGGTTTTTCATTGTCGTTGAAAGCCTTCAGTGTTTTTGACGACAAAGCACTTCTTTTTTAAAATAAGTGGTTTTACTAACAGAATATTATGGGTTGATACATAGTTTTGTGAGGTACCCATACTCCTTTTGAGGGAAGTCACAATTAAATATGATTGCATTTTTAGTCAATCAAATACTTTTTAATCCTCATACAATTTATATGCTGATTGTGTAATGACAGAAAAAAAATTGATGGTATTTAGTATAAAGATGTACACATAAACTGGCTTTAACTAGAAATGTAAATGAATAACAAAAAAGCACTAGGTGATTCCATTAGATAAAAAATTATATGTTTCATTGATTAATGCTCTCACTTATACACTCACCAAAAAATTTAATATCGATTACACTCTGGGCTAGAGGTTCCTAAATAAATAATAAAAAGAATACAGACTCTCTTCATATGATGCAATATAGTTACTACATTTCTCTAAAACTTACTGTTATAGACTTATATATGTTAGAAAGATGATTATTGAAAATAGAATCACAAGAAATGAGTGGGGAAGAAATATCAAGGAAGGTAGAATAAGAATTGTCCCACATTCCAAATATTTCCAGTAAACAACGAACATCTACAAACAGAACACAAAGCAAATTGTTTGCATTTTCCTGATTAGATTTTGGCAATTTAGGAACAAGTAATATGGAACATCTCAATTGAATGCTCAATTATTAATATAATCAACACAATATTGTGTTGTTTTTAAAATAATTTTGAATTACAGACAGGTATTGATGAAAATGAGTCACACATAGAATTAACTTTTTTTTAAAGTTCCTACTGTTAATTTGCTTAATCCTTTATTAGAAAAATATCCAATTGTATTTAACATAAAGATATATTATTGTATTATAAAGATAGGAGATTGGTTTTGAAAGTGAAGAAGATACAGCAAATGAACCCTACACATCCCTGATATAAAACATAATTCAATATTCACATTTTATCATATATTTTTATAGAAGTAATTTATGTTATTATTATTATTATATTTTTAGAGGCAGAGTCTCACTATGCTGCCCAGGCTAGAGTGCAATGACTATTCACAGGCATGATCATGAGCACGACAGCCTTGAACTCCTGGGCTCAAACAGTCTTCCCACTTCAGCATCCTGAGTAGCTGGGACTGTAGGCACATGCCAACAATCCTGGCTTAATTTGTTGTATAATGAGATAATGGCTTTCTTAATATTTTTCTTGAATTGATTTAAGTACCCAATTCTAATCCAAGTGCTATGGACAAATAAATCAAGATAGAAAACCAAAGGGGTTCCTGAACTGATTATATAATTTTTCACAGCCCAAAGTTACCTAAGTGACTTTTTCTAAAGCTGACAGCTATAGTGAGATAAATGTCTGCCCAGAATCACTTACAGTGGACCTACTTAAGGACAAGAACAGGCCTGGCATGGTGGCATGCCTGTAATCTCAGCACTTTGGGAGGCCTAGGCAGGAGGATCCCTTAAGGCCAGGATTTACAGGCTAGCCTAGACAACATAGCAAGACTCCATCTTTACAAAAAAATAGAAAAATTAGGTATGGTGGCACTTGCTTGTAGTTCTACTTACCAGGGAGGCTGAGGCTGGAGGATCTCTTGAGACTAGGGGTTCCAGGTTGCAGTGAGCTATGATAACAACATTGCACTCCAGCCTGGGGGACAGAGCAAGACGCTGTCTTTAACAAAATAAAAAATAAAAAAAGAACAGGAACAACATCTAGATTACTCTATTTTCTGTATCCATTGCTAGATCACACCTTTTAAATCTCTCATTATTTATGAAAATCCATTTGCTATTTGGTTCAATCTTGGTTTAGATTTGAAGTAAACTGAGATCCCACAAACTGAAGAGGCTATCATAAATCATTGTCTTTCAAATTAAAATAACAAAGTATATATAACTACTACTTTACACTGGTTAAGAATAACAGAGATTACATCAGGGCTATGACTTAGATTATTTTTACCTTTGCTAAAATAATGAACATAGAGTTCTTAACTAATCATTTGTTTCAAAGCTTTTAAAGCCATTGCTGAGACTAATAACCAGCATTTGGATAGTTAAGAATTTACTCTGTGTGCAATGTGGAAGGTAAGTTGTGCCTATATCAAAAGGCTTTTGGATGTTTAAAGAAAGTATAGCTAGATTGAAATAAGCATTGCACATGTATAACATATACCATTCAAAGATTTACAGTGGATATTAACAATTAAATATGGATATCTGAAGGAAGCTTGAGCAAAGAGACCAGTTGAATTTGCTTTACTTACCAGTTCCCAGGATTATTAAACTAGGGACACTGTACACAAGTCAAGGAATTCATGATGTACATGTCTTTTCTCATATCCCAGTATTATAACAGTAGCAAAAGAATTATCAAAACACTTACTGCATGTTGGGTGATATGGTTTAGATTTCAGTACCCACCCAAATCTCATGTAAAATTAGAGGAGGGTCGTGATGGGAGGTGACTGAATCATGAGGGTAAACTTCCCCCTTGCTGTTCTTGTGATAGAGTTCTCAGGAGATCTGATGGTTTAAAAGTTTGTGGCACTTCCCCACTTGCTCTCTGTCTCTCTCCTGCCACCATGTGAAGAAGGGGCCTTGCTTCCCCTTCACCTTCTGCCTTGTCAGTTTCCTGAAGTCTTCCAGTCATGCTTCCTGCTAATCCTGCAGAACTGTGAGTCAATTAAACCTCTTTTCTTCATAAATTATCCAGTCTCAGGTAGTTCTTTATAGCAATGTGAAAACTAATACATTGGGAATACTCCAATTTTACAAAAATGAACTCATTCAATATTCACTCTAAAGAGTTTTTATTTTATTTGAATAATAAAGAGCTCCCAATGTTACCCAAGTATTTAGAATTATTATTCAGATTTTATATTTGTGGATTCTAAACTGCAAAAGTTTGTTAGCATTTGGCAATGTTTTTTAGATTGGTAACTAATACAAAATGTTTTACCTCATATCCATATACATTGTATGGGCTTACCCCCCTCAATTAATTTTAGATCATCTGAGAAATAAAGCAATTACTAGTGGTCACATAATTTGAATCCTATTTAAAATTCTAATGTAAATGTTTCCTTTACAAAGTTAAAAATTATTAAACATTAAAAGCTAAAATCATTGAACTGTTTTTACATGAATAACTTTTGTTTATATCAATTTGATAGAGCTAGTTGTTTCATATAACCTGTAAATCTCATACAATTTAACAAAAAGAAATAAAATGTATGTAATTAATTATTTGTAATAGTTCACATAATTTCATTCTCAAGTTGCTATGACCTGCCTTCAGAAATTGCTATTCCATGTTTACTTCATTTAAAGAGTAAGTTGACTCCATCTGTAGAAAATAGATTTTCCTATGTCTTTAATGGAGTTTTGAAAATTATCATATAATCTTGAAACTCTGAGTCTCTTTATATTTTGTAATAGGCTCTTGTGAAATTTTGACACATGGCTTTCCTCTTTTGTTTTTTCTTCTGTGTCCAATGTTTTTGTTAATAATTTTCCTCTCCTTGACATAGTTTTCTCCTTAGATGTAATACTATTCTTTTCTTCAAATAATCTTGATTAAAACACACACACACAAAAACACACGCGCTTACACTAGTTTCTAGTTTAGGAATAAAGAAGCCACAAAAATCCATGCAGAAACATTCTCCCAACCAAACACTGATGTGAGAAATAAGTTTAAATGAAGATGTATTCTGCCATTCCATAATTAAAGCTTAGTTTTCCTGGAAGAAGTAATTGATGGATCTTATTGTGTAAGCCTTCTCACTCATAGTTACAATCCTTGTAAATTCTTCTATTTAGTCATCACTTTTTTATAGCTCATTTTCCTAACTCATTAAACTTATATCCCTTTTGCTATATTTTGAAAGCCATAGTACATTTAAGATATATAATATTGTACTGAGACATTACAAAATAAATGTAATTGAAGTTGAGAGCATATATTATTCTTTGCAAAATATTGAATTTCTAAGTGAAGAAAGTGAATACATTATGATTATACATATATATCTTACATTTTCCTTTTTCTAAGTCTCTAATGTATTTCAACAAAAATCTCAATTATTGATTTTGTTAAACTGCTTGTCATAGCCTCTATGGTTTTTAGATAATGAAACCTCATCTTACTTTCTACTGTATTCCTAGAAAATTATATTCTAGTGCCTTTTTATCAACTAAAATGGTCAAAAAGAGAATAATTTTTCTGTACACTTGCAAATTTCATTCTTTATAAAATGGACTTTCCATTACATTAAATTTGATATATGACCTTATCATTGTCTACCTGGTTAAAAATTGCTAACATTTGTTATATGTATTAAATGTTAATTTTGTCTTGAAATATTTAAGCATCTAAAATGTAGTACATGTTGACTTATAATTTTGTTATGATATTTTGAAAGACAAATTAGGGTGCTGGTGCTTCTGTAACATGTGGATGATGATCTATACATGCATTTTGACGTAATATTCTAAATCTCATGGGGAATTTACATTCATTTATGTCTCATTGATTTTTGTGTTACAATCTACTACATGTGATATATTGCCCAGAGGAATTAATTTTTTTTGTATCTCTTTAGTATTTAAGAGTTCTTGGTTTACTTTTCATTGTCTCTGAAGGATTATGTAAGAAATATTTTGCTGTCTCCTCTAAATAAAAAGAAAAAAAAACTTTTCTAATACTTTTCCTTTTTAGACTATTAACCATATAATAGTTGCCCATTCTAATTGTGAGTTCAGTTTTTATATACATGTTGCTCTCTGGAAAGGCTGACCATGAAAGTAAAACTGAATTTTAGTTAGGTTAAAAATACTCCAGTTTGTAAGAATCTTGTATAGATTAAGTTTTCATACAGTGACTCACTCTCTTGAAAAAGAGATAGAGAGAGACGTATGTTGGTTCATAGAAGGGAAGGTTTTGACTTTCATGAAGGGGACAATTATGTGTTTCTAAAGCACTTGTCTTCAGGAGAGCAATACTTTCAAGAATTCTGTCAGAAGCGTTCTCGTGAAGCAAGATCATAGTTCATATTTTAGTAGCCAGAGTAAATTTTCTTAGGAGATCTGTCTTACTTATTGTGCAACAACACATTTTCTAACATTTTATAACTTTAACAAATCAGAGGTACAAGCTACAGAGCTTCCTGCTGCTCTAGTGTGACTGTGAAGCAGCAAGAAGATATCACGGGGCTAACATTCAATTGGCTTTTGTCTTAGGCATTGTTTATAATTATCACAAATGATTGTCACTTAAATTATTTGTGCTTAAATTTCCTCATCTACAAATTAATGAAGTTTGCCTGCATAGTCTCTAGTGTACAAACAATATCAAGATGCATACATTATGTAATATAACAAGTAAGAATTTAAATATTTGACATTTAAGGTTGAATTGAATTTCATAAACTAGAAACCCATTAGATGAGAAAAAAAACAATTCTAAAGTACTACTTGCTCAGACAAATTCCCAAATTTTGAGGAGAGGCTGAGGAGGGCGGATCACGAGGTCAGGAATTAGAGACCAGCCTGGCCAATATAGTGAAACCCTGTCTCTACTAAAAATACAAAAATGAGACAGGTGTGGTGGTGGGCACCTGTAATCCCAGCTACTCAGGAGGCTGAGGCAGGCGAATCACTTGAAACTGGGAGGTTAAGGTTGCAATGAACTGAGACTGTGCCACTGCATTCCAGTCTGGGCAACTGAGCAAGACTCCATCTCAAAATAATAATAATAATAAATCCCAAATTTTACTTATTTTCCAAATTACTAATAGGTTACTTTCCTTATTAATTTATTGCATTATTTTATATAAGTTTCTATGGAAAGTATACAACTTCCAGATTTAGATGGAACCATATGCCTTATTGTCTTTTATCATAGTAGCCATGAAGTATATGAGCTAAGTGTTTTTGTGTTTTGTTTTGCTTTAACAGTAAATAAAACTTGGTTGTTATTAAGGCGAGTAATTGGTCCTTGAAATATCACTTCATTTAGTCTCAATGCACAATAACATAAATTGAGGGTTTTTTTTTTTTTAAAAAAATCTTTGTACAACTGTCTCTTATTTTTCTGAGGCTGTTTTGAAAACATCTTATAAAAGTAAGGAAGTGTTAGAGACGTGAAAAGAAGGGAAATCCATACATTCAGAAATAATGCATTTTGAATGAAATGTAACTACAAGTTAACTCTAACATTGTTTATTCCATCTTTCTTTAGCTCTGTCCATGTGCATATAATGTGATATTTAAAGGGGAACTAGTGATCCTTGGATTAAATAGACCCATTTTCTATAAATGTATCACTCTTCTAATAATAAATTGTTGCACCTTAAAAAGAACAATAAAGAAATCCTCAAAGCAAAGAGGTGTTGTAAAAAATGATTTTATTTTAAAAGAAAAAATAAGCACAATGTGAAAAATGCTTAATATATTTTAAAATATAATTATTGAATACTATTAGATTGTGTCATTTATGAAAAGACTCATATTGTCATGCAATTTAAAATATCAAATTGCATGTAATATAAAATAAATAGTAATATTTATATTTAAGGAGGCATATAATTTTATGAACATTGCACATTAGAGAATGCCTTGTGTCATTATAATTCTGAATGTAATTTTGATGCCAGACTTCCTTCATGTAGTCGAGCTGAAGCTTCTGTGGGTGTTTGCCTGAACTTTCATCCTTGCTCGGCTTCCACTCCTCCCCTGGCCTCCCTTCCTCAGGACTTTACCAGTATCTCCTGGGAGCAGTTAATTAATCTCCTGAACATGAATTTTTAATTTATAACTCTTTTGCAGGTGTCTCATTAGACAACTCATATCTTGTAAGAATTAAGATTGAGATTCTGCCGGGCGTGGTGGCTCACGCCTGTAATCCCAGCACTTTGTGAGGCCAAGGTGGGCGGATCACCTGAGGTCGGGAGTTCGGGACTAGCCTGATCGACATGGAGAAAGCCCGACTCTACTAAAAAAAATACAAAATGAGCTGGGCGTGGTGGTGCATGACTGTAATCCCAGCTACTTGAGAGGCTGAGGCAGGAGAATTGCTCGAACCCACGGGGCGGAGGTTGCGGTGAGCCGAGATCGCGCCATTGCACTCCAGCCTGGGCAACGAGAGCGAAACTCCGTCTCAAAAAAAAACGAAAACAAAAAAAGGATGAGATTCTGAGGTATATTGCTTGCCAGTAACATGGCAACAAATAAACGGGGGCTGTTGATAAATAGATAGTTGGAAGCCCCTGGCATACCGTAGCATACTGATTACCAACAGATTGCCTGAGGGAATCAGGGTGCAGTAGAGGGGAAGGAGATGCACTGGCTTCTGCAGTGGATATGGCCTGGAGAAAACAGGCAAATTGACACTATAAGGTCTATGAAATGGGCTAATAGTTACTGAGCTCCATTAAAACATAAAAAAGATATTGCCAGCATAATCCATTATAAGGCATGTTGGAAAAGTCAGTAGGCTTCCACATTAACATTTAAAGAGACAATCATCTCCACTAGCCAGGTTTGCAATCATGTTGAAAACCAGACCTCATACCTATCATAGCTAATTCTATGAGTAGAAGAGCTTCAGGTAAATGTGGACTTTTATCTTTAGCCAGTCTTCTTTACAAGAGTATGACACTGAAATTGGGATGTGGATCTCTGTATTTTGTCAAACCTATAGCAATGAACACATCACATTTTCCTGAAAAATTTGGGCAAATAGGAGTGAGCTCCTTCCTTTGTTAGAGAATTATAGCTGGACTACCAAGAAGCTTTTCTTGGAGGCATCAACCGGGGCAGATGACTTACAAGACTGTATTTGCCCTCCTCAAGACTTTCCCTACCTTAGCTCTCAGCTAATACCAATATCTAGGGTTAGTTAATTAGAACAAGTAGTAATCAGGAATGTTCTGACCACACTAAGAAGGGAATTATTCTCCAAGGGAGCTTCAGGACCTCATAGATGCATACCTACGGGAACTGAGAGAGCATACTTGAGAGGAGACCTTGAGGGCAATAGACCAAGAGGTAAAATTTAATGTTAAGTAATGGAGAGCTCTTTGACGTTGGGAAATTTCCTTTAGCCATGATAAAATGTGTTACCAGTGGGAGCAATACTAACATGCCACTGGGCTGGCTGTTGGAACCTTGGGAAAAATTATGTCCCATATTAAACAAGTTGGAAATACCAAAATGTCTTTGCAGGATTCTGAAGAAAGAATAAAAAATTCAGCATGCTCAAACAAATTAAGTGTACAATAATGGAGAAGGCAACAGATGCTTCTGTTTCTTGAAAGGATCCAGAAGACATTCATAGAATTAATATAGTAAGAAATATGTTACCAAAAAGGCAATGGTAGCATAGACATGCTCACTAGTGCCTAACTATCCTCTTCAGGTGACAGCTATCTGCAGCTCATGTAGGGGATGTTATTATAGATCCTAGTGACAATGGAGATCGTAGAAATCCAGAATAGCAGCTGGTAAATGGAGTAACTTAATCCCAGGATTTGGAACAATGGGAAGAGAGGCCAGAAAAAAATGCCAAGGGATCTTAATCTAAAGGAAATTTTGGCTATGGTGAATGAGTGGGCACATGAGAGTTGGCAAAATATATAAGAATCTTTATAACACATGTTAATTTTCACCAAAGAGCATCTACTGCAGGAGAAGCATTGACTCACAGTGGACAGGATGACTTATACCAAAGATAGTGAACCATTCTGTTTTGAGCTACCATGGCGCTTGCACAAGAATTTCATGAAAAATGCTGCCATGGGAGTGTATATGCAGGCTAATAATAAGCTCAACAACATGAACTCACTGCAGCCTTGACCTCATGGGCTCAAGCGATCTTCCAACTTCAGCCTCCCAAGTAAGTGAGGCAACAGGTGTGCACCATCATGTGTGACTAAATTTTTTAATTTTTAGTAGACACAGGATCTTGCTATGTTGCCCAGGTTAGTCTTGAACTCCTGAGCCCAGCGATCCTCCTGCCTTGGCCTCCCAAAGTACTAGGATTATAGGACATTTCAAGATTTTCAAACACTATTTGACAGAGTTTCTGAGAAACTGTGGAAGATGAAATACAAATTATTTATCAAACCTGAGAGCTTGAAATAATTTTTATTATGCCTCTCTAGGTGGTATTATGATAATCTAAAATATGTTCCAATTTAACTGTGATTGAAAAGGAAAAAAATGTATAGTAGTCTCTTACCCTATTCTAAACTTTTATAGCATTTAAAGTCACAAGTCAATTTGATACATATTTGGATAATCCAATAATATTATTAGCTGCCTTTGTATATGTATATATTATTTCCCTATTAGCACTCTGGGGAGGAATTGTATGTTATATTTGTAACATGTATAGCTGGAAATATAACAGCAGAAAGTAAATAAAAGTTGATGTATCAGTATTGTTTCAATTGAATAAATTACTCTTAACTCTGTTTATAATTCTAAACTATTCTTCTCTTTTATACATTCAGAAAAAAAAATTCCAGATGTATCTCCAACCAAACATCTCTCAGTAATATAATTTATTTGTTTACACTCAATAATTTAAAGGTAAAATTCTCTGCCCATTGGAAATCAAGATAAATGGGGATTAATGGAGATCTAAATCATGATTAGAAGAAATCCTAAGTTGGGGATGTAGGCAATAAAGAGCTGAAATAGACTTTTCAAAAATTTAGCAAGGGTGTTGAGCTGGATGAGACTGACAAAAAACTAACAGGGAAGGGAAGAAGAGAGTAAAAAATAAGGGGGAGTAGAGAAATTGGGATAAAAAGTTGAGTGTCAGGACTGAGGGTAGAAGGAAATCTAAAATATCCTGGTGTCTAGACTTTTTCTATAGCTGCTTACCTTTGTGATGTCTATTAGAAGTTTGTCCTCATTAATTACACATCTATTTTGCAGTCACTAAGCTCAGAATGGCATTATCATTTAATCACAGTTGATTAATTTTTATTGAGTGATTCCGAAGTACTGAAAAGAAATCTTCCCCAGGTTCTCTAAAATGTCCTAAAAAGCTATCAATAAAAGGTTTCAAAATAAAAGTTACTAAGCATGGATATATCGCAATATATTTTCTCTTCAAAGATTATTGAAAACAAACTGAAAACCAGGTTGTTGTCATTTTGAAGGGTGGTTTATGTTGTATTTTATTTGAGTGTGTATATGTTTGTGTGTGTTTGCATAAAACAAATTATTGTCATATGCATAAATATGATTACTTAATACATATATAGGCATTATTGGGCTCTTTAATACATAGATGTACAAACAAGATGCTGTAAGATACAGACATTGATAATAATGACATAGATATTCCCAAAAATGTTAGCACATCATTTTTATTTCTAGATTAAACAAATCTTTTTCAATGAGCAATTGTGATGTTATTTTCATTTTTGCTTATATTCAAATGTTTTATAAATTTGTTTTATGTTTACTAAATTGATTTTGTTTAGAAATTAAGTTGAGGAAAAAAGAGATTAAAAACATAAGCACATTCATAATGTGTAATGATGAAAAATTGACACAAATTAAATTTAAAAAACAAAGTATGTCATTAAAATTATGATAAGGTATGCCATTAAGATAAAATGCAGATATCCATCACAAACAATTGAATTGTATTAATGCTATCACAATCCTCCAACAGGGGAAAATAATCCTAATAAATAATATTTATGAAAAATGATGACATAGAGATTTTTTAAATTAATTCATATAATTTCTTGGAGTAGTATAAGAAGATAATGGGTCCAGTATTAATATTCTGCATGTGGCTAACCAGTTATCACAGCACCATTTATTGAATAGGGAATTCTTTCCCCATTGATTGTTTTTGTCAGATTTGTTGAAGTTCAGATGTAGGTGGGTGGTCTTATTTCTGGGTTCTTTATTCCGTTTCATTAGTCTATGTGCATGTTTTCATAACATTGCCATGCTGTTTTGGTTACTGTAGCCATGTGGTATGGTTTGAACTTTGGTAGCATAATGCCCCCAGGTTTATTCTTTTTGCTTAAGACTGCCTGGGCTATTTGGGCCCTTTTTCGGTTCCACATGAATTTTTAAATAGCTTTTTTCTAATTGTGTGAAGAATGGTGATAACCAGATACTATGTTGAAGGCCTTGAGTGAGACTCTGAGACTTTCTGACTTCAGGTGAGACTCAGCACATTCCCAGCTGTAGTGACTATGGGGTGAGACTCTTTGTGCTTGCGAAAAGTGGAGGAAAAGTGAAGGGGACTTTGATTTGCACCTCAGGTACCAGCTCAGCCACAGAGGTGTAGAACACCAAGCAAGCTCATTGGGTCCCCAGTTCCAGGATTTCACTCTTTGACAGCATTTCTGATCCAGCCCTGGGCCACAGAGGAGACCACTTCCCTAAAGAGTGAGTCCTAGACCATGCAGGCAGCATTCACCACAGGATGACTGAAGAGCCCACGGGCCTTACAGGAGCATTGCCAGTAGTCTGGCAGTACTCCCTGTGGGTCTGTGGTGGCAGTGGCCATGAAGTGAGGCTCCTCTGCCTTTGGAAAGGGGAATAAAGAGTATGAAGGATTGCATCCTGTGGTTTGAGTGCCAGCTCAACCATGTACCTTTGAAAAAGCAGACTTCTATGGTTTTGAGTCTATCTCCTGGCTCCCAAAAAGCACCTCTGGATCTACCCAGGTTCTGGGGAAACTCACCACCCTGAATGCAAGGACACGGGCCCAGCTGTCTTTGTCACCTGCTGATTGTAGAAGCCCAGGGCCTTGAGTGAGTATAGGTGGTAGCCAAGGAGTGGTTACAGCAGGCCTTCAGTGACACCCAGTGCTGTGTTGGCATCGAGTCTGACACAGCACAGCCCTAATAGTGGTGGCCACAGGGGCACTTGTGTCACTTGACCCTTAGCTTCAGGTAGCTCAGAACAGAGAGTGGTACTGTGTTTGTTTGGGAGAAAGGAAGGGAAGAGAACAAGAGTCTCTGCCTGGTAATACAGAGAATTCTTCTTGATCTTATCAAAGACTATCATGATGGTAGATTCCAGGAGTCTGCAAGAACCACAGAATTACTGGACTTGGGGTCCCCATAAAAAAAGATACAGCTTAGACTACAACACTCAAGTTCTTAAGAATATCTGGAAATTCTTCCCAAGAAGGACAGGTAAAAAACCAGACTGCGAAGTCTACAATAAATATCTAACTCTTCAATGTCCAGACACATAGGAATATCTACAAGTCTCAAGACAATCCAGGAAAGCATAATATCACAAAATGAACTAAAAAAGGCACTAGGGGCCGGGCGCAGTCACTCACGCCTATAATCCCAGCACTTTGGGAGGCCGAGGGGGCAGATCACGAGGTCAGGAGATCGATACCTTCCTGGCTTACATGGCGAAACCCTGTCTCTACTAAAAATACAAAAAATTAGCCGGGCATGGTGGCAGGCACCTGTAGTCCCAGCTACTCGGGAGACTAAGGCAGGAGAATGGCGTGAACCTGGGAGGCGAAGCTTGCAGTGAGCCAAGATTGCGCCACTGCACTCCAGCCTGGGCAACAGAGCGAGACTCTGTCAAAAAAAAAAAAAACAAAAGGCACTAGGGATCAATCCTGGAGACAGAGATATGTGACCTTTCAGGCAGAGAATTCAAAATAGCTGTTTTGAGGAAACTCACAGGAATTCAAGGTAAAACAGAGAAAAAATTCAGAATTCTATTAGATAAATTTAACAAAGAGATTGAAATAATTTAAAAGAATTAAGCAGAAATTCTCAAGCTAAAAAGTACAATAGACATACTAAAGAATGAATTAGAGTCTTTTAACAACAGAATTGACCAAGCAGAAGAAATAATTAGTGAGATTGAAGACAGGCTATTTTTGAAAATACACAGAGTAGACAAAAGAAAAAAGCATAAACCATAATGCAGCATACCTACAGAATCTTTTGCAATATAAAAAAACCCTCAAATCAAAATGAATCTAAGACCTCAAACTATACAACTGCAAGAAGAAAACATTGGGGAAAATCTCTAGGACATTAATCTGGACAAAAATGCCCTGAGTAATACCCCACAAGTACAGGAACCAAAGCAAAAATGGACAAGTGAGATTACATCAAGTACAAAAGCTTCTGCATAGCAAACAAAGCAGTTAACAAAGTAAAAAGACAACTCACAGAATGGTATAAAATATTTGCAACCTACTCATCTGACAAAGGATTCTTAACTAGAACATATTAGGAGCTCAAACAACTGAGTAGAAAAAAAATCTAAAAATCTGATTTAAAAATAAGCAAAATATTTGAATAGACATTTATTAAAAGACATACAAATGGCAAACAGGCATATGAAAAGGTGATCAACATCACTGATCATCAGAAAAATGCAAATCAAAACTACAATGAGATATTATCTCACCCCAGTTAAAATGGCCTATATCCAAAAGACAGGTAATAACACAAATGTTGGTGAGTATGTGGAGAAAAGGAACCCTTGTACACTGCTGGTGGGAATGTAAATTAGTATAATCACTATGGAGAATAGTCTGGAGGTTCTTCAAAACAATAAAAATAGAGCTATCATATGATCCAGCAATCCCACTGCTCAGCATATAAGCCAAAAGAAAGAAAATCCATATGTTGAAGGGATATCTTCACTCCTATGTTTGTTGCAGCATTGTTTACAATAGCTAAGATTTGGAAGCAACCTGAGTGTCCATCAGCAGATGAATGGATAAAGAAAATGTGGTACTTACACACGGTGGAGTACTATTCAGCCATAAAATTAATGAGATCCTGTCATTTGCAACAGTGTGGATATGACAAAAAGTCATTATGTTAAGTAAAATAAGCCAGGCACAGAAGGACAGAAATAGTACGTTCTTACTTATTTGTGAAATTTAAAATTCCAAACAATTGAACTCATGGATATAGAGAGTAGAACGATGGTTACCAGAATCTGGGAAAGGTAGTGTGTGGGGTGGTGGGAAGGTGGTGATGGTTAATGGCTACAAAAAAATATTGTTAGAAAGAATGTATATTTAATAGCACAACAGGGTGACTATAGTCAACAATCATTTAATTGTACATTTAAAAAATAACTGGAAGAGTATAATTGGGTTACTTGTAAGACAAAAGATACATACTTGATGGGATGGTTACCTCATTTTCCATAATGTAATTATTGTGCATTGCATGCCTATATAAAAACATCTCATGTGCCCCATACATATATACATCAACTATGTCCCCACAAAAAGTAAAAATGAAAAAAAAGAGAAACATCACACTGTATCCCATAAATATAAAAAATAGTTATGTTAATTATATATAATATAAAACTTTTAAGAGAAAAATTTTTTTTTTTTTAGACAATGTCTCCTATGTCAGCCAGGCTGGAGTATAGTGGTGCAATCTTACTTAGCTCACTGCAACCTCTGCCTCCCAGGCCCAAGTGATCCTCCCACCCCAGCCTCCCGAGTAACTGGGACTACAGAGGTGTGCTACTGCACCTGGCTAATATTTGTATTGCTAGTAGAGATGGGGTTTCATCATGTTAACCAGACTGATCTCCAACTCCTGATCTCAAGTCATCTGTTCACCTCTGCCTCCCAAAGTGCTGGGATAACAGGTGTGAGCCACCACACCTGGCTGAAAACTATTTTATGATGACAATGATTTATATTTATTTTAAAATGGAAAAAATAATTAGCATAGCTGAATTAAAAGCAAATGTTTCATAGTATATTATAATTGTTTTTCATAAATAATATTTTATTTAACATGGCTTTTAACTTTAATGTAAGATTTAAATAAATTTTACATTGATATTGAACAAAATATGATTAAATATTTAAAGTTTAGTTATATTTGGTACTTCTTAAAAAAAACACTCTATAATCACACAATCTTAATATCCCCTGTAAAAGATAATTTACTAAAACTAATTTCTTTACCATGTGTCTTAGTAACTGAAACAGAATAAACACACTAGGAGTTTTATCTTTCTAGATTGCAATATATTAGTGAATCAGTATTTGAACCATTCCAGGATATCTTAAAGTTTTTAAAAAACATTTCTAATTAAGCAAAAGTATTGCTTGTCTTACTTGCTTTTTACCTATTCTATATTTATAGGCCATTTTGTTATATGTTCAAGTTACAAATGCAGATGAAGTATGACTCCTGCTCTCAATTGACTGATTAGGATTTGAGAATTGGAAAACAATGGCAAAGTAATCTAGAATCTGTTGTTAAGGTCATTGCCTCCAAAATACTTTAAAAAATAGATGCATAAAAAGCAACCAATACAGAAATGATCTAACTCAATTTCAGATAGGATTGGAATATAAAATTATGATTGATTTTTTAATTTTAAAAAGTAATAGAATTTTCAAACAATTTTTCTAATCCATGAATTAAATAACAAAAGATTTACCTTCCAGAAGAACAAATGTGCTGTACTTATGAACAACCTTGGAACAATGTGTTCAAAATAGTCTCATAAATTTGAAATCTACCTATTGGAGTGTATCACTGGTCATCGCTAGCCTCCTATACGTAAATTTTCACAATGTGGCATGTTAAAAATCCTTACTTTCTCAATTTTTGTATATACTTGCTTGTCCTCTGCCATATAACTTTGCTGTCATAATATGCCTCAAACATTTGTGAGTTAAACCATGCACATGTGACATGTGCAATAAAAAATATCTCCTGTGATTTCCCACAGGCTTTTGAGAAAAAGAATATTTACAAGAAAGTGAAGGCTAATCAACGAGAGGAAGAGAGAATCTTCCATCTACACATTTTACATTCTCATTTTAAACATACCTATAAAAATGTCATCTAAAAACAAACAAGAAATCTTGGTCACTGGAATGGTCTTGAATAGTCAATAGTGTCAAAAAAAGGGGGGTTCAAGAAAATATCAGCTTTGCTGGTTTAGCATCAAACTCCAAGGAGAACATGGGTTGGTTTAGCTTCTTAGCCATTACTGTAACTTTTGAGAGGATAAGTAAAACACATTTTTAGTTAGTACTAATTGAGAGGCCCGAGGAATTTCACACTAGGATTGAAAATAAATGTCACGGCTGTTCTACTCACAAACTAAAACGAGAAAAATAAAGAGTAATGGATAATAACATAGACAAAAATGTTACTGAAGAACAAGCTTTCATAAATTTAGAAGATAACACAACCTAAATTTTTTGGAAGCTTATGGTTGAGAGAATTACATACAGATTTTTCAGGTTAAAAACTTAGAGACTTCTGAAAACTTTCATGATTCAATTCCAAGTTACTATGGTTTGTCAGAAACACAAAGTGGCCAGCAATATACACACAATTTTCTACATATAATGTATCTAATTAAGAGTCACATAAAAATGGTATCATCCCCCCCAAACAAAAGGCATATACATAAAAAATATGGTGCAAAGTGTGCAAAACTACCAATCTTCTTACACTCAAAGGCAGAAGAGCGCTTTTTGGGAGATGGTGTCTCAATAATTGTAAAGATGTTTGCAGACATAATGAAATGCTTCTGTAAAACCACTCATGGAGCAGTAGTTGCATCTAGTATGTGTAAAAGAACATTCTTCATAATTCAAGTTATTTATTAAGCTGCAAAAGGGAAATCCATGTTATTCCAAAGATAAAATTAAACTAAATGCATTCAAGAGATTCTTCTCACTAGGTACCAGCACAAATGTACTAATTTACTAATAAAACAAATAAAAGAATATGGAGTAAAAAGCCGGCATTCTAAAAACAGAAAGACTCCAAAAAGAGAATAAAAACACAACTTAACACCCCCAATCCATCAAAAGCACACATCAGAAGGTATACATATGTAAAACATTTGGATACTGAAAATTACACCCATACCAACACACACAGACACACACACACAAATACATGATAGAATAGAGAGTGAAAAGGGATATTAATATGTAGGAGGAAACGGTGTTTGTATGTGTGTATTTACATGAGAATATGTTCATGATTTAGTAGATGAAAGAATGTTTTAGAAAACAATGTAGAATAAAGCCACTTAGAATTGAAAACAGAGCTGTTACTTCTACTGCTATTGCCACCATCCTCAAATAGTGTTGCAAGTATAAATAAAATAAAAATTTAAACAATTGATAAAAATTAAACTGTTTAATTATTTGTCAGATGGGCATGGAATCTTCCAAGGGAACATCTAGGTACTTCCAAAGATTAAAAATTTTATTATACAAGTTACATTTTTTGGTTTGCAACCTCTGTATGGAAATCTGTAGAGGAAAATATTATGTCACCCATATAGGATACATATTTATACTTTTTCATTTTTATACTATTACATATATATAATGCTGCAATAAACATATTTGTGAAAAAAAAGAAGATATTTGCAAACAGGTCAGTGGAAACATTTCTAAGAATAGAACATTTCCCTTGATATTGGCATGTTCTGGTTGATTTCATGACCAAGATTGAGATGGGTCTCAAATTCCTACTGCTGGTGATGCCACTGTTCCACACAGAAAATTTCCTTGTACTCATGTTTTCATTTTGGGGTATTCAATTCTTTGTGAATTTTAGAATTGTTTCTCTAATTCTGTAAAAAATGGCATTGGTAGTTTCATAGGAATAGCACTGAATCTTTAAAATGCTTTGGGCAATATGGCCATTTTAATGACGTTGATTCTTCCAATCCATAAGCATGGTATGTTTTTCAATTTATTTGTGTCACCTGTTATTTCCTTCAGTTGTGCTGTGTGTAATTCTCCTCATAGAGACATTTCACCCCGTTGGTTAGTTGTATTCTTAGGTATTTTATTCTAGTTGTGGTTATTGTAAATGAGATTGCATTTCTTATTTGGATCTCAGCTTGAATGTTTTTAGTGTCATATTTTTGAAACTTGACTTGCCAATGCTATGTTTTCTGGAGTGAGTTCTTATCCCATTAAAGCTAGTTTTGAAGACACTAAGAAAATTTCTAATATATCTTTATACTTTGTTTACCTTGTTAGTGAATCTTAATCACCTATAGAAACCTGAGTAAAAATCCAGTGTCCCTCCGTTCAACGTTTGCTCAATAACATGCGTGTAATTAATACTTACTTAAACCTATGCAAGAGGTACCTCTGCCTTGGGTTTCATGATTTCAAGGGTTCAATATATCACAAACTCAAAAAAATGCATTTATCAAGCATAGTCTCTCACTAGGTGTCTAACATACAACACTGACGCAGAGTGACTTTAGCCCTAAAAACACATGTCATGGCCAGGCGCCGTGGCTCACGCCTGTAATCCCAGCACTACGGGAGGCTGAGGTGGGCGGATCACGAGGTCAGAAGATCGAGATCATCCTGGCTAACATGGTGAAACTCCCGTCTCCACTAAATATATAAAAAACAAAAAATTAGCCAGGTGTGGTGGCACGCACCTGTAGTCCCAGCTACTTGGGAGGCTTAGGCAGGAGTATCGCTTGAATCCGAGAGGCGGAGGTTGCAGTGAGCCAAGATCACACCACTGCACTCCAGCCTGGGCAACAGAGCAAGACTCTGTCTCAAAAAAAAAAAGAAAGAAAGAAAGGAAAAACAGTCATGTTTCACACTGTCCCAGCCCCACAGTATTTTTTTTTCTCCTCCTACATGTCCTTGAAGTCCTGTGTCTTCAAAACAAAAAAAAAATTGTGATCTCGTCTAGATTCTGTGAATTTGTGTGGTTTGTGCCCCGATAGACTTTAGAGATGGATATTGATTCAAAGTGTGAGGAGGCTATTAGTGGCAGAAGCAATTAGGAAGGAAGAAAAAAATAATAATAATTGTCATTTCCTTCCACTGAAATTGCACCAATGAAATATATATTTCCTTAAGTAGTATCATCTAAAAATGCTAACATGGGTATCTTGAATCTCTTTATTACTATAATTTTAGTTGTAGCACTATTCAAAAATTAATGCATCATGTGTAAGAATTGGAGTAAGGAACATACATACTTTTCAACAATTTATTACTCTCTGAAATCTATGTATATATAATTTTATATGTAAAATGCATAAAGCTTGATGCTAATAACTTATGTTGAAAATTAGAGAGACATTTGGGGGTGAAATTGTAGTTTTATTTTACAAAAGTATTCAATGATATTTAGTTAAAATGGTTAAAATTAGTTTTATTTTATTACATTTTAATATTAATTTAGGTATTTTATAAGAATATTGACTTTTATAATAACGTACATTGTTTCTTATATTTTTAAAAATATTTCATTCCATTTATATTTTTTGGGAAAATATTGTACACCTCTAATACGATTGTAATCTAAGCACTTATATATGTGCTATATAGATAGAAGAAAACATGTGAAAACAGCCTAGATTTAATAACCTAATTATTGCTTATGTGGAAAGGCAAAGAAAAATTATGCTTACTATAAATATAAAATGACTTATAAATTACATCCTTCACCACATTCTTGGCTATCAGTACAACTATGGACATTAATATTTACATTCAATTATTTTTGATAGTTGTCTAGAAGTAATATACACAGATAACTTTACATACATTTTTCAATTTCAACACTGAAGTCTCATTTGTTAAGGTAGGAGGACAAGCATATTTTATTTAATTGTTTCTTAGCTTGATTTATAACCTTAAATTTTTGGCATATAGTGTAGATGTCTTCACTTACACTCATTCCCTGAGCCTCACAAATGTTAGAGGTGTATGTAAATTTAAATTGTTTTACAGTTTTGAAGGAAAATTTTTATTCACTAAAATGTGAAAACATTGAGCATTAACATCGTTACATGAACTCAGAATTAAATGTTCTTGTTTTATTTGAAGTTGCATACATTTCTTTTTTTTTAAATTATAGTTTAAGTTCTAGGGTACATATGCCCAATGTGCAGGTTTGTTACATATGTATACATGTGCCATGTTGGTGTGCTACACCCATCAACTCATCATTTACATTAGGTATTTTTCCTAATGCTATCCCTCCCCCCTCCTCCCACCCCATGACAGGCCCCAGTGTGTGATGTTCCCCACCCTGTGTCCAAGTGTTCTCATTGTTCAACTCCCACCTATGAGTGAGAACATGTGGTGTTTGGTTTTCTGTCCTTGCTATAGTTTGCTCAGAATGATGGTTTCCAGCTTCATCCATGTCCCCTACAAAGGACATGAACTCATCCTTTTTTATGGCTGCATAGTATTCCATGGTGTATATGTGCCACATTTTCCTAATCCAGTCTATCATTGATGGACATTTGGATTGGTTCCAAGTCTTTGCTATTGTGAATAGTGCCGCAATAAACATACCTGTGCATGTTTCTTTATAGCAGCATGATTTGTAATAGTTTGGGTATATACTCAGTAATGGGACGGCTGGGTCAAATGGTATTTCTAGTTCTAGATCCTTGAGGAATCGCCACACTGCCTTCCACAAGGGTTGAACTAGTTTACAGTCCCACCAACAGTGTAAAAGTGTTCCTATTTCTCCACATCCTCTCCAGCACCTGTTGTTTCCTGACTTTTTAATGATCACCATTCTAACTGGCATGAGATGGTACCTCATTGTGGTTTTGATTTGCATTTCTCTGATGGCCAGTGATGATGAGCATTTTTTTCATGTGTCTGTTGGCTGCATAAATGTATTCTTTTGAGAAGTGTCTGTTCATATACTTTGCCCACTTTTTAATGGGGTTGACTTTTTCTTGTAAATTTGTTTAAGTTCTTCGTAGATTCTGGATATTAGCCTTTTGTCAGATGGACAGATTGCCAAAATTTTCTCCCATTCTGTAGGTTGCCTGTTCATTCTGATGGTAGTTTCTTTTGCTATGCAGAAGCTCTTTAGTTTAATTAGATCCCATTTGTCAATTTTGGCTTCTGTTGCCATTGCTTTTGGTGTTTTAGACATGAAGTCCTTGCCCAAGCCTATGTCCTGAATGGTATTGCCTAGGTTTTCTTCTAGGGTTTTTATGGTTTTAGTTCTAACATTTAAGTCTTTAATCCATCTTGAATTAATTTTTGTATAAGATGTAAGGAAGGGATCCAGTTTCAGCTTTCTACATATGGCTAGGCAGTTTTCCAAGCACCATTTATTAAATAGGGAATCGTTTCCCCATTTCTTGTTTTTGTCAGGTTTGTCAAAGATCAGATGGTTGTAGATGTGTGGTATTATTTCTGAGGGCTCTGTTCTGTTCCATTGGTCTATATCTGTGTTTTGCTTACTGTAGCCTTGCAGTATAGTTTGAAGTCAGGTAGCGTGATGCCTCCAGCTTTGCTCTTTTGGCTTAGGATTGTCTTGGCAATGTGGGCTCTTTTTTGAACTTTAAAGTAGTTTTTTCCCATTCTGTGAAAAAAGTCATCAGTAGCTTGATGGGGATGGCATTGAATCTATAAATTACCTTGGGCAATATGGCCATTTTCATGATATTGATTCTTCCTATCCATGAGCATAAAATGTTCTTCCCTTTGTTAGTTGCATACATTTCTAAAGTATTTTTTGTTTAAAGACTTAATGAAATTATATTAGATCAGTTTGATTTTCCAAAGGATACAGACAAATGCATTTTTCAATGTAAAAACAACCCTACAGTACTTTTGGTAAACATGTATAATGTACCTCTGTTTTAGCATGTGTTCCTTTAAGAACAATGTATTATTTTGTTGGTTTTGCCGATAAAATCATAAAGAATTATAACAAAATGAAAGTTCAAAATAAAATGCATGTTTGTATGCTTACAGACGGAAAACTCTGTCATTTTGGCTAGTTATCAATCAAAAAATATTCATTGGTTTTTCTATATGGAGCCCAGCTTTCTAATTAGGTCCTACATGGATACAGAGCAAATGCAGTAGGTGTTCTTACATTCAGGAATCATTGTAAATAAAATAGGACTTAAGTTAGTTCTTGAATCATTAGTTATAATTCTTAAATAAAAGTACCTCATACAGATTGGAATTGGTGGTAGCAGCTTACTTTTCCCATGATCAGTATAAGACAATTGTTAATATTTAATTTTGAAGAAAATAAAATGCCTCACTTTTATTCCTCTAAGACACATCATTCTCTGTAAGAAGAGGTTTATAAATTACGTAATAGGTCACAGGTAACTTCTCTTCATCCTTATGAATTGAGAATTACACCACTGGATGCAATAGAGTTACTCTGGAAAATTAAATAACCTTTGTATTAAAAAGAAAATATTCTCTATTGTTGTAGTACACTAAGCAAAATGACTTGATTTCATTTTTTATTCTTACTGCTTACCTCAAGAGCAGTCTATTGCTGAGACGTGACAGCGTGCTGGCAGGCAGCCCTCGCTCGCTCTCGGCGCCTCCTCTGCCTGGGCTCCCACTTTGGTGGCACTTGAGGAGTCCTTCAGCCCGCCGCTGCACTGTGGGAGCCCCTTCCTGGGCTGGCAGAGGCCGGAGCCGGCTCCCTCAGCTTGCAAGGCGGTGTGGAGGGAGAGGCGCAGGCGGGAACCAGGGCTGCGCGCGGCGCTTCCGGGCCAGCGTGAGTTCCGGGTGGGCGTGGACTCGGCGGGCCCGGCACTCAGAGCGGCCTGCTGGCCCCGCCTGCCCTGGGCAGTGAAGGGCTTAGCACCTGGTCCAGCAGCTGCTGTGCTCGAGTTCTCGCGGGGCCTTAGCTGCCTCCCCGCGGGGCAGGGCTTGGGACCTGCAGCCCGCCATGCCTGAGCTTCCCCCCGCCCCCGCCGTGGGCTCCTGTGCGGCCCGAGCCTCCCCGACGAGCGCCGCCCCCTGCTCCACGATGCCCAGTCCCATCGACCACCCAAGGGCTGAGGAGTGCGGGCTCACGGTGAGTGGTGACAGCGTGCTGGCAGTCCTCACAGCCCTCGCTCGGCGCCTCCTCTGCCTGGGCTCCCACTTTGGCGGCACTTGAGGAGCCCTTCAGCCCACCGCTGCACTATGGGAGCCCCTTTCTGGGCTGGCCAAGGCCAGAGCCGGCTCCCTCAGCTTGCAGGGAGGTGTGGAGGGAGAGGCGCGAGCGGGAACCGGGGCTGCGCCCGGCGCTTGCGGGCCAGCTGGAGTTCCGGGTGGGCGTGGGCTTGGTGGGCCCCGCACTCGGAGCGGCCGGCTGGCCCTGCTGGCCCCGGGCAATGAGGGGCTTAGCACCCGGGCCAGTGGCTGCGGAGGGTGTACTGGGTCCCCCAGCAGTGCCAGCCCACCGGCGCTGCACTCGATTTCTCGCCAGGCCTTAGCTGCCTTCCCGCGGGGCAGGGTTCGGGACCTGCAGCCCGCCATGCCTGAGCGTCCCACCCCCTCCATGGGCTTCTGTGCTGCCGGAGCCGCCCCGGCGAGCGCCACCCCCTGCTCCACGGCGCCCAGTCCCGTCGACCACCCAAGGGCTGAGGAGTGTCCTCTCTTAGCACATAAAAAAATCAAACAATTTTAGTTTCTTAGGGACGGCTGATGGTTGTACATTGCACTTACATTGGAGAGAAAAACAATAAACCATTTCAAGAGAACTCAGAACCAGATTATTTTTAATCACATAAATAAGCTCTGAGGAAGTTCACTGAAGCAGGAAAAAAAACACTTGATGTGAACACCCACCTATGAATTGCAGCAAATAATTATGGCTAACAAGGATTCCAATTGTACATGTGCCCAGATAGAGGTATTTATATAAATAATGGAAATTAGCATAAACCATCTGAAATTTGTAATCATTGCTAACTATTAGTTACTCTACAGTCTTTCCACTTTGTAAGCAATTCATAACAAGCTGGAATTCATGGGATTTACATGTCCTCTGTGGATTTATTTTCTACGAAAAATAATGCAACCCCCATATTCTCTCTTTAAAATGATTTTGACTCATCACAATTTAGTTAGAATTAGCAGAGTAGGAAAACAATTATATTCACGATTAAAATTTCAAACTAGGCAAATATCAGCTGTTTTTCACGCAAGAACTCATAGGAAGATGGTAAGCAATAGAAACAAACAGTAGTTTATTTCATTGAACATAAGTGCTCAAGAGAGAAACAAAATGTCAATTTCTTAAAATATTTCTCTTGACTTTAGAACGTAAAAGAATGTCCTATAAAAATAGGTCATCTGCCTATGTGGAGCTCCTTGTCCTTAAAGATGCCTTACAGGCTTTGCTCTAGCAATATCCAATGAATAGCCACAATGAGAGTGTCACCATGCTCACTCTCAAATCGATCTTAATTACTTAAATGCAGAGAGAAGTTAAAGGATCACATGATTTTCATACAGCTTGGTAACTCTTTCTTTTAAGGGAAGAAATGCTATGTACAGGAGCTATGCTAGACTCTTGAGTCTAGTGCATGTATATTACTCTGAATACTAGGCAATGCTTATTACTTAGAGCCCTAGGTACTTTTCAGAAACTATAACCATGTTGAATTTGTAAAATATGGACAACTTCAACAATTAAGAACATTTTAGATTTTCTCTCATATTGTGTTTGAATACTTGGTTCGTTGCATAAACTATATCTGATTTCCAATTAGCAAAGTAAAAAAAAAAAAGGCATAGCTTACAGGTATTACATGTTTGTGGTGGTGGTTGTCCTTGTGTAATCTTTGAATTTTTAATTATTATTTTGTATGCCACTGTATTATTTCTTGGCTTGATAAGTATTTTTCTAAACCTTTCAAGCTTCATAGACAACCAATTATTTCCTTCCACACCCCTACCTTCACATTGCCATGTATAGAAAAGGCGGCTGTAGGATATAGAGTGAGGGCCTTATAAATACTAAATGAAAACACGTGCAATTTTTATTTGTAAGGGCACGCTGCTATGGTTTGAAAGTTTGTCTCCTTCAAAATTCATTTTGAAATTTAATCACCATTTAACAGTATTAAGAGGTGAGACCTTTAAAACGTGATAGGCCATGAAGGCTCCACCGTCATGGGTGGATTTGTGCCATTATAAATGGAGAAATTCAGCCCCCTCTTGCGCTTCTAGCCTTTTCACCTTCTGCCATTTGATGATGCAGCAAAAAGGCCCTCACAGGTGCCAGCATCAGGATAATAGACTCCAGCCTCCAGAACTGTAAACCAATAAATGTCTGTTTATTCTAAATTACTCAGTCTTCAGTGTTCGATTATGATAGCATGAAATAGACCAAGACACGTGCATATACATCAAAAGATTGTTCCATTTGTTTTTGTTTGCTTTTTCTCAAACCACAAATTTTACCTCACATTGGTACTTCAATATTAGTGGTGGATAGCGTACTTCAAATATTTGTGATGCATGAGAGCATTTTGCTCTCAGGGACATAAGAAATATTTGTGTCCTATTTCTTCTCTGATTCTCTTTGACATTATAGAATTTGTGTTACCAATTTTTATTTTGATATTTGCGCGCTCCACATTTACTAGTTGTTCAAGTTAGTAACTATCACATTTACCTAACAGGTTACAGGATTCCCATTTCAGAACTACGACCATTTGAAAAATAGAAGATTTAAAGATTGACGCAAAGTGCATGTACCATGATACACCAGGTAAACTTAAGATTTAAGTACTTCCCATCAGCAGAATTCCAGAATTCCAGAATATTACTATCATAGTAGTGGTAGAGATGATGATAGGGTGTATCTATGTAGGTTAACAATTTTCTGCCTCTAGGATATATGCTCTCAATTGTCTTGGAATGTAGTCTCTTATTTGATCTTAACAAAGTCTGATGCTGTGGGATGCTCCACCTGAAATCTCAGTAACAAAGATTATGCTTCTGTTCTCAAATTGCATCTAGTATTAATGGGATTCTTTGCCTTTTGAGGTTCAGATACCCGTTGGACTAGCAAAATGAACATACACATGCACTTGATTGTACAAAAAATATTCAAAACATCAGAGACTTCATTAGTTTCAAGTATTGGTTTTTCTATGGGGTGCATGTAATTTCGGTTAATAAAAGTGTACAAGCCGTCACCGGACTCATCATTTATGCATTACAAACAGTCACAATGATCAAATGCTCTAATGCTACTCTGAGATAATAAAGAGAAGGTATTCTGAAACAGAGAAGATTTAATTCCAGGCCATCTTTTAAAAAAATAATTAAACAGAATTTACCAGGTTCATTTAAACAAAAATAACTAATTACAATATGCAACTTGAATAATCAAACAAGTTATCTATGTGCCTGAAGCCAAGACTATTCTGTAAAATGAAAATTTTAAAACTGGTGAATTACCTATTAAAAATCATTTCAATCCTCACCATTATTTTATTTTCCAAATGGTCAAGGATTATATTGAGGTTTTCTAAGCAAGAAAAAGGCACAGAGTTTGGCTCTGGCTTTATTTACTGATCAATACAATCAAGAGTGGAAAACATACTTTGCAGTGTAGGTCAATTGTCAAAGGCATTTCAATTGTTTAAAGACAGGATATAAGAATTTAAGAGTTATTTGTTTCTGTCATCGGCAGGGTGTTAGTCATGGCAAAATCATCTTCTGATTCTCCTGTGGATTAAAAAAAAGGATCAGAGGCTTACATGTTCAATGGATTATTTTCCTTTTTGAGAAAACAAACTCTCCTCCAAAGCAAATAGTTTCTCTGTGGAAGGAAAGAACAGATATAATGCCTTCAGGGATTTGTCAAGAGACTACTGGGTGGAAAAGAACTAATCACATTTTTCAATATAGTAGAACCTTAAAGTTACTTTGTCTTTTATCATCTATACATGAAGGGTCATATTTTAGTTTCCTAGGGCCACTATAGCAAATTACCAAAAGCTTTGTGGTTTAAGACAATAGAAATTCATTATCTCCCAGTTCAGGAGGTCAGATGCCTCCTGAAATAAGAATGACTTTCTCCTGGTGGCTTTGAGGGAGAGTCTGTGCATGCCTCTTTCCTAGTTTCTGGTAGTTTCCTGGAATCTGTAGCATTCCCTGGCTGAGACACGTTGCTACAATTCCTGCCTCCATCTTCACATTCACTTGTTCTCTGTCTATCTTTGTGTCTTCTTTTCTGTCCTTATGAGGAAACTCATTAGATTTAGGGTCTGGCTAAATCTTGGATGAACTCTTCTTCAGATCCTTCATTTCATCTGCAAACACTCTTATTCTAAATAAAAGGTTTCAGGTGACCATATATGTTGAGAAGATATCATTCAACTCACTAACTATATCACATTTTCATTTTAAAATCCTATAAATATTCTCAATTCTAACTCTTGGTATCTGATAAGCAAGAGAACTGAAAAATTAGTTGTTTTTTTTTTTGAGACAAGGTCTATCTCTTTCGCCAAGAGTAGAGTGAAGTGGTGCAATATTGGCTCACTACAACTTCCACCTCCTGAACTCAAGCCATCCTCAGCCTTCCGAGTAGCTGAGACTACATGTGCATGCCAGCATGCCTGGCTAACTTTTGTGTATTTATTTATTTATTCTTTTATTCTAGTAGAAACAAGATTTAACCATGTTGCCCAGGCTCATCTCAAACTGCGGGGCTCGAGCGATCTGCCCGCCTAAGCTTCCCAAAATGCTGGGATTACAGGCATGAGCCACTGAGTCTAGAGGAATGACATGCTCAGTGAAGCCAGAGTTTAGGAGGCTGATCCAATGATGCTGTCACAGTCTGCATCTTGCGTATGTTCTGTGTTCTTTTTATTGTGTGGCAACTTAAAATTACTTGTACCTTATATTATGCCAGTTAAAGAAGTTGAACCTATTATTAATATCTTTCTCCAAAACATTCCCACAAACAGATTACCTTATCAGTGATTTTTTCCTAATAGCTATTGCCAAAATAACAGCAACTTCACACATATTCTTCTAAAGTGAAGAAACAGGGAAAGTATTTAAAAAGTATTTTTGTGAAGCCAGCAGAACCATGATAACAAAATCCAACAAGAACATAGAGTATATGTATACACATCAAAACAAATTACATGAAACATTTGTAAATAAAAATCCAGAAACAAATAAGATTAGTATTAAATTACAGATGTCTGTTTTATAAATCACGAATGCAAAGACAATGTAGAATTAATGTTAATCTTTCTGCATGATCACATAAGAAATTAAATATGTATGACTGTCTTTATAGATGTATTCAAATATTTGATGAAATTTAACAAATATTAACTTTTAAAAGCAAAGCAAATTTTAAAAAAATAAAATGTCCTTTTTAATGCATCCATACAGAAAACTATCATGAATTATCATTACAAATACACTGATACCCACATTCACTACTTCTGTTCAATTTTGTGCCAGTGATCTAAGATAGCACAACACAAAAAAACCCAAAAAATTCAATGTATAATATATTCAGAAACATCGTGAAGGTGTTTCCTCATTCAAAATAATATGAATAAAAATAATCCAAAAGATTCTCTGTGCTGTGGTTCAGCTCTGTGTTTCCACCCAAAACTCACCTTGAATTGTAATCCCCACATTTCAAAGGCAGGACCAGGTGAGGTAACTGAATCAAGAGGTCAGGTTCCCCTATGCTGTTCTTGTGATAATGAGTGAGTTTCATAAGATCTGATGGTTTTATAAGCATCTGGCAATTCTCCTTTTTGCACTCATTCTCTCGCCTACTGCCCTGTGAAGAGGTGCTTTCCCTCATGATTGTAAGCTTCCTTAGGCCTCCCTAGCCATGTGGAACTGCGAGTCAGTTAAAACTCTTTTCTTTATAAATTACCCAGTCTCAGGTATTTCTTTATAGCAGCAAGAGAATGGACTAGTACACTAAACAAATATTAGAATTAATCAATTAATACAATAATATTGGAAAAGATAAGAGCAATGCAAAATAAATGAATTGCATTTGCAAAACTCAGAAAGTTATAGAAAATAAAATGATAAATTTTACCATTTACAATCATATAAAAATTAATTACCTATGAATATATCTAACAAAAGATAGGAACAATTTATATGATGAAAAACACAACATACTCCTGAAAGATATTAATACATAAATAGGTCTGTGAGGCCTGTACATAAATATAGATTTGAAGACAGCATTTCTTCCAAATATGCTTATAAATGCATGCAATCCCACAACCACTTCAGAAAATATTTCCTCAGAGTTTGTTTTAATGTGCATACATTGATAAACTTTCTCTAAAATTTATATGCAAATATAAAGGGCTCAAAATAGCCCAGATAATCTTAAAGAGATATAACAAACCTGGAGAAATTCCATTACTAAAAATCACATCTTATTTTAATACACAAATACCATACTGCGTAATCAATGTGGGAATAGATAAACAGATAAAGGCATGAGAGGAAAAGAGATTCCAGAACCCAGCAAGAATGTCTCTGAAAGGATTGCTGTGTGGCATGTCTTCTTGTGTACAGCAGTTGATCTCTTGCAGCACTCAAATACATTCTCATATACATTTTCAGGGAAAAGCTTTCCCAGGACTCCTTCTTGCATTTCTTTCTCTTCTGAGGGAAAACTAAGAGAAAAGAAACTAACTGAAGCAGTTATTGTCAGGGCCACAATTGACACCCATTTTCTCCTCCTTCCATTAACCATTCTATATCTCTCTCAATCAGCAAATAGCTCTGCTTGACCTTAGTAGCTTACCTGGAGGTGAGACCTGCATCCTTGAGGGGTTTGAGTTCCTGATTTCCATGCCCTTCTTATACCAAAGTCTCTGTATCTGTTTGTTTAAACCATGGGTGGACAAAGAAATAGTAGTGGGCTCAAATGGATCATGTGGGTTACACTTGGATTTCTCCTTGCCCTTTGGTGTAACAGAAGTCCACTGAAAATTACAACTCAATTTTCTATTTTCTGATTGTTGATAAAACAAAACAAAAGATCTCAAAATGCCTAGGGAGCAACCATAATTTATAGTTCAACTGACTTTCTTATGTCCCCAGTAGAAAGGTGCCACATTTGAGGATAAGAAACTCTAACCCTGCATATCCCAGGGCTGCAGGGATGGGAAGCATAAATTCCCCAACAGGTCATTGAGAATGGTGCTTAGAGGGACTCCTTCTGCTTTCATCTCTTAGTTTTCTGACCAGGTATTCTTTTTATTGATTATATAGCATTATAAAAAGTTACATGATTCAACAAACTCTCACTTCCATCCCTTGATTTGTTTCTTTTGATCCAGTTCACCCTGGAGTATGGCACACCAAATTTTAAGAGTATTCCTTCTCAGATGGAACTTCTTCATGCCTTTAGCAGGGTCTTTTAACTCTATCCAAGCAGCCATATGGGAAAAGAACAATGGATTCTAATTATAGCTCTCTAAGTAAATGGCCATATGTCCCTTTGGAGAAGCACTGAATCAGTATATCACATATTTGCCATAATATTTTGGAGTCCTTCTGCCTGGGATTCAGTAATTTTTAGTTATGAGATCAATTTCTAAAGCCTGGTTCATATTGAGGAACTAGAAAAATAAAGTTTGAGTTTTTTGGGGGATGTTGACCTCAGCTATTGTTAGCATTAATGAGATTTAGCAATAGTCATCAATCCTCTTATTCTTATAGATATTTTGCTTTTTCATGCTTCAAGTGCTTCAAATATCACATCAGCTATTGCATTCTTCCCCACTGGGAAACCCTCCCAGTTCACCATGGCTGAAAGGTTTAAAAGCTGGCTTGGCACTTGTGCCAGGGGCAGTGTGCTCTGTCAGCAGTGATGGGTTCTTCATTGCAACCTGCGCAGTGAGTGATGCAATTCCCAAACCCCATCTTATTCCTTCCTTCCTGGGACCACTCCAGGAAGTGAGTCAGAGCTTGGAGTACAAGATACTTTTTAAGAGTCAACATCAGTAAGGGAAAAGGGAACAAAGCAAGCTGGATTAGACAAACTGCAGGACCAAGAAAGCCTCTGTCACCCAGAGGGGATCTCTGCAATGAAATTGCTCATCATCTTTGTACCACATCAAACCAAATTTTCAAACTTTTAGAGCTTTGGGCAAGGTGACTTTCTGCATAGGAGGCTGGTCCTGAAGGAATTGACACCTGGAGTCTGTTCAGTGACTGCATTCTCTGAAGCTCTACATAGATGTCTTCCTTGAAGTGTGACCTAGGTGTGATGTCTTCATGTCTACCACACACCACCAAAAAAAGTAATGCTATATTAGTAACAATGTTTTTCATAATGTCCTAAATCTGGGAACTACCTAATGTATCAAATTGAAATGCATAAATATAATGCAGAATATTGATATAATGTTATAGCATTGATATTTGATAGGGTTTGGCTGTGTCCCCACCCAAATCTCATCTTGAATGCCCACATGTTGTGGGACAGAACTTGTAGGAGGTAATTGAATCATGAAGGCAGGTCTTTCCCATGCTGTTCTCGTGATAATGAATAAGTCTCACAAGATCTGATGGTTATATAAGAAGGAGTTTCCCTGAACAAGCTTTCTCTTTACCTGCTGCTATCCATGTAGAATAAGACTTGCTCCTCCTTGCCTTCCACCATAATTGTGAGGCCTCCCAATCCATGTGGAACTGTAAGTCTATTAAACCTCTTTCTTTAGTAAATTACCCAGTCTTTGGTATGTCTTTATCAGCAGCGTGAGAACAGACTAATACAGTAAATTGGTACCAATAGAGTGGGTCGCTGCTGAAAAGATACCCAAAAATGTGGAAGGGACTTCGGAACTGCATAACAGGCAGAGATTGGAACAGTTTGGAGGGCTCAGAAGAAGACAGGAAAATGTGAGAAACTGTGGAACTCTCTAGAGACTTGTGAAATGGCTTTCACCAAAATGTCGATAATGATATTGGCAATGAAATCTAGGCTGAGCTTATCTCAGATGGAGATGACGAACTTGTTGGGAACTGGAGCAAAGGTGACTCTTGTTATGTTATAGCAATGAGACTGGCGGCATTTTGCCCCTACACTAGATATTTCTGAAACTTTAAACTTGAGAGAGATGATTTAGGGTATCTTCCAGAAGAAATTTCTAAGCAGCAAAACATTCAAGAGGTAACTTGGGTGCTGTTAAAGGCATTCAGTTTTACAAGGGAGGCAGAGCATAAAATTTTGGAAAATCTACAGCCTGAAGATGTGCTAGAAAAGAAAATCCCATTTTCTGAGGAGAAATTTCAAGCTGCCTGCAAAAATTTGCTTAAGTAACAAAGAGCCAAATGTTAATCCCCAAGACAATGGGGAAAATGTTTCAAGGACATGTCAGAGGACTTCATGGCAGCCTCTCCCATCACAGACTCAAAGGCCTAGGAGGAAAAAATGGTTTCTTGGGCCAGGCCCAGGGTCTGTATGCTGTGTGCAGCCTAGGGACCTGGTGCCCTGCATCCCAGCTGCTACAGGCATGGCTGAAAGAGGCCAATATAGAGCATGGGCCGTCGCTTCAGAGAGTGCAAGCCCCAAGCCTTGGCAGCTTCCACATGATGTTGAGCCTGCGAGTGCAACGAAGTCAAGAATTGGGGTTTGAGAACCTCCACCTAGATTTCAGAAGATGTATGGAAATGCCTGGATGCCCTGGCAGAAATTTTGCTGCAGGGGTGTGGCCCTAATGGAGAACCCCTGCTAAGGCAGTGTGGAAGGGAAATGTGGGGTTGGAGCCCTTCACACAGAATCTCTACTGGGGCATTTCCTAGTGGAACTGTGAGAAGAGGGCCACCATCCTCCAGACCCCAGAATAGTAGATCCACTGAGAGCTTGCACCGTGCGCCTGGAAAAGCGCCAGCACTCAACACCAGCCCATGAAAGCAGCCGAGAAGGAGACTGTACCTTACAAAGCTACAGGGGTGGAGCTGCCCAAGACCATGGGAACTCATCTCTTGCCTCAGCATGACCTGGATGTGAGACATGGAGTCAAAGGAGACCATTTTAGAGCTTTAATATTTGACTGCCCTGCTGGATTTCAAACTTGCATGGGGCCTGTAGCCCCACTCTTTTGACCAATTTCTCCCATTTGAAATGGATGTATTTACACAATGCCTGTAACCCCATTGTATCTAGGAAGCAACTAACTTGCTTTTGATTTTACAGGCTCATAGGCTGAAGGGACTTGCCTTGTCTCAAATGAGACGTTGGACTGTGGACTTTTGAGTTAATGCTGAAATGAGATAGGTCTTTGGGGTACTATTGGGAAGGCATAATTGGTTTTGAAATGTAATGGCATGAGATTTGGGAGGGGGTGGGGTGGAATGATACGGTTTGTCTGTGTACCCACCCAAATCTCATCTTGAGTTCCCTCTCTTGTGGGAGGGACCTGGTGGGAGGTAATTGAATTATGGGGTCAGATCTTTTCTGTGCTGTTCTCATGAATAGTGAATAAGTCTCACAAGATTTGATGGTTCTATAAGGGGGAGTTTTCCTGCATAAGCTCTCTCTCTACCATCCATGTAAGAAGTGATTTTCTCCTCTTTGCCTTCCACCATACTTGTGAGGCCTCCAGAGCCATGTGGAACAAGTTCATTAAGTGTCTTTCTTTTGTAAATTGGCCAGTCTCAGGTATGTTTTTATCAGCAGCATGAGAACAAACTAATACAAGCCTATAGAAGTAACAATTAACATAGATACTCTATACAAGAGCGTAGGTCCATTTAACAAACATATTACTTAGGAAAAAGACAAAATACTGTCTATGATGCCATTCATATAAAATTTAAAAACAACCATAACATGTCTATGATGCCACACAGTAAGGAAAGCAGGGCATGTGGTAGCCACATCTCCCTTTAAAAAAATGTCTGGAGAGGCCTGCAGTCACTTTACCCTCATCCAAGCTGCACCCTCTTATTGGTCTCTTAAATGGGGCAATGAGAATACAGGAATAGCACAGATTAAAGATAGTAAGAGTGTCTGCAATATTCCATACAGTCTTGTACTCCATCTTATTAAAACAAAACCACCCATGTCCTCAGTTTTGTGACCCATTATGTTTCTTCTTTGGCTGAAACTATTTTGAGTTGCTTCCCAGACACTTGTCTTATAAAGGGCCTGCAATGCACAGACTCTTAGAAACCAGTGCCCAGTTTATATCATCAGTTTGACTTTTGGAGAAACTGGGGAAGGTAGATAAAATTATATATATATACAAACACGCACACACACATATATATATACACACACACATATATAATAACGCATCTATGATGCATATATATAATGCATATGCACATGTATGGTACATATATGAGGCATATATATACATCATATGTGTGTCATACATTTATCATTTATATATGTATCATATATGTATGTAAATATTTTATTCCTTTTACTGTGTCAGATGTCCATTTGGGAAAATAATAAGATTAATGAGAAAATATGAAATAAGCTTTTGGTATAGTACTGTTCAATGAAATTTTATGAATGCCTGTCTTATTTCAAAACAGTGCACTTAATAAGAATAATCAATCTCATATTACCTTCCAGTTTTAATGTTAGTGAATAAGACTGATAATTTAATAAATCTTAGGATGATGGTGTGTATATAGTCTCTAAGTAACATGGTGAAGACCAGTTGGTTAAGCCTGGTGATGCAGCAACTCAATTGTAAGAACTAAACTGTAACAATTGAACTTAAATAAAAGACAAATGAATGAAAAAAATTATATTTTAATGCTCAAAATTATTCTTCATTGTTGTTGGAGGTATGAATAACAGAAAATGAATTATGTTATTTCCTAAGCATATAATGGGTAGAAATAAGAATGTCTTTTGAAATTTTTTTTACCAGTTTAAAAATATGACATTAAAATTGCATTTGTGCAGGAAATAATACAACGGGTATGAAAGAAAGAAAAAGAAAAGTTTTTTGCTGTGAGGAATATATTTTTTCTCCTAAGGATATGTCACTTTCACCCAAGTAATCTGGTTGCCACATTGCAATATTTCACCTGACAATAAAAAAATCATTGTATGTTATTCTTCTTCTGTCCCTGGAGAATATGAACGTTAATGATAACAGCATTGTGTCTACCTAAATGAAAACAAAAACCTAATTGTAATAATCCAGTACATACAAGTGTGCCATAATGAAAAATAAAGTAAAATATTTATTCAGATGTCATGTCTTCTTTCAATTATTTGAGGTAACATTTCTAAGAGGACTTTCACCTCCTCTTAAGTTTATGATTCTTTTTGACTTTGTAGAAAGTGACAGAATAAAAAATATTTCTTATCAATAGTAACATTGAATATGTCTGATATATTTGATCTTTCACAGGTGTGTCATATTTTTTGAAAAGAAAAAGTGATCACAAAATTCTTTTTGATGTAACCACAGAAGCGAAACGTTTTCATAAATGGTAAAACCCTCATACAATTTTGAAAACAATGAAAATTGCCTATTATTAAAATTGAAATCTTTTTGCTACTTGATACATAATTTATTTTATTGTGTGGCAAAATTATTTGCAATTCAAATTATACCATTGTGTTCAGTGCCTGGGTGATGGGATTATTCATACCCCAAACCTTAGGAGCATGCAGTATACCCAGGTAACAGATCTGCATATGTACTTCCTAAATCCAAGATGAAAGTTTGAAAATAAAATTATTCCCACTTAAAAGAAAAAAAAGAGAAAAAAAGCATCTATGGAAAACTCACAGCTAACATCACAGTGGTGAAAGCCTGAAGTTTTCCCCCCTGAGATCAGGAACAAGGTAATGATACTCACCCTTTTTAATTCTATTCAACATTATACTAGAAGTTTTAGCTAGAGCAATTAGGCAAGAAAATGAAATGGAAGACATACAGATTGGAAAGAAAGCAGGAAAACTATCCCCATTCTCTCTCTCTCTCTCTCTCTCACACAAGCGCACACACACACACACACACACTATTCTATATATACGTACACACATATATAACATATATTAATATATATGTGTTATACGATCTTGTATACACACACAAGATCATATATACATATATACATACGTATATACACAAGATCACATAATTATATATTATATATGTATATATAAATTTCTATAGAAACCATTAGAAGAAAATTAATACTAATAAGTACAGCAAGATTATAGGATTCAAGGTTAATATACAAAAATCAATTTTAGTTTTAGACACTTTAATCAAACAATTTAAAAGTGAAGTTACAATTTTATGTTTAAGAGCATTAGAAAGAATAAAATACTTAGGAAAATATTTAACAAAAATAATGCAAAACTTACTCTATGAAGATTACAAAACTGTTGAAAAATATTAAAGAAAAATCTAAATATGTGGAAAAAAATCCTATGTTCAAGGATCGAAAGACTTAATATTGTTAAGATGGCAATACTCACTAAATTGATATATAGATTCACCACAATCTTGGAATTTTGGAGTCTCAATTTTGGAAACCGACAAGCTAATCCTAAAATTTATATGGAATTGCACGGGATCTAGAATAGACAAAATAATCTTGATAAAGAAGAAAAACTTGGAGGACTCACACTTTTCAATATTAAAACTTACTAAAAAGCAGCAGTAATCAAGATAGCGAGGTACCAGTATTTATATACAGGTATAACAATGGAATCAAATCTAACATTCAGAAATAAGTAATGTGTCTATGGTCAACTTATTTTGATGAGAGTGCCATGATTATTTAATGAACAAAAAGTCTTTTCAACAAATGTTGTTGAAACATCTGGATAGCACATATAGAGATTCTTACCTCTCACAATATTAAATAACTAAATGGGTGAAAGACCTAAATGTAGAAATTTAAACTAGAAAACTATTATGGGCAAATCTGAATACCCTCTAATTTGATAATGACTTCCTAGAATGGTTTCTTAGAATGACAAGAAGTAAAAGAAACCCAAAAAAGATAATATGGTCTTCCTCACAGTTCCATGCTTCTATGTTTCAAAATACATATGAATGCAGCTTGAGGTCATTGTCCTAAGAGAACTAATGCAAGCACAGAAAACCAAATACCGCCTGTTCTCACTTACAATCAGGAGCTAAACACTGAGAACACATGGACACAAACATGGAAACAATAAACACTTGGGACTATTGGGGAGAATGGAAGGGGAGTGAGTTGAAAAACTACCTATTGGATAGTACGCTCACTACTTGGGTGATGGGGTCGTTCATGCACCAAACCTCAGAGACATGCAATTTACTCATCTAACAAACCTGCACATGTATTCCTGGACCTAAAATAAAAGTCAAGAGAAAAGAAAAAGACAAACCACCAATGAAAGAAAATATTTGCAATCATATATCTGATAAGGAGCATGTATCTAAACATATAAGGAAAACTGCGATCTGTCAGGATCTGTACACTTTAGGATAATCAGGGTAACCGTGAAAACAGCTTACCAGGAAATTAGGGTGGCTTAAATTTTACAAATAATTTCTCTATCTCTGAGTAACTCCTGCCATTTTTCAAATCCAGATTCAACCCAAAGAGAAAAGTGGCCTAGATGATATAGTTTATAGAAGTCAGCTTTCCAGGAAATGAATCTGAGCAAGATATAGAAAAGTAGATTATGGAATTCACTGAGCAAACAAGTAATAATCCACAAAAGCATTCTCTATATCAATATCTATTTCAGTCAACTTTGAAATCTGAATACTAGGGGATGCATCCTGGGGTGAAAGGAGGAAGAATACATCATACTACTATTTATCCACGTTTCATCTGTGTCATTCTGCTAAACACACCAAAGCTATATGAGGCTTAGTACCTTTAAAAAAATAGAGAAAAAATTAAAGACAAAATCAATGTAGAATTAATAGTTTATCTATGAGATCAAGGTACTGATGTCACTCTCTTTTACTGTGTGATTTGGAAAGGTTTGGAGGTTAGGGAACCAATGATCCTTAATTTTAGGCAGGACCAAGGTATCCCTTTTAGACCAACATTCCTTCTAATGTCATCATCATATCTTCATGCTCATAATACACTGTTAGTTCTCCAAAATGATTCAGTTTATTGTTAGAATTAAGTTTTTGCAAATTTTTATATTGAGTTGCAATATAGACTTTTTGGTCCTTAAAAAATAAAGAGAAAAAAACTAATCTTCCTTGAGTATGACAAAGCATAAAATCATTATGCCTTCTCAAACTTATAAATAGCACCATTATTCTTACTGTCAATAAAAAAGGCATTCCGGAATTTACATGTCTCTGATTTTCTGGCCTGGAACTCTCAGGCATTCCTACTAATAAATAAAAAATGTATGTAGGCCAGGTGCACTGGTCTATGCCTATAATGCCATCACTTTAAGAGGTTGAGGGAGAAGGATTGTTTGAGCCCAGGCTTCCAAGACCAGCCTGGGCAACAAAGGAACACCCCATCTGTTCCAAATAAAATTTAAAAGAAATTAGCCAGGAATGGTGGAACATACCAGTAGTCCCAGCTACTTGGTAGGCTGATGTAAGAGGATTGCTTGAGCCCAGGAGTTTGAGGCTGCGAGGGGATATGATCCTGCCACTGGACTCCAGGCTGGGAGAAAGAGAGAGACTTGTCTCAAAAAAAAAAAAAGTATGTAATGTGATGGATATATTTATTTATTTATTTATGTTCTATTGTGGATTTATACTTTTGGACAGCAAATAAAAGTATTTAGATTAAAAAATACTGTTGCTGCATCCATGTCTTCTAACAGGGTTGGCTTAAGGGCATGAGACACAGCTTGCTCACTCTGCGGTCACTGTGTTGACGTTCTTGACAACATTTTCCTTAAATTTGCAGTTTTAAATGGCATAAAAATTATTAATGAGGAATATATTTTTAAAGTTATTTTTTACCTAAATTGAAAATATAGCACTAAGAAAAAAACAGCCATTTTGAAACTGACCCAACAGTCCCATAGATAGGTTTGTTGTTGTTGTTTGCTGTTGTTGTTGTTGTTGTTTTTGATAAACTGAAATGGATGCTTCTGGCCTTAAAACTTAAAATTTACATTTGTTTTATCTGAGTTGCTTCCTCAGAAAATGATATTCTGGTCCCCAAAAAAACTTATCAAAGAACTGAAACTCACCAGATCACCACATTCAGACAATGAAATACCAGATCCCTCATTTATCGTGATTGCTTCCTTGCCCCTCCCTAGTTGCTGTTTTCTTACACATTGTTAAATTTCTTCCCTGCTATATAAACTCCTAGTTTTGGCTCCTCAGAGGGGGATTTGAGACTGAGCTCCCATCTCCTTGGCTGTAGTGCCTGATTTAAAGCCTTCTTCCTTGGTAATACCTGTTGTCTCAGTCATCATCTTTCAGTGCAGTGAGCACCAGGACCTAGACCAAACCTCTGGTGGTTAGGTAAAAATTTTAAGTTAGATACAACTCATGAAGTGACTTTGGTTTCTTTGTCACCACCACACAGCAAATGTCAGAGAGAACGTTAAAATGTTATTGAATACATTTATATTTAAAATTAAATTCATACTTATATCAAACAGATTTGTATACAGTTAAATCTTTTGAGAAAAATATTTCATTCCACGAAAATTATTAGCTGTAGAAGTACTAAAATTTATACTTCAAAGGAATTTATCTAAATATATTAACAGTCTACAAAATACTCTAACAGCTTCTATAGCAATTGCATCAACAGATCCTTCTCAGAATCAAAAAGTATCAAAAATTATTCATAACCATGCATTTTTAGAGTGAATAACATCACTTTTTATTTGTACCAATTAAAAATAAAGTTGATAAATATATAACTTTTAATGTCCTAATAAATAAATATTCAGGACAATATTTTATCAATCAAGATTTTACATTCATAAGGTGCTATTTTCTATTGTATTTTATAATATTGGGTTTTTTTTAATAATTTTGGAATTTTATGTTGTTTTCATGTATCATTATTACATTTTATAAGTTATAAAATATTTTTAATGGGGAAAGCTACATATTTTAATGCCTTTAAGTACAGCTGTTTGTACAAAAATAAAGCTTTTGACCTGCATTTTTATTTTGCACTAGTCCTAGCAAATTATGTAGCCAGGCCTACCTTCCAAAAATATTGGTTAGAAAAGCTTGATATAAATCATGTGCAATTATAAGCATTTTGTTGATATTGGGTGACGTGGCCTCTTCCAGAATTATAGTTTTGTTAGAAGAAAGTCAACAAAATTCCTTCTGGAAATGGCAATAAAAATATTGAAATAATGGCCCAAGAGATCTAAGTTGGATAGAAATATAAGTAGAACTAGGACAGGACAAATAGAGAGATCGACTGAACAAACAAGGTGAGTAAGCAGGCTGGATATATTTGTCAATATAGTCAGAAATTAAGATATTTAAAATTTTTGTAATGTAGTACTTTAGAATTAAGACAAAGTTTTGGCTCTGACTGTGAAGAGAGTAGATAATATGAAAATAATGTTTATGGGCAGAAGGTGAAAACAAAATTCCAGATACTGGCTGTGCCTTGCAATTGTCTTAACACTGACGAGGTGATCTAGCTACAGTAGGGGTACCCACAATGATTTGTGACAGATTAGAAACTGCAGGTTGAAAGAGCATTGAAAGTGTAACAATTTTCATTAGAGCAGCTAATATAATGATCACACACAAAGTCCATGGCTTATAAACACAAATCGACACATGCACGTCAGGTTTTTCAGTTTCCTAATGTACCAAAAATGAAATTGAGTAACAATTAACGTATGCCTTTGAATGATAAGCTAAACAAACTACTAAATCACAAAATCAATTACTCAATATCCATATAAGGTGGCATTTGACTTTTGGTTTACTTCCTTTAAGATTTGTAGTTTCCTACCTTCCTTCTCAGAAGACCATTAGCACAACTATTTCTGTTATATAAAAAGTAACATGGCTGGGAACTGTGGTTCACGCCTGTAATCATAAGACTTTGGGAGACCGAGGTGGGCTGATTACCTGAGGTCGGGAGTTCAAGCCCAGCCTGACCAACATGGTGAAACCCAGTCTCTACTAAAAATACAAAAAATTAGCCAGGTGCCGTGGCACGTTCCTGTAATCCCAGGTACTTGGGAGGCTGAGGCAGGAGAATTGCTTGAACCTGGGAGGCAGAGGTTGTGGGGAGCCAAGATCACGCCACTGCACTCCAGCCTGGGCGACAGAGAGATACTTCGTCTCAAAAAAAAAAAAAAAAAAAAAAGGAGCATAATAACAACATCAGACAGCTTAAAGTAAATGTGCAGGAAAAGTGTCTGTGTAATTTAGATGTTATAAGTCAATGTGCAACATTTGAGAACACTTAAAGCTATATAAAGTATTTTTCATGAAAGAAGGTGTCTAATATTTGGAAAGAAAAGAATATTAAAATTTTTAAAATTTTTAAAATTCTTATTTGTCACACACATACACACATAACTGAAAATTAACATGGAGAATAAAAAATAATGTATATTGTCACCAATGCCTTTTGTGTTTGTGACAACAAATTTAATGATAATTATTACATGAGAACATGCATAGCCTACTTAATCTTTACATTAGAAGACTCTTTAAATCAGGGAAGACATAACTGCTTCCTGTATCTTTCTTAAAGGATCAAAATACACCTCAATAGCTAGAATTATTTTGAAAATTTTAGCAGTATTCAAAAGTACTAGTTTTTTGTTTTTGTTTTTTGTTTTTTTGTTTTTTGTTTTTTTTTTTTGGCATGGAGTCTCTCTCTGTCACCCAGGCTGGAGTGCAGTTGTGCGATCTCTGCTCACTGCAACCTCTACCTCCCAGGTTCAAGCAGTTCTCTGCCTCAGCCTCCCGAGTAGCTGGGATTACAGGCGCCCACCACCATGCCCAGCTAATTTTTTATTTTTAGTAGAGATGGGGGTTCACCATCTTGGCCAGGCTGGTCTTGAACTCCTGACCTTGTGATCCACCTGCCTCGGCCTCCCAAAGTGCTAGGATTACAGGTGTGAGCCATTGCACCTGACCCAGAAGTAGTATTCTTTATTGAGATAATTTTCTATTGTGTTATTCAAGACACCATTGTCTTTGAGATAAGCAAACAGTATCATAATAATAAATATTAATTTGAGATAAAACTTTCATATTGAAGTTTTGTTTTACATATTAACTAAGACACTAGTGTTTGTGTGAATTTTTACATACATTTTGACAATCTATTGTAATTAATAATTAAAGTCATTCAAATTAAACAGTCATTCAAATATAGTCAAATATAGTCATTCAAATTAGCCTAAGTCTAAATAAAAATTATGTACTTATGTATCCTAGGCAAAGTATCAGCTACTTTTTAAATATTTTAATATAAATCTTCAATTATAAGATGTATTTCTAGCTGGCATTAAGAGTGTTATTGTGCCCTTTACATTTATCTGCAATATAATAGTTACATGAATAATTGATACATTATCTACTGTTTAAAAGAATATTATAGAATTATGGTCTCTCAAAGATCATGTCAAAATAGGTTTGAGGAGAAACTTCATTAAATTTTAAAAAGTCTTTCTTCTAGATTACAATAAAACAAAGTCAATAAAATTTGAAATTTACATCTATGTGTATTTTTCATTTCCATTCTAAAAAGTGACAGTGTAGACTTTTTTAGATAGATGCTATTGCACATCAACTACTTACTCAATAACTTTTTAATTAATACTTGTAACTGGAATGACTTGTCAAAGACTGAAGGTTTACATGACCCTCAGTTATTAAATAATTTAACACATATAGAAGCATCTTAGACATTCCCTTGCCATATGCATGTTAACTCTACATACTGAATTTGTCATCAGAGTGTGGTTTGGTGATCACTACATCAGAAAAAGAACTAATTTGGTTTTTCTCAAATGATTTATATTATTAAATATTTGGTGCTAAATATACATGTGTCTAAAATAGTAATAGTCATGTTACATTACAGAATTTTAATATCCTTATTTGTAATGTAAGCAGGTGAGGTTGTATTAGCTTATATAACCCTAAAATACTATTATTCCGTAATTTTATCTTGTTTTCTAAGATTGCAATCACATATTTTTACCTTCTAGGGTCTGAAAAACTTGATCTTTTCTCCTTGTTTTGTGTTTCAACTTGAATTAATACCAATTTCCATTAATTCATCATGTGTCCTTAAAGATATTTTACTATGTTTTTCTACTTTGAAATTTAACATTTAATAATTATTATTTTAAAATGTATTTTACACATCCTGTTCTATTATGTTACTTTACAGTCACAACTTTCCTAATTCCTGTTTCCGTCTGTTTATTTATAAAGGCACTTATTATATCCAAGACCGAATAGTTTAAGGTATATAAAGTGGAATGGCTGTTTACATTTTCTTTCGACAACTGGTAAACCTCTATTTTTTTCCTTCTGAAGGCATGAAAGACATGAGAATATTGATTATTGTTATTTTTTCTTTTTTTTTGAGACGGAGTCTCACTCTCTCGCCCAAGCTGGAGTACAGTGGCGCAATCTCGGCTCACTGCAAGCTCCGCCTCCCGGGTTCACACCATTTTCCTGCCTCAGCCTCCCGATTAGCTAGGACTACAAGCGCCCGCCACCACGCCCGGCTAATTTTTTGTATTTTTAGTAGAGACGGCGTTTCACCGTGGTCTCGATGTCCTGACCTCGTGATCCACCTGCCTTGGCCTCCCAAAGTGCTGGGATTACAAGCGTGAGCCACCGTGCCCGGCTGTTATTTTTTCTTAGGGAACATAGATACAGCATATCTACAGTGATTGAGAGATGGCTTTACTTAATTCAGGAAGAGAATTTGATTTTCTAATTCTATTTCTATGTCTGTCTTTTCATTTTCCTGACATTCAAATTGTTACCAGTCAGATAAAGTTATGTATGAGAATTAAGAATTACAATATATTTTAAAATATTGGAAAACATATTATTTTATTGTAATGCCGAGTGACATTCAAATTGTTACTAGTCAGATAAAGTTATGTGTGAGAATTAAGAATTATAATATATTTTAAAATATTGGAAAACATATTGTTTTATTGTAATGCAGAGTAAAAATAAGTTGTAAAATTAGTTATCTGTAAGAGTGTGTGCAAATAGGTATCAGTTCTAATTAGATGAATGTAGTACATGTGAAGTATTTGAGGTAAAAAATTAATGTTTTGAAGTCCATTTTAAAATTTTTTTTTGAGACAAAGTCTCACCCTGTCATCCAGGCTGGAGTTCAGTGGCTTGATGTTAGCTCACTGCAACCTCCACTTCCCAGGCTCAAGCCATCCTCCCACCTCAGCCTCCTGAGTAACTGGGACTACAGGCATGCAACACCATGCCTAGCTAATTTTTGTATTTTTTGTAGAGACAGAGTTTTGCCATGTTGCCCAGCCTGATCTCGAATTTTGGGCTCAAGAGATCCTCCTCCCTCAACCTCCCAAAGTGCTAGGATTACAGATGTGAGCCGCCACTCCAGCCCTGAAATCAATCTTAATGTAGTTGTAGAAGCCTTCTTAGTGAAGATTCCTCATGTCATCAGAATGAGAAAAGTCCTCAGTATGCTTATGTACAGGACGAAATAATTCAGTTAAATGAATGCAGCCTCCAAGACTTCATTGTGACCTCAATCTACCTGACATCTTCACCATTACCTGGTCCTACATAATTGATCTGCAGACTACAACTCTTTGAAACATAAAATCTGCTTTATCAAAAGATAAGTGATTTTACAAGTTTGTGTTAAAAAAAGGATAAATATATAGAGGTGATTTACAACAGTAGATCAGATATGTCACAAGAGCAATTTTTTTATTAGAAAAAATCTGAATAATGTTTGAAGTATTGTTATGTTTGAAAAACTTTGGTTCATTAGAGAACCTGACAGATCAGCCCTAAAAATCTCAATCTAACAATATAAAATTGATTTCAAATTTATTATTTTAATTTAAAAGATATATATTTTAGTAAATACATAAAGAATGAATATTTTTGCAGACTATTTTTACTATATTTACAGTTTTAATTTACTGGATTTGCATATGTTGTTTAAGTACTTAGGAATATTTTCTTGGTAAACTCATAAACTTGTTCAATCAGGAAGCAATTAACTGCTTAAAATAAAATCAAACCTAGAAAATTAATAAATAGTTTGAAACATTTAAAGGAAAATCATGAAATGAGTCTAAAAATGGAACTATTTATAAGAAATGTATACATGCAAACATTAATCATGCTTATAAATGGATTGATTTTATTTTACATAAAACTTACTTTTTTAACTTGAAATTAAAAGATAAAAATAAGTTTCTTAAGTCTATAATCTTGATAAACTGTGATTCACTTAAACACAAGCAATTCTTTTTAAGCAATAGTTGCTGCTCTTTGATATTAACTATCTCACATTGATATCTAATGGATAAAAAAGTTGTTTCTAAGTATATGAAACGATTGCCTGTGTGTGACAAATTTATATCATTGCTTTTATGAATGTTTAAAATTTCCATCTTCTTTTAATATAGTAAGAAAATAGTTCTTTTCTGCTAATTCTTGGAGAAAATTGGTTCTTTTCTCCATTCCCAAAGCTATAGCTGTTTTGAGCATAAAGTCAAAATAAAAAAGATTAGAAATGACCTAATGTGTCCATTCACACAATGTGATTAAAATTATAATTGGGACTTGGGTTTATTTCTCCTGGGATTTGATTCCAGGATTCTTTCTATGTTTCTTTCCTGAGTAAACGTCAGTGAATTACTTTATGTGCAGTTCCTTCAATCTGGCTGTGTTAATATCATGTTCCTTTGGGTGTCATTACATCTTAAAATAACTTTGTGCAAAAAAAAAAAAAAATGTTACTTCTGATTTCCAATATCCTGAGGCACTTCTTATTAAACTTTTATTTTCTTTACCTCCAGATTATGTGGAATATCTTGAGGTCCCTAATTATCACATTCTCCAAATCATATTCCCTATAAATCTATTTATAAATTTGTCCCCAAAGAGTTACTTTTGTTTAGCATAAGGAAAGAGATTTTAAATCATCTGTCATGAAAACGAATGTTTACTTAGAAAAAAATTGGAATATCTATGAGATTCCTTGATTATAAGTAGAGTCATTCTTATATAAAACTATGTAAAACTCAGTCTTCTCTTTAATAGTTTACCTTGTATCCCCTTCCCTTGCAAAACATTTCGTTCTCTTTCAGTTGCTTCTTACTGCCCACTGGACTTTCCCTTTTTCTGCATATGAATGTGGCAACTGGCAAACATAGTGTTCTCCCTATGAAATAAAAACTCTCATATGGTTAATAACTCCCTCCCCAAGGCAGAGCTTGAGGTCAATAGAATAGGTGGACATATTTTACTGGGGAGATGATGGCAGAGATGGGCAGTTTGGGAGGATGACATGAAGGGAAAGAAGTTGGAAAAGCCAATATGGAGAGTGTTTTGTCAAGATCACGGTTGTGGCTACCAGAATTAATTCTGCTGATACTTCCCAACCAATGTATAAAATGCCTGTCTGAATTTTCCTCCTGAAACACAAGAAAACTTTTATTAATTCATTTGTTAGGGGATGACCCTGGGTACCTTAACCCTTCTACATTATGGGTAACTCTTACATGTCTTCGAAAAGACCTAGAAATGGCACTGGATAGGAAATGGTAAGACTCTCAGTCCAGGCATAGGAAGGGATTCATGGGCAGAGGCTGATGTTGCACAGAATTGTGCATGGAAATCAGAGGTGTTCTAAGAAGATGAGGCATAAAGTATTAATGTCCTCTGTGTCACCACTTCCCTACCAAATAACAATGATATTATTACGCACTCATTTGTAACATATTTATATACTTAAATAATTAAATATTTGATGCACATGTATTACCCTTTTCTGTACACCAAAGCTCATCAAATTTTCTTAACTCTACATTCCCTTATGACTTTCTCCTTTCCCTTCTATCAGATATAGAAGATTTACTCAATCTAGCAAAGAAAGTCTATGGATACAAAATAAATGCTATCATAAGGTTGGGCATGGTGGCTTGCACCTGTAATCCAAGTGTTTTGGGAGGCCAAGGTGGGAGAATCACTAGAGCCTAGAAGTTCAAGGTTACAGTGAGTTATAGAACACCCCGTACTCCAGCATGGGCAACAGAGTGAGAGTCTATCTGTAAAAACAAAAACAAAGATATACACACAAAAAAAATAAATATTGGAAGAAATACTTCATGGCAAATTGGGTGTTCTTATTGTTGGTTTTGTTGCTGCTGTTGTTGTTTTCTCCAGAGAAAATAGGGTCACATGAACCAAAATGAAGCAAATGGAGACATTTTAACTCCCTCTGCTGCTGTATAATGGACAAGACCACCAGTTTCTTCAGAGACCGCCTGTCATTCATGGAGCATCTGGTTTTGTGAGATGCTGGTTACTGTCCCAGAAGGTCTGCCAAGACACTGACACCCTTATTTCCAGGACATATCTTTATGGGGCAATTCGTTTTCCAAAATATCTGTATAGGCTTATTCCCCGAGAGAAGTTGGGGCAGTTTTGACCCCTTTGACAATTAGGATGCCATTAATGAAAGCCGTGTCCAATAAACCATCTGAGACCAAAGTGAAACAGTTAGTGATTCTAGAATTTATAGATGTTGTAATTTGTAAAATTATAAATATTGTTTTACCCTGAGCTTCTCCAGAAGCAGATCCTGTAGCATATATTTACATTCTATTATATTTTTGAGAGTGCAACCCCAGGACAAAAGGGCAGGGAAAGGGGAACGAGATATCAAGCACTACTGATTGTTCCATTTTGCAGGACCCTCTTCTAAAAAGCCACACAAATGATAATTCAATATAGCCTTGCTAGGGTTTGAATGTTTGTGTCCCCTCCAAAATCCACGTTTTTAACTTAATTTCTAATGCAGTTATATTAAGAGGTGAGGCCTTTTGGGAAATGATTTAGTCATGAGGACTCCACCCCCATGCATGAATTAAGGCTCTTATAAAAGAGCCTTCACATAGGGTTCTCCCACTTTGCCCTTTCACTTTCTACCATGAGAGGATGTAGCCACAAGGCACCATCTTCAAAGCAGAGAGTAGCCCTCACTGGACACCAACCTTAACCATGCCTGGATCTTGGACTTCCAGCCTGCAGAATTGTAAAAAATGAATTTCTTATTTTTTTTAATAAATTACTCAGTCTGTATGTTTTGTTATTACAGCACAAATGAACTAAGACAAGCCTGTTGGAAAGTGGAAGAAAGAAAATTGTATTCACCATTGCTTTTCTGTTATTTGTCAGTGTTTTGCCTTATAGGACATTTAGTCAGAATTCATCAGCAGCAGCATCAAATCTTTTTGCTTCCCTGGGCCACATTTGAAAAAGAATTGTCTTGGGTTACACATAAAATACACTAACACTAACGATAGCCAAAAAAAAAAAAATCACAAAAAATCTCATAATATTTTAAGAAAGCTTACGAATCTGTTAGGCGGCATTCAAAGCTGTCCTGGGCTGCTTGTGGCCCATGCAGCCCAGTGGGTCTTGGGGGTTGGACAAGCTTGTACATAGTCCTGTGGCTTCTCCAGCCTCAGGGTCAGCAGCAGAGATCTAGTGCAGAAGTTAAAGGGTATAAGACAGGAGGATGAGATGACGTACTTTTGCATTACGATGCTTGAATTTGTCCAGAATCAACAAAATGTTGCCTCAGGAGGCCGTCATTCAAAACTGAAAAAAAAAAAGGTAAATCCTTGCTTCCTGACATGGACTTGCTCTCTCCCTCCAAGCTCCCTGATCTCACCCTTCCTCTCCACCTACATCTCAGCTATTTTAAGGAGAATAATGATTACATGTGGGATCTAGGTGACCTCTCCCCAAGGGAATCTGAAGGTCATACACATCTTCTTTTAGAAGGCTTAAATACAACCTTCTTTCTTATTTGTCTTCACTTACCACCCAGTTTAAAATTGCAAACTCAACTAAATAAGGAAGGTGATTAATAAGTCATTCCCTGTGCTCCTTCTTTGCTTTTGTTCTATATAACACTGATTATCTAACATATTATATATTTACCTTTTTAATTTATGTCTATCTCTGTAGAGCAGTGGTACCCAACCTTTTTGGCATCAGGAACCGGTTTTGTGGAAGACAGTTTTTTCACAGACAGTTGGGGGGAGATGGTTTTGGGATAAAACTGCTCCACCTCAGATCATCAGGTGTTAGATTCGCGTAAGGAGCATGCAACCCAGAGTCCTCGCATGCACAGTTTACCGTGGGGTTTGTGCTCCTATGAGAATCTAATGCTGCTGCTGATCTGACAGGAGGTAGAGCTCAGGTGGTAATGCTCACTTGCCACCACTCAACCCCTGCTGTGTGGCCTCGTTCCTGACAGGCCACAGACCACTACTGGATGGCCCAGGGGTTGGGGACCCCTGCTCTAGCACATATACTCTGTTAGGAAGGATCTGTTAGGAAGGAAGGAATTTTTGTTTTTCTTTGTAGTATCCTTAGCATGCAGAGAGGTGGCTGACACATTGTGTGTTAAATAAATAATTTGTTTTATTCAGGCATAAATAAATGAATATACTTTCATAATTAGTCATTTTTTTCTCAAAAGAGACTGGGGAAAATATCTGGATACATTCTCATTCAGTGTATAAGAAATATATTATTTTTCATGTTAAACATCTTTTTTTTACTTGTAGCTTTTACATCCCATTCTCTGTTTGTACTTTTTATGGTTATTTAGCTATAGTTCTGATGAATGGACACATTCACCAGCATATTCTTTAACAGTGAGTTAGTGAATGCTTTATTTCCTGAACCTTGGATTTGTCAAACTCATCTTCATTTTGTGCTATACAATGGATAACATGCCAGCTGGTCATAAGATTGCTGGGTCTATTCATTTCTTTTTCATGCATTGTAGAGGTTTCCCTGTTGTCATCTGTCACCTAAAGTTACTGAGAAATATAAAATCATCTCTGTATTTCCCTTTTTAAATGACCTCCTGTCTTTTTCCCTGGATGCTTGCAGGTTTCCTTCTTTAAACCCGAAGATCAGTAAGTTTACCAGAATCTGTCTCAGTCTTTTTGATCATTATTAATGCTTTTTGAGTCACTGAAATACATTGAGTGTTTTGAATCTACCTATTCAGGTTTCTTTTACAGAAAATGTTCCTGTATTTATTCTGAATATTTTGTTTCATTTTTCCTCGTCTACTTTCAAATACATCAATTATGGACATTTTATATCATAGTGTCTGTGTCCAGAGGAATAATATTCTTGGAACTCATTTTTATCTATTTGCCTTTACTGACTACTCTGTCATATTCTCCAATATGTCCCCATTATTGCTGCTGTTTTTTTTTTAATCTAAATAATTTATTTTGTAGGGTTTTATTTTCCCCTGTAAATAGTAATAAATCACTCAATGGTATTTTCCTTTTTTGATTCCTTTTTTAAATTCTACCAAGTATGTCTTTAACTTATTCTAAATTTGATTTTATCTCAGGTTGTTCATGTTTTGTTTTAAACTTTTAATTCCTCAAAATTTTGTACCATAAAAATATCCTGTTTCCTAGAGTAATTTTTCAAAATATCTTGTTAGTAACTTTTTTGTAAGTAAAAATTTCTCCATTGTTCACATAAATATATTATAAGATTATGTTACATATAATATATATTCTCAGATATATATAGATCATATATATACATATTATATATATATATATATATATATATATATATATATATATATATATATATATATATATCTGAGTCTGCTGAGTCAGCTAATTCAACCTAGCTTTTCCTCTTTCTTCTTTCCTCAAATCACTACTAAAACACTCTTGGCTAAATTCTTAAAATTCTCTGAAGATACATATTTTAGGTTCAGATTTCAGTTTAATGATAATAACCAACCAGAAGGATGCTGAAGTTGCTTGGGGATACTCTGAGGGGAATCAAAAAACTAATGGTCCTCTTCCCTTCCCAGGTTCTAAACAAGCTTTAAAATGATGCAGAGAATAGAAGATGAAGGGCAAGTTATTACCTTTTCCTAGACACAGTCCTAGGAATGCCAGACTTCTTGTTCTCAGGAGGATGCCCATTGACAGTACAGCAAAGCAGCTTGCCAACCCAAGTGTGCAGTATTCTCCTGAAAGGAAGAAATACAAAACTGAGCCAAGCTTACCTAGTTTCATTCACTCTCTCCCTTTTTTCAATTTCTCTCATTTTAGTTTTCCAATCAGATAAATAATTAAAGTAGGATAGATGAAATTAAAGAGCAGAGAAAGAGGTCTATATTTACATTAATTTTATCCACATAGAATCCCAGGATTTGGGATCTATGTGGATCTATGAGATTTCTCCCAAATCTCCCAGGATTTTGAAGAAAATATCCCCCTACAAGGTCAGGGGGCAGGCAAAATGTTTTCCACACAGTTCTCCTCCCAGGACACTGTCCTTGATGTTCCATGAGCCAATGCTATTGTTTGGGGGGGGTTTATTATCGTATGTCTTTCTCATACTTCAATTTGTACTTGAAGAATCAGGATGAGAATACTTATGCAACTCATAACAGCTAACATAATTCTTGGAATGTATTAAAATCTCAAAAGAATTGTAGAATAAATGAATGAATGAAGAAGTGAGGGAATGCAGTAATGTTTTATGAGACTAGTCTCCAAGAAGAGTATTTCTTTAGCCTCCCTACAGTTCAACAGTACTTTTCATCCTCCTTCTGCTGTTCAATGAGACACCCATGCACCTGGAACTTTCACTCGTGTCCAGAAACACAGTGTACCCTCTTGGAAATGAATGAAAGTCACAGATATCTGCAAATATAGATCTCCAATTTTGTTCAAAATGCTTGGTATCTTATAATTAGCTCTGAATGTATGTTATAAATTGAAATTCTTAATTGCATAATACAAAGGAAGAAATCATGTCCATCTTCAACAAATCTGTGTAGCCTAATCACAACAAATTTTTATTAACTTGCATAATATTGTCTGGGAATTACAGAACTTTTTAAGGATGTATTTGGTCAACTATAATCCTTTAAAGATGTGAGACTCATAAAACATATATATGTAATAATAAATAATTATTTTAAAAAAACAAAAATAATAGGCTGGGCACGGTAGCCCACGCCTGTAATCCCAGCACATGTAATAATAAATAATCATTTTTAAAAAAACAAAAATAATAGGCCGGGTGCAGTGGCTGAAATCCCAGCACTTTGGGAGGCTGAGTCGGGCGGATCACGAGGTCAGGAGTTCAAGACCAGTGTGGCCATCAGAGTGAAACCCCGTCTCTACTAAAAATACAAAAAGTTAGCCAGGCGGGGTGGCGGGCACCTGTAATCCTAGCTACTCAGGAGGCTGAGGCAGGAGAATCACTTGAACCTGGGAGGCAGAGGTTACATTGAGCCAAGATTGTGCCACTGCACACAAGCCCCTATGACAATGCGAGACTCCATCTCAAAAAATAATGATAATGATAATGTAGTTTAGGGTCAAATTGTATATAGAGTCTTTCTCCCTCAAGATAATTCAGGAGTTTCACAATGCAATAATGTTAAAAAGCTAACTTAAAAATGTTGAATGTTAATAGTCATTTATAACCGATATGTCATGTGGCAATACATTAATATATTTTCCTTTCTAAAATATAGTCGTTATGTTGAAACTATACATTGTTGAATGAAGGAAACAAAACTTTTCTATCAACTTTTCTACCAATATTCAGACTACATTATAAAAAATAATACAATAGGCTACAATTATGCAAGCATGCTTGGGAAAAACTTCATGTAATAACGCAGATATTATTAGAAAAAACTATAGTGCAACATGAGATATTTCCAGAATAAGCAATAAATTAAAAAGCAGAGAGTAGAGTTTTTCCTTCCTAAGGTGTCTGCTCTTCGCTTACCTGAGGCCATTTCTCCATATGAGCTTTGGAACCCAAGTGATATGGTTTGGTTGTGTCCCCACCCAAATCTCATCTTGAATTTTATCTCCCATAATTGCCACGTGTCATGGGAGGGACCCAGTGGGAGGTAATTGAATCATGGGGGCGGGTCTTTCCCACGTTGTTCTCCTGGTAGTGAATACGTCTCACGAGATCTGATGGTTTTATAAAGGAGGGTTCCCCTGCACACACTCGCTTGCCTACCACCTTGAAAGATATGACTTTGCTCCCCATTAACCTTCCACCATGTTTGTGAGCCCCCTCCAGCCCCCTCACAGGAACTGTGAGTCAATTAAACCTCTTCCCTTTATAAATTACCCAGTCTCTGGTATGTCTTTATTAGCAGTGTTGCAGTGCTACTGCACCATCCCTGTTCATTTTCTCAGCAACTTTCTTTATCTTATTATTTTCCTGAACCTTCCTCACATCCCTCTCCTAGATCATGCACCTCTATGTGAAAATGTACTACAGTGCCCCAATCTACCCTAGACTCTATCCACTCAATGACTGTACTCATGTCTCTTTCACATGGCTCAAAACATTCATGTTCTCATGAAACCTGTCCCCACTCACATTTTCCCCACACTCTGCAACCAAGTCTTTTTAGTCTTGCAGTTTTTAATATCCAGGAAATTGGCTATTGCTTATGTTAGACTTATTACCCATTTCCAAGGCATTTGGAACTTTTGAGTCCACATCTTTCCTGGAACTGCAGATATGTTCAATATAGTTGATTCTTCATTTCTTGTAGAAACATTGGCTTTTTTATTTAATATTAACACGTGGCCCTAATTTCTATTTTAATTTCCCCAATTTTATAGAAATCAAGTCTTGGACACATTATCTCTCTCAATTTTATCTCTGGGCAACATTACTCATTCTCATGCTTTGAAATGTCATATTTTGCATCTGTCTTATATATGTAAATATATATGTATCTACAAACATAGAACATGCAAACATACGCACACTTACATACAGTTTTGAATCCCAGGCTGACATATTTACTTTATTGTCTCATTTTATTCAGAAACTCAACAACTCATACCCGATATCTATATTTTTTCCTAAATCCAAAGGGTTCTCCATATTTAAAAAGGGATAATAGTCCATCTTTTTTCTCAATGTATTCTTAACACCTTCCTTTTCCTCCTGTCTATGCTCATGCAATGTTTTATAGATGCTGCACCTAACTGGTTTCTGCAGTCATTTAAATTCTTTCTCCTACCTCCACCACTGTAGCTCAGCCCAACACAATATCATGCAAAGGCACGTGAACTAGTCTCCTTACCTCTGCTCTTGCTATTTCTTCTCCAAACCCTTACTTCAAATGTTAACGTATTTTTTTAAAACATATAAATCGGATCATTTTCTTTTTATTTTCCAGAAACTAATTCATGGCTTCCTATTTTATTCCCTCTAAAATCGCTAATATTTAGTGTAACTTCTTTCATTTGTATGTTAGTCCTTGCTCTTCTCTTAACTTAATCTTCCCCACTATTCCCTTTCTTGCCTCAGATCTTGGCCCATTTGGTTAATTCTCATTGGAATTATCTTGCCCCTCTTACTTACTCCATTTTATTTTATTTTATTTTATTTTATTTATTTTATTTTATTTTATGTATTTTATTTTATTTTATTTATTTTATTTTATTTTATATTTTATTTTATTTTATTTTATAATTTTTGAGATGGAGTTTCCCTTCTATCACCAGGCTGGAGTGCGATGGCGATATCTCGGCTCACTGCAACCTCCAACTCCCTGGTTCAAGCAATTCTCCTGCCTCAGCCTCCCGAGTAGCTGGGATTACAGGCACGCATGCCTGGCTAATTTTTGTATTTTTAGTAGAGATGGGCTTTCTCCATGTTGGCCAGGATGGTCTCGATCTCCTGACCTCGTGATCCGCCCACCTCGGCCTCCCAAAGTGTCCATTTTATTCTTTAGGTACAATCTAAAATATCGTTTCCTCAAGAAAGCTCCACCTCAATTCCCAAATGTACTTATTCACCCATACCATCTTCCTTCATGAGAAATAAATGCCTTTTTATGTTTACTGTTCACAGTGTCATCCTTGCTATATTGTAACAGCCATCCAGGAAGAAATGCATATGTCTGGCATAGTCGTTAATGTCTGGCATCTATTACAATGCATGCAAATTTTTGAGGGGTGAAAAAAGATTTGCTATGGAAAAAAATAGCAAATCAATGTATAGTATTATTTTGACAGGATTTTTTAAAATGTCCCTTATTTATTAATTTAATTAATCCTTACAACAATACAGTGAGGGAAGAACTACTATTTTATAGTTGAGGATACTGAGGCACAAGTGAACATATAACTTGATTTGTGTTACAAGTCTTGTACATGACAGATTTAGATCTCAAACGAGACTTCAGTGCTAAATCCAGGGTCTGATTGTTTATCTATTTTGCTAAAGTGTCCCTCAAGCAACAGAAAAAGAATCTCAATTGACACTGATTTGTCAAGTCTAAAGTCATTTAGAAGACATTTGTAGATATTGTAATTTTTCTTACTTATATTTACCTATTAGAAATTCATTGATACACATTTATAATATTTATAACATATGTAACATATACACTTTAAGTAGGTGATTTTTCTGAGGATTATTTCGTTAGGACTTCATTTTTCTTCCAGAAAACAGCATAATTTATTCACTTAGTAAAAAAGAACTCAAAAAGAATCTGAGAGGGAAACTGGATTTCCTCAACATAGCACTGGATTTCCTGAGGACAGTTTGGCCCAGGACAAGGTTAGCCCTGTGAAACAAGATGTGGTAAAATATTTATTTCCTTTTTGTCATTGTAGCCAAAGAAATCCATTTCCTTGTTCCCTAAAGGGCTCTGTCTTACCATATAAGGAACTAAGTTTATTTCAGCTTCACTTTGAAATTTAGAAAAATCAGATTCTAGGTGTTGCAAGAAATAAAATAGAAGAAAAAGAGATATAAAAAGGGGCAACAGCTAGTAATATTCATATTATTTTATTCATTGATATGAGAAGAGAAACAATTTAGATTTTATTGGTGCAGTAAGAGATTTACATATGCTTATCCATATGGGTTTCTCATAATACAAAGAACGGCCATTGCTCAGTGCTCTAGAACTTTAACAGCCATGTTCATCTACTTACGCCCTCCCTTAAAGCATTTTTTTGTTGTCCCTTTTATAAAATTTTAAATATCATTTTATCACTTATTAAAATATTTATGTGAGTGCTTCATATAAATGTGCTTATACATACATACACAAAAACACATACACACACAATTGTTGCTGAATTCCACAAAAATAATATTAGAGAGTATATATTTTTCTGTAACTGTCTTTTTCTTCACTAGAGATTAGAGATTAGGACAGGACATTCGTATTGCTAAGTGTAGCTATCATTTATTTCTGTAATGTGTGGATTACTTGTGGCAATGTGTTACAATTTATTCATTTTCTCTATCAAGGCAGATTATATTTCGTCTTCTTCCTTTTGTCTTTTAACATCTGGAGCAGTGCCATTTTAAGTATTGTAACTCTCTCCTGGGATACAAGGACTAAAAATTCTCACGAGTGTAGACAAGTATGTTATTGACTCATTGTATATGAAAACTGGTCTTCACAATATAATGCCAAGCCATTTAACAAAATGGATTGCAATATGTTAAACTCAGGAGCATAATATACAAGTCATCTGACTGATACATGTGCTCTATAGAATACGATATTGCAACATTCTTAAAGTTTACCAACTGAATAAGTGTGGACTTCATTGGAATTTACCTATAAATAATTTCGAGTATATTTTAAACAAAATTTAAGAGGTTCAAGTGCAATTCTGTTACATGGATATATTGCATAGTGGTGAACTCTGAGCTTTTAGTGTAACCATCACCCAAACACTGTATGTTGTACCTGTTAAGTGATTTCTCAGCATCTTTAAAAATGTTCCTGTGACATGTATTTCCTATTTCATGACATGTCTTTTATATCATTTGCCTTTTTTTCCTACTCATTACTTGTCATTTTATTTCTAATTTGTACAACTGCATTACATGCCAGGGTCTGTCTTTTGCCTATTTTCTGTATTTCAAGAATCTTTGCCAAGTATATAGAGTCTATTGGCAGTCTCTAAGAAGTAGGTTTTGAATAAAACTTATTTAGTTTAAATTTAAAATTCTATATTTTATTATGTTAAAATGTATTTTTTTAATTTTTATAGATTCGGGGGGTACATGTACAGTTTCGTAATATGGATATATATTGCATAGTGGCAAAGTCTGGGTTTCTAGTGTATCCATCACCTGGACAGTCAAATAGTATTGTGCAAAATAGATAATTATTCCAAACTCACCCACAAACACCCTCCCCATTTTTGGAGTCCCCAGTTGCTATCATTCTCCTCTATATGGCCATAGGTATCTATTGTTTAGCACCCACTTATAAATGAGAACATGTGGTATTTGCTTTTCTATTTCTGAGTAAAAAAACACTTAGTATAATGGCCTCAAGCAACATGCATGTTGCTGCAATGACATGGTTTTATTTTTTATTATCTCAGAGTACTATTCCATGGTGTATATATGCCACATTTTCTTTAGCCAACAATTTGTTGATCAAAACTCAGGTTGATTCCATGACTTAGCTGTTGTGAATAGTGCTGCAGAAAACATAGGAGTACAGGTGTCTTTTTGATATCACAATTTATTTTGTGGAGGGTAAACATCTAGTTATGAGATTACCAGATCAAATGGTGATTCTATTTTTAATTGTTTGAGAAACCTCCATACTATTTTTCATAGAAGTTGTACTAATTTACATTCTCATCAACTGTGTGTAAAGCATTCCCTTTTCTCTGCATTCTTGCCAACATCTGTTGTTTTTTGACTTTTTAATAACCATTCTGACTGCTTTGAGATGGTATCTCTTTGTGGCTTTAATTTGCATTTCTCTGATGATTAATAATATTCAACATTTTTTCATATGTTTTCTGGCTGCTTCTGTGTCTTCTTTTCAGGAATGTCTGTTCATGTCCTTTGCCCACTTTTTAATGCTGTTATTGTTTTTGTTGTTGTTGCTAAGTTGTTTTAGTTCCTTATAGACTCTGGATATTAGTCCTTTATTGGAAGCATAGTTTGAAAATATTCTCCCTCATTCTGGAGGTTACATATTTACTCTGTTGATTATTTCTTTTACTGTACAAAAGATTTTTTAATTTATGTATGTTCTGATTTTTTTGTTTAGCTTTATTTTTGTTGCATTTACTTTTGAGGTCTTAGTCATAAATTCATTTCCTAGTCCAATGCCTAAATGAGATTTTCTTAGGTTTTCTTTGATAATTAAGATAGTTTCAGGTCTTACATTTAAGTCTTTAATGCAGATTGAGTTAATTTTTGTATTTAATGAGTGATAGGGTTCCAGTTTCATTATTCTGCATATAGCAATTCAGTTTTCCCAGCACTATTTATTGAATAGGGTCTTCTTTACCAATTGTATGTTTTTGTCAACTTTGTTGAAGATCAGTAGGTTATAGGTATGTTTCTTTATTATTTCTGGATTCTCTATTCTGTTCCATTGATCTATGTGCCCATTTTTGTACCAGTACCATGCTCTTTGGGTTACTATAGACTTATAATTAAAATCTGAAATCAGATAAGGTGATGCCTCCAGCTTTTTCTTTTTGCTTAGGATTGCTTTGGATATTTGGACTCTTTTCAGGGTCATATATAAATTTTAGAATTGCTTTTTCTAATTATGTGAAAAATAATGTTGATAATTTGATAGGAATTGCATCAAATCTGTATATTGCTGTGGGCAGATGTCCATTTAACAATATTGACTCTTCCTATCCATGAGCATGGAAGATTTTTCCATTTATTTGTGTCATTTCGGATTTCTTTCAGTCGTGTTTTATAATTCTCATTCTAAACATCTTTGACTATCCTGGTTATTTGCACTTCTAGGTATTTTGTTCTTTTTGTGGCTATTGTGAATGAGATTGAATTCTTGATTTGGCTCTCAGCTTGGATGTTCCTGGTATATAAAAATGCTACTGATTTTTGAACATTGATTTTCTATCATAAAACTACTGAGGTTGTTTATCAGTTCTAGGGGACTTTGTGCAGAGACTATGGGATTTTTCTAAGTATAGAATCATATCATCTGCAAAGAGAGATAATTTGATTGCTGTCTTTCTACTTGTATGTTATTTTATTTCTTTCTCTTACCTGATTGACAGCTAGAACTTCCAGTACTCTGTTGAACAGAAGTAGTGAGAGTGGATACACTTGTCTTGTTCCAGTTATCAGTGGGAAGGCTTCCAGCTTTTTCCCATTCAGTATGATGTTTGCTGTGGGTTTATCATGGATAGCTCTTATAATTTTGAGACATGTTCCTTTAATACCTAGTTTGTTGAAGGTTTTAAACATGAAGAGATAGATGCATTTTCTATGACCATTGAAATGACCATGTGGCTTTAGTTTTAAGTTCTGTTTGTGTGACGAATCCCATTTATTGATGTGCGTAAGTTGACCCAAACTTGCATACCAAGAACAACGCCTATTTGACTGTGATGGATTAGTTTTTTATATTCTGCTGTATTTGATTTGCTAGTATTCTGTTGGTAATTTTTGTGTCTATGTTTATCTAGGGTACTGGCCTGAAATTTTCTTTTTTTCATTATGTCTCTGCTAAGTTTTGGTATCAGAATAATGCTGGCCTTGTAGAGGAAGTTAAGGAGGAGTCTCTTCTCAAATTTTGGAATAGTTTCACTGGGATTCATACCAGGTCTTCTTTCTATGTCTGGTAGAATTTGGCTGTGAATCTGTCTGGTACAGACCTTTTTTCTGGTTAGTAAATTTCTTATTACTAATTCAATTTAGGAACTCATTATTGGTCAGCTCAGGGATTCAATTTCTTCCCAGTTCAATCGTGGAATATTTTATGTTTCAAGAAATTTATCCATTTCTTCTAAGGTTTCTAGTTTGTGTGCATACTGGTGTTCATAATAGGTTCTGAGAGGTTTTTTATATTTCTGTGGGGTTAGTGATAATGTCACATTTGTCATTTCTGATTGTGTTTGTTTGGACCTTCTTTCTTTTGTTCTTTATTAGTCTAGTTATTTGTCTGTAAATTCTATTTATTCTTGCAAAGAACTAGCTCTTGGTGTTGTTGATTCTCCTTATGAATTTACATGTCTCAATTTCATTGAGTTCAGCCCTGATTTTAGTTATTTATTTTCTTCTGCTCACATCTGAGTTGTTTTGCTCCTGTATTTCTAGTTCCTCTGGATGTGATGTTAGGTTGTTTATCTGAGATCTTTCTAACATTTGGATGTAGGAATTTAACACTATAAACTTTCATCTTAGCACTACTTTAGCTATGTTTCAGAGATTCTGAAATGTTGTATCTTTGTTTTCATTACTTTCAGTGGATTTCTTGATTTCTGTATTAATTTTATTCTTTACCTTAAATAATTTAGGAGGCAGTTCTTTAACCTTTTTCCATTTAAAAAAAATAAGTGCAGCTCACTGTCTGCAATCATTTAATTTTACATAAACATGCTCTTTGAGTTTGAAGCAAATCTGACAGATTTTCTATATGAAAATAAAATATAAAAACTGCTCTTGGAGTAATTTCTAAACAGAAGTAACATCAAAATCACCTGAATCATCGGAGTCATTTATTTTTTAAAAAAATGGATTCATCAAATCAATCTTTGGCCAATTGTTTTAGAACAATGTTAATATCATGTGTAGGGATACTATGTTTTCTAGGATTTGATATTTTCAGCTATCAAGAATTACCATATTTTATACATGGAAATACCACTACTAAAACCAGAATGCTATAAAATAGAACAATGTCTTCTGTTTCCAAGGTCAATATACTAAAGAGTGATGCAAAAATAAGAAGAAAAGCGAAATATTTCATGGCAAAGTTATCTCAGGGCAAACACCAAGCCACAAGCACTGTGGGCAAGTATTCTTGGGGCCAACCAGAAAAGGGTTAATTTCTTTGCAATTTTACAGTTTTGAGAGATCTTCTTGGCATAGTTATTTATCTTTATTGCACTGTGGTCCAAGAGTGTGGTTGGTATGATTTTTATTTTTATGAAATTTTTGAGAATTGCTTTATGTCCAAGTGTGTGGTCAATCTAAGAGTATGCACCATGTACACATGGAAAGAATGTATGCCCTGTTGCTGTTGTGTGCAGTGTTCCATAGATGCCTGTTAGGTCCATTTGGTCAAGTGTTGGCTGCACACTTTGAATATCTTTGTTAGTTTTCTGCCTCAGTGATCTGTCTAACATTGTCAATGGGGTGTTGAAGTCTCTCACTATTATTGTGTGGTTATCTAAGTCTCTTTGTACATCTCTAAAAACTTGAATCTGGGTGCTAAAGTGTTGGGTGCATACATATTTTGGATAGGTAAGTCTTATTAAATGGAATTCTTTATCATTATGTAGTGACTTTCTTTTACTTTCTGATACTGGTTGGTTTAAAGTATGTTTAGTCTAAAATAAGAATAACAATCTGTAGTAGGCTGTTCTCACATTTTTATAAAAAATCCTGTGACTGGGTAATTTATAAAGAAAAGAGAGGTGAGGTATGGTGTCTTATGCCAGTAATCCCAGTATTTTGGGAGGCTAGGGTGGGATCACTTGAGCCCAGGAGTTCAAGACCAGCCTGGGCAACATAACAAAATCCCTTCTCTACAAAAAATACAAAAATAGATGAAAGTGGTAACATGCATCTGTTGTCCCAGCTACTCAGGAGTCTGAGGTGGGAGGATCACTTGAGCCTGGAAGTCAAGGCTGCAATGAATGGTTATCATGCCACTACACTCCAGCCTGTGAAACAGAGTGAGACTCTATCTCAAAAAAAAAAAAAAGAGGTTAAATTGGCTCATGTTTCTGCAGGCTATACAGAAAGGATGATGCTGGCATCTGCTCAGCTTCTGGAGAGGCATCAGGAGAATTACAATCATGGCAGGAGGTGAAGGGAAAACAGGCACCTCATGTGGCCAGAGCAGGAACAAGGGTAAGGGGAGGTGCAACACACTTTTAAATTGCCAGATCTTATGATAGCTCACTTACTATCATGAGGACACCACCAGGGAGATGGTGCCAACCATTCATGAGAAATCTGCCCTATGATCCAATCACCTCCCAACAGGCCCCACCTCCAACATCAGGGAGTCCATTTCAACATGAGGTTTGAGTAGAAACATATATCCCAAATGTATCAGCAACTTATCTAATGTTTTACATTAGATAAGTAGGTTTTTCTTCACTCCTTTACTTTGAGCCTATAGGTGTAATTACATGTGAGATGGGTCTTTTGAAGACAGCATACAGTTTTTTTTTTTTATTCTTATACTTTAAGTTTTAGGGTACATGTGCACAATGTGCAGGTTAGTTACATATGTATACATGTGCCATGCTGGTGTGCTGCACCCATTAACTCGTCATTTAGCATTAGGTATATCTCCTAATGCTATCCCTCCCCACTTCCCCCACCCCACAACAGTCCCCAGAGTGTGATGTTCCCCTTCCTGTGTCCATGTATTCTCAATGTTCAATTCCCACCTATGAGTGAGAACATGCGGTGTTTGGTTTTTTGTCCTTGGGATAGTTTACTGAGAATGATGATTTCCAATTTCATCCACGTCCCTACAAAGGACATGAACTCATCATTTTTTATGGCTGCATAGTATTCCATGGTGTATATGGGCCACATTTTCTTAATCCAGTCTATCATTGTTGGACATTTGGGTTGGTTCCAAGTCTTTGCTATTGTGAATAGTGCCGCAATAAACATACGTGTGCATGTGTCTTTATAGCAGCATGATTTATAGTCCTTTGGGTATATACCCAGTAATGGGATGGCTGGGTCAAATGGTATTTCTAGTTCTAGATCCCTGAGGAATCACCACACTGGTTTCCACAATGGTTGAACTAGTTTACAGTCCCACCAACAGTGTAAAAGTGTTCCTATTTCTCCACATCGATGTGGAGAGGATGTGGAGAGACAGCATACAGTTTTATCTTGCTTCTTTATTCAAATTGCTACTCTGTGTCTTTTAAGTGGGGTGTTTAGCTGCTTTATGTTCAAGGTTAATATTTATATGTGAGGATTTGATCTCGTCGTTGTGTTGTTAGCTGGTTATTATGGAGACTTGATGTTGCTTTATACTGTCAGTGTGCTATGTATTAAGCATGTTTTCATGGTGGCAGGTTACATTCTTCTGTTTTAATGTTTAGCATTCCCTCAACTACCTCTTGTAAGGCAGTCTGGTGGTAATAAATTCCCTTAGCATTTTCTTGTCTAATAGGATTTTATTTCTGCTTCACTTTTGAAGCTTAGTTTGCCTGGATATAAAATTCTTAGTGGGAACTTCTTTTCTTTAAGGATACTGAATATAAGCTCCCAATCTCTTCTGGCTTAAAATGTTTCAGCTGGGCTAGACATAGAGGCTCATGTCTGTAATCCCAGCACTTTGGGAGGTCGAGGTGGGTGGATCACTTGAGGTCAGGAGTTCGAGACCAGCCTGGCCAACTTGGTGAAACCCCATCTCTACTAAAAATAAAAAATTAGCTGGGCATGGTAGCACATGCCTGTAGTCAGCCCCAGCTACTCAGGAGGCTGAGACAGGAGAATCGCTTGAACCCCGGAGGTGGACATTGCAGTGAGCTGCAGTCACGCCACTGCACTCCAGCCTGGGCGACAGAGTAAGGCTTCGTCTCAAAAAAAAAAAAAAAAAAGGTTTCAGCTGAATTAAAGTTCAGCTGTTAGCCTGATGGGGTTTCCTTTAAATGTGGCCTGCTCCTCTTCTCTAGCTGTCTTTAATGTATTTTCTTACACATTGACTTTAGAAAATCTGATGACTATGTGTCTTGGGGGTGGTCATCCTATATAGTATCTCACTGGATTTCTTTGAATTTCCTATAGTTTCATCTTGAGTCCTCTAGCAATATTGGGAAAATTTTCATGGGCAGTATTCTCAATATATTTGCCAAATGTCTTGCTCTTCCCCTTCTCTTTCTGGGACACAAACCAGTCACAGATTTGATCTCTTTACATAATCTCATATTTTTCAGAAGTTTTGTTAATTATTAAAATTCTTTTTTCTTTACTTTTGTCTGACTGAGTTGATTTGAATAACCAGTCTTTGAGCTCTTAGATTCTTTTTTCAGCTTGGTCTCTTCTGGTATTAACAATTCTGATTGTATTACAAAATTCTCATAGTGAGTTTTTCAGCTCTAGAGGATTACTTTGGTTCTATCTTAAAATGACTATTTCATCTTTCAGCTCTTGTATCATTTTATTGAATTCCTTAGATTATTTGCATTGGTTTTCAACTTTCTCATAATCTTGATGATCTTCATTGCCATCCAGACATCAGCCTTTTCATTTTGATTACAAGTCACTGCTGAAGAGCTAGTGCAATCTTTTGGAGGTAAGAAGATACTCTGGTTTTTAGAACTGCCAGATATCTTGCACAGTTCTTTCTCATATGTTGGGGTTAATGTTACTTTAATCTTTAAAGTTACTTTAATCTTTTGAATGGAACATCTTGCTTTTATATTCTTTGATTCCCTTGAGGATTTGACTGTGGTCTAATTTGGATTTAGTCAATTGGCTTCATTTCTGAATAATTTCAGGGAGCCAAGGCTTAGTTCAACACTCCTAGGCTGTGTGCTCTATCTTGGGGGCTGGTCCAGGCCCATAGCTTTTTTTTCTCTAGCCCCTTGAAGTTAAGTACCTGCTGTACTTCGGGGACTGAGCTGTTCCCAGTCCACTGGCAACAACATTTTGATGAGGGGTTCTGGCAAAAAGCACTTTGGTGGGGAGGCAGTGGGCTGTGGGGAGTCCCTGTGTTCACATATGCCAGCAGCAACATGGAGAAGCACGTGTGCAGTGGTGAAGCAGTGGATGGGAGGCTGCAGGCAAGTGCATGCTGGTAGTGCAAGAGCTGTGGACATGTGGTTGCCAGTGGGGGCCACCAGCAAGCACTTCAGCTGGCAGCTGAGGCTGTGCTACAAGCAGGTGTGGCCAGGCAGGAACCCTGGGATAAACCAGCAGTCAAGGGGTGCTCAAATCAGCCTGGGTCCATCCAATAGGTAAGATAGCCCTGCTCTGTTTTGGTCAGACAGCTAATAAAGGCTAAAGCCACCTAGAAGATGATGGTGAGCCTTCTGGAATGAGTACTTATGGCCATGCTCCACTGCAGCTGTTCCCAGGCCAAGTCCCATGGCCTCCATGAAGGCTGGGGTTCTGTCTCTGCCAACTCTCTAGGCAGTTTCTCCTGTCGGCTGAAATTTCCATGGAGGTCATAGGGTCTCTCTCCTCTACCTAGGTTACCAGAGGTCTGTGGCAGAGTGAACCATATCTATTCCACTCACCCTTTCCCCAGCAGCCGCTCAGGGTGAGGAACTAGTTCTTGTGCTTGACAACCTCGTGCAGGGTTCCTAGATTCATCCCCTTTCATCCCAGAGTCTGCATCCTCCTCCTGTCCACTCTCAATGCTTTCTTTCTGAAGGTCTCTTTGGAATGTGCCAGTCTAATTGATGGTTTAGTCCCTCTCAGTGGAAGAAGCCCTTCCTGGCTAGGTCTAGGTGGCCATCTTGGCTCCAGACATTTAAAAATAAAAGATATTAACATTAGCAGACCTGTAATACAATAAATATTGAGAAAGGTCCTTTTGAAATGTGAAAAATGTACATCTACATAGAGAAAGGAAGTGTGACAAAATTTGAAAATATAAATTTTAGAAACAAAGATATTTTAATTTTATTTAGTTATTTTTAAAAGATATTTTTCAATTTAAAGCAAGTTAATACATAATATATTTGGGTATATATAACACATATAAATTAAAATGTCTGTCAAGGATAGCATGAATTCGGGCAAGTGAGAAATAAAGTATAATGTTTAGAGATTCTTATATGTGAAATTGCATAATAGTTCCTGAAGGTAAATAGGTAATTAGATAAATGAAAGATGTGTAAACTTGAAAGCAACCATTAAAAACAAGACATAGAGTTAAAGCCAACAATAAAAATATACTAGGAGGAAACCTAGTCAATGTATTAAAAAATAAGAAGAAAAAGGAACAAAGTACAGACAGTAAAGTCACAAATTACAGGACAGTAAACTTAAAACTAACAATATTTTTTAAAAAATGGGTGTAAAAGGGAATTTGAATTTTTTTAAAAAACCTGTGTAAAACAGACTATATACAAGTGCAAATAACTTAGAATAGCCAAAATAACTTTCACAAAAAATGTTGCCAAAGTTTCAGTCTCCTACTTCAAAACATAGTATAGCTAGTACTAGTTAATAAAGACTGGATGGTATTGGCCTAATAATAAGCAAATACATTAGATAAAAATAAAAAATCAGAACAGATACACTTATATGTAGTCAACTGTTATTCACAATGATGCAAAGCCTAGTCAATGAAGAAAGAATAGTTCTTTTGTAATGTGTTGTCAGAACAAGTTGGCATCCATATGCAAAAAAAAAAAATCAATACATAAGTCAAATCATATAAATAATTCAAAGTGCATTACAGACCTAAATGTAAAACCTAATACTATAAAATTTCTAGAAGGTAACATAGCAGGATTTAGCATGATTTAGCGTTAATCATGTGTGTGATTTAGCACTAGATAATGATTTCTTAGATATGACATTAAAATATAATAAAAGAGAAAGCAGTAATAGTACTTAATAAAATTTAAGAACTTATGCCTTTCCAAAGCTTAGGGCTTCAACTTCAAAACCTCTGGAGATGCATTGGGAGGAAGCACTGGCTAAGTCATAGTCCACTCACCAGGCATTTATTGAAGGATGATGGATGAAGGAATGACTGTAACTTGTCCATTGTCATCTGTTTTCCCCAGGTCTCATCTCCTGAATATTTGTCCTGCCCTGAGTTTTCACCTGAGGCCACCTGTACAACTGACTAGAGTAGTTCCACTGATTGCTAAAATGGAACAGGCAGGATTGGTATTGACTGTCCAAGAGCAAAGTCAGATACAGGTAAGTGTAAAACATCGCTGGGATTTGTCTCCTTAGTTTATCGTTTCATAACCAAGCTGACCACCATCTGCTTTATGAGGCAACTTCTCCCTGACTGCCTCGCTTACAGAAGTAGGCTTCGGTTTTCTCAAGGGTTTCTCAGAGGCCAGAGGTTTGCCAGGAAAATGAATTATATTTTTCTCAGCACGTCTTCCTGAGAGAGTGGATCTTGCATGAGGAAGCAACAGTCTGTGATAAAATTCCCCATCCTGCCTTCTGCTTCCTTATAAGATCACCTGATGCAATGATCAGTGAGTTGTATAGATGAAAAACTGAGAAAAAGAGATAAGGAACAACCAGTGTCAAAATCTAAACATGAGAAAAGACTTAGGATAGGTTTTCTAATCAAAAGCCGATGTCCTCTTCTTATATAAACAATTAACAATGTTGAAACAAAACGGTGATGATATGGGCTAACGGTGATGCATCTAATTTTTTTCTTAACAAAATCCCAATCCATTAAACTATTTCAACTAAGTCATATCAGGAATTCTGTTTTTCTATTCAGTATATGTAACACAAGTAACATTTTTATTTTAAAAATAATTTTAAACTTCTGAACAGGAATCAGATTAGCAGAACTTACTGATATTCTACATAAAAATCACTACTGTCAAGGGAAAAAAGAACTCCTACAACAGAGGCTTTTAATCGAGACAAAATTAGATCTTGTCCTGTAAATTATTGTATTGCTTCCTGGTGTTTTATGGAATTAAGTGAGATATTTCTTGTAGAACATCTAACAGCAATGCTTGGCATGGAGTAAGTACTCAAAAATGTTAGCTATTATTATAAACAATATTTTTACTGCTTTAGAAGAAGAGTATCTCATTTGCTGTATAATAGTCAATACTTTCGTATGGTAATATGACAAGTTTTTATGACTTAAGAATCTCTTTGTGTATATAAATTGCAGTAATGATCTTTATTTTGAAGTTATTTATCACTTTTCAAAAGATTCTTAAAACATATTATCTGGTCATATATATTTACATATACAAATACACATATATGTAAATGTAAATTATATATGTATATATTTTTTAAATATCCCCTGCAAGCTCTCCATGATTTGGACCAGGACCCCATTCCAACCTCAACTCCTCATCCACGTCTTCCTCTAGCTTTGTAAGGATGGTCATCTCTAAATAGAAACTTATTCTATTATGTTTTCAGGTAGTCAACTGTCTCATCATCTTAGACTTTCATGAGTTCTCACCAGGAGATGCAGTGTGGTATAGTGATAAAGGTCATAGACCTACGATCTGAGTGCCCTGACCTGGGGCACATTACTTGACATTTTTGTGCCTCTGTTCCATCATCTGAAAGATGGGAATAAAAATATTGCTTAGCTGACTGCATTTATGTGAGAATTACATTGTTTAATAAGTGTACAGAACTTCAGATGGTGACTACTCAACTCTCACTTGCAAGTGACTTTACTGGACACTTATCTTAAAATTATTTCTGCAAGATCATATCACTTCGTTTAATTTTTTAATGGAATTTAATACAATCTGATAATTTTTTTTATTTTATAAATTTGCCTAGCCTATCTCCATCTAAGAGAATGTTAGCTCCTGGAAAACTGCTACACAGTCTATTTAGAATTCTCTTATAAGCATATTTCACAGTGTTTGACACATTACAAAAGTAGACAGTGCTCAATAAATATTTTTGGATGAATTTTATTTTCAAGAGTTTGGGAAGTTTGGGAAAAAGTAATCTTTGTGTTTTCAGTTAGTTACATAGGTAGTGTAGGTTTAGATTTTTTCCAATGCCTGCAAATTGTGTGTGCCTGAGTAGATAGTGAAACACTATTACCATCCCCATTACCTATATATATATGACTTTTTTCCTTTTATTGCTAAACATGAGTGATATTTAGCCATGTTTCTGCCTGTGTATGGTGCATCAGAGACACTTGTTTTGATTGGCTGGCTCTTATGCTGTAACAGTTTTAATTGTTTTGACTATGTTCCCTCTGTAAATTCAATGAATTGTTCACACAGACATAGGATTTTAGAAGAGGAATATCCTTTCCTCAACTTAAACTTATCATCTGAGCATAATTTTCCTAACAATTGGAGTACATTGCTACTTGAAAGAAAATCTGCTTCTAACTCCCCACTATGCAGAGTAGAATTAATCCTCCTTATACTTAGGGGTCAAGAAACATTGCTGATTGAGTAACTAATTGTCTGGGTCAGGAATACATTCTAGATAAAGAAATTCATTATCATAATACAACTGACACATTGTGATTTAGCTGTGATAAATTCAGTGTTGGCACCTCAGGAAGAGTGCTCTCCAGCCCTAATAAGTATAGATTATACCACAAAGTATCAAGTATCTGAGGTGACTAATAAGTTTAACATAATTTGTCACAAACATACCAGGAGTAATGGGAAATGATGTTTAGGTTCATAAATGGTACACTTCTTGGTCATTGTTTTTGTATATTGCAAAGTATTTTATCAATAAACAACAAGACTGATTAAATTAAACAAACAATTAATGCAAGCCACTAAAGCTGTTTCACTGCATAGTTTTACTATGCTGTCTTTAAGAAAAAAGACTTCTACAATTATCTACGATTTAAATTTGTAGGTAAAAATTGGGTAAAACTAATTTAATCTTAAAAAAAAAAAAGAAGATTTAGAATGTCGTTGACACAAGGAAGGAAACAACAGATTTTGGGGCCTATTTGAGGGTGGAGTGTGGGAGGAGGGACAGGATTGAAAAACTACCTATTGGATATTATGCTGATTACCTGGGTGACAAAATTATCTGTACACCAAACCCTTAAGACACACAATTTACCCGTGTAACAAACCTGTGTATGTATCTCTTGAGCCTAAAATAAATGTTTAAAGAAAAAAAAGAATATCACTGGAGTATAAAGGAATTCCCATCAGGACACCAGAATATAATGAATACGTGAAAGACAGGCAGACAATTAATGTCCAGGAAAGAAAGCCATCATGTGAAACCAATTCAGGAGAAAACAAATGGAAAATATGAAAGCCTTCAAAGAGGTTCAAAGAAGAGGTGTTTGACCTACACATACTTGGGCTATGGAAGCAGGGATAGGTTCATTTAAGTTATGAACACCAAGAGAAGCAGAGGCTCCACTGGAACTAGAAAAGCTGGAGACCTACTTTACCTGTCTAGACAATGTCTCTCTTTTCCAGAAGTTCTGTCATCAGTCTACACTAAATAAATAGCATCTACAAGCCACAAAAAATAAGAGAAGGGAATATTTTAAATGATCTTTAATCCTTCATAAGGGCTCCAAAACATTAGAAGAGGGAGAATGAAGAAAAATATACTAAAAAACATAGTGTTGGAAAATTTTACACAGCTGAATGGTAAGCAAAAATCAGATTAAATATGATTTCTGTATGTCCAGTAAGACGAATAAAAACAGACCTAAAACCACAAACATTATGTAACATTTCTAGATACAAATTTTTAATAAAATTTGTTATATTCTCAGAGAGAGAAAAAATGATGATTATGAGAGAATAAGAAGTAAAAAAATAATGAAGAGGAACTGCTAGTTGTGGCTTCAACATATAAAAAGAGTGGAAGTCATCACTTCTGTACACATAATAAGAAAAAGCTTGACAAGCTATAAATCAACCACTTTTCTTGTACCCATTAGAGATCTAAGGTTACAGGGCAAACATCCCTCCAAAATTTGGAGAGGTGAATATATAACAGAGTCATAGATGAGATATATTTACCTGGAGCAGAAGCCACTGATATCATAAACAGGCAGGAACATATATATGATAATTTTGACAAATTTCCAGAGGTCAAGTGTATACTAACTAGCCTGACTGTGAGAAATTCCAGGGTGCCACAGTCTTAGAGAAACCTTAACACTTTTTGGATTCTATTTGCGGGATCAACACCAGATTGTCAAGGTGGAAATCCTACAAAGATCCCCTTATGGCTCTGGCAGAAGGAGGGAAGGATTATCATTGTAAAATGTACATTGAGTATTTTGAACTACAAAGGCTTACTCTCTAAGGCAAAAGAATATACAAGAACTCTATCCCTTTGAGGAAAGACTTTCCTCATACTTTTAAGTATTTCTAACCTCCCTGAGTCATAGGGTTGGGTAAGAAGGTGAGAAGAACTATACCACTAAGAAACACATGTGGAGGTCACAGAAAAAAGACTCAGACCCACTAAAATACTGGGACTTAGAAGATTATAGAATGCTATGCCTTTCACCACATACCTCCACAGCAACAGGGCTTCACTGTAGTAAAAGGAAAGTACAGATAAGCCATCCGCAAGACATAGACTCTCTCTGAGGAGGAGTATTTGGGAAGCCCAAGCTCAAGAAGTAAGACAGAAACAAATATACTTAAGAAATCTAAACCTTTTACATAAACAGATACAGCAAATGTTAGATACAGCCTAACTCTTAGCCAGAATAGTCTAAATTTTCACATAAAATTCCTATTTATCTCTCCTCTTACCTGATGTAACATGCCCAGTTTTCAACACAGAAAAAAAAATTGCAAGCATAATGAAGGGAAAGAAAAACACAGTCTGAAGAAACACATCAAGCGTCAGAACCAGACAAAGATAACACACAGATGTTGGAAGTTTCCGATGAAATTCGTGATGGGCTCTAATTGAGAAAGTAGACAACATGCAAGGGAGATAGGTAACATAAGTGGAAAAATGGAAACTTCTATGGCTTGAATAATTTTTCCCTTTAGAACTCATATTGAAATTTAATCCCCAATGTAGCAGCATTATGAGGTATGACATTAAAGCGGTGATGGGGTCATGAGGCCTCTCCCTTCATAAATGGACTAATCCATTCATGAATTAATAGATTAATGGTTTAATGAATTAAGAAGTTATGGAAGTGAGACGGTGGCTTTACAAAAAGAGGAAGAGAGTCCTGAACTAGTACATTCAGCCTCCTCAGTAGGCAATGCCTGTGCTGCCTCTGGACTTTCAGATGGTCTCCACCAGCAAGAAGGCTCTCATGAGATGTGAGTTGTCAACTTTGGACTTCTCCACCTTCATAAGTGTAAGAAATAAATTCCTTTTCTTTATAAATTATCTAGTTTCATGTATTCTGCTAACAACAAAAAAATGGACTGTCAAAAATGCTTATCAAGAATTGAAGAATTTGCTGAAGACAGGTCAATAGAAATTTCCCAAATGGAAATGCAAAGATAACAGTGTCGGCTTAGAGGGACTAGAAAACATAACACCCCAATAGCAACAAGCACCTCTTTCACCCAGATCTTGTTTTCTCATACCCTTTTCCAATAAAAAGACTCAAGCTTAATGCCGGAAGTAAGAAAGTACTTAAACAAAACAAAATAAAATTATGGGAGTGGGGATGTAACAAATGGACATAAAAGCCAAATGAAAGAATTGTCAGTGGCCAAAACTGAAAACATTTGAGCAAAAAAAAAAAAAAACGAAGTGGCACTGAATTATAACCCAAAATATGAAATCAATATTCATAAGTTCATACTGATATAAATAAGTTATTGAATACATAAATAAATAAGGACAATAGAGAAATCTTTCATAGGTCAGTTTTCCAAATAATGTATATAAATACTCTCTAGAAGGTGGAGCATAACTCCTTGCATAGTAAATGTAGTTTGAAAAAAGGGACTTCTTTTTTTATTTTTAAATTTTTTTATTTATTTTTATTTTATTATTATACTTTAAGTTATAGGGTACATGTGCACAATGTGCAGGTTTGTTACATATGTATACATGTGCCATGCTGGTGTGCTGCACCCATTAACTCCTCATTTAGCATTAAGAATATCTCCTAATGCTATCCCTCTCCCCTCCCCCCACCCCACAACAGTCGCCGGTGTGTGATGTTCCCCTTCCTGTGTCCATGTGTTCATTGTTCAGTTCCCACCTATGAGTGAGAACATGCGGTGTTTGGTTTTTTGTCCTTGCGATAGTTTACTGAGAATGATGATTTCCAATTTCATCCATGTCCCTACAAAGGACATGAACTCATCTGAAAAAAGGGACTTCTTCTAAAGAGTATAATAAATAGGGAAAATAGAGTAACATGGCAGAGGAGAAACCTGATAAACACTTCCTCACCCAGGTGAGCAAACTCAGCCTCAACAATTATAAGTCATGTTGAAATGATTTACCCTTAATATGGTGTGATGAAATGGCACATTACCTCTCTGGTCTTTCTACTCAAAGCATATAAGCCTCAGGCCAATTCAAAGACATTATATAAAATATCTAACCAGTATTCATCAAAAACAGAAAATATTCAAGGAATTGTTGAAACCAAGAGAAGTGTAAAGAGATGTGCTGAGTCAATGTGATGTATACTAGATGGGAGACTGAAAACAGAAAATAGATATGAGAGGAAAACTGAGCATCTGATAAAAAATATGAACTTTGGTAATAATAATGTGTAAATATTGGCCTACAATTATAACAAATCTGCTGTTCTAATATAAGATGTCAATAACAGGGAAAACTAGTTAAGAGATATATATAAACTCTCTGCAATAATTAAAACTCCTGCAAAAGAGAAAAGCTTTTTTTTTAGAAAAACATTGTAGAAAAATATCTTTAAGTTTCTAAGATAAAATTATTTTGACCTAATTTAATTTTTGAAGTCAAATTAACTAATATATAGGAATGTATGTTATGTCTGAGGCTATCACTGAAGACACACTTTCAAGTATGACTCTGAAATCATGTATTGCAACAAAACAAAACCATCAGAATATGAGAAAATAAGAATAACTTTTATTGTTATAATATGTAATTCTATTTAAATAATTATCACAAAATTAATTAAAAGGTAGTATAAAATAGTCACAACATAGAAGAGAGTATAAACTAGCAAAGCTTAACATCCCACCCTGTCCTCAAATTAATCACACAAGCAATTTTCCCACTTCCCTTGATGTACCTCATACTCTAGTCAGAATAAATGAGAAGTCATCTTCCAGGCACACTAAACAATTCTTACTGCCCATACCTCTCCCTTTTGACTCTAACTGCCTACAAATCTTAAATATATTTTGGAACTCAACTGTAAGTACATCTCCTTTTTTACTGAATTTACCACCAGATATCTCCTTAGATCACCTTTAATTTCCAAAAGGTGTTTATTTTGCCTTCCTCAAATTATTTATATTTAATTTAATATTAATAGTGACATAAATTATGTCACTATGTAATTTAATCACTATAAATTATATCACTATGTAAACTAATGGTAATATAAATATCAGTTTTAGCTGCTTTATATCTATTAGAATTTGCTGGTTGAAGATATTGTCTTCTCATCTTGGTGTTTCTGGAAGCATTTACTTTAGAGGTATGCAGACATGTTTCATAAATGAGTGTCAATTAACTCTGTTAAGAGATCAATAAATATAGTAAAACATTTCATGAATAAAGAAAATTATTTCCAGTGTATGCATTACATTCAAATAAAGATTACCCCAAAGTACTGCTTATTATTACAAACTTGATTCAGAATTAACTAACAATTTAAATATCTGAATAAAGCTATTATATTGAGAAATCCTGTGACAGAGTTAAAATCATCTCTATGTTTTAATTTTTGCCACACAAGGCACATTTTGGCATTGCCTTTACTTATTCCCCTTGAATTATCCCCTCTGTGCAAGTTAGTTACATTGCTGTTCCCTGTAATCCATTGCACCTACTTTGTCAAGGTAAATAATAATTTCTCTTTTGCCAAATCCAGGGGTCACCTCTCTTCTTCCCTTTACCTGAACACTCAGCAGCTAATTCAACCTAGACTACTCCCCCTTCTTTAATATGTTTTTTCCTTAAGCTTCTAATGAAATGTGTAATCCCAGACTACCTCCCCCTTCATGAGTTTTTGTTCATAGTTTTCTGGTTAGCTCCTGTATTTTTTCACAGCTCTAAATTTTGGAGTTTCCCCGGGTTTGGGCCTGACCTTTCTTCTTTATATCCATATTTAATCCCTGTGTTCTCATCTAGTTCCAGAGCTTTAACATCCTGTATTAGTGAAGGACTCTAACACTGAACCTCCATCACTGACCTCTCTTCTGAAGTCCAGGCTTATGAGTCATCAGAATTCGTATTTGACATTTTCACTTACATATCCACTTGGCATCTCACTCTTAACATGTCAAAACAGAAATGATTCACCTTCCTTTAGCACCTGCCCACTGCTCCCCCACCCCACCCGACGAAAACAGTTCCTTTATCAACAGTTAGAAAGCAGCAGGTGGAATTTAACGTTTTTAAAGTTGAGCTCACTGGACATTATGATAGATGTGATATAAATATCATGTTCACTCTCATGATAGTCCTCCAAATTCTTCTTCTTTTTTAAATATATTTCTTTCTTTTTTTCTACTTTACTTCCTTATGTTGAGAATACATCTCATTTGCTCGTGGATCACTGTCTTAGCCTATTTGTGTTACTATAAAGGCATTCCTGAGACTAAGTGATTTATGAAGAAAAGAGGATTATTTGGCTTACAGTTCTGCAGACTGTACAAGAAACCTGGCATCAGCCCAGCATCTGCATCTGCTGAGGGCCTCAAGCTGCTTCCACTCAAAGCTGAAGGTGAATGGGGGCCAGCATGTACAGGGATCGTGTGATGAGAGAAAGCGAGAGAGATGGGGAGGAAAGACGACAGGCTCTTCTGAACACCCAGCTCTCACTGGAACTAACAGCTGAGAACTCACCCACTACCTCCGCATTCCAGGGAGGACATAAGCCTATTCCTGAAGGATCTGCCCCCATAACCCAAACACCTACCTTTTGGCTCCACATTGGGGATCAAATTTTAACATGAGGTTTGGAGGGGTCAAATATCCAAATCATAGCAATCACTCACAAATATTGACGACCTCCATGCATTTCTTTATCAAGTGGACTATAGTGTAGATGATAATTCCTTGTTCAAGACCAGCTACTGTAATTCAATATTTGGTCATATCTCTGCTCTTTTTTTTTTTTTTTTGTAACTAGTGAATATTTTGTTCCCTGAAGAGCAATTTTAATTTAGAGGAAACTATTAACTTTTTTCTGGCTTTCTTTCTCAGTTTTTAAAACCATCAATATATGTTAAAAAAAATACCATTACACCAAAAAATATACAGTTTAACCTTGTTTGTTTTTATCTCAAACATAATCAGGACTTGTGTGTGTGCCCATGTGCACACATGTGTACATGCATGCACATACGTGTGTTTGATGCTCCTATTCTCTGAATCATTTTTTGTAGATTTTACTCCTTGTCTTAGGAATTGGCTGCACCCTCTGCCATATTAATTAAATATGAAGTCAATCTACTCTGGTTTGACTAAAGGTGAGTATCTTTACTACTCTTGCCATATCTAGTGAGATTCTCAGTTCTTTCTACAATACATTGGTTCAACATAACCTTCTGTAATTATGGAAATATACTATTTCTGAGCTTTTTATGACAGTGGAGACTAACCACAGATGGGTATAGAGCACTTACATTTAAATTTAAAGCCATATAAGGATTAGTGACTACTGTAATGAGCACGACAATTCTAAAATATGCTTGCTTACCAGACAGTAATGTTGTATCCACACTGTGATAATCTGTTTGGGTTGCCATAAAGAAATACCTGAGGCCGGGTGACTTATAAAGAAAGGTTTATTTGGCTTGTGGTTCTGCAGGCCATACAGGCAGAATGGCACTGGTATCTGCTTCCAGTGAGGGCTTCAGGAAGCTTCCAATCATGACAGAAGGTGAAAGGAAAGCAGACATGCATGTCAGGTGGTGAGAGTGGGAGCAAGGAAGAAAGGAGGAAGATGTCACACTCTTTTAAACAACCAGATCTCCTGTAAACTCAGAGCAAGAACTCACTGGTTACCACAAGGAAGGCACCAAGCCATTCATGAGGGATCTGCCCCCATGACCCAAACACTTCACACCAGGCTCACCTTCAGCATTGGAGATTACATGTCAACGTGAGATTTGGAGGGCACAAACATCCAAAGCATATCACACCCTAGAAAGTAACTGAATCATGGGGGCAAGTCTTTCCCATGCTATTCTCATGATAGTGAATAAGTTTCAGGAGATCTGATGGGTTTGTCAGGGGTTTCTCTTTTGCTTCTTCCTCATTTTCTCTTGCCACCACCATATAGAAAGTGCCTTTCCCCTCCCACCATGATTCTGACGTTTCCACAGCCCTGTGGAACTGTAAATCAAATTTAACCTCTTTTTCTTCTCAGTCTTGGGTATGTCTTTATCTGCAGCATGAAAACGAACTAATACAATATATTGGTACAGGTAGAGTGGGGCATTGCTGAAAAGATACCTGAAAATGTGGAAGGGAATTTAGAATTGGGTAACAGACAGAGATTGCAACAGTTTGGAGGGCTCAGAAGAAGACAGGAAAATGTGGGAAAGTTTGGAACTTCCTAGAGGCTTGTTGAATGGCTTTGACAAAGACATTGATAATGATAAGGACAATGAAAACCAGGCTGAGGTGGTCTCAGATGGAGATGAGGAACTTGATGGGAGCTGGAGCAAAGATGACTCTTGTTATGTTTTAGCAAAGAGACTGATGGCATTTTGCCCCTGCCTGAGAGATTTCTGGAACTTTGAACTTGAGAGAGATGATTTTGGGTGTCTGATGGAAAATATTTCTAAGCAGCAAAGCATTCAAGAGGTGACTTGGGTACTGTTAAGGCATTCAGTTTTAAAAGAGAAGCAGAGCATAAAAGTTTGGAAAATTTGCAGCCTGACTATATGATAGAAAGGAAAAAACCGTTTTTCTGGGGAGAAATTCAAGCTGGCTGCAGAAATTTGCATAAGTAGCAAGGAGCCTAATGTGTATCCCCAAGACCATGGGGAAAATGCCTCCAGGCCATATCAGAGACATTCATGGCAACCCCTCCCATCAGGCCTGGAGCCCCAGGAGGAAAAAGTGGTTTTGTGGGCTGGGCCCAGGCTGTGTGCAGCCTAGGGACTTGGTGCCCTGTGTCCCAGCCACTCTAGTCATAGCTAAAGGGGGGCAATGTAGAGCTCAGGCTGTGGCTTCAGAGAGTGCAAGCCCCAAGCCTTGCCAGCTTCCATGTGGTATTGAATCAAGAATTAAGGTTTGGGGCTGGGTGGGGTGGCTCATGCCTGTAATCCCAGCACTCTGGGAGACCAAGTCAGGCAGATCACCTGAGGTCAGGAGTTCAAGACTGGCCTGGCTAACGTGGTGAAATCTCATCTCTACTAAAAATAAAAATAAAAAAAAAAATTAGCTGGCCATGGTGGTGGGTGCCTGTAATCCCAGCTACTCGGGAGGCTGAAGAAGGAGAATCGCTTGAACCTGAGGGGCAGAGGTTGAAGTGAGCTGAGATTGTGCCATTGCACTCCAATCTGGGGGACAAGAGCAAAACTCCATCTCAAAAAAATAAATAATTAAATAAATAAAGTTTGGGAACCTCTGCCTAGATTTCAGAAAATATATGGAAATGTCTGGATGCCCAGGCAAATTTTTGCTGCAGGGGTGGTGCCCTCGTGGATGTGTGCCTGGAAAAACCACAGACACTCAATGCCAGCCCTTGAAAGCAGCTGGGAGGGAGGCTGTACCATGCAAAGCCACAGGGGCAGAGCTGCCCAAGAATATGGAAACTCATCTCTCACATCAGCATGACCTGGATGTGAGAGCTGGAGTCAAGGGAGATCATTTAGGAGATTTAAAATTTGACTGCTTCACAGGATTTCAGACTTACATGGGCCCTGTTACCCCTTTGTTTTGGCCAGTTTCTTCCATTTGGGATGACTGTATTTACCCAATGCCTGTACCCTCATTATATCTAGGGAGTAACTAGCTTGTTTTTGATTTTACGGGCTCATAGGTGGAAGGAATTTGCCTTGTCTCAGATGAGACTTTGGACTGTGGACTTTTGGGTTAATGCTGAAATGAGTTAAGACTTTGGGGGACTGTTGTGCAGGCATGACTGGTTTTGAAATATGAGGACATGAGATATGGAGTGGCCAGGGTTGGAATGATATGGTTTGGCTGTGTCCCCACCCAAATCTCAACTTGATTTGTATCTCCTGGAATTCCCACATGTTGTGGGAGGGGCCCAGGGGGATGTAATTGAATCATGGGGTCTGGTCTTTCCCAGCTATTCTCATGATAGTGAATAAGTCTCACAAGATCTGATGGGATTTTCAGGGGTTTCCACTTTTACTTCTTTATCATTTTCTCTTGCTGCCATGTAAGAAGTGCCTTTCACCTCCCACCATGAATCTGAGGCCTCCCCAGCCATGCGAAACTGTAAGTCAAATTAAATTTCTTTTTCTTCCCAGTCTTGGGTATGTCTTTACCAGCAATGTGAAAATGGACTAACACAATATATGAAAGAAGAAATAATGTTATTAGATTTTTTAAAATTCTTTTAGTCATACTGTTGCATTTTGGAGACTAAGTAATTAAACACAAAACAGAAACACTTTCTTCCTGATATGAAAAGCCAGTTTGCAAAAGCAATGTTCCCTGTTTGTCAAATGTTGCTGATGATCCTAATGAGGCTTATTCTCAGAATACAGGCATCTTTGTTCATTTGATAGTCATAACACTATAAATGTAGGAGATTTGAAGATCACCAACAAATCAAAAACATTAGTGCTTCTCTAAAATAATTTATTTTCCAATCATATATTAAGCAAAAGTAGAATGCGTTGTCCTAATACAAAGACTATAAAACGACTAATGCATTATTGACTTGTGATGATAATATGGTAATTTTCGAATCATTGTTTTTGGTGATTGTACTCCCTATGATCTAATAAAATATTATCCAGGTATATCAAATAGGTATAATTTAAAAATTGTCTCATATTGAGCAGCTGAACTAAAAGTAAAAAAACTTGTGACAATGGCATATATTAGCATTTTACTGAAATTAGCATAAGAAAGAGAGTGTAAAAGAAAATATAAATTCATTGGGGAAAATGTTGAATAAATAAACATCAAAGAACATGGAATTAAACAAATACTTTTTAAATTATTTTTAACATATCAAGATTATTTTAAAGGATTGATTTAATGTTTTCTTCAAAATTTTTCTGTTTTTCCAAGTTTTAGTAGTGTAAATACCTAGCAACTGAGGATTGGCCCATGTATGTGACAAGACCAATTAATATGGTTATGAAAATATTGCAGTGGATACCAAAAAGTAACTACAGTAACAATTAAATTACTTTACTAACCCACTCCACTATTCATTATAGAATATTTTCAAAGCTATTTATATAAATGTGTTTTGATAATCAACACGTTTGTCAATTATTATGTTAACTATCCTTGAAGATTTAAGAACTTGTCTAACTACTAGAATCTAATTTTAGTATAAACAGTCATTTACTGTTATATCTAAGGATGGTAATAAAGACTATCAATAAAACTATACTCTAAGACATAAATCAAACTTTATATTTTAAAAATAAATGTATGATATAATAATGGATTTTTATTTGTATACTCTGCATATCAAAAGAAATCATATAATTTTAAAATTTAAATGAACCATTAGAACACTTAGAAAAGCA